>NC_000007.14:20240242-21490242 GCF_000001405.40 Homo sapiens
GGTTTTGGTTGAAAGCCAGAGCCAGATATAGCATGCAATTTACTATCATAAAATGTGTTAAATGATTACAGGAAGGAAAAAAGAAATACTACAGAAGCGCTACTAAAGCAGACATTAGCTCTTTAATTTCTGTTCTGGCCCACTAAATCAGCACTTGCCATATTGGTTGAGTGAGTGAATATGTGATCACAGAAGTGTCTGCAAATGTGAGTAATTTCACCCAGCGTTAGCAGCCACAGGAGACAGAAGAAGCAGCAGGACCAGAAAGCCATGGCTAATTAAGCCCACGTATCCACCAACCACAAGTACCCTTTCGATTTGGTTGATACTTGTAAGGCTTTTCCCTGGTCTTTCCAAAACATGCCCTACAAATGCTTTACTAATTCTTATCTAAGAAACTCCTGCAGTGAAAAAATTATCTAATTTTCTCCAAAGTTTCTTTTTGTATCAACCTGTGCTTATGTTCAACAGCTTCTCTGTTATGCTCATGGGGATCACCCTCAAGAAGAGGAGACAGATATTTGGAAAAGCCATGGTCTTTTTACCACACTGAACTACTTTCCTTCGGATCATGGCCAATGACCAGCCTCCGACATTTCATCCTTCATACCTTGCAGCTCATTTTTTTCCACATTTCACTTCGAACCCAATCCACAGTTTGTCTCATACAGATGGCTTGTGTTTAAGAGTCGAGACCCTAAATCTAATTGCTAGGGTCCGTGCCTGACTCTCTTGATTACATACGTGACCTTGAGCAAGGTATTTCACCTCTTCAGGACTCCTACCCATAACATAAACATAATAACGTTTGAGTCATAGGGTTTTTGTCTTCATTAAATGCAATAATTTTATGTAAAGTACTTAGCCTACTGCCTGGAACATAGTAAGAGCCTGATATTACTGGTTATTACAGCTATTAGCACTGTTGACTTTATATTTGTTTTTTTAATTGTAGAGAGAAACCCTCAGATATTTCAAACAAGTAGGGGAGGAAAAAGAAAACACTTTCTTTTTGCCTCAAGGCCATTCAGGAGCTCTAAATGCCATTATTATTGTTTCCTGAGAGAAGAGGGTGAGAGGAAGCATAAGATTCTTCCTTCTTCTCTACAACACACTAGAATTCCCCAGGAGTGGAAAAACCTTTACAGTTGTACTGAGAATCCAGTGTGTTTTCTCCTTTGCTGTCTTTCTATTGTATTTTTTTTTTCTTTATCTACTGGCTTTTCAAAGAATTTTTCATCAACACTTAAATATGTTAACAATGTTAGATGACAATGTCATTGAAATACATTAGAGTGAAAATGACAACACTCATAATGAAAAGCAATGAATCTCTATTTAAAATGGCATTTTAACAATGCATCGAGAAAGCCATTATCATACCAATCTTACCAACACATTGTGTGTGTACGTGTCTGTGCACGCATGAGTGCAAATATACTGAATGAAGTCCAAAGTACTGCAGATAAAAGCATACTTTTTGTTCATACTTTCCTGCTGTGGTTTGAATTTGTTCCCACCAAAACTCATGTTGAAATGTGATCCCCAGTGTGGTTGGTGTTGGGAAGTGGGGCCTAGTGGGAGGTGTTTGGATCATGGAGGTGGGTCCCTCATGAAGGGCTTGGTGTTGTTCCTCAGCAGTAAATGACTTGAGAAACAACACCAAGCTGGTGTTGGGAGACTCAATATCTGAATACTGGATTATTTCTTGCAGGAATATTTCTGCATGAGTTGATTGTTAAACAGCCCGGACACCACTCAGGTTTTGCCTCTTCACATATGTCCACTTCCTCTTTGACGTTTTCTGCCATGTTTGACTCACCATGAAAAGCCCTTGCCAGATGCCAAGCAGGTGTCAGTGCCTTGCTTCTTGTACTTTTCAGCCTTCAGAACCATGAGCTAAATAGACCTCTTTCCTTTATAAATTACTCAGCCTCTGGTATTCTGTTATAGCAACACTAAATGGACAAAGACTCTCTCAAAATGTCTCAAACCCATCTTCATTTGAAAAAGTTATACAGCAGGACAATGCATTCATGAAGTAATTTCCAAAATATTCTATCTCCCTGCCCTGCTTTGAATACCTATTACTATATTATAGATTTGTCAACTTATTGATTGCCTGTATCCCTTACTAGAATTTAAGCCTTGTGAAGCAAGGAATTTGTCCATCTTGCTTTTAGCTATATCTCCAGCCCATAGTCAGTTCTTAATACATATTTGTGGAATGAATGAATTTCCCTTAAAACCTATGGAAATACTGAGGCAACACATATATATTTATATGCACAATGCAAACTAGAAAAATCACTAGCTGAATTCAGCATAAGCAACAGTGTAGTGTGGTATAAATATTAGCCTGGAAATCTGAGTTCCAGATTTGGTTCTGCCATCAAACATGAAGTTTAGGCAAAGACAATATGACTTTTATATATATCAAATGACATGGATGATATATCATGTGATATATGTACAAATATATACATACTTATATTTATATACATATTTAATATATATAATATATTATGTGTAATAATATATTTATACATATATGTACATAAATATATACATATTTATATTTATATATTATACATATAAGTATAAGGCAAGCCTATGCTTTGCTGGTCTTGACTTAGTTTACTAAAGAATAATACCTGCTTGCTGCCCATTATCAGATGCAGGTTGTTTGTTTTGGGGATGGGACAATGAGGGGATGGGAAGGAGATTAGTAGTAGGGGGAGATGGTCAGTATCTTTAAACAAATCTTTACACCCAACAAATTATTGGTGCTGAGCAGGGAAGAGGACAGGATAAGCACTAGGATAACTTTCTTATTCTATTACTACCTACAAAAAAATGAGTTTCCTCTTCTGATGATTCTCTGTTCTACAAAATAAAACTGATAAGAACTCAAAGCAGAATCTAATCGAAACTGTAGAGCATAATAAAGCTGTTTATAGTACAGGTATTTCAAAATCTCAGTTATTAATTTGTAATTTAAAGGGTTGTGAATTTAGGATTTTTTTTTTTTTTGAGACGGAGTCTTGCTCTGTCGCCCAGTCTGGAGTGCGGTGGCGCAATCTCGGCTCACTGCAAGCTCCGCCTCCTGGGTTCAAGCCATTCTCCTGCCTCAGCCTCCCAAGTAGCTGGGACTACAGGTGCTCACAATGCCCGGCTAATTTTTTTATATTTTTAATAGAGACGGGGTTTCACCGTATTAACCAGGATGGTCTCGATCTCTTGACCTCGTGATCCGCCCGTCTCGGCCTCCCAAAGTGCTGGGATTACAGGCGTGAGCCACCATGCCTGGCCAAATTTAAGCTTTTTAATTAAAGCTTGTGGGAACATAAAATTAGACATATGCTGCAAATATAAACCTGATTCCTCCTGTTCATTATTCCATCAGTTCAGATTGCAATTTGTTTTAATAATGGTCTTCCTTCACCCAAAAACTCAATGAAAGGTACAAGCTGAAATTTTCATATTTTTTGTTTGCCTAAGAAAAGATTGTAATCATCTTACTCTCATGACAGATTTGTGGCATTATAGTAAGTTTGTGATTAAGTGCTAATGAATTATATTTAGGTGCTTCCTGAATATTTGGAAACCCAACATTATTTAATATGATCTTGAGAGAAATAATGGAAATCAGGTAAGAGATGCATCTTTTAAAATTTCTACACATGATTCCACTGCTAAATCATTGCCATGTATTTTAATGCTTTGAAATAAAATCATAATATAAAATTCCTGATTCAAATAAAAACTATCAAAATGCACATTAGTTTCTGGCCCGAATATATTCTGCTGTAGCACTGACCTTTCTTATAGCATTCTCATATTTGGATGGCAAATCTCTTTCTATGATACACAAATATTGGGCTCTAGCATAATGTTTCAGCAGAAAAGGATGTGATATTTCAAAAAGTCTTCATAACCGCAAAACAAAGAATAAATAAAAAGAGCATAAAATTAAAGGATAACTTTTCATTGAGGGCAAATAAGGCAAAAGAAGGAACTCTTCACTCTGTACTTTCTCTGATACAATAAGAAAACCACATTTGTTTTACTGCTGGAAAAAATAATTTTTTAAAGTGTGATTTCCAGTTAATAGACCTATATATTGTATATATTACATCATGAAGCTCAATTCTAAGAGGCTTCAAAAGCTTAGGAGAGAACTAGAAATGAACTATACACAGTGAAAAGTGAATCATAGTAGTAAATAGATAAGAGCGTGCCACTGGGATAAATAACAAGAAGGTCAGGCTTAAAGTGGTGTCATTGAAAAGCTGGGATATTTTAGCCTATTTTCTTAGATAATATTATCCCCTAGTGACCTTGAGCACTTGCATCAGAGGCAGTATTGCATAGTAGAAAGATTATGGATGGACAGTGGAGCCCTGAGTTCTAAATCAGAATCTGTCCATTTCTAGTTAGAAATCTGGGACAAATTACTTTATCCTGAGATTAATTCTTCTCACTGGCAAAAATGGAGGTAATGCCTCTTGCCTCAAGGTTTCTTGTGAGGATTAAAGGAGAGCATCTGGCACCATACTAGCACATAACCAACGTTCAATAAATATTAGCTTCCCCGTTCCTTTTTCTAAAAATACAAAGCAGTCTGAGAAAAGCTAAGTGTTTTCCATGCTTCTTGCATAAGCATTGAATATGTGAGTTTGGGTTTGGCAGGCATGAACAATCTTTGTCACAGGGGCTTTTGGTTTTTGTTTTGTTTTGTTTTGAAATCATCAACTCAGGGTTTTTTAATGGAAATAATAAAAATAATTACTTTCTAATTCCCAGTCTAATAACTGACAGACACATAAACTACCCCACCAAAACTGATAAAAATTATTTTATTCATATATATAAGGAATATATATGAAATACTAAGGTCCAAAATCTCCTCATAGTTACCTTAATAAAAGGAAGATGTCATGGAATTTTTAGACAGCAAATGAATTCTGGTTATAATTTTGCATCTTATCAGCATCTCTTCTGGGCTGACACTGACTTCAATATGATAACGCATTCAAAAATAACAGCAAAATAGTGAAGGCTTTATGGCTTTATTCTTCCTCTTTTATTTTTTTTGAGACGGAGTCTCACCCTGTTGCCCAGACTAGAGTGCAATGGCGCAATCTCGGCTCACTGCAACCTCTGCCTCCTGGGTTCAAGTGATTTTCCTGCCTCAGCCTCCCGAGTATCTGGGATTGCAGGCACCCGCCACCACACCCGGCTAATTTTTGTATTTTTATTAGAGACGGGGTTTCACCATGTTGGCCAGGCTTGTCTTGAATTCCTGACCTCAGGTGATCCACCCGCCTCCGCCTCCCAAAGTGCTGGGATTCCAGGTGTGAGCCACGACGCCCAGCCTATTCTTCCTTTCTTGAACTTAGCCATCTATTCTAGGGACTAGTGTATTAAAAGCAAAATGTAGTTTCTCTTCAAAGGATCCATAAGCTGTTAAGGTTGAAAGCTATCACCATGGACTGGGATGGCAAGCCTTAACACAAGGAAATAGATATCCCCACTTCTCTCCACTTTTCAGCCTAGTGCACTATAGGTTCTCAATTAATGCTCATTGAATAACTTAATAAATGAATGGATGACCTAAAAATATTCCAAGATTTTTAAATACAAATCTATGAAGATAAATCACTTGGCTGCCATTTATTAATATTATAACTAAAGTAACCATAAGAGGCACTGCAGAACTGTTCAGAATGGGTTAAAAGTGTATTTGCATCTTAAGAAAAGGAGTAAATGGTAAAAGTAACATATTCAGAAAAGGGCAAATTCCCTAAAATCATTGTAAAAGGTACCAGATGAAGGTATCGGAATACAGCAATTGCCTTCATAGAGTTCACAGTCTACTGGGAGAGATTAACCCATAAACAACCTAAAATAGAGGTATATATAAAATAGAGAAATACACAAAACATATAGACGCATATAAAAACACTACAAAGCTCAGAAGCAGGATCAATCAATGCTGTTGTGGGGACAATGTGTAGGGAAGAAGAGGAGCCTTGAGATATACCTCTTAGGGGACAATTTCGTTGCATCTCAAAGATGAGCCAGATGTGATCGGTCGAACTAGGTGAGGAAGAACATTCAGGCAGCCAGGAGCGATGTGGAACAGCAACATAGCCCAGAACAAAAGTAGTCAGTTTAGGGAAAGGCAGAGAGATCAATGTGGTGGAGAGCAGGATAACAGGGAAGTGAGGGCAGGGACATGTAAGGTAGGGAGGGCCTTGTTGGCTGCATGAAGAATTTGGATTTCACATTGCAGGCCCGGGGTTTTCAAAATACAAAGAGTAAAGACACATCAGGACCTGCTGAGAAATAAAAACTGCTTAGCTTTTATCAATTTAGGTTTCCACTCAATGTTTTCTTTATTAAAATTTTTTTTTTTAAAACTTCTGTTTTAGGCATTGAGCCCATGAAAGATTTTAAGTGAGAGTAGTAAGAACAGATTGACATTTTAAGAAGTTATTGTCTTGCCCTTTAGGGAAGGTGGGAGGAGCCCAAGTTGAACTAGATTGCCCAGGTGAAACATCTGGCGGGACTATTTCAAGTGGGATAGAAAACTGGCCATGGGAACAGAAAGTTAGTGGTCTTTAAAACTATTTCCCATCTTTCTGGAGTAAGTGATTGGACTCAAGAAGAAGAAGAAGATCAGAGTTAGTTCCAGGTTGTAACTTGGCGTTTTGCATATATCAAGGTATTCTTCACCATGGAAAAGAAAAAAGAGGAAGATCAGCCTTGGGTGCAAATTCTGAGCTGCATTTGAAGTACTTAAGTCCATCTAAATGCAAATGTGTATTCAAGAGTTGGGCATAAGAATGTGGGACAAAAAACAAAGATCCAGACAGAAGATATAGCTTTGAAAGCTAGTGACATAGTTGTATATGTTCAGGTTAAGTATGCAGTAGATCACTCAAGGAAGGGATAAGCACATGAAAGGCCTAAAATAAAATGTGTTTTATTAATTGAGGGATAGGCAAAAGAAGAGAAGTCTATGAAAGAAACTAAGAAGTATAGGAAAGAAGAGAAACTAGGAGATTATAGTGTCTCACAGGGTAACAGGTTTCAAGGAGAGGGTCAAACCCTGAAGAAAGCTCAAGCAAAATAAAACTGGGGAGGCTCTGTTGAATTTGGCAATGTGCAACTTCTTAGATACCTCAGCCAAAGCAGATCCATTGGTGGAATGATGAAAGCAGAAACATTTGGAAATTCACTGAATAGAGAGAAGGTATCTATTTGGAGACAATCTCAGGAAAAAAATATTAATTAGTTTAGTTAGTTTACAGCTTGTTCAAAGCTAAAAAAGAGACAACATAGCTATAGAGAGACACTAGTAAGTATAAAATTTCCACTAACCTATGAGACTAGTACCATTTTATGAGAAGAAGGTATTGGTTATAAGGACCACGAGAATTTTAAAGGAGATTAAGAATGATGCTAAAACATGCAGATGTCAGTAATTGGTCTTCCACACCACATACCATTGTACAACACTGACCTGTATTTAATAAAATATTTTGCCAATAACTTCCTGGTTTCTCTTTGAGGCTGATACTTGATATTAACATTGCAGTTGATTGTACAAGTTCCTTGGTAATAGTGTCATCTATTATTGTTATATTAAGTTTATCTTTGAATGGTACTTGTTTACTTTTGATCTCTTCTCTAAATTTATGGAAAAAACTATACTTCCCGGTATTGTTTTGAACTTGATTTTAGAAAATGTGATTGGTTTATTGGATTATTGTGCTTTATTTGAAAACTGTGCAAAAGCTTTTGTGGTTTCATAACAAACACTGAGAAACAGGAGAGAATGCATTAATATGCAGTTCAATAAAATACAATTTTCAGGTATTGGTATTTAAAAAAAATAAGCAGGTTTGGAGGAAAAATAAATGAATAGATAGACTTCAAGTCTGATAATTGACTTACAACTTTGCCTACCCATTCAGGATCCATTTTACATGGTGGCAAAATTGTAGAAAATCAGATCAAAGTAATGAAAAATTCTAAAGTAAAAGCGCAGATGGCCTAAGCCAGGGGAGTTGGTGTCAGGAATTGTCAAATTTCTGTGTTCTTCAGCCTTGACAGTAGGAGAGATGAAACACTGTGAAGCATTTTGAAAGCAATAAAGCTGGTCAAAGAACATGTAAACAGCTAGGGAACAGACGAAAAACACCATAGCCATTCTAGCATTAAAATGTGACTCTTATTTAAAGTTCAAGGGCTAACATATTTAGTTAATTTGGTGAGGAAAGCAATGACCTACTTTCTGTGATTATGCTCAATGAGAGAACAAATGAATCTTACTTTTCAATCTAAGAAGAAAAGTATTTACTCACAAAACACCTTTTATTTCCCCCAAATTAAAGAATATAACTAAGGATTTATGTTTCCTTTAATTTTGATAAAAAGTCTATGATCGTTATGTATCGTTTGATAAAAAGTCTATAAATCGTTATTGTGAACTAACACAAGTCTAAATAGATGGCTAAAAAGAAGTTCAATTTTTCCAATTCTGTTTTATTTAACAGATTGTAGCCTCCCTTACCCCAAATCCACAGTCCTGTTACTGGTTTGTAGAGAGTTGATTGATTATAGGCAGAAAAAGAAGTATAAGTTTCTCAAAAGCAGATGGCTGTATCCCCAGGGCTTCATAGATGTTCAGTAAACTCTTACTGCTCTAAACTGAGTCATACACAAAATAATATTGGCCAAAAGCTCACTTTTTCTGATTTTAATATCATCCTATCTGTACAAAATGTCTCCCAGCACTTAAAGATGAAAGAACTCAATAACTATTGATCTTGAAAGTAGATTTTGTTTAGACATATTTAATTGATTGACAAAGTTATTATTACTTATATAAACAGAAATATTTAATCTAGATGTTAAGAACTCAATGCCAAGAGAGCCAAAGAGGTAACATAAAAGCTAGAAACCTGTGGGTGTGGGGACTAGAGATGCTTATAAATGAAAGGGACAGGCAGCAGCCAACCCCACTAAGGGATTTTATGCTGCACGAGCATCTGGTTCCAGATACATGGATTTTTCAAGAGAAGACAGAAATATGGAATTTGAGGCTAAATCTCCTAGTTTTAAAATGTTAACTCAATTGATTTTTAAAACACCATGTGATCGACAACCTCTGATTAAGGTAGAAACTTGGCAATTAAGATCTTCAGACGTCAAATCCACTAAAAGGGGTGAACAATTACAATGAATGGATCGTGTGTTCAGCCTGTGCTATCTGAATTACAAATAAACTTTCTCACTGAGGAGGGTATAGAGTGTATTCTATACAGCTGTAGGAGCTATTGTCAAACTCTCTTCTTTCTTCCTCTCAGATGCAGTGGTGTGTAATACTACCATGATCTGAAAGTTGAACACCAAAATGATTAAGGAAAAGAAAAGCACTTAGAAACTTTTGCATAATTCATCATTACAGCTGAGAATGAAAGACCCGTTGTTCTGTAGCACAAATACAATATAAACTACAACACATAATGAAAATTGAGTTCAAACATACTTGAGTGAAAAGATTTAAAATGTTAATTCTTTTCATTATTAGAAACACTTGCAAAATGGTTCCTTACTGCTGACATAAGTGAACAAGTCGCGATGTTTTAGATATATTTTCTGGAGTAGGACATATTTGTGCATAATATTGCTAGATGGGAGGAGGAAATTGTTCTGTTTATAATATTGCTAGATGGGAGGAGGACATATTTGTGCAGTTCCCCCATGACGTATCCATTCCACAT
Organism: Homo sapiens; assembly: GCF_000001405.40. Taxonomy (NCBI): domain Eukaryota; kingdom Metazoa; phylum Chordata; class Mammalia; order Primates; family Hominidae; genus Homo; species Homo sapiens. The sequence continues at coordinate 20,250,040 of NC_000007.14, forward strand.
GGCTGGACTGTAGGTATTATTATTGTTCCACCACATGAGAAATGCATCAGGGCCCATTCCTGGACCAAAGTTCACTGCAGCAGAAACAACACATGTGGTGCCAACTTCTGTCACACTTCAGTGGAAGGATTTAGAATCATTTACATTAGTTGTGGGTCTTTCCCTAACAGATTGTCAATCTGAACCATGTAATACTTTCAAGAGTAGATTTTAATAACTGTGTGTTTAGATGAGTGTGTGTGTGGAGGGGGTTGTTTCTCAAGGCAGTAGAAAACAAATGCCCCATATGCAAAGAGATCTGGATTTCAATCCAGATCTGCCATGGATTAGCTATGTAAATAATGGACAATTTGGACAATCAACCAAAACCTTATGAAGCAGCTTCTGTATGCCAGGCACAGTGTTGAGTACTGGGTATACAAGAGTGAACAAGATAGGCCAGGTACGGTGGCTCACTCCTGTAATCCCAGCACTTTGGGAGGCCAAGGTGGGTGGATCACCTGAGGTCAGGAGTTCGAGACCAGCCTGGCCAACATGGTGAAACCTGGTCTCTACTAAAAATACAAAAAAAATTAGCTGGGCGTGGTGGCAGGCACCTGTAATCCTAGCTACTTGGGAGGCTGAGGCAGGAGAATCGCTTGTACTCAGGAGGTAGAGGTTGCAGTGAGCCAAGATCGCACCACTGCACTCCAGCCTAGGTAAGAACAGTGAAACTCTGACACACACACACACACACACACACACACACACAGAACAAGATAACGTCATTGCCCAAAGGAGTTTATATCTTAGTAGGAGAATCAAACAAAGGATAGGCAGTTTTAACATAGAACCTTAAAGGCTGAAGTAAATGTAAGCAGAGAGTATTTTGGAGGCTTGTAGAATTAACATCTACCCTAATTTAAACTGTCAGAAAAGGCTTCCTTAATGAAGTGATGTGTGAGCAGATATCTGAACTGATACAGGAGCTAGGTAAGTGAAAAGTGAGGCAAATAATGTTTTAGAGGCAGGAAGCAAGATATGCAACAGCCAGAAATTGAGAGAGAGGCTAGAACTTCTGAGAACCTGCTCATTGTTTGTACGGCTGTATCAGTGTTCACAATGGAATATCAGCTGGACAATTCTCAAAGTTCATTCTAGCCAGAAACAGGTTGGGGGAATAGTCAAAGATGCAGATATTGCCTTACTACTCTTTGTTCACTTATCCATCCTTTTAACAAATAGTTACTTTAAAGCTATAGTCATTGCTTTTATATAGATTCTATTACTTTTTACATTAAATATAGCAATTCTCTTCAGACTATTGGTTGAAATAGACAGTTGACTTATTTTAACACAGAAGATGCTCATTTCTAGAGAGCAACTAACTTCACAATAATTGTTCAGCACAACACTGCTATTAAGAAATTTCATGGGAAGAAAAACCCAGTGATCAAATAATTTTAGGAAATGCAACATTTAATCCCTCTTGAACATCAGTTATTTTATATTAGCATATTTAATATTTTAAGAAGTCCTTAAGTAAACAGAGCAATCAGCAAATACTCTTTAATCCAGTATTAGATAAGAGTTAGTATAGATTTAGTCAAGGGATGTGTGATGATTAATATTAGATGTTAACTTGGCTGGATCGGGGGATGCCTACATGGCTAGTGAAGTATTGTTTCGGGGTGTGTCTGTGAGGGTGTTGCCAGAGGAGATTGACATTTGAGTCAGTGGACTGGGAGAGGAAGACCTACCCTCAATGTGGGTGGGCACTTTCAATAAGCTGCCAGTGCAGCTAGAAAAAGCAGGCGAAAGAAGCAAGGTTAAGCTTGTTTACTGAGTCTTCTGGCTCTCTCTTTCTTCCTGTGCCAGACACTTGTTCCCTCTTCTCCTTCAGTTGGACATCAGTCTCCAGGTTCTTCAGCCTCTGGACTCTGGGACTTGCACCAGGGGATTCCTGGGGGCTGTCAGGCCTTCAGCCACAGATTGAAGGGTGCACTGTCAGCTTCCCTGATTTTGAGGCTTTCAGACTTGGACTGAGCCACTGTTGGCTTCTCTCTTTCCCCAGCTTCTAGACACTTTGCTTTATAATCGTGTGAACCAATTATCAATTGTCCCTAATAAACTCCCTTTTATATATGCGTGCATCCTATTGGTTCTGTTCCTCTGGAGAACCCTGACTAATAAAAGACGGAATCACCATTACTGAACATGGAATCAGTGCCTATGAGGTTGTCATTTTCAAGGGCAGTCCTTGAGAATATCCCTTACAAAGGATCTAACTCTATTACCATCACATAAAGTTGACTTTTTTAAATCAAAGGAAACTAATGAGATTGACCACCATGTCCTCTATCTATTCTACTTAAACAATGTATGTCAAGAACTATGACCCTTCCTAGAAATAGCATAAATATCTAATGAGGATAAAAAATATAGTACAACTATAAAACCCTTAAGAAAATGAGTTTCTTTTTGCTTTGCATGGTCATGCTTGTTTGTTCACCTTTTAAGTTACCATAAAATAATAGGGAGAAAATTGCCTATCGGTATTCTAAATTCGTTAAAAGTAGGTAGTGATTTATTGCCACTAAGACCAAAATTTCTTCCCTAAGAAAAGCAATAAAAGAGGTCATATGGGGAAAGAATAGTAACTTCAATAAATAGTGATGAAAAAAAATGGATTTCCACATGCAAAAGAATAAAATTGGACCCTTAACTACACACAAAATTCAACTCAAAATGGATAAAAGACCTAAATGTAAGATCTGAAATTATAAAACTCCTACAAGAGAACATGGAGGAAAATCTCCTTAATGTTGGCCTTGGCAATGATTTTTTTTCTGGCCATCACACCAAAAGCTCAGAGTACAAATGCCAAAATAAATAAATGGGACTATATTAACTAACAAGCTTCTGCACAGCAAAGAAAACAATCAACAAAATGAAAAGGCAACCTATTAGCCAGGAAAAAAATATTTGCAAACCACATATGATAAGGGGTTAATATCTGAAAAGCATAAAATCCTCTTATAATTAAATAGCAGAAAAACAACCCAATTAAAATATGGGCAAAGGACCTAAATAGACATTTCTCCAAAGACAACATAGCAATGGCCAATAGATATATAAAAAGGTGTTCAGCATCACTAATTATCAAGGAAATGCAAATTAAAACCACCAGTAGATACCACCTCCCATCTTTAAAATGGCTATTATCAAAGAATATGAGAGTTAATGAATGTTGGTGAGAGTGTGAAGAAAAGGGAATCCTAGCATACTGTTGGTGGGAAGGTAGATAGATACAGCCATTATGGAAAACAGTATGGAGTTTCTTAAAGAAATTAAAAATAAAGCTACCATATGACTCAGTAATCCCTCTTCTGGGTATATGCCCAAAGGAAATGCAACCACCACCTCTTAAAAATAGCTATAATCCCATGTTCACTGCAACATTATTCACAATGGCCAGCATATGGAAACAAGCTAAGAGTCCGTCAATGGATGAATAAAGAAAATCATATATTATATGTACGATGTAATGTTATAGAATAGTATAATAACATATACATATATATTATTTAGCTTTAAAAAAGAAGGAGATTCTGCCATTTGCCATAACGTAGGTGAACCTGGAGCACATTATGCTAAGTGAAATAAGCTAGACACAGAAAGAAAAATACTGCATGAGGTCACTTTTTGAGAAATTAAAGGGTCAAATATACAGAGATAGAGAATAAAACAGTGCTTAGCAGGGATTGAGAGTGGGGAAATGGGGAGATGTAAGTCAAAGCCTCCAAAGTAGCACATACGTAGGATGAACAAACCTAGAGATCTCATGTACAATATGAGGACTACAAGTAATAAAATTGCATTGCATTTGGAATTTTTGTTAAATAAGAAGATTTTAGCTGCTCTTATCACAAAAAAAGCATGTGAGATGACAGATATATTAATTTGCTTCACTACAGTAGCCATTTTACTATTTGTACATATCCCATAACATCATGTTGTAAACTTTAAAGACACACAATAACATTTTTTTTAAGGTCAAAACACCACCCCTCTCTTGGTATGCCTACCTGTTCATGATTTCAGAGAACCCTGGACAACCCCTTCTCATCAATCCCTGTTTCCAAGTGAGTCAAGCCACTGCTCAGGATCCAGGACTTTTCAGATGTTTGAAGACAAATTTCTCAGGCAGATAGCAGGACCAGTGCCAGTGTTAGAGGTGTTACTTAGTACTGCATTTGATATGGGATAAAACATGAATGACACTCCCATCTTATTTTAAAAAAATGGAGGTTTCCTAAGGATTCATTTCTTAACCTGAAAATAATGCAAATGATGTTTTGCATTTTCTACCTCATTTCTAGAAGAAAATAATTACAATATGGTCCTGCCTGGAGAAAGAAAATATCCATAATTTTAGTAGACCCTGGAATACCTTCCTACCTTTTCTATAATAACTTTATGATAAAATTTAAAGTACCTTTAAGAAGGGGATTCAATCTAGACTTGCCCGCTCCTGTATTATTTGTACTTAGCATAGTGTCTAGCACAGAGTAGATTGCTAAATAATGTTTACGGAGGGAGAATGGAAGAAAAGAAAGGAGGAGAGACTTAGGCATCAAATATAAAGGCTGCCACTTTTACAGGAGCAAATCTCTGAGTCTAGGTGTTTTAAAAAGAAATTTTAAAAATGTTCTAAGAAGAGTTTCGGGCTCCTTGGGGGAATATGTTTCTTTTGTACACTTTGATACAAACTGTAGGCCTGAACCTATTTTTATTTAAAAACTCCTATAATTTTAACTGTAAATAACATTCATTTGACTTGATTGATATTTAATTCATATAATTGAGGCATTCTCTACTTTATCTGCTGTTCTCAAAAGAAATAATCCTATATTCGTGTGTGTGTGTGTGTGTGTGTGTGTGTTGCACATCAGTATAAGCATTCACAGATCTGGTTCAAAGAGGCTATAATTGAAATGAAGAGTCACTGTAATAGCACAGCAACATATTTAAGGCTTTGATAGATGCTTCAGATTCAACATACCTTCATAAAATGTTCAGGGTTGTTAACTTTGCAGTGATTTTGAAGCACTAAAATTTTTATCATCCATCATACATAATCCATCATACATTAATACTGATGTATTAATCAGTACTTTTTCAGTGACGAGTAGCAAAAAATGAAATCAGGCAGGCTTATACGGAAAAATGAAATGAAATAAAATGAAATGAAAAGGGGGATATACAGGCTCACTTTACTTAAATCCAAAAGTAAAACTGATTACAATTGTTGTCAATAAATAATATTAGAATTAAATATCACTCCACTTCTTAGCTTTCCTTTTTCCTGTGTTGTTTTATTCACTAGCAGGCTATCTCCCTGCAGTGGCAAGATGGCTCCAGCAGCTTGAGGCTTAGTTTCTTCCATTTTAACAAGCTCAGTATAAAAACTCCTCTTTCCTAACAGCACCTAAAAAAGTTTGATGGACCAGAAGTAGAGTGTCCATTCCTAGGACCAAGACCAACAGTAAGGAGGGGAGGTTCCCAAAGGAAAGTCAAAATGCTGCAGAAGAAAAAGACATGGATACTGAAGGACAAAGATAAAAGGGCTGTCTGTTATGTACATATTCTACATTCTTGTGGAATTAGAAGAAAGAGCTATTGCAGTATATTTGGATCATTCACAGGAAATTCATTTTTTGTTTAAATACTGTTAAAATTTCTTTTTTTTTTTTGAGCCTAGAAAATAATTGAGTGATTTTTGTTTACAAAAATTGACCATTGAAATGAACAAAGAAACAGGCAGTTAAGCCTTTCACACTTTGGTGAGATATTTCATTGTGGTAACTTAGTTTATGAATTTATCTCCATTTTTCAAATGTTAACAGTCATTCAAAGATTTGCTATTCTCATTTTAGGAACAAACATAAGAACAGGTAGTTTTGGTAAGTATGAATGTTCATGAGCATAAGCAATAAATTGTCAGCTACGTAATACATTTGAACCAAAAATAAAATTGCTTGATGAACATGAATTTTCTGTTTTTAAAAAGTGAACCATCCGTTGGTGAAATAAGCAATCCTGAGTCTGTTATTCTGACTTCATCTGACATAGCAGAAAGAATAGTGAACACAAAGTCAGAATATTTTGGCTTCAATAAAAACTTACATATTATAGCCCTGCAATCTTAAGCAAGTAGCTATTCTTAAAAGAATTACTCAATTGTCAAAAAGGATATTATGTGGAAAGTAGTTATAAAACTTTTGAAATACAATGTAGATTTATGAAGTAAAAAGTTTCCTCCTTATAATGTATTTACGTCTGCTCGTCACATGGAAATTCTTAGCTAACTAGTGTTCTTTTATTAGTTATTTTGCTCTAATGAACTTATTTCTCTTTATGACTTATTAAATGTTTATGACTATTTGAATACATAACTTATTCATGACCAAACTAGAGTGCTTGAAATACCCTGCATAATCCTGCAGATTGAACATTTTGCCAATGCAGAGAGAATGAGAAATGGCAGTTGTAGAAATAAAGAAAGAAGCTCTTGCTTTGGTAACTTAGTTAAAAAAACAACTATGGATGAGATTTAACTTAATATTAAACAACAACTGATAGAATAAACCTACATTATTTGAAATATCAGTGGTTTTACTTGTGTTATTTTATATGAAACAAACTCAATTTTCCAAATAAGAGAAAAAAAAAGAGTATTTTCTAAATTTAATGTGAAAAATAAGGCCCTGAAAAATTGGAATGTCTCACAAGCACATGGATATTTAACAAAAAAAATGACAGTGCCAACACATCTTGTCATACCACCATATTGATTCCCAGATCAGAATAATTATACCTGCAGGTAGAAAAATAGAGTCCTATACAGAAATGCAGGCCTTCTGTTGAGGTTGCTTTATCTTGTGCCATGTCATGTCAGCTACAAATAAATAAGCTAAGTAATATAATGTTTCCTTATTCAGATGTTTGGAAGATGTACCACCTATACTCTTACAGGAAAATTTCTAAATATTTCTATATTCATATATTTGGAATATATGGCTTTATTATTATGCTTTATTTTCTTAAAGTTTGCTTCTTTGTTTTCAAAGAAGACGTATGGTCTGCTCATTTGTTATGTGCTAATTTATCTTTTACTTCTTATATTTGTTTATCTATTATCTATGATAATAAATATTAATTAGAAAAAATTCTCAGTAAGGGATTAATTCATAACATTATTCCTATTATGAAAAATGTCATTTTAATTTGCATTTTGAATGCTTTTACAGAGCTGGAATCCCTGGAGCTTAGAGTTTATTTTGACATCTGCTGAATTCATCTGCTTAATAATCAAGTTATGATGAAACAATTGGGCTGTCAAAAGAAATGATCAGTGCTGCATTATTCTTGGTTGCATTGCTTTCTCTTTGTCACCTTCCAGTCTTTCATAGAAATTGAACTACCAAAGGACACAAATAAGCATTTGACACATAATAAAATGAGTTCCAGATTATCTGGCCAGTTATTTTGCTATTTTAAAGATATCAAAGATTTGGATAAAATGAGAAAAATTCAGTCTATGATCTCAGTGTTTCTTTATTCTTAAGTTTGTTCAAATACCTATTTTTAGTCACAGTTGGAAAATGGAATACTTTTGTTAATATTCTAGTTAACAGAGTTATCATCTTATATGACTGTTTCAATAAATTGGATTTCAAATCAACTAAAATGTATGTTTAAAACCAACTAAAATGTAAAATGTACTGTTGCCTGGGTATTACTCCATATAACTCCACATATAAAGTCTCAATTAATCCTCAAAATAAACTAATGTTACTACTATAACCATTTTACAAAGAGATTAATGGAAAATCAAAGCCAAGCCAGTGAGCGTAATACAGAGACTCGAACCCAAGATTCTAAATTTAAGATCAGAATTCTTCACACTATACTCTATGTAATATAATAAATAATAACAATCATGGATAGTAGATGTTAAGCATCCTTTATGTGTACTTTTTAAAATTGTCTCATGCCTGTGAGATTATCCCTCTATTTCAGGTAAGTAATTTGGCAATCAAACAGCTGAAGCAGTCACTCAAAGCCACTCGGTAGGTAAATGGTGAAACTGGGATATAAATTCAAGCCAGTCCACCTACATTCAACATTTGAAGTCTTCCTGCTTTAGCATACTGACTTTCAACTGTAACCAACACTTACAAAAACTACAATTCAATCTATATGAGATCATTAGACAATACTTCAGGAGCTAAAACTTCAAGGTTACCATCAAGGAGTTCTTTTCCATTGCTTTATTTATGTCAGGTACTGGTTTAACAGCCTTTTGGTTAATAGAGAGCCAATAAATATGAATGGTTCATTCAAATTTTCATTTCGCTTACATATAAATATTTGGCATTATGCACTGTATTTTCCAAAGTCTGGCAGGTTGTACAGTTTTTCATGCAACCAGATTAGTAAATCGTGTTATAGCTGTGATTCTGTCAGCAAAAGAAGACTAAATAAACATGAGAAAACACAAAGAATACATGTAATTCAATTTTGTGAAGTAATCTAGTCTATAAGCAGGTGAACATCCAATATCATAAATAAATCAATACATCCTAATGTACATATATCTGTACTCACATATACACAATAGAACAGGCAGGAAGTTCAAGGAAATAAAGGCTAAGAATTCCTAAGCAGTAAGGACTTAACTACAGGAAACAGCATAATTTTTAATCAACTTATTCAGGTATAATTTTTATAAAATATAATGCTCCCATTTTAAGTGTACTGTTCAATAAGTTTTGACAAATATATAAACCTGTGTAACTACCACCACAATGAAAATATAGAAGAGTTAATATCATTCAAAATTTCCCGCATGTCCCTACACAGTTAATCCTATTCTCTTGGCACTAGGCGACCACTGATCTGTTTTCTATCACTGTAGACTAGTTTTATCTATTCTAGAACTTCACATAAATGAAATGACACATTATATGCACTTTTTTGCCTAGCTTCCTCTGCTCACCATACTGCTTTTGAAATTTATCCATGTTGTTTCAATATGAGCAGTTTATTCCTTTTTCCACTGAGTAGTATTTCAATGCATGAATCTACCACAAATGGTTTATCTACCAGTTAATGGATATTTAGATTGTTTCTAGTTTTTGAATACTATAAAGCTGATATGAACTCCGTGTACAGGTGCACTTTTATTTCTCTTGATAAATAACTAGTAATGGAATTTTAGGGTTGTATAAGTGTAGGCTAATTGTACATGAAACTGTCAAACTGTTCTCCAGGTAGGTTGTATCCTTTTATACTATACCAGCAGTGTGAGAGTTTCGGTTGCTTCATATCCTAAACACATTTGGTGTTGTCGTTCTTTTAAAATTTTAGTCATTTCAGTGAGTGTGTAGTTGTTTATCATTGTGTTTTTATTTTGCATCAGTGAAACAGTTTATTTTTGAGAGGACTAGATTGTCAAGTGAGAAACCTAGTTAAACGAGTTGATACTAGAGTCACACATGGTTCTGAATCCCAGAACTGGTACCTACCATATGTGTGACTATGAACAAGTTGTCTTGGCTTCTCTATGCCTCAATGTTCTCCTCTGTTAATTCATAATAAAAATAGTACCTTATTCAGATTTTATTTTAAACTTTGAAGAGAAAATAAACATAAAGCACTAATCATAGTGTCTGCATCATATTGTTCAATAAAATTAACTAATATTATTATTCCTACTTCACAGAATGTAGAGGGTTATAAATTTTTAAAGCTTGCTAATTTGTTTTCTAGTGACAATAATAATAATGTTACACATTTGAAGTATCTAGCTCACCCAACATAAGAAAGTTCTTCATAGTAATTTTTTTATTGAGAAATCCAATGTCTTCAAAATAAGTGGATCATAAATATAAACAAGCATTACTCTAGAAGGTATCTCTGTAACTAATTCTGTTTTTGTTAACATTTTGTTTTGGTTTTTTTTTCTAGCTGAGACTTGATCCTGACAAAATATGCAGACAGCATTACTTTACATAGCCTTTATCTTAGAAAAAAAAAAAAAAGCAGTATCGAGTATTTAGAACAGCGTACAATAGTATACTAACCTGTATTGCCCTATCTCCATCCACAAGCCACCTCTGTGGTTTCAATAGTGCCCTAAAATGCCAACTTCCATTTTATCCCAACATCAACTACATTAGTAAATTCTCTCTTCCCTCACTAAGTAAAACTTCCTATTCAGCTGTTCGCAGTGCTGCCTGTAGACAGTTCACTAATGCTGCCTGTAGACAGTTCACTAATGCTGCCTGTAACCACTCCTCTCTCCTGCCTGCATCAGTGACACCACAGTCAGCTTTCCTTCCCCTCATTCCATTGCCAAACCTCTCTCCAAGTCTGATAGCCCTGCCAAATCATCTAGCTTTTGCTTTTGTGTGGTCTGACAGAATTGGCACAGAGTGAGAAGCACTAAGTTCTGTGACTTCCTATTGAATTTTTTTCACTGTTAATAAAGAAAGTTAGGAGTAGCCAATAGATTTTTTTTTTTAAGAAAAAGTGTCTTTCTGAAACACAAAGACATGGCTTAAAACTGAAAAGTTAAAGAGTTTGAACTAATCGCCATTCAGCCATTGACTTATTTGGTGACCCTAATATGTTTACTAACGGTTTTTTAATAGCCTATTGTTACAGGATTTTAAAAAAAACTATTACTTTTCTCTTATAACAACACATAGCAATTAAATTATATAATGAGTTGTTCTTCTAGTTCTTTCATATAAAAATCTTCTTTGAATGTCATAAATACTATGAGTTTAGAGACATTAAGTAACAGAAATGCAACTACTGCCACCATCACCTCCAAAGCTAACAAACTTAGACTGAACTTACTGGGAAGAATTACAGTGACATCATATTAGTATCCTGGCCCCAGAAGATATGTAGAGCAGGGGGTCATTAATAAAAGGCCTCAGGCAGGACAAACAGGTAGAAGCCCATCAATCAGCATTAGGATTGGGGCACAAAGCTGGAACCAGTCAACAGCCAGAGTAAAGGTAAGAGTTGCATAGGTTTATCTAGACAGTAGATCACATGGGTCCTGAAGATTGGCACAGAAGTCTGTCTTTAAGCAGGAGGAAAATGAAATCATCCATGAGGAGGGTGAAAGGGGAAAGGTGGGACTCAAACTGTGCATGCCTCCAGACCTGCACCATTTAATAAGACAAGAAGTCATTTGCCATGTTCATAGCATACTCCACTTCCTACGCCCCATTTCTGGCATTTTTTTCTTTTAGGCCTATCTATACTCAATCCACTTCTAAAGCTGAACAAGACACAAAATTGGGGTTCACACTCCCACAGTTGTCACTGAGTATTAAATTTGAGTCTATGCTCATTATCCAAACCCTTCATCTAGAGTTGAATCAACTGAGGACTGGACTTCCCTAATACTTGGCTACTTTTCCTTATCTTAGCATATCTTTCTGGGCTTCACCCTGCCTTCTCTCCCAGGTCTCATGTATTCCAGACTCTGAATGCTTAACTAGATTTCACGTCCTGACTCCTCCTGTTTAACCCAGTTCTGTGGCCAACCATGAGTTACACTGACAATCACTCTTGGCTTCTCTTCTCCAGTCACTCAGAGGACTATGGTGGGATGGCTCCAGAGGAGGATACCAAAGGGTACTTTCTGCCATTGCCACAAAGATTATTAAAGAATGACCTCTATAAATAAGCAACATGCAAATTCCTTCAAGACTGAGCTAATATGAGCATCAGGAGATTCCATGGATGGAGGAGTTTCTAAAGTGCTTCCCCAGGGTGTGACATCTGCATTTTCTCACTTTGCTTTTCACTCCAAGCTCATATGCTGTCTGTAAGAAGATGCTACTCCCTCTTTTAAGACTCAGGCCTCATCTACCCTGACACACAGGATATTTTAAAATTCCATGAAAAAAACAAAGGGAGTCACTTACAGAAAATCCAAATAGCAGAAGCATGGTGATGTTTCCATATTTTGGGATTCATGTCCCAAGACATGTGAATTTTGTTCTAAAAAGGGCTGAACCAAATTCACAGATCTCTTTCCTACATGGCAGGTATGATTTTAAGAAGCATACACTCAAGTATCAGAAATGCAATTTGGCTTTACAGCTAATATCTTGTTCTATCTACTCTAGAAACTCCCCTTCCCACAAAAAATAGAATATAGATTTTTCATTTTGTATTTATGAGTCTCTCATTCAAATCCTTCCCATTCTTCCAAATTTAGTACCTGGGTGTAGAATGAAGCTGACATGTTCTCTGACATGGAGGTGGAACATGCAAGTCTCCAGGTGATATACCACATCCTGCTTGGTCCCTGGGTAATGGCCTCTGTCCTGATTACTTCTGCAGTGGTGTAACCACATGGCTGCTGAAGATCCATCTCTGAGTTGAGATTGCCCTGCTTGGTCTTTGGAGTGCATCCTGTTACCATTGCTGATGTCCATGAACTTTACCTTAGCCTCCAGTCACAAGCATCTCACATCCTACCGTCTATCTGGCTACACTAGTCCTTCTATTGATCACAAGGGCACGTAGCACTTATGAATGGCCTTGGGGATGTATGCTCTCTTATTTGCTTTCTCCACACCACACTAAACTGAGACTTCACCCAGGCCCACCCCCTTGGATAACTATTGCTTGATAAATGCTGCTGGCATTTCAGAGGCATGGGATTTCCCCATGAAACTTTCCATATTCCCATTTATGCCCAGGAAAGCAAGACATCAGCCCCAAAGATCTTAAAATTACCAAACCTACCTGAATATTCTTTATTCATTATTTCGGATTCAGCCATAAGAGGGGAATCAAAACCCTAGAGACATTTATTTATCTGTTTTCCAGGCTCCATCTCTCTCTGACCAGCCGGGCTTTCCTCCTTCTATGGGCCAAGAAATTTCCTTGCATTGCATATTTTTCTCCCTTTTCATTGGTTCTGCCATGTAAATTGCCTGATCCTCCTCAAGCTGAATGTTTGTTTTGGGAGTTGTGAGAAAATCATCCTCTTCTCAACTAAGCCAGGCAATTTCAGTGTTCAAAAGTGCTTGATTTTGGACTATGCAGAAAATTCCTGTTGCAAATTCAGGCCCATGGTACCCTGTGTGTAAGAGTGTCATGCTTTCTCCATGAAGCAATGCATGCTATTGACCTAGTGGTTTGGAGAACTAGAAACTGAGGATGACTGCAGGTAAGCTATATTGATTTATTTTCTCAGAATTAGTACCTCAGTTTTCCCTGGCAGCAAAATTAGTGTCTCTGTAATTCCTAATAGTTTTCCATTTATTTCTCTGTGACATATATTTCCTATATTTTCTTTTTTCTTTTTTTTTTTTTTTTTTTTTGGGATGGAGCCTCACTCTGTCACCCAGGTTGGAGTGCAGGGGCTCGATGTTGGCTTACCGCAACTTCCGCCTCCCAGGTTCAAGCAATTCTCCTTCCTCAGCCTCCTGAGTAGCTGAGATTACAGATGTACCACCATGCCCAGCTGATTTTCTTTGTTGTTCTTGTTGTTGTTTTTTAGTAGAGATGGGGTTTCTTCATTTTGAGCTGGCTGGTCTCAAACTCCTGACCTCAGGTGATCCGCCCACCTCAGCCTCCCAAAGTGCTGGGATTACAGACATGAGCCACCGTGCCCAGCCTGTGGCATACATTTTCCACCACATAAGTATAATTGCTGGACATACTTGACCCTCAGGACAAAGACAAAAAAATCAGACTCCAGCCTCTTGAGACTCTCCCACTTAGCAAATGATTGGCAGCATTATGGAGACTTAGGGAAGAACCTTCATCCCACCTAAGGCACATGGCCTTATCTATTAAAAGATCTTTGCTTTGTAATACCTTAATTGGTCATTACCATAACAAACAATTAACATATAATAAATATACATTAATAAAAATACACATAGAAGAGTTGTACTACAAACCATAGATAAAAACAAAAATTTAGCTCATACTTGAATAGGAAATCTATGAGATGAAAGTCTTAACTCTTTATGGAAAAAGAAAATGCACGAGTCAAGAAAGAAGTACATTAAATTACCAGGAAAACCCTGCAAGGATCAGGATTCCACTTTTCTGTTGTCAAAGAGCAATTTACTTTCAGAGCTACCCCAAGAGTTAGGCCTGAAGTGTGTTCTCTGATAAACTCTGTTGACTCTAAAAAAAACCCTAAGACTACCGTTTATTGAATGCCTGCCGAGTGCCCTTGGTTTAATCTATATTATCTCATTTTGTGCTCACAACAACATTTCAAAGTGGGCATTATTAGCTTCATCTTTAAAGGTACAGAGATAAAGACCCCAGTCACCAGCAGAGGTACAATTGGACTTATTTCTAAAAGATGAAAAAATGCCCTCAATGTGTGATTGAAGCAAGTTCATGAAATTGCTTCAAAATCTTCCTGTGGGGAATGGAATTAGAAACATGTTCCCCACCTCCAAAAACAGTGCAAATAAGAATTATACTTTCACCTCTAAGCTGATCTTTAAATTCAGCTTTTAGTTCCTGTTGAGATTTAGTATTGGTTGACTCCTATTCAAGACAACTGACACTTCAGTCAGTTGATTAGTGAATAGACAGGGTTATAATAAAATAAAATAAAAGGCAGTCTCTTTAGAGAAAGTGCCTCAGCAGGATTTGAATGGGCACTGGGGAGAGGAGCACTCCCCATTCAGTAGAATAGTTACTCAAGGTGACCCCGCTCCTCAGTCCTCAGGCAATCTTTGAAAGGAACTAAAATTGAAAGCATACAGAGAGGCAGAAAGAGCTGGCCCAAAAAGTGACACTCAGTGGTGGTCTTTTCTCCTTTCAGTTCTTCCCTTTCACATGCAATTGTGTACCTCGGTGTCCTATCTCTCTGAAGCTCATTCTAAATACACTTCAGTAGTTTGAGTAGATTTTTAAATTCTATTTGATTTTTATGTTTTTTGAGTGATTTACAATGTGTCTAGGAAAGGTTGCTCTGTGGTATGTTGCTACTGAAGCTCCAATAGGGAGCAAAGACAATATCTGCTTTTTATGTTTTGCTTTGTTTATCTTATTTAATCCTACAATACCCTCTCAGAGGTAGGTAGGGGTCAGGTTTTATTATTTTTATTTACAGGCTGGAAGTGAAATAAAATCCAGGTAGGTGTTAAATGTCATACTAGAAGCAAGCAGAACTTACAGGAATATGTAACTGAGCCAAAATACACTAAACAAGCATTTTTCAAATAATTATCCATGGGGTCCAATAGATGATTTTTTGGAAAAAGAGTTTCTTAGTCAAATATATTTGCATAATCTTCCATATTACATGTGCTTCTTGAGATAAACAGTGCTCACATTAAAGACTCTGTGAAATCCTGAAATTAAAAACAATCTCAAAAACGTTTAACTCAGTATCATTTCATCTAGTACATTGTGTTTGCTTGTTTAGTAAGTATCTGTTTGTAGCAACAACATATATTTTAGGAAATACTCCATGAAAGCATACCATCTCTCAATACCTCTATATACCCCTGTAAAGTAACAAGATAAACAAACTATTTGCCTCAGATAGGGACACATCTAAATTATCACCAAAGAAAAGTTGTGGGAGCGATGGAAGGAAGGGTGAGAGAGCTGCTTTCTTATTTGACTTTGCCATTTCTGTCAATAGTCATTTTCCTTTTTTTTTTTTAATTATACTTTAAGTTCTGGGATACATGTGCAGAACATGCAGGTTTGTTACATAGGTATACATGTGCCATGGTGGTTTGCTGCACCCAGCAACCCATCATCTAGGTTTTAAGCCCCGCATGCATTAGGTATTTGTCCTAATGCTCTTCCTCCCCTAGCCCCCCTCCCCCCAATAGGCCATGGTGTGTGATGTTCCCCTCCCTGTGTCCACATGTTCTCATTGTTCAACTCCCACTTATGAGTGAGAACACGTGGTGTTTGGTTTTCTGTTCCTGTATTAGTTTGCTGAGAATGATGGTTTCCAGCTTCATCCATGTCCTTGCAAAGGACATGAACTCATTCTTCTTCATAGCTGCATAGTATACCATGGTGTATATGTGCCACATTTTCTTTATCCAGTCTATCATTGACGGGCATTTGGGTTGGTTCTAAGTCTTTGCTATTGTGAATAGTGCTGCAATAAACATATGTATGCATGTGTTTTTATAGTAGAATGATTTATAATCCTTTGGGTATATACCCAGTAATGGGATTGCTGGATCAAATGGTATTTCTGGTTCTAGATCCTTGAAGAATTGCCACACTGTCTTCCACAATGGTTGAACTAAGTTACACTCTCACCAATAGTGTAAAAGCATTCCTATTTCTCCACATCCTCTCCAGCATCTGTTATTTCCAGACTTTTTAAGGATCACCATTCTAACTGGCGTGAGATGGTATCTCATTGTGATTTTGATTTGCATTTCTCTAATGACCATTGATGATAAGCTTTTTTTCATGTTTCTCGGCCACATAAATGTCTTCTTTTGAGAAATGTCTGTTCATATCATTCACCCACTTTTTGATGTTTTTTTTTGTGTTTTTTCTTGTAAATTTGTTTAAGTTGCTTGTGGATTCTGGATATTAGACCTTTGTCAGATGAATAGATTGCAAAAATTTTCTCCCATTCTGTAGGTTGCCTGTTCACTCTGATGATAGTTTTCTTTTGCTGTGCAGAAGCTCTTTAGTTTAATTAGATCATATTTGTCAATTTTGGCTTTTGTTGCAATTGCTTTTGGTGTTTTAGTCATGAAGTCTTTGCCTATGCCTGTGTCCTCAATGGTATTGCCTAGGTTTCTTTTAGGGTTTTTTTTTTTTTTTTTTTTTTTGAGATGGAGTCTCACTCTGTCGCCCAGGCTGGAGTGCAGTGGCACAGTCTCGGCTTACTGCAACCTCCGCTTCCTGGGTTCAAGTGATTCTCCTGCCTCAGCCTCCTGAGTAGCTGGGATTACAGGTGTGTGCCACCACGGCCAGCTAATTTTTGTATTTTTAGTAGAGACAGGGTTTCACCATGTTGGTCAGGCTGGTGTCGAACTCCTCAACTCGCTATCTGCCCACCTAGGCCTCCCTCTTCTAGGGTTTTTATGGTTTTAGGTTTTATGTTTAAGTCTTTAATCAATCTTGAGTTAATTTTTGTGTAAGGTGTAAGGAAGGGGTCCAGTTTCAGTTTTCTGCATATGGCTAGCCAGTTTTCCCAGCACCGTTTATTAAATAGGGAATCCTTTCCCAATTGTTTGTTTTTGTCAGTCATTTTCAACCCTATGGTTTCTCCTCAGCTCAGTCGCTCTGCTTAGCTGCTTGGTTTACGCCACTGCTCAACCCCCACTCCCATTGATTGGATTATATTCCCTCAGTAAACAGAAAGAACACCTATTAAACTACTGGGCCCTGGGTCAGTCACAGAGAGACTAAAATCAAAGCACAGCTCTTGTCCTGGAGGAGCTCTTTACCTAATAAAGGGAAAGCGCGGGTAGGGGGTGGGAAACCAATACAAGCAGACAAGACAAGCCCTCAGGAGAAGCCTCCAACACAGGCAGGACAGAGGTCTTGCTGCATGAGGTGGGACATGGCTCCTTACTGCTTCTTCAGTAGTGTTAAAAGATAAGCTTTGGCACTTTAAAATTTTAAAGAATTTATTTGAGCAAACAGCAATTGATTAATTAGGCAGCTCCAAACAGGAAGTGGTCTGGGGCTCCCCCCGCGGTGGTTGAAGGGAAAGTTTTTACAGGGTGAATGCAGAAGCAGAGCCAACAAATCATTTGATTGGTGAAAGTTTGAGCAGTTGTCTTATTTGGACTCTCCTGGTGGGAAGTACAAGAAAGATAATTAATGTCCAATTGGCCACTGGTGATGGGCTGAGCTTAAGTTTCATTTTGCTTACATAGAAACCTCAGTCTAATGGCCTCCCATTTAATGTGTTTGTTTGTTTGTTTTGTATTGTTTTGTTTTGAGACAGAGTCTCACTTTGTAACTCAGGCTGGAGTGCAATGGCAAGATCTTGGCTCACTGCAACCTACGCCTCCTGGGTTTAAGCGATTCTCGTGCCTCAGCCTCTCAAGTAGCTGGGATTACAGGCACCTGCAATCATGCCCGGCCAATTTTTGTATTTTTCTAGAGATGGGTTTCACCATGTTGGCCAGCCCGGTCTTGAATTCCTGACCTCAGGTGATCCACCAACTTTGACCTCCCAAAGTACTGGGATTACAGGTGTGAGCCACCGCGCCTAGCCCCATGTAATGTTTAAACAATGGTACCATTATAGAAAGCAGTGCTTGCTGATATGGAGGACAAACAGATTTAGCAAATCATAACGAATAAGATGTTCAAAGAGAGCAATTTCTACCAAGGCATGTAGATGAGAAAAGCAGGTTCATTTGGAACACTGCATGATTAGATCCTCCCATAGAGGGAGACTATCTAAAAGAGAGTTAGATGTAACATGAACGTTAGCTGTAACATGGTAAAGAGTTTGAACTTTATCCTGAAGAAAGTACCATTGGTAAATACATATAACTTTTAACCCCTTAAGTCATTTTAAGTCTCTAAAGATTCTCTCACGTTTTGAAACTGCATATTCTCAAATCTTGAATCCCCACTCTTTTTCTGTGTACATATCCAAAATCTATCCATGCATCCAGATCAAACTATTTCAACTCATTATACCATAATTTCCCTAACTATCTCAACCCAGACTTCTTCCTCCTGTGAATGCCTTTGCAAACACTGACTGTGTATTCATGTACTACCTTATAAGTTACTATTTATAAATACATATATTTCCTACTGAACTCTATAGCAAACACCTCAAAAGCAGGGAACCATATTGTATATCCTAGGAACACTGTGGTAGGAAGCCTCTAACTGGCCTCTCTAATACCCCTCTCCTAGTATTCATGCCTTTGTGCAACCCCCTTTCCTTGAGTGTGGGCTGGACCCAGTGACTCACTTCTAACAAATAGAATACCATAAAAGTGACAGGGGTTTGTTTCTAATAATAGGTTACAAACAACTCTGGCTTTTTCTTTCTCTTCTTCTCTTGTTCCCCTGTTTCTCACTCACTTTGAAAAAAGTCACCTGCTAGATTGTAAGCTGCCTTATAGAGAGACCCATGCGGCAAGAAACTGATGTATCTCCAGCCAGCAGCATGTGAGCTATGAAGAAACTTGAAAGCTGATTCTAATTCAGGAGAGCCCTGAGATGACTTCAGCCTCAAAGGACATTTGGTAGCAGCCTTATAAGATACTCTGAACCAGAGATGCCCAGCTAAGCTGCAACTGATTACAGACAATCAGTAATGAAAATAAATATATATTGTTTTAAACTACTAAGTTATGGGATAATTTGTTACACAGTCATAGCTTTAAAAAGTCTAAAGTAACAAGCTACAGAATAAACATAAAATATTTCTGAGGACAGTTGAATAGATAAATGGAAGAATGTATTGGAAATAATGGATCCAACGTTTATTGGATGAATGAATCCAAGATGGATATTCATAAAAATTCCCTCAGGTTTATTTTGTATTAAAATAGCCACAAACTTATCTTTATATTATACAAATATCCTTGCTTTTATTCCTTTGGAAATTTTAATTATAGGAATGGTTATTGTGAATTAAACTTTTCTTTGAGTTTTTATGCAAAACACACAATTGAAAGGCACAGAAGATACACTCAACAGGGAATCCACTTGCTTACTCACATTTCATACCACTGATGCTCTTCTCTCACATAGGCATGGCTATTTCCATGGAACTATGATGCTGAGAACCTCTGCCAAGAAGGCATTTATGGACTCAGTGTGCCTGGGGCTTACAGGTGACAGAGAGAAAGCAAGACATCCATGTAAGGAAGCAGGGTGCACCATCTTTTCCATGAGTAGTAACCATGGAATGTTCTCTTGATTAAAAGTTAGTCTAGAATGGGATCTGAGAATCAACATTTTTAGGAAAACATCCAAGTTTGGAACTGAGATATAAGTGGAACTCAGACAAGATATTCAACATAGGAGACCAAACTTGGATGTTTTCCTTTCATGCTCTTGCTTTCTCTAGGAGACTGAGAGAACTGAACTATGAGTTCTTTCTCTGCCCCACTGTTATAGTTAACAATAATTCCGAGAGGTGGTCTCACACACCAAAGGGAATGTGTGCAGAAGTAGCAAATGATTCAGCAGTTTCATTTTAAGCCTTATCCAAAAGTCTGTTCAATCCATGGGCTCTTTATACTTGGAAAAGATTAATTTTCCTACCAGATAAAATGTTTTAAGAACAAACATGGTTTGTTCTTACTTCTCTGCTGTATTAGTTACATTCCAGTCAGAAGGTAGAAACTTCACAATAATTTGAACAGGGAAAGTTTAATATAAAGAAATAGTAACAAGGGATAGGAGTCACGGGGAATTATGTAAAAGTGGGTGGGACGAAGAAAGCTCTGAGGGATAAGGGCTGCTGGGGGAGAGTACTCAAGAAAGGAACAGCTTGGAGGAAGAGAATCCTTCCCAAAGCTGGAATTCAGATCCCATTGAGGAGGGTATAGTTGAAGCAAACTAGATAATGGGAAATTTAACTGGGTTGTTCCAAATCACAGAGAGTCCCCAGCTGTCAGTTAGGCCAATTGAGAACTGTTTTTTGGGACACTGATGAATTTCACAGGAAGCTGCTTGAATAGGTTGCTGTTGACCTGCTGGAAAGCCAGCTGGGGCAGCAGCTGGACTCATGGGAAAGCCACCTGGAAGCAGTGGAAGTCCAAAGGATATATTGATACTTAACTGGAAAACCATGCAACTTGTTAGCTCCTCTCAGGAATACCATTGAACTTGTTGCTGGAAACAGCCCAAGGTGGGGATTGTGCTGAGGGAAGCTGGGGAGATGTAACTTGCTGCTAGATGTCAGAATATTGCTGAAAAAAAGCCATGCCTTCTGCAGGAGCTCAGCTAGAGCAGCACATTTGCAACTAGAGGAGCACACTCAAACCTGAAACGAAACAAAAACTATCCTCTGGTGTCCCTTCAATATCCTCTGCTGACAATGTTAAACAAGGCCCATGTCGTTATCACAGAGCAGGAAAAAAAGGGTGAATTTAGAGCTGAGAGGCCATAAATGGATAACTGGCACATCTACCTACAAACTAAATTAAAGGTTTTCTTTTCTAAGAGACATTTTTCCAAAATGCATCCTACTATATATATTTAATTCATGGGAAAATGTCATTTTCCTCAGAAGTAGGTAAAAAATATTATGTGAATTAGCATTTAAAGTACAACTTCTGTACTTTCTCATTTATTTGTCTAAGTGTCTCTGTTTTCAATCTAGACAGATAGCTGTACTACCAGGAAAACAACACTTGCTGTTAGTGTCTAACTGACAATGTTGCATAAGTCTATTTACTTAAAATGAACTGGAAGTGATCCTGGAAAATCTGTACATCTCTTTTTAATTTTAATTTTGAGAATAAGAGGCTTGGAAGGCTCATAGTATCCACAGATGACAGCTATATGGAGAGCTATTTGGTCAGCAACCACAGGTTTATCTATCCCAAATTCATTTTTCTCCTCACTTCTATTCTAAAAAAAAATTCAGTTTTTGAGTCATTTCTTGGATTAATTAACTATTTCTAGTATACCCTAAGAAATTACAGACGTAATTCTAAAAAGAGTAGCACAGTAAATAATTAAGTCAGTGCATTAGCAGAGGCAAGTAACAAGGAAATGATCTCTATTGGCGGCAAAAGAAGGGAATAATTTTTTTAATGTAGAACAGGGATCAGCAAACTTTTCCTGTAAAGGGTTAAATAGCAAATATTTTAGGCTTTGTGGGCTGGATGGCGTCTATTGCAACTACTCAACTCTGCTCTGTAGCATGAAAGCAGCCATAAGTAGTATGTTCCATTAAAACTTTATTTAGAAAAACACTCAGCAGGCAGAGTTTGGCCCATGTGTGGTAGTTAGCCAACCCCTGAAGCAGAAAAACAGAAGGAAAATTGGATAAAGGGGACATTTCAGAGGGGAGAAATAAGCCGCATAATAGCTCCTGACATCTAAAGATGTGAAAGCTACAAAAATTGTAAGTCTTGGCTCATTAGCCAGCTTAGAAATTTTGCCCAAGGAAGACGTAGCACAGTAGGCATGGACTATGGCCTAACACAAACCTGGAAGCTGCCTACAAGTTAAGCCTCACTTTTCTCTTCCACACAATAGAGAAATAATATTTTAATCACCTAGTTTTTGTGAGAAGCAAATAATATAAAGCTGCATTATAGATGCTCACTAGCTGTTCTACATCCTTTGCGTCTCAATTTCCTCATCTTTTATTAAGCAGCTTGCATTAAGTTAAGCTCTAAGATCCTTTTCAAGTTTAATATATGATGACGGGCATCATAGTTTTGGGGCTGTCCAACAAAGGATGTGTATCATAACTTAATCAAGCAGCGACGGCCTTTGTTGTCCACCATCACAGACTCATCAAAACTGTTTTTTTCTAGTGCAAAAGAAACACATGAGGACACTTTCAAGTTCTTCTATCAAACTGTCTAAACAGTGGCTCTCAATAGGAGGAGAGGGTTATTATCACTATGATTTTTGTGTATCTCCAGTATTGGGAGATCTACCAGCACTTATTTAGTGGGCAGGAGTCAGGGATGCTAGGCTTTCTGTAATGTATGAAACAGCACTGTATTCTGTACGGATTTTTATTTTCCCACTGGACATCACATGAGTTTAATACTTGTTAATTTTCTGAGCTTAGAACCAAATCCATTTCACTTATAAATACAAGGCATTTTTGAACTCTTAGTGTACAGTGATTTTTTTCAGAAATGTAAATACCATGTAAATTGATGGAAGATTTTACTTCGTTTTTATCAGTACTTTACGAAGACTAAAAGAAAAGATTTCCAAGAAAAGCACATCATTGATGCCAATGCCTGTTATGACATTTGAGTCATAAATGTACTGTACTCATATCAGTCTTCAGTCATATCCACAGTGTTTCTCTATGGGAAAGCATCTGACTGCCACATTTTTTGTTTTGAAAGCATCTGACTACCACATTTTGTGTCATATTTGCTTTAAAACACACGTGACTTAATTATTTCTTCTTTAAGAATTGGAGAAATATATTAGTGTTTTAAAAATTACATGTGCTAGTAGGTTATATCATTTATAAATTTATTTTCAGATTACTAAATAGGCGGTCACCTAGCATCTGATAGGATTGAGGACTCCCCTAGAAATTATCCTAAGCAATCCTTGTCCTAGATTTCTTTTATTAATGACCAATGAGTAAAGAAGACAACGTAACTTTGTCTCAAGTTTCCTAGAGCAGATATTATAGACTTTCGTTAAATATCTTATATTGGCTGATGCCACCACGTCACTGATAAGATGAAACTTCAAAGAAGTTACTTTCTAATACAAACACTAAAGTCTGATTTTCCATGAGATAGAAAAATAGTGGATTCTGTAGTCCCCTTTATTTGTAGAAAGATGATTAGTGCCTTCCTGGCCATGAACAAAATAAGACTTCTCCCTGAAGTCGCTACACTTACTATCCTCTTAATAAAACATCTGAGGCTCAGGGAAAACATTTCAACAGCCAGAAACAGCTGGCATTGTCCCACCAGATCTTCCTGGAGAAGCTTCGGTGTTCAGATGTCTACAGTGATTCCTATTGGCATTATTATCAATTAACTCCCGCTTAGTGCTGAGTTTGTAGACTACAGCTTTTCTGGTTCAAATTTTTATAGCTGTTTCTCAGCTGTTTTGAAAGAGCCCTAGCAGTGCTTTTTAAAAACAGAAACCTGAGCAAAATGTCTTCAGTGACCCTTTTCCATTTCTATTTGAAATGAAGAGAAGGAAGCTCTTCAACCTACTAGGGGCTGAGATCCAAAATTTCTTCTTGCCCCAAGTTAAATAAGCCAGACACAGAAAGACAAATAATGAATGAACTCACTTACATGTGAGATCTAAAATAATCAAACTCATAAACGCAGAGAGTAGAATAATGTTTTCCAGGGGATGAGAGGCGGGAGAAGTGGGGAGGTGATAGTCAAAGGGTAGAAAGTTTCAGTGATGCAAGACAAGTAAGTTCTGGAGATCACTTATACACCATAGAGCCTATAGCTAACAATACCGTATTGTATGTTTAAAATTTGCCAAGAGAATGGATCTCATGTAACGTGTTCTTCCTCCACCTGCCCCCTCCAAAAAATAATATTAAAGGGGCAGGAGGAAACTTTGGGAGGTGATGCGTGTGTTTATGTCCTTGATGTAGTGGTGGTTTCATGGCTATATATTTATGACCATACTTCTCGAGTTGTATATATTAAATATGTACAGCTTTCACATGTCATTCATACTTCAATAAAGTGTTTTTAAATGTATTCTTACCAAAGAAAACACTCAAAGATTATTTCATGTAAAATGAAGATAAACATAAACTTTCATCACTGAAAGGTGCTAAACACAGATTAGAAAGTCCACCATGACAGGCATATGGAACTTTGAATGACCACTTTTTAATTTATGCTTCTTCGTTTCCTCCATAGGTGAATGCTGGCTTTTCCAAAGAGATTCTTAGACTTTGTGGTAGCTCCTTCATGCCTCATGAAATGATTTAGATTGGCTTTAGAAATGTCATATTATTCTGTCCTTGTGAGGCCATTTCAGAAATGGTAGTTCAGAGTAAAACTGAATGGGCTTTTTTACCATCTCAGATAATAGAGTCAAATGACCAGATCAAGTTTCATATTTAAACTGGTCAGAGGGATTTTTGCTTCATACTTTATTGATACAGATGAAGTGACCAATTAAAGTGGACTGGTTTTCACTTTATTTTACAACTCTGAGTGCTCTTAAGGCTGCAACAACTTCTGTCAACTATTTCAATGTTCTTAATATCTGAAGCATTGAATGTACCCTAACAACCACAATTTGAAACAATTCTTAGCTTTTGAAAATGTTTTCCAAAGGATATATACTTTTTTAATTAATATGTAATTTCCATTACTGATTGGCAATATCTCTCTGGTATATCAAATAACTTGCTTGCCATATTTGATGTGAATATCTCTTCTAGAGAACATATAAATTTGTATATAGAGCCAGGTTACCTCTGATTTCATTTAATCAAACTTTAGGTCTCCTCCTCCCACATTCTCAAGAGAGTAGACAGACTATAGCACTATCAAAAATCACACAAGGCACTCCTGAGATTCATTCAGGCCTTGAGCACATTTGATGACTAGGGGCTTCATGATTGGTTTTGGCTCAGAGGAAGGTCAAAAGTGCTTGGAGGATTGGGGAATTAGGGTGAAGATAACAGCAAGCTATCTCATTCATTTATGGCTCCTGTCTCCCAAGAAGTACTTTGGGTGCCTGTCTGAACTGCACTGAGAAGGGGTGCAGGTGAAGGACAGAGGCACTAGTGTGGGACCTGGTGGCATGGCTGCTTATTCAAGCTATTACCTAGAGTGGGGAAGAGGTTCTTAGGGATCCCTATGTGTCTCCAGTGTGGTGAGAACTCCAGCTAATGAAGTGTAGCTCTATCTCCTTGCCAGCATCCAGAGACAACCAATCTCTGGACATGTTGAGTCCCACCAGTTGTAGCAGTGGAGTATCATTTTCAAGTGCCTGTGAGGGGACAGAGCTCAGCAACAGAGTAGAAGAAAATGAGACAACAGTTTATGAATTTGCATGGGCTATCCCTAGGAACTACTAGAAATAATTAGATGAAATTTATGGGGTGGTGAAACTTCTGTATTATTCATAAAGAAACATGAGCCAGTGGTTTATTATAAATAAGATGACCCTCTTTCTAGCCAAAGCTGGGGAAATTCCCATGCTTGAAATGCCATCCCAGAGATGTCATCTCACCCCAGTTAGAATGGCTATTATCAAAAAGACAAAAAATAACAAATGCTAATGAGGATGCGAAAAAAGGAGGAATGCTTGTACGCTGCTGGTGGGAAGGTAAAGTAGTATAGGCATTACAGAAAACAGTATGGAGGTTTATCAAAAAGCTACAACTAAAAATAAAACTACAACATGATCCAGCAATCCCACTACTGGTTATATATCCAAAAAAGAAGGAAATCAGCATATAGAAGAGAGATCTGGACTCCCATATTTATTGCAGCACTATCCGCAATAGCCAGGATATGGAATCAAACTAAGTGTCTATCAACAGATAAATGGATAAAGCAAATATAGTATATATGCACAATAAAATATTACCCAGCCATAAAAAATATGAAATCCTGTCACTTACAGAAACACGCATGCAACTGGAGATCATTATGTTAAGCGAAATAAGCCAGGCCCAGAAAGACAAACATGGCATGTTCTCACTCAAATGTGAGAGCTAAAGAAGTGGATCCCATAGAGGTAAAGAGTAGAATTGTAGTTACCAGAGTGTGCGGATGAAAGGCGGAGGCAGGGATGAAGAGAAGTGGTTAGTGGGTACAGAAATGCAGTTAGATAGAAGGAATAATTCTAGTATTAAATAACACAGTATGGAAATTATCTTCAACAGTGATACATTGGCAAAATAGCAAGAAGAGAGCTGTAATGTTCCTAACACACACACACAAATGTTTTAGGTGATTAATATCCCAGTTACCCTCACTTGATAATTACACATGTATACATGTATCAGAATATTATATGCACCCCCAAAATGTGTACAACTATGATATGTCAATTAAAAACATACACACAAAATATCATCCTAAAGTCACATCATCATCCAAGACCACTCTTCTCAGCTCAGACTATGTATCCAACTGCCTACCTGATATCATGAGTTATATATCTCATGAATACATACAACTCAGTGTGACCAAATGATGTTTATATTTCTCCCAAAGCCTGTTTCTTTTCCACATTTCAGTGAGTGCTACAGCCACCTAAACCAGTCATTCTCAATCTTGACTGCTACATATTAGAACCATCTGAGAGTTTTAAAACCCCATTAAGGCCTAAGCCCCATCCAAACCTATCAAATTAGAATCGAATCACTGGAAGTGGGGCCCAGGCATGGGGTCCTTGTAAAATCTCCCAGGTGATTATAATATGTTGTTATCAGTTAGGGCCAGGACCTTGGAAGTCAACCCAACACTTCCATTTCCTCCTTCATTGCCCTCATCCAATGCATCACTGAAAACTGTTGTTGCTACTTTCGATATAGTTTATGAATCTCTCCACATTTTTTCACTAACCTTACCACCAACCTAACACAGGTGATAATCACCCCTTGCATAGATTAATGCAATGATCTCCTGATGGTCTCCCTTCATCCCCTTGTCCATCTCTAAGCAATTCTACTAACAAATGGATCTTGCCCATGCTGTTTCTGCTACTTGGGACTATTTTGTTTCACCCTTTACCTGGCTTATTCCTGCTTATAATTCAAAATTCTATGGCGTAAATACCGTTATTCATTCATGCATTCATTAATTCAACAAATGTTTATAATACATAAACCACCACCAGTTTTTCCAATATTATCTAAACATTGGAAAGAGAACTATGAAAAGACAGATAACTACGCTGCTTTTTGGACGACAAACTAACAAATATCTTATATTTTATATTAAATATCTTATATTAAATATCTTATATTTTATATAAGATATAAAATATTTATATATAAACATGTAAGAAATAAAAAATATATAAATATATAAGATATATAAGATATAAAATATTTATATATAAATATATGAAATTATATATCTTATATATCTTGTATATTTCATATAATATATATTTCTATATTATATTATATTACAATATTATATATTAAAATATAGTAATATATAATATATTATAGTATATATCATATATAGTATATAATATATAATACATTATAGGAGTAATATATATAATATATTTTAACATAATATATAAATATATCATATATGATTATATATAAATATTATAATTATATATTATAATACATAAATATAATATATTATATATATTATAATACATAAATATAATATATTATATATATTATAATACATAAATATAATATATTATATATATTATAATACATAAATATAATATATTATATATATTATAATACATAAATATAATATATTATATATATTATAATACATAAATATAATATATTATATATATTATGGAAGAAACATTTAAACGGCCTCAGAGAAATAAAAGCCTATATAAATGTAAATACATTCATAAAATGGGGGTAGATTTATTTAGTCTATTTTCAGATGCAAAAATCAGAAAACAGGTTTAGTATTTCCACATAACAAATATATTTATATATTTATATAATACATAATAATATATAATATATAATTAATATATTTATATAATATATAATATATATTTATATAACATA
This sequence comes from Homo sapiens, assembly GCF_000001405.40. NCBI lineage: Eukaryota > Metazoa > Chordata > Mammalia > Primates > Hominidae > Homo > Homo sapiens. Next base: position 20,278,454 of record NC_000007.14, read on the forward strand.
TAATATATATTTATATAATATATAATCATATCTAATATATTATTTATATATTTATATCATATAATATCTAATATATTATTTATATATTTAAATATTTATATAATATATTACATATTATATATTATATAATATAATATGTAATATATTATTTATCTATTTATATAATATAATATATATTATTTATATATTTTATAATATAATATGTAATATATAATATAATATAATATGTAATATATTACATATTTATGTAATATAATATGTAATATATAATATAATATAATATGTAATATATTACATATTTATGTAATATAATATGTAATATATTACATATTTATGTAATATAATATGTAATATATTACATATTTATGTAATATAATATGTAATATATTACATATTTATGTAATATAATATGTAATATATTACATATTTATGTAATATAATATGTAATATATTACATATTTATATAATATATATCATTTATATATTTATATAATATGACATATAATATATTATTTATATTTATATAATATATATAATATATTATTCATATATTTATATGATATATGTAATATATTATTCATATATTAATATGATATAATATGTAATATATTATTCATATATTAATATGATATAATATGTAATATATTATTCATATATTATATGATATAATATGTAATATATTATTCATATATCTAAATAATATATAATACATTAATATATATTCATATTAATAATATATTATATATTATTTATATATTTATATAATATATTATATATATTTCTATAATATATATAATATATCATTTATATATTTCTATAATATATAATATAGTATTTATATATTATATATTATATTATATATAAATATACTATTTATACATAAATAATATATATTATTTATATATAATATAATATAATATAATATTTATATATAATATAATATAATATATTATTTATATATAATACAATATAATATATTATTTATATACAATATAATATATTATTTATGTATAATACAATATAATATATTATTTATATATTATACAATATATTATTTATATATTATATAATATATTATTTATATATTATATAATGTATCATTTATATATTATATAATAGAATATATTATTTATATATTATATAATAGAATATATGATATATTATTTATATATTTATATAATATATGATATATTATTTATATATTTATATAATATAATATATGATATATTATTTATATATTATATTATATAGATATATTGTTTATATATTTATATAATATAATATATGATGTATTATTTATATATTTATATAATATAATATATGATGTATTATTGATATATTTATATAATATAATATATGATGATTATTCATATATTTATATAATACAATATATAATATATTATTTGTATATTTATATAATATATAATATATTATTTATATATTTATATAATATATAATATATTATTTATATATTTATATAATATATATTATATTATTTATATTTACATAATATAATATATAATATATTATTTATATAGAAATATATAATTTTTATATATTATAGATATATATTATAGACAAAGCTTTATATATATAAAGAAACTGTGTGTGCATGAGTGTGCACGTGTGTGTGTATATATATGTTAAAAAGTACTGAGCCATGACAAGACACCGTGGACACGTAACATATTTAGATACCAAGAACAATGTGACAATACCATTATCTGAACTAGAAATATAGTGATGTGTTTGATGAGTCAGAGTAACCTACTGGGAAATCCTAAAACAACCTAGTTGAAAGAGCCGTGGTCTTCTAATAACCTAAAAGAGGCCCCTGAAGAGAGAAAATTATGTGAGTATATGTCCATAAATATTTACATTTCTCAGCAAATATATGTCTCTCTGGATCAGGATTTCTCAACCTTGTCACTATGAATATATTGGGGAAGATACATTCGCTGTGTACATTTTATTTGTGTGTGTGTTGGGGAGGTGGTTGTTCTGTACATTGCAAGGATGTTGGAAGCATCTGTGGCCTCTGCTAATAATACCCTTTAGTTATGGCAACTAAAAATGTCTCTAGACACTGCCAAGTATCCCACAGGGGCAAAATGGTCTTCATTTAAGAACCACCGCTCTTGATAGACATAGGAGGAGGTAGGTTTAGGGGTATATTGTGATATGGAGATAGCAATTTATATCTAGGTATGGAAAGGAAGAAGATAGTGCTTCTGTGTGTCATTACAGACCCTGCGGTACAATGGTTAAGAATAGCGGCATTCGCACTGATTGACTGTATTAGGTTGGTAAATTTCAATCCTACCAAATACTAGCTGTGAGATATCTTAAATGAAGGTAATAATAGGATTTCAAAGATTATTATGACCACTTAATGATATAATGCACTTAAAGTGCTTGGCATATTGCTTAGTACTGAGTAAGTACTCAGCAACTGTCAGGTCTTATTATTTTAGGAGATCCTGCTAACAGTTTTTTTTTTCTTGGTGCCTCTGTCTTTCTCTGTATTACATACAGATGCATATACATATCATACAAGCAGTTATATATAGACGGACATGTGTCTATGTATGTATAAATGCAGCACAGGTAAAACATACCAATGGCAGGATGACTGTGAGTGCTTGAGTGTGTATGTATTGGCATCAGAGGAAGGGCTGAAAGAGAGTGTGAGTCATTCCATAATGCAAAGCAGATGTTAGTCTGTTTGATAATTTTTTGGCAGATTAAAAAAAGAGGAGTTAAGTAAACTTTATCTGGCATGTTTGAAGAATAAGGTAATCAAATGTTATAATTAATAGAGTGTTAGCACATAAAACGAAACATCGTTTATCAATTTTAAAACATCTAAAAATACAACAAAATACATTAAACGCTAAAACTTACTAAGATGATTAACTCATTTTATTTCAGCAATTATTTCTAAATCTCTTGCTATTTTCTCAGCTGTACTCTAAGTATGGATTTTTGATGAAATTTTAGGAACTACCATTCTTCCTAATGGTTCTAAATATCTTTTCTCTTCAGAAGTGTAGAAGATGTAGGAGTTTATGCTGAGGACATACTCCATATATCATGATCGGAAGGTGTCTTGGAAAGTATTGATATTACTGACATTTACTTACTTCCATTATATGTGCTGCTTTTATATAAATTTAGAATACAGAGGGTAATAGATGAGTATCCTTCCTTCCATAAATTAAACTTTTATGTCAAAGCTAAGAAACTCTTTTGTAAATTTTAATCATTTTTTTCCATTAATATAGAATCTCAGATGATATCTAACTCTTCTCTACCATATCCTTAATTCCTCCTCAGCTTTCAGTAAAGGGGTATTTACTATTTGTCAACAAAGTAACTTGTCATACTTATGGACAGCTGAGATGCTGGAAAATTATCTGTTATATTGAACCAAAACCTGCCTCAAATATGCACACAATATATTTATTTGATTACCACAAACATCAGAAAATAGGTTTAATATTTCCACATAACAATCTTATAATTACTTATTAATGTAGTACCTTAGAATTATAAAAATAAGTTTAATCTTTCCATATAACAATCTTATAATTATAATTAATCTTATAAATAAATGAGAACTTTATTCTTACATTTCTCCTTCAGCCTAGCCTCCCCAGGAACAAGCAGCCCTGGCCTCTTCAATTAATACCACCTGAAATACTTTCTGGTCATTTTACTTCCTTCTGAGCATGTGTGTGTGTTTGTGTGTGTGTGTGTGTTTCAATATTCCTCTTCAGATGTGATATATGGAAAATAATTCAGATGTAGTTGTTTCATATCTTTCTCACCAAATACTTCTTTATTATCTTTATCCTTCTCAGCAGACATTCTGTTACTCAGAATGCTCTGCGTCACCATCCAGGTGTATACATTTCATGTCTTTGTCAGCTTCAATATACTTTTAGATTTGTTTCAATAAAGTGTATGTAGACAATGAATGAACATATATTCTCCACCATTTCAAAATTATGTCCTCCTCTCTCATGCTATTCAATCTTTCTCTTCTACTTTATTTTCTTTATTTAAATATCTCTTCATCTCTCATGGCATTTTTGTTGGACTCAGTAACAATGGAGCCAACTTTGACTATCCTAATTTCACAATAATAAGCCATTTGCAATATCAAAAAATTAACCCTTAAAATTTTTCTTCTGTTTCTTTACTTTTTATGATGATGATCCCAACAAAATAAGACAATAAGGATGGCTTCTTCTCAATTACAACTAATATCCTTTTGAGAATCAATAATTCATACCTAGAAGGCAAAAAAGAAAAAAAAAAAAGCAGTGCTGGTTAATCAATTTTCCTAGAAGGAAGTGATATTGTCCTAAAATTATACAGTATAGAAGAAATATTTAAACGGCCTCAGAGAAAAAAATAGCCTATATAAATGTAAACACATTCATAAAACAGGGGTAGATTTATTTAGTCTATTTTCAGATGCAAACATCAGAAAACAGGTTTAGTATTTCCATATAACAATCTTAAAATTATCTATTAATGTATTATCTTATAATTATAAAAATAAGTTTAATCTTTCCATATAATGATCCTCTCATAATTAATCTTATAATTATATATATTGAGAACTTAATTCTTATGTTCCTCCTTCAGCCTAGCTTTTTTCTCTATTCACAAACATATGACTCATACACATACACATACTCTCTGCTTAGCAGATTATCTCACTATAGTAAAGTTGAAAATTAATAATGCTTTCCTTATAGCTATTCTATGCACTAAGGAAACACGGAGGATAGTTTTTTAAATGTAAGTAAGATAATTTTCTAGAATTAAAAAAATTATCCACATCTTCAGAGAGGTTTGGGTTAAGGGTATGCATTTGTTGAAAGCCTTTGAATGACACACCTAAAATTTTAAGTATTTCACTATGCATACATTCTACATTTAAAATTGCAAAGAAATACTGAACTCTGGTTAACAAGTTTGTTTTTCTAAGTTGCGTGAATTAGCAATTTTGAAACTATCTTATATATATTCTGCACTTAAGCAAAAAAGTAAATATATTGAGTGTAATAGGAGTGGGTTTCTCACAGTTGGAGGTGAGAGTTCCATATGTGGAAAGTACAAGACTAGAATGTAGGCCTGTGGTATTGGACTAGGGTTAGAGACATCAATTTGGATTCAGAAAGAGAGAGAGACAGAAGGAGAAAAAGAGTCAGAGTACTGCCAAAAAGAAAAGTCAAATGTTGTTATACCAAGAACTTACTATGCCATATTCATTATTTGGTAATTAAATCAATGTGCGTAAAGCAGGAAGTAATAATGTCAGAAATTTTAAACTTACAAATATGCAACAATTAGTTATTTATGATGGTATTTATATCAATGGTATTTTCTTTGCAACATTTTAGTCCAAAATAAAAAATAAACACTTTTTAAAAGATACTGTAGTTAAGTATTAGGAATTTTTAGAGTTAGAATAATTATGTTCATCGGAATACATAGGGATATGTCTATTTATCTGCCAAATAAATATAAAACACACAGTATTTATCAGTTGCAAGAACTCTACACTAGAACTGTGAAAAAGTGTTTCATTTTGAAACCTGAAACGAAAAGACAGTTAGCTAATTTGGGGGTGAAAAATACACTTGCTAAATGTCCCTTAAACTGCTGACAAATTATGAAATATATTTCCATATTTTTTAGCTAGGTCATATTGTATATAATGGTTTCATTTTTCTTCCATGGTGAGTTTTTCGTTCTTGTTTCCATTTCTGGCTTTAGATGAAACCTCACAATTATGCTGAGAACCCTTGCTTTCATGTTGTTTTTAAAATGAGACTTTCATGATGAAGCCACAAAACAACTCAGCAATAATACACATTAAAGAAACATGCTGTTTTGCATTCATATTTAGTAGATTTGGCAAAAGAATCCATAATAATTTGACAAGCCAGAAGCGGCCTAGAAGACAAAATCTAAAAATTACATGTAAATTCAAATTACTCATCCATCTTCCTACTCACTGATCTCTCAACTTTTTCTTTTTCTTTCCTTCTTTCCTTCCTTCCTTGTCTCTTTTTCTTTCTTTTTCATACCTTTTCTTTTCTCTTTTCTTTTATCCTTCTCTTTCTACTTCTTTCTGTCTCTTTCTCCTTCCTTTCTTCTTTCTTTTTTAATTTCCTTCTTTCTTTTCTTCTCTCTTTTTTCTCCTTTCTCTCCTTCTCTCTTTTTTCTCCTTTCTTTCTCTCCTTCTCTCTCCTTCCCTCACTCCCTCTCTCCCCCACCCCTTTCTTTCTTTCTCCCTCAGTTTGAAGAAGGAGAAACTAGGATGTTGGTATTTTATAGAAACATATGGTAGAACAAGAGAATAAGTACTATAGTCAATTCTACAGTCAGGTGTTTTGTCATCTGAAGTCATAACCAGACCTAAATAACCCTAAGCAGTTAGTCATCATTGCAAAATCAAGAAAACTCCATGTAACTGTATATTCACAAATACCCCACTGGCTTAGAATTAGAAAAGTAACACCCTAGGTATTCCCCAGGTGGGAAGGGATACCCCCTTGGAAGTGGGTGAATTCCCACTGGATCTCCCCATTTGTGCTGGGGATCTTGGCTCACATTCCCTGCTTGGGGAGCCCCATGGGTTTCTTAATTGCTTCCTTCAGGGATGGGAACAGAATTGAGAATGCTGCCATGTTGGGGAAACCTAGAAAGCTCTTTATTCCTTAACGAGATATGGGGCAAATTAGAGATCGAGGAATCCCTAGGTCACTTCCTTTTATGGCTTCTACCTTTTAACTCATAGAAATGACAAGATTTAATCTTTGTTATGTTGAAGAGACCCAGATAATATCACCATGAGATTTTACTGAATATCTGATAAGTAATGGTTATTCCTTCCTGTCTTCTGTTCCTTAGATACACCTTCACAAATTGGTACTTTATTAATTCTACCCATTTATAATAAGGAAGCATTAATATAATAACAAGTTAGAATATATATATATAGCCAAATTGTTAAATGGCTAAAATTGCAAAAATAATCCCATTTATGTTCCCCAAATAAAGATCCTCTTGAAAAAATTTCTAGAGCTTCTGGAAGGAGCTAAATGTGGATTATATGTCCTGATAAACTAGTTGGTTAATTTTCTAATATTAATGAGAACTATATGTAGCCCACTATAGCTCAGTCTCCGCCTTGACTATGAAGAAGTACTTTGTGATTTCATCAGTAAGAACATTTTAAAATATAACAATTATTTTATTTTATTACTTGACTGATTCCTTTATTCTAGATTACTGTGTTTGGGGATTTTTTTCCCAATACATCTTTGCTTTAACTGTAAGCCATTTAATTTTTTCAGAAAGTAAGAAATAGATGTACTTTAAGTAATCAGCATTATGTTACTATCTAAAAAGAGAACACAAGACTGATAGACAATAAGGTTATTATTTTGCAGATGAGAAAACCAGAGATGTAAATAGGAGAATATCTCACCCAAAGCTTCGTCTCACCCAAAGCCAACACAAACATCAGGAAACAGAGAGGGGCACTCACCTAAACTTTCAAAACCCAAACTAGGGTCATTCTTGTCATAAAGTCCTCAGGAGGACTCAGGTTGGTATATTTAGGGCTAAAACACAGATACGGTCTTCTCTTTTTTCTTTTTTTTCAAAAAAACAGGAACAAATGTTTCTGCTTTGTACTTATTAATATGCATATGTTCAATCTTACTTTTATAAATAAACATCTTTTAAAAATAGCCAGCAATTTTTTAGCAAAAGACGTTTAAACACATGGTGGAGGAATCTTAGGGAAAATCCAGAGATTTAATCCAATTTATTCCAAGAAAGGGACAGGAAATTAAATTAGTAAACAAATTCACTATTTATATATTTGAAGTGCTGTTGGTTTTGTCCACAGTTTGCTCATTGGTGATACAGGCATGTTTTCTAGATGTTTATGCTAAAATTGTCTACCTGGTCTCATTATAGTGTATTTGTTTTGAGAGCAGAAAATTTTTCTTTTCCAGATTTTAGAAAATCCCCATCGTATTTTGTATGTCTCACTATGTACAATTTTCTAAAGCATAATAAATTATACAGAGTATATAATTGAAAGATGAATAATTCTCACAGCACCTTAATTGACCCAATTATTCATTATAGACAAAATTGGAGGAAAATAAAAGAGCAAGAAAGGGTATGACATCATTTGCGGATTATGTAACAGCTAGGCTTGATTTTATTGTTGGCTCTAGTTAAATATTTTTTTTAAATAAAACAGTGCCTACTTCTCCAACATTAACTATACAAAAAACTTGACTTCAGTATTTATCAAGGTATAGGCCTATATAACATTGCTTGCTTCCTTGAATAAGTAATATTTGGTGTCTTTGTCACTTTGGGCCCTTAGCAAGTGATGCTGTAACTGGCAGTGAATAATTTAAGTCACTGCTCTTGAGAAGCCTCTTTTGTTTGCAAGGAGCAAAACCCTACTCAAACTAACTAGAAAAGCTAAAAGAGAGGTTTATTGGAGAATATTAAAATACCCAGGAATCCTAAGACACAAAATGAAGCATAGTTGGCTTTTTGTGACCTGGGACTAGAAGTAGAGAAACCGAGGTCTTTCAAGAACTGCCTTTATAGTTTCTTGTTATTTTCTATTTTACTCTACGAATATGTTCAATATGTAATTTTTTATCGCCTTCCTTTATGGCAACAAGCCCACTCTATATTACCTAACCTATCAGTTCTAACTCTAAATTCTGAATTATCCGTGTTCCTCAAAACCTTAAGTCCAAATTTCTGAGAAAGAAATGTGATTGTTCTTTTCTTTAATGTCTGCTCAGAGTCTGTCACAATTGACTGTCATAGACAACTAGTCAACCTGTGGATTCATTTAGCTGTGACTATAGTAGGGTAGGGTCATGTGATCAACTAGAGCAGCAGGTGGGGAGATAATAGTTAACACCTCTCATGAAACTGGTTAAATATAAACCTCAGACTGGTAATAGATAAGAATCTGTTTCTTCCTGTGTAAAAAACAATGTTTACTTAATATTTGCTTTTCCTAGCCTTAAGTTGTATCTCTAGGAATAAATGGGTTAATACAATGGAAAACACATGAGCGATCATAAAGTTTTGGAATACAATCAATAACAATACATCTACTGTCAACCAAACTGTTGATAAAAAGACAAATTACACATAGGTGAGAATCATAGTCTCTCACGATGTTGGGGGACTTCATATAGATGATTTTCCAGTGTAACTTAGATGAAATCAAATATCTGACATAATTATTAAGTATTTGTCTTCCTTCCCTGGTCACTCAAGTCATGGTGCCTCTTCTAGAACAAGTGAAGAGCTGAATCTCTCACCCTGATAGACAAAGTCTGAGGGATATACACTGATTTTTACATTTTGTTCAAATGTATCTCTTATTGCAGATTGAATTTGGCTTGGAATTTGGGTGCTTGCTTTGACTTTTCATTGTTTCCTTATTTGTATTTTATTTTTCTTTAGCTGCTGCTGGTTCTGGTGGTTTGTTTATTTTGTACATTCTATTTTCTAGAAATCTATCACTGGTGAGTGCTTAAAAACAACACAGACCAGAGAAGAAAGAAAGGAGTAAAGAGTTCAAGCCCGGATAACAATGGGACTAGTCCAAAAGTTTGCAAAAACAAAAGGAGATCTGTTGAAAAATAAGTTATAGATGCTTGAAGTCTACATTTATTTCTTCTTATTACTCATTTTGGAATGGATGCTACATTCTTTGTAGGTTCAAAATATCCTCAGAATCCCAAGTATGTGATAAGACCTAGAAAGGGCATAATTAAGCCTTTGTCATTAAGACAGATCTTTTATTCACCAATTTTAACAGTGTATTACAGCCAGGCACAGTGGCTCATGCTGTAATCCCAGCACTTTGGGAGGCCGAGGTGGGCAGATCACCTGAGGTCAGGAGTTCGAAACCAGCCTGACCAAAATAGTGAAACCCCGTCTCTACTAAAAATACAAAAATTAGCTGGGCATCATGGCATCTGCCTGTAATCCCAGCTACTAGAGAAACTGAGGCAGGAGAATCGCTTGAACCTGGGAGGGGGAGGTTGCAGTAAGCCAAGATCATGCCATTGCACTCCAGCCTGGGCAACAAGAGCAAAACTCCATCTCATAAAAAATTAATAATAATAAATAAAATAAAAACATATTTATGTTTTCAGCAGTTTATATTTATATACGACCATCATTCTCCAAATTTAATTATAATTGCCCATGGAAAATATTTGTTGTAACCAATCACGACACAGACTATAGAACTAGCTAGGGTTTTGAAAAGCAAATTTCAGCACTCTTCACAATAGCAAAGACATGGAATCAATCTAAATGCCCATCAATAGTAGACTGAGTAAAGAAAATGTGGTACATATACACCATAGAATACTACGCAACCATAAAAAACAATGAGATCATGTCCTTTGCAGCAGCGTGGATGGAGCTGGAGGCCATTATCCTAAGTGAACTAACACAGAAACAGAATATAAAATGCCACATGTTCTCACTTATAAGTGGAAGCCAAACACTGAATACATGTGGATACAAAGAAGAGAACAACAGACACCAGGGCCTGCTTAAGGGTGGAGGGAGGGAGGAGGGTAAAGATAAAAAAATCTACCTATTAAATACTACGCTTATTACCTGGGTGGTGAAAGAACGTGTACACCAAACCCCAGTGACACACAACTTACGTATACAACAAGCCTGTATATGTACCCTAGAACCTGAAATAAAAGTTAAAAAAAAAAAACAGAACTAGTGTATCTATGGCAATGATACATAGATGTTTTATGTGTTTCTAGAACCATTGGTAAAATTAATTTTTTAAAAATTTGAACCTAAAACATTTTTATTTTAGCATCTTCAAAAATTCAGATATAAATTTCTTTCAACACAGAGCTGTTTATGCATATATTTTTAATTCAATTCTATTTAATGAATGCATTCTCTATTAAACAATAAGTCTCTTACTATGAAATGGAAAATGTGCCAATTGCATGGTATATTTGAATAAATATAATAGGTGTATCATCTACAGCTTTGCTATTCAGTTGTGTGGCCTGGACACGAGCAATATTGGCCCAGCTTGGAAGCTTATTAAAATTTCGAATTTCAAGTCTCTTTCCTAACTACCAAATAAGAAACTTCATTTTAACATGATTCCCCTGTGATTCCTGTGCACATTAAAGCTTCTGAGACATGAACATGAAATAATAGCTTGGGTAGCAAGGATATAGTACACAAATGCTTTCTTAGCAGAAAAACAAAACCGTGCTTAAAATCTAGCTAATTACATTGGAGCAATTTAATTTCTGACCAAAAAGGAATAAGGCTCATGTTATTCAGAACTGTTTAAGAATTGTTTTGCAGGACACTGATCAAAATGTTTTCTATATGATATCTCACAGGATTTAATTCACCCCAAAATACAATCTTACATATTTTCAAGAAAGTTGAGTCTTGTCTTAATTATGTAAATTTAAATTCAGACACAAGTTGTGTGTCTTGGTAAGTCCCACTGACTAGAAAACTAGTGAATTTCCTCTTCGGTAATATTTAAACCCACTAATTTACCTAACGGTTTTATTTTGTTTCAATTGTTTTCTCTATAAATGCAGTATAGCAATATTGAAAAATAAAACTGAGTAAATAAAAATAAATAAATAAAATAAAATAAAATAAAAAATTAGTTTGCTGCAAAACTAAATCAACCAAACTGGAAATCCAGCCTTTTTTTCCCATCCCTGTGGAAATGTTAAACACATTGTCCCCAAGTGAAATACTTAGTAACAGTAAAATTCTCTTGTGATACATGATGCAATATAATTATAGGATTTTTAAAAGAAAGTAGATTATTTTTAGGATAATTTTTGAGCACCTGTCTTGAATAAGGCATTGGCTATTTAACAATAATGGTTTTAAAACTCTTTGTGGGTACTTGCTTCCAAAAGGCAGACATTCTTTCAGGAAGATAGGTATGTAGACCTGGAAAGGTAACTAAGCTTCAGAGTTAACATAAGCATGATAAATGCCAAATAAGTAAGAAATAATGAGTGTTTTACCAGTTCAGTTGAGAAAATAATAATTAATTGGGGGAAAAGTGGCTATAAGAGCTGATTTCTTAAAGGACATTAAATTTAACTTGGGCTTTAAAGGATGGAAAATAATTGGCAAAACAATATAGGATTTCAGCGAAGGGTAACAGCTCAGAAAGATGGAGAGATAAAGTTCCACAGGTTGAAATCGGAGAATTGTCTCAGGAACAGTGAGAGATCTGCTTGGGGCTGTTTTGCATGCGATGGATCTCAATTATTACATACCCTTTCTCACAAAGTCATTTTGAAATGATGAAAAAAAGAAGTTACATAATTATAATCACAAGGAAAAGGGTATCAGCAGTAGACCAAAAATGTTGAGGGATTTCCATAAATAGAAAGTAGAAAGGATAAGAATGACACAGAAACCAAAAGAGAGAAACTCACAGTCTACAGAAAAAATCTATTGCAGTGAGAACTTTTCCTGGTGGAGGTGCAGAAAAACTCCAAGCTCAGATTGAATGAGCACAGAGATGAAAAATGAATTGAGGAGTTATGATCCAATTTATGATACTAATTTACAACTAATTATACTACTATATATTTATATATTAACTAATTAATTAACCAAAGTAAATAAAGATGATTTAATTAAAAATATTCTTGTAACTGGAGCAGAAATAGCTTTCTCCATCCCCATTATACAACTGTAGCTGTTAGCTATAGTAGTTTGCCTCTAGGATAAAGTTTACAATGCACTCTGAAAACAAAATGTGGGATCTTTTTTGAGTGGACTTGTGTTAAGGATCAATGTCAGAGAGGGCAATTCTGAAAAACATTGAGAAAGTCCACAATGGATGAGGAGGAAGTGATTTTCAAAAGGAAAGACAACTTCGTTTGACAGTAAGATATACTAAAGCTCTCTACACTCAATGGCATTTTTTTCTTCTTTTACCAAACGTGAGAACCCTTGACTGCTTGTCTACTTTGTGCCAACCAATCCTGAGAGAAAGTGTGTAAGGCAATAGCTTCCCCTCACTGACACAGTGCCCACAATAGCCCTTCCATCAGGTGAAAGGCCCACTGTAGAAACACACTTGTAGAACTGTAGAGGAAACTCATAGCATCTGACTACCAGTCATTCTAGTAACAGAGAAAAATTAGGAAGGGATCACCAAGGATTACAAAATATTTGAGAAAAACCAACAGCATGCAAGACAAAGATCAAGACAAATAAAGCAAACATCTAAACATCTAGATTTGGAGGAAACAGGTAATACATGAAACAAAGAAGAACTTCAAAACTTTTAAAAATCATTGTCCACACTAAGATTCAAAAGAGTATTACATCCACAAAACAAGAGCTGGCTGCCTCAGAAAAGGAGAAATTAGAATACCTATATACTAAAAACAAAATTACTAAAATAAAATATTTAATATAAAAGTTGACTAATAGAATGGACCTAAATAAAGACTGAACAAATAACCCAGAAGACAGAGTGTAATAAATTCTCTAAATACTAAAGTAAAACAATAAGGGAGTAGATTATATGGGAAAGTCAGCCATGTGGCTAACGTACATATGCTCCTTTGACATTCAACTCGAGTTCCAGATGCAGACAACAGGAAAAATGTGATGAAGAAAATAAAGAAGAAATAACGGAAAAATATTTATCTGAATTGAGGGTTGTGTCAGTGGCTTTTTCTTTGGGGAGCATAAATAGAATCAATCAGACAAATAGGGACACCCCCCGCCTCCAAGAGTACTCAAGAAAGAACAAAGGATGTTTTAATTCTAAGATGAAGACTTTATCAACCTACTCTGCTAGGCTGACTGTTCTCAACTTGGGGTAGGATGGGGTGGGGTTAGGGCAGGTGGATATTTACCCCAGGCAATTTCCAGAGACATACTTCATTATCACAGTTGATAGGAGGTGGGAAGGGAACTTCTGGCTTCTGGTGGGTCCAGACCAGAAATGTTGCTAAACATCCGACAATGCACAGGACAACCATCTGCAACCAAGAGTTGTCCTGTCCAAAATTTTAATAGTGTGGAAGCTGAAAAACTGTGCTGACTGAATTCTCCCCCTACCCCTGAGACCTTAAATGCATTGTGAAAATACTTCCATCCTCCCCAGCACATGCTTTAGAAGACCTTCTTTTTTTCTCCACTCCCAGAAGATTCTTGTTATTTTTATAAAGCTGTTCTCTCAGAAAGTTGATAGTATCCTGAAAGTCAACACCATCCAGTGCTTGATGTCTACGAGATTCGACTCTCTAGGATGCATTGGAGAAAAATCAATCACTTTGACTTTCCTTTACCGGTACTTTTCTGTGTCTACCGCAGGATCATTTAATCCATGTGTTTGTTCTTGTGTCTCCTTGAGATTAAATACAAATTCTTCCTAATTTGCAGAAATCCTTATGCTGTCTGTCTGTATTATGTCCCAGAGTAGTTGGGGATTTTATTCTTTCGGTTGTATATTTTTTTGTCATTTCAATGGCCTTTGCGGAAACAGGAGAGGTAAGCACATATACTCAGATTGCTACTTTTAATGAAATTTTCTGATTATTTTTGAAAACTTACATCCATAAGATTTTAACTATAAAGAACTGAAGAATCACCAGGAACTTGTGAACATTTATGTTTTCAGGGTTTTTTTGTTGTTGTTTAAAAAAAGATGGAAAGTATTTGCTGCGTGTTTTTGAAAATTTAATTTTGATGTTGATATTTTTACAAGATGGAAATTTTCTTCGTAGAATCAGATCTTAAAGTGGAAATTTCTTTTAAAACCGGATATTAATAAACATTATCATAATATTTTATAGCATTTCAGATACAAACTGCTTTCACAATACATTACTCCATCTGAACCTCGCAACTCCAGGAGCAGGTATTGCTATGACCTTTTATCTGTGAGAAAACTGAAGCCTTGAGAGGCTGGTTGATTTTTGAGTGAAGTCACAGAGCTGGATCTAAGCCAAGTCTTCTAATTCTTTATTTAACATACCTGCTGGTCTACCATACTGCTTTCTTACATGGTATCTGTTCCTCCGTTCCATGATAGGGAAGGAGTTATGCAATGATTCAAGTACAGTGTCTTGTATTACACCTTCTTTCTTGATATATCTCCATAGATGCTAGCCACAGAGCCCTATTAACATGAGTATACCACTAGGTCATTGTAAAAAAAAAAAAATCAATAAATAAATGACAATGCTCACAATGTAGAAAAATTTCTAAGGAACCTGAGGCATAGAAGAAGCATAGTCAAACCTAACTTCTCGAGTATCAGATCAAAGAAAAAATAATTTTTGAAGAATTTTCCAAATGTGGCTTAAATCATGCCATGTCGTGTGTACTTCTTCCCAGCATACAAAACCTCACTGTTGTGTCTTTTGATCCATTATTTCCTTGCTTCTACCTTCATTCACTATTTGGGAAGTTAGAAAAATGACTTTTACTCTCCGTTCTACTTTTTTAGAAAGTCATAGCTTTACTCATTGAAGTACTGATTTCTAGTAGAATAAAACTATATGTTAATCATAACCTCCTTTTCCCTTGGAAATTCAGGCAAGTACTGTGATTTATCTTGAAAAATGTGGACTAATAAAAGTCTTTTCTTCTTCTTTTTTCTTTACTAGAACTAGGCCCTGCACTTAGCCCAAAGGGAAGCACCCCTTTTTATTGTTGGCCACACTCAGTGTTGCATGGTCAAAGGAGCATTTACATAAGCCAACAAAAGTTAGCACAGCAGGAACAAGAGAAATATGTGTATGACCCTCCCATGAGAAAAGAAAAATTTCTGTCTTCACTGTTTTTTACAATTAGTATCAGAAATAAAAAATAACTTAAACATTTGTTCAGTATTTAATATGTCAACTATTGTTTTAAAAAATAACCACTTTGCATTATTGCCTAGTCCTCACAAAACTCCATTGAGAATGGTACTATTTTCTCTCTGATCTTACAGATAAAAGAGAAAGGAAGAGAGATACAGTAGTTTGCCTAGCAAGTTGTGAGGTCTGGATTCAAACTCAGTCCAATTACAGCACTTGCTCCTAAATTGTTTAATAATTTCATTTTTTCAGGAATATAGGAAGTTTTCAATATATTATCAAGATCATTTTTTCCATTTCTGACATATTCTTTTCATGGCAAGTTAATATGCTACTGACTTTTTCATATGTGCATCAGAATTATAGATAGAAACATTAATGTAAATTAAATAAAATTGTTATTATATTTACTACTTTTTTTTAACTTCCAGGTTTTTTTGGTGTAGCCAAAGTGCTTGCATTTTCTAATTGGCTCTTGACAGCAGACTGTAACTTAGATACCTAATGGTTTTTTGTCATTTCATTCAATTCTTTCATTTTTATTTGGTTTGTTCCTGGTAAACTCCCTTTCATATGCCCTCAGGGACAGTCCTAAATCTCTACATTGTCCTCTAGATCATTACTGTCACTCTCATCTTCAGCAAATACCTATACCTCCCATTTCATGGCCATCCAGTATGAATGTCTTCAGGTCTTTCATTTTGTTAATATGCTGTGTCAAATTTATTGATTTGGGTATGTTGAACCATCCTTGTATTCTAGGGATAAGTCCCACTTAATCATGGTGAAGGATACTTTTAATAGGCTCTTGAATTCAATTTGCTAGCACAGGTAACCCTTGAACAACATGGGTTTGAACTATGTGAGTCCACTTATATGTGTATTCTCTTCCACCTCTGCCACTCCTGAGACAACAAGACCAACCCCTCCTCACCCTCCTCTTCCTCAGCCTACACAACATGAAGACATTGACAATGAAGTCCTTTATTATGATCCACTTCCACTTAATGAATAGTAAATATATTGTCTCTTTGTTATAATTTTCTTAAAAATGCTTTCTTTTCTTTAGCTTACTTTATTGTAAGAGTATAGTATGTAATACATGTACCATACAACATATGTGTTAATCAACTGTTTATGTTATTGGTTAGGTTTCTGGTCAAAAGCAGGATATTAGTAGTTAAGTTTGGCAGAGTCAGAAGTTACATCTGGATTTTTGGCTGTGTTGGTGGGTATATTTTGGGTCAGCACTCCTAATCTCCATATTGTTCAAGAATCAATTGTATATTGATATTGTCATGCAACAACCATCAACACCATTCATCTCCAAAATTCTTTTCATCTTGTAAAACTGTAACTCCGTACCCATTAAACAATAACTCCCCATTCTCCCTTCCCGCAGCCCCTGGCAACCACCTTTTTACTTTCTATTTTATGATTTTGACTACGATAAGTACTTTATACAAGTGGAGCTTCTTAGATGTTTGTATTTATTTCCTTCATCAAATTCAGGAAATTTTCAAATATGCTGTGACTTTTTATCTCTCTCTTTTCCTTCTAGAATATCCAAGATGTGTATGCTGGTCCGGTTGATAGTATACCACAGGTTCCTTAGTACTTTGTTTACTTTTTAAATTTCTGTTCTTCAGATTCAATAATTTCAATGATCCCATCTTCATGTTTACCAATTACTTCTTTTGACTTCTCAAACCTTCCTTGGAATCTCTCTAGAAAACTTTTCATCTGAGTTGCAGTGGTCCTATATTTTCCACGGGAGATGTTTCAGGCAGTGGATGCCTGGAACTGAAGATAGTACCAAACCCCATTGTCATCAATCAGAACACATTTCTGTTCATGTCTTTCATCCACAAATTTCATGCATTTTTCATCATAACTAAACGATTGTAATGCATTGTGACCACAACTTTTGCAGTTTGAGGTGCAACAGCAAACCCAGTACAAGTATTTTTCTTCTTCATAATTAGAAGATCCATTCTTACAACAGATCTTAGCAACCTCAGCATACAATTTTTTTCTTTCTTAATTAAGCCAAGAACTTTCACCTTTTCACTTAAAGAAAGCACTTTACAGTTTCTCTCTGGTATATCTGAATTGCCAGCCTCACTACTCTTGCACTTTGGGTCCATTATTAAGTAAGATAAGGGTTACTTGAACACAAGCATTATGATACAACAATGATCAATCTGATAACAGAGATGGCTACTAAGTGACTCACGGCAGGTAGAGTATACTGTGGATACACTAGACAAAGGGATGATTTATATCCTGGGCAGAATGGAGTAGGACAGTGAAAGATTTCGCCAACATATTCAGAATAGCATGCAATTTAAAACTTGTAAGTTTTTTATTTTTGGAATTTTCCATTTAATATTTTTGGACCATGGTTGATCGAAGGTAATTGAAACTGGAAAAGAAAGCTACAGATAACTAGGGGACTATTGTACTGTACTTTTTAGCTTCAGACTTTCTTTTTAGTTTCTTTTTAGATTTCCTTTCTCTTTATATTTCCACTTTGCTCATACATCAACTTTCTTGGCTTTTCCAGGTTTTTCTTTAGTTATTTGAGCATCTTTAAGACAACTGTTTTTAAAAAGTTTTTGTATGGTAGATCTGCCATCAGTTCTGTTGGCTCATGTTTTCCTCTGAATGAAACATACTTTCCTGTTTCTTAGTTTGTCTTATGATTTTTTTAAACTGGACATTTAAATCTAGTAGTGTGGTAATTCTGGAAATCAGATTATTCCCCTCCTCAGCGTTTCTTACGGATTTTTGTTTTGTTTTGTTTTGATTTGAGTGTTGTAGGCTGTTACTGTGCTGAGGATAAGGCTGACGTGTAAACAAGGTCTTTTCTGAGCCTCCACCTGTTCCTAGCATTATGGTGACTTTCTAATTTTCCACATATATGCAATTGCTTTTGAATATCCTAGTTTTTCTGGCTCTCAAAAGGGAAAGAAGAGACAAATGAATGGGGAATGGGATACTGACCCTTTAAATCTCCTGGAGGTCACTTCATCTGGAGGGAAAAGGGCTTCCAAAAGTTCAGAGAAGTACAACAGTAACAGATGCCCATCTCTGGTGTTTGTACTTCCATAATCAGAAGGAGCTATCAGTGATTAGAACACAGATCTCCAGTATTGGAGGATAGGATCCTTATTGCCCACCTTGGCTCCTGCAAGTCCTGTGTAAGCTGCTCCAAGAACACATGCACAGCTGCCCGCCACAAATCTGGGGGTATGGGGTGGGTGGCTGCTGTCAAGCTAAAAGCTGACATTGACTGAAGTTAACCATAATTTACCATCCATGTCTTCTCCTGGAAGTTGCAAACCTTCGATTCCAGATTTCCAAAATGGTTACATCGAACAGATTCTGCCACTGTAGATGCCTGGCTGGGGAGATGGATGCCTGGTGCTTTCTATTCTGCCATCTTTCCAGAACCCTCTCATGCCCAAATAAGCCTTTGTAAGGGTCGTCAATAGCTTCTTATACCCGTAATAAATACAAAGACTCTAGGATGAGAATAAAATTTTCACAAAATGCTTTTTAAAGTGTAGATAAAATATTATGTAAGACCATTGTCCTACTGTTTGCTCCATACATTTATACAACTTTAAGTCTTTTTTTCAGTGGTACCAAAATATGCCCTAATATATATGCCAATGAATTGATATTGAAGACTGCTAACAATTTTCATTTTCTATATTCTTTCCTATAGATTATTCTATTTGATGACTCTCCATCTCAAACATAATAGGAGTGTGCTTCCCCTCTGGGTTTCATAAATTTCCATTGGCAGAAATGATTTTCCCTGTCTGGCAATATTGTCTGTGCTAACCAAAGTATTTGCTCTCCCAATTTAGATTTTGAAGTTGGAAGAAGTGGCAAAATGTGAAAAGCAAGAAGCAAGTATTACCAGAGACACCTATGAAAAAGAAATCTTTCTGAAGAACATTTTTAAAGTGCCATAATCTGTTCGGTAAGAATGAAATTAATGCACAAAACTGATAAAAATGGACTACCTGGATGTAGTTTCTGAAATGGCAGGGTATGTGTTCTGGTGTAAAGTACAAAATACATGGCCTAACCTGAGTAATTTTGTCTCTTTGTTTATGATTTTGAACAATGGTGTAGAAGAGACAGGGGATTCTTCTTTCCCCTGGAAAACCCCTATTTCTTCCCTCTTAGAATTGAAAGGGGCTACCTTTGTGTTATGAGGCTACTGGGGAATTTCAGCTAACTCCTGTGGGGAAAGAGATGGAAGCAAGCATTCCTCACAATCCCACTAATCAACCACGGGTTTCTTATGAGCATCTATAGGATTCCCACAGGTCCCACTGAGGGATAAGTGGTCAAAATAGAATCCCCACATTTAGTCATACTTACTATACTGCCTGTTGCTAACTGTAACAACTGTTCATTCCCCTGAAGCCTGGAGCCAACTGGCATGGGCTAGAAGTTAAGAAACAGCAGGAGGCCTTCATGGTCACCATAGCTTCCTGGTGACCATCTAATATAAAATTAGATAGAATAGTATTTTCTTTTAAGCCGAAAATAAATTTTAGCAGTGCTCTTATTGGTTAGTAAAAACTGCATTTGCATTGGTGACACAAACATTGTTATGTTATTCTAGTCTAACGAGAAACCATCTCAGCAAAGATCATTAGAAAATCATTTTAGAAACCACTAAGTCTTTAGCATAATTTTAAAAAATAAATTCAAGAGTCTGTCATAATATTGCTCAACCTAACCAAATGAGAATTTTAACAATAGAAAAGGCATTTTCAAAATAATAATCAAGCCTGTGATAAATGAGTTAGAAGTATGTGCAGGACATCTTCAGTTTGCCCCTCAGATCCTGTACTCATTCTTCATTCAGTTCTGGCCAGTCCTTTGGCCAGTCCTGGGAAGCTGGCCAAAGGAAGGGGAGAGAGAAGAAAAAGAAGCTGGACTATTTCTTCTCCTCTCCCTCCTTATGTGACAATTAATTTCATATGTCAACTTTGCTGGGCTGCACTGCCCAGATATGTGGTCAAAAATTATTCTGGATGCTCCTATGATGATGTTTTCAGATGAGATTTAACATTTACATTGCCGAACTTTGAGTGAAACAGATTGTCCTCCATAATATGAGTGGGTTTCATCCAATCAATTTAAAGCCTGAGAAGAGTAAAAGACTGACTTGCCCCAGAGCAGGAGGGAATACTGGCAACAAATTGCCTTCACATTTCAGGCATGAACTACAGCATCAGCTCTTCCTAGGTCTCCAGCCTGCGGGCCACTCTGCAGATTTTGAACTTGCCAGCCTCCATCATCGCATGAGCAAATTCCTTAAAAAATTCACACACACACACACACACGCACACGCACACACATGCACACACATACGCACACACATGCACACACATATTCTATTAGGTCTATTTCTCTGGAGAACCCTCATACATCCTGCTTCAGCTCTGAGAGTCAGGAAATAGAAGCATACCCCCCTCTCATACTATAGCTTAGGTAAAATAGCCCCTTCTCCTCTGGTCCAGCTTTCACTAGGTCAATCTAGTGTCTCTTGTTCTTTGATCATAAGGGTAGTATTATTTCCCCGTGTAGCTAGTCTCTTGTGTCTTACCATCCTTTAATTCCCAGCACTGCCCATACTTCTGAAAGCAGTACTTTCATTTTCAACTCAGAGGTTGAGCCTGGTTTCTCAACTCAAGCTGCATATTAGAATCAGCTGGGAAGCTTTTAAGAAATCCCAACAGCCAGGCCACAAACCAGACCAACTAATGCAGAACCTCTGAGGGTAGAACACAGGCATGTATACTTTTCAAAGCTCCCCAAGCATTTCCAATGTACAGCCAAGACTGAGAACCACTGCATCAATGTCTCTTCATTTGAACAATTTGAGATGAATGTTGTTTCCAGCCAGAACCTGAACAAATACACTATCATCAAAAATATATATATTTGCTTAAAATCCTACAAGCACTTGTCACCAGTACTTTTCATATGATTATTTTCTATATTGCCATATATTGTTATTTTGTTATCTCACTTTTAAGACTGTAACTGATTTTTTTTTCTCTCCCATTCTCTCCATATGTTCCAGCTCATGGCCCATAGTGTTGGTGAGGCCAACACTATAGCTGCAAGCACTTACTTCATTTAAGAAGTTTATCGAGAGCTTTATAAATAAATTCTGTTCTCCATCTACTATGCAAATAAAACTGCTGTATCTCATTTTGTGTGTAATAAATGTGAATGCAGAAAGCAACCTTGCTTAATGAGATATCTTGCCCAGGTCATAATCTCTTTGGTATTTGCCATTCTCCATCACTATCCGTTATTACCTATCACTCATCTTCATAGAGCAAATACATCATCTTTCATCAGGAAATGGATTACATTGAGGGGAAGAATATGCTCTTTGTCTTCCAAAGAAGAAAAGATGAAGGAATGAGTTGAGGGACTTAGGAACAAACAATAACTATATGCTAGATGACCTCCTAGGCATTTTACAAATATTACCACATTTAATATGCTTTTTAATTTAGTTTTCACAACAAATGAATAAAGTTTTATCATCTCTCTTTACACAGGTGAATCCAAAGGCTGAAAGAGACTGAGTAACAGCTATTAAGTAAGGTAGTAGAGCCCACTTTTACTCTGCTAAAATTCTGAGCTAAAGACTAGCATAGGCTGGGCGCAGTGGCTCACGCCTGTAATCCCAGCACTTTGGGAGGCCAAGGCGGGCATTATCACCTGAGGTCAGGAGTTCGAGACCAGCTTGGCCAACATGGTGAAACCTCATCTCTACTAAAAATAAAAAAATAGCCAGGTGTGGTGGCACACACCTGTAGTCCCAGCTACTCAAGAGGCTGAGGCAGGAGAATCACTTGAACCTGGGAGGTGGAGGTTACAGTGAGCCAAGATCACACCACTGCACCCCAGCCTGGGCGACAGAGTGAGACTCTGTTTAAAAAGAAAAGAAAAGAAAAAGACTGGCATAAATGCCTAAGTTTTTTTTTTAATCCCTTTTGTTACAGCTATGACATCACTCTTCAATATAAATTCATGTCCTTGCATGTGCAAGTTAATCAAAAGTTAAGCAAGAAGTGTTTGTCTTAGTAAGAATTTTGGTTCATTATAGACCTAAGAATGAAAATTTCAAAGTCCAAGGCTTAGGATATGACCTATTTCTACAGGAGATACTAACCGGGGATACAGAAGGTTTACCTTAGTCAAATCATTCCTTCATTTCTTTATCTAACACCATTGCTTTATTTCAAAGTCAAGACGAAATTTGAAACTGAACGTGGATTCTGTGCTCTAACAAAGTTCTGTGACCTTAACATATGTACCCAGACTTTTACCACTCACAGTCATCTCCCAGACAGAGGAAATGACTCATCTTTTTTAAAAAATGGAAGTCTTAAAGCTAACATAAAATATCCCATGACAAAAATATCTTTTTATATGTAATATAGGAAGTATGAACTTGTGTATTTTTATAAATGTAATTCATTTTCAGATCTTTAATTCTCAAGTATCTCTGTCAAAATTTCATCCAAAGTAAACCCATAACTGAAAAATAGACTATTAACAGAAAGGAACAGCTATTCTTGGGTTTAATTACATATATAAGTTTTATATAAAAATTTTGAACTTATTTAAAAATGTGCATCTATTACAACACCATAACTCCAAATTCCGCAAAATTTTTAAAATTGTTGAAAATAATGGTGTACTTTATTTGATTACAAATAAGGTATGATTAATAAAATACGACCAAACTAATTTTGTACTTAAAAATTTAGACAATTTAAGACTCAATTTGAAGGGGTCAATTGAAATTACTAAAATTCAGACTGACCTCACCATGAACATTCAGCACGAAAAAGCCATTTTCAAGGAGCTAATGTCCAATATACTTTTTTTTAAGATGGAGTTTTTAAAGACGGAGTTTCGCTCTTTCACCCAGGCTGGAGTGAAGTGGCGCGATCTGGGCTCACTGCAACCTCGGATCCCCGGGTTCAAGTGATTCTCCTGCCTCACCCTCCCGTGTAGCTGGGATTACAGGCGCCTGCCACTACGCCCGGCTAGTTTTTTGTACTTTTAGTGGAGACGGGGTTTCACCATGTTGGTCAGGCTGGTCTCAAACTCCTGACCTCAGGTGATCCACCTGCCTTGGCCTCCCGAAGTGCTAGGATTACAGGCGTGAGCCACCGCGCCCAGCCCACAGCATACATTTTTATATGATAAGGTACATCATCTCAGAAGACAGACAGAATAGCTTCAGATATGAACCTCAGAAAGAAGTTCAAAAGGCAAAGAGATCTGCTTCAAAAAGAAAAATCAAAAGTTGAAGGTCTTGCTCCAAAAGAGGGATTTAATTTAAATTACTCCAAAAAGAATGACTGACTGATATCCAAAGAAGAAAAAAGTCTTTGCATTCCTGACATCTGATATCTTAATGCATGATACATAAAAAGCAATATATTTCAAGGACACACTAATAATCCCCCATGCAAAGGGGGGATTATCCTCCAGGGGGGGAATGGGGGGAGAGAGAGACACAGAGAGAGAGAGAGAGAAAGTACATACACAAGCCTGCCTGTTACTGGAGGAGCATGGGTGCCAGGATCTTTGACCCAAGGGTCCAAAAGCTTGGCTGAATACAGCATTTCAGTTGTGCCCTGAAGTGAAAGCAGTAAAATAAAGACCAAAGAAAGCTCTACGTTTAAAGTCAAGACCAAATTGCATAAGAACCAAGGATGTAACCTAGGATAAATGCCTAGCAGAACAAAAAAACACCCAGCATTTTGAAGGTGATGGCAGGCTGTGAGAAGGCAGGTTGTAGAAATGATGAGGTTGTTTTATGGCATGCTTTTATTGGCTGTATTAGAGAGAATGTGAGGGTGGGTTGGGTATGTCCTTGAAGTTATAGGACTTTGGTTTAAATAAACTTTGTTGCACATCCAGTAATAATAGGCAAGCCATTTCTTATTCTTGGTTTTTATTTTCTTCTCTTTTGTTCTGGCTTTTTTTCCATAATTCCTGCCTTAGTTAATGACACCACCACTTCCCTCTTGGAGCAACCCAGAAAGAAGGGAGTCATCCTAACTCTTCCTCCTGCCACCACACGTAATCTTTGTCTTTAAACAGACTCAGTGTGTTTCACTTAAGTAAATATATTTGGAAAGAAAACTTCATATTACTTACTAAAAGGGAAAATGACTATTAGTTCTATAAAAGAAATCTATTTTTTTTAAATTAATGAAAATGAAATTACATCATTAAATGTTGGCAGAAATTCATTTACTCTTTGTTAGAAAGGCTGATTGGAAAATACCATTTAAGGCCAGGCACAGTGGCTCACACCTGTAATCCCAGCATTTTGGGAAGCTGAGGTGAGTGGATCACCTGAGGTCAGGAGCTCGAGACCAGCCTGCACAACGTGGCAAAACCCAATCTCTACTAAAAATACAAAAACTTAGCCAGGCGTGGTGGCGGGCGCCTGTAATCCCAGCTGCTTGGGAGGCTGAGGCAGGAGAATCACTTGAACCCGGGGGGCGGAGGTTGCAGTGAGCTGAGATTGCACCACTGCACTCCAGCCTGGGCGACAAGAGTGAAACTCCATCTCAAAAAAAAAAAAATACCATTTAAGACACAGATTAGCATCAACCTAAGCCTTTCTCCGGAAGTTAATTAGAGGGGGTAACAGATAATTAAAAATTTTTTTAAATCATGCGACAATATGATTTCATGCTTCATCCTCATACAACCAAAATGTTATTTGTGAATGAGTCCCACACTTTGGGAAGCACTAGACTATGATATACAATTCAAACTCAGTAGCCTGCTATGATCTTACTCCCAATTCCCTTTTGATCTGATTTCCTGCCACTCCACAAGCCATATTTACAACTCTATTCCTGCTAAAGGACGTATCATTTGGCCCTGGGCATTCTCCATTGTGTCTACTGAGAAACCTATTAGGCCTCTGAAGAGGTTCTTGATGTAAAGTTTTCAGACCCCACCCAGGCACCTTTCTCCTTAGTATGAGCAAAGGTTATCACCTTGACCAAACGCTAGCAGGCTCCTCTGAGTTCTCTTGTTGACTAGGACTCAAGCTTACCTTTCTAGGTTGAACAAACACTAAGGCAGTTTCTAACAGCTCAACATTGTTTACTTAGGATGAGCCTATCCCCCACTTAAAGTCCAAGCCTGATAAAGAATTTCCTGTTGTCCCAGCCAACACCTGGAGACCAGCATCCCGCTTTCCAGTCTCTGTGGGAGGGGAGGAGCCGAACTTCAATAAACACCAGTAAACAAAGCTAGATGGGTTTCACGTGGACTAACCTCGTTTCTGGATTTTTGTAATTTTTCATTTTCCTGAAAAACTATGGAATCCCAACTCACCTTCTCCCTGCTCCTTCATTCTCCCATTAAAATACCTAATCACCTCTGTACAGGTCATTGTTGAGCTTAGTTCACGTTGCACTCTTTTCCCTATTGTAATACTATATATTAATTCTTACCATTTTATTTAGTGTCCAGCATTGTTTATCTTTCGCAGCATTTCATAGCTACTTCTAATGCACTATATTCTCATTATTCATTGAACTATCACTCTCACCCGCTATGCTGTGTTCTGTTTTGTACTCCGAGTCCTGAGGTCAGCCCCAGTATTGGGATCACTCCTGTAATCCCAGCACTTTGGGAGGCCGAGGAGGGTGGATCACGAGGTCAGGAGATCGAGACCATCCTGGTGAACACGGTGAAACCCCGTCTCTACTGAAAATACAAAAAAAAGTTAGCCGGGCTTGGTGGCGGGCGCCTGTAGTCCCAGCTACTCGGGAGCCTGAGGCAGGAGAATGGCGTGAACCCGGGAGGCGGAGCTTGCAGTGAGCCGAGATGGCGCCACTGCACTCCAGCCTGGGCGACAGAGCGAGACTCCCTCTCCAAAAAAAAAGAAAGGGGGAACTAAGTTACCTGACTGCTATGAACAGGGTCATGAGGAGAGACTCTAACACATTGCTTTAGTTTTGTTTCAACTTCCAAATCATAAGAGGGACATTACACATTGCATTCAATTCTATAGTGTAAAAATAAAATAAAAATATCAGCTTACTTTCCTTCTTTCTTAGTTTGTCGGTATCATTTTTAATTCTAATGTTTTGTTAAACCTCACACCTTCCTCTTTTGAATTTCTACTTCCTTTTAAAATGGCAATTGCCTTTTTATTTTCATATCTTTTGTCTTATATTAGTAAGAGCATTTCTCTAATTATAACATGGGGAATTTACATGTGGGTTACAGGGGAGACTAGATTTTTACATCAAAATTAATTTTGTTTTATTTGCTCCTAATTTATAGGTGAAAATGTTATTTTACATGGAAACCTATTTTGTTCCATAAAACTAAATAAACCATAACCCAGAAGTGCAATGAGACACACACAGCATGACCACATTATTTCTGAAAGCTGAAGAGTTGCCAGTCTGTTGATCTCAAACTTCATGAACCACACAGTTCAGTTCAAATTGTTTCCCTGAAATTGCTTTGAGCCTCTGCCAAACAGCCACTGAAGGACTCCGAAAAATACAAGGTAAGGAGATGGCACCTAAGAACATTTTTTTAAAAATGTTAACTCTTTTATTGAAGTTTATTTCATTGCTTTTATCAAAGAGACTGATGTCACATCAGACATTTCCTCACCTAAAGGTAACACGCAATAATTGCCATGATAGCATACTATTCAGAACATGGAACCAAATGTGTGGCCTGCATGGGCATTCTTCCTTTGCCAATGAATTGCAAATGCTTCTTTCTATCTACAAGTGTACCAACGTTAAACATTAAATGTGGAGGTCTTATAGTGGGTTGATCTTTAGAAAATCAGGTCTCCTTTCTGTTTTCAGTTGCTGCCAGCATCACCTATCCACAGAATCAATGTTAATGATGTTAATGAAACCAGGCAATATATTAAAAGCTCTAGCCACAATCATTAACTCGAGTCTGGAGTAAACCATGTATTCCAGGGCCCAGTATGCAGAGCGCCTGTGAGGTGTCAGCAAGCTGCAGATATCCAACAATGCTGTTACCTAAACTTCACTTTTGTGTGCCTGTCATTGTAGGCATCCTCCACTCCACACCCTAAGCTAAACCATCACTTGTTGAACAGGGGCCCTGCCTCATGACTAGTATTTGGCCTTGAACTTCACACTCCGTTCCCTAGACACTGGCTGGAGCTTTGCTTCTAACTGAATGGGCCTTATCTTTCTCTTGCCTAGCACTAAAGCCCTAACATTGCCTGCAATTCCTATTGTCATACCCTCCCCACCAGATTCCAACCCCTGATAAATCATTCCTGGCCCAGAAACATAGTTCCACTACCCTGGGATATGATGATTTGGAATGCTGGTGACTCACCCGACTTTTAGACCCTTAGTGCTAACCCCTTTGTTCTTTCTTACTTCTTTTTCCCTGACTTAAGACCCAGCATATGTCAAAGCAGATATGGTATGTAAGATAATGTCAGTGTGCAAAAAGCACTCATCGTATGAAGAAACTTAAGTGTATCTTTTAAGTCAATGCAAATAATCACCACAATTAATATGTTTTGTGGATTTTAACTTTTTTAATGAAAACAAACTTTTGCATTTTCTCTAATGAGAAAAAAGTATAGTTTCCTTTTGTTTTATTTATTTTTTCATCATTTGATAAGGCACAGGATCAAGTTATTCTTTTTGAGATGCCATAATATGCTAGGTATTGGAATGGCCAGCTAGCACTTGCATTGTATAGTTAACATTGTGCTATAAGCGTGGTTCTTTCTAAAAGCTTTCAGTACTGTTTATAGTTTGTGCTACCCAGTTCCCATGGTAACGTGTTTGTTCCCATGGAGAAACAAAGTGAACACCTAACCAGAGCTGAACTTGAAGATATAAAACTTCACTCAGTAGATAATTTGCTCAGAGGCTATTAAGGAGGAGAAGGAGAAAACAGAAGAACAGAAAATATATCTAGGTTTCTAGTTCCAGTTCAAAGTTAAGAAACTACTGATTTACTTTGACCTGCTATGTAACAAATCATTCTTGGTGTCATTATTTGCAACTTTAAGGAGACCTTTTTTTTTTTTTTCTCAAAAGCAATTTTAAAAGTAACTACTTAGACAAAGGGCCCTTTTTAATGGTGATTTGATAGTTTATCTTAGCAATTTGGTCCTTGTAGTTGCAAACTGTATTTCCATATTTCAAGAATTTTTAGAATTTTCATAAAACCATCTAAATTCAAGTAAACTTGATTTCTTAAAAAAACTATAAACTAAAGCAATAAGAATGTGAGCAAATGATCATAAGATTATCTTTAATGAAAACAGATTCTTTGCTTTCTTTAATGCCCAGAATTTTTCAAGCCTAGCTATTGCCAGTTTATGCCATTTGAAAAAAGCTTGAAAGCTGCAAAAGGATGTAAATTTAGCTGCTTTGGTTTAACGTGAGGAAAGTTGATAGCCTTTGTTAAGGCTGACACTACCATGCCAAATTCCTAACAACGTTACAGCAGGACTTTGAATGCCAGTAAAATAATTCACATCCATTTGCAAGCTCCAGTCAAGTGGCATAAACTCCACTTGTAGAAGACAAAGCAAAATGACTGGGCTCCTCCCGTGGCTCTGGCTCTTCACTCTGCTGCCGCCCTCCCTCCCGAATGTTGATGTTTTCTCCCCCCACTTTATAATCTAGACACTTGCTCCCTTTCCATTTGATACTACTTCTTTGTTTGCTGTTCTTCAGCCCTCTTTGTGCTTTTCTGACCTCCTTTTTTTCCATTCTGTGCCGCTGTTCCTGTTCTACATTTCATCATTTTTTTCTCCGGCTTCACTTTTGTGCATTACACTCTTCCCACTTCAATCTTTAGCCATTTTTGTATTGTCCCGACTTTCATTCTTCTTATTTACCTTTAGTTTATATTCTTTCTGACCGCCTTTTCTTCTTCTCTTTGCAGCCCCTCTATTAGAAGTTCGGCATTTTGCTCCAACTTAAAAAAAAAAATGTATTGTTGCTGGATGACATTCTTTTCTCACTCCTTCTGTGTATTATTTTTCAATAGTTGTTTAAATCCCAGTCCCACTGACTTCGTGCAAAGGATTATGATTAAAGCGATTTTGAGTATTTCTTTAATATAGTAAAATGTGAAAAAAAGTTGCCTTAGAAAACAGCATTCTAAATAGACTGCCTTTAAAAATAAATAAATAAATAAATAAATAAATATCTGTCCCATTTGTAGATTCACAGGGAATAAAATCAATGAGATCTGCCAACTTCTATACTTGTCTACATCAGACATCATTCACCCCAATGAAATAGTGAAGAGTGGGACTCAAATTGGCAAGTCTATCCTGCTGAATTGTTGCCACTCAAGATAAAAATAACTTTCTCACATTGTATGGTCCACTAGCAAGCAGCAGAATAATGGTGTATCCCAAGATTAACTGTGGTTTCTGAAGCAATTATTGTAGGGAGATGGAACAGAAAGGTTTTTTCTCTTACTTACTTTTGTGTGGTATTGGAGACAGGAGGCATGTCCATCATTTTATACTGCTTATTACATACGAAAAATCAAATAATGAAAGCTTTCACAATACGGAGGTTTTCTCTAACCTCCTATCATCAAATAGGCATACACTTTGAATTGATTTTTTTTTAAGTTTTGGGAATTGGATGTTCATCTTTCTTTTATTGACTTTCATCTCATTTTCAAAAGTGTGCAATAGTATATTGCACGTGAAAGTAAATGGCCCACTAAGATTGAAATGCATTGCTTTGAACTAAAGAGATATAAATTCTAATATCTGAATTCTTCATGGCTATATACATGTATACTAAGTCCTTTTGCATAGTGGCTGACTCTTTACGCTTTTGGCATATTTGAAGTTAAATTTTAATTCATATTACATTTATTAAGTACTAAGAAGACACACTCACCTACTATTTTAGAATTGTTTGTAAGTTTTAGGTCTTGTAAGTTTATGAAAACAACACTGACACACCATAATATATACTGGTTTCATAGCACTTAACAGATTTGGTAAATTTTACCTACAAGAAAATCAGTTCTTTGAGTTTTTCTTAGGTTACTGATTTTGCATTTAAAAGTTTTTACCTTGATTAAAGACTCCAGGTTTTCTGGGGGACTGTGTAGTTGACTTAAAAACTAACCACTATTATACAAAATTTTAGTTGAGAGAAACTATCTGTGTCTTCTTTTTTTTATTGCTATGATTATAGAGCCAACACACACAATCATGTAGGTTGAGCACTGCCAGGGAGCCCTTCTCAACCTATGTGTGGGGCTTCATATATAGTGGGATTCATTTTGCAATTCCCACTGAAACTATGCCATGAGTTTGCTCATCAGATGGAAAAAAAATTTCTGCTTTGATAATGTCGAATGAAGTATTGCTTTACTCTGTAAATGTATAAAATGTAACATTTTAGGGTTGAGGGGACACTTAGAGATCTTCTGGTTCTCCTCTTTGGTTTCATAGAGAAGGAAAATGCCCCCACAGAAATCATGACTCCTTACCACAATTTTATCACCATATATATACCCTAAGAGTCAAGATTAGAGATGGCTCTCCTGATCCCTGGCCTTGGGAATATCGCTTTAAAACCATTCAAGGCGACATAGAAAATATTACATTTCTATCACATAATTCCGTAGATACAACCTTCTAAGTTTTTAGCTTAATTTTCTTCCTAGACAATTTTGTATTGTAAATTACTAGAGGACAGAAATAATTTCTGGATAATTCTGTGGGCAGCTTGCTATGTAATCCAGCAACATGCTAAGTAGGCTTTTTTTTGAGAAAGGATGTCACCATCTTCATTGATTAATGTAGTGGAAAATATTTAGAAAAGGAGCTGTTTCATGCTACTCTGGCATCTATTTTGTGAAAGTATAATTTTGGAATATTGACATTAAATAACGGAACTAGAGTTTCTTAAGAATTACAATCTTTACTTTCCCATTAGTGTATTGGGAAACTTCACTAGTTTATTCATCTTCTCTATGGAGGTTTTCTTTATTACTATCAACCCACACTTTCTCTTTTCTTCTTTTTTATTACTCAACACCAATGTGTGGTTTTTAATGAATTATTTTAATTTGTTCCTGTTCTCTTGCTGCATCTAGAGAGATTGTCAACTCCTTGTGTACTGAGGTTGTCGTTTACTTTGTTTTCGCTTCTCTATGATGCTGGGTGTGTATACAGCCATTGCTAAATGTGTACTACTTAAGGTGACAAGAATTGAGCTAGAAACACTTCATCAAAAAGTCCTGACTAATTAGAAGCAACTACCAAATGTAGTCTATATTGCCAAAAAGCCTTATCAAAAAGTGTATCATGAATCTAAATGCAAACAGAATTAATGGTTAATGAGAAAATTTTTACATAAATATTACTCTAAAACAATATCTAATAGTGATGTCTAAAACTTTTTGAGTAGATTAATGCATACTGATTAAAAGAACAAACAAGGAGTTGAAACGAGTGCATGTCATCACAAAATCATAATGCCTTTTAAAAAACATTTTATCCTTTTCTTTTTTTCTAGAACTGAAAGGGGCACATGGCAGATACAATCATAAACTTTCATTTCGGAGAGCAGTAAAAAAGGAGAAGAAGAACACACTGGTACTCCAACAAGTCATAGTTTCTGCCAGATGTTGCAAAAGTGAGTTAGATAACTGACCTTTCTTCTGGGGCCTGTGTCAACTTTGAATGGAGCTTTCAATTGTACAATAAGCATCTGGACAGTTTTGACATCTTTATAACACTCTTTGAGTTCTTAAAAAGCTACCATTTTGTTTAAAGATGATTTATGTGAAGATTAAAACAATTACTTAAGTGCTAAGAATAATTAATCCTGTAACTCCATATCAATACCATTATCTTCCCAGAACTGGGTCTCTAACTACTAATCATAATCAAGACACCAACTGTCAAATCAAATCAAAATTAAAATTTGATTAATTATTTGATGATATTAACATTCAAATCTAGTTCCTTCTTAGGCCTAATTTTGTCCTTATGTTTGCTTTGCACTGAATTATTGTGGTTTAAATAGCCCATTTTACATGACAACTTTCAAACAAGAGCATAAATTCTCATAAAAACAGGCTAAGGAATTCATAATGATAGCTCTTGGCCGCCACCTAAAGGTTTATTTCTTGTTTTATTTTACATGAGACCTACTATGCATTCCTTTTATAATAAAATTGTTGTCTTGTCATCACATGTTTCTGCATAAGTACAGGGTAAAAAGACTTTTTCAAGTTTGTTTTTTCACCTTTATGTAGTTAAATTAACAGCATATATAATTATATCTACTTTTCAATTCATTCAACACAACACACACAAAGAAAACCAGTTTAAACAAGGTTCTTTTAAATGGTCAGAAAATTTTTATGCGTTTAAGAAATAGTGTGTTCTTATTATGTATCACCCCCCACACCTAAGGCCCGTAATGAAAGAAATTTAACTAAACTCACATTTACTGAACCACTGTTGAGTGTAATGTAATAGAAAACTCCTCAAATTCCATCAAGAACATTAACAGATATAACTTCTTCATTACGCTTGAGAGTAAATGAGATACTATAATTAATGATTCTTGCTCCGTATCTTATTATCACTCCCTTTATTCTCCTCCTAAAAAGCACTTGATTGAATCAAGCTAAATATCTTCAACGCCTTACTTGGACTCTGACAAAGTCAACCTTGGAGAATGGATTTATGATATCATAGGGAAAATTAGTTATGAACTCTACAAACTTCTCATTTCAAAGCTCATATGGATAGAGCATCTATGAATCACTCAAATTCTTGTTAAACATATAGACAAGTTGCATTAGCACATGCACTTTCCAATATATAGTCCATGTACTTATCCTTGATTTATCTATAGAACGCCATTCATGATTTTATTAATTCAAAAAATATTTACTAGGCACCTACTATGTGCCAGGCACCCATCATTATCAGTGTTCAGTAAAGCAGACTGGTCTTTCCCTTCATCGATCTTGTGAAGGCAACAGAAAATGAACAAAAAAATAGGTAAAACATATAAAGATACTGGCTACAAAGGAACTGAATACCATACCATTATAGGGAATAATTCTGGGGAGACACAGACCAACAATAGGTAGGTAAGTCAAGAAAGGCCTCTCCTAGGAGACAGTTTTTAAACTGGGACCTGAAGAATAAACAGCCGGCTCTGCCAAGAATAGAGAGGAAGAGGTGGAGGAAATTGTGTACGCAAAGGACAAATACTAACAGAGGGCCAAGGGAACTAAAGCAGAGTGAGCCAAGGGGAGTGTCATGGATGGGATTAGAGAAGTAAGCAGAAACCAAATCATGCAAGGCCTTGAAAGCTATGGTAAGGATTTGGGGTTTTATTTGAAAGAGAATGGAAAGCCATGATAGCAGGTTAAAAAAGGAAGTAAATTGATCTGTTGGCTGCATGAAGAAGGAATTAGAGGCAGCCAAGAGAAAAGGGAGATAGAAGTCTATCACAGAAATACAGATGGGAGAGATGATGGTGATGGTGACATGGACAAGGTGGTAGCAGTGGAGGCAAAAACAAGTGATCACATTTGTGATGCATTTTGGAGTGAGGCCTTGGTGGATCAGATGACCCTGTGGTTCTGCTGTTCCTTCCCAGCTTGTTAGCATCTGCTGACATAACTTTGAAAAGCTGACATAGTTTTCCAAATAAGATTTTAAATCACACCCAAGCTTTTAATTCAGTTTTTTTAAGTTTTAAAGAAAATATCTTAATAGAATGACCAATTTGTACATCGAGAAACACTTATTATATAGTATCTTCTGCAAATGAAATAGTCCACAAAACTAATTTTATAAATAATGGAAGTGTATCTATTAAAAGCAAAAGAGCTTATTTTACTTTAACCACTTTGAAATAATTATTTTCTAAAATTGTTCAATATTTCCTTGATCTTTCAAACAGAATATATTCAAAATAGTTAAGCTTCTCAAAAACTCAAACATATTGTGAAGAAACGTATATGAAACATACCTCTGTAGTATGTAGTATGGCTAAAAATAGTGAGAGGCAAAAATGAGTTTCCCCTACTCTGAAAAACTGAAAACTACCTTGCTGTGAAATCATTACATTTTTATTTTGTTGCCTCAGTTTCCCATAGTCCTTATGGTGCCTGACTGTCGTTATCAACTTCTGACTCATTCTAACACACTGCTTTACCTTGGCTGTAAGCTGGGAACCCTGCTATCAGAAATTCATGTAAGTTTATAGAAAAAGACTCTAAGTAAAGGGTATGAATTTTTGCATTCTATTTGGATTGCACAGAGGCCTTTTTACACTCTGCTTTCTCAAGTATAGTTTAGGCCATTGAAGCTGCTTAATCAGCAACATGTAAGTCAAGGAAATCTCCCTACATTAGCATGTTATTTCCTACAGTTTCATAATGCCCCTTGAAAACTGAATCCACATTAATATATACATTATCATTTTTAAGTTTCTATAAAGAATCCTTCCTTGTGATACAACTTCAACTACATAATTATAAATGTTGACTTTTCATTTGATGCCTAAAGTATAGTT
Source organism: Homo sapiens (assembly GCF_000001405.40). NCBI lineage: Eukaryota > Metazoa > Chordata > Mammalia > Primates > Hominidae > Homo > Homo sapiens. The sequence goes on from NC_000007.14 coordinate 20,314,065, forward strand.
TTCAAATGTAACATAAAAGCATTTTATGGTAAAATTTGACCCAAAAAGTAGAATTTATGTGTCTCATAAAAGCATATAAAATTTGACCCAAGAAATAATTTCAAATTTCTTGACTCAGACTATAATATTATCTCTTTTCTTTTTTCATTTTGACATGGCATGGAAACAAAAACAGATCAAATGTCCACAGAAACCCAATCAGCAACACTACTTTCAAAGTGTCTTTTGACAAGTAATATGTGCATTTTACAAATCCAAAGGCAATATTTGAAGTAGCTCTTCAAAACAGCTGCATTACTCAAAGCTATCTCTGTATCATCGCCTTGTTTCCTGGAAGAAAATGTGGAAATGTGTACTGAAAATGTGTAAATGATTAAAGCATCAGTATAAAGAAAAAACATTCTGAAGATGAATAAAAATTATTTTGAGGGCTTGTTGAAAAACCAAACACCAGATGTCCACGGCTGACTTGCCAAATGAAAATCCTTGAAAGAAAGGTCCAGAAATTGGCATTTCAAATGAATATACCCCAGCTGATTGACACAGGTGTTCCTTTGAGCAATCCTGGATAGCACTGTTGTAGACCCTAGGTAAGCAATTGTGTGATCTGCTTTTTCAACTTTGTGGTAGATTGTATTTTCCAAAGATGACAGCACCAGTACATACCATCCTATATGCTCTTCCTATAAGGTGACATTGACATGTCTCCACCAAATGATGGGATTTACGTTACCTCTTCTTGGACCCGGGTGAACTTTTGACTACAGTAGAAGTGACACTATGTGACTTCTAAGGCCAATTCATAAAATGCAATACAGCTTCCTCCTGGCTCCCTTGGGATGCTGGCCCTAGGAAACCAGCCACTATGCTGTGAGAAAGCCAAGCAGCCACATGAAAAGGCCACATGTAGGTCTTTCAGTCATAGATCCAGTTGAAATCTCCATTGACAGCCAGCCTTTAACCACTATGTTAGTGAGACTTTAGATAATTCTAGCCCCCAGCTTTTGGGCCACCCCAGTAGACAAAAGACAAGCTCTTTCACCCAACCCTGGCCAAATTTCAGATTTGTGAATACAATTTATGTTGTCACTGTTCTAAGCCACTAAATTTTAAAGTGGTTCGTTACATAGCAATAAATAACAGAACAAATTCCAAATGCTTCCACATCTTCTTCAGATAAAATGTAAAGCCCCACGTAAACCTTCATGCATTCCAGTTTGCATTTAAGGATTTCATATTCTATCCAGCCAGATCCACCCCCAGCCCAGACTGACTTACTGGGTCCTGCTTTAGTTAATTGGCTAAGTCTGCAGTTCTCAATCAGGAGAGATTTTGCTTCCCACAGAACATTTGGCAATGTCTGGAGACATTTAATGGTTGTCACAACTGGGGGGAAGGGTACAACTGGTATCTAAATGGTTAGAAGCTAGAGGTGTGGCTAAACATCCCACCGTCCACAGCACGACCCCTCCCCTGCAACAAAGAACCATCAAAGCCTAAATGGGGGCCAAGGTTGAGAGACTCTGACCTAGCTCTGGTCCCCAGCAATGAGGTACTCGGTTTTCACGAATGTCTTCATCATCATGAAGGTTGAAGGTTCTCAACCAGGAATTAAAGAAATAGTGTGTGCTGGGGGAAGGGGAGGTTAGAATATCAGGATTTTCAACCTACACTACTGCTACAGCCTAGATGTTTGTGTCCCTCCAGAATTCATATGTTGAAATCTAATCCACAATGTGATGATATTAAGAGGTGGGGCCTTTAGGATGAGATTAGGTTATGAGGCCTCCCACGAATGGGATTAGTGCTCTTTTAAAAGAGGCTTGAAGGAAACTTTTTTTCCCCTTCCATCATGCAAGGACAGAGTGAAAGGGCACCATCTCTGAGAAGCAGGCTGTCATCAGACTTTGAATCAGCTGACATGTTCATCTTGCATTTTTCAGGCTTCAGAACTATGGGAAATAAATTCCCGTTGTTTATAAAGTATCCAGGCTAAGGATTTTTGTTATAGCAGACTAAATGGACTAAAACAAGTAAGCGTGTGGTGTTCAACCATGGCTACAAATTAGAATAAGTTGGCAAGGGTTTTTTTTGTTAGTTTGCTTGTTTTTTTTGTTTGTTTGTTTTTTTGTTTGTTTTTTTTTTTTTTTCAAATATCACTGCTCAACCCCCAACTCTGGAGATTCTGATTTTAGAGATACTGGATGCTAGTATTTTTTAAAAGCTTCTTAGTTTATTTTAATGAGTAGCTAAGCATGAGAACTGAGGCATTGGCCACTTCTCACCTGGAGACTGTGACTCCTAACCCGTTTCAGGTTAGGTCACAAAGGGGAGATTGGGGAAATCTAGAAAACAAAATTGAAAAATCCCAGTGGGTAATTCTGTTGGCTCCATTCCCCTACTGAAAACCTCTGCCTTACATAGTCCTCTGCTCTTAGTCTGCCATATTCTGGCAAGAAAAAGACCTGAGCTGGACTCTTCCTTCATTCTAGCACACTTATTTGGGATGGAAGCAAACCTTAAGAATTAATTGTTTCTTGTCAAGCCACTAAGTAGTACCATTTTTTAGTAAATGCTAAACAATTCTGTCATAATAAGCTCAGTCTGCCGTGCACCTCTTCACCAATAAAATAAGCTCTGTTTACTAGATTTTCCATTAATTACCTAAGATGGATATAAAAAACATTACTCAATATTCTTAGAATTTTACTACTGGAGTGTCAAGCTAAAGCAAATAATTTATATATTTACATAGTTCAAGATGATGACAATAGTTTACTGATAGTCGGTTATTCTGCTGAGGTTTATCTCCCTCTCTGCATAGGACTTAACCTCGCTCCCCAACCAAAAAAAAAAAACGGCAGTTAGGCAACTGTCCTGCCATCTGCCTCAGATGCTAAGCAGATAAAAGTCGGCTCATTAAAAACAAAATGACTTGGGTGGAGAGGAAAAAATGTGAAATAGCCTGTTATTATAATAATTACCTCAGTAAAATGTGTTATTTTATCATGACAATGAGATTTTCTGAACATGTTATTACATTTGTGGTAAAAAGAAAAAAATCAAAACTATGTTTTTGTTTTCAAAATCCAGTCATCGAAGGAAAACACCAATTTAATAAATTTCTCAATAATTATCAAATTGTAACTTTTTAACTCTTTCCCATTAAAGCCAAAGCCGGAAAGAATTCTTAATGTCATATTAATGCTCATTATCTACAACAGAGAAAGCTGAATATCTATAATAGTTTTGAGTGCTAAGTATACAGAGTAAGTGCCCATGTGTGCTGGAAAGCAGTCATAATTGTGAGCATAGGTTGTTGAATCGCATTGCCTGGCTTTAAATCCTAAGCCCACCATTTACAATGTGATCTTGTGCATATAATTTTACCCTTGTAACTCAGTTTCCTCCTCTAAAGAACAGTGATAATAATAGTACTGGGATCATAATTACCTTTGAGGACTAAAAGATACAATGAATAGAAAATGCTTTGCCTAGGCCTTGGCACATAAGATGTACTTAAAGCATGAGCATATTTTCACTCTCAAATCTATAATGACAGCTCATACTTCCCTTTTTAAGTTTCAGAACTATATTTCCAATTGCCTTCTGGATGTCTCCATCTGAATTTCCTCAGGCCACTTCTAAATTATCTTTTCCAGTATATAATAGTTTTTCTCCAATACTCCTTAACTTACCACTAAAACTATTTTACCAAGACAGAGTAAGGTGTTTGGAATGGTGTTTTGAGCTCTGGTATCCTTCCAAAGGATGGCTATATGGTAATTATGCTTCCAGTTGTTATTTATCTCCCTTTTCTAGAGATACATTGTTTGCTGTCAAACAGAATATCTAAAATAATTTTAACTGACCCCTTAAGCGCTTCAAAATATTGTTATCTTATAATCTTTCTAATATTCTAAACAGCACTTTTAATAGTTTCTTAAAGGTACTAAGCCTAATGTCTTACTGAACACTTTCTATAAACAACAGAACTTGATTTTGCCCAGTTGTAAATACATCATTTCTTGAGCACCTCTCTCATACTGCCCTCAGTGTCCATGATGAAAAGTCATATTCTTACTTAGTTTTGAGACCAAAAACCAACTGGGCAAGATCTAGGACTGTCGGACTTTTCTTGATAAAAGTTGAGGCAATAGGCCCAGCGCGGTGGCTCATGCCTGTAATCCCATCACTTTGGGAGGCCGAGGCAGGTGGATCACCTGAGGTCAGGAATTCTAGACCAGCCTGGCCAACATGGTGAAACCCCATCTCTGCTAAAAGTACAAAATTAGCCGGGTGTGGTGGTGCGTGCCTGTATTCCCAGCTACTCAGGAGGCTGAGGCAGGAGAATCGCTTGAACCCGGGAGGCAGAGGTTGCAGTGAGCCAAGATTGTGCCATTGCATTCCAGCCTGGGCAACAAGAGCAAAACTCCATCTCAAAAAAAAAAAAAAAAGAAAAAAAGAAAAAAAAAAGTTGAGGCAATAATGAGCATCAGGAAGATATTGCTAGGCTCGGCCCAAGTGGGTAAGTTAAAAACAGGTGTCATAACAGGATTCAGTGAAATTTATTAACTAGAAGAAATGCAAGTTTTTCTCTCAAGAGAACCAGTAATTCAATAAATAACACCTGAAAATCAGAAAATGTCAGTCTCATAGAGCTACAGCAGAGTATATTTGGAAGATTCAAAATCAATTGAACATCAAGAAAAAGAGAGTTCTCAAAAGATAGGAAAATTTCAGTTTTATAAAAGCCAATCTAATGTAACAGGAGAGAAGCTATTATAACTTGAAACTTCTTCCTGTAGGCTGAATAAAATACAGAGTTAAGAGGTACGATGGAAACTGATAAGAGCTAGAACACAGATCAGATAACAGGCAATCACTATTTGGCTAAAGGAAATACAGAGAGGTTGTTAGAAATTTTCGTTATGCCACATTTCATTGACAATAGTATAATTCCTGCTGAATCGATGCTAAATGTTGAGTTGATCTAAGGAAATAAAGAATCAGAGGCTGGGCACTGCTCCCTTTGTCCGTGAGCCACTAGTGCAGGGATCACAGACTTAAATGACTGTAGGACTTGGGCGTGTAACATACACCAGTGAACTCAGCCTGGGTACATGAAAAGCAGTAACATGATCACAAAAAAAATGGTTACTGACTCTTGAGAAGACAACAGAGAGTGGTGAGGGTTGTAGCAAACCGGAGAGCTCGGACCCCTTCTTAAGTGGGTGGAAGATAAACAGCTCCAGCTCATTGCCTTGAAGAAATGCAGGCCCAGTTGTGCTCAATATCCTGATTAAGAGATGCTGAAACTAGGACTTTATGAAACATCCTGATATTTAAGTTTTACACAAAATTTATCAATTTTTAAACCGCTCTGTGGAATGATGCTATGAGAGCCAAATAAAGATCTACTGGGCACATTTGGTCCGTGGACTGTCAGTTTGCTAGTCTCCACAACAGGGTTTTAGAACTACGCAATGGCCTTTGTTTCTCTTTCTTCACTTTCATTCTTTGTATTTGATTCTGGGACTTGCGTTTTCTAGTCAATCAAGAAGATCCAAAGAGTCCAGGTGAAAAATTAGGAGTATATTTGGGAGCAAACAGACCTTAGTTAGCAAAAAATACAAACACTTAATGATGAATTGAATATGTAAAATTTAGACTAGCAATTTTTGTATTTCTTTTGCTAACCTTGCCAAGATAGATTATGGGTACCTTAATAAAGCTAATTTCTTTTCCCTTGGCCATCTGATATCCTTTAAACCTAAATCTGTTGGATAGTTTCCATTTGCCCATCCAGTTTCCTTCTCTACCCACTCTGTGCCCCCAGGAAGCTGGCTGGTATAGAATGCGTTAAAGGACTACTTTACCTCTAGCTTCCATTGAGTTTGGCCCATCTGGGAGCACTGGCAGGAGTTTGGAGGGTGGAGAGAAATGCAAGTCAGGGCATTTATTTGCCCCACTTTCCCCCTGCTGGTCCATTGATTTAATCCCTTCTTCCTATTTGGAGTTCCTCCTTACACAGCCCCCCATCCCCCATGTGTGAGTGTATGTGTGTGTCCCTTGAAATATTGTCTTTTACTGTTCCTCCAAGCCAGGGATGTTAAGGTTCTCCACTATTACAAGTCCCAGAGGAATATACCACCGGTTGTTCCTTTTCTTAAAACCTTCCCTACAGTCCTCAACTACTCAGTTTGTCTGCTTTCTGTTTCCTGCTGGAAGGCTAACTTAAAAAGCCATTTCAAAGTACACAATCCATCCCCAGCATTGGGATCTTAACTGGACAAAGCGTCTCATCAAGTCCTTTAATTCTTATTTCTTTGGGTCTTTTGGCTGGCCCTATCTTCTTCTAACTCCAGACTAGCAACTGTCCTCCCAACCACACCCACCCTTTCTTTCTTACTCGTTGTCAGAAAGCTTTTCCTGAGGGTTACATTCCCCAGGGTTTAAAATATAATTAAAAAGTGCTTTCGTGGTTTTCTGGTTGGAGGATGAATTTGTACAATCTCTTGGAAAAGCAAAGCTATTTGGCAGTAAGTGTTAGGAGCCTTCAGAATGTATCTAACCTTTGACCCAGTAATTTTACCTTGGGAACTTTTCCTAAGAAAAGAATCCTAAATATTAAAAAATTTGGATAAAGATGCATGCAAATATGTTTATTAATAAAATGGCCAAAAACTATAAACAGAACACACTCCAACATTGAGGTATGTCAAGTGTCTTCTGTTTGCCCCACCAGCTTCTCTCTCCAATTGCCCTCCGCTATAAGAGACCAGCCTTCCTAAGACTCTGACTGTGGCTCCACTACCTTCTGGCTTTGGTATGAACTTTACTAATGGTACGTCTTGATAAAATTGAAGATGAGAAGAAGAATGAAGTAGGAGTAGTTATTTTCCCTGTCCCCTTTCCGCAGATAGCCTCAGGCTGGCCACCATTCTTGAACAAAGGTAAAACGGTAAAACAGCCTTTCACGTGGCCCTCTTCACATAACTCAATCTCCCTAAGGTTCAGTAATATATGCTTCTCTCGTCTTTTGAAGCCTAAGGATAGTGATGCATTCTGTTCTGCGCCCTGCCCCCATGCACACTGTTTCTAACTCAGGGATACTGTGCTATCACTAACACCCTATCCCACGGTTATCAGAAAATTCTCCTCAAATTGCCCAATTTGAGTACACTAAATATATTTCACTGCCAAGAATCTGGTGCAATCACACAGCATATTTAAGTATACTAGGCGCCACAGCCACTATGGAATAATATGTAACATAGAAAGATAATCACAAAAAGTACAACAAAAAAAGATAAATCTAGTATGAACACAGGTACATAAAAATAAAGCAAATAAGATTCATCACGAAAATGTAATGTTTTCTATAATAAAAACATATTACTTTTTTAATGAGAAAATGTTTAATGACTTAAAAGGAAAGACATTGTAAATCATGCCCAGAGGAATTTGAAAAGACCTTGCAGAAGTGGCAATAGAAATGATGCTTGACAATCAAGTAGGACAAATGAGGAAAAAAAAAAAGTGGAGGAAAAAACATGTCTGGCCAAGAATGAAGCCTATGAAAAGGTAAGTGAAAGTGCTTATAGAAAACCAGGATTCTCTTCTGAAGAGCCTAGGGTAAACACAGTTGAGAAAGGGCAGAGGATTTCATAGAAAAGGGTACTGGGAATGTGATTTGGGGCCAGAATGTCCAAGGTTTCATAGCTGATGCTAAAGGTCTCTTCATGGCCTAGGAGAAAGGTTGGAGAGTGGCATTAAACGAACCATAGAAGGGTTTAAGAAGAGGACAAAAAGCTTAGATTTCTGTCTCCAAAGGAAAACTCTCCTACTACTGTGGAGAAAGGAGGGCTAAGAGTTCCCGAAAAAAAAAAAAAAAAAAAAAAAAAAAAAAGCCTGAACTATGAAGTTTTACTAAGGAGTAAAGAGGGTAAAGGGAATAGAAAAGATTTCAGATGCTTCACTAAGACACGATTAATATAATTTGTAAACTAATGAAAGACAGGGGTTGTCTAGCATACATCTGTAAAAGGGAACAATGATACCTGTGGTACACTTAAAATCTTGATAGACTTCCCTGCTACTTTAGGTTGAAAAGGGTTCGAATGGCCAAAAATATTGTTTTCATTTTATGTTGCAATTGTATATCATGCTGAAAAGCAGATCTTTATAAATAAATTTCTTATATTTCTGAACCTTCAGAGGACTAAATTCCCAGATATGGGAATTGTATTTCAAATATTTTAAAGATTTTATTACATAATGCCAACTGATTACAAAAAAAGTTAGGGCCAATTTACAATTTCACTATAAATGAGTTCCTATTTTAACCTAGCTACCACTAAATACTGTCATTTTTTTAAGTCTTTTTTTTTTTTTTTTTTTTTTGAGACGGAGTCTCTCACTCTTGCCCAGGCTGGAGTGCAGTGGCGCCATCTCGGCTCGCTGCAAGCTCCGCCTCCCGGGTTCACTCCATTCTCCTACCTCAGCCTCCTGAGTAGCTGGGACTAGAGGCGCCCGCCACCACGCCCGGCTACTTTTTTGTATTTTTAGTAGAGACGGGGTTTCATCGTGTTAGCCAGGATGGTCTCAATCTCCTGACCTCGTGATCTGCCCACCTCGGCCTCCCAAAGTGCTGGGATTACAGGCGTGAGCCACCGTGCTTTTTAAAGTCTTTGAGTATTTGATGGGTACCAATAGTATCTCATTTCTTAAATTAGTATTTTTTTGGTAACTAGTAAAGCTGGGCTTTTTCCATTTCTTTAAGCATCTGTATTCCCTATCCTCTTTACACATTTATCTATTGTAATGTTTTCTTATACGTTTGTATGAGCATATTCTATGGTATGTGTTTTCACCCATTTCTGCAATAGTTATAAATACCTAAGGTTTAAAAAAAGTATCATCAAATGTGTCCATTTGTTTTCTTTAAATTGGATAAATTATTTTTACATGTAGAAAGAACTTTCATTGCCAACGCCAGAAAATACTGACCTATATTGTGTCCTAGTTTTACACTAAGTTCTTTAGTTTATCATGAATATATTTTGATATAAAGGAAGTTTCTAGATTAAGTTTTTGTCCAAGTAGCTAATAATTGTCCCAACACCATGTATTATTTATCCCGTCTTCATTGATTTTTGAAGCATGACTTACGTTATATTAAATTGCTATTAATATTGGGTTCTATTTCTGAGCTATCTTACTTTTAACAATTTACCAAATGAGTCATCTTTTTTATTATTATTACATATTGTTTCCAAATCAGATTATAGTATCTTTCAAAAAAGGGATTGGGTTCTATTGATGCTTGTGTTTTCCATAGGGCCCATCACTTTACACATAGTAAATGTTCAATAAATATTTACATATTTATTAAATGAATGTTTAAATTGAATATCCTGTGCCTAAAATGCAAAGAATTTCCTCACTATGTTAAAAGGTCACATTCTTCAAGGTGAAACATGAAGTAATTTTGAAATTGGAGAAGGGGGCTGAGAATGGCAGTATTCCAAGTATAAAAATTCCATGTGAATTTGATTAGAATAATTTAAATTTTGTAGTGACTTCACTCTCCAGAGGCTATGCGATCATGAGAAAATGCTGAAAGGGAGAATTTTAGTTGTGAGCTCCCTCTGAGTTATTGAAGTTCAGAAAGGCCTTTAGCTGTGTAATGATGTGCAAATCAGTCCACATTCCACGGTGGCTCAACAGATGAACTATGTCAATGGTGAAATGTTGTCTTTATAATGTCTGCTGATACCTCTATTTGAGAGAACCAGCTGTTGGTCCTTTATACTGCTGTCCATTTAGAAATCTGAGCAATAAAGCAATACTTAATACTTATTGCATATTCATTTACCCCCCTAGCTACATATTAGTGTAAACATGTTAAATTTTAAATAAAAGGCAGTATTAAGCGTATGTGTCTCTGGCACATACAAGTAAGTGAAGCTTTCATGCAGTTGTATATCAAACTGTACAGAGATGACTTCAGACTAAAAAGATTGTGGAACAATTTTGTTTGATTAAGGAGACATAAAACTAGATTGTCATAAAGAATGCTAGGATTACAGACTTCTATAAAAAGACATGCTCACTACATCTATTCATGTGAGTAAAGAATAGTATAGTTACCAGAAAAGGAAAAGTTATGTATTCAGCAAAACCAAAGATATTTGATGTTATTTTTATGACAATATGCAAGTCTTGAAATAAGTATTCATGTATTTTCAAGGTTGTTTATATTATGAAATTAAAATAGTCCTAATTACCATTGCAAAAATCCTTGGGATAATATATGATGAATTCTAACATGTTTCGCTCATGACCTCTTTTGATTTTTTACAATTATTTTACAGGGTAGTTTTGTGTGGTGTGTGTTTGTATTTTACAGACTTTAATTTTTAGAGCACTTTTAGGTTCACAGCAAAATTAAGGGGTAAGTACAGAGTTCCGATATACTCCCTGCCGCCACATGGGCTCAGCCACTATCAACATCACACATCTGTTACAATCGATCAATCAACATTGGCATATGATTATCACCCAGAGTCCATAGTTTACATTAGGGTTCACTCAGTATTGTGCATTACATGGGTTTTGACAAATGCATAATGCCATGATTCCACCACTGCAGTACCATACAGAGTAGTTTCATTGCCCTGCAAATCTTCTACGCTCCACCTATTCATCTCTCCTTCTCCAAGTCCCAGGTAAACACTATCTTTTTACTGTCTCCATCAGATTGCCTTTCCAAAATGTCTCAGGGTTGGAATCAAACAGCATTTAGACTTTTTGGTTGGTGTCCTTCACTTAGTAATATGCATTTAAGCTTCCTTCAAGTCATCCCATGGCTTGATAATTCATTTATTTTTAGTCCTGAGTAATATTCTATTGTCTGGATGTACCACAATTTATTTATCTACTCACTTACTGAGGACATCTTGGTTACTTCCAAGTTTGGGCAATTATGAATAAAATTGGTACAATATTCATGTGCAGGCTTTGGGGTAGACATAGCTTTCAACTCCTTTGGGTAAATACCAAGGAGCACAATTGCTGGATCATTTAGTTTTGTGAGAAACTGCCAAACCATCTTCCAAAGTGGCATTCCCACCAGCAGTGATGATGGTTCGGATTGCCCTATGTCCTTGTCAGCATTTGATATTACCAGTGTTTGGGATTTTGGCTGTTCTAATAGGAGTGTAGTGATACTTCATTTTAATTGGTAATTTTGATAGTTGTTTTAATATAGTCATTACATAAATGAGTTGAGGCTGCAGAAAATTAAATAAGTTACCTATGATTCTATAGCTAGTGGGTAGCAGATTCAAATTTACTTCATAAGACTCTAAAGCCCATGTGCTTTTTTGCACTGTGGTTGTCTTATAGCCAGACAAGAAAAGAATTTAAATTCATACAGGCAGGACACCAGCGGTTAGTTTCCAGTCACATTTATTGCTTGTCTTAATGTAGTTTTCTCCAGAAGAGGACCCTGACACCAGGAAATATTGGGGGTCACAGGGAAATGAAGGAAGGAAAGACAACCAACGAAGGATCTATTTGAATGCAATTATCACTGTGACCAAGTATAGCTTACTCCTACAGGGGAACTTTGGAAAATGGTGCTAAATATTACTCAAAATGTAACGTGTGGCAGTACCAGTCCTTCTACTGTTTGAGACTGGCCCAGGACAAAGAATGTATAAAAATTAAAAGTACTAAGAAACTTTTATAGCAATTTGACATTTTAGTGATACCCATTTTTCCAATAATTCATTTTTACTTTATGTTATTTAAGTATCAATCCATGATAGATTGAAAATTAAAAACTAGCTCAAAAATAGTGTAGAACACAAGGCCTAAAGTGACTTCATACAAGAAACAGGGGAGCTGGGGTATTTATACCTCACTTCCCATCTGGTTGGTGCACAGTTAAGACAGCACCCAGGAATGTTGTTCATTCCCTAGCACTTCTAGCACACAGACTTCCAGTTGTATGTGATGAAGTGGTGAGCCAGGGACATCATCTTTCTGACGATGAGTTAAAGACTAAACAAGTATTATTTTACTGCATGCTATAAAAGGATAACACTATGCACAGGGTCTGTGCACAGGATTAGACTATGCACGGATAAAATGTTTCATTCAAAAGTACCCATATTTTCTACCAAGAAAGCTGAAGATGAGAGCCCCTTCTCTCCTTTTCCCACACCCAGAAAGCCAGTGTACTAACATATGATGAAAATTCTGAAAACTAGATATTCCCAACAAGGATTTTGAATCTTGAGCAAGTGATCCAAAGCAAAGGGAGGATTCAAAGTTGTTCTTAAGAGTTAGACACTTCCTGCTACTGCTTATGCCTCCGTGTTTTCTGGCCTTGGTTAGTCGTAGTCTCCCAGCTTCCTGCTGATTCTGTGATTCTGTGGGCTCCCAATTTTCTTTCAAGAATTTCCTTTTTTTTTTTTTTTTTGAGACTGTGTGTCATTCTGTTACCCAGGCTGGAGTACAGTGATGTAATTTCAGCTCATCGCAACCTCCACCTCCAGGGTTTAAGCAATTCTCATGCCTCAGCCTCTCACATAGCTGGGGCTACATGTGTGTGCCACCATGCCAGGCTAATTTTACATTTTTAGTAGAGACGGGTTTTGCCATGTTGGCCAGGCTGGTCTCGAACTCCTGACCTCAGGTGATTCTCCTGCCTTGGCCTCCCAAAGTGCTGGGATTACAGGTGTGAGCCACCACACCCAGCCAATAGTTTCCTTTTTTACTTAGAACAGCCATAATCTGACTCTTTACTTGAAACTAGAAGTCATCACAATATGAGATAATTGAGGAGAATCAGAGCTCTGATTTCTGCCTGCTCATGAATTCCCTTGAAAAAGTGAGGTTGGTTTCTTTGCCAGTCTTTGTCTCAGTTTCCACATTTGTAAAATGGGGCTAGCTCTGTAGCATGCTTCGAGGAAAATTAATCTGTGAGATGTTCTCTCATACAGGTTTCTTCCTTTGGAGAATCTAATGGCATGCTGCTCTATTGAGTTTCCGGAAATTCCTCTAGTAAGGGATTTAATTTGACTTTAATTCAGCATTTCCCAAGCTTAATCATGGAAGTCTTGTTTCAGAAAACATTAATATCTCACAGATTGAGTCATCCATAAACTATCTTGGCAAGAGACACTGGCTCCAGCAGTTCATTTTTCTTTGAATTTGCACCTGACACTGATCTCTGTTATTAAACACTCATGAGGCCTTTAAGGAGTCTCTGTATTAACCCATTAAAGTAGGAAGTTCTTAAACTTCAGAGCATATAAAAACCATTTGAGGACCTTGGTATAATGCAGATTGCTGAGCACCATACAAGATCTACTAATTCAGAATCTCCTGGAATAGAGACAAGGAATTAGAACTCAGAATTACTCTATGGGGGATTGTGTTGTATGCAGTCTTCAGTCTACAGTATGAGAAACACTGTCTTATGTAACAATTCAGTGAAAAATACCTTCAAGCAATTTATGTACTTTATCATTAGAAGAAGCTAGAGGTCATAGTCACAATAATATATCTCACTGGTCTGACCATTAATCATCTTCTGAGATGTCTCAGGCAAGCTTATAGATAACTTGTGAATACCCACCCAAAACGTACTGAATGGCTCTGATCCCAACTTCAAAAAGATGTAACATTAAAATTCAAATGTGTCTGTAGGTGCCACTATGAGATCAATAATTTGGGCACATCTAGTTAAAGTGTGAATAGCCACAGCTGTATGTGGTGTCTTACACCTATAATCCCAGCTACACAGAAGGCTGAGGTGGGAGGATAGCTTGAGTTCAAACTTGAACCAGGAGTTCAAGGCCAGTTTGGGCAACATAGTGAGATAGCAAGATTCCATTTCTTAAAAAACAGTCTGAGTGTCTCCCTCACTCCTGCTACCTATCTATAGCTTATTCATTCTCACCATAAACTCACTTAGTGAGAAATCAAGGTTAAAGGAGTAGGGAAGAAATTTAAGTAATTTAATTTTATGACTTTTTAGTAACTCAGCTCAAAGACTCTAATGATAGGAAGCCTGGAATGAATAACTAAAATGTTATTTTTAGACTATCTGTGAATTTCATTTCCTCTCATTACCACAAATGATGAAAAATTAGCTGTCAGAAATTTCAAAGCAATATAGCAGAACATGATGGAAAAACAAATTAATCAAGTCACCATCTTCCGAAACATTTTTCCTTTATTAGAATTCTTCAGGTAATATGACGAAGATAACAATACTGCATTTCTTTAAAATATGCTGTACATTTCCTCATAGGAAAAAGGGTGAGTTATGGTGACCAGTGACATTAACTGGAAACAAGCAAACTTTTGGTTCCTGGGCCACTAGTTGTATTTACTTTAAGAAAACCCTAAAGATGATTTGCAGTCTTTCAGAGAGTTTACTTTTATGTTTACAGCCCAAAATGTGCAGATAACTTGTTTGTAAATAACTGGCAGGGGTCACAGTGTCACATCTAGGAGATTTCATTTTATTTTATTTCGACAACCAGAGTTACAGCCTCTTTACAACTGAGAAGTGGTAATAAATGGTATTGTGCTTATTCTTCAACAACTCCATAGCACTGGCACCTGACATATATTTGCATGAATTTCATGTAACAAAATGTAGAAATCTTTCTTTCTAAAGGGCTTCAAAATTTCCCGAAACAGACTTCTGAACTTCATTTTATTCCTCTTGCTACATGGTTGTTCTGGATTAGTATATATATCAACACCTAAAAACAGAGTTACAAAAATTAGTGCATACCTCATCAATTTCATAAAGTTACATCCTTTCTTGTTTGCATACATTTATATTTTATTTATTACTGTAACTGCCACTTACAACCCAGCAACAAAGAGTTGTATTTTAGAATATTATGGAATGGTGATATGATAGACACTTTAAAGTGTATTGACATGTCCTTATGGGAATTAGGGATTTAATTTTTTTTTTTTTTGATTGAAGCACTGCATGTCTCAAGGGTGGCTGCATTCAGTAGGTCTGTGACATAACCCCTGGAAAATACCCAGGCTGCCCAATGGAAGAGTCACTAATCAGATATTGAATATGATATTTTTGTGTTCAAATTTTCAAGTCCTCACACCCATCCTAACTAATTTTTAGGCCTTTCCTTTAAGACAACCAAAAAACAAAACTATAACTGTTCAAACTTGGAACTAAGGAAAGGAAATAAATATTAAAGCGGAGCTGGATTTATTTCTATTTATTTAGAGTACATCACCTCCAGTAGAATTATGTTGCTAAGGTTGGGATCACGGCTTTGGTCTCGCGAAGGGACCTGCTTTGCAGATCCAGGGCTCGTTTAATTTTCCAGCTGGGTTCCTGCTTTGCTTAACTAATCCTGTGCACCCCGTTGTGCGGTCCACACCTGAAAGGGGGAGTTTCGATGTTGTGGTTTATTAACCAGGTACTTTCCATTCACTCAGTCAACAGAAAGAAAGAGAGAGACCGCGCCTCCTACTTTTTTTTTTTTTTTTTTTTTAACTACAAATAAGGAGACGGAAACTATTAAATAAGAAGGGGGGAAACTCCCGCATATTTCACCTTGACCTGGCTGGACTGGTCTGCTGCCTCTAAGAGGCGGGTGTTGTATTAAAATGAGAGGTCAAACTCCTCGAATGGGAATCGCTCCTGCCCCTAGAGGGAAAAGAGAACCATCACCGTGTTAAACTGGAAACACTGCCTTGTTTCCAATGCGGGGGACTGAGTTCCCTCCCTCGACTTAGCGTGGTAATGACAGGACCCGAGGAGGCGCGCTGCTTCCGGGCAGTTGCCCAGCATAACACCCGCACCCTACTTGCACCTAAATTTCTGAGCTGCAAGCAGGCAGAAGTGCCTTCCACTTTCTCTCCTTAGCTCCCCTCTCCCCGCTTTGCTGCTGTCTGTAACTTTTTGTTCCGTTTACTGGGAAGGTGACGCTTAAGATCAAAAGACCCACTGTAACTTGCAAAAGCCCAGAGCCACCACCAGACGCTGGGGAAAAACAGGGCTGTCCAGTCCAGGGTTAAGGTTTTGAGCAGAGAAGGAGCAGCGAGAAATCTCGGCCAGTCGCTCCGGGAACAGCCCCTGCAGACTGGTCCAACTCTCCAAAGGCTAGGGACACCGGGGCAGCCTTGTGGTGGGGTAGAGGACGAGCTCCTAACTGCAAGCAAAGTGCTGAGTAGAGGGCGTTGGGGGCAGGGGAGGTCCCTTGACTCCACTTTGTATGCAGCAGCTGCGGGGCAGTGAGTATCTCCGAACAAAGCGGCGAGCAGCGCGGGGGTGAGAGATTGGGGTTTGCTCGCAGCTGCCGCTGGCGCTGAGCGAGTCTCCCACCACCCCCGCGAGCGTTGGGGTGCAAGGATTCGGGGGAGGAGGGAGAAGGGAACGAGGCGTGCCATTCCTGTTGCGCGGCTACGCTTCAGGAGTTCTTGTGAACGATGGGAATGGCAACTATCAGAGCCAAGGGGGAAAAGAAAGAGCTGGAGTGAGCAAAACAAAGAGCGAGTGTGGGCCGCGGTGACTTCATGCCTCACCAATGTCCCGCCCACGCTGCTCCGAGCTGTTACTGCTGCTCCTGCCCGGGCTGCAGCCGCGCCTGCGGGCAGCCGAGGCGAGGCGCTCCGGTAGCGTGGGGAGGTTTCCTAGCAACTCTCTGCCCTGAGTGCACCCGGCTACCCGCAGGTCTGGAGCCCCCCGGGGGGCCAGAGCAGGACCACCCCTCTCCCGCCCATCGCCGGCCTCGCCTCTCTCGCATCCTAGCCGTGTGCACCCCAGAGCGCGCCAGCAACTCGGGCTCTGGACTGCGGGACGCCTGAGCCGCGCACTGAGGCGAAAAGGACAAGGGCACGCAGCCCCCGCCCCGCGAAGCCGGGCTCCGGCACCTCGCGGAACCTCCCCTCCTGCGCTCGCAGCCGCAGGCCCCACTCCCCGCCAGGGAGGGAGCGGCGATGCCTCGCTCTGTGCCTGCGGGTGTCGGCGGGTGCTTCTAGGGCGCTCCCAGAGCCGCCTCCCCCTGTTGCTGGCATCCCGAGCTTCCTCCCTTGCCAGCCAGGACGCTGCCGACTTGTCTTTGCCCGCTGCTCCGCAGACGGGGCTGCAAAGCTGCAACTAATGGTGTTGGCCTCCCTGCCCACCTGTGGAAGCAACTGCGCTGATTGATGCGCCACAGACTTTTTTCCCCTCGACCTCGCCGGCGTCCCCTCCCACAGATCCAGCATCACCCAGTGAATGTACATTAGGGTGGTTTCCCCCCCAGCTTCGGGCTTTGTTTGGGTTTGATTGTGTTTGGCTCTTCGCTAAGCTGATTTATGCAGCAGAAGCCCCACCGGCTGGAGAGAAACAAAAGCTCTTTTCTTTGTCCCGGAGCAGGCTGCGGAGCCCTTGCAGAGCCCTCTCTCCAGTCGCCGCCGGGGCCCTTGGCCGTCGAAGGAGGTGCTTCTCGCGGAGACCGCGGGACCCGCCGTGCCGAGCCGGGAGGGCCGCAGGGGCCCTGAGATGCCGAGCGGTGCCCGGGCCCGCTTACCTGCACCGCTTGCTCCGAGCCGCGGGGTCCGCCTGCTAGGCCTGCGGAAAACGTCCTAGCGACACTCGGCCCGCGGGCCCCGAGGTGCGCCCGGGAGGCGCGAGCCCGCGTCCGGAAGGCAGTCAGGCGGCGGGCGCGGGGCGGGCTGTTTTGCATTATGTGCGGCTCGGCCCTGGCTTTTTTTACCGCTGCATTTGTCTGCCTGCAAAACGACCGGCGAGGTCCCGCCTCGTTCCTCTGGGCAGCCTGGGTGTTTTCACTTGTTCTTGGACTGGGCCAAGGTGGTAAGTTGTTTTGTTTTGTTTTGTTTTCTTCTCTTCCCCAAAGGTCTTGGGCTGGCACGAAGAGCTGCCCGGCCAGAGCATCCCGGCCAGGTAAGTTGCGGTCATCAGAGAACTTCAAGGGGGCGGGTGCGGGGCAGCGTCCTCCAGCACAGATGGCCTAGAGGCCAGGTGTCAAGCATTTCTGCCCTGGAGCGACAGCAAGGACTAATTATCAGAGGAGACACTCTGTGTTACTCCTAGGTGTTGAGGAAGCCCTAATAGAAAGGAATTTTGGAAAAGAGGGTGTCCTGTTTACAGAAGTCATTTAGGGGCCCTGGTCCATTCTTAAGGGCATCGTCTGTACACAATGTTCTCCCTATCTTTCTAACATTTGGGTCCACTAAGGACTAACTTGCCTTTAACTCGAGGCTGTAGATAAGTTGGTTATAATGGGAGTAGTCTTCAATTTTTGAGTCCAGAAAAAGACAGCATACAAGTTTCTGCTATCATTAGTGCTCAATCTGAATGAATTACCCACACTGGAGGGATATTAATGCTTTAAGTCATCATCCTTTCGGCTTAAAAAAAAAAAATACTATCTAATTGATCCCTCACTGAGATCAATCTCTGAGACAGAGAAGCAGAAAGAACTCTGAACCAGGATTAACAGCTTTCTGTCCAGGCAAACCATTTGTGTAAGAGCTACCTTAATGTGGAGAGGTTAACTCTTTACGAAATGCATTGTCCTCATCTGTAAAACGAGGTTTATTAATAATACCTGCCTTCTCTAAATCACAAAGGAAAGTTCAAGTCAAATAGCATATGAGAAGGTGTTTTAGGACTTTTGATTTATGAAACAAAATCAAATGTAAGGTGGTATACCAGATTGGATTGTTGGAAAATTACACAACTAAGTAATAGGACGAATCATGAGTTTAGGATGAGTTCTTAATGGTTTTCAATATAGGCCCAACATTTATTTTTGCTAATGCAGTGACTCTTGTCATACTTTCTTTTTTTTTTTTTTTAATTTCACTTTTTCTCTGTTTGGTCACCAAGTCCTTAAATTATATTAGAGCCTTTCTCTGACCTCTTGGGCTCAAGGAGAGTTTAATTAATAGTTGTAATTGTTTTGTAGGTTAAAATTTACTCCTATACTTTAAAGTGTCAAGGTTTTGCCTGAAGCTAATTAAAACAGTCAAATCATAACCTTATAAGTAGGTTTTATATATATAGATATAGAGATATATGGAAACATCCAGCTATCTTTAGGAAATTGTTGCATATACAGTTTTCTAATATTTGTTTCAGGGAGATTTGCTCAGTTATCTGAAATGGAGAAATTAGAGTAAATCTCTTTATCTTGTGGTTATTTTTTGGCTTGTTTGTTGATTTCAAAATAGTGAAAAGGCAAAGGAAAAAGTAACATTCATTATCAGTTATCTCTTAAATGGAAGAAACATGCATTTGTTGCAGCAAATTTTCCGCTAAGCATAATTTCATCCTGTTTCAATAAGTAATAAAGTGCTTTTCTAGATTTAGTAAACACACATACACACTAGTAAAATGACCAAAATTTGTGTTAACACAGTATATTTTGTTCCCAACGTACAGGCAAAGGAAAAAGTCCTACTTGCCTCTAAAATTTACTATTTAAAGTACATTTTTAAAAACCATTAACTGTGCTTATAAACATTAGTCAGGCTCTTGTGAAAAAGCATTGCATTTCTACCCAGTGTCTAAAACTGATTTGAAGGAAATATTATGAATGGGCCTACTTGCACCTGCAGACCTGAAAAGGGAATGCTTATCTGAAATCAGAACAAGGCATCCTTTTCCCAGTCTCTGTCAATATACAAAGGTTTCTGATGTATACTGATTTGCATGGCAGTTAAAAACATGCAAAAAATGTAAATTATAGCCAGTATAACTCAGAAAATTAGAGATCAGCATAAACTGCTGTACTTTTGTGATATAGCTACAAGTCTCAAATTATATGTCTTTACAGTGCAAATTAGATGCTTAAAGCAGAATAGAAATTTAGGTATCAGTTACAATGGAAATCTTGTTTCCTTGCTCAGTAGTTTACACCAGGAGAATGTTGAGGGCAATAAAGCCATACAAAAGAGACCAGAAGCTGCATAAGACCAGCATAACTTTGGGTTTAATTTTTAAAGCAGAATTTATAGGTCTCGAACATATAGTGGACTTTTAATAACAAATATATAGTGAGCAGTGGGGGATGTTATTAATCAAATCCAAAGATTTCTGATGTAGCAAAAATTATAGCAGTTTGTTTTTTAACTGTCTCTGGTGAAGATTACCCACAGCTAGAGAAATAATAGCACTGTAAAATGGTCAATAAATAACCAGAAAAACATAAAGTATATCTAGTGGTTAATATTTGAAGAGTTAATGTAGCAACATTGTTTCCACATTTACTTATTTTAAAAGATTAAGAACTTTCATTACCTAAATTTTTATATAGCAATATAAGTGTAACAAATTTCAGATATCACAGTTTCTTTTAAAAAAGCGGTAACTATTATTGCAATCAAATTTCACCTTCTGTGTATTGCAATGAAATTTCACCTTCTGTTTATTCAAGTATCAATTATTTATTATTTTCAACAACAATCAACTAGATTAACATTATTTTGTGACCATATCATTACTTCCCCTCAAAGCGTTGCATAGCATAAGTGTTCCCAGAATTATTTATGCTTACCTAAAGTGATCGGATATTTAAAAGAACCAAGGTATCATTAACAAAAAATTCAGCCTTCTAAATTATTTGCATAATAAGCTCCCAAATTAATTCTATCTTGAAGCAATGGAGACACTTTCTGATCAATTAAAAATCATACATGTTTGCCCTCTAAACTGACAGCAAAGTAGCTGATATGCTTTGGAAAATTCCTGTGCCCCAAAATAACTTCTTCTCTTGTTACCAAATTATCTGAAATCTCACTACTTAATGGATTCTTTTTGGTTAACCATGGTATTAACCCTATGATTTTTTAAAGTTTTTAACATGGTATAATGGAAATTTTCAAATGCATACAGAATTAGAGAGAATGGTATAAGGGACCACTATATACTCATCACCCAGCTTCATTAACCATCAACTCAAAGCCAACTTCTTTCATCTGTGCTCCTGCTGGTACCCAATTCACCCCCTTCTCCCAACTAAATATTTTGAAAGAAATTTTTCATATCATTTTATTTTAAAATATTTCAGTAAATAAAAATACTACTGGAGGAGGAACACACTGTAACTAATCTTAAAGCATGAATTTTTTTAAAAACTGAAACTTAGGGCAACAAGAATGTTCACAATTTTTAAGGGAAGCAATTGCAAAAGAGAAGGACACGAGGAATGGGAAAGACACAGTTTCAACCATTTACTTTTCAATAGTTCTATTATAGTTCCATTAAAAATATTTTTATTTTGAAAGTATGGATATGTAATAGCTTTTTGATACGCATGTATATGAACAGAGAAAAACAACATGAGTAAATCTGCTTCCCGTGACAAATGTTAATTGTTTTATTCCAATGGAATCACAGCAGGTATACCTTGTAAAGTTTCAGTTTCAAGGATCTGCCTGCCCTTGCATGATTAGTTTTTCTCCTATCTACTGTATCATTTAAAGCAATATCCATATATGTGGCAAAACCTTTTTATCTCCTATTTTTTCTCTCCTTTTGCTATAAGTCCTTGAAAGAGTTGTCCGTAACTCCTCTCTCCGATTCTTCTCCTCACCTTCTCTTTGAATCCATTGTGAGCAGGCTTTCTTTATCACCTCTGCAGTCCACTCTCTTAAGATCAGGGTAACCTCCACATTGCCAGATCTGATGGCTAATTCTTAATCTCCATCCTGCTTGATGTATCATCTGTTGGTGACTTGACACTGTTGACCTTGCCCTCCTTGGAAACAGTTTTGTTGGCTTCTTGGACCCACACTCTCTTGGTTTAAGCTCCTTCTCCATCTCTGATGTTGATTCTTCCTCATTTCTTAACCTCTAAATGTAGTAGTGGCTCAGGACCCACTCCTAAGGACTTCTCTGATCCAGTCTTGGTTTTCTTTTTTTTTTTTTTTTTTTTTTTGAGACGGAGTCTTGCTCTGTCGCCCAGGCTGGAGTGCAGTGGTGCGATCTCGGCCCACTGCAAGCTTCGCCTCCTGGGTTCACACCATTCTCCTGCCTCAGCCTACTGAGTAGCTGAGACTACAGGCACCCGCCACCACGCCCGGCTAATTTTTTGTATTTTTAGTAGAGAGGGCGTTTCACTGTGTTAGCCAGGATCGTCTTGATCTCCTGACCTCGTGATCTGCTCGCCTCGGCCTCCCAAAGTGCTGGGCTTACAGGCGTGAGCCACCACACCCGGCCCAGTCTTGTGTCTTAAATACCATTTCCACATTGACACCTCCAGAATATTTATCTCTAAACCTGACCTCCAGAAGGTGCAGCAAATTGTGTAAACCATGTCTCCACTACACGCCTAAAGGCAAAGACCCTAACGCATTCAAAACCAAACTCCATTTTCTTGTCCAGTCTTCATAATCACACTGTGAGAGAGGTCCCTGTTTTTGAAACAAATAAACAGGAGCAGAGGAGATAAGTAACTTGCCCAATGTCACCTATCTAGTAAGTAGGAGAGATGGGATTTGAACATCGTAGAGAAAGCTTGAATTATGCTTCATAATATGAACTTCCTAATCAGTCTTCATCATTTCAAACCTTTGTCCACATGTTCCTTTCTACTCAGAACTTTCCCCTAGCTCCCCATTGTCTTCAGGCTCCTCATACAACTTCCTCCCAGCTTTGCTATGGACACACCCACCTGTGACCTCCTTGAGGGAAGAAGCTGCCTGTATTTTTGTGTGTCCAATGCTTGGTACACAGTAGGTCTTCACAAAGTATCTGGAGTAAATGACCCCATAGATAACTTGAGGATAATAGTGAGCAATCTAAAATTGGGCAGCTAAGCAAATTCTCCCTAATCATTTCTAAGCCTCACTAGAATTTGAACTTAGAGAAATAAAATTTTCTTTTAAAAGTGGGTTACACCATAAAGGACACTTGTTTCTGTTTTCCCAGACCATACCAGAAAGCAGTCTCTTGACCTTCTGGACAAATCATTAGCAAAGATTAAAAGCTGAGACTTAGTACTCTTTAATCTTATTTTTCAAAGTCTGTCTTGTTTTCAAACTTTCTGTGACAATGATTTCTATTGTTGATAATAAAATATAAAAAGTAATCCTAATTCTTTACCCTTGGTATCAACTTTAAAATTGATTTTACAATTTTACAAAATTGTAATTAGATTACAAAAACTGGAATTTGTAGTCATTTTCAACTAAATACTTCAAAAATTACAAAAACTGGAATTTATAGTCATTTTCAACTAAATACTTAAAAAATTAATAAAAAATCCAAGCTATTCTAACTCCTTTAATGACTATTCATTCAGACTTTCTTAAAGCACATACAGCTTTATGACAGGCACTATACTGAGTTCTGGAGTTAAAAAATAACAACGATTAAGTTTTGTGTATTATTTACTGTAGGCCAGGCACCCTCCTGGACACATTATTTGAAAATATAATATATCCTTTAATGCTTACAACCCTGTTAGTTATATACTGTTATTCCCATTGTATAGGTAAGCAAACTAATTCAAGAGGCATTGTATAACTTCTTCCAGATCTCTTAACTAATAAATAATGGTCCCAGAATTCCGATCTGTGTGGTTTGAGTCAGCATTCTGAATCATAATTATAGACATATAGATTGCTTTTCAAAGGTGAGAGGAGTCCCTACCTTGAACCTTGGAAGGTTCAGCTCTAGCTGTCCTCAGGCCATTGACCTCAACCATGGGCAGGGAGTCCATGGGGCTTGCTCAAGTAAAGTCTGTCACCCCCTCTAGATCATCTCCAGAATTCTTAGCCTAAACAGCCTCAGACTACTTTTATGGCCTGCCTTCTGGGGGTAAACTGAGTCACCCCTGTGCCAAATCCTAGGTGAAGATGGCCAAGGACACTGATGCAGGAGAGGTAAACAGAGCTTGGACATGCAAGCTGAAGTGTCCATGCAGGTAAACAACAGGCTACCTGTGCTGCAGAATAAATTTAGAGGTGGGAGAGAAGAGGGGAAGATAATGGCTGGAGAGGCAACGCTTCACACACTGCCCAGTTCCTAACTAGAAATCTGGAGGTGAATATTCCAAATTCAGACCTAGCCTTCCAGGTCATTATGCATATATATTTATCAAGGAAGGAAGATAGAACTTATTTTACCTATGGGTTTCTTTGCCTGGTTTGTAGCTGTTAAATATGTAGTCTGTTATGCTCACTGCTATTTGTGTTCTTGCTGTTGGCCCTGAAACAGTTAGGGGCAGACTTGTCTACTAGTTTAAATATTACTGGGGGCCGGTTGCAGTGGCTAACAACTGTAATCCCATCACTTTGGGAGGCTGAGGTGGGAGGAACACTTGATGTCAGGAGTTCGAGACCAGCCTGGCCAACATGGAGTAAAGACCAGCCCGTCTTTACTAAAAATACAAAAATTAGCGGGGCATGGCAGTGCGCACCTGTAGTCCCAGCTACTTGACAGGCTGAGGCACAAGAATTGCTAGATCTCAGGAGGTTGCAGTGAGCCAAGATCATGCCACAGCACTCCAGGCCTGGGCAACAGAGCAAGATTGCATCTCAAAAATAGATAAATAAATAATAAACAAATAAATATTATTGAGCCGGGGAGACAAAGAAAGCACCAGAGACCATTGCATAAGGTAGTCTGGTAGTCTTGACTACCTCATGTCAAAGTGTTTTTATATTTTAATAACTAAATCCCTTTTGGTAATCTTTGAGATGTGTACAGATTATACAAAATTTTACTCTCTTGCAAATCATGTTACAATGAGAGTCAAATGTATGCATAGTCTTAATTTAGTTTTACTTATTTCCCTCTATTATTTTAAAAAATATCTTAGAAGGCTGGCCACAGTGGCTCACACCTGTAATCCCAGCACTTTTGGAGGCAGAGGTGGGTGGATCACGAGGTCAGGAGTTCGAGACCAGCCTGGTGAACAGGGTGAAACCCTGTCTCTACTAAAAATACAAAAATTAGCTGGATGTGGTTGCACACACCTACAGTCCCAGCTACTCAGGAGGCTGGGGCAAGAGAATCATTTGAACCCATGAGATGGAGGTTGCAGTGAGCCGAGATCGTGCCATTGCTCTCCAGCCTGGCGACAGAGCGAGACTCCATCTCGAAAAAAAAAAAAAAAAACAACTTAGGAAAGAACATTTTACTGACATGAATGACCTAATTTGGTCAAATTATTCAGTTGGCATATATTTGATATTTAATATCTATAAGTGAATGACTATATAGAAAAAGCAGTGCCATACTATATTCATGGAGTAAAAGGACTATTTTTCGACTTAAAGTGAATCTTAATGTGACCTTATTTCCTCTTTCGCAGTAAGTAAATTATTTGATTTACACACCAAAAAAGTGTATTGAAAGTCAGAATGATTTCCATTGGGATTTTATAATTTAATTAAAACAGACCCACCTTTTAACAAAAGTGCTAAGATCAATTCTTGCTAGGAAACTACTAATATTAAACAGATATATTTAAATTATCTTCCTGCAGTTATTGAAAAAAGTCCTTAACTAATATTAGTTTAGGAAACAAAAATAAGATTATTAACTTAAAATTGCATTGTTAAAGTGTTCTTATCAGATATATACTTTTAAGATGATTTTTAAAGATGCTTCTATTTTGAGTGCTATTATCCAAAGTACTAAAAGTTCATTTTAGGCCAGGCGCGGTGGCTCACATCTGTAATCTCAGCACTTTGGGAGGCCAAGGTGGGTGGATCACCTGAAGTCAGGAGTTCAAGACCAGCCTGGCCAATATGGTGAAACCCTGTCTCTACTAAAAATACAAAAATTAGCCGGGCATGGTGGCAGACACCTGTAATCCCAGCTACTTGGGAGGCTGAGGCAGGAGAATCGCCTGAACCCGGGAGGCGGAGGTTGCAGTGAGCCGAGATTGTGCCACTGCACTCCAGTCTGGGAGAGAAAAAGCGAGACTTTGTCTAAAATAAAATAAAATATAAAAGTTTGTTTTATAAACAGCATATAGGGTCTTATAAAGTGGCCTTTCATGCTGACCTCATCAATGAGCCAACCATCACTGCTATAATGGTTTTAGACGTGCGCTATCTCTGCCTGGTGTTTTATTGATGTTTTGCTTTGTTGTAATCAAATAATACTGTTACATTTGTTAAGGACAGAATCTGTTGCTATTCCAGATAAATATTGGTATCGTTTGTTTATTCTAGAGGATTGCCAAAAAATTCACAGTCTCGTGATAGTACAGGGTAAGAAAGCAGAGTAGCTGTCAAGGGCTAGTTCAAGTCAAAGCCTATGGAAGAGACCGAGTTTGGAAGTGGAGAGAAGGGCTGGTGATGAAGACAGGAGGATGAAAAACTAGAAATATTCCAGCTCTGAAGAACTGTACCAAATATGTCATATTAGGTATGTGAGATGTGTGGTGGATTTGGGCCAGGAATGTTTTGGTGTTTTCCATGGTTTTGGACTCAACTTCCTTTTAGGATAAAGCGGGTTGAAATTTCAAGATCTGCCGATAGTAAATGAAGCCACAGTTAAAAGTACTGCTGTTTCATGTGTACATGTGGTATCAGGGATCTTTCCTTGGAATTGAACCACAAACAGCTTCCCAGGTAAAGGCATTTTTTTTTCCTGATTTTAGTAAGGACCATATATTTAGGATTATTTCTTAGTAACTGTTACAGGTACTAGGTAGGGAAGGGGGCTGGGTGAAAAGCTTCATCCTTATGGAATGAGGGATTACCACTATGCTGTAAAGGATCATTAGAATATTATGAGGTCAAACAAAGAAAATAATTAAAAGGAAAATTCAAAATTCTACAAGGACTGGATTGACAGGATTTATATTAAGGAGTACCAAATAGGGAATGTCTTTTCTAATTGCCTGCTGGAGAGGTGCAAAGAGGCCAGGCTGGATAGGCTTAGTCATGCAAGGTATTCATTGACTGCAATAGAACAAAGGATGCAAAGAAGTTTTGGGGTGGCAAGGACTTGCTGTAGAACTGGCTGTTCTAGTTGGAAACAAAGACACTATTGTAGCAGAACTGCATTGTTGGCAGCAAAATGACTGGCTGGTCTCTTTCTTAGTACAAATCATACCTCCCAAGGTATTGCTCCATTGTGTTTTTGTGCATTTGGTTTGGATTTTTATGGGGAATTGAAGACAAGTGGATCATAAAGTGCAAAATAAAATGCTCTAGAAATGACAGATGGGGCACAATTTCCAAGAAAATTCATCTAGACAGTGGCAACACTGAGAAAAAAAAGAAACATTCAAGAAGGGAGTTACAGTTTCAGACATCCTCAGTTTTGGTTAAAAAGGTCCCTTTTGATGAGTGTGTCAGTCACTACCAGCTAGAACAAGGGCCCTAAAGTGAGGGCCAACGTATATAATCAGAGAGCCTGACGTCAGGTTGATACTGAAAATATGAGAACTAAATGGCATTACTACCAGTCTTTAGTTTAGAAGATATAGCATGTTTGATGCCTTGTAAAGAAGGTATCCAAGGCCACATGATACTTTGTAACATCTGATGGGACTGTGGTCACATGGGAGAAGGGAAGGGGGCTCTTGAGCACGTGCCTGTGGCCCACTGAAGACAGCATAGCCAGCTGGAGATTGGGCCCACCCACCCTTTTAGGGCTGTCCGGGGCTGACAGTTGGCTACTTGGGGGTCAGCATAGCACTGATGCCAGAACTCACTTGCCTGAGGTTGGATTATCTGGTTATAGACTTGTCTGGGCAGAGATTGACTTTTGGGCATTATGAAAAGTCAGACATCAGGGCTTTTTGGACAAATTCTGCCTCTTAGGTATATGTTTGAGTTAAAAAAAAAAAAAAAGATGTGTTACTTCTGACTGCTTTCTACTGGTGGGGTAGAAAAGTTGGGTCAGCCAGAACGATCATTGGATGTTACACTCCTCCTTCTCACAGGGCAAACTTCTCAGATACTGCCCAGGTGGTATGTGATATTTTCTCCTATACTGCGTAATTATCAATTCCTTTGGGATTAATCTTAATGAAAAAAAGCCCACATGCAGAACCAGAGTATTCTTGGCCCTTTGAACAAACTAGATGCTTCTAGCATGATATGAAAGAACATCAAGCTCCAGAGGACGTAAGAATTGGCCTCCAAGTTGTATAATATAAAGCTGCCCTAGTGACAGAGGACCCACTAACTGGTCAGTCCACTTGAGGATCTTTGTTAGGGCTCTGTATTGACAATCTAGGAACTAAATACCCTGAAAGTCCCAAGAAATATAGAATTACCTCAACGTTTTGGAGCTTACCTCTCCAGCCTAAGTGGCACTTTTACACATGAATTTCCTAAGGAGGAATTTGGATTCCCAAAAACATTATCCTTAAAAGTGCAAACTCACCTTTCTAGGCCTCTAAGGATGCTGTACAGTAAGTGGCCCAGGATGGTCTAAATGAGTTGGTTACACAAGACCAGGTTGTTGGATGTTGCCTAGATATACAGTAAACTCTTCCATCCAAAAGATCTCAAGAGGTGCCACATAAACACTGGGAGACTGGCTGGAAATTACAGAATCTGAGAGGGTTTTGCCAGTAACTTCTATACCCATGGCACATTTGGCAAAAGATTTTTCATTCATTTTTTTTTTTTTGGAATTATTGGTGTGCAAAAGTGAAAGGTGGTGGGAATCTGGGCACTTTAGGTTGTTCAAGACCAAAGGAATCAATGGTCACAGATATTCACACTGCATTTGAGAGCACAGAAACCTAGAAACACAAAGTTTGGAGTTTGGTTGTCATTTGTTCGCAAGTACGGCAGAGCCTTCCAGGCCAGAAGAAACAGATTAACTTAGCTGTCTCTGCATAATCAATGGATATGCAGTGTGGGTCTGACAAGGTGAAGAGACATCCTATTGCCTCAGTCATGGTGAGGGTGTAATTCCTGTTTTTCCCATTCAAATATAAATTGGTTGTATATTTTGAAAGGCAGCTTGCAGATCTTCAGTAGACACGGCAGAGTTGAACCTGAAAGGGGTTAAATGTTAGAAGACAAAAGAGATCTGAGGTCCCAGGAAAAGCTAAGTAGGAAACAGAGGGGCTCAGATTTCAAAGTTTAGAAATGGGATGTTGGATATTGGCAGACAATTTCATGTCTCTGAACAGCTTTGCTGCCGTTTGGCCAGTTTTTATTGATCCGGCTGCCTGGGCTGACTCTCAGTAGTAACCTAACAATACTGTGTGGTTTTTAACAGATAATGTATATTTGGGAACCAGACAGAATAAAGATGCAATCATGTAATAAAATGGCCCAGGAAATTCCTTAAGGAAGTTTTCTCTGGCCCTCCCACTCCCCCTTGAGGTGACATCGTCCTGTTATCTGCTGCCTGCTGTACCCTGCCTGTTCCATTTCATAGCACTCTTGTTAAGTTCTGTCTTATGTCAGGTTTTGCTGTTATTCTACAACAGGAATACAAGCAGGTGCCCTATCCCTAAAACCCTGCACAATGCCATGGCTTAATTGCAAGTATTAAGTAATTACAAAAAAAAATTCAGGATGGAGAAGCCATCAAAATTATTACAATCTCAAAATTCCTTAAGAAGCGGAGTTTTCTGCTCTCCACTCCCAGATGATAATGTCCTGTCTCTTTTGACTAAATATTCACCCATTCTCTTCCTCTAATCAAGTAGCTTTTGATAATACTAACAGAGCTACCTATGAGCAGGTAAAAAATAGTTATAGGAGAATCCTGGTCACCTAGAGTGCCTATGAAAAGTGATGTTTTAATTAATTAAATTCTATGGCCATTTATATTCTGACTCTTGCTTTTGAACATCTTTTTAATATGTGTGTGTACACTTTCCTTGCTTGGTGAGTACATCATTTAAACTTTCTTTGGTATTTGAAAAAGGCCTTGCAGTTATCCTTTGATCACATTTGCAAATTTTCACCATTACTATTTAATCAATAAATGAATTCATTGCTTGAGCACCTGCTCAGTGCATTTCACATTGGACTAGTTGCTATGGGGACAGAGAGGAAGTAAGGTATCAAGGAGATGGGGTGGCTGAGCCTGAGGAACTGTGTGGGCATACAATACGAGATAGTGCTGTGGGGCAGAGATGGGTGGTTTGGGCCATTAGTGCTGTAGAGCTTTAGGCTTCTGATTCAGACAGGAAATATGTCAAATGTGTTCTGATGCAAGACAGAACATTGCCGTCTTTTCTAAAGATTGATACTTAGTTTTAATTTTTCTCATTTTTTTAGGAGGGAATTAAAATTTAGAGCCCTGATTAACTGAAGGTTCCAGCTATTTAGATTTTCAATACATATGGTCCACCTTTTCTAGGCATAGTGTATTTTGCGAGATGGTCTTAAAATGCATCAGCATAAAGCAAAATCCAGGCTGTGTCTCCAATAGTACATATAATTAGTTGCATTGTTCTTAGCTATTAGAAGAAACTTTTAAATGTGTGCGTAAAGACTGGAAGAACAGAAGTGTCAGTATTAATTTACTAAATGAGTAGAGTGAGGACATCACAATGGTGAAATTCAGGGACAACCTGTAGGAAACAATAGTGCTTTGTGTGTGTGCAGGGAGCAGTGCAGAATGGCCAGAGGAGCAAGTGCAGTAGCAGGACAAAGCTTCCCCAGGGAGACGCACCCTGAGCTGAGTTCGAGAGTTGACCAAGAGAAGGGACAGCATTGGGAGAAAGTTACCTGAATGTCACAGAAGTAAACAGAAAGAGAGAGAGCACATACGATGTTTTGGGCAATGCAGGGGAGACACCCATTCATCCTCTCCTTCAGTGAATACATACTGAACTCTTACACTGTGCCTGGTATTGCTGTAAGCCTCGGGGATATGGCAGGGAACCAAACAAAAAGATCTGCTCTCATGGAGCTTTCGTTCTAATGGAGAGAGACAAGACATTTGACAAATTAAAGAAACAGAATGTATAGCACACCAGACAGCACTAAGTATCTAGCACCTTCTGTAGAGAGAAAGAAACCCAGATGGGTAGTCAAGAATACTGGAGAAGGAGGTATGATCTTAAGTAGGATAATTAGGAAGGTCTCACTGAGAAGGTGCTGAGCCAATTCCCAGGGCCTCAGGGAGGGAAATATGAACAATATATCATCTGCCTCAATGATATATAACTTTCTAGGAGGATATTGACATTGTAATCCAATAAATTCTATAATTTTAAAATCTAAGATGTGCTAATTATTTAATAAATATTTTTCAACAAGTGTGTGGAAAGTACCATTCAAAGTATGAAAACATTAGGAAACTAAAGGACAAAAGTTCTTGTCCTCATAAGTCTTATATTTTGGAGGAGGACAGACAAAATAAAAAAAAACATGGTTATACATAATTATCTAGTGTGTTCAAAGGTGGTAAGTGCTATGGGGAAAAGTGGAGCAGGGTTGGGGGAAGACAGAGTTGCCATTTCAAGTAGATTAGATGGGGTAAGCCTCATGAAAAAAGACCAGTGTTTGAGCCAAGCCCTCAAGACAGTAAGAGAGTTAGCCTTGTGGATAACTGGAGAAAGGGTAGAGAGATGAGAGGCTATGAAGCAATGTGAGAAATTTTTAATGCATAGCAGGATCGAAGGACTGGTAGTGGCAGATTGTTGGTATCTGGAGCCCAGGCAGAGTGAATCAGCTTGTAAGACAAGAGGTGGTGGTCAGACAGGGTGATATGTGAAACTGGAATTGTAGAGAAGTTGCAGTTACTGGTAATTACAAGGTCTAAATTTCTTAACATGGAAGCAAAGTAGCTAAATCAAGGTGGAGGACAAAATAATTAGAGGAGAAGAGAATAAGGAGCTGATGCATCTTGTATTGCAAAGATGATGTGTGTATATACAAAAATTGTCAGGAATTGACATAGGAGTATTGTTGGAGAAAATTATATCAAGCAAGGAGGCAACATTTTCTAAAAACGAGAAAGCATCTCCCTGTGGTTGGTAAATGTCAGTGAATGCCTGCAACAATTCAGGATGGTGGGTGACATAATGTAAGTTACAAGTGTCAAAGCTGGGGGTGGGATGATTAGGGGATGAGAGAGGGAGAAGTGCCTGTGAGTAGCAGTGAGGACTCAGGAAGACACTTATACATCTCCAAGCTCAAGGCTGTTAGGATTCTGGGAGAAACATCAGCGATTACTCATGAGGTCAGGGGAAGACAAGTTCTCAGGGGAGAGCCAGGTTTCTGTTCAAGCAAGACAAGAGAACATTCAGATAAGGGACTGGGATATGGGCAGTCCTTCTGGAAATGGACTATGAATTTCAGAGGGCACAGGGGATGGGTTTCTGGAGTTGTAAAGGAATAGGAGATAAGGAGAAAAGAGGGCTGTGCAGAGCCTTCTAGGGATTAGAATGTGTTGGGGGAATAAGGGTGCATCTGGGAGTCTTGGGCTTCTTGTAGAAACTGGTGCAATAAACAGGGATAAGTGAGATTAGTCTTTGGGATCTCAAGGTAGATAGTGGTGATGATACTGTCAGTGGCTGAGGGGCAAGGGGAGGTTCTGAGACTTGCTCTTAATTCTTAGGGAAGGAAGAGACAAGGTCTGAGGAAGCCTGACTTAGTTCTGAAGTGAGGCGTTGACTCTACCCCGTTTCCTGCCAAAAGCAACGTGGACTTTCTCTGGGTGTCTTAAGACACTCTTGACTCCAGATGATTAAAGTGATTGCCTGAGAAGTATATAACACCTGACGATTATACCTGAAGGGGGCTCCACAGGCAGAGAGGAGGCATGTACATTGACCATGACATAGGACTTTAGGAGAAAAGCAAAGGAGAGCACCTTGGAGTTAATGGCAGGTAGATTTGTTAGAACTTTATGCTATGGTCTAAATGTTTTTGCTTCTCCAAAATTCATGTGTTGAAATCTAATCATCAATGTAATGGCATTAAAGGTGGGGCCTTTGGAAAATGACTAGGTCATGAAGATAGGACCCTGGTGAATTGTATTAGTGCACTTATGAAAAAGGCCTGTGGGAACTCGTCTGTCCCTTCTGCCATATGAAGACACAGCAAGAAGGTGCCACCTATGAGGAAGGCTCCCTCGCCATACCACCACATCTGTTGCTGCCTTTGTCTTGGACTTGCCGGATTCCAAAACTGCGAGAAATAAATTCTGTTATTTGTAAATTACCCAATCTAAGGTATTTTGTTATGGCAGCCTGAATGGACTGAGATACTTTACTACTCAGGTGGTGGAAATAATTCCAGGCGTTTTGTTTTGTTTTGACTTGATTGTTTAGTAGGGTAGTAATGTGATCACTGTATCAGCAAAAGAAACTGGCAACAATGTATGTGGTGATTTTTAGTGGTAAATGGTGTTTGTAAGAGATTCTGAGAACGTTGTTACATTAAAGCAAATGATCGATAAGGAAGGCCTCAACTAGGATGGATCCATGGGAATGGAAATAGGGAGTGAGAAATACTAAAGACAGTAAATTAAAAGCAAAAAGTCTTGGTGACTGACAGGTTGTTGAGGCTGTGGTAGAGAGAGGAGTCAAGGTTGACCACAAAGATTTAAATCAGAATAGATGGGAAAATAATGTAATTAATGGAATACATCATTCAAGTCAGGAAGAGGAACATAATGTTTGAGACTCGAAGATTTTGAAGTTGTGGCAGGAATCTGAGTGGGTTGCCAAGCAGATTGTTGAAAGTTCAAGACAGAAGCTTGGGTGAGAGTTTGGAACTGAAGGTACCAATTTGGTGGTCATGTTCAAGGAAGTGAGGCTTGGAATCTTGTTAGTTCATAGTCATCAAGCTGTAGAGTTGAGAGAGCAATGTGAAAATAGCCAAAGACATAACAAGGGGAGTTGCTTGAGAATGAGAGAAGTGATAGAGTGCCCACTCAGTGTTGAAAGACAGGACATTTAAACATTGCTAAGTGCTAGTTGCTAAATGTAATTAAGAAATATTATTTGCCTTTGAGTGAGCAATTAACTAGAAAGCTAGAGGAAATTATCTTGATAATGAGGAGAGGCATTTTTCTAATAAGAGAACAAAGACAATTTTGACTTGAAAAGAAGGAATATTATTTAGATCTTCTCTATAATATAATGGTAAAGTTAGGGTCATATCTTAAGTGAGAGGACTTGGTATGAGTTCTTATGGATTTGATAAGAAAGAATTAAAACAGTGAAAGTGAAAACATATGATGGAAAGTCAACAAGAAATTAATGAAAGCAGGGTCTAGGAACTAGATGAGGTGAGAAAGAAATTTGGAGGGAACCCAATTCTTAATAGGTTTCTGGCAGTGCCCCATAAGGCAGCCTCAGATAATCAGATGTTGCTTAGGATGCATCACCCCATTTGTGCCTGACCTCCTGTTTACTTTCAACTCCATGTTTTAGAGTTCTTGAATCAGTAGCCTGCCTTCTGTCTCAGCCTCTGGCTCCTCTTGAATTTGTTATTTATTCTGCTTCTCTTTGGTTTTTCATATCTAAGAACTGTTTTATTGTTCCGTTATCCAGTGACTCCTCTATAGCTCATGAGAATTTCCTGCTGCAGCTCCTGGCCCCAGAGATTCCTAATGGCTCTGTCCATGGTGGAGGTAGTGAGGTGTTGGGGGTGACTTGGGTAAGGCAGAATAACCTTGAGCAAGGTGATGAATACATTGCAAATTTAGCCGTTTCTGGTGCTGATAACAAAGATGGGGGAGCATATAAATAAGAGCTGTGACCTTTGAAAGAATAGAGATTGATAAGTGTTGCAAGATGGAAGCTGGGGAGAATCTCATAAGTAGCCAGTGGGAACAAGGAGAATATGTTTGCAAAGCACTGTTGGAACATTTCCCCAAGGAATGATGAACTCTGCATAAAACTAACTTTTGATGAAGGAGAAACAGTAGCTGGACCATTTGGGGAAATATGGAGAAGATGGAATAAGAATTTTATAGGGCAATATGGACTATAGTTCATAACACAGTACCAATATAAAATTTTCTGAATTTACCACTTCTACTGTGATATATTTTTTCAAATTTCTACCGATGATATTAAACTGAACGAATGTTAATTGAAAATTATAAGATATTAAAGTATTACGGAAGATTATCTATCCTATAAGATACAGTTAACACATTTTATAATAATTCAGAGTTCCTTTTTGTCTGAGTCTCCAAATAAAGTGAATTTTAGAAAAGACAAATATTTAGTGTCATATTTGGCATTGAGGATAGAAGAGGATTTACTTTAGAGAACAGGATATAAAGTATAATATTGATGTATAGTTCAAGCTATATTAGTATTACTATTGATCATAATATTAGGTTGGTGCTGAAGTAATTGCGGTTTTTGACATTACTTTCAATGGCCAAAACCGCAATTACTTTAGCACCAACCTAATAGTACTAATTACTAAGATACTTAAACTTACATTGGTATCATTACCTACTCCATTCAATTTCTTAGGCTGCCGAGAGTTGGCAAGAAATTGCAAGCAGAATATAATAAATAAGTTTTGAATTTGAAAAGATTTTTTATTATCTCACAAACAAGTTCAATCCATACAAAAAAGTATTAAAATAAATTAATCTGAATATAAAAGGATATGTAAATCAAATGCCGTATATGCCGTATAGGGATAAACAACTTTAACCACTATCTAATCTGTATTAAACAACAACAACAACAACAAAATAAAAACATAAGATGTCACTGGATTTTCTTCTAAAAATCATAGTTTAATGTTTTGCTATACACTGGCGGGAAAGAAATATATTCCTTCATTGTGCACTGGTTGTCTTTTTCTAACAAATATTCCATCTCAGTTAATTTACAGTGCTAACTGGAAATAAACTTTATCGATATAATGTACATCAATAAACTGTATTTATTTAAAATGTCAGTGGATGAGTTTTGCCAGATGTATAGACCTCTGAAGCTACGTACCACTACAGTCAACGTACAGAACCCTTCCACCCACCAAAGATTTGCTCATGCCTCTTTGCTGACAGTGCCAAAACACAAAACAGGGAATAATCAGTCTGCATTATTGGTAACTGTTTTATTGAATGTATAGGGATTTTGGTGCCCCTTTTTTAAAAAACAAAAACAAAAACAATTCCCTGTATTGAAGTTGTTGTTGTTGTTGTTGTTTTGAGACGGAGTTTCACTCTTGTCGCCCAGGCTGGAGTGCAATGGCATGATCTCGGCTCACTGCAACCTCCACCTCTCAGGTTGAAGCGATTCTCCTGCCTCAGCCTCCTGAGTAGCTGAGATTACAGGTGCCCGCCACCATGTCCGGCTAATTTTTGTATTTTTAGTAGAGACGGGGTTTTGCCATGTTGGTCAGGCTGGTCTTGAACTCCTGACCTCAGGTGATCTGCCCGCCTCTGCCTCCCAAAGTGCTGGGATTACAGGCATGAGCCACTGTGCCCAGCCTTTGGTGGCCTTTTAAAATAAATCTTTCCTATTATAAACTGTATCTTAAAACAGTCCCATAAACTCACAGAACTGTACATGCTATAAAGCAAATGTTCTCCACCAATCATGTCATTGTAAGTTGCACTCTACTTTTCAAACTGTTTTCACAGCTCAGTGGAGGAACACAGCACACAATGAGGGGAACATTTTTCCTACATCATCAACGAGGAAGCAAAGCCTCAGCAGTTAGTTTATGAAGCCGAGGCCAGCGAATAGGCAGGGTTAGGACAAGAACAAGTTGCCTTCTCCCCTGTTCCAGATTTGGCTTTCAAGACAGAGCTAGAAATTCACAAATGGAAACAGCAACTCCGAACACCACTTCCTATGCTACTGCCTAATTAGCATGCAGCTCAGAGCTGTCCCCTGGCAAAAGCCTGGAGAAACATGGTTGTAAAAGGACAGCTCTCCCCTCTGCTGAACAAGTGCCAGCCAGTCTGCTTTATGCACTCAGTGAGGTTTTCAGGCTGGGGCTTTCACGCGAAAACTCAGTTTCCCTGTGCATAGAAAGGAAATGAATTCTGAAAAGGGTACCAAAGTATTTAGGAGAGTCTCTGACTCCAAGGATGGAAAATAATCTTACTAGGGAGAATCTAACATTCTTATCTTTAGAGTGGGAAAATAGGATTAC
This sequence comes from Homo sapiens, assembly GCF_000001405.40. Taxonomy (NCBI): domain Eukaryota; kingdom Metazoa; phylum Chordata; class Mammalia; order Primates; family Hominidae; genus Homo; species Homo sapiens. Next base: position 20,351,118 of record NC_000007.14, read on the forward strand.
CTTAGCACTGATGATAAGAAAAGTAATGACATACTACTTGTATTAAAGAATTTTCTGGAGGTACTAGGGATTATTGCTGAGTCATCATTTAAGAACTAATAATAGTACTAATTAGCCAGGAGTTTTCAGTCATACTTTGGAATAATTTTCTTTTTTATGTTATTCTCTATTCCACCTAAGACAGTGTTTACAAGAAAAGGTTCTGTCATCAGAACTGGGTTCAAACTTGGTCTCTGTATTTACCACCTCTGTGACTTTAGGTGAGACTTAGCCTCCCTAAGCTGTAGTTTTCCATCTGTAAAATGGGCATAGCAGAACTTTCCTCATGGGAGCTTTATGAAGCTTCAGGTAGATCATTTATATAAAGTGCTTGGCATAGGGCCAACACAGTGTGATCATGTAATAGATACTTGATTTTTTAAATTTTCTCTAATTTTATTGTCCTGTATGTATAGATTTAATTTTCAAGTGCAGAGTCAAAAGATATTAAATATATTTTTGAATTTTGAAATGTGATTAAAGGAAAACCAAATCCTAAGTGACCTAAAATTCATATTGGGTTTTAATTTACCGGTGTTTGTTTTTTACTTAGCACTAAATCTCTTACAATATAGAGTGTTGCTTTGCTACTGTAATCAAGTTCACACCTGCAACGTGACTTTAAGTTTAAAAGATACAATGTAGAAAATGCATTCTTACTATCCTAGGGCATTTTTTTTAACCTCCTTAACCATGGCATTTGAAGTTTGGACATGAATAACAGTGCTTTTTTTTTTAAGTTGGAGAAAGGAAACCTATACCTGCCAAGAGTTGGAAATGAAAATAGGAAGAGCCCCTGGAACTCTAGTGTGTTAGATTGAAAACATTATTTAGAGGAACAGACTGGGAAACCAGTGAATATTTTGGCTTTTATAGAAAGGGAGTGTGCCTCATAAACAGGACAGTTGGAATGTATGGAAAATTTCCAGTGAAAACAAGAAACAAAGCACATGACTAATACTGCTTTTCCAAGTTAGACAAATGCAGCTTTAACCAGAATTTGCCACTGAGGGGCCTTGGGGGCCCTCCTTGAATCTGGATACTTTGATCCCTTTTTCAAGTTCTAAGTCTAATGTAGGAAAAGCTGTACAGATAGATGATATGGTTTTGACCCCCATCTTTCTTCCTGTTTCTGCCGTTCTTGAAAATTCCCAGCAGGTGAGTGTCAGAAGACAAATTGAAGTATTCAGCTAAATAAGCAACTGCAAAACTGAATTTATTCCTCTTCAAGAACTACTCTTCTTGTATGTTGAGTGACCATTTGGCTGCCAAGAGAAACTGCTTTGCCTAGGAAATAATATGGACTGAAAAATCAGTTTCAAACACAAATGAAAAATATTCCTTATGTTTGGTCATCTTCTTTCCACATCAAATATACATGTAAAGATGTATATAAGATATAATCTGAAGATAATCAAACAGCTATTAACTGGATTTCTGCATTTCGCCTATCCTTCAAAACCAGCCTCAAGTCTACCTTTATGTTGAGAGAGTGTATCTTTAACTCATGGTGTTCTCTTTCTCCTTTCACATTTCCTGTAAACTCATCATGAATTGCCTTGTTTATTGTTTTGATTTCTCATTCAACAACACCAGAATACTCTGTGTTTAGGGTAACCTTAGACTTCAGTTTTCCTGAGGAGTTTCAGTTTACACGTCTTGCACCGGTACAATTAACAGTGCCCCTTTCAGGTTAAAAAGTGTCTCAGTGTAGTTCATAAATTATATAGTCACCCCATGTGTGCAGCAATCAGAGCTTTTTCAATGCAAAGTTGATTATGATGGGCATAAATGAATCATAATAAAAAGTTCTAGTATGATCCCATCTGACTGGGCTTCTTGTGATGGCCCATTTCAACACCATGGGTGTCATTAGTGGCTTCACAATGGTTCTTCTTGTAAATTCCCTCATGACCTAGAGTTTTGATTTATGCCATCCTAGCCCACTTTAAGCTCTGACTCATGCTGGGATTGCCCTAAACAGGGCAGGGCAGACTAATGGAATGCATTGCATTGTCCTAACATTTCTTAACCTGCCCAAGGTTGAACATGCTTGTTTGTTTTTCTTTTGCTCTCCAAAAATCTTTATGCTAGCGTAAAGGCCTGTTGTAATCACATAAATTACTCACTATGTAACAGGAGAAGTTGAAATTTGTCCCTGAAACATAAAGATTATATATAATAAAAGCCTTAAAAACCTACCTATTGAGAACCAAAGATATTTAGTGCTGTTTCCTAACTGGCATTACAAGAAAATTCTGCTCAGTCAGGGGATACTCACCTTTCAAGGGACAAGGAACATGTAATGAATTTAAATTTGGTTTAGATCTGTGTAATAAGGAAAAGTAAGTGAATTTGGTGATCTTGTACCTGAGGATGGCGGCATTAAAAAAAGACTATTTTAACTTAATATCATTTCATTAACTTCTTTAAAAATAAGCTAGTTCAGCTGAACTACACAATATCAGAAGACCAAGTGTAAGAAAACGGTAATCGGCCGGGCGCGGTGGCTCACGCCTGTAATCCCAGCACTTTGGGAGGCCGAGGCGGGCGGATCACGAGGTCAGGAGATCGAGACCATCCTGGCTAACACGGTGAAACCCCGTCTCTACTAAAAATACAAAAATTAGCCAGGCGTGGTGGCGCGCGCCTGTAGTCCCAGCTACACGGGAGGCTGAGGCAGGAGAATGGCGTGAACCCGGGAGGCGAAGCTTGCAGTGAGCCGAGATCGCGCCACTGCACTCCAGCCTGGGCGACAGAGCGAGACTCCGTCTCAAAAAAAAAAAAAAAAAAAAAAAAAGAAAACGGTAATCTGTGTTTGTGGAAACATAGAGATGAATTCATCTAGTTATGTATCATTATGTAAACATAGTTACATTGCCTTTTGTGATAAATAGGTTTTGGAAATGAAGATTACTTAAGAATATATGTAGTCAAGACTTATAAAAACTCAGGAATTAAATTGTCAAATTAACCTCTACTTGGAATATTATTTATTAATTACACATTTACTGAGTGTATTCTAGTATATTGAGTGTATGTACAAGGCTCATATACTGGGTATATAAAGAAAATGTATTTAAGCACCTTTCCTCCCAGGAACTGGTAGTCTAGTATTCTTACTTTTCCAAGGAAAAACAAACAAACAAACATGAAGAAATATATCTCTTTAGTATGGATGATCTACTTCACATAAAGTAATTTTATGCTGGACATTTCTTTTAAAACTTTACATTTATTCTGTTAGAGTCTCTTATTTATCTTTCAAAACTCAGATGAAAATTCATCAGTTAGGAATTGTGTTTATCTGCAAGTAAGAGGGTCTTTGAAAACAGGACGAAGTAAGATTCGAGTAAGCTTTCCTTTCACATCAGACCCAGTTCTGAGAGTAAACGAGCAGATACAGGGACTCCTTGGTATTCTGAGAGGCCTGGGCTCCTTTTCTCCGGTTGTGTTTAGCCTCGGCTTCTATGAGACAAGTTCCCTCAAGTCTGAATATGGCTGCTGCAGGTCTGGACATTACAGCCATGTTCCAGGCAGAAAGAGGCAGGATGGGCATAAGGGGAATAAAAAGGAAAACAAGAAAACTTTTTTGAAAACTTTCACAGAAGCCCCATTCAGAAACTTCTGCTTCCATTTAAATCATCATCGTTAGTTATGCAATCATCATCATTACAAGAGAAGGTGGGAATTGTGGCATTTCAGTTCCTCTCAATGCCACCTTCAACAAATTTAGGATTCCGTTAGTTAAGAACAGGCAGGCAAACAGCAATCTGTGTGACAATACACTCTAATCATTTATCACCCTCTGGGGGAGATTATTGTATAGACATTGCTAGTGCCCCACCCATGCTCTTTTTATAGGGCTGGTGCACCCATCCCCAGCTGCTCTGCATTCTGGCCGTTTATGGCTCACAGTTGTCACTTTCTCAAAGGAATTGCCCTCCACCAAAAGGAGCCACATTGCTTAGAGATGCCTGGAACATCAACCCGCTCCAACCCCACTCCTCCCCGTACCAGGCTGCCTGCAGCCAGTGACTGTCTGATATGGGGTAGAAAACAGGCCCCAGGCTCCCAGGTGGGACAACTTTGTGTTGTCGTTTGGGCTCAAAGCTATGGGAGGGGTCAGGTTGAGGCCACACTCCCATTGCACCAACGTATATGCTTGCTGCCATGCCTCACTGCCTGTCCCAGTAAATCACTTGCTAACAATCTCTACTCTAGGGTCTTTCTCAGGGGAATTAAAACAATTGTTTTTTCTTGTAATGTCCTCATTCCCCCAGCTTCCTCCTGAGCTACTATGTAAGAATTGAACATTATTGTACTACCTCCTTCTCTTCCAAATACACGTTCAGACTATCAAACCTAATCACTGGACCAGCAAACAGAGAAGGCAAGATAGAGAGGAATCCAAACTGGTTTTCACTAAACATAAATACTATTGTAGGTTTTTCTAAGTGAAAGTAGAGGCAAAATTATTTAGAGAAAATAGTTTGCCCCATAAAGATACTTATTTTCATTTCCATGGTCTGAATGCTTGTTTGCTACAAGTTTGAAACAAATTAAACACTGTGCTGTAGGCAAAGGAGAGGAATGTGCCAGCCTAGGCTGGGCGACACTGCAAGAGAGTAGTATTTCCTGAAAGCGTAATTCAGGAGCCAACTACAAATATTTTGAATTTCATGAATATTGTTCAATTAATTCTATATGAGCACAGTTTAAATAAGCATTGGTGGTACTTAGTAACTAAAGTTTTTCCACAGATGTGTTATCATTATTTGAATGACATCTGCTTCTTTGTCTATTTCAACAAATAGATCCTTGCTCCCCCTGTTTTGAGGGATCATCTCAGACACTAACTTCCCGGTAATGTATCTTCTCTACTACTTCAGAACCTCCCTACTCAGATCCACCTTTTTCAGAGAGCTTTCTATGTTTCCTCCTTTTCTCTCACGCCCATTTACTTAATCCCTCGTAACATTTAACTGACTTTTGTTTTGTTTCCTGTACCTTATTTTCAAAGAAGTAGGCCTAAGCACCTACTCCTTCCCTTTATTTTTGTAGGGGCCTTTAGGAAACCTCAAATCAAAACTTGGAATAACTAGGTCATGGCAAGTGATTAGAATGCCAATGTATTTATTTGTTTTAATTTTTATATTAAATAATAGCATATATTTCTCTGCAAAAGAGAGATTCAGTAATCAAGTAATGTATTTTAAGGTATATTTACATGACTATGATATGTATATCTAGAAGGAGGAAAACCCAGTTATACTCTAAACTTTACTCTTAAGCATGCTCAATTCGTCTGATTTTGACTGTTATCAAAGCAGAACATGTATTAATTACAACAGTGTTTACTTGTTTTATTTTTTAAGGAAGTAGCTTTATACGGTTATTCAAATTTAATTTAATTTGTATAGTAAATGCAATTGGGAAAGGGATATTGCCTGGAAAAAAATGCATTTCTCACAAATCATTTTGTTTAGGAGTAACAGAAGAATCCAGAATGATTGATTCTAAATATCAAGTACTACAGTCTTTGTCAGTTGTAATTGTTCTTTTTGCCAGATAACCATGAACATCCTTTAAATGTTGTTGAAATTTTATTGACTTTACTACAGAAAAAAACTAGAAATGTCTCTAAAAACTTGTACTTGATCCAATCACTTGATTTATGGAAAGATCCCATTCTAAACACTGAAACTTCTACTGTCCTTTTTAGTTTTGGGGAGTTTGCTGGTCCATTTTTTCCCCTGTCACTTCTATCAGCTAAATATTTTCAAAATAATATGAATGAATGGCATCATCAAAAACAAAGAATACCTAAGTGGGTGTCATGAATATGTTTTTTCCTGACTTTTGTGTACTCTATCCTGTTGATGATGGATATTTATTATACTTTATGACAGATAGCTATAGGGGTCATTTCACATATGTCATAACCATTTAATTCTGGGAAATAATTTAAAAATTGTTCAGCTTAAATCAATGTTCATGTTGCAAAATCTGAATAAAATGCAGGTGTTCTAAGAGATCTTCAGTAAGCCAGTTTGTAGTGATGCCAAAATTGTATTTGTAATAGATTGGATGGATGTGTATATATTCAACTTTATGGGCTTTTAAGAATCTTTTTTTTACTAAATAAATGCAGTACTTTTTACTTAATAGCCATTTTTATATATTAGCTGTATTTTTAAAACTTTATCACCCAAGGGACTTTCATTTTAAAGACAGCATGTTACATTTACGACAAGTTTGAGGACACATAACATCTTTCTTTGTTTTTTTGAACATAGAGATTAATATACACATGAACATACACGTATATATGTGTCTATATATATGTGTGTGTATGTGTATATAGATAATATACCCAACATAGATAATATTAATTATAATGACATTACAACAGTTTCTTTATCGAATGCCTACTATGCCGTGAGCACTCTGTTGGGATGCTTTACCTTACTTCATCCTCACATCAGCAATTTGATATGGTTATAGTTAGCCCTTTGTTACTGCGGAGGAGATGGAGACTTGGAGAGTTTAGGTAACTAGCTTAGTAAGTAGCTGTGCTATGGAACATTGGAAGTTTCCTCCCAGTAACTATTTAGCAATACTACCTCATCACACCTGTTGTCAACAGTTGTAAGACAATGAGAAAATATAAGACACACAGCACATGCTAACAAATCCAGAAATAGAATTACTTAGAATATACACACTTATTGACAATATGCAATTAAATCTTTTTCTGATTTCTGTCAAGGCAGGTTTTTTTTGTTATCGTTGTTGTTTTGTGTTTTGTTTTGTTTGTTTGTTTTGAGATGGAGTCTCGCTCTGTTGCTCAGGCTGGAGTGCAATGGCATGATCTTGGCTCACTGCAACCTCCGCCTCCCGAGTTCAAGCAATTCTCCTGCCTCAGCCTCCCGAGTAGCTGGGACTACAGGTGTGTGCCACCACACCCAGCTAATTTTTTGTATCTTTAGTAGAGACGGGGTTTCACTGTGATACCCACATGGCTCGATCTCCTGATCTCATGATCCGCCCACCTCAGCCTCTCAAAGTGCTGAGACTACAGGTGTGAGCCACCATTCCTGGCCTACCTGGTTACTTTCTCTAGATGGGAGATAGCAATGTGACATAAAACTGCCCCAGGGGCTCCAGAACTGCTGGTACAGTTATACTTCTAAAGCACTAGGCCCCAAACCAATTTTTCTCAGATTTCCAGATGATAAAAATATTAGCATCATTTTTTTCTTTTTTTTTTTGTGAGTCACAATGGATGTCAACTTTCTAACCCTTTTTATTTCTATTTTCTTCCTGCTCTTTCCTGAAAATTTTCACACAGCTATAGCAAGGCAAAGAAAGTAGCTGGGACTACAGGCATGTGCCACCACACCTGGGTAGTTTTTGTATTTTTAGTAGAGACAGGGTTTCACCATATTGGTCAGGCTGGTCTCGAACTCCTGAACTCAGGTGATCCACCCACCTCGGCCTCCCAAAGTGCTGGGATTACAGGCATGAGCCACTGCGCCCAGCCAGCAGTATTTTTTTTAAACTTTTATTTTAGATACAGAGTGTACATGTGCAGGTTTGTTACCTGGTATATTGCATGATGCTGAGGTTTAGGGTACTAATGATCCGATCTCCCAGATACTAAGCATAGTACCTGACAGTTTTTCAACCCTTGCTCCCCTCCCTACTTTCACCCTCTAGTAGTTGTCAGTGTCTACTATTCCCATGTTTATGTCCACATGTACCCAATGTTTAGCTCTCACTTATAAGTGGTAACATGTGTTGTTCGGTTTTCTGTTTCTGAGTTAATTTGGTTAGGATAATGACCTCCAGCTACATCCACTGTGCTGCAAAGGACATGATTTTGCTCTTTCTTATGGCTGTGTTGTGTTCCATGTTGTACATGTACCACATTTTCTTTATCCAGCCCACCATTGAAGGGCACCTAGGTTGATTCCATGTCTTTGCTATCGTGGATAGCACTAAGGCAGTACATTTTTTTTTTAATAACATGGGCTTTATGAGGCACTGAGAACTAAAACAAATGAGCACAAGAGGAGGATCTGAGGATCTGTGCTTTAGCACATTATAATACTTCTTCCATTGGCTTAAGAATTTCCATTGGGATCAATAAAAAATAATCCTTATTAAAATGCAGTGTTCGAATATAAAGAATAAGGTGCATATTGCAACATCACTAGGCAAATAGCTGAACAAGCAGCAACTGCAATCATAAAGTGGGAAAACCCACTCAGGCACAACCTCTAATGAGGTGTCAGTGCAGTGCTGAGGGCTGCTAGGGAACCATTGCTGGAAAGTAGTTTTCTTGTAATGTTGGATGGGAGGGCAAATGAACTAGGTAGACCCAGAAGCTGAAGACAGACTGTCCGTGTCTGTAAACAGCAGTCATGCTTTGTTGTATATGCAGTGTAGAGATTTTTACTTTCACAGAAGGGTGTGTTTGTATGTGTGTTGTGGGAGGGGAGGGAAGGAGAGAGAGTGTGTGTGTGTGTGGGAGAGAGAGAAGAAATTCCTAGCACACACTGACTAATAGCATTCAGTATACTTTGAACATTCAGTGAAAAGAATTCCTGTAATTGTTGATATTGGTATATTTGGTATTTTACTTACTTGCATATTTTTAAATTAGAAAGAAAATTCTTAAAATGCTGCATGCCAAAGTGTATCTGGCATGTCTTCTGTGAAGTATAACCATGACACTCTCCAGAAATAATGTTTGACACTCTTCCCATGCAGTTCAATTTATGACCTTCCTCTAGTCCTGCAGAACCATGTGGCCACCTCCTCCAGATCCATTTATGGGATCTTTTTTCCTGTAGCTATGTAGAACCTGAGAAATGTAAGCCCTGGAACCTGGGAAGTATTGACAGGACCAACATTTCTCTCTCTCTGGGTCATCATCGTTAGGTGTCTGAAATATGAGATTAGAGATGGGAACTAGAACTTTTTAAAGAAAAGAATCAGAATACAAAGAAAACAGATTTTCACTTGTGAATTTGTTTTTGCCATGTGTACTATGGAAGTAGGAGCCTTATCTGAGCTTGAAACTAGGTACTAGGTTAACTTAGAACAGAGTCAGACAATTGTTAGAAACAAAGACTGGAGTCCTAGATTCCACAGCTTCCCTTCCATGAGACTACAGTCCTTTAATTTTTTTTTTTTTACTTGAGTAGCGTTGGGGTACAAGTGGTTTTTGATTACGTGGATGAATTGTATGGTGATGAAGTCTGGGCTCTTATTGTTTCTATCAGCCAAATTGTGTACATTACACAATAGGTAATTTTTCATCCCTCAGCCCTCTCCCAAACCCTTCTTCTGAGTTTCCAATGTCCATTAAACCATTTTGTATGTCTTTGGGTACCTATAGCTTAGCTCTCACTTGTAAGTAACACGTACTGTTTGGTTTTTCATTCCTGGGCTACTTTGCCTAGGATAATGGCCTCCAATTCCATCCAAGTTGCTGCAAAGGACATTATTTTTTTACGGCTGAGTGGTATTCCATGGTGTGTGTATATATATATATACCAGATTTTCTTTGTGCACTCTTCCACTGATGGGCACTTAGATTGATTCCATATGTTTGCCATTGTGAATTGTACTGTGATAAACATGTAAACACAGGTGTCTTTTTGATATGATGACTTCTTTTCCTTTGAGTAGATACCCAATGGTAGGACTGCTGAATCAAATGGTAGATCTACTTTTGCAACTGCAGTCTTTTTTTTTTTTTTTTTTTTGGAGTTTTTTCAATTATATTATTATATATAATCACTTGGAAAAAACGTTCCTTTTTTTTTCACAACCTTGCCAGCATCTGTTGTTTCTTGACTTTTTAATAATTGCCATTCTGACTGCCATAAGATGGTATCTCCTTGTGGTTTTGATTTGCATTTCTCTAATGATCGGTGATGTTGAGCTTTTTTTCATATGTTTATTAGCCACATGAATGTCTTCTCTTGAGAAGTGTCTGTCCGTGTTCTTTATCCACTTTTTGAGATTGCAGTCTTAACTGCCAACACAAAAGTCTTACCTGTTGAGTGAAACTCTTGGTCAAGTCTGAACTGAAATAGACTTAATTTCATGTTTCAGTTGAGTCAAGGCTACAAGTTGGCGAAAGTCAAATTAGGTCTGTGTCTTAGTTCATCTGTACTGCTAAAACAAAATATCTGTGACTGGGTAATTTACAAACAATACAAATTTCCTTCTTACAGCTCTGGAGGCTGGGGAGTCCAGGATTAAGGTGCCAACATCCAGTGTCTTGTGAGGGACTTCTTGCTGTGTCCTTACATGATGGAAGCGCAGAAGCACAAAGAGAGCTAAAAGCTTTGGAGCCTTAATCCCATTCAGAAGGGTGGGGCCCTCATGATCTAATCACCTCCTAAAGGCCCCAGCTCTTAATACTATTGCATTAGAGGCTAAGGTTCAACATATGAATTTGGGGGGACACACTCAGACCACAGCAGTTTGCAAATGTGGTTAATGTCTACACCTAAATTGGTTTTCTTTCTGGAAACAAAACTAAAAAGGTCACTCACTTTTCTGAACATTTTAGTAGTAAGCAGATTTTACAGTTTGGCAGCCTACAACAGATGGAAAATTTTTAGGCTAAGGAATTTTCATACTCTGGGTAGCCAAGCTGGTGGTAAAGGAAGCACAAAATATTAGAGTTCACTTTAGTTCTTTGAGTTCCAGGCCAGGTCTAGAAAGATTTGTGAAGTGAAGAAGTTTTGGACAATGTATACACAAAGTTGATATAAAGTGAAGGACAAGGCATAGAAGGAGATACATAGAGGAGATAATAGAACATTAAAGGTATTAGGGAAAGATGTTTCCTGCTTACTCCATTGAGTGTCTGGGGAAATACAGGGAAGGGTGCTCCATACTACCCCAGTTAGCACTTCTAACTGCAAACACAGGAGTAAACACAGTTCCTCCCTCTCTACTCTTCTCCTACTACCTTCCCCTCTCATCCCCTTCCACCTCCAGGTCAGAACTGCTTTTATCTTGTATTTCCAGAATGTTGGGGAAAGTTGAGAGAGAAAGAAAAAAAGAGAAAACGGTTGGAATATGGCTAGCTAGAGATTCTGTGGTCTCTATTCCCTTTAAAATTACCATGTCCATGTCCATGTGTGATTGGGCACATACACACATGTGCATGAGTGTGCACATGCACACAGTTTTCTTTTATATGTAATACATTTTTTAAAGGGATGAACTTGGATTAGAAGAAAGAAAACGAGATGGCAAAGAGAGATACTAAATGTGACTGCCTCTGGGGAGCAATCCTTAAATATGCCCTCTTCCTCCACCCCTACTCATCCCTCTCTAAAGCAGAGTGAGAGGCACCTTTTCCCTGTTCTTCTAGCACTTTGGTGAAATCTCTCTGTGCATCTTATACTATGTGATACTGTTTGCTTATATATGTCTCTTCTCTTCTTGTCTGTGATCCACCTATATCCGGGATGTCCCTTTTGTTTACTTTGAGTGAGATGGACAGATCACACCGTGACTTCCAGTGTCCTTAGAACATCTTATGTTAAAGAATAGACTGTAGGAAGTCTGAGATTGTTCTACTAAAAACTCATGATAAAATGATGTATGACTCATTCTGTATCATAGTTTGTGTTTTAACCTATACTAATGAGCCTTATTTTAATTGTTTCAGCAGTTAGTGGATGGAGGGATAAAGGTAAATAATTTCTAGGCACTACTATGTTATTAAAATATTATGGACATGTGCAGGAATCTATGGAAATGTGAATTGGTCATGATCTTAGATCTTAAGTCCTCCAATCTAAGAAATTAAATTAACTAAAACAACTCATTCAGTTTAACCACTTTAATTCTAAAATACTAAATCATGCCAGTATGTCTGGTTCTGGTATTCCTCAAGCCAAAATCATCAATATTAACACAATTAGAATTCCCAAGTTAATTACTTTATATGCCCATCAAGATTGTTTCTCAGAAAATTCATTCACTGTGATTTAATGTGAATTTATATGTTGAGATTTATGTCTATAAACAATAATTTTTGTAGGAAAAACTCTAGAATGCAAAGCACCTATTTGTTTCAGAGAATAGGAAATACAGTGAAACTTACTAAACTTTCTAAAAAATGTGGAAGGTCCTTGTCCTCTACTATTGCAGCAGAATTGAAGCCAGACCCCCAAACCTGACCAAAATCAGATTTTTGTCACTCTTCTTTCTCCCAAATTCATAACTAAATCATAATTATCCAGGTATCTATTAATTACAATGAGCCGGTCGACTCTTTCCAATAAATTATATATCTTTGTTGTCAGATTTTTGTAATAAAAGGTCCTCTTGTTTCAGTTTTTCATTTGTTTCAATTGTTCATTTGTTTCATTTTAGTCTAGAATTATATACGCTTTCTATTTTGAGAGTAAATTATAACTGTTTTCTCCTTCATTGCAGAAGACAATAGATGTGCATCTTCAAATGCAGCATCCTGTGCCAGGTGCCTTGCGCTGGGTCCAGAATGTGGATGGTGTGTTCAAGAGGTGTGCCATTTTTTTTTTTCTTTTTCTCATGGTTGACTTGAGCTATAGCATGACTTCATTTTCCTAATATTCTGTGCCTTGAAGGTGCATCAGGAAAAATAAAGATACTGCTGAACATAAGGAAAATTTTATTTGGTTTTATGCTTGGAAACAGCATATCTGGCTGAATATAAAATAAATCATAACATTTTTATTAGGAAAATTATGGTAATTTTGAAATGAAGTGCAAACCATTTTATGTTTTCCATGTGTTCTATAGAGAGAATTGGCAACCACAGCTAGTAACTTTTGATAGTTAAGTAGGCTTTGGTGTGGAATTCTTGCTTCAGCTTGAGGCATTAGGTTATGTATCCTGTTGTTCAAAATAAGTGTTTTTCTGTTCTACCAAGAGAAACGAATCCTAATAACAAAATTCTTAGTAAAACAATTACAATGCATTCCATCTTTCTTGGCTCTAGGGTTGTTTTGTGTTTTCTTCTTTTGTCAGTAATCTGGAGTTAGAACTGCCTGTATCTAGTAAATTGCACTGAAGAAGCGATCTGCTAATCTGGGGTTTCTTCTTGTATGAGATTGCCTAAATAATTTTACATTTACTTATGTAGCTCCTGGGAATTGGAACAAACAAACAGGTCTTTAATGGCTTTTTGCTTGACATGGAGATAAGTCTCTAGCTTTTGTCTCCTCTGACTTAACAACTGTGCCTACTGTTATCCTTCCAACCTCCTTTATTACTTCTTGGAGAAAAAAGAAAGTTATAAGGTAGCAACAGATGGTGGATATCACTTTCTTCTAGGAAGCAAGTCAGAATAGAGGCAGGGGAGGGGTTCAAGAAACAGTAGGCATGTCTGAAAGTAAGTCTCCCTACTGATAGCCTAAAGGCTTCCCAGATGGACTCTGGGCTCCACCAGTGAGAAAACCAGATGTCATTCATGAACTAGAAAGTGGTTCATCAGAACCCGTGAAGCCAGGCATGTCATAGAGAGGACAACTTCAGAGTTTCTGGGTCCGATCCCATCACTGCCTGTGAGCCAAATGACCAAAAGAATTCACTTTATTCTAGCATCTCCCTTTCCTCGTCTCTATAACCTCAAATTTGGTGTCTGCTTCCAGGTTTTTCTCTGTCAAGAATGTTTCATGGCTTGTTATTTCCTGACCCCAAACCAGTACTTCATTTTAGATTTTTACTGCTTCACTAAGGAAAATCCTTAGAGCCCTGAAGTTTGTGCCAACTTGCTGTCAACTGCTGAATGCTTTAGTGAGGGTAGTTTGGAAGAGCCTTCAAAAGATAGTACAGAAGCCCAGTTGTCAGCCACATGTAACATGTTAGCCATAGAACATCAGGCTTCAGAGGGACCCCTTCTCCCTGTCACACCTTTGACTGGAAGAAAATAATCTGGAGAGTCACAGCTCTGGGAATAGCTGTCAGTCCTGCCATAGAAGGAGGGATTTTGAGTATTCGGAGGAATCAGTTGTCTGATAGAAAGAGCTAAGTCAAGGAGAAAGGAGGTGGCTGCTGGAGGGGAGAAGGAAAACCTGTCACTGTTGGCAACATTCTTCAGATGGGATCTTAGGGAAAACGGTCAGAAACTCACTTGGGTGCTCATGTTCCCAAATATTCTATATAGCGCAGTGCAGCCTAGTTTATGTATTGAAAGAGCAGGCTCTGAAGAAACACTGAGTTGGATTCAAATCCTAGTTCCACCAGTTTCTAATGTTATAAACTTGCACATATTACCTAATCACTTTGAACCTCAGATTTCCATACCTCTAAAATGGAAATACAAATTGAACCCGCCTCACAGTCTTGTGAGGATGAAATGAAGCAATGTGGGAAGCACTGGGCACAGAGGCATGGCTTAAGAAATGGGATTTAGGACTATATATAGAACTTTGACAAGGTTCTGGAACAACTCATTCACGGTTAGGAAACTAGGAGGATTGCCTGCATTAATAACATAACCTCAGGGGAAGCAGCCAGTTTTAGGACTCAGCCACTATCCATGCCATTAACAGGAGCTGTCCACTCCCTGCAGGCTGACCTGACGTCATTGAGAGGAAGAATGTATTATTTAATTTTGGAAGATCCCTCACCCTTTAGGTGCGGATGTGACTGATGCCAATGATTCCTCAACCAGCAAGGCTGGAAGGAGAGGCAAGGGAGAGGCAGGCTTTTTTTTTTTTTTTCTCCCCATGATTAGGTTAGATAAATGGTAACAACGTAAACCTGGCTTGAATAATTTTCAAGGCTAATCAAAAGTAAAACGTCTCTAGAAAATTTAGACAGGATGTATCCAGTTTGCTTGCACTATTATGTAGCATGTTAATCTGCCATTCCATATACTTTGCTTTCTCTTTCCTTCTACACTACATAAGTAATTGGAAAATAATTAGGATAGAAACAGCATCATCAATATTACCTAGTTTAATGCCCCATGTTCCTTTCTAACATCTATGGAAGACATGATATGTCTTGAAGAATTCCCTTCCTCTCCTACCTGTTGTGTCTGATGCAGAGTGTCATGCGTAGTGAGAGTTCAGAGCGTAGGCTCGGAGCATAGTTATACTTTCACAGCATATATGATAGGAAAAGTTTCACTGTCAAAGGGAATATGATAGAATTCTCTCACTTCTGTGCAAATTGCTATGTTTGGAAGTCAAAAAGACCCAGGCGTGGGTAGGAAAAAAAAAGTTTTCATATATATATATCCCCAGAATACTATATTAAATTGATGAAAATAACAACCAATAAAAAGCCAACCAGGTCAGGCGCAGTGGCTCACACCTGTAATTCTAGCACTTTGGGAGGCCGAGGCAGGCAGATCACCTAAGGTCAGGAGTTTGAGACCAGCCTGGCCAACATGGTAAAACCCCATCTCTACAAAAGATACAATAGTTAGCTGGGCGTGGTGGTGTGTGCCTGTAGTCCCAGCTACTCGGGAGGCTGAGGCAAGAGAATTTTTAGAACCTGGGAGATGGAGGTGGCAGTGAGCCGAGATCGTGCCACTGCACTCCAGCCTGGATCAGGAGGGAGACTCTGTCTCCGACACAGAAAAAAAAAGCCAACCAGAGAAACTTCAGTCTGAGCTTTTCCTTCTCAAATAGGTTTTAGATGCAGAAAGTTGGAGTAGGATTTTTGCTTGTGTTTTTCTTGTAGAAATAGTAAAAACATAAGGATTAGAAGAAATTAAAATGATATAAAATACCAAAAATGCAATATTTGCTATGTCATTTTCTTTGGATGTAATTGATATACACTAAAAACATCAGTGATTTTCTTTCTTTTAAACAGGATTTCATTTCAGGTGGATCAAGAAGTGAACGTTGTGATATTGTTTCCAATTTAATAAGCAAAGGCTGCTCAGTTGATTCAATAGAATACCCATCTGTGCATGTTATAATACCCACTGAAAATGAAATTAATACCCAGGTGACACCAGGAGAAGTGTCTATCCAGCTGCGTCCAGGTTTGGTCATTTTCAAATAAATCTATAATGATTCTTAACTTGAAATTGCAATTTACTTTAATTTGCTCATTTTTAATATTATGTGGCAGGCAGTATTGTTCTTGTAGAAACCACAGTGGACTCAGAATCAAGAAATTAGAATTCTAGTCTTTATAGTGCCTGCAGCCAGCTGTGTGTCTTCGGACACTGCAAACCTGACCACACTATATTCTAATTATGTGTTCTGTTCACATAATCTGATCAGGTTGTGATGTAATTGTGTTTTTCTACTCTACTGCGAGCCCTAGGAGCAAGGGGACATGTTTATTCCACTCTCTTTTTCCAATGCCTAGCAGAGCACTAGCATGTAGTAAGTACTCTGTAAGTATTTGTTAGCTTGATTGATCCTTTTTGGAAGGGATCTTCCAAAATTAAATCAATCAAGCAATCAATATTTTTGTGATTTAATCACAACCAACTTGTGATTAAAAGTTTATTACAAAGTTCTTAGAGACTTTGTAATAGACTTTTAATCACAAAGCTGCAATTCATGATTATCATAATTACTTTGGGCAGTTTTGTGATGGCCCCTGAGATTAGTATACACCTTTTCTCCTATACCTCTTTTGTACTTCCCCTTCCTTCACAGTGTATTTCACAGTTTGGCCTATGTTGTAGGCCACTGGACATTATTCGCTTTCACTTTCCTTCAGTGCTACAGAATCCTGGTGTAAAAACTACATGTAGTAAGATAAATCAAGGTACACAGATGCGCACCACTCAATTGGATGCATGTAGTTTAACGCAGTTCACAATTGTATCCAATCCTTCATCATTTCATTGTGGGTGGTCCTGTCCTGTCATTAATTTTTAAATAACCATTCTTGACACACTCCCTTCCCCATTCCAGAACTGTGCTATTTCTTCCAGACTCTGATTATCAGAAAAACAAAATCCATTACTTTCTTGGCCCTGGGCATATTCCCAGTTTCCAATTAAAACTGTGCTCTTTCCCATATTAAATAATGACACAGCCCAGTATGGACATTGTGAGCAACAGTTGGAAAGGAATATACAAAAATGAAAGTAATTAGATTGGTAAGATTATAGCTCTTCCCACCTTCCATTGCAAAAAATTATTTAGTGTCGTAAATAAATTCTTTTTTAGAAAAAGAGAGACAGGGTGAAACAAAAATTGTACGTTCTCGTACACCTAATTCCAGTTGAATACATCCACTAAACTCTGCCCTTAGATATTCCTATAATTACACATGCCTCTCTCTTGCCTGTGTTTTCTTTTGCCTTTATCTTAGTACTAGAAAGTTTGAACATTTTCCGTAAGCTGTTAACCATCTTTATCTCTCTTTTTTGTGTAATTTGTGTCTCCATACAAATATGCCTATTTTTCTAATTGAATGCCAATTTTCAGCAGCTTATATATAAAGCTTAACCTATATCATTTGCCTCTAATAAATATGACTACATTCTTAAAAATGTCTTACTCTTTTTTAAATTCTTGAGATTTGAAAATTATAAGCTGCATTTTATTTATTTATTTTTGTTATGCTCCTTCGTGCACACTGAATATAAGCTGTATTTTAACGTTATAGTTGCCCAACCATCTTTAATGATTTTTTTTAATTTTACTGTTATCCTACTAGGTTTGTAATCCCAGTTTTTCTGATCTATATGAGCCTGAGATTATGCCTAACATCCCCCATTTCTTATGCATTTCCATATCCCTAGCAAAACTATAATCTAGGGCCTTTCCCATTGTTAATCTACCTGATTCTTCAGGATCTTAATCCAGGCCATCGCCCCTTTCAGCACACATGTAATTCAATTATATTTCAGCTTTCTGACTCAAATGAGTCTGAAAATACTTCCCAGTTCACACCTGAATTTAAGAGTAAGTTGTTAATATCATCTTTCCTGCAAATCTTTCAGAATTCTCAATTCCTGCCTCTTCACTCTTCATTTTCCTTCAACAGGATTTTCAAAACAGCAGAACTGAAAAACCCACACCTTAATATTTGCACATGAAGTAAATAGGAATTATATAATAGAATAGAAAAATAATAAACAGTCTCTTAGTCTGTTTGGCTGCTATAACAAAGTACGTTGATTGGGTGGCATACACAACAGAAATTTATTTTCTCATGGTTCTAGGGGATGGAAAGTCCAAGATCAAGAGGCTAGTAGATATGGTTCCTGGTGAGAGGTCTCATCCTGGCTTGCTACGTCCACACAGGGCAGAGAGAAAGTGATCAAGAGAGAGAACACACATGCAAAAGAGTGAGAGAGTGAAAGCTCTCCAGTATCTCTTCTTAGAAGTGCACTAATCCCATCATGTCGGCTCCATCCTCATGACCTCATCTAAACCTAATCATATCTCTCAGAGACCCCCTATTCAAATACTGTCACATTGGAGGTTAGGGCTCCAACATATGAATTTTTCGGAACACAATTCAGTCGATAGCATTTGATACATAAATAATATTTTCAAAAGCCCATGGAATATTTTTAGAAATGAATTACACTTTAGGCAGGAAAACACAATTCTAAAAATAAAACTGTTCTTATATGCCAATATCTACAAGCATGGTGTAATAAAATTTTAAGTCAATACAAAATAATAAATAAATATTAAATAACAGCAAGTTTCAGAGAAGCCTCTCCTAAATAATTCTATCTCCAAGAATAAATTGAAACTCTAGTCCTATAAGCCAATAATAGCAGTAACAAACACTTCAAAATATACAGGTTGTTATTGATGATGTTGTTACAAAAATTCACAACTTTAAGTGCTTTTATTATTAAAGAAAAATGAATCCAGATGAACTAAGCATCCAAAGATATAAGAAGAAGATAAACAAAAAAAACATAAGAAAAACAGAGAAAAGAGTTCCTAAATTTAAAAACAAAGCAAAATTAATGAAATGCAAAATAGGAAAAAAAGAATAAAATGGATGTATAAATCCAGAGAACCAGAGAGCTGGTTCTCTGTAAAGTCTAATAAAATAGATAAATTGTTGGCAAATCTAATTAAGAAAAGAGGGCAAAAAATCAAATAACCTAATTATGTAAACCATAATTATAGAAAAAAATTCAGAAAGAAGCCTTTAAGAAATATTAAGCACAAAAATCTATAATAAACTGTTTAAGTCTTGAGATAATTTTCTAGGAAAATATGTCTAAAATTGACTCAAGATAGAGAACCCTAAGAAACCTAATATACAAGAAGTTTAAAAAGTTATAAATGTTTATAATTATAAAAATTATAATTACCTCCCTTAATAAGAAATACTCCCTAAAAACATTAGGTCTAAATGCTTTCATGAGCAGAAATGTTTCATGTTCATTCAAATATTGAAGGAATACATCATCTCTGTGGTATATAAACTTTTACACTACTTTATTTATTTATTTACTTATTTATTATTATTATTATTATTATTATTTTGAGACGGAGTCTCCCTCTGTCACCCAGGCTGGAATACAGTGGTGCGATCTCAGCTCGCTGCAACCTCTGCCTCCTGGGTTCAAGTAATTCTCCTGCCTCAGCCCCCTGAATAGCTGAGATTACAGGAGCCTGCCACCATGCCTGGCAAATTTGTTTTGTATTTTTAGTAGAGACAGGGTTTCACCATGTTGGCCAGACTGGTCTCGAACTCCTCGACTCAGGTGATCCACCAGCCTCGGCTTCCCAAAGTGCTGGGATTTCAGGAGTGAGCCATCGAGCCCGGCCTAAACTCTTACATCACTTTAGGGGATGCCTAGAAGCTACTTAATTATTACAAGGTTAGTATAACCCTATTATCAAATTCTTAATAAAATTTTAGCAAATCAAATTAACTGTATGTGATAAGAAGAACAATATCACCAAACAAATAGGCTTAAGCTAGAAAACCAAAGATAGTTGATTTTTGGAATTGATGTATTTTTATGATGTTAGTTTGCCAAAAAGAGATAAAACATATTGTTATCTCAATAGATAATAAAAAATAATTCAATAAAATTTAGTGCCCATTTCCGGCAAAACCAAAATCGAAGAATACTCCCTTAGGATATGTTAAAATCCTTCTCAAAAGTATACATAAATATGATTACATTTTTAAAAATGAAATAAGAGTTATAAACATTTTGAAAAGATAAAGCAAAATTATCATGCTATGGAAAATCCAAGCAAATCAAATGAAACTAACTATTGAATACTTTTAAATTTTACTCTGGCAGGTTGTTTTTTAAAATATTCAAAAATCAGTGAATTTCCTTTGTAATATTAAATATAATGAAGAAAAATGATCAATTGTGTGATTATCTCATAAAAGCAACCTAGAATGTAAACTGTTTAGGAATAAACTTTTAAAAAAGTATAAGATCCATTGTGCTACCTAATAGAAAATACGAATAAATGGAGAAGAATTTTATGCTCCTGAATATAATATCATAACAATGACAGTTCTCTATATAGTCTATAAGTATAACAAAGTCCAAGTGAATCAATAAATGTAAGACAATCAATCCCAGTCAAATTTGAATGCAGTTTTTTAAAACACATCTTCACTGAAACTTATTATGCATGTATCTTTGTATATAACCGCATATTTATTTAGCATGCATTCCTGGCAGTAGATCTGCTAGGTCAAATGTATGACAATGTATTTACTTTTTAATGTAGATTGTTACATTATTCACACAAAAAATTCGATGTTCAGTTTAGCCTTTCATTAGTCAACCATGCCTGCTTTCATTCTTTTTAATGTCTGCTATTTGTTTAGTCCATTAGCTGTTTTCTTTTGCCTTTTTCCTAGAACTAGAAAGTTTGAACATTTTTCCTAAGGTATTAATCATCTTCATCTCTCTTTTTTTGTGTGTGATTTCTGTCTCCATACAAATATGCCTATTTTTCTAATTGAATGCTAATTTTCAGAGGTTTATTATATATTATTTGCCTCTAATAACTATAACTATATTCTTTTAAATGTCTTGCTCTTTTTTAAATATATAAGTTTGAAAATTATAAGTTGCATTTTTTCTACTGGTATGTTACAAATAATTTATACACTTCAATGAGTTTAGCTTGTTCTTTTTTATAGATATAATGATGATTTGGTCCTTCTGAGACTATAAATGAACAGTTCAAAAGTTGGAAAATTGTTTCAGTGCTGTAGACAAGCAATGATAGTGGTAATGACACAGGAGAAAACTAGGTAAACTTGAGAGAGAATGGAGAGGTGGAATCCACAGGAGTTGGTGATTGATAGGCCATGTGGGACTCCCAGGATCTGGCAAGCAACTTAGTGTGGTAGGGAAATCTGTATGAATGAAGTGGTGTTGATTTAAACTGGGATGTCTTGAGTTGAGAGAGAGAGACTTAAGCTATATGAGGCTGAAGCTCAGGGGAGAGATAGGGGTTGGAGATAGAAGAGAAACAGGAGACATCAACAGGAGATGGTAAGTGAACGCAGTGGGGAAGAGATCATGGGGAGTAGGAGAGTGAAAAAAGAGAAATAATTTTATGTCAGTCATTGTGGAGCTTGATTTTATTAAATTTCCCATTACTATTTGAATTTCTATGTGCAAATTAGCATAATTGTCTAACGTGTGTAAGTCATCTTTCCAACATAGTTGTGAGCTCCATGAGGCAGAACTAGTTTATAACCCCCATATATAGCAAATATTTATTAAATTAAACTGAAAATATGTTCTTAAAAAATGAATTTGACATCAAAGACATATCCGTCTTAGGGCATAATATATAAAGCTAAATGTTGGCAACCCCAGATATATAGAAACATACTCCATGATGTGAAAGTCCTTTTCACCATGAGATGAATCAGAATCAAGGGCTTGATATAATGCATACCTAAGTGGAAAATGCATTGAGCTCTTAATATTAATTTTGATTTATCACTTTATTCTTCTCTGATAAAAATTTATGACTTCCAATGTAGCATCTGTTAAGAATTTTTCATGAATATATTTATTACATCATGTACTGACTAGGGTTTCTTAAAAAATGTTAGTAGGACTATATT
Source organism: Homo sapiens (assembly GCF_000001405.40). Classification (NCBI taxonomy): domain Eukaryota; kingdom Metazoa; phylum Chordata; class Mammalia; order Primates; family Hominidae; genus Homo; species Homo sapiens. The sequence continues at coordinate 20,373,207 of NC_000007.14, forward strand.
TTAATTGGATGTTTTAAATGACATTTAAAAATGACATTTTCTTTACTTTTCACTTCTTATAATATACTTTTTCTTATTTTCACTTATGAATCTTATGGAAAATGATAACAGAAATAGACTATTGATCCTAGTTGATGTTCTCTAAGGAAACTGGATATTAACTCTTTAGGAAAATAGGACAGAGAAGGGAATTCTCTAATTCTAATTCAGAAATAATACAATGTATATGATAAGGATTAGTTTAACCTATATTTCATTAACTTAAGAAAATGTTTCAAACTTGGTTCGTTTTAATAATGTGCAAAAAGAATCTTCTAATTTAGTGTAGATTTAGTAAGATTTTCCAGATATGCTTCACCTGTTTCTTAATTTCAAAATTTAGAAAACAAAACAGAACTTGCACATTTTCTCTCCACCCCCTGGCACACATTCCTCACTTTATTTCCCACAGAAATTAGGAAATGTACTGGAGTCTGTACCTTGCCATTATAAACTGGTCCCATTTGGGGGCCCTTCTCCTTCCCCTGCTGAAGTATAATGAATAGAAATTGGCTTATCATTCTTCCACTTACAGCTTTCCACATTTTCTCTTGGTTTTAAAATTTCATCTTAAGCAGATCATTTTTTTACTTATCTTTTCCTAGTGTGCAGTCATGTTCGTTGTGCCCAGTACATCAGAGATGCTCACACCATTCTTTGAGTAGTTTAAAAACTCATTTTAACCACTTTTTATTCTTTGTATTCAAACCAATCACTGGCAATAGCTCTAAGTAGGTCATCAACTCTCCTCCATGTCTTCTTTCTAATTCTGCCACAGACTCACTTCTTCCCGTTAAAATTAATGGAAGGAAATGAGTGTCTGAGTTCTTAGAATCTCAAAAGGCATGAGGATAAAGCTTTCCTGGAGATAATATAAGTGGTGGCAGGAAGATTTGGGAGCCAGATGATACTCTTTTCCTCTTAGAGAAACTCTGTGGAAGCTCTGCCTATACTGTGGGAAATAAATTCTAGACGCTGGCTTCTTTCTGTAGTAAACATGTGGGCCCTTTAAAATGTTGAACCAAAATGTGCTTCAAATATAGTTTAGTTATAAAACATTTATGGGGGACTATGTATGTGCCAACTACAGAGGCTTCAGAGATGAAGAAACAGTTCTTACCCTAGTGTTGCTTAGAATCTAGTAGTAGTAAGTAATAATTACTAACATATGCATTTACTATATAGGCAATACTAGGGTAAATATTTTACATAGATTACCTTATTTAGTAGCTCTTAGCTGCTAAAAAAAAAAAAAAAGATAAAGATGTCCAGTCTAGAGTCTCATAATTGTATGGTAAACACTAAAATGGTGGTATGATCCAGTTGCCATGGAAACACAGGGGCGGGGCCCTCAGCTCAGTTTAGGAAGGAGCAGATTACTGAGTGGTGTCTTTAACTGGTAATTACATGAAGAAGAAGAGGTTGGGCCACCACAGGCAGAGGAAGGACCACAGGCAGGGCACAGGAGTATGCATTTGTAGGCTGTATATGGGGAAGTAAAGCAGATTTGTCTTGCTAGAGCTAAAGATGTAGACAAGAGTAAGTATTATGTAGGAACTTCGATCTGACATGTTTAGCCATTGGGCATTGGCCATCTGGTGGAGAGCTGTTGACAAAAAATAAGTAATTTGGATTTTAAAAGGATCGACTCGGTGGTATAGATAATGATGGCTGGAAAATGAGACGATAGAGGTAGACATATGAAGAGGTTATGGAAATAATCCAGGCAAAAAGACAATGAAGGGCAAGGATGGATAGGAGTATATCCCAGTATTCTGGCATGCTAGAGTTCAATTGAAATGTTTAACTTGATGAATAATAGGTAAGGAAAGTGAGTGAAAACTAAACTACTAGATTCTTAACTCTTAAACCCTTCACTGGGTCAAAAGTAATGAGTTTGAACATAGTGTCGAAATTAACCTGATTTTACCTTGTGTTTGAAATTCTACATTCATAAAGGAAAAAAAAAAGGAAATGTTATGGTCGGTCCCAAATTATAGTCAATTATAACTATTTTCCTCAAAGTTGGTCTTACCTATGTTTAGTGGTAAGAATTGATTGTTTAATATAGGAAAAAAGACCTAAAATTGGTGAGATAATGTGATTCAAATTCCAAAAAAAAAAGGAAAATTAGATAGCTCTGCATTCAGAAGAATTGAATGATATTTTAAAGACATTCACATAAACACACACCCAAATAGATTCTTCACATTTACTTGTATTCCAAAAACAGAAAACTATTGAAAAGAATGAAGGATGGTAACAAAGTACATGAACAAAAAAACAACTGAAGCATCACCAGAATTTTGTTTTCTGTTGTAGAAACTTACTTAGGTTACTTTCTGAGACTGGCAAAGAAAGATACCAGAAATTTAAAGTAATCATTACCCTTTATCTTCAACACCCAAACCCCCTAAAATGACAAGAACAGCTATAATTAATTTAATGTGAAATTAAAAAGGGAACACTGACATATCATCTATTAATATTCAATACAAATATTAACCCATGGTGCCTTGCAACTAAAAATATCTGGAGAGCACATGCCAGGTTAAGTTTAATCTTTATATAACAAATTCAGTTACATATAACTGTTTATAATACCTGATAGTTGGAATAGCCCAGATAGTGGTAAAGTATTAATAGAAATATATTCAACATGGCTTGTGCAAAATTAATAAAATTCTTTAGGTAAAATGGCTTTGAAAATCATATATTATGCTTGAGGAGGAGTGAATGTGGGAGGGGGTTATTGTCATGGGGCTTGTCCTACTTGGGAGGAAGGAGGAAAAGTGAGGAGCAATCATTCCCCTTCCCTTCCTTCCCCTCCCTAACATTTCCAGGCTCTGTTTAAAACCAATGGATATTGCCATTAAGCACGTGATGAAACTGAGGGTGCTGTCCCTGTCAGGGCAGGGATCCATGGTCTATCAGGACATTTCTGCTGTCCTTTTCATGTAGCCACGTCCCCATGCCAACTAGAGTTCCTTTGGTACTAACTCTGAAACCACTGATGGGAAGTGGAGATTTTCCTGGAAACCCTGAAATGGGTCATAGTACTTCATTAATTAAATCATTTCCAGGGTCACTCTAAGCCCATGTTTTGTACCCTATTCCATTTCTCCTCCAAAATTATGCCCAGGCATCTTGTCCAAAATAGTTTATAAGTGGCTCTATGATGAGATCACGTACAAAGGTTAAGTGGGGGTGTTAACTAGGGACACAATATCCACAGTGCTGCAAAAAGGTATTTCTATGTCCTCTTACTGTGGAATACTGATGCCTAGGACACCTGCCCCCAAGAGTCTTCTCCTTTATTTATAATTATATGATCCAAAGCCAACTTGAGAGCATATTATGAGGACTATCTCAAACTAATGGGCATGACATGGTAATCCAAGCTTGACCCCTTTGGTTTCCTCCTTATCAAGCAGAGCACGATTTGGGGTCAGCCTAGCTAGGTCTATTTACCTTGAATTGACTACTTAAAGCTAGACCCTCACAGCAAGCTCAAGGGTCTTGCAGTGTAAAAATATCAATTATTATTCTTGCTAGCGATTACTAAAAGGCCTGTGTATGGAAATACTCTTTTCCTCTTTATTAGAAACTTCTCTACCAAGGCCTCAGCTGACTCCGGTATACGTGCTAAGGCCAGAATTTATAGAATCCAAAATCGAGCCACAGCAGCCCACACTCTCACACCCCAACCATTTGGCAGTGCTTTCTCACAGCCTCTCTTCTTTGCTGAGGCCAGCGAGACCGGAATTTGCTTGCTAGGCTATGAGCAGCTGGTTTCTGCTGAGGGCCCTTGTGTGGCTAGCATTTGGTTGGAGGGCCCTGAATAGCTTACCTCCAAGGACTGGGCTTTTGCTGATGCTGTACAGGCCCTGGTTGTTTGCTGAGGTCACCAACCTATACCTTTGCTGGGTCCCTGGCACAATATGCTGACCATCTATTACATCTAGCAGTACCTCTGAAAACAGCCATTTATCTTTAGACAGAGCCACCATAAACTGCAACGATTCACCAAGATAAAAATACCATGATACCATGTGGCCGGTTTACAAAAACAATCTTTTTTAAATCTACAAAGATAGCAACACTTTTCATCAACAGCAGTTCACCTAGAGAGAGTCGACACTTTTTGTCTGAGTGAAAAACAAAACCAAAAAAACGCTGATCCACACATCAAGGTTCAAGTCCCTGAACATGAACCGCTCTCCCAGTAGTGTTGAATTTCTACTTCTCATCGATCTGGCCCAGTGTACCAGTGTCTAACATTCCCCTGAATTTAATTTCTCCACTCAAATTGCAGAACACTGCCACAGGAACAGTTCTTTCTGTCAACAGAAGCCCAAAAGCAGAGCAGAATATAGGATATGCTCTCAGGAGGCAGCCTAGCTTCTGAAGGCAAGGGATGAGAGAATGGACTGGGCTGGGCCATGTGTGCCCTATTTCTCCTTTCAAATATGGGCCAAAACCTAGGAGCATTACACTAAAGGGGTTGCCTGCACAGAAAAAGCAAATTAGGAATGAGTAGTCCCTTTCTCCATAATTATTATTATATACCAGCAAAACCTTATTATTTTGAATACAGTAGGTAATTTGGCTGAAAAACATCTGATTTGTGAAATAATCGAAAAGAAAATATTGCTATTTTATGCTAACACCAAAAATATAATTTGATAAATTAGAAGGTTCTTTAAATAGGTAAATTATGTATACAAATGAATGTTTATTTTAAAAATGTTTTCCATTCGGAATATTCTTATGGAAAAATAATGACTTACAAAGCATTTACTTAATAGTTTAAAAAAGTAAAATTTACAAATTACAAATTGCTTACATTTAAATAGATGCCTTTTCACCATATACTTGAAATTAAAAGTAGAGGTACCAACTCTATAGAGGGTTAGGGGGGACAACCCAAGTCCTTGTATCAAATAGTAATATGACAGAGAACTAAATAAAATTGTAGTTCCCTGCGGGGACTACCGACATTTGTCCTTGTGGCAGCCCCCTCTCCTCATCCAGTTGTTTTGCCCAAGGTGGGTGCCTCGCTCATGGGCCCCCTCCTCAGCATGTGTTCATTGAACACCTACCGTGTGTTGGACAAATGCTGACCCCTACCTTCCCCAGGTCCTCCATGTGGCACTGCAGGGCACCATTCTTTAGCCCACTGTCTCATTCCTTCACTTGGCTAACTGATGGGAAGAATCTTACCAACTAACTAGTGATGAGGTACTAATTATTTTGAATAGCTTGCTGTACTACACAGTACCAGAGTTTTCTCATCTCCTGTGTAAATACACTTTAACCCAAAGGAATAAATTTATGCCTTTATCCAATAGGAGATCACCTTTTTTTAAAGATACCTTCCCAGTTTTCCTCAAGTCATTCCACACGTACATCCCCCTCACTGTCTTGAGATCGAATGCCGCTTGCTGGTTTGCACTGTGTTTTTCTAGCTACTAAGGCAATGGAGGTTCATATAATGATACAATACCCTGTTACATTTATATGGAGCTGGCCCATTTGTTATTATCCCTATTCAGCCTATAGAATTGTGGGAAATGAACTGTAGGATTTGGAGACCAATAAATTGGTATGGTTTTCAAATTGCCTTATAATTATACTAGAATAATAATTATACTATAATTATTATAATTACACTAGCATATTCCAAATTTTATGTGCAAATTTGTGATGATTGTGCTAGGTGCTAGAATGTGACTAATTTATTAAGAGCTTATCCTGAAAAGTTTAAAATGAAGACTACATGATGTTTTTCTTCTATTGAACTAGGAGCCGAAGCTAATTTTATGCTGAAAGTTCATCCTCTGAAGAAATATCCTGTGGATCTTTATTATCTTGTTGATGTCTCAGCATCAATGCACAATAATATAGAAAAATTAAATTCCGTTGGAAACGATTTATCTAGAAAAATGGCATTTTTCTCCCGTGACTTTCGTCTTGGATTTGGCTCATACGTTGATAAAACAGTTTCACCATACATTAGCATCCACCCCGAAAGGATTCATAATCAATGCAGGTATCTAGGGTTTGATGTGGATATGCTAAATTAATTTTTTGCTTATAAAATCTCACTTTGTTTTTAATGTAAAGAACTTACCAAATTTTATATTTTTATCTTATAAAATAAGAATAAAAATATTTGGTGAGGTGGGGAGGTTTCTTCATATCTGAAAACTTCTGAGATGAACTGTAGATTGGGCTTTTTATTTTATATTTCTTTAAATATTTAGTCAGTTTTTATCACCAAAAAAAACAAAAAAACAAACAAAAAACCCTACCTAATGTTAGTAACTTTGAATGAAGCTTCAATAGTTAGGCTGCCATGTATATAAATACCTCTTTGGAAATTCTGTATTTTTATTTTTTGATTGCTCCAAAATTGCTGAATTATGATTTGACACATTTTAAAGAGTTTGTGCCAACACGTCATCTATCTCTCCATTACTGTACTGTGACTGGGGATAATGATGTTGTCTCCGATGTGACTACAAAGAAATCTCAGTTATCACAAAGAAAGTGGGTCAAAAGATGAGAATTTGATTGCTTAGAAAGAGCCTTTTTTCTTATCATTTTAGATTTCTGATTCTAAATAACATATGTCCCACTATGAAAGAAGAATTAGCCTTAAAAATACAAGTGTCTCACACAATATTGCCATTAGCCTGTGGAATTTTCAGAAAAATAAATCTGTATGGATCTTTTTTCACAAAAGACTTTATCTTTCTTGCTTCTACAAATTGCTTAGATTACTTTACAATACACATTCCAATTTACCGAAACAGCTCTGTCATCTGTTGTACCGGAACAGGATTGATGCATCCATCAATGGAGTTTCATAAGCCTTCTTGAGGTGAATGTACAGGAGGAATCATTCTTACTTTCTGGGTATCATAGATTCTCAAAATAATTTTAATGAATATTGATTGTTCATCAATAATTCCACCAAGCATCACTTTAAAAATTAGTGCAGTATTAAAAAAAACTAATATCATATTTCAACTAAATTCCTCAAAAGCATTTTCCAGAAGTGTTTCTCAGCTGTTCAATGATAAGAAATCACTGCACATTCTTATATTCACCTTAAAAATTCACAGCGCAGATTAAATATTGAAAGCCTTTAACTGTCCTATATTAAAAAACATGTTTAATCATCTTTATTTTTTTGAATACCAAATGCTTATAGTCTTATTTCCTATTTGCAAAGAAATTGTCATCAGCATTGAGCTTATCTCTAATTTTATAAGCATAGATTTTCGTCGTATAAAGTTTCCCTGGCACAAAAGAAGTACTCCCTTTTCACACAACTGTACAATTTTACTGTTAAGTATTCCAGAATGCTTAAGAAGAGCAAAATAAACTTTACACTTCTTCTTTTCCCACACAGTGACTACAATTTAGACTGCATGCCTCCCCATGGATACATCCATGTGCTGTCTTTGACAGAGAACATCACTGAGTTTGAGAAAGCAGTTCATAGACAGAAGATCTCTGGAAACATAGATACACCAGAAGGAGGTTTTGACGCCATGCTTCAGGCAGCTGTCTGTGAAGTAAGACGTTTCACATGATCGAGTGTTTGCTAAGATGCCAAACTTTCAAAGAATTTAGACGTTTTATTTTCTCTTTGATTTGTGGAGTGAAAACGTAGTGTAGAAGAAAACATATCTTACTATCTCTTACTCCTCACCAAGGTGATTCATTTCGGTATGTGTTTGGGACAGAGGGGCTAAATTCAGGGAGGGATTTAAATAGGAAAAGACAAAAGGGAAAGAATAGGTTATGAACGCGAAAATTCTTTCCAAAAGGGCTGCTTTTCTCATGCGCCACACTCCAAGGAGGAACTAGAAGTAGACTGTTGCCCTCCTCACTTCAGCTTGTTCTCCTACTTTTTTTTTTTTTGAGACGGAGTCTCGCTCTGTCGCCCAGGCTGGAGTGCAGTGGCGCCATCTCGGCTCACTGCAAGCTCCGCCTCCCGGGTTCACGCCATTCTCCTGCCTCAGCCTCCCGAGCAGCTGGGACTACAGGCGCCCGCCACCACACCCGGCTAGTTTTTTGTATTTTTAGTAGAGACGGGGTTTCACCGTGTTAGCCAGGATGGTCTCGATTTCCTGACCTCGTGATCCGCCCGCCTCGGCCTCCCAAGGTGCTGGGATTACAGGCATGAGCCACCGTGCCTGGCCTCTCCTACTTTTTAATCTATATTGTTCTTCCTCCAGTGGAACACTAGAAATCTCTAGCCAGGAACTAGTGTGGTCACATGGCTGTGGGAAAATAGAGGATGTACAAATAAAAGTTAAAGCTATTTACGCAGCAGCGTTGTACCCACGCACATCGTTCTAGCCTGACTTACTGTTCGTCAACTCAAACGTAATGTTTACTTGAGGTAAAAACCACAGTACACATCTGTGTTATTGTACAAAGTCTAATTACATGTTTATTTTTAAGAGTCATATCGGATGGCGAAAAGAGGCTAAAAGATTGCTGCTGGTGATGACAGATCAGACGTCTCATCTCGCTCTTGATAGCAAATTGGCAGGCATAGTGGTGCCCAATGACGGAAACTGTCATCTGAAAAACAACGTCTATGTCAAATCGACAACCATGGTAATGCAGCAGTAACCGCTTAGTAGATATGACTCTTTTGGTTAAAGTACAATTTTAAATTGGCAACTCAACTATTTTTGTACCAGGAAATTACCTACAAAAGAAAGATACAGAACAAGGATAAGCCATGAGAGAGAATTTATGGAACAGTGCAATCTATAAATACTGATCAATAAAATATATGAATAAAACAGTTTGACAGTTTCTAGTAGCTGACTCTTTGATGAATGACAAAGCACTGTATAATTTTTGAAAATAAAAATGATACAAGATTTTACTTTTTATGTAATTCTAAGACAGGGGAAAAAAGTATACCTTTGCTTTATACAAATAGACCAGGTCTACGGGGTCGATATCTACAAACATTTTAAGGAGGAAACCTCACAGTACAATAGGTAGAAACTAAATAGAAACCAGGGAAAAAAGACAAGAGAGAAAGAGAGTCAAACAAAGCAGGCTTTCTCTGTTTTGTACTTTACCTCTCTGCATCTTATCTATTTAAGGTCTCTTTTTAAATCAGTGACTATCTGGCTTGCTTCCTGAGGGTTAGTATAAGCTCTGAATCATATATTTAATATAATCACCTAGAACCATATCTTCCCTGGCATTATCTAATTCTAGTTGTGAAGAATCAACAGTCCAAAGCATCATTTACTTCTGATGTTGACACTTATTTATATATTCTTGCATATGTTAAAACAGAACCTCTCCAACTTTCTCAGTTCATGAGACCCTAGTCTCTCAGTGATTTTATTCCATGACACCCGTGGGTCAAAAGAAATACCTAATAGTTCTGTTTTTTTAAGTGGTTAAGTCCAAATAACTCAACTATTTATGTCTTAACAACTTAGTATCTCCTTAAAAATAATACAAATGTATCAAGTGTAGAGATACATGTTTCAGTTTTAGTAAGTAACTTCAGAAATTTTCAAATCCTGAAATCAGATTGGTCATCACTACCCTGATTTCTTCTTCCGTGTTGATTTTCAAGTTGACCAGCTTGGTAAAGATTAATGTCATTTAAAAGAATAGAACGAAATGTAATCTTAAAACTATGAACTCCCTCCAACTAGTTCTTCATTGGTACCTGATACATGCTGAATGTCACTGTATTTCTCTTGAAGATTTAAATTATTTCCTGCCACCCTTGGGAGTGTGCTGCAGTGCACCAAGACACCTCACACACAGTTTGGGAATCACAGTATCAGAAGCATGAAAATTATGCTGAAATTTGTGTGGTTCCCATGGGTAAATTTTAAGTAGATCACCAGTTCATCTGCAATACCCTACCAGATCTGTTGAAATTCTAGAGTGGCAATTGTATTACCATATGAAACAGGTTCAACACTTGGTCATTTTAGTTTCTTGAAAGTAGTATCAAAATATAAAGATTTTAAAAGGTAACTAGAGATTGAATTCAAAAATTCAAGAATTGGAGTTATTCCAATAGTGTCTTTCCATAATTCTCTTCTACTCAGCCTTATTTCACTTTGACAGACCCACCTACTTCTACTTAGTCATTTCTTATCTATCTTTCCTTCTATTTAACCTCTTTTGATTGATGGTAGAGTTCTAATTTATTTATTGGGGAGTAGGAGAGGGTACAGGAAGAATTATTCTATTGTGAGACAAAGAGAAGGTTTTTATTTTTTTAAGAAGAAAATAACAATGACATTATTCTCAAATTGTATTATTCTTTTGAAGTTTTGCCAAGTCACTGAAGTCATCTCTCCATAATTGTATTTAAAAGGATACTATTGCTCATCTAGGGAGGATTTCCTAGGCAAAGAAATGCTGTCATAATTTTAGGCATATACCATGTTATAGAACCTTATGGAAATAAGTTATAAGTCCAGTGGAATTTTAGATAGGGCTTGGATTCTTATGACATCAGGAAATTGGATGATTACATCAAGACCTTTTACCTTCTTGGTCATTGTTCCCAGTATTTAAAGGAGTGACCCTTCCACATGTCACTGCTGTAGTATATTGAGTAATCCAAGGAATAATGTGTTTGTTAACACCTTAGAAGGATACTTTTATTTTATTTACCCCAGGTCTTTGTTTTAAAGGATTATCTTCCTAAAAATTCTCATTCCCTTCATTTGTAGGGTCACTGCCTACATATTAGGTAAAAGAAGCTGAAGCATTTTGATTGATCCCTTGGCCATGAATTTATACATTCAAGATGTGCTCCTGCTTTGGAATGTTCTATATTGAAAGCTACCTTGACTTTGACTCTAGGCATATTTATTTGTGCATTTCAAAATGACCTCTATCCTCCCCTATTTGGCCATTATGGAGGAATTTTAAATTTTGTTTAAGACAAGTAATCAAACACTTTGCTTCTTGGCTTTATCTCCAGCAGCCAATGCCAATAATGTTGAATGGTATCTGAGTTTCTTGATTCAAGAGTCTTGGGGTTTGTATTTATAAAAGGAAACAACTGATTAAAAAACCCTTTATATGTCTAAATTACATGGGACAGAGTTCTGTTGCTTATACATATAGCTATTTCCTGAAGGTCAATGTGAACCCTAGACTAATAACAACTGCCATTTTATTGAGTATGTATTCAACTGAAAGCACTGTAGCAATCACTCTGCATACAGCATCAAATTTATCTTTACAACAACTCTATAAGGTAGTCATAATTAGCCTCCTTTTACAAACAGCAGGACTGAGGGTCAGAAAAGCTAAGTAAGTTGCCTGAGAATAAACAGCTAAAACATTAATAAATTGCAGAGTTGGCCCTAGTCTGTCTCAATCTTATATTAAAATCTGCATTCTTTACTTTGCCACAGTCTGTCGACTGAAATGCAGAAGAAAAAGAAAAATAATGTTCTTGTTGTCATTTCTTGTCTTTCTGGTTGCAGTCTTATGAAAGTATAACCAGATGATTTGACTTGCATAAGTTGTAAAACAACATATAAAATAATTTATATTTACACATTGTGATATTTGTATATGGTTGCTGGCAAATGATGTTACACTATTGAATAAATTACATTTTCCACTGCTTTTTCATCAAGATCAAGTGCCAGAATAAAAAACTGTAGCAATAGTATAGTTTTATGATTTATCCAGTGATAATGACAATTTGAAATGTGACATTCTTTCTAAAATGGCAGATGTTAATACAAAAATTATTAATGATGTAGTAGACTATTAATACTGAGGGTTTGGAATTTCACCCTGTCTCCCCACCCAGCTTCTCCAGGGTTATTTCTACCCTTAGTCAGAGCCCTCCCAGAAACTGTTCACCCACCCCTTGGTGGAGGCCAAGAATAGCATGAAGGTCTTCAGTAACAATGAAAGAAGACCAAGGAACAAGTATGTGGAGGTCATCCAATGAACCTTATCAATGGGATTTTCAGATGTTGATGTGACTCACAGTTTTAAATAGCGAGATTCAAATTGGCAAGATCCTACCACATTCCTATTGTATGTACTAGTGCATACCATATATTCACTAGTATTTACTGGTTTAGGCTTGGTGTTTTTCCATGCAGCCTTTTATATGCCTCATCACATTATGGCCAGTGATTCTTTATCCCTCCTATCATATACCTCCTCAGAATCCCCTTACTGCTGGCTTCATAGTTCATTCCTTTTCCTGCAGGCTCATTTGGATAGGCTAGCTGCTGAGTCGATCAGCATCTTATAGCATGGAGGCAGAATTGCAGAAGGCCTATCAGGCATTAAACAGTTTTGCTTTCTCACTGGCAAAAATAGTCAACACTGTGCCTCTCCTCATGCAACTTTAACATGTACTTGACTTTTAAGTATGCCATTTAGGAAGCTTTCTTTTTACTATGAATCTTATCTACTTGGAATTATACTTAATTTTTCCAGGACTGCAGATGAATAAAGAGAGCTTAAGAAGCTACTTTGCTAATGTAATCCATAACTTTGCTACCTGAGTTAACAAACGTTCATAACACTATTACATTTATTCTTTCTGAAAGGGATATTTCTGACATTTTCAAAGTCTGGAAAACATTTATAACTAATGTTGAGATCAGACAGAATTCCATGTGAGGAGATAATTGTGATCTTTTAATAAAGAGATCTGTTAATTTTGTTTGCTGTTTCCCGACAGAGACGTGGCCTTTTCTACTTCAGAAAATGTTAAATCTTTTTCTGCTTCTCAGGTTTGTCTCAGATGCATACTAATAAAAATGCAAATTCATGGAACACTTATTTTGTGCCAGGTATGGAATACAACTAGAAAGTTTTAAGTCCATGTGCAGCTTTTAAAAACGATTGTTCCATCTTTTGGGGCATCGAAAGACTACAAAGTACCTGATTTCAGCTTGCTGAATGATCTGCTTCAAATTGTAAACACTATGAGAACATTTTTTTTTTTTTGAGACGGAATCTCACTGTGTCGCCCAGGCTGGAGTACAGTGGCACCATCTTGGCTCACTGTAACCTCCGCCTCCCAGGTTCAAGCGATTCTCCTGCCTCAGCCTCCCGAGTAGCTGGGACTACAGGCGCGTGCCACCACACCTGGCTAATTTTTTTTTTTTTTTTTTTTTTTTTGGATTTTTTAGTAGAGACGGGGTTTCACTGTGTTAGCCAGGCTGGTCTAAATCTCCTGACCTCATGATCCACCTGCCTTGGCCTCCCAAAGTGCTGGGATTACAGGCGTGAGCCACTGCGCCTGGCCTGAGAACATTTTAATAGTAATTTTATAGGAGAACTAATTTGAATGCTTCTCATATTCTCAAAAAGAGTGGCCTGGAAAGGATTTCTGCAAACAATATTTAGTAGGAATTGTTTTAATTGAAAGCAAAATTGCATGTAGAAATCACCTGTGCCAGACTCAAAGTAGCCTGGCTCTGCTTGTGTAATGCCTTTCAAATGGGGTAAAATTATGGTTTGCAAAAGTGACACAATAAAATTCAACTTTGATAAAAATTTTTATAGAATGGAATATTCTCATTAAATTAGATGTTGTAGGTAAGTCATACTTAAGCAGAAAGCTTTTTGTTGCCATTATTATTGAAAAACTTACAAAAATCAATGCATACCCTTCTTCAGTAAATAGGGTATCGTGATTACAACTGATGTCATATTTGCCAGGAGCCACAAACTCAAACATCTGCAGGGCCAGGTAAGAAAGATAAGCAAGTGACATAGGTCAAGGAAAGCACATCCAAGAGCATATCTTGCCTTTAGGAAAGGCCTCCAAATCTCTCTTATTAAGCAGTCATTTGTTAAAAACTGTCTTTTCTTGAGCAGACCTATGGTGTTTGTCTCTTTATGTTCAGTTAACAGCATTCAACATTCCAGTGAAATGTAGATATTGCTTTACTTCTACTTTATAAATGAGGAGGGAAAAAGGTGCTAAAGAGATCAGCATCTTGTCTGGAATCACACACCCTTATATAGCAGTGTCCATAGTAGACTTTAAGCTGTTTGACATGAACCGCTACTCATCATTGGTCTTAATAATTACAGAACAGTAAGTGAAGGCTTTACGAAGTTAACCTATTTAATCTCCACCATCTGAGTGGTAGATACTAGTGTTTATACCTGCTTTACACCTATGGAAACTGAATCCCAGCAAGGTTCAGACAGCTGCCCAGTGTCACATAGCTAGTAGTCGCAGAGCCAGAAGTTGAAGCCCAGATGATCTGTTTTCAGAGCCCCTGCTGGTGGTGTGGTTCTCAACTGGAGTGATTTTACCCTCCAGAGGACAATTTCATCAAGTTATGACATTTTGACTGTCATAACTGTGGAAAGAGGGTGCTACTGGCACCTGTTGTGTTGAGACCAGGGTGCTGTTAAACATCCTACAATGCACAGGACAGCCCCTTTGTCAAATAAAAAATATATCCAGCCCAAACTGTCAATAGCACTACTCTTGAGAAACCCTGGTCTATGCAGTTATCACAGTGCAACTATGTAGATACAAAATTAACTATCAGGACAGATGTTGACTGACACATCATTGAAAGTTTCATCTCTAAATAAATGTCTGCTATCTGATTACTTCTATGCTATTTGCCTCTTTCCTCTAAAAAATCACGCAGATAAAAGGTTTTTATTTAAGTTGTTTGGTTTTTATATCTTATTACAATATTCCATACTATAAATTCTATATTCTATTATAAAAATTTATATTATGGATCTCACTTGTATAAAGAGAATCTTAAATGCTTTTTTATCCACGTAGATATACACATTATTAAAATTCTCCCATACATCTGTACACAGTTATCTCTTTACCCAAAATTGCCCCCAATGAATCTTTCTTACCTCTTCTTTCCTTCTGACATTTATAAGTTACTTCCCACAGCCTTAATTACTTAGCAGCTGTCTTGGCACATTGCTTTCCTTCTCCCTTTTGCCCCTGAAGTGCTTGTTATCTCTATTAATTATTTTCAGAGTTTACAGAAACAATATGTAATGGGTTAGACAGAGAGGGAGTTGGAGTTCAGGAGCAGTGATGTCACCAGAACAGGAGAGTTGGCTGAGAGGGAGCGTGTCTCCTGCTAGTGAAATAAAAGATAAAATACTTTTTTGAAGATAGGCTGCTTCATGAAGGAAAGGGGAAGGGGCTTAGGCAATGGTCATTAATCCACAGGTCTTCTGTCAACAGTGGTTTATTTAAACATCTGTTATACATTTGTAATTTTTAAATATCTGCCTTGAGGTACTTGGAATTTTCTTTTAAAAGAGATTTCTCTCTAGGGCTCAAAAAATCTGTTTTTGTAGGCTTGAAAATTCGACTAATCTTTTTTTTTCTTTTTTTTATTATACTTTAAGTTCTGGGATACATATGCAGAATGTGCAGGTTTGTTACCTATGTATACACGTGCCATGGTGGTTTGCTGTAACCATCAACCCATCATCTACATTAGGTATTTCTCCTAATGTTATCCCTCCTCTAGCCCCCCAACCCCTGACAGGCCCTGGTGTATGATGTTCCCCTCCCTGTGTCCATGTGTTCTCATTGTTCATCTCCCACTTATGAGTGAGAACATGCGGTGTTTGTTTTTCTGTTTTCCTTTGTTAGTTTGCTGAGAATGATGGTTTCCAGCTTTATCCATGTCCCTGCAAAGGACATGAACTCACCCTTTTTTATGGCTTCATAGTATTCCGTGGTGTATATGTGCCACATTTTCTTTATCCAGTCTATCATTGATGGGCATTTGGGTTGGTTCCAAGTCTTTGCTATTGTGAACAGTATTGAAATGCATGTGTCTTTATAGTAGAATGATATATAATCCTTTGGGTATATACCCAGTAATGGGATTGCTGGGTCCAATGATATTTCTGGTTCTAGATCCTTGAGGAATCACCACACTGTCTTCCACAATGGTTGGACTAATTTACACTCCCACCAACAGTGTAAAAGCATTCCTATTTTTCCAAATCCTCTCCAGTATCTGTTGTTTCCTGACTTTTTAATGATCGCCATTCTAACTGGCCTGAGATGGTATCTCATTGTGGTTTTGATTTGCATTTCTCTAATGACCACGACTGATCTTCTTAATAAGCTTCTGACCAAACTAGAACTTTCTAGATTTAAGTTTTATGTACATTTGGTCAAAGTGACTTCCTGTTTTTGGAAAGGGGAAGAGATTAAGAAGTCTTCAAAAGCTGCTTACATTTTAGAGTGCCACTTAAATATTGATTTTATGTCAGTTAAGTAAAAGCTGGTTGAAAACATGTATTAAATTGTCCTTAAAATACAAATGTTTCCAAAAATTAAGAAGGGTGAATGCTTAGCAAGCTGTGACTATCTTGTCAAAGCAAAAATACTTGAAAAGCAGTTGTTGTCATTAAAAAATATTTCCAATACAGACAGATTTACCTTGCCTCTGCTTGTTCTCTTTATTCACTAGCATTATGCAAACTGTCATCAATCTATTTTAAGATTATGCCTTTCATTAGGAACAAGTAATAAGAATTTAGCTGGCAGAATTTGTGTTTTTGGAGTTTTTTTTTTTCCATTGCTTTACAATTATATTCTTAAGAATTGCTCTGAGAAAAACTTTTCCTATGCAGACCTACGTGTTAATACTTTTTAAGCTTCTTCATTAGTTGGTTTCATATCATGTGTAAAGGCAACTCATGAAAATTTGATTTGTTTCTATCACAACAATTATAGATGACAGAGAAATAAAGTGTTATTTGTTACTTAGAACTTACGTTATAAGTGAAACTAGTTAGTCTAGCCCTTTTACCAAGTTCACATAGTTGTCACAATACAGAAATGTTTACCAAGTTGGTTTAACAGGATTTTTCCTTAAAGAAAATACAGTTAACATTGGAGAGTGCAGTGGGAAGCAAAAACTATGGAGTAATTTGAACTTAAATGTTATGATACTAATTGGGCTCAGTTACATACTAATCTTTGGCTTATGCCATTAGGCACCAGTGAATGAGGAGAGACTACTGCCAGTGAACTTTAACATCATCTCTCTGATAAGTATCTAGCTATGAACTTGTTATTCGAGACAATCATTTTAATTTCTAGAAGAGTATTTATAGAAAAAATATTACCAATAATATACCTAACTATATAACTCTAGATAGTCATTTATGTAATCATCAGATTTCTCATGTTCTCTAAACTAAATTTTATTTCAATTTTCCTACTCTTCTCTAACTTTCTCATTACCACAAAGAGTGCCACAGTTGGCACAACATAAATTTTATTTATCAAAGTAAAGCAGGTATAAAATATATCATACAACAAAAATATTGAGCATAATGATAAGTTGAGAAATCTGTAATCTATACCTTGTATAAGCAGTTGAAATAAGAATCAGAATTGCTATTAGTTTTGATCACTTACTGCATGCAAGAAAATGCACTAAATAGTTCACATACTATTATTATCTTTTTAATCTTGCCAGCAATCATGGAAGGCAGGTATCATTCACATATTACAGAAGATGGAATTGAGAACTTTTGTTGTAAGGTGACAAACCTAGGACTTGAGTAGAGCATTTCCTGCTTCTAAAGAGCGTTACTATATCATGTTATATATATATGTTATATAACTATATCATGTTATATATCAAATGTGTATATATAGTATATGTGGATGTTTGAATGTGTATGTGTATATATATGTTTATAGGCATATACATATACATGCATACATATTTGCAGTTCAATACTTGTTACTGAATTTCACCTTAGAATGTGATTGCCACTAACGTGTCTCTATTTCTGAATATTAAATTATCTGTCAGTTACACCATTTGGAGTCCAGTGTTAATCTAAAGAGGTGCTGTTCACTCTTTGTTAGTTAGTTGAATTCAGCTCTCTTCATCTTTTTAAGTTACAGGTTTTTATGGGACTTTTGTCTATAAAATATTTTAATACATGGATATTGATGTTATGTTTTCAAAAATTTAAATGTCTTCAGTAAAACCATAGTCCTTCCCAGGTACATTTTTATGTAAGTCATACAGTTTTCTTCATATTAGATGTTTGAATAGGATGGAGCTATGAAATTTCATTCCCTTATTTATTTTATTATTCATTACAGGAACACCCCTCACTAGGCCAACTTTCAGAGAAATTAATAGACAACAACATTAATGTCATCTTTGCAGTTCAAGGAAAACAATTTCATTGGTATAAGGTATGTTAACTCTGAAAATGTTAAAATTAAATTTTTTTCATTGGTAATTGAAATTAAGACATTTCTTTAGAACCACAGATAAGGATTCTGGAATTATTATACTTTGTACAATCTAAATTCTATATTGTATTACTAAAGTATCCTTTACAATGTCTTAACTTAGCATTTAAGCATAAATTCTATTTAGGTTTGTAACATCTAGAACCAAATCTGAGAACTGAGAATTGTATTGGATACACTTGAGTCCAGCCTGATGCTTAGGGTGGTCTCAAATGTGACAATGGTGGAGAAGACTTATCAGGCAAAAAGTAGTTCACAATCCGTCTTTGCATCTTGCATGTCTAGAGTGCTTCTTCTTATTCTGGTACATGAGCATATCCTCATAATAGGTTAAAATTAGAGAATATCAGCTTAATTCTAAATAGCACTGACACACCTAGCTTTGGTCTAGGTCATTCAATAACGGACCAAAAGGGGCCATCGAAGTGTCTGAGCCAGTCAAAGCCTTCACACATAAGAATAATCTTGGTGGTGTCTGGAGTCTTTTGGGCCAGGTGAGACCCTCAAGCAAAATAGACAGCAACTGTGTCACACTGGAGGTGCCATGGACCCCCCAGCATAGAACTGTTCCTCTGCAACCCTGTTATAGCTTTCTTTTCACAATCTTTAAGGCTCTTTCTTCCTAGAAACTCTCTTGTTCTCATTTTCATGAAGCTATGACACCCTAATTTTCATTGTGCATCTCTGTTTACTTGGTCTCCCTCATCTCCTTTGCTATCTTTGTTTCTCCCATCTGCTCCCTAATTATACATTTCCCCTCAGTGGCCAGTCCCCAGTGCCCTCTACTTATTTTTAAAAACTGCAGAGAAATTACATTTTCTTGGCTTCAATAAATACTTGAACCCATTTCCATTTGCCACAAGCTGGTGTTCCCCCTACCAGTTTCCCTATTACCTACCTACCTTATCTGAAAGCACTACTTTAATCGTAACACTTCTTCCTTTAGAAATCTATGGTGAAGCTTTATTTATTTATTTAGGGTAAATGTATGGAGTACAAGTGCAAGTTTGTTACATGTGTAGATTGTGTAGTGGTGAAGTCAGGGCTTTCAGGGTGTCTGTCACTCGAATAGCACACATTGTACCCATTAAGTGATTTCTCATCATCCACCCCACTCCCAGGCCCTCACCCTTCCAAGTCTCCATTATCTATCATTCTACATCATGTATACACATTATTTAGCTCCCACTTATGGGTGAGAACATGTGCTATTTTTCTTTCTGTGTCTGACTTAGTGAAACTTTATTTAATTCCTTGTTTACCCAAATGTATATACCATGGAACCACTTTTTAAGGTAACAACAAACTAACATCTGCAGAAGTAGGACTCTGGCCAAAATTAAATGGCCCAAACCACTTTATTAGCAATCGTAACAGCTTCCACTTATTGTACACTTAACTATTGTCAGGCATTGAGTTTGTAAATACTTATTAATCTAATCCTCTTAGCAACTCATAAAAATGAGGACAGTCATCTTAATATGCCCATTTTAAAGATGAGGAATCATATTTTGGGAGGCTAAATATTTGCCCAAGGGTTTCTAACAACCCAAATCCTCTGCTCTTAACCTCTAAGCTTAATAGTTTACTTTGAAATACCATGCAGCTTTTTATAGCTTTTGCTTCCTCTTTGCTGTTTCTCTAACATTATTTCTTGGCAGCATTATTGGCTCTAGCAGTTTCTTCCTATTCCTTTAAAAATTTGCCATTAACTGATAAACCATAAAACCAGGTTTATTATTAACTAAATTATGCACAAAGTCAGAATCAACTGGCTCCAAAGCCTGGGAAGCTCCGGTGTGAGCCCCATGCATGCCCCTGTAGTCACCTCCTTTGACTGCCTAGAGATCTTTTTTATCAATCACCTTTCACCTGGGTTCTAACAACCTCATGGCTGATAATCCATCCTCCATCTGGCTGCCAGAGTGATCTATTGAAATCACAAGTGTGACCACAGTACTCCCTTGAGTAAAAGTTTCAGCGGTGCCCTCTGAATTAGAGGACCAAATCTCTAAGGTGGCACATGAGGCCATGTCTCTGCTTGCCTTTCTGGCCTCATTGCCCCACTGTTCCTTGCCTTGCAGGGATGCTTCTCATCCCTCCAGCCATGCTTCTAATCCTCCTGTGCACAAACACTCAGCCAGGCTGATTCTCTCCTCTGTGCCTTTGTTCTTGCTGCCCACCCTCGCTTCTCATGTCTGGAAGCCCTTCTCCCTCATTACTTTATTAACTCTTACTCATACTTTAAGGCATGGCTTATAAGTCATCTCCTCCAGAAAACAGTCCTTGGCAACCTTCCCCAGCTCTCAAATGCTGGCCAGGTATCCCTTTCATTAGGGTCTGTGCACATCTCTATTGTTTCACGTGTTCACATGTACAGTGTTTAGTGAAGAAATTGTCATTTATATGCTTGTGAGATCCTTAAGGGTGGAAACTATGTGACCTAGTGATTTGGCATCTCCAAAGTGTATAAAGTAGGAGCTCAATAAAAGTCTAATAAATGAATTTTTAAAATCTATAAATGATACATTTTTCCTTATGACTTGAGATGCCAAGTTGTTAGTGTCTAAGTAATGGCTGGCATCCAGCAGGAACTTAAGGATATTTGTGAATAGGATAAAATGCAAGAATAAATGGATTTCAAAACTTTTTACCATCTGATTTCCTATAAGTACGTGCCCTTTAGTCAGATTGGCTTTTTTCTATTTTTGCTTCATCTTCGATTCATGCAGACCTTTAAAGCCTTTGCTCATTCTCCCTAAAAATACCTACGGTCTTCTCCATAATAAGCAGCATGCATCAAGAACACATACCCCATGAAGTTTCCACTTGTGACTATGATTTTTCCTAACTAAAGAAGTTTTGGGAAATGCTGCATTAAATAATGTTAAATCATTTCTAGATTGCAGGCCTACTCTGAAACTTTTAATTTGCAAATGTGCATTTTATGTTTCTAAGTGGAAGAAACCATATGCAGAACTTCCCAAGCTCATTTGCCCTCAAAACTTTTGTATGTTTAAAATCTCTTGGGCTTTACATTCCATGGAAGAAATTTGGGAGATGCTCATCTGCATTTCGATTGGATTTTTAGGTCATCAGGTACAGTGATTCCGGATGCACACACAGTCATGCACATGTACAGACACACACAACCACTACATGGGTATATGTTCTGGCTGCTCTACTAGGTTGCTTATATTTTTCTTGTGTCTTATAGGTTTTCATTCATTTAATGGTTCACCTTCAACTGATAACTACAAAAATATTTACTATTTGTTGGTTGCTAACCCATTACATACTATTGTCATTGTTTAAATGCTACTGATATGTTTTATAGGATCTTCTACCCCTCTTGCCAGGCACCATTGCTGGTGAAATAGAATCAAAGGCTGCAAACCTCAATAATTTGGTAGTGGAAGCCTATCAGGTATGTATATATTAGATACAATTTTTTAAATAAAATTTTTACCTCAATTTCTGTGACAAGGTACAAAGTAGTGCCATGTCATCTCGAGAGGAGGAGTAGAAAGCATATTAGATTAGGAATTAGGAATCTGAAGTTCATCCCTGGCCCTACCACTAACTAGCTTTTTGCTTTGGGAAAGTTATTTCTGCTTTCTGTGCCTCACTTTTCTCATTGACAGTCAACAGAGATTGGGCTAGAGGCTATCTAAATTTCCTTCTACATCCAGTGCTCAGTGAATCATCAAGTCATAGCTATAGAATGTACATTATTACCATGAAATTGCGTCATTTCCTATGCCGTAATGATAAAGTAGAAGTCCACAGTTACGTAAGGCAATAATCTGCCAGGGCAGTTAAACTATCTGGGATATAGCAATTATTAAGAGGAGTCGGTTGGGATCTCTATGATCAACCACTTGATTGTTCAACAATTATTTTAGCATTTTTATCAAAAGAGTTTGATTAAAAGAATCACCTTAGTAGATACTCTGTTTTCTTGAGTTGATGGTTGTATGCTGTCATCAGTCCTATGAAGAGTGAATGCCTCAATGCAAAGAATTTAAAGAAACATCTGTTCTTTCAACCTGCGTCATTCCTGAATAGAACCACCTCTGTTAAGATGTTGTGAAAATAGTGACTGCTACTTTTTTACCACTAAGATCCAGTCACTTTACATACATGACCTCATTCAGTCCTCACACCTGACCTATAAAGCAGGTGGTTAGTACCCACATTGTATATTAGTAGAAACCAAGACTCAGGAAAGTGAAACAAACTTATCAAAGGTTGTTCAACTAATAAGCAGAAGAAAGTGGGATCAGAATCCAGGTGTTCCTTTACTTCAAGCCTCAGGTGCTTCCTCCTCTGCGATACCACCTGTTTTTCATTGTTTTACAGTGTGTCAAAAGATATGCTTTATGCTACCTTGAATTTATGGGCCAACTATAGAGTCTCTTTCCCAAATTCTCTGACTCCCTTCCTAACACGCAGAGTTTAATAGTTAAATTATAGCCAAAGCATTGTGGAAAAACCTCTCGTTTCTCTTCTCGTTTTCTCCAGACAGCACCTTCCTTTAGCTTGGGCACAAAAGAGAAAGGCAGGAAGTAGACACAATATATGAAATGAAGAACTTAGGCCGGGCGCGGTGGTTCATGCCTGTAATCCCAGCACTTTGGGAGGCCGAGGCAGGTGGATCACGAGGTCAGGAGATTGACACCATCCTGGCTAACACGGTGAAACCCTGTCTCTACTAAAAAAAAATTAGCAGGGCATGGTGGCGGGTGCCTGTAGTCCCAGCTACTCGGGAGGCTGAGGCAGGAGAATGGCTTGAACCCAGGAGGCGGAGCTTGCAATGAGCCGAGATTGCGCCACTGCACTCCAGCCTGGGCGACAGAGCAAGACTCCATCTCAAAAAAAAAAAAAAATTAAGAACTTGTTTAAACTTTCATCTTCTAAAAGGAAAATAAATCTTGCTTGATTTGTTTTCACTGAGGATAGTTTTCTATGTCTGAAAAGTACGTTGAGTAAAATAAGGAAGAGCGTCTTAAATTACATCTTTCTCACTGTTACAAAAAAGAACAGTGAGACTGAAGAGGGACTTATCACAGAAAATCAAATGTGTCTACAATTCATTCCCATCAGTAGTCTGTTCCCAAGAATAATCAAAATAAGACAAGAGCTTATGCTGTAAGAAACCACTCTAAATTCTTTAGTATGAACCCATTTATTACTCCAAAAAAAGTATATAAATTTACAGATTTTTACCTGTGTGTCAGACTGCCCCAGTGGCAAAGGAGACAGCAACATTTGGTTATTTTGCCTAGCATAGGTATGCAATGCCTTAGTCCAGTGTAGTTCTCATCAACCGTAAACAGTGGAAAAATAATATTAAATCCAACAAAAACTTACTGGGGCTAACTACTCTCCTTAAGTTGGAATTCTGTTATTATTTTATATATGTTTATATTATCAAAAATCTTCTAAACTTTCATTTTGTCTTCACAGTCCAACAGAATCAATTCACAATCCATTGAAGAATTATATAGAATCTGCCTCTGTACCTATTAGATACTAAAAGGGAAGCTCAAGATTATGTCTGGGGTTGGATTTCTGAATCCCCAAACTGGGCAAAATTTTAAGGATTTGTCTTCACATCAGGCTTGAAAAACATTGGCCTAACTAGCTAAGATCTTTTCCTTTTCTTTCTTTTTTTTTTTTTTTAGATGGAATTTTACTCTGTCTTGCCCAGGCTGGAGTGCAGTGGCGAGATCTTGACTCACTGCAACCTCCACCTCCCAGGTTCAAGTGATTGTCCTGCCTCAAGCTCCAGAGTAGCTGGGATTACAGGCGTATCACGCACACCCGGCTAATTTTTGTATTTTTAGTAGATGCAGGGTTTCACCATGTTAGCCACGCTGGTCTGGAACTGCTGATCTCAAGTGAGCCACCTGCCTCAGCCTCCCAAAGAGCTGGGATTACAGGCGTGAGCCACCACACCAGGCCAACTAAGATCTTAAGAGAAGCAGAATTTTAGAAGGGTAAACTGAGGATGCTCATTGCGTTAGGCATTTCCTTCTGATCTGCTGGTTTTCCACATATGAACATCTTTGTATACCACTGGAAGTTTATATTGATTTACCAAGATTATACAATTAATTGTTGCAGTGTGTATGAGCTCTCTGGAAGACATAGTCTTACCTACTGTAAATAATATTTACTTTGAGAAATTAGAGGAAAGTCTCTTGTTCTAAAGATACGCTACCAGAATTCCATGATCAATTATTTGTCAGTAAGCACGTGTTTCTTTGTTGATTATACCATTGAAGAAGAGAAATCACTCAAGTAAAGAATTAGAAGCCACTGGAAATTATTTTTCTTTTCATAACCCGCTGCTCACTCTCTTTCTTTAGGCACATACTTCGTTTTTCCTTTTTTTTGTTTGTTTTTTTTTTGGCAAGTGAAGGATTTTTGCATGTGGTAGACTCTTAGTTGTATGGAATAAAATGCACACAGATCTGAAGTATACATTAAAGGTAGCTGGATCCTTTGGAATTTGAAGATTGTAATGAAAGAAATTAGTGTGTGCCTGCCACACAATAGGCATTAAATAGATATTTATTGAATGAGTGTATACATGGGTGAATAAATGAATGAATGGTTTTCTGCCCAGTAAGAGGACCTATTTTGGTATTAAGGATTGCAGCAAGCTTGACTGACACAAACAAGTCCCAAGGACTTGGGAAAAATTCTAAGCCATTCTTGGAGAGCCTTATAGAACTATATCTGTCCAGTAATTCTTGCTCCTTCAGTGTAGAAATGGCCTCCCTAAAATGTACTTGTCAATTCTGTGTCAATAAGTCGTTTTAGCTATCATGATAGTCTCAATTGTTTGAAACAAAAATATTTCTTTAGCAGCTTTATATGGCAGAAGCATTTTCCACATTTTAAGGTGTCAAGATTTACCCTTTGTGATGATATATGTGTTCTCAAGGTTTAATTACACTTTATCATAAAATATAGTTATTACTGGATTAAAAATGACTGTTTTGTTAACAGACTGATAAATATCTTTGAAGGGCTCAAAATGCAGTCATGGAAATATGTAAAAAAAATAGAACAATTTGAATGCAGATAATCTAATCCTTCAGTATTTCTTATGTATTTCAAATATAATTGGGTCATTATGTGGAAACACTGTTTTTATTCATCCTTTTATAGAAACAGACTCTTTGATCTAGTTAAAATTAAATCTATAATGATTTAATAAGCTTGACTCTGCTTTGTTGCTGACATTTGAAACTACTCTCGTATGTAATTTAAAAATAATGTCTCTGCAGAAGCTCATTTCAGAAGTGAAAGTTCAGGTGGAAAACCAGGTACAAGGCATCTATTTTAACATTACCGCCATCTGTCCAGATGGGTCCAGAAAGCCAGGCATGGAAGGATGCAGAAACGTGACGAGCAATGATGAAGTATGTGGGTGTGCATTTTTCCCTTTTAAAATAAACTAAGTTGTTTGGCGTACTTTCTTACAGAAAAAGCAAACCATTCTGAAAAATTTTACTTACTACTGACTCTAAGAATCTTATTTATACTTCAAGGAAACTTTCATTGTCTCTCCTCAAAGTTCCTACTTGTTTTAGCTCAGCTGATTGTTCTCTCCAACTCTCAGGTTTTAATATGTATATGTGTGTGCGTGTGTGTGTAATATGAAACAATCATGTATCAATAGTAACTTTAAACTTAGGCGTCATGACCGGTATAAATTAGGAAATCACATATTCTCAAATAAGTAGTGTCTGTACTTATAATAATGATAATGCCTTTTTGATTTCATATTCACAAACTCTCAAAGTAAATGTAAAATTGAAAGTCACATATCACAGAAAAGAATGGGAATGATAGAACAGTTGATAAAGGCTAAGAATTTCAAAATCTTTCACTTTGTGATTGCCCCAGTACACTCATAATTATCTAAATTATCTAGAAGGAGGTAGGGAAATTTATTAAGAACAATACAAAATGGGAAGAGTCATCATTTACCAAAAAAAAAAAAATGGGATGTAAAGGAGAGAGATCCAGATTGTAACAGTATCAGGAAACAGCACCAGAGGAGATAGAGATTCTCCAAGGATTGGCACAACGGAGAGAGTAACACAAAGAAACATACTCTTTAAGGGAGTCTTTGCTGGGTGAAGTGATTTTGATTGAGTCATTTACGTCATGAGGCATTGTCTCATGTTTAAATGAATGACTTGGACTAGTAGATTTCCAACCCCTTTTAATCTAAAGTGCAATGATGATTAATTATGTAATGTCATGCTATAGAAAAAAAGAAAAAGTTATTGAAAGTGATAGAAGATTCTAAAAATGAATAAAAGAGACTCTTCTCTTTAGTTAGAATATGTTTTTCTATCTTAGGAATTTTAGAGCTGTGTATTTTAAATTAATTATTGCAAGTTTCTAATTCTGTGGTTTCTTCTATGATCACTCCGTGGATTTTGTTCAAAGGACATCATATACCAGTTTGCAAAATGCACTTTGGCTTTTCATTAAAACTACAGAGAAAACTTTTTACTAGCAAATATAGCACTAAGTTACTTTATGAAAAAACGCTTACTGTCTTAGAAATAGTTATTTCCTTCAAAATGTCATTTTGGAAGAATGGTTTTTCTTAGCTTTTACATTGTTTTTTTTCTTTTCATTTGCTTACATGCCATCTTTCCTTCATTTTCAATTGAGTAGTATAAATAGTTTAACTCTCAGGAATAGTCATATGACCTCTTAATTATAGAAACCCCAGAGTATGATCTACTGTTAGAGATGGCAGTGGCCACATTAACTTATGTATCTGTTAAGCTTCAGCATTCTCAAAGACAAAAGCATTTTAAGCATAACACCAACTGTATTGATTTTAATATTATGGAACAAATTCTAATGTTTCATGTATATATAAGCCAAATTTAGATACTTTATATTATTATATCGTAGATATATATTCCAACCAAAAAGCTCAGCGCAAATTAATTTTAAATTGTAATGGATCTCAATCCAACGTGAAAGAAATATACCTTCTTATTTACCAAAGTACCTAAAGATGGTAAGGTGAGCCAACAAATATAAATAGACATATTAAATCAATTGTGTTGTGCAAAAAGAAGAAATAGAGAAAAAGAAA
This sequence comes from Homo sapiens, assembly GCF_000001405.40. Classification (NCBI taxonomy): domain Eukaryota; kingdom Metazoa; phylum Chordata; class Mammalia; order Primates; family Hominidae; genus Homo; species Homo sapiens. The sequence continues at coordinate 20,400,701 of NC_000007.14, forward strand.
ACATTTGACCAATTCCTGCCAGCACAGCTCCTTAGTTCTGGGCTATCTTCTTCCATGGAGACAAATAGATAACCTGTGTTGAGGTCTTAAGATTTGCAAATGAGAGTCCTAAACATTTTTCTTTCGAGTAACATCAGAGAAGGCCACAGGTTTTCCTCCACTGAAACCCTGTATAAACTAAAATTTAACTCCGAAACTTTACTTGGGCTCCTAGAAAATAGGAACAAAATTAAAACTGTTCATTTGAACATCTTATCTCAGGGTTTTGATTTTTATTTATTTATTTATTTTTGAGATAGAGTCTCGCTGTGTCACTCAAGCTGTAGTGCAGTGGTGCAATCTCGGCTCACTGCAACCTCTGTCTTCCGGGTTCAAGCAATTCTCCTGCCTCAGCCTCCCTCCCAAGTAGCTGAGACTACAGGTGCGCGCCACCATGCTCAGCTAATTTTTGAATTTTTAGTAGAGATAGGGTTTCACCATGTTGGCTAGGCTGATCTCGAACTCCTGACCTCAAGTGATCCAACCGCCTAAGCCTCCCAAAGTGCTGGGATTACAGGTGTGAGCCACCACGCCAGGCCTCATCTCAGGGTTTTAAACCAGTAGAGCAGAAGCCCTTTACTTTGGTTTATGTGATCTATCTCTAGTGTCAAATATTCAATACCCCACATTTTAATGGCTGAGTTTAGAAAATGGCCTATTCTTTCTCATGTTTGCTAAGAAATTAATCATCAGTGATGGGGTAGATGCTTCAGATAGGCTTGCACTCAAGTCTATTTAATGGTGCAATATAGGGATTAGTAGTTATTATATTCTTTAACCCTCAAGTTCATTCATTGGAAAATAAATGACTTTAAAAAGAGATGTTGCATATATATGAAAGAGATTACATGTGTTTCTTTTACAAATATCGTTAATTTCTCTAAGATGGTTTCTTATCAATTCAGTTATTAACAGATATAATATTGGTAATAAAAATAATTAAGGTATATAAATATATTTCCTTTTTCCTCCTAAATTTAGGTTCTTTTCAATGTAACAGTTACAATGAAAAAATGTGATGTCACAGGAGGAAAAAACTATGCAATAATCAAACCTATTGGTTTTAATGAAACCGCTAAAATTCATATACACAGAAACTGCAGCTGTCAGTGTGAGGACAACAGAGGACCTAAAGGAAAGTGTGTAGATGAAACTTTTCTAGATTCCAAGTGTTTCCAGTGTGATGAGAATAAATGTCATTTTGATGAAGATCAGTTTTCTTCTGAGAGTTGCAAGTCACACAAGGATCAGCCTGTTTGCAGTGGTCGAGGAGTTTGTGTTTGTGGGAAATGTTCATGTCACAAAATTAAGCTTGGAAAAGTGTATGGAAAATACTGTGAAAAGGATGACTTTTCTTGTCCATATCACCATGGAAATCTGTGTGCTGGTGAGTATAAATATATACAGGCAGCTTTTACTTGTCACTATTACACCAGCATAGATGTTAAAGTGTCTTTAAATCACATGTTTATAAATTAGCAAAACTGAATCTGAATTTGTTATTCAAAGTTTCAAAGTCCATGAAATTAGGGCATGGCAACAGATTTATAGTACGTGATTTTGATATTTATATCTTAACCTATTTTATACAGGAAATGCTTCAAAATAAAAACCTAAAATTAATTGTTATTCTCATGCTTTCCTTGATCTTGGAAAGAAATATACCAGAAAAGGAAATGCTGATGATATCTGACACATTTTCCAGAAGAATCAGAGTATTCTTCTAGAAGGATCTGATTCATTCTGGTAAATGGTCACTCCCTCCAACTTGCTCAGAGGATTTTATTTCTGTCAGGATGATGGGGAGTGAGCTATAAGAGTATACTTTTCATTCATATGAAAATCCTTAATGCATTATTATAAATGGTATTCTAAGCTGGCAGTAATTTAAGCCTCTCCAGTTTATTTTGGGCCACCACCAGCAACAAAACTGCCAAAGGACAGCATTCTTCAAGAAAATACTGCCTTACTAAGTAATCTAAAAGATTCGTCCTTGAGGCCACACACAGACCAAATTTTAAACATGAAATAAATTAAAATAAAAATACGAAGATCACTCTTGGGCCATTCAATTTACTGCCACCTACAGGTTAGATTCCAGAAAATCTAATCAACATTAGCAAACTAAAACAAAATACTGTTTTTAAATGAATTAAATAAACTACCTGTCATCTGAGTTCTGTGATAATTTTCCTGTGACAATGTGCTAAATTTACTCATTGAGAAAAACATCTTTTTAGTATTTGCATTTTAGTAAATAAATATTTGTTAAATTATTGACGAATGGAAACGTCATCATAAGCATATGGGACGTAACAAACCTATAAAAAATAAATGCTATAATGTAGTCTCAGCTGAAAATTTGGCCTGTATCACCTAAATGTGCAATGGAAAATTGTCTTTTTATTCTGTAACATACATAGAATATCTTAATATACAAACATTTATTCAACTGTAACTGACATCATGGGTAGGATGGATTATAGATGACTTTAGAATGAAGCAGCAGTTGTCTACTGTATTTTATAGGGAGGAAAAATATTATTTTACAGTGAAGAGAAAGAATTTTCTGAAGTCACGTCCCACAGCTGTCAATCTCTCAAGAGGGTTTCAAATACATTTGAGTATTTGTCCCAGTCTCTGTTTGCAGTGAAATATCGAATGTACTAGCTTTTCTATATGAGTATGATACTACTGACCCACAAGCAGTTGAGAATCTGCTTTGAATTGTTTCTGTGTAAGTGCAGACTGTAACTGACATGTACTTTCTCCACTAGTCTCCTTTGGGAATAAAAACACATGTTCACAGGCCTGCTGGCGGGGAGTCAGCATAAGCCTGCACAGCACAGAGGGCTTGGCCGACATTTGTCTGGCCTGGACCTCATTAGTTTTACACTTAGCAAATTGAGCTGGTCCTACAGTAGAATCTGTGGAACAATTACCCTGTGAGGTGCTCAGCAATAAAAGAAGAGAGAGAGGGAGCTAAGAAAGGAAAGGAAGGGAGAGAGATAGAAGGAAGGAAGGGAGGGAAGGAAGGAGGAAGGAAGGGAGAGGGAGAAAAGAGGAAGGTTGGTTTGTGGCTAGATAAGCTTCAGAATTCCTATATCATCATGTGAAATGTACCCCCTTTTGACGATTTCTAGTGCACATTGGCATATTAAGTTTTGGACACTTTTACTGTCTAAAATCCATTTAACTATGTGTAACTATGTTTTCTTCACCCCACATGCATAATGTTCCCCCACCACACACACCATCTTTCTTTCTTTTTTTCATTTACCATCTAAGAACTGCTCACAGTATAGAGGAGGATCTGCTCTGCTAACTTACTAAATAGTGCACTGAGGATGTGAATGCAATTGTTCAACTTCTCAAGAGACCTGATCTTTAAACATGGCACTAGCAGTACTGAAGCACTAGAAAAGTTTGCCTCACAGTCCTGCAAAGTTATCCTAGGCCTTCAGCAACATCAGAAGACTGAGAGAATAGGTGATGGAAGCCATATCAAATACCTGTATCTTTTCTAATTTCAAGTCAGGCAGTTAACATTACTTTGGCCTTTGCAGTTTCTTGATATGTGTGTTTTTAATGTAAAACGGAATATGCAATGACATTCAAGTAGTCTGGCAGCCACTGAAGCAGGGGTGCCCTTCGTGCTTGTTAGCGGAGTGCATTAGCATGGGGAGATTATCTACAGTAGAACAGCTTTGAAAACAGACCCTCCTAAATCCAGCACTGTTTGTGTCAGACCAATGAAAAAGTGATGCTGTTCCCATTCATTGGACTGTCAGTGCGTTTCCATGGAGATGATACAGGAATCCATGGTTGAAAACTCTTTACAAAGTCAGTGATCCAGATAACATAGGTCCTGCGGTGTCTTCCTCACAGGGCATGGAGAGTGTGAAGCAGGCAGATGCCAATGCTTCAGTGGCTGGGAAGGTGATCGATGCCAGTGCCCTTCAGCAGCAGCCCAGCACTGTGTCAATTCAAAGGGCCAAGTGTGCAGTGGAAGAGGCACGTGTGTGTGTGGAAGGTGTGAGTGCACCGATCCCAGGAGCATCGGCCGCTTCTGTGAACACTGCCCCACCTGTTATACAGCCTGCAAGGAAAACTGGTATGATTTCTTTGACTCCAAACATACACAAAGAATAGCTACTTTTGTCCTTTTTCGTTCTGACTTCCTTAATCTTAAACGTTGCCAGATACATTGTGACCACCATGCTAAAAAAGAATTAAATGAGAAATGCTATGAATTAGAAGACTTGAATTCAAATCTTTGACCCCTGGATAGCTGTGGAAGCATCAGAGTATATCTGGACACTCACTACCTTAGCTTTTTTTGAAATTAGAGGTTGCCTGCTACCCAGCTTACTATTTAGTAAGCGTGTGATCTCGGACAAGTTGTTATAATTTTCTGTGCCTCAGTTTCCTGATATCAAAAGTGAGGATAGTAATAATACCTTGCTGTATATCTGTGAAAGTATCAAATGATTCATATAAAAAAACTCACCTTTGTACTTGATGCATGGCAATCATAGAATAAATGTTAGCTGTTACTGCTATGTTTTATATTTAATATATATATATATTTTTTTTTTGTGACAGAGTCTCGCTCTGTCACCCGGCTGGAGTGCAGTGACATGTCACTGCAAGCTCCGCCTCCCGGGTTCACGCCATTCTCTTGCCTCAGCCTCCCGAGTAGCTGGGACTACAGGTGCCCGCCACCACGCCGGGCTAATTTTTTTTTTTTTTGTATTTTTAGTAGAGACGGGGTTTCACCGTGTTAGCCAGGATGGTCTCAATCTCCTGACCTCGTGATCCACCCACCTCGGCCTCCCAAAGTGCTGGGATTACAGGCGTGAGCCACTGCGCCCGGCCTTATTTTTAATATTTTAATGATAAAGAACAATGGTGTCTGTGACACACCCTAGAAATAAGTGATATATAAATGAAAGGTTATATATTAAATGAAGGTGACATTACTGTTTTGTGCCAATAAATTTTTCAGTAACAATTTGAGATCTGCACAAAGACTTCTAATCTAAACACTGTAACTTCCAGTTTGTTTTATTCAACATTTTAAACCATTGACTTTCTCAGATTAGTAGCTCAAGTAAGTTTTTTAGAATTATGCATGGTAATTTATTTAAATCATTTGGAAATGCAATCCTTCGATGTAATGATGGAGTTAGTTCTAATGAACATAATCAAAATTTGAATTGTTTCTGCATTGTTATTTTGTCTTTTTTTTTCTTGCAGAAAATATTATAGTCCACCACCTTTTTAAAGAATAAATATTTTCACTTCTGTTTCCCCTTGCAGGAATTGTATGCAATGCCTTCACCCTCACAATTTGTCTCAGGCTATACTTGATCAGTGCAAAACCTCATGTGCTCTCATGGAACAACAGCATTATGTCGACCAAACTTCAGGTAGGCCAAAGCTTAATAATCAAAGCACAGAAGAGTGTCTGTAGAGGATGATGTTCCCCCAAAAGACCCATAATTAACCATGCTAAAGAAAGGACTGGGCCGGGTGTGGTGGCTCACACCTGTAATCCCAGCATTTTGGGAGGCCAAGGCGGGTGGATCACCTGAGGTCAGGAGTTCCAGATCAGCCTGGCCAACGTGGTGAAACCCCGTCTCTACTAAAAATACAAAATTGGCCAGGCGCAGTGGCGGGCACCTGTAGTCCCACCTACTCAGGAGGCATAGGCAGGAGAATCCCTTGAATCCGGGAGGCGGAGGTTGCAATGAGCTGAGATCATGCCATTGCATTGCAGCCTGGGCAACAAGAGAGGAACCCCATTTAAAAAAAAAAAAAAGAGGACTGAGGGCTTTATTTTTAAATTATGAAACATTGCTTTATTCTTTATAACAATAATAAATGTGTGTTTTTGTGTCATCTTCTACCTTAGATACTTCCTTCATGTTCACTGGCTCACTTAATGTCATACAACTCTTTGAGATTGGTATAATCTCCATGTTATAGATGGGGAAACTGAGGCTCAGGGAAATTTTGTATGAGGGCTGCTGTCTCTTAACTAGTAATGTTAAGATACATGTCTTAGATCAAGATCTTCAAACTAAAAGTTCCATACACTTTTCATTATGTCACATTTATAATCATTCATCCTTAAGCTATATTTTTATCAAAATGAAAAGTACTAGGAAGGAATGGCCCTTTTGAAGTTACATATTTTGTAAAAGCAGATCATCATTACTTAGGATTTTTTTGGCTTCACCTGAAACATGAAAGCAAATATTGATTAGACATGAGGAAGTTCAGAACTAGAAGCAAGTTTGGATTATGAAGGAAAATTATGGCTCCACAGATTTTATCTGTTACTGAAATGAGTTTACATGGGGAACTCATATTTCTGGTTCACTGAGGCCTTGACAGCCAATTTATTTGGATGCCTTTCCATGGAAGTACGTTGCATGGGAATTCAGCTGTGTAGATGAGAGGGGAAAACTAACCACTCAGCCACACCATAGCAAGCATACTCATCTCTGGGAGATTTAAAAAACTGAATCGCAAACTCATTATATTGTATACATTAATATGTGCAGTTTTTGTATATCAATGATACTTAATAAAGCTGTTTAAAAAAAAAAAACAACAAAAGCAAAACAAAACAAAAGTTATTTAGAACCCAGAACCTTACTTTGCACAGGGGTAAGGTGTGGAACTCCACGGGCATTAGAAACTAACCTTGAAATTATATCTTTATTAAACATTCCCATTGCAACTATTATTTCAAGTCTCTCCCACCTGTAAGAAAAATCCCAGCTCTTAGAGAGACTGCACAAAAGAGTAAACTTTCTCCAGAGTTTTGTTTCCTTTTTCCCTCACATCCACACTGATCTTACCCCATAATGAACTTGGCTCTGAAAAAAGCCCCATGTGCTGCCAGCTGGAGCTGCGGCAATCACTCCAGAAAGCCAAGTGCCTTTCTAATAAATAGGGCCTTACTATCAACATGTCATTTATTATGTTAAGTAAACACTACTTTGACTTAAGTGTTGTTACAAAAAGTATTCTCTTAAAGCTCCTTAGGAAAAGCCCCGGCCTGACCTAAACTAAGGAAAGCATGGGCTAGGCATGAATGTTTGACCACTCATAGCATTTAAATATGCATGCAGATTTGAGCTCTGAAAATGCCCTCTGTTCTAACCTATTAGAAATATTTCTAAAATGTGTCAGTAGCTAGGGGCTGCCCCTCCCTTCACAACTATTGTGCAAGGAGAGGGAAAGGGCATTTGTTAGGCACCTCTATTATCTATCCACTCAGTTGCACTTAAAGGCTGTTCTTTCAGTCTCTCTGGCTGAGCTCCCACCAGGCGAGAAGCCAGTAAGTGGGATCAAGCCACGTGCCCCCTCTGATGATCTGCCTTAGCTGATTGAGTAGTCCTAAATCAACCAGAGGAAATGACAGTCTGTCAGAACAAAAGGCATGTATGTTATGAGCCCGAAGTCACTGTGGAGGCCTCAAAAGACACCAATTTTGAGCAGAATATTTTGGATTCTCTCTCTGTGAGACCTGTAGCAACAGAGACCTGCACTGGCATTTGGTGTTTCCATTCCAGTTGTAGCACTGGGATAGCCTTTGACCTTTCTTTCAAAGTACCTTATCACAAAAAAAAAAAAAAAAAAATAGGCTTAATTAAGTCTTCCCACTTGAGAGGAACCCTTTCCCTTATCACTGAGCTTGGCCTTATTCAAAAACATACTTAGTCCTCACTGGAAATTCTGACCCAAATCACCCAGGATTGGTTGGGCGGTCCACTATGCTAAGCCTTGGCAGGTCACCTCCGTAGTGGCCCTCTCAGGGACACCTTGGAACTTTGGATGAGGTTCCCAAACTCTGGAGAGTAGGGAGGGGAACACATGCCACTTTAGCCACAAAGTAATTTTATGAATCTGGGGCAGCTGGTGAGTTCCATGGACTACTTGCCTATTGTGCAACCATCTTCCTGTTAGATTAGGGTAATGCCTCTGGCAACAACAGAGCCTGTAGACTTTCAAGCACCAGATCTTTGGCTGTGAGGGTGTGCCAAAGATCTGGTGCTAAAATGAGATCCAGCATGCCCCTCCTCTTAACACAACATTTCTTTTTCCAGCTAGTAATTATTTGTCCTAAGCATTATTTATTCTTAAAATACACAGTGCATGTTTAGAGGCAAATGGAATAGGTGTAGTTAACAGACTAGTAAAAAGTAAATTAATGAAAATGAAGAATGATATTTTCATGTTGTCCCAAATTGGACACTCCTATTTCCTGGAGAAGCCGTGTATAATAAGAATGAAAATTTACACTTCAATTTCTGAAGAAATATTTATTCACCTATTGGAGTAGTTTTGATTTTAGCTTCTGCAGATGTTTACTTTATTTTCCATTACTGGCATGGAACAAATGAAGACCAAGCATAACAAGAGAAACATATCCTAAGGCCCAGAACTGCTCAATAATTTTTTAAAATCCTCTTTTCCATTTAGTGATCAACAGTACGTACCACAAAAACTAGTCCTCTTTCTGTCTTGGATCAAATTATGCTTGGTTATGGGACATGGACATATTCCAGTTAATACAATTAAAGAATCAAGCTGCAATGGAATAATGTGATTGAATACCTTAATCATGGCTATTTCCCAAAGGAGGGTTTTCTATTGAAAATATTTTCATAGTAAACGCGCAAGAAAAATTAGAGAGCTTTTTGTTTTGAATCAAAGGTAATTTCAATCCCGATTTGAAAATGGAGATTTGCAAATATCTTTGGCACTATTAATTGAAGTGTGAACATTATTTACTTGATAGACTCTTTGATTTACTTATTCCAATTTTTAATCCATTTATTTGTTTGCTTCATTACAGAATGTTTCTCCAGCCCAAGCTACTTGAGAATATTTTTCATCATTTTCATAGTTACATTCTTGATTGGGTTGCTTAAAGTCCTGATCATTAGACAGGTGATACTACAATGGAATAGTAATAAAATTAAGTCCTCATCAGATTACAGAGTGTCAGCCTCAAAAAAGGTCAGTGAATTCTAAAAAAGAACTGCTAACAGTATGTTATTGCCTAGTTACAATATTTAGGCCCTTAGTTAATAATAATATTTCTTCTCTATTAAGGATAAGTTGATTCTGCAAAGTGTTTGCACAAGAGCAGTCACCTACCGACGTGAGAAGCCTGAAGAAATAAAAATGGATATCAGCAAATTAAATGCTCATGAAACTTTCAGGTGCAACTTCTAAAAAAAGATTTTTAAACACTTAATGGGAAACTGGAATTGTTAATAATTGCTCCTAAAGATTATAATTTTAAAAGTCACAGGAGGAGACAAATTGCTCACGGTCATGCCAGTTGCTGGTTGTACACTCGAACGAAGACTGACAAGTATCCTCATCATGATGTGACTCACATAGCTGCTGACTTTTTCAGAGAAAAATGTGTCTTACTACTGTTTGAGACTAGTGTCGTTGTAGCACTTTACTGTAATATATAACTTATTTAGATCAGCATAGAATGTAGATCCTCTGAAGAGCACTGATTACACTTTACAGGTACCTGTTATCCCTACGCTTCCCAGAGAGAACAATGCTGTGAGAGAGTTTAGCATTGTGTCACTACAAGGGTACAGTAATCCCTGCACTGGACATGTGAGGAAAAAAATAATCTGGCAAGTATATTCTAAGGTTGCCAAACACTTCAACAGTTGGTGGTTGAATAGACAAGAACAGCTAGATGAATAAATGATTCGTGTTTCACTCTTTCAAGAGGTGAACAGATACAACCTTAATCTTAAAAGATTATTGCTTTTTAAAGTGTGTAGTTTTATGCATGTGTGTTTATGGTTTGCTTATTTTTGCAAGATGGATACTAATTCCAGCATTCTCTCCTCTTTGCCTTTATGTTTTGTTTTCTTTTTTACAGGATAAGTTTATGTATGTCACAGATGACTGGATTAATTAAGTGCTAAGTTACTACTGCCATAAAAAACTAATAATACAATGTCACTTTATCAGAATACTAGTTTTAAAAGCTGAATGTTAATAGGGGACACTGTAAAGTATCATCAAAACCTGAATAGCTTCATTGTGCACAAGTGTGGAGTTTTGTATCCTCTTACCTGGTAAACTGAAGGGATTGTTTGGCCATTTCATTTATCTTATCATTAATTCACAAGATAGTTAGAAATTCTGCCTCAAGCAAAGTACCACATTTTGAATGTTTTCTTAGATTTTGATTGCAAGTAGATATCAGCATTTTTTAAATGAAAAGCTATATTATCTTCTCCCTTCAAGGCAGCCTAAGGATGTTCTTTCCCAGAATCACTCCAACCCTTCTTGCCAGAATTCATAAAAGTACAAAATTGGAGAATAGATGATATCTTAGAAATAAGCTTTTTTTTTTTTTTTTTTTTTTTTTGAGACGGAGTTTCACTCTTGTCACCCAGGCTGAAGTGCAATGGCGCAATTAGGGTTCACTGCAACCTCTGCCTCCCGGGTTCAAGCAGTTCTCCTGCCTCAGCCTCCTGAGTAGCTGGGATTACAGGCATCCACCACCGTGCCCAGCTAATTTTTGTATTTTTAGTAGAGACGGGGTTTTGCCATGTTGGACAGGTTGATCTCAAACTCCTGACCTCAGGTGATCTACCCTCCTCGGCCTCCCAGAGTGTTGGGATTACAGGCATGAGCCACCATGCCAGGCTGCTAATTCTCCTTTTTAGTGAGTTAGGGAACTGAGCCTCAGAAAACTTAAACGATTTCTCAGAAAACACTCAAGTGATAAAGTGGCCACATTGGAAAGGAGTTTTTATCTTCTCATTGTCAGGCCAGTGTTCATTGCACAATATCATGCTACCTCTTGAATCTTTAAAATATTCAATTGGCAAATGTTTTTCAATGTGATTTACTCATGTCTTAAGTGTATGAGGAAAGTTCAAAGCAAAATAGAAAGGAATAATTCAAACTGAATTGTCCATAATCAGCTTCCAGTCTTTCATGCTAATCAGCTTCTTAAGAGACTGAAGTATGGCATACCTACAGGGGAATTCCTTCGCACCATAGCCTGTATGAACAGTGTTCCCTGGAGTTCTCCAGTGCTCAGCTTGAGACCTTGATACACGGGCCATGAGCCCTGTCTTCCCCAATGGAAATTTATTTACACTTACCTTATCCCTATGGACTTAGTCTGATTTTATTGGCTAGGAGTCTAACAGTCCTGTGTGGATATACAGTTTTGCCCATGACAACAAAGGAATCTATCCGAAATATCTTTTTTTTTATAATAAACTTCCAAGATTTGCTGTCTTCCAGCACTTGAGTTAAAGTACTAGATACTGCATTTTGATGAAGACTAACCCCATCTCATATTCTACCCTAAAGAGAACTGAAAAACCTATAATAAGTTGTTCTGGAGCCAATAAACACAGCAGCTCTGTTAGATGTCCTCTACAGCCAAGCACTTTCAATGCTAACTTGAACTGCATTTCCTTCCTCAAATGAGAGATTGACATAATTCAGTACTGTGAGTCACTTGTATAAGAAACCTTTGATCACTAAAAATAATGTAAAAATTGGGTTTAGTAGCCTAATACACATAACGTTCTTCTTAAAAAGGAAAATGGATGGATGCCTGACAACCCTCCAAAAGAAAAAAGTGTAAGATAGCCATTAAGATGATGACAATTTTTGAAATGAACATTATGATATTTATGAACAATAAACAAATTTCCGTATGGAATGAATTATCCAAAAAGAGTATAACAAAATGAAATCCTTAAAAATCCAGAGTTTATATTTTTTTTATACCCTCACTTGTTTGCACTAACTTTATAGTGGACCAAGGCTGTTACCATAGGAAGGGACAAACTTCCTTGTAGGCAACTCAGTGTTAGACGATGATTGTGGTTATGCTTGCAAAGTCTTGTGCTTATCTTTTTTGTTTTTACTTAAAAAGCTAATTTTTAAAGATTGTAGGGCTTGTATTTTACTTGAATAATTGATATCTTCCTGTGTAATGATTTGTGAGATGAGAATTAATATTTGACTAGTTAGAATTAATTAAATGGTAAGGGAACACAGGGTACTCTTAGGTTAAATAATGTATGCAAATAGAGTCTATTTTCAACTAATATGGCCACAGGAGCCTTTTGAGATTCATTGATATTAAACACAATTAATGAAATTTTAAATTGTTAACAGAATTGAGAACTTGAACAACACTTTTAGTACTGCAGCATTTTTGTGCCCTAAAGTATGTAATGATTTATAAATGTGCCATACATACACTACAACATAACATTTGCTTTGTTATGCATTTTATTTCTCTGGGGACACCATTGCACTGCAGTGCACACGTATTTATAAACATTTGTTATATTTTTGGAAACTTGCTAATATTTATTAAGTCATAGACTTTTCTGGAGGACTTAAAAATTCACTAAAAATCTGATTATGTCTTAAATGTTCAGTTTATCTTTGGTTTATTAAAATAAAAAAAAAATCTAAGATTAAACACAGTAGATATCTCTGGAGGCAATTTTCCAAAACTCAACATTAAAATTTGTGGATGCATGAGATGCAATCCTTCAAAGAATGAATCTGAAATATATTTTTAATATTTACTTAATATCCACTGAAGATATCTTTATGCAAGACAAGAGTCAGCCATCAGACACTGAAATATATTATGATAGATTATGAAGAATTTTCTCTGTAGAATTATATTCTTCCTGGAACCTGGTAGAGTAGATTAGACTCAAAGGCTTTTTCTTCCTTTTCTTACTCCTGTTTTTTCCACTCACTCTTCCCAAGAGATTTCCTAAAGCTTCAAGCTTAATAAGCCTAATAGTGAAAAATAACTGAATTTAATGGTATAATGAAGTTCTTCATTTCCAGACATCTTTAATTGATCTTAAAGCTCATTTGAGTCTTTGCCCCTGAACAAAGACAGACCCATTAAAATCTAAGAATTCTAAATTTTCACAACTGTTTGAGCTTCTTTTCATTTTGAAGGATTTGGAATATATATGTTTTCATAAAAGTATCAAGTGAAATATAGTTACATGGGAGCTCAATCATGTGCAGATTGCATTCTGTTATGTTGACTCAATATTTAATTTACAACTATCCTTATTTATATTGACCTCAAGAACTCCATTTTATGCAATGCAGACCACTGAGATATAGCTAACATTCTTTCAAATAATTTTCCTTTTCTTTTATAATTCCTCTATAGCAAATTTTTATGTATAACTGATTATACATATCCATATTTATATTTCATTGATTCCAAGACATCACTTTTTCAATTTAACATCTCTGAAATTGTGACATTTCTTGCAACTGTTGGCACTTCAGATGCAGTGTTTAAAATTATGCTTGAATAAATATTACACTAATCCAACTTTACCTAAATGTTTATGCATCTAGGCAAATTTTGTTTTCTTATAAAGATTTGAGAGCCCATTTATGACAAAATATGAAGGCGAAATTTAAGGACAACTGAGTCACGCACAACTCAACATGGAGCCTAACTGATTATCAGCTCAGATCCCGCATATCTTGAGTTTACAAAAGCTCTTTCAGGTCCCCATTTATACTTTACGTGAGTGCGAATGATTTCAGCAAACCCTAACTTAACTAACAAGAATGGGTAGGTATGTCTACGTTTCATTAACAAATTTTTATTATTTTTATTCTATTATATGAGATCCTTTTATATTATCATCTCACTTTTAAACAAAATTAACTGGAAAAATATTACATGGAACTGTCATAGTTAGGTTTTGCAGCATCTTACATGTCTTGTATCAATGGCAGGAGAAAAATATGATAAAAACAATCAGTGCTGTGAAAAACAACTTTCTTCTAGAGTCCTCTTACTTTTTATTCTTCTTTATCATTTGTGGGTTTTTCCCCCTTGGCTCTGATCACTTTAACTTCAAGCTTATGTAACGACTGTTATAAAACTGCATATTTAAATTATTTGAATTATATGAAATAATTGTTCAGCTATCTGGGCAGCTGTTAATGTAAACCTGAGAGTAATAACACTACTCTTTTATCTACCTGGAATACTTTTCTGCATAAAATTTATCTTTGTAAGCTAACTCTATTAATCAGGTTTCTTCTAGCCTCTGCAACCTACTTCAGTTAGAATTGTCTAATACTGCTCTATTAATCAGGTTTCTAGCCTCTACAACCTACTTCAGTTAAAATTGTCTAATACAGCAATATTTAAAAAAAAAACACTGCAATTGTCAAGGATGGAAAATGTGTGATTTGTGTAAACAATTTTTACCAACTTTACATTTTCCTACAGATAAATGTGAAATTTTGATAAGAAGTCTACGCAATGACAAGTATGGTACATAAATTTTATTAAGAATATTGAGTATAAAGTACTTTAATTCTAAATTATAAGAAAATATACATTTGCACATATTAATATAGAAATTCATTTTGTGTATATTTAACATAGCTTTTAAACTATTTTACATTAGCTACTTCATTATGGTTTCTTGAACTTCTGAAAAAAATTAGAAATGTATTAAACTTATCAGTAACATAAAAACTTATTTTGTTTCACCTAACGAATACTGCGTTTGTAAAAATAAATTTAATATAGAATATATTTTTAAATTAAATATTTGAATATAAAATAGCTCTAAGAAAGAAGCAAATTATCACTGAACATATTTCTTATTATTTCTGGCTTTGAATTATACGTAACTTAAATTGTCTTAAATGATACAGAATATTGGAGAATATGATACTTTCACATAATATACTATGAACCTGTTCATATAACTCTGATTGACTACTAACTTCTGTTTTATGTATTTATTAAAGAGCTGACACTGTAGTTTGTGGTGAGATGTTTATTTTTCTAACAGAGCTTATAACAGTTAGGACAAGGCATTTAATTAATGCATCATTCTGTTTAGTAGTAGGTGTTAATCAATATGAAATTCTCTGTTTTAAAATAAAAATGTAAAAATCTAAGAATATGCAAAACGCTTCCTTATTTACTTTGTGTTACATTAATCTCAAAGCTTCCAGACAACAGTACTTTGTCCCCCAAGGAAATGTAATAGCATCTATACACTGTCATTAGCAGAGGACATTACATAATTCCAAAAAGATATTACTCCTAGAAAATTGTAGGGCCAATGATAAACAGGGGAGGCCATCCTAGTTGTTCTTTTCCTTTTTGATAGTTATTTGCAGTAGAAACAGAAGAAATATTCTAATGACAAAAACCTGAAAAAAATAGCTAAAAGTTAAAACAGGCATTTTCCATGTGCCAGAGACTTCTACCACCACCTTAGGTGTGACACATTCATAACCTTCAATTGCACATTCTCAAGAGTCAGGCTTAAATTAATTGAATTTTATTGAATACCCATGTATTGTGATTTTTCTTACCCTAGAGAAGAGAATAAAGCAGAATGTGGTAGATACTGAGATCAGCTCAGTCGTGGAGACCCTAACCCAGCGGCGCCAGAGGAATTAAAGACACTCACACAGAAATACAGAGTGTGGAGTGGGAAATCGGGTCTCACAGCCTTCAGAGCTGAGAGCCCCAAACAGAGATTTACCCACATATTTATTGACAGCAAGCCAGTCATAAGATTTACTAAAAGCATTCCTTACGGGAAATAAAGGGATGGGCAGAAATAAAGGGATGGGTCTGGCTAGTTATCTGTAGCATGAACATGTCCTTAAGGCACAGATCGCTCATGCTATTGTTTGCAGTTTAAGAACGCGTTTAAGCAGTTTTCCACCCTGGGTGGGCCAGGTGTTCCTTGCCCTCATTCTGGTAAACTGACAACCTTCCAGCATGGGCATCAAGGCCATCAAGAGCATGTCACAGTGCTGCAGAAATTTTGTTTATGGCCAGTTTTGGGGCCAGTTTATGGCCAGATTTTGGGGCCTGCTCCCAACAGATAGATATATTAAAAATGAAATAAGACATTTAGACAGATTAGCTGTTCTTAAGGAGCTTTTAATAGTTTGAAGGAAAAGATAAAGTGTAATGCACCTGGTATGGTTTGGCTGTGTCTCCACCCAAATCTCATCTTGAATTCCCATATGTTGTGGGAGGGACCCGTGGAAGGTAATTGAATCATGGGGGCAGATCTTTCCAGTGCTATTCTTGTGATAGTGAATAAGTCTCATGAAATTTGAAGGTTTGAAAAAGAGGAGTTTCCCTGCACAAACTCTTTTCTTGTCTGCCACCACGTGAAGTGTGTCTTTCACCTTCTGCTATGATTGTGAGGTCTCCCCAGTTATGTGGAACTTGTAAATCCAATAAACCTCTTTATTTTTGTAAATTGCCCAGTCTTGGATATGGGTGTATCAGCAGTGTGAAAACTAATACAGTACTTTTCGATAGAAGGTCTGTGCTAAAGAGACCAGATGGACACTTACTGGCAGGTTTCACAAGGCCTTTAGTTTTGAGAACTCATCTCAATTGTGTTTGACTGCAGTCTTTCAAGTTTAGAATCCTGATTTTTTTATTGAGTGTTATTTGACCCATTTCTTCCTTTCTTCTTTAGTAATAGAACCTAACTCCTGAGTTGCAGCAGAGCACACAGTTGAGACCCCCAGACTCCTTTGTAGCTGAATGCAGCTACAGAACTTAATGTTGGCCAGTGGGATGGAGGAGGAAGTGATATGTGCAGCCCTGGGGCTCACTTCCTCTTCCTTTCTGTTGTCTGGAACAACTGGAGCTGCAGTCCTGGCAAAGGAAGCCTTGTGCTAAAATTCTTAGAGCTTCCCCTTTACCCATTGACTGTTCACCGCAAGACATCTCTGGTAGGAAAACAATCTTACCTAAACCATTGCATTTGATATTATAGCAGATAATCTCTACTGTAACCAATGAAGTTGTCTTTATATAATTGTCTCACTGAATCCTCAGGAGCAAAAAGTACCATTTTCCTTAATTTTTCAAATAGGGAAAATAAGTCACAGAAAGGTTAAGGATCTTGTATGAAAGCATGCAGCCAGTAAGTGGCTGCACTTACTGCAGGATTCATACCCAGATCTGCTTTACTTTCCATAAGTAACTTATCTATTGTGAGCACAGATTTTACTAGCTCAACAATCAGAAGTTAACCTTTGTCCCCACACCCCATAAAACATATGCAACAAATAAAGCTGAGGAGCTGATATATGTGTACAAATACTACACAGGGAAACAACATCCTTTAAGATGACAAAATTAAAAAAACCTTTAAGATGGTGAGAGGTACTCGGATTCCAGAGTTAGGAGAGCCAGGAGAATAAGAGAAAGCCCATGGAAGACAGCATTTGGCCTCGCCTTGCAAGAAAGGTGAGTATGCACATGAAGAAAGGGGAGGTAACCTGGGAGATTTTACAAATGATAAAGTATAACCAAACGCAGGAAAGAGTGTGGACTCCATCCAAGAACATTGAAATTGTATTGAGATACAGCATTAGATAACAAAAGGCAGTAACCTACAGGTCCTAAGTTATGGAGAGCTTGATTCCCAGGCTAAGAATTTTGAGCTTTGGTTACTGGGGAAGAGCAAACTGTAAAGGTTTTGCACAGAAAAGTGGTATTATTGGAGTTCAACTTGGTTGACATATAATTACATAAACTAAATATAATTTGAAGCATTAATTTTTATACTCAAATACTAAATCCAAATAGTAGTTAACACTATTAAGTATTCAATGCTATTAAATGTTATCTAATACTAAATTTAAATACAATTTAATACTAGTGTAAAATAATTTGAAGTAAAGTATTCGAAAGAAAAAATATTGAAATCCAACCTCCTAGTGGCAATCACTTTTACATGTAGGCATATTTCCATTTTATTTTTCTATGCACTTTATAACTGCTATTATACGGATAATGCATATTTACTGTACAATGTATTTATATGCATTATACAGATATGCATATTTACCATAATATCTAGGTTAAAAATACCTAGAAATTAAAATTTAAAAAATATTACTCTAATCCCACCACCCAGAGTTGGTCATTGCCATATATTTTTCAGGAAAAAAGTACATATATAATATATGTAACAATATATGTAATTACATATATATTAAATACATATAAAACATATATATAACAAATGTATATATTAATATATTGGTGACTAAGAAATATACTATCTATAGTCCGGTATAAAGAGGTTTTTTTTCCAAAAACATATCAAACATTTATCTATGTTAAGATTTATAGCTGTTTTAATAGGTGAATATTGTCCCATAAATGTGCCACGATCATATTCACTGAGAGCCCTTATATTCGCTGAGAAAAGAATGAGCGGATATGATACAAAATATCAAACAATATTCAACAAGGAGGGACTAGTTAAATTATTTTTGACTGGGGGAGACTTGTACATTTGTAATGGAGAGGAGAAGGAGCCAGGTTAGAAAGAAATGTTTATGTTGTTATGTTGGGAAGGTTTGGATGCATCTGATGTACGGTAGGAAGACATTTCAAATTGTGACAAAGAAAAGTCAGCGACGCCAGGCACAGTGGCTCACTCCTGTAATCCCAGCACTTTGTGGGTGGATCATCACTTGAGCTCAGTAGTTCGAGACCAGTCTGGGCAAAATGGCAAAACCCTGTCTCTACTAACAATACAAAAACTAGCTGGGCCTGGTGGTGTACACCTGTAGTCCCAGCTACTTGGGAGGCTGAGGCAGGAGAATCACTTGAACCCAGGAGGTGGAGGTTGCAGTGAGCCGAAATAGCACCACTGCACTCCAGCCTGGCGACACAGTGAGACGCCGTCTCCAAATAAATAAATAAATAAATAAATAAATAAATAAATAAATAAAATTTAAAAATAAAGAAAATAAAGAAAGAAAAAGAAAAAAGTTAGTGAAATGAGCATAAAGGCTTTTCATGAAGAAGTAAAGTAGAAAGGCAGGAAATATGAGCTACTGCTAAAAGGAAGATTTGAAAGAACTTGGGGACTGGCTAGATGTAGGTGATAAAGAAAGGAGTTAGTTGAAGCACCAACTCCAAAAGACACTACAGGCTTCTATCCAAACTGGATAAAACTCCCAATCTGGTCTCACAAATCACATTGGTCTTGCCAATCCATGTCTTTTAGACTAAATTCTAACTTTATCAAAATATTGGACCAGACAAAGCTGGGAAATTTTAAACCATGTCAATGATCATGCTTTCAAATATTATCAAAATAAACCTAATTGAAAGATAATATCACTTTCGATGTAATTATTTATATATGAACTTTTTCATCATAATTAGAAGCAGTTGTGGTCTGTACAAGAAAAACAAGTGATATCTTGTCTTTCAACGTGGTAATCCTTTAGCACTGATGTGGGCTGGTGCATTATTTCATACTCAGGGCCTAGTCACTCAGACTAGACTGGTGAGAGGGAAACTCCTGCTTTATTGGGCTTTGGCATGCTCTTGCTGTTTTACTTTGTCATGATTACGAAATTCATTCTACCATCATTAAAGTCAAGAGAGATAATTATTCACTTAAAAAATCTTAATTTACCATTAACATTTTTCCCATTAAATACAAGATAATCTATAAATTCACAGTTTCAAAGGGTAGTTCCCAGTCCAAGAGCATCACCATCACCTAGAAGTTTGTAGAAACGCAGATTTTTTGGTCTCCATCAAGACCTTCTGAATCAGAAACTCTGGGACTGTGGCCCAGCGATGTTCTTCCCCCCTCCCAACCCGGAAGCTTATTAGAAACCAGCAGTGTGTTTTAACATGCTCTTTAAGTGACCCTAATGCCCACTGATGCCTGAGAACCACTTGCAAAGAGTGAAAACTAACATCAGATGACCAAAAAGGTACAGATTATGCTGACCCCAGACAAAACTTTATCTGATCTTGAGGGGAAGAAAATGTTCTAGGAAACATAGCAAGACTGTCTCTTACAAAAAAAAAAAAAAAAATTCTTTTAATTAGCCAGGCCTAGTGTCAAATGCCTGTAATCCCAGCCACTTGGTAGGCTAAGGCAGGAGGATCACTTGAGCCTAGGGGATCAAAGCTTCGGTGGGCTATGATCACTCTGCTGTACTTCAGCCTGACTGACACAGTGAGATTCTGTCTCAGGAAAAAAAAAAAAAAAAAATATATATATATATATATATATATATATAAATATATACATTTATACACACATATATATATATTTCTACAAGCACGCATCCAAATTGTCTCTATTTCACTAATTTTGCTCTTATTCTGGTAGTAAGTCTGCTTTAATGAGGGCTTGGAAAAGGGAAAATGACCCTCTGAGTGCCAATGACTAGCAAAAGGGAAACAAAACATAGAGACATACGTGTAAGGGTCAGTCGGACCCAAAGAATAAGTGAAACATCAGGGGAAAAAAATATATGTGTCTCATTATTGGAAAAATAAAGCCAGGACAAAAGATGAGAGATCATCAGTCAATAATTGTGGGGAGGAGTCAGAGGGGACTTGGATTAATGGAAAGTCTAAATCTAGAAAGTTTAATTTTGTCTAACATAATTTTCCATGATACTCCAACTAGACGATAAGTATCTAGGCACCTATTACGTTAGGCTTCTGTGAGCTATGATGTCTGTATCTGTTCCATTTTTCTAGTAACATACTAAATGGAAATAGGCCAAAGCATAATTTAGGATATAAATTGTTTTGATGAAGGGTTCCATCTTCTCTTACAAATGTTTACTATTTTACCTACAGAGAGTAACTAGCTCTCATTTCAGACAGCAGTCCAGGTGGGCCTACTAGTAAGAGGGTGCTATAAAGTTAGCTCCAGGACCTCACCTCAAAGAATGTGACTGAGAAAAGATTTACAGACTATGATCACAGTGCTCTTCTAAGAACTGTTCATTAAATAAGCCACAGATATTAAGCAGTAGGTGTTTTCTGTTCTTCCTGAAGATTATTAGGTTTTACCAGGGATAATAGAATAATACTCGCTGGAAATTAAAATTCCTCCTTTGTTTATTTATTTCAATACCATATTCATTTGTTAACTTGCTTGGTCTCTGTTTAGAATATTAGTTAGCAAGGAATAAATATTTTGTTTACAGTTTCCCAAAACGTTTTCTTTTTTCAAGAAAACACAATTTCTTATGTATTTTTGGTGGGGCATTTAACAGGCCTGAGAAAGCTTACCAGGGTAGAAATTTGTCATGAAAATTTACTTTTAATCCCTGCCAGATCCAGTGATCAGGTGGGCACCAAGGGCATGGGATGCTAGAATGGGCCTCCACCTACATCACTTTCAACTGGGGCACCTACTAATTGTTATGCTAAGATATCAAGGTGAGGTGTGCCCTCCCTCCCACAGTTTCAGATTTTCAAAGGAAATGGTACTGAGAACCTGCTATAGAATTCTGGACCCCTCAAGCCATGGAGGATATAAAGAGGGAAGAGATAGGAGGAGAGGAAGATCGTTTAAACATTTTTTGAGACCTCTCTGCTGTGAGCCTCCACTCCACTTCTCTTTGGGGACAGTCTGAAGATGTTCCACCTAACCTTCTGCTTGGTGGGGCTTCAAGGGAACCATGAGGAGCTTTGAAACGTGTTCCTTACTTTTAAGAGACAGAGAAGTCTGATGCTTGGCTTGTGCCAGAAAGTCTTCATCGTAGATTATTGCTAATAACACATAAGACTGTGGCCTGGGTCCTATCTCCTCCCAGGAAAACTAAAGGGAATAAATGTCTAGTACTAGTTTTGGTATGTCCATTCTAACTCTAATTAAGTGTCTATTCTCACTCCACAGGTTAGAGTTTAATTTGAAACAGAATATATAAGTACCATTTTCTTTCCTTTCAAATAGCAAATCAATAATATCAGACTCTTTTCAGGAATGATTTTGGATATAACTAACAACTCCCTCTCCCCCGACCAAAGAATCTGAAAAGAACCAAAAATGTCTATAAAATATTTTCAATTAAGCTGTTTAACATGTTTTCTTAAAGTAAGAATTTATATTTTGATACATTTGAAATTTATGAGATTACTTTGCATAAAGTAGATTACCTTTTTTTTTTTTTTTTAGAAAAAAGTAGATTACTGGCTGGGCACAATAGCTCATGCCTGTAATCCCAGCACTTTGGGAGACCGAGGCAGGTGGATCACCTGAGGTCAGGAGTTCGAGACCAGCCTGGCTGACATAGTGAAACCCCGTCTCTACTAAAAATACAAAAAATTAGCCGGGCGTGGTGGCAGGAGCCTGTAATCTCAGCTACTCAGGAGGCTGAGGTAGGAGAATCGCTTGAACCCAGGAGGCGGAGATTGCAGTGAGCTGAGATCGCGCCATTGCACTCCAGCCTAGGTGACAAGAGCAAGACTCCATCTCAAAAAAAAAAAAAAAAAATCAGTGGATTACCTTAATCTACAGATTAAATTTTCAAATACAATTTTCTCTTGGTATCTGTGGGAGATTGGTACCAGGACCCCTGAGGAAACCAAAATACAAGGATGCTAAGGCCCCTTATATAAAATGGTGTAGTATTTGCATATAACCTATGCACATCCTCCTGTATACTGTAAATCATCTCTAGATTATTTATAATGCCTTAGACACTGTAATGCTATGTACATATTTATTATACTGTATTGCTTTTTATTTGTGCTTTTTTGTTGTATTGTTATTTTTAATTGTTTGTAAAAAATATTTTCAATCTGCCATTGGTTGGAGCTGCTGATGTGGAACAGCAGGATCTGGAAGGCCAACTGTATTGTTTACTTCTCACTTAGCAATTTCCTAGGATTCCTTTTGTTTGATTAAGAACTTCTATTTTTAAAAAAATAGAAATACAGAATGTTTTCCAGTGTTTAAAACAATCACCATGTTTTCCTTTTGACCTTAATAAATTGTAAAAAAGATCAATTGCTAAGTTTTGAAGTTTCATTTCCTTGTCCTTTGATGACATTAACTCTATTTGGGAACAAGGATTATGTAAAACTCATTGAGTCAAAATTGAATGACTAGAATACCAGCTATATATGCCATCTTTTCAATTTTTCTTATTAATAATGGAAGAATATGCAATTTAAGGTTCTTCCTAGATTCTCAGTCATTTAGTAAGAATAAGCATACATATTATATCTATTCTGGTAATGGGGAGATAATGGTCTAATTAGTCAGCAATCACTTGAAAAAAAAAGGGCAGAATAAAAGAAGAAATGCACACACTTCCAAAGAATTGAAGAGACAGTAAATGCGGTCTTAAATATGTTGATGGGTGAATGTGTCAATGAGTTTCACAATCGGTGTGGGTGGTTCAAGAATAAGGAAGAGGCAAATGGAGAAAAATGTTACAGGAGGGAAACTCTCCATCACTTATCTTCCATCCTTAACACACACACACACACACACACACACACACACACACACACATACAAACACATTGTATGAGATATCATATCAGTGATGACATAGCTGCCCAGGACCACTTTTGAAATTTTTTTCATTATATTGAATTCACATACCATATAACACACCAATCTTAAGTTTACAGCTTGAGGAGTTTTGACAAATGTATACATCCACATAACCCCACCACTATATCTTAACATATCTGTCAATATAGAAGGCTGTTTATGCCCCTTCCAGTCAACCAATTCCATCCTGTGATGCTTAATTTTATGTGTCAACTTGACTGGGCCACAGCACCCAGATATGTGTGTGGTCAAGCATTATTTTGGATGTTTTAGTGAGGGTGTTTTTTGGATGAGATTTACGTTTGAATTGTGGACTTTGAGTAAATCAGAGTGCCCTCCATGCTGTGAGTAGGCCTCATCTAATAAGTTGAAGGCCTGAGGAGAACAAAAAGCTGAGCTTGCAGAGCAACAGGGAATTTTCCAGCGACTACCTTTGGACTTCATTTGCCTCGGCTGTTCTTATTTCGCCAGCAGACTGCCTTTGGACTCAAACTGCAACTCTCCTGGGTTTCCGCCTGTCAGCTGCCTCCATCAAAATTTGGACTTGCCAAGACTCGAGAATCACATAGCTAATTCCCTAAAATAGATCTCTTTCTCTGGAAATACACATCTTGTTTGTTCTGTTTCTCTGAAAATACACATTTGTTTGTTCTGTTTCTCTGAAGAACCGTAACATACCTCCCTTTCCATGATATCACTGATTTCTCTTAAACAGCCAACAGCTTTCTTACTTTAATTCCCCTTAGAAAAAAATAGCCTTTTTCTTAATATTGACCCAAACCTAATCTTTTCATAGAAACATTAAAATATGGAAGCTAGCATAATATTTAAATTACATTTCCTGGCCGGGCACAGTGGCTCACACCTGTAATCCCAGCACTTTGGGAGGCCAAGGCGGGTGGATCACCTGAGGTCGGGAGTTTGAGACCAGCCTGACCAACATGGAGAAACCCCATCTCTACTAAAAATAGAAAATTAGCCAGGCATGGTGGCGCATGCCTGTAATCCCAGCTACTTGGGAAGCTGAGGCAGGAAGATCGCTTGAACCTGGGAGGCAGATGTTGCGGTGAGCCGAGATTGTGCCACTGCACTGCAGCCTGGGCAACAAGAGTGGAAACTCCATCTCAAATAAATAAATAAATTACATTTCCTTTTTTGAAGTCAGATTTACTGTAGTATAATTTACTCTATAGAAAAATTCACTTTTTAGGAGTATATTTAGATAGATATTGACAAATGTGCCTATATAGTTGTGAAACCACTACCACAATCAAGATACAGAATATTTCCATCAATATTCCAATACCCCTTTGTAATCAATCCTCTTTCCCTACTCTCAGCTCCTGGCAACCCTTGATCTGATTTCTCTCCCTATAGTTTCTCTATTCCAGAATGTCACATAAATGGAATTATCTCATATGTATTCTTTTGTGTATGGCTTCTTTCATTTTTCATAATGCTATTGACTCAACCATGTTTGCATGTACAAGTAGTTATTTTTGTTGCTGAGTTGTAAGATTCCACTGTATCAATGTGCTGCAATTTGATTATCCACTCACTGGTTGGTGACTATTTGCAGTTTTCCAATATTTGGTGATGATGAGTAAAGGCTCCGTAAGCATTCTCAGATAGCTCTTTGTACAGACATGTGTTTATATTTCTGTCATTTAAATACCTAGGAGTAGGATTATTAGGTTGAATGGTAAGTGTATGGTAACTTTATCAGAAACCACCAAATTGTTCCGTAAAGTGCCTGTGCCATTTCATGTTCCCAGCTGTAATGTATGAGTGTTCTAGTTGCTCAGCATCCTTGATAGGCATTTGTAGAGTCAGGTTTTAAACAGCCATCTGATATGGTTTGATTGTGTCCCCACCCAAATCTTATCTTGAATTGTAATTCCCATAATCTCCATGTGTCATAGGAAGGACCACATGGGGGGTAATTGAATCATAGGGGTGCTTACCCCCATGCTGCTGTTCTCCTGATAGTAAGTTCTCATGAGACCTGATGGTTTTATAAGGGGATTTTCCCCGTTTTGCTCGGCACTTCTCCTTCCTGCCATCATGTGAAGAAGGATGTGTTTGCTTCCCCTTCTTCCATGACTATAAGTTTCCTGAGGCCTCCCCAGCCATGCAGAACTGCGAGTCAATCAAACCTCTTTCCTTTATATATTACCCAGTCTTGGGCAGTCCTTTACAGCAGCATGAGAATGGACTAGTACACCATCCTAGTAGGTGCGTACTACTGAATCTTTGTGGTTTTAATTTGTGCTTCCCTAATGACTAAAGGTGCTGAGCTTCTTTTACGTGCTTTTTTGTTATCTGCAGCAGCCAGCCTCCAAAATGAACCCTCAAATGATCCCTAGATACTGATATTCACAGTCCTATGTAGTTTTTTCCTAAATTTAGTAGGCTGTGTAACAAACAGAATATGCAGGAATGATGGTGTGTCACTTCTGAGGTCAGTCATAAAAGCCATTGGTGCTTCCTCCTTGATCTCTCTTGGCTCACCCACCTTGTTGGAAGCCAGCTGCCATGTTTTGAGGATGTTCAAAAACTCTATAGAGAGATCCATGTGACAAAGCACACAGGCCACCTGACAATAGCCAGCACCCAGCTGCAAGTGAGCCATTTTGAAAGCAGATCCTCAAGCCCCAGTTAAGGTACAAATGACTTCCTGCCCTGGCCAACATGTTGACTACAACGTCAATGAAAATCAGAACAACCAGCAAAGCTGCTCCTCTTTTACTGAGCTGCAAAAACTGTGAGATAAAAAATGTTTATCATAATTTTATGACACCAAGCCTTGCAGTAAATTGTTATATAATAATAGATAACACAGCATTCATATCTTCTCTTTGGAAAAATATCTGTTCAAACCTTTAGTCTGAATTTTAAATTTGGTTATTTGTTTTTTGTTACTTCAGATAAAAGAGTCATTTGTGTATTTTGGATTTAAGTCCTTCATAAGATAAGTTTTTATAAATATTTTCTCCCGGTTTTTGACATTTTAAAAAATTTTCTTAATCACATCTTTCTAGAGAAGTATCATATTTTGATGAAATCCAATTTGTCTATTTTTTCTTCCCTTGGCTCATGCTTTTGGTGTCATATTTAAGAAATCTTTGCAGAGTAAAAGGTCATCAGCTATTTTCCTACATTTTTCTCCAGAAGTTTTATAAATTTAGGTTTTACATTGAGACATGTGATCCATTTTGAGTTGTTTTTTAATATGGTTTGAGTTCCTTTTTCAAATGTGTAATTGTTCCAGCATCATTTCTTAGGAACAGTATTCTTTCTTCGTGAAATAACTTTGATGCCTTTGCCAAAAATCAATTAACTACATGTGCATGTTTTTATATCTAGTCTCTCTTCTATTCCATTGTTCTATATGTCTACCCTTCTACAAAAATTCATTGGCTTTATTACTCCAGTTTTATGGTAAATCTTGAAATCAGGTAATATGAATCATCTAACTTTGTTTTGCTTTTTCAAAATTTCTTTTGCTATTCTAGGTAATATGCTTTTCCATATACATTTTTAAATACTTTTTTTCAGTTTCTATTTTAAAAGCCTGCTGAGCCACACATCTACAACCATCTGATCTTTGACAAGGTTGACAATAACAAGCAATGGGGAAAGGACTCCCTATTCAATAAATGATGCTGGAATAACTGGCTAGTCATATGCAGAAGATTGAAACTGGACCTCTCCCTGACACAAAAATCAACTCAAGATAGATTAGACTTCAATGTATAAACTAAAACTATAAAAACTCTAGAAGGAAACCTAGGAAAAAGCAATTGCAACAAAAACTGACAAATAGGACCTAGTTAAACTGAAGAACTTCTGAACAGAAACAAATACACCCTCAAACTATCACCAGAGTAAATAGACAACCTACAGAATGCGAGAAAATATTTGTAAACTATGCACCTGACAAAGGTCTAATATCCAAAATCTATAAGGAACTTAAATCAATAAGCAGAAAACAAACAACCCCATTAAAATATGGGCAAAGGACATGAACAGACACTTCTTAAAAGAACGCATACACGTGGCCAACAAGCACATGAAAAAAATGCTCAACATCACAAATCATTAGAGAAATGCAAATCAAAACCACAATGAAATACAGTGTCACACCAGTCAGGATGGCTTATAGATGACTAAATGTTTTTACTAAATGTCAAAAAATAATAGATGCTAGTGAGATTGTGGAGAAAAAGGAACCATTATACACTGCTGGTGGGACCGTAAATTAGTTCAGCCATTGTGGAAAACAGTTTGGAGATTTCTCAAAGAACTGAAAAAACTACTATTTTGATCCTCACCCTCCTCACAGCAATCCTATTCCTGGGTATATATACCCAAAGGAATATAAATCATTCTACCATAATAACACAGGCACATATATGTTCATCGCAGCACTACTCACAATAACAAAGACATGGAATCAGCCTAGATGCCCATCAACAGTGGACTGGATAAAGAGAATGTGGTACATATACACCATGAAATACTATGCAGCCATAAAAAGAGAATGAAGTCCTGTCCTTTGCAGCAACATGGGTGCAGCTGAAGACCATTATCCTAAGTAAATTAACACAGGAACAGAAAACCAAGTACCACGTGTTCTCACTTATATAAGTGGGAGCTAAACACTGAGTATATATGGATACAAAAAGAGGAACAATAGACACCAGGGCCTACTTGAGAGTGGAGGGTGGGAGGAGGATGGGGATTTTAAAAACTACCTATTAGGTACTATGCTCATTACCTGAGTGACAAAATTATTTGTATACCAAATTCCAGCAACACATAATTTGTCCACGTAACAAACCTGCACATGTACTCCCTGAACCTATTATTACTAATTTTACATAGCTTTCAACATACATATCTTACACATACTTTGTTAGAATTATCCCTAAGTATTTGATATTTTAGTGCTATTTTAATGGTACTGTTTTATTAATTTTATTTTTTATTGTCACTATAGTGAATTATGATTTTCATGCATGGACCTTTCATCCTGTGACCTTACTAAACTCATTGATTAATTTTAGTAGCTTTTTTGTAGAGTTTTGGATGATTGTATAAATCATCTATCCTAGCCATCATCTGGGGCTAGGACCTCCAGTACAATGTTGAATAGGAATGATGAAAGCAGACATCTTTCATCTTTGCATTGTCTTCAATTGTGAGATGAAAGTATTCAGACTTTCACTATTAAGTTACCAGCTCCAGGCTTTTTATATATTCCCTTTATTATCAAGTTGGGGAAATTATCTTCTGTTTTTAATTTGCTGAGAGTTGTTTCATAATGGATGCTAAACTTTGTCAAATGCCTTTACTGCCTCTATTGACATGATCATATGGCTTGTGTCCTTCTTTTAGCTTGTTGATATGGTGCTTTATATTTATTGATTATTTTGAATTCTGATCCAACCCAACTCCTTTAAAAACCCTCCATGGTATAACCTCACTCTACCTATGCATCCATATTTTGCAGGAGGTGCAATCACAACCCCTAAGCTGTGGTTTCTCACTATGCTGCTTAACCTTTGACATGCAATGCTCTTTTTCCTTCACCTATCAAATCCCCATCTCTTTAATTCCACCTCCTCCATGAAGCTATCTCTAATTACTTAAACTCTGTCTCTACGGGCCAATCATTCGGACATGAACACTCTTCCAATCCATTTTTCATTCGCCATGTCAAGAAGTGGGAGAAATTGCTAGGGTAAGGGAGGCCTGGAGTGAGGACAAGAGTCAGTGGGGGCGAGTACTTAGGAGGCAGGGTAGAATGATATTTGAGGATCACAGTTGGTATTTTTCTCCCAGGACAACAACACAGGGAATTGCTTTAGTTCTGGGGAGATTCCAGTAATGTATAATCACAGATAATCCTCCTCCCTCCATTAATGTTCTTGGAACAATTCTGGAAGACTGTGGTCCTTTTTTCCCTTGTGTGTTACTGCAGAGAAAAAGAGAACCTCTTGTTTCACCCAAAATTCTTTGCAAAAACATGGATAAAATAATAAGGTAAAATGTTACATTTATTCATTCAACAAATGCACAGTAGCACCTTGTATGAGCCACTTTGCTAAGCTTTTTTACTATATGGGATACAAAAATAAAACCTATTTGACATTTCTGAATTTAACTATATATATTATCTTGTATATACTTATTCTTTGCATTGAAATCTTCACTGCTCTGTAATTTCCCACCCCAGAAACACTCAGCTTCCTTTCACTCAAGGAAAAGTGCTATTCGGTACACAAATTCTAAAATACATGCTCACAAAAACACATTAACATCAATTTAGCACTATTTTGCATCACTTTACACAACCAGTTTCATTATCAAATATTCATAAAAATAAACTTTAATTTTTAAAACCTTTGAATATTTCCTCATAATCTTCCTCGTAATTTCTCCAAATAGAAAAATTTATCGAAGATATAGAAAACTGGTTCCCATTAAAAATTAAGAATAAAATACACCTTGGTTAAAACCAACTTTTGGGATTAAAACAGTATGTAACTCGGAACAGTGCAGCTTTTGGCAGTCAGGTTTCCTATGATGAAACTGGCATCTGTTTTCATGGAAGTATTTTGTTACTTATGCGTCTGGACATCTTCAGCTTTTGACCTTAATAACAGTCTTCAGATGATTATTAAGTTACCTTGATAAGAAAATTCAAATTGCAAAATATTTATTTTTAAAATGTATTTGTCTTAGTGTGGCAGACATACTACAGAGGAACTGCCTGGTAAAATAGAAATTACCAAATATATTGGATTAGCACTTACCCACCCCCTCGGATCAGAATCTTAAGACACAACAGTAAAACTTTGGTGATTTCCATGATCCAAGATGAAAAACAAAGAAGAAAGTCTTATACTGTAAGTAATAGTGGGGATTTTTCTCTCTTATATTAGAACTTAGCTAAAGTTCAGCTGGAATTTACAGGGCTGAATGGTCAGAATCAAATGTATGGCTTGAACAGAAAACACAAATGAGTTGTCATAGGAATGACAGGCTAGGACACTTGATGAATTCCAGTTTTATGTCTTACTCACAATCAAAATACTGTGTCCAAATTGTACCTTGAACAATTTCGGAGTCATCTGCCTGGGAAAGTCTGTATTCCCCTTTCTTCAATACTTGGACACTCTGATTTTTGGTACGTTTTTCTAGTTAAGCCTTGTGGATGCAAAGTAAATAATTTATTAGTTCTAGGGAAATATGTAATGGTACAGGAATGAACAGCATAACACAGCTTATGAAAGGACTGTTTTTAAAGTATACAGCTATGTAGAGAGTATTCTTCAGTGCCTGGCTATAAATCATCCATGAAAACCAATAGAGACCCAGTCCAGAATGTTAGAACT
This sequence comes from Homo sapiens, assembly GCF_000001405.40. Classification (NCBI taxonomy): domain Eukaryota; kingdom Metazoa; phylum Chordata; class Mammalia; order Primates; family Hominidae; genus Homo; species Homo sapiens. The sequence goes on from NC_000007.14 coordinate 20,431,592, forward strand.
GAGAGGGAATATAGGAAGGACCCAGAGGGAAGAGGAATACCTTGCCCATTCCCTGTCAGCTCCCAGAGGGCAATCCACATTGTGGAACTAATTTCCACAAACACACAGAAGTCCACCCTCTGCACATCCCCAAGCTCTTCTTCTCTGTTCATACCCTCCTCCTTGTAAGGGGTGTCTGCTGTGTTATTTAACAATATTCAATTCTTTTGTAAAAGACAAGAAAAGCAAATAGAGTTGATACAACTCTTAAGAAATACTCAATATAAATGTAAGTATAAAAGGAGCTTGTGAGACACAGAAGCTTATAGTAGGTATTAAGCATAGATAGCAAGTTAATGACCTGTGAACTATGTCAGACATAGGGAAAGAAAGAAGCACATCAGTGTGTTAAACAAAGGTGAGGATGGAAAGCCCAAAGGCAGCAAAAATTCATGGTCTGTTAAATGTTGATGAGTTAAGAGAGAGGCCAAATATAATATTCATGGGACACTGAATAGGCACGAGAGTTTAAATTGCCTCAACTCACTGGTGACACCCATTCTGGCCAGGTATCCTCTGCCTGAGATGTGCAGATAGAATCCACAGCTGCTCAGTAAGTTAATGTGGAAGCTACTGCTGAGACCAAGCCGATTTGCCCCTGTGTGTCTTCTACAGTGCAAGTGTTGACTCCAGGCACTGTCCATCTGCTGAGTCCCTTGCTCACAATCAAACCTGGTCCTTGTAATCATGCAGACAATGGAGAGAGCTGATAAGGTGGAAAGAGAGATAGGACCTAGAAACATTGCGTGATGCAGAATTCACATAGCATGGTTCTTTTAACCCTCTACCCTCTCCGGTGTCTTCACCTACACCATATCTTTTTTCTTGCATCTCACTCTGTTTTACGTTGATTCAATTAACCACAAGCTTTTACAGTTTCAGTTTAGTCTCTGAATCTTTCTATTCTGTGACCTCTGGGATAGTTTTCCTGGTTGTACACTGGAAGATTACCATTGCATCAAGGTCATTCCCTTAAAACATCCTGCTTCTCCATCTCCACTGTGGACTCTCAGCCTTGCTGTTCTGCCTGGAGAAGAACCGCCACACGTAAGTAAGGATCCCAGCAGGCTCCAGATACTACTGTTGAGCTCCTCACACTTAGAACCTCTTAGTGTCATCTAAGTCTAAACTACGAAGTGCCTCCCCATACCTGAGACTTTTTAACTGAGTAGGCTAATTTTCTTTTCTTTTCTTTTTTTGAGATGAAGTCTCACTCTGTTGCACAGGCTGGAGTGCAGTGGCACAATCTTGGCTCACTGCAACCTCTGCCTCCCATGTTCAAGTGATCCTCCTGCCTCAGCCTCCCAAGTAGCTAGAACTACTGGTGCCCACCACCACACCAGGCTAATTTTTGTATTTTTACTAGTGGCAGGGTTTCACCATGTTGGCCAGGCTGGTCTCGAACTCTTGACCTCAAGTGATCCACCAGCCTCGGCCTCCCAAAGTGCTGGGATTACAGGTGTCAGCCACAGTGCCCAGCACGAGTAGGTGAATTTTCTACATATAATTTCCTATTCTTTTACTGTCTTTAGGTTGCTGGTTTTCCATTTTATTATTTTGTTTTAGTTTTCTTATTTACTTATTTTTTGCTTATCATTACCAAACCCTAACTATTAATGGAATTCAATTGGTTATTAGCTCTCTAATAAAGGAATATGACAAAGAGAACAAAATTTTTTGCATTATAATTTAATCAGTGTCACTTGACTGTGAACATGTAGTTTATCAGAAGGAAACACGTACCCAACAAGGGGAAGCTGTGAAAGGCAAAGGATTCTTACATATTTAATATCTTTAAGTGTTTTCTTCTGTTGGGAAAAAAGAATGGCATATTACCTGTAGCTGGTTTTATAATATTTTATGTCATAGATTATTTAGTCATGAAAATTAAGAGTGGGATAAAAGTCATATCAATGGAATGTCCTCCCAATCTAAATAGTGGAACTGAACTTTACAGAGGGATTTTCTTCTCTTTTGTATAAATTAAAAGTTGATTGTAATTTATGAAATAAACTCATAATCCTGATTCCAAAGCTTGTTCATTTAATATTATTTTTATCACTAGTAATTTTGGTATTTTAGACCATTATTGAAAAGATTTCAGTTTCTGAAAGTGTTCCTCCTAATCCTATCTCCCGTCACCCAGTTCCCTTCTCCACAAGCACCAAATGTTTGTAGTTTCTTTAGTAGAAGAAATTAGATAAAATAGAATGACTCAAGTCACTCAAAAAAATTTAGTTTTTACACTTTTCTTAAGTTTGGTGAGCATGAGAGGAAATAATTTAATCAATTTCCATCAAAATACATTTTAATATTTTATTATTAATAATAAAGTAATTACTAAAATAGGTTAAAAGGTTTTTTGAAATGCAAGTGAATTTTCAAATTATATTTTTATATTTACTGAAACAGCTTGAGAAATAAATATTATGCTACTAACTGTGTGATTATGCACAAGTGTCTTAGCCTCTCTGTGCATCCATTTCCTCATCTCATAAAAATGAAAATAAGAATAGTGCCTACCTTATAGAGTTATCGTAAGGATTAAAACAATGAATGCATGTTAGGTGCTTAGAATAAATGCCTGACAATCATTTGAATTTCTTCTTTTGTGAATTGTTCATGCCCTTTCTTGATTTCTGTATGACATGTTTATCCCTTTAAAAAAATGGTAATACTATGCATTCAATATTTATAACAGTTATAAACCAGTTGTAAATACAACAATACTTTAAATTAAATGACATTGAATTCTTACCATGTTCCAAGCATTCTGTAAAGCATTTTTGCCTACCTAATCTCATTTAATACTTCAAATAACCTTAGGAGTAGATATGATTATTATCTTCCTTTGATAGATGAGGAAAAGATTAGAATTATTATTTTTTTATTTTCTACCTATGTGAACTTGGGGAAATTAATTTAGAGGGATAAACACATCATAGGGAAATCAAGAAAGGACATGAACAATTCACAAAAGGAGAAATACAAATGATTAAGTGCCAGGCATTATTCTAAGCACCTTACATGCATTCACTATTTTAATCACCCCCCAAAAAATGTCCTATTGGTAGTTATGTTAGGATTTTAAAAATTAATTTAGCAAGAATTGGCTTCTTTAAAAACAAAAGTAGTTTTCCTGTACAAGTTTATCTTATATAACTCTGCATATTTAACTCTTCTTTTATACCTCTCAATATATTACTGCAGCTTTATTCGTAGGCCATGTACATGCTTTGGAAGATTATTCCTGGATGTGTTATAAACTTTCCTTTTTTCTATTCAATAAAAAAAAATCCCCACCCTCTCTCATCATTATTTATTTTAACTAGATATAAATTATATCTAAGGAAGTTATTGATTGTTATAAATCTGTTATCATATCTCATCTGTTTCTTTTAGTTCTAATCTTTTTCTGTTATTTTCTCTTGCTGGCCAGGTTATAATCAAATCATCTACAAAATGGCCATCATCTCTTTTGCCTTTTAAAAATTTTATTATTAAACCTTTATTCCTCTGAACCAAAGTGTCATCTCTGAGGGGTAATATCCTTTGGGAGGATAAGGAGATAGTTGGCTTTTCTCAGTCACTTTAACTTACTAGTGTAAATTCACTAATCACATTCTTTCTAGGAGGATATTTAATTAAGATGATGTCTTAACTGAGAAAGCAGAGAATGTAGTCGGAGAAAGAAAAAGCTGAGAATTGTTTCTAGGCCTGTGGAGGTCAGATATGAGCAAAGTTGCTAATATCTGGAGAAATACCAGAGTGTCCTTTCTTTTGCAATGATTATTAGGGAAGGCCCTGATCTCAAGTGACCTTTCCACTCATCACCCTGGCCCTTTCCCAGGTCTTGATCTGGCTACTGCTTCCACTTCACTTGATGACAAGAACCAAATGAGAAATGCTTTTACAAGGAGCTTGGCTCAATACCCGCACATTTCCTGAATTGCGCAGGGCTGCATGCTTGGAATATGAATGGTAGAATATTCTGGATTTCATTATTACCCAACCAAATAATGAAGCATTTTCCTGCTTCTGGAACTTAACACAAACAAAAATAAAAAGCTTTATTACTCTTCACTCTAGTGATCTAAGATTTTTGAATGTTTTTTTTTTTCAAAAGGTGCTAAAACTTAACAGAACAGGGAGATGACTTTAGTTAGACGAATAACAACATTTTAAATATCTATAAATAACAAGTAGGAGAAATGTCTACTATTTGCAAACTTAAAACTTCTCTCCTGCTAAGCATCATATGGTTGAAAATAAGCAAAAGAGGAAAGGAGGAGGACAGGAAAAGAGAGGAAGGGAGGAAGGAAAGAAAAGAAGTGGAAGAAACCCTTACATGCTTTTCGTTTAAGTGACTTTTCCAGCCACAATTAATTCTCATGTCAGTACTTTTTTTCTTTAATCAATATGCCCTTCTGCAAACCACCTTCCTGAATATTTTTGAGGAAAAATTATTTTGGGGATTTTCCAAATGGAAGTACCTTTCTGAAATCTAAAAATGCCTGAGAAAATGATTACCTTTAGACTTAGGTACTGTTTAAGACTAAAGCTTAAAAGCTTGCTTTAGGGCTCAAAGAGCTAAGACTTTACAAAGTAATTCAGGAATACCTTTTGTGATTATCTTTTTGGAAAATGAAATAAGATTAACACCACCTAATGTTTTGGAAATGTTTAAGTAGAAAATGAAAAATCCTAAAATATAAAGGTAGAAGTACTTATTTCATAATTGGATCCACGTGAACAATATCTGTGATTCACTTATTCAGCAGCCAGGCCTTAAAATTCCATATATTGTAAAGTAGCTTGTTAGAAAAAAAGAAATAAAATTAGCATTATACAAATATTTAATTGTAAACATTTAAATATAAAACTCAGTGAATTAATATCACTGTCTTAATCATAGATTGGAACATATTAGTTTTTAAGTATCCTTCAGTGGACCATATTTCTTGTGCAAGATGGTGATTAACACAAAATAAGTCAAAATAAATGTTGATTTACTTTCAAAAAATTAGATTAATTTATACAGTGAGGTATATTTTGAATCAAAATAAAACTTTTTTTTTTTTACATTTTACCAAAAAAATTGTCATATTCTCTATCGCATAAAGCCATCTAACACCTTCCATAATTTTCTGCTGTCCTGGTAATTCAAGCCACTCTTTGTTTAATGAAAATGGATGTTGGATACTTGAAACTCTCAGAAATAAAAATGCTCTTCAAAATGCAATTTGCTACTATTTGGGGCAATGAATGCTATACTTTCACCTTGAAGTTTGCTCATTAAGCACAGACAGAATTTGTGCCCCAGAATTATTCAGGTATTCATAATTACACAAATACTCTAAAAACTTAAATGTTATGTCAAACTTCTATGTCCTTTTATTTATGAGGCAACTCTCCTACAGTTTGGTTTCCTTTTGTCAAATGAAGAATTTGGCTCGCTTTTCTCTGTGGTTACTGGAAGTTATCTTCTAAACCCTTAAAACTGCCAGAGTGTTAGGAGTGTCTCTGATATTCACGGTGGGCCTCTGGGACCACACCTGTGCTTATACTAATGAGGTAACTCCTGGTAGGTTCTTTAATAGTTTATGCTAATTCAGTGATTCACAGTGATGGTCAAGCCAGATGTAAAGAAAGACCAACTACATGAATAGAGACTTGAGGTTTTAAGCTAGGTGATACCAGTCCATCCTCTGGGAAGGAGAGCGGGGTTAGAGATTGAGTTCAACCACATGGCCAATGATTCAATCAATCAAGCGTGCATAATGAAATCCCAGGGGAAACTCTGGACACCAAAATTTGGATGAACTTTCCTGGTTGGTGATAAGTATTGTTACACATTGATGTGCTGGAAGGTAACACGAGCTGACTCCTTCTGTACAGGACAACTGAGGCTTTGTGTTTAGGACTATCTCAGACCTTGCCCTATGCATCTTTCCTATTGGCTGCTTCTGATTGGTATGTCTTTTGCTATAATAGAACTATAATCATAAGCATAATACTTTCCTAAGTTCTGTGAGTCATTCTAGCAAATTATCACACTGGAAGGGGTAATGAGAACCCCTGAATTTGGAGCCAGATGGTCAGAAGCGAGGATGACCTAGGGTCCCCTGAACTTTCAGCTGGTGTCTGTGATGTGGGCAGTCGTAGGGGACTATGCCCTTAACCTGTGATGTTTGACCACGTTACTGTCAGAACCCACTGCAGTCCTAATGCAATGCAGGCAATGATACCATGTCCTAATAACATTCTTCTAAGTTTTTTTAATCTTTTATTTTTTGCTTTCCATTCTCTACTTAGTGATTTTATAGGCAAACTGGGAGAATGAGATAGGGCTTTTAAAAAATATAATTGGGTCAACACTTTTATTACCACTTCCTCCTGTTACCTTCCTAGGGGCTGGGGTGACGTTCTTGCATCAGGATTCATTTCTGCAAGCTACATTCCAGAACAACATCTTAACTTTGCTAAGTAATTATCTTAATCTCCCAAGTTTGTTTGTTTGTTTTTAAATACTTTACTTCTAAAAGCAGCCACATTTCTTAGGATCATTATCAGAGTAAACTGATTTAAAAAGCAAATTTTTTCTTATGATTTAGCTCTTTGCTAACTTAAATTATTAGATCAGTTCTATTTTATGGAGAAACAATCTATAGAATCACTCCAACTCTTTTCTCTGCTAGGATACTCAGACATTACCCAGGTAAGTGTGCTGGTTATCATGGTCTCTGAGGTCTACATTGAATACCATATGAGGACTTCTGGCAGCAAACAGTTTGCTGTTAATGAGTAGTGCACCAGATTAAATGTGCCTTAGGCTATGTAAACTGTTCTCTTATCAAAGGATTTAGTGTTCTCAAGGAAGACCTGCATTGTAAGGGGGGAAAAAAGATCTCAGAATTTCCCTCACCATTATCAAGAAAGTTCATGTTTCTGATTTTACTTTATGAAATTAAATTTCAAATGAGGAAACAAGATCAAAGAATACAAATGTCTTTGATAGGGGATTAAGAAGCAGTCTATTGGATACATAAGCACACCCAATACTTCCCCTACTCCAGCCACAACACAGTACCGAAATCTTTGTTTTCTCCTTGTTAAAAAGGGTGAACCTATGAGATTTATGTAAATGAACTGAACAGTATCAAGAAATATTTCTATCTAATCCTCACGCTATTTTTGTGCCTGGTAATTTTGGTTACAAGGGTTTGAAAAATGAGGAACTGACACAGTCATACCCACTTTATAAAAGCAACACAGCATTCTGCTTCATTTCTCACGAGATACACGGCTTGAATTGGTGCAGAATCGAAATCACGACGAGGGTTATTTACAGGCAACTGTCTAAGAGGGAGAAGATGTGGAAGATTGACTCAGCCATGGACCATCTGCCTCTTGAGTTTCCCATTTTACAGCTAGCATTTTTTTTCCTCCCAATTTGTTAGGCAAGAGGCAAATTTAAAGAAAAAGACAAATGCACTCACACCCTTTTTCTGTCTGGGTTTTACTTCAAGCAGTCATAAGCATACCCCAATGGCAGGCCACTGGAGAAAGAACAACCAGGATGTCCAGTATCAGGGCACATCTACCTCCCTTTAGTGCAAGGAATTTCTACATGCCCAAAGTAAACCCAACTCTCTGGGGCTTAGTGGGGTGTTTTTTTTTTTTTGGTGTTCTGAAAAGATTATACTCCTATTTATTTGGTTTGTTTGCCTTCATTGAAATCCTGCCTTCTCCCTCAGACTTGAGGTACCAATAAAATAATGGTACAATATACATAAAAAGAGCATCTGGACAAACAGGTATGCCAATAGACAGCCTAGGCCGCATGTGTGAATAAGTAGATCATATGAGCCATCTGAGCTTCTTTAGCTGGGTTTCTTATCTTCCAGGAAAAATAAAAGGGGGCTAGTGATACAGAAGGGCTGGGCTTCCAGCCAAACCTCACCCTTAAGCCTGGAACTGCAGCCCTAAGTGAAAACGGCTAATCCCGTTTTTCCGCCCAAATATTGCCTTTTTGGCCCAACCTGCCGCTATCCTGTGCTCATTAAAGACTTCAGCTAGCAGAGTAATACAAGTGGCTGAGCGACAAGCAGAGAAGCAACTGAGTGTTGGAGACTACAGATAGGCATGGCTAACCTCAGATAGTGTGTCTTCGCAGAGGAGCCTGGCCAGAGACAGCCAGGCTTCAGGGAAAGATTACCTTCCCATCCCTTTTCCAGCCTCTCTTTCCACTGAGAGCCAGCCACTGCTCAATGATGTCTTCCACATTCATCACCTTTCAACAGTGAGTGTGACTGATTCTTCCTGGATGCTGGACAAGAGCCCAGGTGTCTAGAGGGCAGGGGCTGCCCCCTTGACCCTCTACTGAGCTGATTGGCACTTAGCTGTCCCTGGATGGCAGAGCTGAAAGAGCATTGGTTGTAAGACGCTTGGATGCTGCTGCTGCAGTGCCCGCATAGAGCCTGCTCCCTCCAGAGAGGAGTGACCAGCCAGTTCCAGCATTTGTTCGCTCTGGTTCCTACAGTTGCTCACTCACACACTCCCTCCCGCAAGGAGTGGCCAGCGACAGGCTGAGTGGAATAAGCCACTCCAGGTGCTGCCCACAAAGGGGTCAAGGGAACTAACCCGTCTCATCTGCTGGCTCACCCAGGTTATGTCAGACAAGTGAGCTCATATGGAAATGTCTCTCTTTTGGGTGAAAGGAACGTTGGTTTTGTGGCTCTGTTTCCCTTCACAGAGGTCTAGCTGTTGACTAGGACCAGAATATGGTGCTGAGGAACCGAAGGAATCTGGCTGAGGCTACTCCTCAGTGTTGTTGGAAGGTCCCAAGACTGAACTCTGTCCCCGACCACCCTAACAGGCATCGGCCAAGACCCTCAGACTTTGCTGTGGTATCTTTGTATCTTTTCTTCTTTCACGGCTTCAAACTGCTCCTATCTCTTCTTTAACAATGTTAAACTGCAGATATGTTAGCACACCAGCGCCTGCGAAGCCTTTCCTCCCATGACTGAGGGGTCCTTATCAGGTGAGGGATACACTGATTAAAGGAACCCATTTCCATAGAGCAAGAAGGTCTTTCCCCCGGTCTCCTTCCTTATGCACTTTAAGCTGTTTTTTTTTTCTTTTCTTTTCTTTTCTTTTCTTTTCTTTTCTTTTCTTTTCTTTTCTTTTCTTTTCTTTTCTTTTCTTTTCCAAGTGAGAGGATCCCCTTCCCACCTCAGCACTCTGCTTATGATTGGGAGGCAACAGAGGAGCGACCCCTGCTGGCTGAGAACTGCAAATTTGGCAAGACCCATCTAGGACTTAATCTAAATGAATCCGCGCAGCTCCTGAAATAACTTTTTGTCTCAAACTAGATTCCAACCTTCAGATTGAAGCCCTAGAAAGGAAAACCAGATCTGAGGGCTCCAAAGCCAGGCAAAAGACACAGTGTAAGTGGGTGGGACTAATTCCTGCCGATTAAACCACTGCTTCATGGAAGGAGGTCAGGCTCCAAGGCATAAATGAGGCCCAGGGACTCGAAGGTTGTCAATAGTAGGGGAGGTAGAGGCATAGGTGAGTGTGGATAATTCCTATTCTCTAGGCCCTCCCTGATTCATGGGTGCAAGCCACATTGGCACGCACGGGTGGCACCCGCCAAGGTTGCTGGGACTTGGGGATACAAAGACAGAAGAGAAAGGAGATGCCTGCTTTCTCTCTCCCTCATACCCTGGGTTATTGCTGAAAGAAGGAAGGGAATTGAAGGACCCCCCATTCCCTGTCTTTCAGAATGGGCGGCAAGCTATCTTCACCACCCTTTCAAAGCTAGGTTTGAGTCCCTTTGAGATGATGTATGGACAGCTGTTTCTCACCAATGATCTCTTGCTAGACCAAGAGAACTCCGACTTAATTAAACATTATAACCTCTTTGGCTCACTTCCAACAGGAATTGAAACAACTGTTGGAGGCCCAGTCGCATGAACTAGGGCCACCTCTGTTCAACCCAGGGGACCTGGTACTGATGAAAACACTTTTTCCTTTTCTCCCTCTCTGGCGTAGACTGGGAGGGACCTTACACTGCACTTTCTACTCCTATGGCAGTAAAGTTCACTAAAGTAGATTCTTGGATTCACTATACCCAAATAAAGGCCTGAGAAGCTGACGGGATTACCCGTCAACCCAGAAGAGCACCCAAAGTACCAATGTGAAGAGATCGGAGACCTCAAGCTAAAAATCTCAAAAGATAAGTGTTAATAATAAACCTTCCATGGATATCCTCTTTATAGTCTTGCCTACACTTGCTGTTCCTACCTTTGTTCTGTTCTATACCGCGAGGCACAATATTGTTTTCAGAATGATTAGTATGTTTTGCTTCTTATTTCTGTAATCTTTGGCACTCAATTCTTCCCCTGCATAATACACATATTTGACCCACGCACACGTCACCTTGTAAAACTTGTTTATTTCTCTTGCCTGGAGGCCATCAAACTCCAAAGAGGCAGGCAGCTGGAGCCTCAGATGATGGCTTTCTTTTGCTGGGGATCCTTGGGTAGACCTCTGGGAGGAATGTGGCTGTCATTTTCCCCAAACAACACCCCCTTTCAGCAGGAAGTAGCTAAGACTTGTCATTGTCCATATTCTAAGGGCAGTTAGATGTGCCTCTTCAGAGAAGGGAAATGATACAGAACGTCTGGGCTCCTAGCTAAACCCCACTCTTAAGCCTGGAACCACAGCCCTAAATGAAAACAGCTGACCCTGTTTTTCTGCCCAAATATTGCCTTTTTGGCCTGCCCCACCCCTATCCTGTGTCCATAAAAGACTTCAGCAGGCAGAGCAACTCAAGTGACTGAGTGTCGAGGATACAAGTGGCTGAGCAGTGAGCAGAGAAGCAATTAAGCATCAGAGACTATGGATAGACGTGGCTAACTTCAGATGGTGCAGCATCAGAGAGGGGCCAGGCTTCAGGGAAAGATCACCTTCCCATTCCCTTTCCCACCTTACTTTCTGCCAAGAGCCACCCAATAAAGTGCCACTCAATAAAGTGTTCCACATTCATCAACTTTGTTTTTTTTTTGTTTTGTTTTGTTTTGTTTTTTTTTTTGAGACGGAGTCTTACTCTGTCCCCCAGGCTGGAGTGCAGAGGCTCGATCTTGGCTCATTGCAACTTCCGCCCCCCAGGTTCAAGTGATTCTCCTGCCTCAGCCTCCTGAGTAGCTAGGATTACAGGCATCTGCCACTGCGCCCAGCTAATTTTTGTATCTTGGCCAGGCTGGTCTTGAACTCCCGACCTTGTGATCCACCCATCTTGGCCTCCCAAAGTGCTGAAATTACAGGCATGAGCCACCGTGCCTGGCCACATTCATCAGCTTTCAAACAGTTCATGTGACCTGATTCTTCCTGGACACCAGACAAGAACTCGGGTGCCAAGAGGGCAGGGGCTGCCTTCCTGACCCTCCACTGAGCTGGTTGGCACTTGGCCATCCCCAGACGGCAGAGATGAAAGAGCATTGGTTGTAAAACACTTGGACGCTGCGGCAGGGCCCACACAGAGCCTGCTCCCTCCATAGAAGAGTGACCAGCCAGTTTCAGTGTTCATTCACTCCGGTTCCCACACTCACTCATCCACACACTCCCTCCCACGAGGAGTGGCCAGCGATTGGGCTGAGTGAAATGAACCACTCCATTTCCCACCCATGAAGGGGGTCAAGGGAACTATCTGAGCTTCTTTAGCTGGGTTTCTTATATTCCAGGAAAAATAAAAGGAGGATATAATCACTCAATTATCATTTTGGAGAAAGAGAAGGTTATAAGTGTGTTCTCTAGGAAAGAGATTTTTAGAGAGAGATTTGTATTGATGGGGTTTCCTGGTGAGTGCTCTGGGAAACAGCACCTATAGGAGAGTGAGGAAAACCAGAGGGGTCGAGAGGGGAGTTGGACTGTGAAGCCAGCAAATAAAGGCTCCCTGGTGGGTAGCACTAAAGTAAGGATGGCTCTGCAGAGTTGTTCCCGTTGGAATAACAAAAACCTTTATGTCCCTCACCCCACTGCCCAGATTGTGCCATCATTGGTCGCAAGCTGTTCCTGGAGTGCAGTGAGTCACATTGACCCAAGTGGCTCTCTTTATGAGAGGGCCATGGAGGCATGGATGGGAGGAGGCCTTAGCTACAAGTCATCAGCTCTCAATTCCTCCAGCAGCTGGGTTATGTGTACTTTGGTTCTGAAAGTTATGGATTTGCACTGCTATCCTAATTGTCCACTACAAAAGAAAGAAAACAGATTACTCTCTCTGGGAAAGCAAAGTTATTTCAAAACAGAAAACTGAGGAACATGATGGAAAAATTCTCACCAAAAATCCCACAGGAAACACAGTTAACAGATTTCGTAGAGCTATTTTCTAGCGTATCCTTTGATCAGAGAATAACATTAAAATTCCTCTCTCCCTGAGGGTGATTCTGTAAGGGATTAAACCAAAACAACTCTGGGATTCAATCTTCTGGAGATCCAGCTACATTCATTCATTCCGTTATTCAACAAATATTTACTGAATGTCTGCTGCATGCCAGGAATCATGCTAAGCATGAGACCACCTTCACAAAAGTGAGAGAAGTCTAGCTTGGCTGACTCCTTCTTGCTTCTAGTCTCACAGGCAAGCTCCCCTCCCTAATTCCTGAGCACAGGCCAAGCTAACCACGGGAGGAATTTAGTTTATAGTTTAATTTTGAAGCAAGGATGATAACAGTCCCTCCCTAAAACTAACCCCCTCCTTTCCTCCTTTGTAAAACTAATTAATGAAAGCCCATGAGATTAGGATTATGAGAGAGGCCTGAATTCTGCTAAAATGTAGGCATAGTTAAACAACAACCAGTCATTGTCCCCCAGCTTCCTTTTCTATAATTCCTTGCTGTTTGGGAGTCATGTAGCCAGAGGTCACAAGATTGGTGACTTCCCCAATTGCTCCTATAGATAACCTCACAAAAATTGGTCTTTTGAGGTGTTTTTCAGACTTTTGCATTCTGGCCACTGACTGACTCCACCCAGACCCATGACTCAAGACAACTGGTCCTGTGACCACCACCCAGAGGCAGACTCAGTGCATGAGGACTGTTTTCCACACACCTATAATTTCATCCCCAACCAATCAGTAGCACCCATTTCCTAATTCCTTGCCCTCCAAATTATAACCATAAAAACCCTAGCCTCTAATTTTTAGGGAAGGCTGATTTGAGTAATAAACTCTTGTCCTCCCCCTTGGCTAGCTCTATGTTTATTAAACTCTTTCTCTACTGCCATATCACTGTCTCAGTGAATTGGTTTTATCTGTGCAGCAAGCAAGAAGAACCCACTGGGCAATTACATAAAGGTTGCAGATTTTAATCAAACAACCACATGAACAAATGTGAAATCACACCTTTGATAATTGTTTACAAGAGAGGCTCATTATCCAGTGTTATCACAGGTTTGAATCAGAAACTGTTTGTTATAAAGGTCAGAGATGCCTCCTTGAAAAAGTCATTTTTCACCTGAGGGTTGCAAGAAGAGCAGGAGCTAACCAATTGAAAAGAAAAGGGGCAACAGACCCTGTGTTAGAAGGAACCATAGGACATTATGAAGGCTGGTGTGGCTGGAGTGTAGACAAGCATTGAAGGTGAGCTTGGAAGATGTGACTGTAGAGCTGTGGAAGGGCAGTCCAGGCACAGCCTTGTAGATAGATCCTATCAAGCAATATGGTCTTCACTTTAAAAGGAACAGCAAAATCATTCAAGTGTTTTACAGGGAAGTTCTGGATGGGAAAGTATTGCTGATGAGATTCATTTGGAGGATACATTACTGTTCTATGGCTGCTGTAACAAATTAACACAAACTTAGTGGCTTAAATCACATAAATTAATTTATTATCTTAAAGCTCTAGTGTTCAGAAGTTCATAACAGATCTCACTGAGCTAGAAACAAGTTGCTGACAGAGGTGCATTCCTTTCCGGAGGCTCTAGCATACAATTTATTTCTGATCTTTTCCAGCTTCCACAGGCTACCCACATTCCTTAGCTCATCGTCCCCTTCCATCTTCAAAGCCAACAATGGCCAATCAAGTCTTTCTTGTATCATATCACTCTAACACTAACTCTTCTACTTCCCTCTTTTACATCAGACACTTGAAATTACAGTGGACCCACCCAGAAAATCCAGAATAATCTCCCCTATCTCAAGGTCACTTGATTAGCAACCTTAATCCCATCTGCAACTTTAATTACCCTTTGCCATATAATCTAACACATTCACAGCTTCTGGAGATTAGGACATAGGCATCTTTGAGGTCTGCCTACCATAGAGAGGACTAGAGTGGAGGCAAGGAGACCAAGTACAGAGGCTACTGCAACTGGTAGTGGTGAATATGCAGAGCTGTGGATAGATCTGGGAGTCACTTAGGAACTAAAACCAAGAGGACTGGGTCATGGTTCTCCTGAGAGTGAGATCTATGCAAGGAGCAATATAGGGTATCTGAATGTATTCATTTATTCAACATTTCTTTGTGTTCAGACACTTTGTGAACAGATACTGTTCTAGTTTCTTGCGATAAAGCACCAGGCATGTTATAAAAGCCCCTGTTCTCATGGAGCTTACCCTCAAGGCAAGTTATTTTAATCCTTATGTCAAGAATGATTGTCCATAAACACTCTTTTTCTCTGGCAGATGTCAGATGCATGCTCCATAGAGAGACACCCCTTTCTGATGAGGACACATCTGAAGCTTTGTTCTGTGTCCCAGGTTGCTGACACAGGCAACATGAATTTTAATTTCAGTTTTGATATAAACTTATACTTCCATGTTGAAACAGGAAAATATGAAGCTGAAACAAATATTGTCCTTAATTTGCCACAGTTGAATTCTTCATTTATCCAAGAGATTTGGAAATTTACCATAAACTTGCTTCTTAATTCTAAATATCACATGGTGTATGAAGGTTTTAGAAGAAAAGAGATTGTCTTTTGATATTTAGACTAAGGGGCTTTACATTAGACCAGATTTATCAGATTTTTTAACTTAGAGAAAATAGTTCATACTTTGTAGGACTAATCTACTTTTATACTTAATCTGATGTTTACAAGAAACACACAAATTCTCCTTATAGGTTTTGAGAGTAAGATCAAATGAAAATTATCTATGGCTAAAAAGTAGTAACCTAGTTGGAAAGGTGAAATAGCACTATACAGAAGGCTTTCTGCAATGTTGAATGTCTTTTAGGTTATCTAAGGCTTGTATTTTATGTTGCATGATTTAGTCCTGAACTTTTGAAGCAGATGTGGGATTAGTTTTCTACATATCACTAATCCTTTCCCTTTTAATCAAATCATCCTGTTACAAAATAAAAACACTTAACATGCTTATAACAGAAGGTTGCATGCTGGCATTGTAGATATTTTATAAACCAAAAATATCTAACCTCTAATTCAAGTAATATTGTTTTGGCTTCTCTCTTTTTGTAAAACTTAATCATGGGGCAATGTCAAAACTGAAATCAGCAGCTGAAAACAGGAAAGACAACTACATTTTAAGAATTTACCCGTTTGCAGTTTCAGATGGCTGCCAAAACTTTCAACTAGACTCATTTGGAGTAAGACTATGCAAAACCATTCATTCTCATGCAGTTGGTTATGCCTTTTTCAGCATGGCGTTTGTGATTCTCTGGCAATATACTTCTAGAAATCACTTTGTTAGCTATAAATGTTATAAATAAATCATGATTTTTTTCTTCAGAAATTTAGTTATGGCAATTAATGTGAAAAAAACATAATTTTTAAAGCATTTTAAACACACACACACAATTTCACACATCAGATGTTCTGCTTTAAATGTAACATGGAGAAGTATTTGTGACAGATGGTCCTAAACATTTGTCTTCCTTAGATCATCTGGTTTAACTACTCACTTCATAATTTTCAATTGCTCATTTCTTTTTTTCTGAAGAAAATTAGTGTATAACACTGAACTAGAAAAAAAATGGACACTAGTTTTTATGTAGTTTTGGTAGTATTATTTTCTAGTATCTTACAACTAGTTGGCCATCCATAGAACAAATGTGAATGCATATGTCAAATGTAAAACAAATGGTGCTCATATCCCATACATGCCTCACCTTAAAAGCATGCCATGGAGTGCAGAGTGTGATGGGTGGAGTGAGATGGTGGCATGAGAAAAGCCAGCATTCTCACAAAAGCAAGAGAAGTTAATTCCTTGGAGGAGACAGAAGAAGGAGGAGGAATTAAAGAAGAATTCATGAACACCTATTTCACAGCAAAACTATTCAACTAGCCAAGAAGTGGAAACAACCCAAGCATCCATCAACAGCTGAATGGATGAACAAAGGGTGGAAAACACACACAATGGAATATTATTCTACTGTAAAAAGGAAGGACATTCTGCCACATGCTACAACATGGATGCACCTGGAAAACATATGCTAAGTGAAATAAACCATCATAAGACCCCAAACCCTGTGTGATTCCACTTATATATCTAGAGTAGATAAATTCATAAAAATAGAAAGTGGAATGATGATTGGCAGGGAATGTTGGGAGGGGTAATTGGAGATCTGTTTAATGAGTTTCCATTTTGAAAGACAAAAATGTTTTGGAGATTAGTTGCACAGTAGTGTGAATATACTTAGCACTACTGAACTATATACACTTCAAAATGCTTAAGATGGCAAATTTTTATGTTATGCGGGCTTTTTGCCACAATCTATTAAAAAGAGGTCTTTGGAGAGAAAGATCATTTGAACAAAACAATAATATGAATGATTACAAAAAATTGGCAGGGGTTGGCAGGGGTGGAGGGACAAGCCTTAAACCAAAAGAATACATTGGGCAGGGATAGAATTGGGAAGATGTAAAATAGTCACAGATCAGCAACTCTCTCAGGGCAGGTCATCACTTCATCAAGTAATAGGCCAAACGATGAGGCTGGAAATGTAGATTTGAGCCTATGTTGGACATATGTTTGTCTGCACAATACCACCTCCCCAGCTTTGAATGACCTGTCCCCCTCCCTTTCCATTCAATCTTCCTCAATCCATATGATTTGGATAGAATTAATCCCAGGCTTAAATAATCAAAGTACTCCCTTCTGCAAACATATACACACATAGGAAGAGGTCATGTAGGTTCTGCTCCAGAATTTTGTTGGCACTGTCAGAAAAGAGACTCTCTTTTCCCTTGAGATTTAAGATTCAAGTACCATGTAGACCTGGAGATGCCCCTGGACATTTTTTCCTATATAGAGAAAGCCTACTGAAAATACAGAGGAAATCAAAGGTGAAAAACAAGAAAAAATAGATAAAAGGGAAGAAAAGAAAGAAAGAAAGAGGGAAAGAAAGGAGAGAAAAGCAAAGGAAAAGGAAAAGAAACAGAGAGAAAGCAAGCAAAGAGAGAGGAAGAAAGAGATCGAGAGAAAGGGAGAGAGAAAAGGGGAAGAAATGGGAAAGGTAGGAGAGGCAAGGAGGAAGAAAAGAAGGAAACAGTACTGATTAATATTGTTTGAACATCTGAATCCAACTATGCCTAGAATCAGATCAACCCTATACTGTTCTGTTTTGCTAACCACCCTCCCCCTCCAAAAAAAAATTCCCTAGTTTGGCTTAAGCTGGCATAAGACGAGTTTTTGTCATTTGAAATCACACGAGTTCTGACTAATACAGGGCTAGATTGTGGGGATCCTAGAGAAAGGAAACAGGAAAATATGATATCAGTACTCACTTTGTCAGACACTGCACTAAGTCCCTCGGATATCACAATGAACAAAACAACTTTTTTCCCTGCCTTCATGAAACTAACAGTTTCTTAAGCCCCAGTCACATGAGTTTCATCCCTAGTTATAAGCATCTCTTTGTGGTTTTTGTTTGTTTAATGTTGAAGTCCTACTGCCAATAGTAAATCAGAGCTAGATTTGGTCTATAACAGCATATCCAAAATTTCCTGATGAAAAGAATCACCTGGGTTACTTGCTTTAAAAAGCTCAGGCCATCCCCAGCCCACATAATTAGGAGCTTTAGGGATGTGAGCTGAGAGTTTTGTTTTGTTTTGTTTTGTTTTTTTGAGATGGAGTCTCGCTCTGTCACCTAGGCTGGAGTGCAGTGGCGCGATCTCCGCTCACTGCAAGCTCCACCTCCCGGGTTCACGCCATTCTCCTGCCTCAGCCTCCTGAGTAGCTGGACTGCAGGCGCCCGCCACCTTACCCGGCTAATTATTTGTATTTTTAGTAGAGATGTGGTTTCACCGTGTTAGCCAGGATGGTCTCAATCTCCTGACCTCGTGATCCGCCCGCCTCGGCCTCCCAAAGTGCTGGGATTACAGGTACGAGCCACCGTGCCCGGTGGGAGCTGAGAGTATTTTTAAAAGTTTGAGGCCCAGGTGATTCTTATCATCAGAGAAGTATGTGAAATGCTAATCTTGTTATTCAATATACTTTCCATGGAAGAGTGGCAATGGATTTGTTAATAATGTGGCATTTCAGATCCCTCTCCAGACCTGCTGAATCAGGATAAACCTGTAATATTTTGATACAGATAGCTTGTGTTGTCTGAGATTTTTTTCCAAAAATCAGGGGCAGGGAGAAAGAAATCTGACACAGAACCTCATTCAGAAGTGCTTTCCAACAAAATCCATTTATTTCAAACTCAAGATGGCATTAACTAAAAATTAGATATCACCTGCACTGCTTTAAGCCCATTGCCAGTGATGTCACTCTCTGTGAACTGTATCTAAGGTCTAAATAGCGCATCATACAACTCTAGGAGAGAACATTGATGCTGTGTGCATGTGGATGGCACCCTCAGGAGTTGGATACTATAGCAGTCCTGAATCCAGGCCCAACTAGAGATTCATTTGGAGTCAAGCTCTGAAGACTCAACCTGGTGGCTGCTTTGAAGTCATAAGGAGACCCACCTCCATAGCCAAGATGATTGCCATCCCAACACAGCTTGTGGACAAGTCAGGACTTCCAAACACAATGTGTTCTTTTTCTTTAAGGAGGAAACGGAGATATTACAAAATAGCAAGCATGCAATAGCATGATGCAAAGCCTAATGATAAGAGAATAGTTCTGCTTTTCTTCACCCCCTTTTTTTTTTTACATTTAGTTCATCTTCTCGGAATAGAGGGACTTGTTTTCCCAGGCTCTCACAGTGACAATTTGCCATACTCATGTGTTTGCAGATGGCAGAAGCACCATCATATGGCAACTCCTAGAAGCCCTCAGCCCTATTTTGCAGAGTTGTTGAGCACATGATGCAGCTGGTAGTCCTTTGACCTCACAAGGTACCTAGTTTTAGCAGCTACAAGTGGCAGAACTACTTAAGGTACTCAGAGTAATAAGAGCCTGGACACCAGAGCCTGCCTGCCAGGTTCACAACAGACGCCACCACTCACTAGCTATGTAACTTCAAGTAAGTTACTTAACATCTCTGTGTCTCTCTTTCCTTATCCATAGAATATGAAATGGAATTTTGTCAAAAACTGTGAGGGTCTTAAGTTTTACCCCACTTGAAAACTAACAAATTAACTTGCCACGGTTTCATTAATACTGATGAAAGACATATGACTCCAGGATCAGAGACAAAATATTACTCATACCAAACACAGTAGGCAGAGTATCAGCTTGGCCGAGTCAGTTCTCTGAATCCTGGTAGTACCACAGGTCTGCTTATATGGATGCTGGCACCCAGTGTGTTGTGTTACAGCAGAGGAATACAGGTCCAGGGGAAATTGTTGCTTTATAGCAGCCTGTAAGCAAGCCTACTCTTTGTCCCAGAGGGAGACATTAGCTCATCTCCTAAGATTATCACTGCAAATATAAGCCTGAAAAGTGTCCTGGGTAAAGAGTGCTCAAAGCTTTGTATTCGTGGCATACTCAGCAAGATGAGTAAGAGTGCAGGGGGCCCATGGAAGACTGTCTCCATCAGGTTGTTGAGTGAGTTGAGTGTGTTAACATGTGCAAAGTACTAAGAAGAGTAATAATTCTTTATAAGTGGTAATAGTAGGAGTAGTATTAGTAGTAGTATGTGAATAATAGCTGTCTATTTTTTTAAGTAACCCCATGATAATAGATGTATATATCTCATACATTATATATATATTAGATTCATATACAATATTAGTAGATATAAATGTATCAGATATAATAGATATATATTAGAGAATTTTGGAAATGCAAATGAAAACAAAGAACCCACTAAAATTTCCAGTCATACCACTATCAAGTATTGTCTACTATTTTGTTTTGTTTTTTTGTTCTCCTTTGCATATATCTGTTATTTTCCTAAATTGATATACAAGTTCTTATACAATATTTATCCTACTTTCTTTTTTATTTCATTATGAGCATTTTACATTTAGTAAATATTCATTTAATACTGATTTTAATGGCTACATAATATCCCATCATATGTATGTATCATAAATTATTTACTCATTCCTTACTGCTGGATATTTTGACCGTTTCTCATTTTCTGCTAAATACCTTCTACCCCATACAGTGTTAAATTAAATGGAATTTCAATTAAAAACAACCTAAAACATAAAATTATGTAAATCTAATTCCTGAACTATAAGTCTCTCATTAGTTGGCAATGAGTTTGTCCTTTTTCTTTAAACCACATGAAACAACATCTAATTTATCCCAAGCCTGCTTAATCTGACCTAGACACTTTTCTCATTAATAGTGGATCACTATAGCAATGAGTTTTGCAAGGGTGGACTACTAACTAGTATTGTCATAGAGGCCTATATAATTTAGGAAAACAAACTCTGGAAAATTTATGCTTCTCTGTGGAAATATGTCCCCTGTCCTTCACCCATCTTCTAACTAAATAAGTAAGCAAGAGGAAAAAAAAGCAGCACGAAAACAGGTACCAAAAACACCCACACATAAAATGATAAAATGTATATATTTTCCTGTACAAGGTCACTCAAGATTAACCTAATAACTTTTACTCTAGATCTATTAATAATTATAAACAACTTTCTCGGCAGTTAACATTTATTGAATCCTTTCAACATACCAGGCTCATGTAAAAATGAGACATATTATATGTCTGATTTTAGTCTCTGCAAATTGTGAAACATTTATAAATATTGGACAAGGATTTTAAAGGTGGGCAGCATGTATATAGTCAGGCTTACAAGCAGAAAGCTGAGAAAATACAGAAGATCTATGAAAAGTATATCTGAGTTCTAAAACCATAACCATCTTAGTGTATTTAGTATATGGGCATCCACACAGGAACATCCGAAGAGAAACTTTAACTGATAAATATTCCTTCAAGTTATCAAGAAAACACTTCATTGAAGTTTACTTTGTGAAAAACATGCATTTACTCAAGATATATTTAACAAGTATTTTCACTAATGTGCATAAAGCAGTTATCTTCATTTTTTTAAAAATGCATGTATGTGGAACCAATTTTTGTATGTGTTAAGTATGTGGAACTTTTAGTCATTGCTTTGTTGAATGGGCCACCTATGTCATTCTTTCTTTCTATTTTGTTTTCATTTCATCAAATAATTAGTTCCCTTCTCTGAAATTTTTACAGTAATGGAAGACATAGCATTGGCTAATCAAATGAAATGTAAAGAACAACAATGAAGAATAAAAACCTACAACAAGATGATACTCTAATCAGAGGACATGGAAATGGAAGAAAGTGTGTGCTATGAGATGTTAGCATATATTTCCTTTGTTTATAAGCCAAATAGGATTAGGCTTCCAGAATTTTTGGAAAGAAAATTAAATCAACGGAATTCTATTTAACTGATTGGTGTATTGTTTATTGACACTGTCTCTTCTGTTCCCTGCCTTATCTCAGTTTGCTTTAATGCTTCAGTGCCTCAACAGTTCAGTTGGAGTAAGTGCCCAGCAAATGTATAAAGCCAATTAATGCAACCCAGTTACCATTCAAATTTGCCAAGACAAAAGAAGTGTAACCTTCTTTAAGTTCTTTGGCTTCATTAAACTTCTATTTATTTAATACTTCCATTAACAGGCAATTAATTCAAATCAAACGAGTTTGGAATGAGGATAAAAGCAGAACAGCAGCAGTGAAAGGTGAGACACAAGGGCCAAACTGTGGTGCAGAAGCTGAGGAAACTCAGGTGAGGTTAGGAGAGTCTAAATTCCTCCAAAGAGGAATACACTTTCTTTCCTAAAGTGTTTTTCTTGTTTGTTTGTTTGTTTTTTTTTGAGACGTAGTCTTGCTCTGTCGCCCAGGCTGGAGTGCAGTGGTGCCATCTCGGCTCACTGCAAGCTCTGCCTCCCGGGTTCACACCATTCTCCTGCCTCAGCCTCCCAAGTACCTGGGACTACAGGCGCCCACCACCACATCCAGCTAATTTTTTTGTATTTTTAGTAGAGACGGAGTTTCACCAGGTTAGCCAGGATGGTCTCGATCTCCTGACTTCGTGATCCACCTGCCTTGGCTTCCCAAAGTGCTGGGATTACAGGCGTGAGACACCGCACCCGGCCTCTTTCCTAAAGTCTTAAGACCATCACTAGTTGAGGAAGAGGACTGACAGCGAGTGTGATGAGTTGAGAAAGCAGTCTCTATGGGCCCCGCAGTTAGGAGAGTGAAGGCAAGAAAAGGATGTTCCTGGCAACGAATCAGTCACGTCTCTTTGTGAAGCAGGCCCTAGGGATCACCCTCCCCGGAGTAGGTCCTGACAAACTATGGAGATGGGCCAAGGAACAGGAGCAGCAATAGGCTTAGAAATGGTCTCTGGAGACCACTTAAAGTCTAAAATTTTGATGGATTGAAATGCTATCATTCTGGTAGTTAAAAGAAAATTGTCATCATAAACACTAATTTGCAAATAGCAGGCACACATACCAAGACATGTACTCATTTTTGTTCCAATATAAATGAAGAACTCTTTACTGGGCAATTATATATGAGGGAAAAGTCTTTAGCCTTGAGAAGTAACAGCTCACTCAACAGTAAGATCAAAGAGTGGCATGATGTCTTCAGCACACTATTTTAATGTTTAGCCAGGAAAAAACAAATATTCTACTAATCCTTGGTTTAGTTTCAATGTGTGACTTTCAATCTGGCTTTTGAATATAATCACTCAGTTCTATCATTATAGATATAATTAAAATGATGGAGAAATTATAGATTATGATACAAAACAGAATATGACTTTGCCCTTATGTCTCAGGCACTTTATATAGGGTATCTCATTTGACTTTCACAACAAATCAGAAAAATTGAGTAAATTACTCATTGTCCAAGTTGATACAGCTTACTGGAAAAGAAGCAAAGATTTGATTTTAAGATAGTCTGGCTTCATGTTCTATCCATTCAACCATACTGCCTTCCTTCATTTCTTGACGTAAGAAGGTGAAGGATTGACACTTCAACTGGAAGAGACACAAACCATGGATTATCTTTCCAACTGAGGCATAAATGCATTTTCATAATACAAAGACATTAGGAAAATCTTTAAAGGAAGTGAGAAAAGGCCCTATCCACTGGAAAACTTTCTTGATCTTCCAAATATTTCCAAAATACTGGGGATTCCACATCCAGTCAGTAGGAACCAAATACCAAAGAACTGATTTTCCACATGGCAGGGGATTCCTCAGTCACCACCTTTATTTTCCCCTTCTCAGCACCAAGAAATATTACACCACAGAAATGTATATATGGAATATTTAAGATATAAAATGTGTATTAAAAAACAACAAATAGTCAGGGACTCACCTCCCAACTTAAGAAATACCACCTTGCAAAAATTTTGGAAGTCTCTGAGAACTGATCTTTGATCACAGCCCACTCACTCTCTCACAGAATAACTATTACTATAAATTTCATGCCTATTTCCATATATTTTTATACTTTTACTCCATCTGTATACATTCTTAAACAACATATACCATAGTTTTTTCATGTTTCCAAAACTAAATGTAAATGGGTTCATATAGTATAAATTCTTATGCAACCTATTTTTTTTTAATTAAGTTCTGGGATATATGTGCAGAACGTGCAGGTTTGTTACATAGGTATGCACGTGCCATGGTGGTTTGCTGCACTAATCAACCCGTCATCTACATTAGGTATTCCTACTAATGCTATCCCTCCCCTAGTCCCCACCCCACGACAGGCCCCGGTGTGTGACATTCCCCTCTGTGTCCCTGTGTTCTCATTGTTCAACTTCCACTTATGAGTGAGAACATGCAGTGTGTGGTTTTCTGTTCCTGTGTTAGTTTGCTGAGAATGATGGTTTCCAGCTTCATCCATGTCCCTGCAAAGGACAAGAACTCATTCTTTTTTATGGCTGCATAGTATTCCATGGTGTATATGTGCCACATTTTCATTATCCAGTCTATCATTGATGAGCATTTGAGTTGGTTCCAAGTCTTTGCTATTGTGAATAGTGCTGCAATAAACATACATGTGCATGTGTCTCTAAAGTAGAATGATTTCTAATCCTTTGAGTATATACCCAGTAATAGGATTGCTGGGTCAAATGGTATTTCTGACAACCTATTTTTTGCTTTTCCTTTTTTCTTTTTTTTTTTTTGAGACAGAGCCTCGCTCTGTTGCCCAGGCTGGAGTGCAATGTTGTGATCTTGGCTCACTGCAACCTCTGCCTCCCACGTTCAAGTGATTCTCCTCCTGCCTAAGCCTCCTGAATAGCTGGGATTACAGACATGTGCCAACATGCCCAGCTAATTTTTCGTATTTTTAGTAGAGACGGAGTTTCGTCACGTTGGCCAGGCTGATCTTGAACTCCTGACCTCAGGTAATCCACCCACCTTGGCCTCCCAAAGTGCTGAGATTACAGGCGTGAGCCACTGCACCCGACCTCTTTTTTTTTATATATCAGGATTTATAATAACATTTCCACTACATTATTCTATTGTATCAATATATACCCATTTTCCTATTTACAAACAGGATTGCTTTGCCATTACAAGAAATACTGTTCTAAATGTCCTCATCTATTTCTACACATAAGAATTTCTCTGAGCTACATTTAGAAGTGAAATTTCTGGATCAAAGGATATATGCACCTTCAACTTAACTAGACATTAAAAAAGGAGTTGTACAAGTTCACAATCCCTCTCTCTTCCCATTTTTTCAAACAGATACTACCAAATATAAATTTCTACTCTAACAATGTTTGGTTCCAAGTGAATCATCATTCCAGCAGACATTTTTTAAAGTTTGCTTGCCTTTTTCTCTACAATTATGTTCCACCTCCTCAACCCAAGTAATTAGCTAAGGTAATCAGGCCAGAGTCCAAGCTGATTACCAGTAATTAAATGTAGCTTTTCTTATCTTCAGTGTGTCCATACTGAAAAATAAAGATATCTTTCCTCTTCTTGAGGGCAATTTGGCAGTATCTGCCAATAGCTCTAAAAATTGCTTACTCTCTGACTCAGAGATACCTAAAAATTTACTTTAAGAACATATCCAGAGGTATACATGAATATTTGTATATTAAAATATTTGTCTTAGTGTTAATTTTGATGTTCATTGCAATGCTGTTGGTCCAAACAAGCAAAATGTCCATCAGGTAGGAACTAGTTAAATAAAAGGTTGTATATATTCACGTAATTGCCCACTAAGTGGAAATTAAGAAGAATGAGGAGGATACATATGTACCAACAATATTGTTTTAGTTATTGATTGCTATATAGCTAAACATTCAAGTGTAAAGCAATTACTTATTATGTTTCACATGCCATAGAAAGACTAGAGGTGGTCTTCTGTTCCTTGTGCCGTTGTCTGGGGTCACTCATAGTGCTGCATTCAGCTGGCAGCTGAAATGGGGCTGGAACATCCAGGAAGACTCACTAACACATCTCTCAGCCGGTTGCCACCTGGAACAACTTCGGTTCCTTTCCATACAGATTCCCCTCATTCAGAAGGCTAGAACCACTTCCTTACAGCATGGTAGTGGGTTTCAAGAGGGAATGAACCAAGAGAACAAGCCCTAGCTTACAAATTCCTGTCAAGTCCCTGCTTGCATCAAGCTTACTAGTGTTTCACTGGCCAAAGCAAGACAGACAGATGGCCAAGCCCAGACACAATTTGGGAGAAGACTGTACAAGGGTGCATATTCCAGGAGGCATGGTTTTTTGGGGATCATCAGTTTAACAGTCTACCGCAATTACTGTGAAAAAAGAAAAAGAAGAGTAAAATAGGATAACCATTGTTTTAAGTGTTTGCACAGAAAATATGTGGAAGAATACATATCAAATAGTGTTTGAAACAGCGGAGTGAAATTTGCATGGGAAGTAGTAGTAGGAAACGTGAGATTTTTAAATTCATGTATGTATGTGTGTTTCTTGATTTTTTATAATAATCATATACCTAAATATCCATATACATATATTTATATATATAAGAGACAGGGTCTCACTCTGTTGCTCAGGCTGGAGTGCAGTGGTTGTAATGAGCAATCACAGCTCATTACAACCTTGAACTCCTGGGCTTGAGTGATCCTCCTGCCTCAGCCTCCTAAGTAGCTGGGACTACAGGTGGGTGCCAGCACACCCAGCTACTTCTTTTTTTTTTCGTAGAGACGGGGTCTCACTATGTTGCCCAGGCTGGTCTCAAATTCCTGACCTCAAGTGATCCTCCCACCTTGGCCTCCCAAAGTGCTGGGATTACAGTTGTGAGCCAACATGTTCAGCCTAATAATCATGTGTTTATAATTTTAAAACTATGAAAGAAAATGAGGTTGTAGAAGAATAATTATATAGGAGAATGTTTATAATATGTCCATTTAAAAAATGTTAATGGTTATTTTAGAATAAGGAATTGTGAGCAACTGATTCTCTTCATCATGATTTTCTGTAACTTCTATACTTTGTATAAGAAATACACACAAATCTTAAAATCAGAGAAAACAATAAAGAGGAAATAGAACCAACTCAAACCACTGACCATATCTTTCTTATTCCCCACACAGGTATTTCCACATTATTGCAACATCATTTTGTTGACATATTATATTATCAAGATGTTCACATGTCTAGCTGTAATAAAATAAAAATTTCCCAGTGACTTTATGTGCTAATCTATTCTCCATCGTGTTTTGCAACTTAATAAGATCATGAAGCAACTGTACTCTGCTATATGATGATGGGTTTTTCCAAATGTGCATATTGGATTTCCCAAATTTGAATCCATATTTGCTAACTTATGAGGCAGTTTCCCCAGTTGTTCACAGCATTAATCATGCCTTAACCATGTCATCAGTCCTTTGACAGCAAGGAAAAAGTGCATTTCTTTTGTATATTGTGTCTTGAGTATAGATTTCCCCCACCCCCACCACATTCAATTTTTTAAAAATGCACAAACAAATCCGATCTTCTGTGGATCTTCATCTATTTTTTTAAAATGGGCATCATTAATATAATCTAGTCCCATTTAACTGGATGTTCAGTACTCTACGTGATGGCAAAAAATCAAGATCATTTTTCCCTGCTTCTAATAAGGAGATATTTTTATTTTTAATTTAACATTATGTTTAAAAATATGTCCATCATAATTCATGAAGATCTAGTTAAATTTAACTTTGGTTTATTATTATTTATATAAACTTTAAAACACAAAACAAATTTATGTGATGTTTATGGATACATGGCACGTGTAGTGAAAATAAACTATGTAGGCACAACACATTTGGGATGGTGGTATTCCAGGGACAAAAGGAATAGAAAGGGTTGGGGATAGAGATTTCTTTATATACCTATAATTTTTTCATTAAAAAGAGAGTGCAAACTGAAAGAATGGTTAGATCTCGGTAGTGGAAAACCGGCATCTGTTATATTATTTTCTGAATGCTGAAATATTTTATAATTACAACATTTTAAATTGGAAAAGTAGAAAAGTAACTTAAGTGCAACTGTGCCATCATTAGGGTGGTTAAGATAGAGCCATGCACAGATAATGAGGTGATTTCTGAAATAAGCCAGGCCCAGAAAGGAATCAGATGATACACAGCCCAGCCATGCCAGGGTTATTCTGGGGGCTAGGAATTCTATTCAAGGCATGTATACAAGAGTTCTACACTTTATAATATATCGTCTTTGGGGCAAAAAATAAAGCCCAGGTTTTGGCAATGCGTCTTTCCTTTTTAGGCTCTTGCTGGAGATTGAATGGGAGTCTGAATCCAACCATCTCTTCTGCTTCTGGGACTGGACTTTGGGCCTAATTAACACACAAGCCTAATCAGAATCCAGACAAATTCTAAATACCTGGAATTTGCTTGACAAAAACAAAGTTATCAAGGGGGGAAGTATTTTCTTTTTGTGGCCATAGCTGACCTTTCCCAAAGATGGGAGAGAAATACAAAATAGAGATTTGAGGGAGAGGTCTATAAGAGTTACATTCTAGAAAATCTATGAATATGCAACTTATATATAATCAAAGCTTCTGGAATTCCTATGCTGCATTGTATGGAAGCTTTTTCTGGCCCTTCAGTGAAAGAAGAGTACATACTTTCATCATGGCCCATGTGTGCATGGTCTGGAAAAGAAAGGTTGTGTACTTGGAAAAGTAATAGTAATTATATCTGAACCATAGGCCAGAGTGAGGACAGCAGTACAAGTACAGAGAGATGGTATTTCAGGGGGGCCTTGGTTCCTGTGTCCTGTAGACTATCATGAAGAGCATGGTCACCATCCCTATTCCCAAGTTCTCCAGATCCCCAATCTATCTTTCTACTGGATTAATTTTCAAATCTGGTAGATGGTTAAAATTTCCCATCATTTTTTGTAAAGAACAGATTCCCTACTTCCCCCACCCTAACACCTGCTGTGAACTTTGGTTGTACAACCTGGTTGTGTGTGTGCGTACATGGTGCTGTGTGTGTGTGATGTGCATAGGTGGTGTGTATTTGTGTGCATGCTGTTATGCGCATGTTGTGGGGGGGTTGTTGAATGTGGGGTGTGTGTGTGTGTGTGTGTATGTGTGTGTTTAAACTTCCAAGTAGTCCTGATACAGTCTGTGTTGTGACCTTAGATTGGGAAAATCTCTTCACTTAGATTAAGTTATTATTGAAACAATGCAAAGATTTAACCGACAAGCAGTCTTCATTTCTGATATAGCAAGGCACCATTTTCCATTGCCAGAGATGTTGTCTTGACCTGAACAGTGGAGCTGAGAAGTTGTTATGAAAAGGGTGGTAAATAGTATCTGCATTTTTGAGTAAAAACTGGTCTTGGTTCTTGGGACAAACTCTCTAATTTGTCTGGAAGGAACAAATCAATTGTAAGAATGTAAGTTCTGTGAGGACAGGGATGTGTCTGTGTTATTTCCCACTGCATCCCAAGGATTTGGTAGTATCTGGCATATAGTCAACACCATAATATTTGTTCAATGAACAAAGGACAGAAGAAATGCAGAGGCAGATTTGTTCTCAGCAACGCTTGGTAGCAATGAAATATCTAATGCAGATGTTTCAGACTGAATCCTCAATCCATCTGTACCAGGATACAAAAGTACCATGATACAAAAAGCAGCCTTCATTTGAGGCCTGATGGCCCAAGAGCAATCACAGAGTTTATTACTCTAATTTGTTTGTTTGACCATCTGTGTTGATGTCTTCCTTGCTTTGGATTAGGAAGAAAAGTATGGGGCCCTGATGTGACCCAAAGAGGAGGGAAAAGAGGAGAAAATCTGAAGGGGACTCCACTTTAGCAACAAGCAGCAGCCCCCCAGAAACATGCAGGGCCTCAGGAGGGCCACAGCCACTCTCAGAAGAAGCCTGACCTACAACAGTGACCACTGAAACAGTGTTAAGTTCTCCTTATCTGCATTTTAATTCCTGAGGTGGCTTCAGCCATGAGAAAGCTATGTTAAAACTACAACTCACTGGGAGACTGAGGCAGGCAGATCACCTGAGGTCGAGAGATCGAGACCAGCCTGACCAACATGGAGAAACCCTGTCTCCACGAAAACTTCAAAAAATCAGCCAGGCATGGCGGCACATGCCTGTAATCCCAGCTACTCAGGACGCTGAGACAGGAGAATCGCTTGAACCCAGGAGGCAGAGGTTGCAATGAGCCGGATCGTGCCATTGTACTCCAGCCTGGACAACAAGAGGGAAAACTCCATCTCAAAAAACAAAAAACAAAAAAAAACTACAACTCAGTGTCAGCTGAGCATTGGCCTTAAGGTCTGGGGACAGGAGGGGCAGCAGCAAGAAGCGGCTTAGGAGGTAGCAGGATGCAGAGAGCAACAAAGTCAAAAGCCATCATTGGAAACGGCCCTCGCAAGCACAACCCTCCATGGATTTGTGGAGCAAGTCCTTCCTGTAGCATTTAGTAAAATCTGGTAGGGAGAGTGCAAAATAACATGAAAGTTGAGCAGGAATTTAGAAAGGGGCCTTAGAATAACTATTTGGGGACTTAAAGGGAGAAGTGTTTTCTGCAGTCTGGAGAAGTTGAAATTTGGAGTGAGCTGGTGGTAACGAGGAACGGAACCTCTCTGTTTCTTAGAGTAAGACTAAACTAATATTTTACTATTCAATAAACATTCAAGTGTTTGCTAGAAGCAAAGTATTCTAATGGAAGGACAGGGATGAATACAGGTATGGAGGATAAAAAGGAGGTACATTCACCTTTATTGAGCACACTTATTAATGGCAAGACACTAAAATGTTCATGGCTGATGTTATATGTTCTCAACAGGGTCAATATCACCTCTGAAGAGGGAAAAAATAGCTCTTGGGGGACAAAAACATCTTAGATATTAGAATAGTCTGTGATCCTCAAAAGGGTCAAAATACATAAACAGATATAATATTAAAATTTTGTGGCAGGGGTGAAGAGGAATGGCAATTAGAGAAAAAATATCTATGGTAGCAACAATGAAAAAAAGATTAAGAAATACAGCCTTTTGATAAAACCAATACTTCAGGGTTGGTTAAGGACATAAAATTTTAAATATGTGCTTCTGAAATTCTCCCATGGAAATGTAGAGAAAGGTCAGGTGCAGTGGCTCACACCTGTAATCCCAGCACTTTGGGAGGCTGAGGCGGGCAGATCACGAGGTCAGGAGTACGAGACCAGCCTGACCAACATGGTGAAACCTTGTCTCTACTAAAAATACAAAAATTAGCTGGGCACGGTGGTGTGTGCCTGTAATCCCAGCTACTCGGGAGGCTGAGGCAGGAGAATCACTTGAACCTGGGAGGTGGAGGTTGCAGTGAGAAGAGATCACACCATTGCACTCCAGCCTGAGCGACAGAGCGAGACTCTGTCTCAAAATAAATAAATAAATAAATAAATAAATGTAGAGAAAAACCTGTTAATTCAGTGTTCACATGTGGAATGTAATATGTATTAATTATTTTATATAAATATATATTTATATATAATATATTAATTATTTTATATAAATGTATATTATTTTATATAAATATTTATATACAATATATTAATTGTTTTATATAAATATATATTTTATATATGTTATATATTTATATAATTAATTATATAGAATATGTAAAAATATCTACATGCCATTTTTTTCTTTCTTAAAACTTCTATTTTTTTACTCGTCATAAAAGTAATGTATGATCATTTGAAAAATCAAAACAAAAAAGATAAACGAGAAAGTAAAAGTCTTCTGAAAAATCATATACCCCAGATATAATTTCAGTTTTTAATTTGTAAACTATCTTTCAGATATTTCTCTATGTACATACGTACATACATATATACATATGTACGTACGTACATATATACATATGTATGTACATACATGCATTTAAACAGGCATACATGTATTAACTCATACCACATCATTTTTATAGCTCTGATTCACTATTATTACTATTATTAATTTCAACTTTTAGATCAGGTGTTCATGTGCAGGTTTGTTACCTGGGTACATTGTGTGACGCTGAGGTTTGGAGT
This sequence comes from Homo sapiens, assembly GCF_000001405.40. Taxonomy (NCBI): domain Eukaryota; kingdom Metazoa; phylum Chordata; class Mammalia; order Primates; family Hominidae; genus Homo; species Homo sapiens. The sequence goes on from NC_000007.14 coordinate 20,463,551, forward strand.
ACAATTGATCCTGTCACCTAGGTACTAACCCTAGTACCCAATAATTAGTTTTTCAACCCTTTCTTCCCTCCCTCCCTATCCTCTCTGGTAGGCCCCGGTGCCTACTGTTGCCATCTTTATGTCCATGAGCACCCAATGTTTAGCTCCACTTATAGGTGAGAACATACAGTATTTGGTTTCCTGTTCCCGTGTTAATTCACTTGGAATAACGGCTTCCAGCTGCATCCATGTTGCTGCAAAGGGCATGATTTCATTCTTTTTTATGGCTGCATAGTATTTCATGGTATATATGCACCACATTTTCTTCACCCAGTCCACTGTTGATAGGCACCTAAGTGGATTCCATGTGTTTCCCATTGTTAGTCACTATTATTAACGGCTGCATATTATGTCATGGCAATCTTTCTTTTTTTTTTTTTTTTTGAGACAGAGTCTCACTCTGTCACCCAGGCAGGAGTGCAGTGGTGCAATTTTGGCTCACTGCAACCTCTGCCACCTGGGCTCAAGTGATTCTCCTGCCTCGAACTCCTAATTAGCTGGGATAATAGGTGTGTGCCACCACGCCCAGCTAATTTTTGTACTTTTTAGTAAAGAGGGGGTTTCGCCATGTTGCCCAGGCTGGTCTTGAACTCCTGGCCTCCAGTGATCTGCCCGCCTTGACCTCCCAAAATGCTGAGCCACTGCACCCGGCCTCATGGTAATGTTTCATATTCATGCAGACATTTAATGAATATTTATTGAATGCCTGTGAATCTGTTAGAATTCGTTCAGCTGCAAATAACAGAACACCTTATAGTGCAGGATCAAGGTTGCCCCCAGACGACTGGGAGCTCACTCCAGACAACAAACTATCTGAGATTGGGGATCCCCTTTCTCTCTGAGGGTGAGGCAGCACTCCAGCGTGGCCCCTCACTAGTCTCATGACTTCCTCCATTTTATGGATCTTAAGGGAGCTCTGTTCGCAAACAACCCCTGCAGGCACCTGGCATCCCCAAGGCCCAGCAGCCTGTGTATTATCCCACTACCGTCAATCCATGTGCTTCTAGGAGAGGAACCCACACAGCATCTTCAGGAGATTGCCAGCCTCCGGCATGTTTCCCAGTGTGATGATGAGAGAAGGAGAACTGGTCTTTCTATTCTCTTGTCAAGCTTGGTGGGAGACAAGGACTGCTGGCATTGGTTCCATGGCTAGACTACATCAGGACCAATATTTCTGCTATTTTCTTGGCCTGTTTCTTATGCTTATTGTGTAGTGCTCACATGATGTCTGCTATTTTCTATCTTGATTCGTAATTATAAAAATTTAGATATCTGATGCAAGGACCTCCAAGACCTTGTCCTTGATCCTGCAAGGGTTAAGAAGGAGCCTGTTGGTTTCTACCCCTCCATGAAATAACTTGTCAAGGCCACCAATGATTTCCACATTGCCTAATCAAATAATTTGTAGTCCTCATTTCCTCTGACTTGCAACATTTGGTATAGTTGCTCTCTCCCTGCTTTTTGAAACACTTTTTCCCCATTGGTTTCTAGCATAAAACTTTCACTTGATTCTTCTTCTCTGCTGTCCACTTCTTCCTGATCTCCTTTGAAGATTTCTCCTTATCTTCCCAGCTTCCAAATGCTGAGGGCCCAAAGGCTGAGTCGCAAGAGACTTCTCTCATCCTTTAAGTGATCTTAAATTTATCTATTCATCACCTCTTGACTTCCCAGGAAACTTTAATAAGCATCTTAAACTTAATGTGACTAATACCAAACTCCTGATTCCCTATACCCTTCCCTGTAATTCTGCTCCTCCTTATGTATTCATTTACTAGGCATTTTTAAACTAATATCTCATTTAGATATTAGAATATTCTTAGAATAACTCAGTTATCTATCATTCTTGCCATTTTACAAAGGAGGAAGTTAAGGATTAAAGATATTAAGTAATTGATACAATGTCATAAAAAGAGCCAGGTCTGTTTGACTCTAAAACTTGGCTGTTTCTACTACATCACAGCACATTCTAGTCGAAGAGATATTCCTTAGTAGCAAATCTCAGTATTGCCAGACAATTTTCCATCAATAAATCCAGTATTAAAATTCCCTATTAATTATTTCTGCAGCAAATTCTATTCATTTTTTTTTCTTAGTGGTTTATTTCATAAAGATGAAGGACACTGACCAGGCACAGTGGCTCACACCTGTAATTCCAACATTTTGGGAGGCAAAGGCAGGAGAATTGCCCGAGCCCAGGAGCTCAAGATCAGCATGAGCAACATAGAGTGACCCCCATCTCTACAAAAAAATTTAAAAAAAAAATAGCCAGGCATGGTGGTGCATACCTGTGGTTCCATCTACCAAGGAGGCTGATGTGGGAGGAATGCTTGAGGCCAGGAGGTTGAGGCTACAGTGAGCCATGATCATGCCACTGCACTCCAGCCTAGGTGACAGAGCGAGACCCTGACTCAAAACACACACACACACACACACACACACACACACACACACATACACACACACCCCAAACCACAATCCCTGAATTCCTACTTTACAAATGGGACTACTATGTCTTGCTTTCTTTTCAACAGGCCAAATGTTGACTCCAATGTTTATCAATCCTATAGAGCATTTAAGTTCATATTTTAAAATTTGCTTATTTTAACCATATTTCTACAACCTCTAAGTCATGGAGTACTGACTTTAACTTACTAATTAAATAATACGAACCAACTCTGAATATAAAATATCTAATTCTACTACACATTCGCTCTCCTCTGGTACTGCCTAGTAAGTGTGGTTGCAGTCATTTCCTATCCAAAAAGACCCTCCTCATTGATCCACCCTAATATCCAGGATGGTACCATTTAGAAATTCAACTCTTTATTCCTTTTTAATATATTCTCTATTAAAATTATCACATCCCAGGGATAGGTGCCATTCTGAGTACTCATAAGTTAGCCCAAGAGTAGAATATTTTTTCAGATTCCTTCTAGATTGTTAACCAGGCCTGACAGTGCTAAGATGAGGAAGGAGAAAGAGGTTGCTTTAAAGGGTAAGTGAGAGGGCATCAAAGACGAAGTTCCCTTACATCACAAGTTTGCTTCACTTCCCCTTTAAGTGCCCCTTAACACAACCTTGGAAATGAATCTCAGTGGTGATGTCAGGATCCCTTTCATCCACCATGACTTTACCCATGGATAAAGAGAAATTTACTTCTTGAAAAGAAAAACTTGCAATGAAATTTAGTTTCCAAACAGCATATGATTCTGAATCATGTTCCTGTCCTTGACTACTAAAGCAATCTGGCATTACTGTTTTTTCTCAAAACTTTGCAAACAAAAGTCATTTAACCATGGGGTATTTACTGCCCAACAGCCACACCCTAGGCCCACATTTATAGCTTCAAGGGAGAACCTGGGGATTCCCAAGAAGTAGGCTGTGGGATAAGTGGCCACCATAGTGTGATAAAAAGATCACCTCAAAGTCAAAAAAACCCTGGTTTGAATCACAGCTCTGCCATTTACAATCTTTCTGGCTTGGGGCAAGTCACTTAACTTCTCTCATCTTCAATTGCTTCATCTAAAATCTGGACATAATATGATCCACCTCACAGAATTTTTCCAAGAATGACATATGAGAATACTTAGCAAAAAGAACAGTAGCAAAGTAAAGATACTCCATAATTGTTTTTAATATCAAGCTAGACAGAGTTCTGTTTTTCCTCTCTGGTCATGGGATAAAAAGCCTTGAGCACTTACGGTAACCCTTTCTCTTAACTATCCTCCAAGATTCTGGGGCCCAAACCCCAGATTTACATGTACACAAATGAAAGGATATAGTAGTCAAACACCAAATGCTTAATTTCAAGAGAACAACACAACAGCAATTTTTACCTAAAACCACCTCCAATAACAACTCAGAGAAATTCTCGAATTCCACAGTTAGTATTAATTATCTATTATTTATTTTGACGGTTTCCATTTACAGCATAAATTTACCTGATAGAAGTAATATATGAATCTTATCAGCCATTTATATCTCAATAGGAATGACTTTATGATATAATTTTTCTGAGACCACATATAGCCACGAAGGAAACATGAGGTACGTGAGGTCTCTGCATGGTTCCTACAAGAAGAATAGCCTATAGGAAGGGGACTTGGAAGCTCTGGAAAGGTCAAATTCTCTTGGTCCAGATTTTGCATCGAACATATCCCATGTGGACAGGAAATCTAGGACAGGATCCTAAACTAGGAAATAACTTTGCTGGGCAGACAGTCTTCTTAGTCTTGCACAGAAAATTACTTCAAGGTTGCCAGCTTTCACAAATAAAAATGCAGGATGCTCACTGAAATGTGAATGTCAGATAAAGAATAACTTTTTATTTAAATATAACATAATTCTACTTTATAGTGTACATTACTCATTGTTTATCTGAGTTTTTAACTGAGTGTCCTGTATTTCATTAGGCAACCTACTTCACATTCTTGAAAGGTCCAGGGGCAGTAGGACCCAGAAACTTTTCTAAGACTCAGATGTCAGATTACAAACAGAATAATATGATAGTCAATATTATCACTGCGAAAGAAAGATTGTAGGATGAGATTTACTATTCATGCAGAGAGAAGCATCTCTGTGACCTTCCTGTTCCAAGAGATGGATGGTATACTGAAGCTGTGTTTCTTTATCCGTTTGTGCATTCATTTGTGCTGGAAATAGTTCCTGGGCAAACACCACACTCCAGCACTGTGCTTGTTCCTGGGAATAAAGCAGTGAACAAGACAAGTACTATCTGTGCCCTAACAAAGCTCTCAGTCCATTGGGGGCTAGACACTAAGCAGCAATCCTCATATTTAATACAATACTAGCAACTATTACAAGTGCTATGAGCTAAGGCCAGAGAAGCAAAATATGCTACTTCAGCTGGCATTTACTGATCTTGTTCCATGTATATGGCCCTGCACTGGGTAATGTTAAGCAAATAAAGATGAGGAAAATGTACTCCCTGCTTTCAAGGGCTTATGATTTAGTAAGGAAGACTTACATGTATATGAGCAAACTAAGACCAATTCTGATAAAGTTCTAATGAGGACACTCCTATGTCCATTTGCAGCAAGAAATGCAGCTTCTTCTTTTTTTTTTTTTTTTGAGATGGAGTTTGATCTGTTGCCAGGCTGGAGCACAGTGGCGCAATCTTGGCTTACTGCAACCTCTGCCTCCCGAGTTCAAGTGATTCTCCTGCCTCAGCCTCCCGAGTAGCTGGGACTACAGTGTGTGCCACCACACCCAGCTAATTTTTATATGTTTAGTAGAGATGGGGTTTCACCATGTTGGCCAGGATGGTCTCGATCTCTTGACCTCTTGATCCGCCCGCCTCGGCCTCCCAAAGTGCTGGGATTACAGACATGAGCCACTGTGCCCAGCCTGCAGCTTCTTCTTTACGCCAAGATATTTTATTTGCCTTTTGGGAGAAAGATGGAAGTACACATTCCTGTATTTATTCAACACGTGTGAAAGTCACTCTCCTAAAAAGACTGATAGTTTCCCAACTGAGTGGTCCCTTATTTAAAGCTATATGTTAAAGGCAATTAAAAGAAAATTGAAGTCATATCATTTCCTCTCTCCTATTTGAAAATCAAATCAGTAGATTTCATTTAATTATTTTATTATTTCCTTCCTTTTTAAAAAATCATTATTCTGTCTTTGGAGGACTTGGAGGACTTTCCACATAAACTTAGCTTGAAGGAAGGAGGCTGCATGAAAGCTTTGAATTCATCATGAATTTTGTTTCTTAGGACATATGGTCAAACTAAAGTAGTGACCTGCACACTTTGAACATGAAAGTCAATATCCAGACCTAGTAAGGTATATTTTGCACAGAATAAATGAATAAGCCAAGTTTACTTTTTCCCTTCTTGAAACTAAAATCTTCTATTCAGAATAGAAGTGCATCATGTATAAGTGACCTTCTCTTTTCACTGAATCTCACAGAGATTGGTGGAACATGGGTATCAAGAGCATGGGGCAGCAACATCCAGGCTAATAGGAGCTCATTAGGATGATCTATTAATCTTTCATAAGCCATTTCTGTAATTTTTTGCCAAAAAGAATGAAATATCCTTATTGGTATCTAACATGAATGACTACAACCATGTTACAAGTAATATTAAACTACTAGCTTAAAATTTCTAGAAAAAGAAACAAAAATTTAGAATATTTAGCAAAACTTTTTTGTTTTCATTTGTTTATGACCCAGTCTGTGATAATTGTAGCCCAGAAAACCACACAGGTTCTTCTCACCTTAAAGAATGTCAGTAACTGTAGGAGTAATAGTCGCTAAGAATAAAGACTACTTAATAAAAATATGATATATTTTTTAAAATTACTTATCAATCATGCGGAGCCAACTGGAAGATAGGACGTTGCTGTGCAGTGTGCTGCCTTTTATACAAATTCCTAAAAGTTAACAAAGGCAAAGTCTGTTGTTTCCCCAGCCTCCTCTGGCTACACTGTTTCTATCCCTTCTCCATTGGTATCAGCCTTTCTATCCATTCCCAGTGGTTTCTGGGACCCTCTTGCTCCTGTCACTCCCCCTGCTCCTTCCCTACAGAACAAACAAAACAACACAAAACAAAAAATAAACAATTATAGCTACATATTGTTGCTAGTAATCAACATTAAATAATTATTTAGTATATTTAATATTTATATGTAATCAACTAACAATATTATTAAATATTAAGTACTATTAAATATTTATTATTACTTAATATTTATTAATAATCATTTATTAATATTATTAATCGTTAATTACATATAAAGTAATTAGTGGTTAATTTGAATGCATTTTTATTAACAGCAATTTAGTAAAAATGCATTCAATTAATGAGCTATTCTCACTGATGCCTATACTTTTTCAAGTTTTTATAGGAAAAAAAAAGCTCTTAAACCTGGCCTTTCATGGTTAATCTCAAAGAATTAAACTTTGCCCCAGTCTGGAGTGTCCCAAGCCCATCCAGCTTGGGGCATTCTGAATTTCCTCTTCCTTATGTTCTGCATCTTTTATGTAAAGGCATCACTTACACCGGAGATCAGAAATCATTCTTGAATGACAGTTCTTATTCTTCATTCTTTCTAAGACCTATTCCTGACTAATAATACTCCTCAAAATGTAGTGGCTGAAAGAAACAAAGATCTATGATTTCTTATGGCTCTGTGGGTTGGTTGGGCAGTTCTTCTGCTAATTTCTTCTGAGAAAGAAGATTCAGCTAGAATGTTCTCTACTTTGGCAGAGAATGCCGGCTAGTGGCTAGGGTGTCCAATATCTCCTCTTCCTCTTATCCTCTTATCTTGCTAGAGTGGTTTTCTACCATGGCCCTCTCAGGCAGTGTTTCATGGGCCAAAAGCAGAAGCTTTAAGCTTGGAAGTCACATGCTGTATTTTTCTTCATAGCACTTACCATCACATAACATGATATGACTATGCACATAGTGTACTTCCTTTCTTTCTTTTTTTTCTTTTCCTTCTTTCTCTTTCTTTTTTCTTTCTTTCTTTCCTTTCTTTTCCTTCCTTCCTTCCTCTTTCCTTTCTCTTCTTTCTTTTTCTTTCCTTATTTTCCTTCCTTCCTTTTCTTTCTTCCTTTCTTCTTTTTTCTTTCTTTCTTTCTCTCTCTCTCTCTCTCTCTTCCTTTCCTCAGTAGAATGCAAGCTTTGTTAAGAGAAAGGACTTTATCTTTTTGCCTCAATATTTCCAGCATCAGCATCCAAAACAGTGCCTGGCACAGAAGAGGAGCTTTACAAATAATTATTGAATGAATGTAAGAATGGATCTTCCTCTTCCTTATTCACCAGGCCCTGCCAATTCAATATTCAAGCAGACAATCCAGAATCCCATCGACTTTCACAAGATACTCAAATATCCTCCTAACCCATCTCCTTGCTCAGGTTTCTCCCCATCTTAAGTCCACCCTCCATATACATCTAAGGATTGTTTCTGAAGAAGAGGGCAGATCATAGCGTTTATCTGCTTCAGGACTTCAGTGGCCCCCTCGCTGCCAATAAAGTGCCAAACCTTCACCACAGAATTCAGAGCCTTCATGACATGATTTGAATCTCCCTATTCTGCCTTTGTTCCTCCTCAACTACCCCCATTTCCAACCCACAAGTCTTGCTTCCGATGTGCAGTTGCCTCCCCAAGCTACTCTGCCTTCCCTGAGCCTTCCAGGCTCTTTGATATAATTCGCATCTTTGCAAATGCTGGAATATTCTTCTTACCTTTTCTGGCTAACAAACTCCTGTCCATCTTCAACATCCAGCAATCCCATGATCTCTTCATTGAAGGATTGTGCAACATCCCTTTATTTCCAGGTTTCCTCAGAAATCTGAACGTAGCTAAATAAATTGTTTTATTATGATTGTTTTCCTATATGGCTGCCCCTTCTTCCCCATTTCCAACAAACTGTTATCTGCTGTGTCTCTTTCTTTTAATTTCTGTATTACACTCCAGGCAGAGCCTAACACAAAGTAGATGTTTAGCAAATTTTAGTTGCATGAATATTCCCAAATCTATATTTGGGAAGTATCAACATTGGAGTAGGATTCAGTGAAGATCACTACACCCCAGGATAATTCCAGACTCAAGAGCACAATGGATGCAGGCATTATGAATGAAGAGAGCTGGGAAGATAATATACCCTGAGACTTTTGTCATTTAGCTAAAATTTTAGGCTTCTTCTCAGACAGCCTCATCAGAAATCAAAGGAGGCCAATTCACAAATGCTAACTACTGAGAATGCGATTTGCTATAAACCCATGGAGATAAGCAATTGCAAAAAAGATCTGAGAGGTTGGTTTTCCTACTCAATTTACCAGAGCATAGGGCATGGCAGGGTAATGGACGTGAAATGCATCCACTCAGACTCACATTACGTCAACTCTAGAAATGTTGGAAACCAGGGACTCCCAGAGCAAATAAATAATTCTTCTCCAGATTTTTTTTTCCCTAGCCAAAGACGATTGAATCCCTAACAGTATGTATATTTTTGTACAGTGAAGTGTTGAAGCTTTCTTCTTGTACTATTGATAACTTTTTCAGAAATATATGAAATAGTATTGATATGGTCTTAGTTCTTTCCACACGATAACTTTTATTGTAATCCTCTATCATGACATTTTAGCAGAGAGTGAGCCAAGCATGCTGAGCACCTACTGCATGACATTTCCAGCACAGATGTACAGGCTTGCCCTACATAAGGTGTACCAGCTGGCTGGCCAAAAGTAATGCATTTCTACTGATGTTTCTCTGTTATATCCCAAATCTTAAGACCTTGTGTTAGCAGAAAAGATGAGTGCAGATCATCCTACCCTGGAATTCTTTTTACTTGTCAAGGACAATCAGATCCCAAGAGAGCACTTTGTATATTTTTGCTCAATGAAACGTTCAAATTTTTTTCTTGTACACTAATGTTGAAAACTTTTTTGGAAACATACCAACTTGTATTGACCTTGTAAGGACTCCAGTTCCTTTTTGGCTCTGATTTTGTCTTGGAGTTATAAAAGAAAGAATATACTTTCTACATTTTTCGACAAGCATATGGTTAAACGTGGTATGTTAAATATGATTTGTTTTTCTAAAGAAAATGCATTTAATCAGCATCTTTTGGCCTTTATTGATCACAGTCATGAAAATAAAAATGTTTAGAATAATACTAGTGATGCCAATAAGGCCCCTTCTGCTCTAAAAGAATACTACTTCTCCCACTCCTGGGCTGACAATTTTGGTGATTAATATTAATCCTTTCCATTAAAGCAGAGACTTTATCACCAGAATACCACCATTATCTGCAAACATGATCTGCACACTACTATTGTGTCCCCATTATTGCTTTAGCCCTGACATAGCAAAGATGAGGCTCATGGGCAGTCATCATCACCTCCTGAACCCCTGGCCTTACTGCTAAACCTTATCATTCTTCCCTGCTAATCCTGGATCAGAACCCAAATCAGACCAAAGAATTGTCTTCAACCAATTACTTCCAATACCCATGATCTAGAAAGCAAATCCATGCCGGAGAAAAAAAAAAAAAACCTATTTTGGTGTGATATATTTGCTGTGATATAAAAACCTATTTAATATTTCTATTTCTCTCAAATGGGGCACCTCCCAACTCTTGAAAAATGCCAATGAAGCCAAACTATGAAGAATTAGATCAGATGTATACAGAAGCCACTTTTCAAAAAAAATATACCTTGTCCAAAACAACCAACAAACAAAAACATGAAAGCAGAAATATCAGAGCTTGAATTGGGCCTCATTAAAGGCATTAAATGAACTTGAAGGAAACCTGTCTAACAAAGATGAGGCAGGCTGAAGAGGGTAAAACAGAAGATGGGATATAAAATTTGCCGATAATTATTCACCACAACTCCAAAAGAGAGACTTTGAATCTGGAATTACACTCCAAATTGTTATCTGTTGTGGGGCAAAGTTCACTAACCTTTACCAAAATATGGATGAACCATTCCCCTAAACTATCCAATTCCCTGTGATCTGATCCTGCACCTACCAAGCAACTTTCCAACTTCTGAGCTCTGATACCAGTAAGAGTGTTCCCTGAAAAGCCAACTCCAGCAATCCCTAGTAATAAATATTCCCCACTTAAACTAATTAGATGGTAAAGGAAACAATTTTTTAATAAGTGAATGTTAGTGTCCAGTCTGATCCATCCTGAATTTTCTCCTTATAAATAAGTACATTGGCTACTTGGTTTATACATCAGTCTCTTTTGAGGTAAGTCACTAGGGCTGTTCCCCAAATAGTTCCAGTCTTCCACATATTAGGCTTATGGTAGGATTGGACCTCCTGACCCCTGTGGTTGGATGAGGCCATGTGACAATGGTGTATTCATGAGTGGAAGTGATGTGTCACTTCACGGCTAGAGCACCTAATTGCTGGTGTAGACTTTCCAGAGCTTTCATTTCCCTAGTGAGGGTGGTTTGGCAACATTTAAGACATGGGCTGCTCGGTAATAGGTCCTGGAAGGAGGTCACTGTGGAGCACAGGTCCCCAGATGGTGGGGCCAAGAGCAAAAAAATAAAAATAAAAATGAACTGGGTAACCCATTCAGGGATGACTTAATAATCATTCTGATGTTTTTCTAACGTGAATTGTATATTGGCATAAATTCTTAAGTAGAGTATGTTGGACATAGCTTAAATATTTTTCATAATGATCCAGAATCAATTATTATTATGAGCCCAAAGTAATTGAGGGTCCAATTAGTTACGAGTGTTCATGGAGGTTGGGGCCTGAGAATGAAACAAAAATTGACCAGGCCATTTGCATAATAATTTCATTTAATTCCTACAATGACTTGGCCAGTTATATTGTATGATTTTCATTTTACAAACGATAAAACAGACACTCTGAGATTTTAAATAACTTGCCAAGGATTACATAGCTAATAAATGGGTGGTAGATGGAGATTTTATATATGGAACTGTTTGTCTACAAAAGCCACTGCTTTCTAGACTGCTACGTCCCTAATGTTTGGCATTAAATTATACTTTAAGATTTACTTCTATCTCCTCCTATGTTGAAGTTCTGTTTGTTGCTAGCAATATATTTGCTTTTAGTTATAGCCCAAGCCTTCTCTATTAATTTGTTGCTTTTAATGAGTAGTGAGTTGAAGAAAGCAATAAACAATTGTGTTAGATGTGCTAGGAGGAAACGTGCTCTGGCCAAGGACTTGATGTACGTGTTCTATGAGCACAAAACTTTTAACATGTAAACACTGTGAAATTTCTTTTTGAAGAATAAGGCCGGTATTCACAAGCCTTGTGCTTTGCAGATACGTTCTGACAAATGGATTTTACTAGAAAAGCGAATTTCAGATAACTGGAAATATTTCCATCCATATTTATCTTTCTACATCTGCTTTGGAATTTTCATGAATTGTTGTGGTTTATGATAATGGGCTTTACATTATGGCCAAATGGTTAAAAAGATGATACTTTTAAGGATATGCTGCATAAATGTGCTGAGTTTAAATGGGCCACCTAATGATCTAATAGAATTGCTTTTAGGTTATTTGAGTATTATTCCCCATTTCATGTTTCTTCAGCTACATTAAAATTGCTTTCTGATTGCTTTCCTAATCCTACTTTATTCAGTCATTTTCATAAAGGATCTATTGAGTAAGTTAAAAGAAAATGTTATTGCCTTTATGTGGACATAAGAAATAGGAGCCTAAACAGGCAGTAGACAAATTAACCAAATAGCTCAAGTAAAATCATTATGTTCTACCATAAACTTGTTTTATCCTTTTGTATTAGTAAAATATAAAATTACTGGTCAATGCCACAAACTCTTACTTTTATCAAAAGGAAGTGACTTTGCTGTTTGTGATTTCCTTTGAGTTTTTTTACTTCCCCATAGTTCTAAGTAATAATGAATACACTTTTCAAAATTTCAAATTCTGCATTAAAATAGGCAGAACAAAGTTTCAATTTTATTCAAGCATGATTTGAGAATCAAAAACTCCAAAACTAAATTAAGAGATGGTTCCTTTCCTCCATATGAAAAGAGGCAAAAGCAGGACAGTTGGATGGTTAACATTCATGACTGTGGGGTCAAACACTTGGGATTCTGGCTCAGCTACTTGAAAGCAGAGTGATTTTAAACTAGACACCTCTGAGTCTCAAATTCCTCATCTGCAAAATGAGAACAACAGAACTAGAACAGTAACTGTCCCTCCCTAACGGTGTGGGGTCATTCTTTTAGCACACAAGAGAAGGCAGCAGTGGGGCGGTATGTCAGCATGGCTAAGTCTGTGGATGCTGACTTCTCTCTGCAGTGGTTCTCACTCTGGCCTTCTCATTCACTAGCCCTTAAAAATTGTCTACACCTATGATTCCTCATTTACAAAGGCGAGATCATAATAGTATGCATTCCATAGGTTATTATGAAAAGCAAGGAAGACAATGAATGTAAGACGATTAGCACATGCCTGGCTGGATTAGTTTGCTAGAGCTGCCATAATAAAATATCACAGACTGGGTGGCTTAAAAAACAGAAATTTATGTTTTCAGTTCTGGAAGCTAGAATCCGAGATCAGGGTGTTAACAGTTCTGGTTCCTTCTGAGGTTTCTCTCCCTGGCTTATAGATGGCCATCTTCTCCTGGTGTCCTCACATCGTCTTCCTTGTGTGCATGTGTATCTGTGTCTTAACCTCCTCTTCTGATAAGGATATCAGTCATATTTAATTAGAGCCCACCCTAATGATTTCATTTAACTTTGCCTCTTTAAGGGCTCTATCTCCAATTATAGTCACATTCTGAGTTACTGGGGTTTAGACTTCAATATATTAATTGGCAGAAGAGACATAATTTAGCCAATAAAACTTGCAAATAAAAACCCTCAATAAATGTTAGCTATAGTTATTGCTGCTGCTGTTGTTAATAGAATAGTTAATTAAATAATTTATGGACTTCAAAAGGTAGAAAGTCATCAATACTGAATTAATAATAGACTGTTTTCCAATGTTTTATTTCACAAACAGTCATTTTAATCATGATGATGTTTAAATCATGTTATCTGCCATATCATGTGATTTGGGAGAATTCTAAGCGTAAGCTTCTGGTAGTTTCCTACATTAGTCAAACTACTAATGAGGTCAGGGTTAAAGGTTTAGTCCATGTTTAGGCCAATGACTTCATTTTGTTCTGTAGTTGCAGAATGTACCCCATCCCTGGTCAGTCACATAACAAATAAAAGCCATTGTTTCATAATGGGAACAGGGCAAAAGGGTGCATGGATCAGTAGAAATCTATGGGCATGACTGGAAAAACCACCCAGAGGACATGCCCTTCTCTAAGTGAATAAGTGATTTATCAGATCTCCTTTTCAGCATGAAATGCAAAAATACTTAAGAAATGACAATTGTCTCCCCAAAAAAGCAGCGAGTGGAAAATAAGACTTTACTTTGATTTTCTCTTTTTAAAGTGCTTAAGCTAGTATAATGAAACTATTGGTATCTAGAGAAGCATCGAATGGCCAACCATTTACATTATTCCTTATTCTTCTTGTAATTTCCTTGGAAGATATTGAAACACTGTGCTCTGAGAAGATAAAGGATGAATAAAGATTTGATTATATTTTTAGATACGGATATACATACTTTGTTTTCTACCAAAAAGGGTGTGCATGGATCAGCAGAAATCTATCAGCATCACCAGAAAAACAACCCAGAGTTCTCTAAATGAATAAATGATTTCTTATCATATCTTTTTTCAAAGTGAAATGAAAAAATTTCAAGAATCCAACTCTATTTTGAAAATTATTTGCTATATAACAGATATATACCAGAAGTTTGTGTGTATCCCATAGCTTATTTTCAAGAATCTTAAATTGCTATCACTTGGAATCACTGATATTTTCATGCAACTTTAGTTGATAAAGAAAATTTAAAAGGAATAATTATTTTTGTTTTCCTTGAAAATCAACTGAATATGTAAATTCATCTCTTTTGTCTCCATACACTTATTCATGAAACTATGTTAAATAAAAATAGAAGCACCACTTATAAAACATACCCTAATGAAATTCTCCTAGCTAGGTTCTGCCATGAGCAGAAAACAACTGATAGATTGTGCAAGCTACAGTTTTATTTGGTATTATTATTTTATATTTTAGTGCTTTTGACTTACATTCAAAACTTAGAAATCTCCCATGATTTATTTGGAACACAATAGAGAATTCCTTCAGGTATGATTGCCTCTTTCTAAAACTCCACTCCCCACTTAAAAAAAAAAAAAAAAAAAAAAAAAGTAATTAAAGCATGTCATCAGGCAAATGCCCTGAAAGCCTTTGAGCTCAAAATCTGTTTGGGCCACAAAGAGACAGTCCCAAGACCTCACCCCCATAGTGAACACAGTGAATTCTTCAGAGTTGGCTCCAAACTTTTCAGCTCTGCAATACATCCAGGTCCAAATGATCTTCAAATTTTCTCCTCCGGACAAGCACTTGAAAGACTAGGATATAATTAAGATATACCCCACTTCATATTGAAGAAGGGACATTTAGCAACAGACTAGAATTCTAGGTAAATTGCAGTTGCCTCCATATCATTAAAGCAGGTTTTTTAAAAAGTCTAATTTACTATGAGCTTAAAAACCAAGAAAATGAACTTTTAAAGGAGCTTGACTACCATACAAACTCCGTGGATACAAGGATAATCATAGCACCTGCCCGGTGACACACCTTTGGCATAAATATAGTTCAGGTTTTGTATAAGCCATACCATCCCTTTTTCATTCTTACCATTTGGTGAAGGCTTTGATTTATTTACTTATAGAAAATCATTTATTTGTTACAAGATTTCAAGCAGGTAAGGAAATGAAGGCTTAAAGAGATTAGGTAACTTGTTGCTGTTACCAAATCTAGTAAATATCAGGGCAAGGACTTGAACTCTAGTCTGGACAACTTCCCAAACCTGTGCTGTTTCTGCCATGCTCAGTTAAGTTTCTAATTTTGTCTTCAAACTTTCAACAGAGAACATGAACAAAGACACAGAGGTTTGAATAATCAGTGTTGTGATTAGGGTCCACTTAACACACAGGTTTAGTTGTGCATACATTTGATAACTTTAAATATAGCTATAATTATAAAATATATATTTTTTGAAAAGATATTTTGCTTTTATAGTGAAACCAGCATTTCACTGGTTCCACCTGATGTTTTGTTTCTACTTTACTAGTGCAATGTATGACATGGAAAGATTTTATACTTTAAGGAATTGCAAAAAACAAACAAAAAAAAGCTTGAATATCTATGCTACAAATTTGTACCCTATTTCTTAGAATCAGACATTTATTTCAGAGGAGTGCCTTTTACCCTCTTTTCTTCACTCCCATGATCATTCTACCTTTTCTATTTTAGTATTCCTGTGACCATGAATTATCAGATATCAGATAGTTAGAAGACAAAGGGATTCATGCTATTACACACACAGCTATTGTACAACTTGGCTTGTATGTATTTTGAGTACAAATAGTTCTGTTCTAGATGGTTGGGGGAAAACAATGATTGCTTACAAGTTACAGGTAAACTAGAATTTAAACATTGAGAAATATGAAAATACTATCTAAAGAAATCCTTAAAACTTTAGGTAGATCTAATTGTAAAAGCCTATAATGGGCTGTGTTTAATAATTAGGACAAAACTAGCACAAAAGTTATGAGGTCAAAGTGGACATTGTGCTAGAACACAGTTATACAGTTATGAAACCTGAATAAATTAATCTAAGAATGTATCTGGTAAAATAAGGCAGAACTTATTGTGTAGTAATAGGCACTTCTGAGAACTCAAAAAAAAAAAACATATTGCAATGTTATTAGGAAAATCTACTTTGAAATTAAGCAAGCTACTGGAATTTTTCAGAATGTTTATTTACTTGATATTTTTGAGTTTGTAAGTAAACTTTCACCCTTTTATTCTGAGATAAAGAATAGGTAGTCACTGAAGTTTATAGTAATGATAGTAAAACAAAAATACAAGATATTAGTCACATGAACCAATGAAGTAGAACAGAGAGAAGATAAATAATCCACTCACATATCAAGTGACTTTTTTTATAAGACTGCTGTGATGGTTAGTCTTATGTGTAAACTTGACTGAGCACAGGTGCTAGACACTTGATCATTCATTATGATGGGTGAGTTGGTGAAGGTGTTGCTCCATGAGATTAGCATTTGAATCTGTTCTGAATACTGCAGATTGCCCTCCTCAATGTAGGTGGTGCCTTTAGACTTCAATGGAAACATTCATTCTTCTTGTGTCTTGAAGCTGCTGATTATTGTACTGGAATTTATACCATTGGCTCTCCTGGTTATCAGGCCTTCAGACTTAGACGGAAACTGTATATTGGAATTCCTGGACTTAAAACTTGCTGGCTACAGATCTTGGGGCTTCTCTGTCTCTAAAATTATGTGAACCAATTACTGATAATAAATCTCTTTATATCTGAGACAGATATAGATATAAATATAAATATACAGATATATAGATATAGATATAAATTCTATTAGTTCTGTTTCTCTGGAGAACTCTGACTAATACAGATTTTGGTACTAGGCATGGGGTCCTGCTTAGAAAAAATTACCTAAACATCTGGAAGTGGTTTTGAAGATGGGTAATAGAGGATAGAAGATTTCTGATGTACATGCTAGAAATATGAATATTAAGGGCGATTCTGGTGAAGTCTCAAAAAGAAATGAGGAACATGTTGGAAACTGGAGGAAAGGCTGTCTTTATTATAAAGTATCAAAGAAGTTGGTTGATCTGTGTTCTAATGCTTTGTGGAAGGTGGACTTTGTGAGCAATAAAATCAGATATTTACCTGAGGTGATTTATAAGCAAAGTATTGAAGAGTCAGCTTAGTACCTCCTGACTCCTTATAGAACAATGCAAGAAGAGAGAGATGAATTGAAAAAGGAATTGCTAAGCAGAAAGGAATCAGAACTTGGAGGTTTGAAAATTTCTTAACCTATCCATATTGCAAAAGGTCAGAAAGCTTGTTCTGAAGAGAAAAATTAAAGATATAGTTGAACAACTATATGATAAAGAAATCGGGGGTGAGACCAATGGACTTTACCAGTCATTTCAACAGAAACCAAAAATAGAGATGGGGCTATACCAGCAAAAACCTTGCCAGTTTAAACTAAAGCGAAAAAGAAAGAATGAAAGGAAGGAAGGCTGTTGGACTTCTTAAATATGACAAGATAGAACAACAGAACTATTTGGCTAGAAATGTGCCCTATTCATCAAGAAAAGGGAAAAATGATCCCGAAAGCAATTCAGAGATCATCAGGGCCACTACCTTCATTTCAACAGGTCAGATAGGCTTTTTTCAGAGCATTAAGGGGAATATTACCCTGCCAGAGCCCTGTACTTGTTCAGCAAAGCCTCAGGGGTGCAATATCTAACCCATGGGTCCAAATGGCAGGTTCACGGCCCCAGTGGGTCCAGAAGGTAGGGGATCTAACCAAATAGGATTATTCTTCAATCATAAGATTTACTGGAATTTGCCTTGCCAAGTTTTAGACTTGCTTGGGACCTATCACCCCTTCCTTCTTTCCTAATTTTTCTCTTTGGAATGGGAATGTCTGTCCTATGCCTGTCCCACCATTGTATTTTGGAAGCATATAACTTCTCTCGTTTCATGGTTCAGAAGTGGGGAATAATTTTGCCTTAGGATGAATTGTACCTCAAGTCTCACCCATATCAATGAGCCTTTGGACTTTACAGTTTAGAGTTAATGCTGAAATAAGCAGGACTTTTGGTGCCATTGAGGTGGAATAAATATATTTTGCATGTAAGAAGGACAAAAATTTGGGGGTGCTGGGCAGAATGTTAATGAGTGAATATGTTCTAGAAAAAGCGCATTGAAGGAGAGAAAAATGTGCGAGAAAGAGACCAATCCATGGTGAAAAGTCAGTGGTTTACACTCCAGAGAAGAACTAATCAGCTCTGTTTTTATATAGCATAAGTTTAACATGCTGGGAAATGCTCCTTTGCCTTGGTTGGTGGTCAGGCAGAGAGAATTTAGAAGAAAACAAAGGTTCATTTAGCACTTGGAGGCACCAAGTATTAGCCTCTTTTTTTTTTCCCTAAGATACTAAACAAAAGTGTGATGTCACACAGATCTTACTGAACTGAATAACTGTGGGATTCCATGGTGACCTTAACATTTGAATTCACACTCCTACGCAATGGGTGGCTTTTTTCAGAATAAAGAGGTTTTTAAACACATGTGCTACAAAGCCCAGCAAGATCTCAGGAAAAGAATATGCGACAATTGAAGAGGGTGCCTCCACAGAAAAATTAATTATATGGTGACTTATGGATGAAACACACACAGTTGCTGCTCAGGCTGTAATATTATCCATGTTTAGCTAATTCCCAAAGAACAATGAATCACATATAAGTTGTAAATACTGGGCTTTTTGTTTTATAAAACCCCAAACAAATGTGTTACCATTTTGTACGTGAATAAGAACTTATATTAATAATCTCTTGGTCTGAAAATAGTACTGATAGGTCAAAAAAAAAAAAGGACAAAATATCCAGGAAAGATACACCCAAAAGAAATATAACCTAGAAAAATGAGGAAGTTTAATGCATGCTTTCTTGTGTTTTTCAATTCTTTCTTGCTAAAAAAGAATTATCATTATCACTTACAGAATTCAAAAGACTCTCCTCAGTTTTTTACAATATGCTGTGTCAAAGCAAGACCCTGATACCCCAACTGCAGAGTGTACTCCAGAGTCTGGCTCCTAGAGCATTTCTGATACCTAGAAAAGCAGACAGGAAAGCACATAACTATAAAACTAAAGCATTGCAAACCAGTCAGTGTGGCTGTTTAAAAAACATAAAGTCCTACACTGGAAACCTCTAATAGTCAGAGGTGGGAGAGGGTCTATAATCTCCAGCCCTGTACCTCACTTCCAAGAAGTCAACTGCAGTAAAACAGATTGCAGTAAAACAAATTTCAGACCACCTTCTGTCAGATGCAGACATTTATTATTAAAGAGTAGGTGTGAACTTTCTGGAGCAGCACAGTCCCTCTCTCTGACCTAAGACATAGCCAGCAGCCCTATGTATGGAACGCCCACTTCAGAGGGGACTCAAAGTCAGCATCTATAGTCTGATCCTGATCCTCTGAGGCAAGGGGGTCTGCAGGTCCACTAGAGTGCAGACCTGAAGTTCCACTCCATTGATACATACAGCCTGGTTACTGGGTATCTTCTCCTGTGTATTTATTCGGGCCAAAGTATTGGGTCCTGAATCACCATTCCAAGCAATCATAACCTAAATATCACTCATTTCAATTTCACTAATAATGATACATTATTAGTTAACTAAGCCTAGAGCATTCATTTTGAATAAGGAATTCATCTACTAAAAGCTCTCCCTAAAGCGCTGACTATAGGTAACTTGTATATACTCTGGACAATAGTATTTAGGATAAATTATCCCACAGACAGTATAACCAGAGGAAGCAACACTGGAGATTGGGCTTGAATCCAAACTTAATTGAAGACCTTCTAAGTGCTAGGTCTTTTGGGTTTAAGATAACTAGGCAAAAGGAAAGAAAAGGAATGGAATGAAAAACAAAACAAAATACTGTTGTCGTCCTCCATAATTTTACCACATATCCATGATAATAACCAATATGGCTACAAAAACTGAGTAGCAAAATCTCAGAAATTGATCAAAGTAAATCTGATCTGTGCTTCTGTGTGGATGGGGATGGTTTCAGACAGAATCTCTCTTTCACACAGTGGCCAGATCCAGTGCTCTCTCATCTCTGAAACTTGGTCCCCCAAATTTGGAAAAAATTATTCAGAAGATAGAATATCAAGGCAAAAATTCTAACTTAATTAGGTAAAGAAACTCATGCAAAAGTGAAATTTGCATGAAGAAGCAAGGTTAAATCAACTGGATTGCCCAAGGTTGACAACATTCAGCACCAGCAAAGAGAGTTATATCAACCTAAACAAGAAACAGACAGTCTTCTGTTGAAGGCAACATTCAGATTTGGTGAAGCACTATAGGCTGGTGACTATATATTTGCTAAATTTTTGTGTTGTGTCAAAGACCCCAAAACAATTCTTGGTACTCACACAATGACAATCAGAAAAACACCAGTAGACAGGAAGCCAGATCTGATATTGAAGGAGATGTGACAACCTTCCCTGTCAAAATATTTACAATAATTAAAACAAACTATAAATAGAAATAGTTATGAAACATAAAATGATAAAATATAATGTTATAAATATAAACAAATGATAAATATAAACAAAAAAGGAAACAGAATGTCAACATGGTTGACACTCTGCTTATAAAATACAGAAACAGATTTTTTTTGTCAGGAGATGAAATTATCTACTTTAAAACCTAGATGACAAGCAGATGGAAAAATAATTCTCTTTTAATCCCCGGCTAGCTGACTCATAGCCAAAAGGATATGGTAATATCAGTTGACAACAGAGCCACCCACTAAAAACATACAACTCACTAAGGAATAATGACTTTGCAGAGGAAGTAAAATTACAGATGTAAGAAATTAGGTCAAAACTTTCTTTTCTAACACCACCAGAAACCTTAAACTACTCTCTAGATAAAATCAACCAAAAAGCTGAATAAGTACATATGAATAGTTTAAATTTTAAGTGTATCACTGAGTTAAAAACAAACAAAAGGATTTGTGGGACCTCCCCATTGCTGCACAGAAAACTCAGGAGATAAGCCAGTGCCAAAGTCACCTCTGAGGGTTTCTGCCCAACCCTGAACACCTGAGTTTCCTCCAGTGACTGCACAATATCCAGGAAACAGGTGATAATGCTTAGCACTTACTCAGAAAAGTGGGAAATCTAATAGGATTTTCTGCCAGCAGTATAAAGATGAAGAAGAAGCAAAACCTGTTACCTAGGAGGAGATAGCAAGGAAATTTGCCTGTCTCAAGCCTTGTCATAGAGGAAGATGAGGTGGGGATGGAGAGAAAAGGGAGAATTCATAACCACAAAATTGCCCTCATAGAGATTTACAGTCTGAATTTACAGCACCTCTATTGTCTGTCAAATCTCTGGTAGAGAATAAAATTTAAAGAATTGGATTTAAATGCCAAGATGACTTTCAGACACAAATAAAAATCTAGGATAGAAATTAGTAAACAGATTCAAACAAATTGTCCAAAATGTAGCCCAGAAAAAATAAAAAACCTATGAAATTAAAAATAGGTTAAGATAACACATCTAGTCAGGGCTCCAAAAGAAATAATAAAGGAAATTGAGATGAAGCAAAATTAGAATAGATAAAGGGTAAGAATTTCTCAGAAATGTTGAAATACACTAGTCATGAGAATGAAAAATGGCAACTATAAATTCAAAATCCAAATGCAATTCCCAAAATCAATAAATTTAACCAAACAAATATAAAATTTCTGTATGGGTTAAAAAAACTCATAATTAAAATGAAAAAACAACAATAAACTAGTAAGAAAAGAGTTAAGGAGAAACAGAAAAGCTTAGGCAAATAGGAAACACATAATAAAATAATAGAACCAATAACATATATTAGTGATCATTATACATTTAAAATAATTCTTCATTTAAAATAAATTTTGTAATATTAAATTCAATATTTTTAAAAACCTGTTAAGTTTTGTTTGTAAGAGTCCCATTATCATAAAGAAATGAAAGAAAATGTGGAAAGAGTGAAAAAGATATATCAGATAAATACTAAACTGAAGAATGCTGGAATACCTATATTAAAACCGGACAAAATAAACATAAAGGCAAAAAAATATTAAAGATAAAGATGGTCGGCCGGGCGTGGTAGCTCACGCCTGTAATCCCAGCACTTTGGGAGGACAAGGCAGGTGGATTACAAGGTCAGGAGATTGAGACCATCCTGGCTAACATGGTGAAACCCCGTCTCTACTAAAAATACAAAAAAATTAGCCAGGCGTGGTGGCAGGTGCCTGTAGTCCCAGCTACTCGGGAGGCTGAGGCAGGAGAACGGCATGAATGCGAGAGGTGGAGCTGGCAGTGAGCCGAGATCGTGCCACTGCACCCCAGCCTGGGCAGCAGGGGGAGACTCTGTCCCAAAAAGGAAAAGAAAAGATAAAAATGGTCACTAAAAAACTAAAAATTGAATTTGAAAAAGAAAAATTGCAATTTTTAATGTTTATATACATAGTAACAAACTTTAAAATGAAGGGCAGAGGGTGGAATTCCATATGACTGATTAACCACAAAGAAGGACCAAAATGGTAAGTAGATAACCATACATCAAATAGAGCTTCTAAGAGAGAACACTGGAATTCAGCAGGAAAGTGACAGGGAACAACTGAGGCATAGAAAGAGAGGAAAGCGAAACAGCCAGCCTGGCTGGGATTGGTTCAAAGCTAGGAGAAACTCTCTATTGTAGGGAAAAGACAACTAAGATATCCCCAGTTGTTCATATTCTCACTATGGACCCCTGCAATCCTAGCCACAAGAGAGTTTCTTTGCCCTTATGGACTCTGATACTAGTACAGGAGATGTCTGGAGTCTACATAGTGACATTATTCCAGAGAAGGGGTTTGTGCTGAGTCCCACCCACCCCCTGAGACCCAAGCAGCTGCAGCACAGGGCCCTTTTGAGAGCCCAGTCCCCACCAGCTATATCCGCCTCTGGAGCCCAACAGCCCCTGAATCTCCACATTCCTGAAGCTCCACTTCCATCCCCCAACATCCATTCAGAGCACTGTAGCATTGCACCACCAGATGCACCCAGCAATGTGGCTGCGTCTCAAGGACTCTAACCAAGGCAGTGTCCTATACCCTGGGGAACAGGCAGTGCAGCACACTAGGAAAGCTGCCCCCAGGACAAAAGAAGCCAAAGCTTACTCTGCTTGCAGCCTAAGAACTAACTGCCTAAGGAGATTACCGCTGACAACAACCTCACTTCCTCCAGCCTCCTGTATGTACCTTCAGAGGGCCTGGGACTGGCCTGCTCAGGCACTGGGCCTAAGAACAAGCCTGTGTCACTCAGTGCCACTGGTGCCCACATGCATGGTCTGGGGTCCCAAGGATTGATCCACTCAACCTGCTCTGGCTGGCCTGTGCATTCCACCAGGGGGCCTAATGACAGGTCCACCCCACCCACCACTGCCATTGTTGAACATGTGTGCCATCCAGGGATCTGAGGAAAGGCCAGCCCCACCCATTTCCACTGCCACAAGTACCTGTGTGCACTATCAGGGGGCCTGAGAACTGAACCACCAAGCCAACCATCGCCACTGCTAGCACCCCCTACATGCCACTCAGGGGCCTGAGGATTGGACCGCCATTACTATTGCCACCACTGATGTCAACAGGGGCCCAAGAACCCACCCGTTCACCCACTCAGTCCAGCCACCATTGCCACCCAAGCAAGTCACCCGGAGGCCAAAAGGACCTGCCTGCCTAGACCCTTAATCACCATGCCTGGAACATCTCCCAGGGACCTGAGAAAAATCATGCCTGATGTCCTTGTCCCCAGTGGAGCCTTGCCACAGCCTCCACTAACAACTAAAGTCTAAGCCACTAAGTCACAGACACCACTGACACTGATTACAGCTAAAGAAATCATACAGAGACTACACTGCTGCACTCATCCAGAATCAAAGCCAAAGTACCCTACCCAGCCACTATAGATACATCTATAGGAAAATGTCTTTTCCTGTGAAAGCCAATACATAACATTAGGAGAAGCAACAGTTACACCAGATATGCAGATATCAATGTAAGGAACAAGAAACATGATAAAGCAAGGAAACATGACATGTTTCCAAAGAAACACAATTCTCCAGTAACTGGTCCCAACAAAAAGAAAATCCATGAATGGCCTTAAAAATAATTAAAAATAATTATATTAAAGAAATTTGATGGAATACTAGAGAATACAGATAATGCAAATAAATAAGAAAAACACTTCATGATCTACAGAAGAAGTTTAACAAGGAACAGATATCATAAGAGAACCAAATAGAAATCCTGGAACTAAAGAATTCAATAAATGAAAGAAAAAATACAACTGAGAGCTCCAACAACAGACCAAGCAGAAGAAAGAAAGTTGTTGTTGTTTTTTCTTTTTTTTTGAGACAGAGTCTCACTCTGTTGCCAGGCTGGAGTGCAGTGGCATGATCTCAGCTCACTGAAACATCCACCTCCCAGGTTCAAGCAATTCTCCTGCCTCAGCGTCCAAAGTAGCTGGGACTACTGGCATATGCCACCACGCCCAGCTAATTTTTTTGTATTTTTATTAAAGACAGGGTTTTACCATGTTGGCCCGGATGGTCTTGATCTCTTGACCTCGTGATCCACCCATCTTGGCCTCCCAAAGTGCTGGGATTACAGGTGTGAGCGACCGCACCTGGCCAGAAGAAACAATTTCTAAATTTGAAGACAGGTCGTTTGAAATAACCCAGTCAGAAACAAACAAACAAAAAAGAATTTAAAATAATGAAGAAAGTCTCTGTGACATGTGGGAAACAATAAAGCAACCAAATATTCAAATGTTGGGAATTTAAGAAGGGGAAGAGAATATAAAAAACATTAAAAGTCCACTAATAAAATAATTGCTGAAAAAAATCCCAAGTTTAGCAAGAAATTTAAACATCCAGATACTGGAAGCTCAGAGATCCTGAAATAAATATAAACCAAAGGTCTTCTTTAAGGCACATTATAGCCAAATTGTCAAAAGTCAAAGACAAAGAGATAATTCTAAAAACAGTAAGAGAAAAGCATCTAGTCACTTGTAAGGGAACTCTCATCAGACTAAGCAAATTTTTCAGCAGAAACCTTTCAGGCCAGGAGAGAACAGGATGATATATTCAAAGAACTGAAAGACAAAAGAAAATCAGCCAAGAATACTTATTACTTATAAATGAAGGAAAAATAAAGTCTTTCCCAGACAAGCAAAAGCTGAAGGAATTTATCACCACTAGACCAGTCCTACTTCAAAAGCCTAAGGGAATGCTACACCTAGATGCAAAAGGATGATACCTACCATGAACAAAACACACAAAACTATGAAAACCAATGGTAGAGAAAACACATAAATAAGAAAGAGGACACAAATGTCAAGACTACAGAAACCATCAAATCACAATGACAAACATAAGAGACAAAGGAAGGAACAAAGAATATAAAAAACAATTAGGAATTAATTAATAAAAATACAGTAATAAGCTCTCACATATCAATAACAATCTTCAATGTGAATGAATTAAACTTTCCACTTAAAAAATATAGGCTGGTTGAATGAATTAAAAAACATGATCCAACTATATGCTGCCTATAGGAAACTTATCTGTAAAGACACATATATACTGAAAGTAAAGAGAGAGAAAAGGATATTCCATGCAAATGCAAGCCAAAAGTGAGCAGGAGTAGCTATATTTATGTCAGATGAAAGAAACTTTAAGTAAAAAACAATAAATAGAGACAAAGAATTGTTACATCCTCTTGCTGAATTAATCCTTTTATCATTATATAAATATGGGGATACATATAAAGATAAAGCAATTAGTTCAGCAAGAGGCTATAACAATTCAAAATATATATGCACCCAACTTTGATGCACCCAGATATATAAAGCAAATATTAGATCTAAAGGAAGAAATAGACTCCAATACACTATTAGTTGGGGTCTTCAACACCCTACTCGCAGCATTAGGAAGATTATTTACACAGAAAATTAACAAAGAAATATTGAATTTAAACTATACTTTAAAAACCATATGGACCTAACACATTTACAGAACATTTTATCCAATAGCCACAGAATAAACATTCTTCTCATCAGCACATAGAACATTATCCAGGATGGACCATATATTAGACCACAAAACAAGCCCCAGCAAATTTTTAAAAACCAAAATTATATCAAGATTATTTTCAGACAACAATGGAATAAAACTATAAAGCAATTACAATAATTTTCATCTGTTTTGTTTACTGCTGTATTCCCAGAATCTAAAGTAATGCTTACTACAATGTTGATGCTGAATATTTATTGATCTAATAAGTGATGTTAAATTTACATTTATTTTACAAATTCTCTAAGATATTTTTACTTAGATGATATTTTAGAACTACATGTTTAAGTCAGAATATCCCTTAAATAGAGGTTTGTTAAACTTAAAAAGCAATTTCTTTAGAAATGACATCCTTACTCCAAACTTTGTGAATCCTATTATCTCCAAGTATTTGACTTTTATTATATGTCAAAGTATTTTTATACATATATAACTACAGGAAAATTATACATAGTATAATATAATATATATAAGTAATATGTATATATTACTACAGGAAAATTATATGTAAAGACACATAGAAAGTAAAGAGATGAAAAAGGTATAAAGTGTGTGTGTGTATATATTTATAAATATGTGTATAAAAATATACTTTATATACAAATAAACCTTATATACCTTGGATTGGAGATAGACATACATATCTACACGCCCTGTGCAAGTCTGAAATCCAGCCCTACTGGGGGTCTGTAGCCCCTTTCTTTTGGCCAATTTTTCCCTTTTGGAATGGGAGTATTCACCTAATGCCTGTATCCCCATTGTATCTTAGGAATAACTAACTTGTTTTTTATTTTACAGGTGGAGGAGGCTAGCCTAGTCTCAGACAAGACTTTGGACTTTGGACTTTTCAGTTAATGCTTGAAATGAGTTAAGACTTTTGGGGACTGCTGGGAAGGCATGACTGTATTTTGAAATGTGAGAAGGACATGAGATTTGGGAGGGGCCAGGAGAAGAATAATACAGGTTGGATCTGTGTCCCCACCCAAATCTCATGTGGAATTGTAATCCCCAATGTTGGAGGTGGGGCCTGGTGGGAGGTGATGGAATCATGGCGGCAGCTTCTCATGGTTTAACACCATCCCACTTAAGACTGCAGAGTAAGTGAATTATCACAAGATTTGGTTTTTTAAAAGTGTGTGGCACCTTCCCCGTCTCTCTCTTCTTCTGCTCCAGCCAAGTAAAATGTGCCTGTTTTCCCTTTGTTTGTCGCTATGGTTGTAAGTTTCCTGAGGCTTCCCCAGAAGCAGAAGATGCTATGCTTCCTGTACAGCCTGCAGAACCATGAACCAATTAAACCTCTTTTTTTTTTAAATAACCAGTCTCAGGTATTGCTTTATAGCAGTGTGAGAACAGACTAATACAACCACCTCTACATAAATCTGGAGTTGTCTTCTTCTAGGATGGGGTACAACTAGTGAGGATTCATGGCCTGGCCATGGCCATCTTCCAAGAAGACTTCATCACCAAATCTGTTCTTAATTAATTGCACCTGGTTTTGGGATGTTATCTCTATTGCATTTTAATGTCTGCAAAAATATCCTTTGGCATTAACATTTAATGACATCATCTTCACATACATTGGACAAAGCCTCTTTCATTCTTGTGTGTGATTTTCTAATACACTGTTATATTCATAAACTCTGGAAGTTTATTAGGAGACAACAAGAAATAAAAGATTTCAGACTAAGACAGAAACCTTCAAAGAAAATATCCCAAAACTTGTGACATGATTTTAAACTCCTATCCCTATTAAAGTTACAAAATAACCAGATTTTTTGAATATTAAAAGTACTGCTTTTAATACACAAAAATTTGAATGTGTCCCCTGAAATTGATGACATAGCAGACTTACATCTAACTCACCTGATAAGTCAGCTTGCTGATGAATAACAGGCAGGTTGGAAAGGTGGCTACTTTTAGATCTATCTTTATTCCTTCAGTTTATTGAAACAAAAGATACATGAATGCTTACCTCTCCCTTGGACCGGATTACATAGCAGCATTAGCTAAGACACCTAATGTTATAGAGAATCATGAAACATATATTTGTGGCCATAAAACCCAAAGAAAATCTATATATTATTTCTAATATATAAAATAAAAATACGATGTGTATGTTAGACTTTTCTTCACAGGAATATAAATTCTACTCAGGATTACATTGAAGGTAAAATGTACATGTTAATGCCACTTTTTGTCTTATTACTGTCAGGAGACATCAGAGGATTCAAATTTTGCTAGAAACTCACCCTGGTTGTTTTAGTTACTAATCCTCTTATTGCAACATATTGAGCATATTTTGTATAAGTAATCATAATTCAAAACTTGAAATAAATAAAATAAAAATTCTTTTCAGGGAAAAAACTTTTACTCACTTTTTTGAATGAACATTATGTGAAGCAGAAGATCAGCCCCAAGGGCAGGGGCTTTTGTTTGTTTAATTTAGTGTGGATTTCCCAGTGCTTAGCCCAACAGCCTGGCAGTTTGTCAATGCTCAATTAGTATTTGTTGAATGAATGAATTTGGATAATGATCATAATGCTTCTTTATTTCTTAAAGTAAAAGCATGCAGCTGAGTAAACTAAATACTCCCAATCTGATCAAATAATCAATCAATATTTTAGAATCTATTTTAATAATAGTCATTATTTAAGGAACACCAAATATGTGCTAGGCACTAAAGTAAATTAACACATTTAATTCTTACAGCAATTCTATTTGAAGGACAACTGATATTTTGCCCATCTTATCACTGAGAAACTCATTGACAATTGCCTTTCTAAAGGTCATAGGGTAATCGTAGAGACAGAATTTGGTTTCATGCTTGCCTAACAACAAAGCCTTTTTCACTTTACTACCTTAACTTATGGCCATTTCCCTTGAGCCAAACCAGGTTTTCTCACTCCTTTATAACCAATGCCCTCACTTGACAAACAAATATCTCTTGAATTACTTGATTATACATTAAATACCATGATTGAAAGCAAGTCAAAGCAAAGAGGAATAAACTTCAGTGTTTTCATGCTTTAACACCTATGCCCCTAGATTCTGATGCCTCCCCACCCTTCTTTTCCCAACCCTATCTCACCACATTGAGAAACACAGTCCTAAATGATACTTTTTATTAAGCTTTTGTGTGGTTGGTTTATACTGATACATATATAATTGCCTATTCTTAGGTTAATTATATGAAATTTATTTTTAAGTAATCTGTACATTGAAGACTTCTCAGATAATTTCGTGGAATTTCTTATCAGTTCTTAAGTTCTAAACACAATATGATTCCAATGAAATAGTTGAAAGGGAGTTCATTTAGTGTGCTTTAAACTTATTCCTGAACCTGAAAAATGTTCTATATATCAAGAATCTCAAGTGGTAAATTTGTTAAATAACTACATTGAATAAATTATCAAAGGGCAATTTTTATTTCTAAATCTGGGCAATGGTAACTGCTACAGAACTGCCTGCTTATGCTGAAGCAGGAGTGAGAACTAAAGCAGTGTTCACTGCCCTAAAGAAAATTATTGTGCTTAATGTTGGTAGAAGGCATAAGAGGAAGGCATGGTTGGTAGCAAATTGTACTTACAAAGATTTTTAAAGCAGAAATTATTTTCTTTCTAAATTCAAAATATATACCTTTAAAACCGAGAAATCTTAGGGTTTCAAAAGATACCATTTCCATGGTCCTGGGCAATAGTATACTAAATTATTACTAGAACTAACATTTAGTAAACACTTAACATGGGCCAGGTACAGTGCTAAATGCTTTACAATTATTATTCCATGTGAAACTCACGGCAACCCCATGAGGAAGATACTGTTAGTCCCCTCATGTGGTAGTTGAAAAAGCCAAGGCTTAGAGAGGTTAAGGAATTTATCCAAAGTCATATTGATAGAAAGTGGTCAAGGCTGATTCAGAAAGATTGGTCTGACTCCAGAGCTTAAATTCTAATAAAGCTATGTTTTCCTGGATTTAGTATTCTTCACATGGAAAACTGAAGATTTTTAGAGAGATTATCTGTAACATTAATTCCTGCTATAATGGTCTCTGTATCTCAAGATCTGTCTCCACATTTTTCTAGGTGACTCAACCATTGGACACATCCAATTAACCTAATTCTTTCTGATTGGAGTGGGTGAGGGGTGGGAGAAGGAGCATGCCTTCAAAATCAGTAATCATTTTTAAATGAATAAGTTAACATTTAAAAATGTAAGTTCAATTTCTTCAGGATCACAGAATAATTAATAGTTTATAGAGGTTTCAACTCATTTGTTCTGAGTCTTAGCCCTTTATTTTTTTATTTCAATAAGGTATATTGGGAAGATATAAAGCATACCAAATATAAATAATTGAAACATGACTATTCCTATATTCAGATAACATAATCCTTTAGGCCTTCTCTGAGCATGAGCAATTAAATATATTTTCTTTTCAGTAATATGTGCCATCTGAACTGTAAAACAATTTCCCAGAGATTTCCTGGAGTAGCTCAGACCGTATCTCATCACTGCCTTTCAGTATTGGTGCTAAAGGATTTGGCTTCACTCATTCTTGCAAATGAAATTTCTCCTTTCCGGGTGTTATGGTCTGAATTGTGTTTCCCCAAAATGTATATGTTAAAGGCCTGATCTTTCAGTATGTGACTATACTTGGAGGTAGAGGCTTTGTAAATGTGATTAAGTTATAATGATGCTGTTAATGTGGGCCCTAATTCAATCTGACTAGTGTCCTTAGAAGAAGAGAAAATTTAACACACAGACACCTTGGAGTGCACACACACAGAAGAAAGACCATGTGAGGACACAGTGAAGATGGCCATCTGCCAGCAAATGAAAGAGGTCTCAGAAGAAACAACACTGCCAACAATTTGATCTTGGACTTCCAGCCTCCAAAACTGTGAGAAAATACATTCCTGTTGTTTAAGCCCCAGTCTATGGTCCTTTGTTATGGCAGCCCTAGCAACTACAACACAGGATTTTTCACAAGAGGTCCTCCAATAAGGCTACTTCTCCAATGTAAGACATGTGGTAATATTGACTCTGCCTCTATCCACCCCTTCCTCACCCCAACTCAAATGACCTTACCAACCCCAACTCATCTCCAGTTGACCTTTCTAATTTTTGCCATTAAGATAAGCCAGTGTGCATTGCATAAAGATATAAATAAATCAATTAAAACTCAATGTACATCCTAAAACAAATGTAATTTTGGCCTTGTCCAGATATGATAGTAACTTCAAGAATGAAAGCTGTATTCATATTTACAAGATTTTTGTGTTTAAAATGTTGATACAGTGCAATTATTTGACTACATCGGAGGTTTGTGTGCTGATACTTTGATAGAGGACATAGCTATCTGCAGACAATCCAGAAATGTACAGCACTGAGCATAGAGAAATGGAAATAAATAACTAGATTCCTGCTCCAAGATGGCCAACTAGATGCAGCCGGGAGGAACATCTCCCACCAGGGGACTGCAACATTGGGAAGACTGGCGCACTCCTAGCCAACCTTCAGAGGGAAGGCATTGAGAGCAAATGGAGGGAAGACACAGAAGCTGGGCTGAAGGGGAAGGAAGCTGGGAACCCTGCACAGGGATACTGTGCACGGGAACTCATTTCTAACCCACAATGACTCCTGAGGAGGAGGACAGGCAAGGAGCAATCAACTCTCACCACAGGCCTCTGGAATCTTGGCAGGAGGAGACCCCTTGACCACCATGGACACTTGAGTTGGCAGGGAAAAGCTGCTTAGAGCAGTGGTAGGGGCACAATTCCAGCTAGTGCAGAGCCCAGAGGGTTTGATGCAGAAACATCTGTAGTGGAGCATGGCCAGAGATGTCCATTGCCCTAGGCTTGACTTGCTCCCATGTGAGACTTTAGCCCTAGGGAACTGTAGAACCTGAACTCTGCAGGGAGGTCGTGCCCATGAGATGGTGCTAGTCTGACCTGAGCACTCCTTGGTCTGCTGGCTTCTCCTGGGGCCCCAGTCTGACCACACCTACTTGCAGTGCAACCCCCAGGTACCTCT
Source organism: Homo sapiens (assembly GCF_000001405.40). Lineage (NCBI taxonomy): Eukaryota > Metazoa > Chordata > Mammalia > Primates > Hominidae > Homo > Homo sapiens. The sequence goes on from NC_000007.14 coordinate 20,495,969, forward strand.
GAGGGCCTGCATCATAGCTCCTGCATTAGTGGACCACACCTGATTATCAGAGTGCTGCAGCAGAGTGACCCCCACTGACATGCACCAGCCTGCCCATGCCCTCCCCACACTGCAGCCTCCCCTATGCCACATTGCTTGCAGGCACTTGCCCAGGCCACCTGCCCAATATGCTTTGCCAGCATCTATATGTATGGGCGGACCTTCCCCTTCCTTCCCCGCCAGCTCACATGTATGCCTGTATCCTGCCATGCCACTGCTGCCAACATCAGTGCACCCCACCCTACCGCTACCTGCTGCACTGCCATTGTCACTGGAGCCCAGGGAGGCGTGCAGCCCACCAATCCTGTCCCTGCCAGCACCTCACTCCTGTGCCAACATTATCACTTGAGTGAAACTAGGCACAGAGAGCAGCAGAACCTCCCCTGCCCCGAACATCCACAGATGGTGCACAGAGACCTGCCCCTCCAGTGTCCTGCCCCCTTGCCAATGCCTCCACCAGTGTGACTGCACACATAGTTGCCAATAAGTGGGCCCCTGCCCCAACAAGCTGTGCTGGTTCTGCCGCTACTGTGAACACCTGCACAAAGGCAGGCACCTGGCACCCGCTAGTACCCTGCCACAGTTGATGATCATACATCTCATCATGCTGCCACTGCTGCTGACACATGCCAATGAGGACAGATCCTGCTGCCACTGCCCTATAAAGTGCTTTGACTGGCACCACCCATTGAAGTGTTGTGACCAGAAGTCTGGGAGCACCTCAGCCCATCCAGTGCAGCAGGTCCCTAACCTTGAGGAGCCAGAGAACAAAGCCAGGTCCCAATAGTAGTCCACCAGAGTTAGAGCATGCAGTCCAGGAGTCCTTAGCTGAGCCTTGGTCTCCTAAAGTCTTCTAGTAATGAAGGCAGTTGACTGAACCCACCTCATACCACAATCAAACCCCAAAGGTCATCAAATAGGATAAAAGGAATAGAAATCCCATACAAAGAACAACAACTTCAAAGATTTAAGGACCATCAGCCCACAAAGATGAGGAAAAAACACTGTTAGAACTCTGACAACTCAAAAAACCAGAGTGCCTTCTTTCCTCCAAATGACCATACTACCTTTCCAACAAGAGTTCTGACCTGAACTGAGATGACTTAAATAGCAGAAATAAAATTTCAGAATATGGATAGAAATAAAGATCATAAAGATTCAGGAGAACATTGAAACCCAATCTAAAGAATTAGGAATCACAATAAAACAATACAGGAGCTGACAGACAAAAAAGCTGGCACAGAAAAGAACACAACCAACCTGAAAGAGCTGAGAAACACACTACAAAAGTTTTATAATGCAATCATAAGTATTAACAGCAGAATAGACCAAGCTGAGGAAAGAATTTCAGAGCTTGAAGAAAGACTTTCTGAAGGAAGACAGCCAGACAGGAATAAAGAAAATATAATGAAAGGGAAAAAACAAAACCCCCAAGAAATATGGGATTATGTAAATAAACTGAATGTATGACTCATTGGTGTCCCTGAAAGAGATAAGAGGAATGGAAACAACTTAGAAAACATACTTCAGGATATCATCCATGAGAATTTTCCCAACAGAGCTAGAAAGGACAACATGCAAATTCAGGAAATTCAGGGAATCTCACAAAAGACTTCAAAAGAAGATCATCCCCAAGACACATAATTATCAGATTCCCCAAAGTTGAAATGAAAGAAAAAATGTTAAAGGCAGCTAGAGGACAGGTCACTTACAAAGGGAAGCCCATCAGACTAACAGCAGACCTCTCAGCAGAAACCCTACAAGCCAGAAAAGATTGGAGGCCCATATTCAGCATTCTGACAAGTAAGAACTGAGAGAAATCATTACCACCAGATCTGCCTTACTAGAGCTCCTGAAAGAAGTACTAAATATAGGAGGAGGAGGGGAAGACTGTTATCAGCTACTGCAAACACAAACTTAAGCATACAGACCAGTGACACTACAAAGCAACTAAATAAATCAGTCAGCATAATAAACACCTAATATGACAGCATTAAATCCACACATGTCAATATTAACCTTGAATATAAACGGGCTAAATGCTCCAATTAAAAAGCAGAGTGGCACCTTGATAAAGAAGCAAAACCCAATGGTATGCTGTCTTCAAGAGACTCATCTCTAATGCAATTATACCCATGGGTCCAAAATAAAGGGATGGAGAAATATCTACCAAGTAAATGGAAAACAGAAAAAAAGCAGACACTGGAATCCTAATTTCAAACAAAACAGGCTTTAAACCAACAAAGGTCAAAAAAGACAAAGAAGGGTATTAGCTAATGGTAAAGGGTTCAATTCAACAAGAAGACCTAACTATACTAAATATATATGCACCCAACACAGGAGCACTCAGATTCATAAAGCAAGTTCTTAGACCTTCAAAGAGACTTAGACTCTCATCCAACTATAGTGGGGTACTTCAACACCACACTGACAGTATTAAACAGATCACAGAGTCCAAAAATTAACAAAGATATTCAGGAGCTGAACTCAACACTAGACCAAATGGATCTGATAGACATCTACAGAACTCACCACCCCAAAACAACAAAATATACATTCTTCTCATCTGCAAATGGCACTCTAAAATCAACCACACAATCAGACATAAAACAATCCTCAGCAAATGCAAAAGAACCAAAACCTTACCAACCACTCTCTCAGACCACAGCACAATAAAAACAGAATTTACAACTAAAGAAAATTGCTCAAAATCATACAATTACATGGAAATTAAAAAATAACCCTACTCCTGAATGACTTTTGAGTAAATAATGAGATTAGGGCAGAAATGAAGTTCTTTGAACCTAATGAGAACAAAGACACAACCTACCAAAATCTCTGGGACATGGCTAAGGCAGTGTTAAGAGGGAAATTTATAGCACTAAATATCCACATCAAAAAGTTAGAAAGATCTCAATTTAACAACCTAACCTCACAACTGAAAGAACTAGAGAGGCAAGAGCAAACATATCCCAAAGCCAACAGAAGACAAGAAATAACCAAAATCAGAGCTGAACTGAAGGTGACTGAGACATGAAAAACTACTGAAAGAATCAATGAAGCCAGAAGCTGATTTTTTTGAAAAAAAAAAAAGTATAAGATAGATATACCACTAATTAGACTAATAAATGAGAAAAGAGAGATAGAAATACACACAATCAGAAATGACAAAGGAGATATTACCACTGACTCCACAGAAATACAAATAACCATCAGAGACTATTATGAACACCTCTACACATAGAAACTAGAAAATCTAGAAGAAATGGATAAATTCCTACACAAATACACCCTCCCACGACTGAACCAGGAAGAAATAAAATCCCTGAGCAGACCAAAAATGAGTTCCAAAATTAAATTAGTAATAGCCTACCAAACATAAAAAGCCCTAGACCAGACAGATTCACAGCTGAACTCTACCAGATTTACAAAGAAGAGCTGGTACCATTCCTACTGAAACTATTCAAAAATTGAGAAGGAGGAACTCCTCCCTAACTCATTCTATGAGGCCTACCAAAACCTATCAGTGACACAACAGAAAAAGAAAGCTTCAGGCTAATATCCTTGACGAACATAGATGCAAAAATACTAGCAAACCAAATCCAGCAGCACATAAAAAAGCTAATCCACCATGATCAACTAGGCTTTATCCCTGGGATGCAAGGTTGGTTGAACATATGTGAAACAATAAACATGATTCATGACATGAACAAAACCAAATACAAGAACCACAGGATCATTTCAATAGATACATTAAAGGCCTTTGACAAAATTCAACAACCTTTATGTTGAAAACTATATCAAAAAACTAGATATTGAAGAAACATACCTCAAAAGAATAAGAGCCATCTGTGACAAACCCATACCTAACATCATGCTGAATGGGCAAAAGCTGGAAGCATTCTCTTTGAAAACTGAACTAAGACAAGAATACCCTTTCTCACCTTTCCTATTCAACATAGTGTTGGAAGTCCTACCCAGAGCAATCAGTCAAGAGAAGGAAATTAAGGAAGAAAGTTGAACTACCCTGACATCATTTTATATCTAGAAAATCATATAGTCTCAGCCCAAAAGCTCCTTCAGCAAACAATTTGCTAAAAAAATTCAGTAAAAATTCAGGATATAAAATAAATGTGAAAAAAAAAAAACCACTGGCATTCCTATACACTAAAACACCCAAGCAGAGAGCCAAATCAGGAACAAACTCCTGTTTACAATGGCCATAAAAAGAATAAAATTCCTGAGAATACAGCTAACAAGGGAGGTAAAAGATCTCCACAATGAGAATTATAAAACATTGTTCAAAGAAATCAGAGATGACACAAACAAATGGAAAAATATTCCATGCTCATATATAGGAAGAATCTATATTGTTAAAATGGCCATACTGCCCAAAGAAATTTATAGATTCATTGGTATTCCTATCAAGCTACCAATGACATTTTTCATACAACTAGAAAAACTATTTTAAAATTCATATGGAACAAAAAAAAACCCTAAATAGCCAATCCTAATCAAAAAGAACAATGCTGGAGGTATCATGCTACCCAACTTCAAACTATAATACAGGGCTATGGTAACCAAAACAGCATGGCACTGGTACAAAAATAGACACATAGACCAATGGAACAGAATAGAGAGCCCAGAAATAAGGATACATACCTACAACTATCTCATCTTTGACAAAGCTTACAAAAACAAACAATGAGGAAAGGACTCCTTATTCAATAAACGGTACTGAAATAACTGGCTAGCCATATGCAGAAGATTGAAACTGGGCCCCTTCCTTATGCCATATAAAATAATCAGCTCAGGATGGATTAAAGACTTAAATGTAAAACCTAAAACTATATAAACCCTGGAAGACAACCTAGGCAATACCATTCTGGACATAGGAACTGGCAAAGATTTCATGATAAAGACACCAAAAGCCATCGCAACAAAAGCAAAAATTGACAAATGGGATCTAATTAAACTAAAGAGCTTCTGCACAGCCAAAGAAACTATCAACAGAGTAAACAGACAACCTACAGAATGAGAGAAAATAATTGCAAACTATGCATCTGAGAAGGTTTAATTATCCAACATTACAAGGAGCTTAAACAAATTTACAAGGAAAAAAAAACATTAAATAGTGGGCAAAGGACATAAACAGACACTTTTCAAAAGAAGACATACATGTGGCCAAAAAGCACATTAAAAAAGATCAATATCACTGATCATTAGAAAAATGCAAATTAAAACCACAATGAGATATCCTCTCACACCAGTCAGAATGGCTATAATTTTTTTAAACTTCTATTTAAGTTCAGGGGTACATGTGTAGGTTTGTTACATAGGTAAACTTGTGTCATGGGGTTTATTATACAGATTATTCCATCACCCAGGTATTAAACTTGGTTTCCATTAGATTTTTTTTTTTTTTTTTTTTTTTTTTTTTGCTTATCCTCTTCCTCCTCCTACCCTCCACCCTCCAATAGGCCCCAGTACATTGTTTCCCTCCATGTGTCCATGTGTTCTCAGCATTTAGCTCTCACTTATAAGTGAGAACATGTGGTATTTGGTTTTCTGTTCCTGCATTAGTTTGGTAAGGATAATGGCTTCCAGCTGCATCCACGTCCCTGAAAAAGACATGATCTTATTCTTTTTCATGGCTGCATAGTATTCCATAGTGTATATGTACCACATTTTCTTTATCCATTCTTCCACAGATAGCATTTAGGTTGATTCTATGTCTTTGCTATTGTGAATAGTGCTGCATTGAGCATACATGTGCACGTGTCTTCATGATAGAATGATTTCTATTCCTTTGAGTACATATCCAGTAATGGGATTGCTGAGTCGAATGGTATTCCTGTCTTCAGGTCTTTGAAGAATCACCACACTGCCTTCTATAATGGCTGAACTAATTTACACTCCTGCCAAGAATATATAAGTGTTCCCATTTCTCCACAACCTGGCTAGCATCTATTATTTTTGGACTTTTTAATGATAGCCCACAATGACTGTAATGAATATACCTGTGTGCCTTTATGATAGAATGACTTATATTCCCCTGGTGTATTCCTTTGGGTATAGCCAAAGCAATGTAAATCATGGGGAAAATGCCTTTATCTCCTTTTGATGAGAATATTAGAAAAATAATATATTTTTGGAAACATAATATTTAGAGACATAATATATGTCTCCAAAGTTAGGCTTATACTTTGTTTCTCAATGATAGCCCAGAATGGCTATTATTAAAAGTTATAAGGGGAAGGTAAATTATGAGAACACATGGACACATGGGGGGAACAACCGAAACTGGGATCTACTTGAGGGTGGAGGGTGAGATGAGGAAGAGGATCAGAAGAAATATTGGGTACTAGGCTTATTACCTGAGTGACAAAATATCTGTACATTAAACCCCCCATAACAAACCTGCACATATACCTGAACCTAAAATAAAAGCTTTTTTTTTTTTTTTTTCAGACGGAGTCTCGCTCTGTCGCCCAGGCATGATCTCTGCTCACTGCAAGCTCTGCCTCCCAGGTTCACGCCATTCTCCTGCCTCAGCCTCCTGAGTAGCTGGGACTACAGGCGCCTACCACCACGCCCGGCTAATTTTTTTTTTTTTTTTTTTTTTAGTAGAGATGGGGTTTCACCATGTTATCCAGGATGGTCTCGATCTCCTGACCTCGTGATCCGCCTGCCTTGGCCTCCCAAAGTGCTGGGATTACAGGTGTGAGCCATCGTGCCTGGCAAAAGTTTTTTAAAAATAAAATAAAATGTTTATGGAAACGTATAAAGAAATACAATAAACGACCAGCATAAAAGGATAAATTTTCATAAATGTTATCAATTTTTTTGTCATTCTACATTATTCTGTTTTCAAAATGAAGCCAAATCGAGATGATCTGTTTACAGATTATTTTATATGGTTTGTTTATAGGAGCCCAGACTCCAACAACACCTTCACCTCACCTAAATCACTTAAATATAATGCGGCATACGTCCCAAGCCAGGGCAAATATCAGATCTAATCAGGAAAAAGGAATAGATGGGTCATTTTCACTAACTTTCAAAGATTTTTTTTTTTTTTTTGAGACAGAATCTCACTCTGTTGCCCAGGCTGGAGTGCAGTGGTGCCATCTCGGCTCACTGCAACCTTTACCTCCTGGGTTCAAGCGATTCTCCGGCCTCAGCCTCCTAAGTAACGGGATTACAAGACCTACCACCACGACTGGCTAATTTTTGTATTTTTAGTAGAGACAAGGTTTCACCATGTTGGCCAGGCTGGTCTCAAACTGCTGGCCTCAAGTGATCTGCCAGCCTTGGCCCCGCAAAGTGCTGGGATTACAGGTGTGAGCCATGGTGCCTGGGCTCAAAGATAGCTTTAAATGCTCTCATATTAATGCTTCATGCTAACTTGTTTCTTATCCTGTCATTAGAGTAGTGGGTCTAACATTTACCATATGTTGACCATTCGTGCAATTTATCAACCAATCTGGTATACTTCTGAGCATGAAACTAGGAGCTATTAATAATTATGCTAGAAAGACAGATGAAAGTTGGATTGATGCTAGGAAAATCAAGACATATCACTCTTCTATAACTAAAGGACATACAGCACAATAACAATTTATATATTAACAATAGCTAGAAATTTGGTTTTCAGCTCAGCAAAACAAATAGAAAAAAAATTTTAATTATATCACAAAGTGAAAAGTTGAGCACATGGTGATTGTTTGGCAGTCAGCCATCAACACTATCAACAGTACATACGAATGCTGTGTCTATGTAAAAATCTACAGGCAAAGAGTCATGGGGAAAAATGCATTTATCTCCTTTTGATGAGAGTAAATATTGGAAAAATATATTATATCTCCAAAGTTATGCTTATACTTCCTAAAAAAGTTTATTTTAGTTACTATATTTGCATTTTTACTGGCATAAGACCTGGTATATATTTTTGTCTCCAAAAGGTTGAAGAGGATTTGGGCAAAGAATCATAAAAAGGAAAAATATTTCTCTGGATCAGCAGGCTGCTTATGGATGATGTTAACAGCACAAATCCAACTTTTGTTTGTGTGTTTCAAGTACATGTTTAACTAAAACTTTAGTTCTCATCTGTTTTGAGCCATTTTTATACTGCACAAGGAATACACAAAACCCTTCACATACGGCACACAGTCCCCATTGGTGGTGCTTCACTGATTTGGCCTAAGGCTATCATTGGCTCCTCCTTTCTGCATGTTCCCCCTAACGACTTAGCATTCTTGACCCTCTGTATTGCCTGCATCCTTCCCTGCTGCCCTGTCGGGATGATCAGCTCCTAAAAGTCAGAGGCTCTCTGCTGCTCAGCATTGCTTCTTTACCATCCAACATACATGCTTGAAATAGAATGTATTTCATAAATTTTTGCCAAATGAACTAAAAGGAAGAAATCCATACTTCTTGGCCTTGTTTAAGAGGAACATCTTCAGATTTTCTTTTAGCATTTTTTTTTTTTTTTTTTTTTTTTTTTTTTTGAGACAGGATCTTACCCTGCCGCCTGGGCTGGAGTGCAGTGGTGCGATCTTGGCTCACTGCAAACTCCACCTCCCAGGTTCAAGCGATCCTCCTGCTTCAGCCTCCCGAGTAGCTGGGGTTACGCCTGGTGGCACATGCCCAGCTAATTTTTGTATTTTTAGTAGAGACAGGGTTTCACCATGTTGGCCAGGCTGGTCTCTAACTCCTGACCTCAAGTGATCTGCCCACCTCGGCCTCCCAAAATGCTGGGATTACAGGTGTGAGCCACCACACCTGGTCTCTTTTAGCATCTTAAATTATGGAGAAATGAAAAGGGCACCAAGAAAATAAATAAAAATATGGATTCTGTAAGAAAGGGGTACTGAAGTTTTGGTTTTGTTTTCTTTCTTTTTTTTAATCTTGCAAATAGAAGACCACTATATTAATGCCTGCAAGTTGATGAAAGATAGTGCCCAGTGAATATCTGCCAAAAATTGAAAAGGAATTTGGCTTAATTTGCAACAATAGGATAATGTAGGTTGAATACACCTAAAAAAGAACACCATATCGACTACAACAGTAATTAAGTAGTTCACCTAGGCAAGGCTGTGGCCTTTTTTACCTTCAGGGAAATTTAAATGAGAGTGTCTACTTAGATAAGTCAGGCTTTTACACGTCTCAGGCAATAGGGGAACCAAGTGACCCCATAAAGTCTCTTCCAGCCCTTGGATTGATTATCCATTAAGAGTAAATTTGAAATCACAAACTGAACACCGAAAAATTATAAGCAACTTTTAACTAGAATGCACATTTAGATTTTAATTGAGCCATACTGAAATCATGGTTCTGGCTGATAAAAGTATCTCAAAAAATAAATTTTAAAAAGATTAGTAGAAAACAAATATATATGGGCACATTTAGCCCCAAGCTGCCAGTCCAAGTTGTAATAATAGTATAAAAATTAGTCTGTGGTATAACAAGCAAATGGTTGTAGACAGAACTGGGCAGTATTTTTAGACATAAACCCCAAGAGAATTAATTAAGCTTTGAAAAACATAATTGAACTAGGTATTTTTATAAACATACTAGAACATCTGATGCATACACACGTGAATGTGCAAAATAGCTAATTATATACACTGTTTATAAGTCTGTCTCAGCAATAAAGCAGAGATTCCTCTATTTGTGGCCCAGTGAAAAAATTTGTTGCTTCTTATCCTTTTGTTTTGGTCAACATTTTAATTGTTCAGTAGCACTTATGGCATGAAACACCGAGGGGAAAAATAAAAGCTGTAAAACTCATATTCATTAGATCTCACTTATAATTTTGGACTTGTTTTGCGAACTTCACAAACTATTTATGAACATGATATATAAAATTTTTTTAAGTGTTTCGAAAATGTAAGGGCTTTAACCAAAAGAAACTCCTGAAATATTATTTCCCTTACTTAATAATTTAAAAGTGGCTGAAAAATGAGAAGTGGTCCACATTTTCACTTTCTTATGAGAAGCCAGCCCTTCTCATTTGCTAGACATTCACAACTACATATTCACTTAGACTGAAGGTAGGATATAATTAATTCCTACATTTTTTAATGTATCCATTCCTTCTACTAGACTATGTACTTTTATGAAGAGGACTGTATCTCTATATTCAGTGTCTGGCACATAGTAGGTATTCAATAAAGGCCAAGAGGATATTGAAAAAATGATTGAACACATCCCCTTGGAAATGAAGTACATCAAAATACAAGTATTTTCAGTGCAATTCTCCCTAACACTATTTCTTGAAAGGCCAAATGGTGAATGGGGTAAGATGGGGTCTGGCCTATGCGAAGAATGAGTCATTAAATGGCCTTGCAGATAAGGACAGAAATGCAAGTTTTCAAAGGACTCCTTAGAGCTTCCATCATGAAACAAGGTCACAGGAAGCAAGGGATAATTGATAACATCTAAAACCTAGAACATAGGGTTTTGGGGTAAGATATGAGATAGCGGGTGATATGTTTGGATAAATAGAGTATTAGAAAGAGTTCAGATAGTTCATACTTTAAAGAACTTATTATACAAAACTAAAGAGTGAACAAAGAGAAGCTTAAGGTACAATCAGTATTATTGAGCAACAAAGTGATATAAATCTTATCTTCGTAGGTGGCCCAGAAAACAGATAGTTTTGAAGATTAAAAAAAAAAAGGGAGAGAAAGACCACAGAAAATTGCATTAGTGGAGTTTTCAGACCTGACCCAGTGGAATAAAAATGAGGAGAAAATGTTGAAGTGAGGTTAATGAAATATTTTGTAGTTAAGAGTTGAAAAGATATGATGGCTGGTTAGATACAGAATGAGAGAGAATTTAAGTTTAAAATGAACATTTTTGGTTTGGGAAACTAGATAGGTGGTGATCTGTTAAAAATATGAGAAGTTTAACAGGTGTGATTTTAGGAGAGGACGGAAAAAGGCACTTGGAATGTGGATCTGGAGCCAAAGAGAAGGCTGGGAAAAAAGGACTGGGAAAAAAGACCGAGAAGTCATTAGCATGTGTGGGGTGTAAGTGTGTGTGTGTGTGCGCGTTGGAAGTGGAAGCCATGGAGTGGATGAAACTTGCAGCCCTCCCTTTCTTCAGCTGATTTGTAGGTACAAATATTCTTCTGGAGTAGGTGAGGCATGGGGATATTTGGTGGTAAGAGATGAATCGGAATGGCTTTTTTCCCCAAAGGTCCTCTGCTACCTACTAGATCTGGAGGTACATAACACAATGATGAAGAATTCAGAAAGTCACAATAAGAACAACTAAAGTACATTTAATCACAGCCCTGCCCTTGAAAATACCCACCTGGCAAGCATAATGCTATACTGTGACTTTACAAGAAGTAATCATTCAATCTATCCTTGTAACAGCCAGGAAATGAGTAAGATGTTAAATACAAGTCACATCTTTTGTTAAAAATCTCCTGTATACATAGAACACTACAGAAATATATACCACACCAGAAAAAAGTTCAAAATTATTTTTCTCCCATGCTAGTTTATATGTAGTTTTGATAGTAAGTTAAAAAGGTATATACAACAGTTTTGCATTTTTCATAAACTATGGAAAAGTATTCATGCATTTGTTCATCCAAACAATGTTTATTGAATTTCAATATTTATAAGCAAAATATGGAAATCAGTGACAAACAAGATAGGCAAAATCTCTATGTTTATAGCCAAGAATACAGAGTCTCATCATAATTAATTAAGAAGTAGATATTTAATTATAATAGGTGCTACAAAGGAGAAGAGTAAGATGTAATTAAATATCTTACATGAGGATCTGACCTAGTCTAGGAGTCAGGTAAGACTTCCTTGAGGAAATGTCTTTTGAGCTGAATTCTAAGGAATCTTTAAAATTTATTGAGGCAAAAACTGGACAAGAACTTATCAGAGAGAGAGAATAGCTTGTGTGAAAGCACTGAGCTGGGAGCAAGCACAATACCTTCCAGAAAATGAAAAATCCAAATGTGGTTGAAGCTCAGTGAAATGGAACAGAGGAACAAAGGATAGGTTGGATTAGGGAGGAAAGTGTCAAATCCTGCAGGGTCCTGCAGGTCAGATCGAGGATTTGATCTTGAAGATGTACTGGTTATTCTTCATGTTGTCTGCTCAGCTCTGTTATTCATGATGACCCCTGCAGTGAATTACCCAATTTCCTTGTTCTGTTTCCAGTTAGGTTCCAACAGGAGGCACTGACGCATCAGAGACTGGAGGAGAGATGAAACTCAAAAACTCAAGGTACTTCCGCTCCACTTCCTCCCTGTTTCATGGCAGTATCGCTAGTGGTGATTTGTCTCTCCACAATTACCACTCCTGCTGTGTGCTCCGTCCTCCTTGGGATAGCTCTCAAAGATCTCTAGTAATAAAACTTCTTCCCCTTCTCCCTTCCCCCTTCCCCCTGAGGGTAGTAGCAAATAACTTTCACTTCTGTCTTTATGTTCCTCAGTGTCTCCTATTGGTCCTCTTAACTGCAACCACACTGTAAAGTGATTCTTTTATTATAATCTCTATATTTGAACTTTTTGAGCTGAAGTCTGTTTCCTGCTGGGATCATGACTGACCCTTCACAGTACAGCCAAAATCTATTTGTACTTTTCAGTTGATCACTCTGGCTGTTGTGAGGAAAATGGATTGGATTGGAGTGAGCGAGAGTAATGCCAGGAGATGGAGAGAACTGGACCATCTACTTGGGAAGGAAAAGTCAAGATTTGGTCATAGAGGGCCATAGTCAAGATGGGCTATAGAGGTGAATAAGAGAGAAGATTCAACAATTGCTCTGTTCAGTAATCAAAAGAAACAAATACTGGTTTCAAGGAATCAGAAAATGCACATGTTCCAAAATTGCTTACGATACTGATAAGGATGACTGGAAACATCTTAAGCCTTTCTTCTGGTCCATATCTGCAAACTTTCTATATCTTGAATCCTGCAAAAAGTTTTAAAACCAGGCCCCCCAAAAACTTAAAAATAGCATTTTAGCATCAGGCAATATTTGCAGAGTACCTATGTGCAAGGCACTCTGGAAGATACTAAAAAGAGTCATCAAAGAAGAATGGTTAGGAATCTGGACTCTGAAAGCAGACTACCTTGGTTTAATTAACAGCCATGGATTTGCAGAAAAGAAGAGAAAGAAGGAAGGGAGACAAGGGTAAGCCACAAGGAGGGTAATGGGAAAACCTTGCTTATCCTTTACTCCCTTCCTAAACATATGTCTCTCTTCCTTTTCTGGTAACCTATCTCTTTGGTACATATTTATATATAAAGTTGTAGTCCAAATGGTAAGTGATCTGGAGGGATTTTCAGGAAATAACATAATAAGAAACAATGTTTTGAATTTTGAGGGCTGTGAAGTGTTCCGAAATGATTTTCAAATGGCTAAACTTAGCTAACTTATTGAGCTCTTTTTGTATCAGGGACTATGCTAAGAGCTTTACAGATAAGCATATTAACCCATTTATGCTGGAGGTTGCAAATTTTTGTGTGTGTGTGAGAAATCAGACCTTGATGATGACCTTGAGCAGTAGGATATAAATAATTCCCACAAGCTTAGCATTCCAATAATGGAACACTAGGCATAAAGGGGTTATCTCATAATGCTTCCAACACCTCTATTTCCTTTCTCACAAAGGAAAGCCTACAGATACCAATGTATTTGAAATGGTTTTGATTTAGTCCTACCTAAGAGAAAGGAAGTTTCTACTAAACGGCAGAGCATGAGACATTTAATGCCTTCTTTTATTCTTGCTATGCCTTTTACACCTTTAGAGTTAGAAAGGACTCTAGGGATTAATTATTCCAAATTCTCAACTCCTTCTGTATCTCACAGATATAAAAACTAAGTCCCAGAGTACTGAGTACCAGGTTAAATTAACTAATAATTATCTGAGGTGGCACTTGAATTAACGATCTCACCATTCTCTTAAAGATTCAGTAATATGTTAGCTATCTGCATAGAAGTGCTGTGTAATCTTCCCCAGTCTTCTAGAATCATGTTTCAAAACTTTAATTATATCCAAATTTAAATTATATTTTGTTAAATAATTTTTGCTTCCATCAGCATTCTCTTTTTAAGATTACCTAGATTGCTATGATAGGAAAAATAACATCTTATAAGCCATGAACCTACATGTCAATAACAGTTAACATTCCACTTGGAAAAGCAAACTACTAAAGCCGAAATTGAGCAAGCTTCTAAGAAAGCCAATGCATGTATTTTATATCAAAGTGACTAAAGATAAATTCACAATCTTTTATAAACTACAGTTTTACTAAATTTGTTCGTCTTTGCTCTCAGAGAGTAGACTTGAGAAAATTCATTTTTAACCATATGTTATTTGCATCTGTGTGGTAGGGACAGCTGCATATTAATTCAATTACCTTTCTTTTTCTTTGTGGGCACACAGCTCCCAAGGGATGTTTCCCAGCTTTCCTTGCAGCTGAGAGTAAGGTGGAATAGTAACCGATACCTCAAGAAAGAAGTATGCATATTTTTCAGTTTTCAGTCTCTCTTTTTCCTGCCTCCACATTATTTTTAGACCATTGCAAGAGAGTGCTAGAGACAGAAGGTCCTGTTTCTTGAAGGACAATTTGCTTTTGTCTTCTCATCTCTGACCTATTGCAATCAGCTCTAAACATCCTTCTCATATTCCATCCTTCACACTCTCTTTCTTTTCCTCTCTCATCTCTTCCTCTCTTCATCTTTTCTATTGTTCATGTGCAACTTTGTAATCTATCGTCATGGTAACAAGTATTATGTCTGGCCCAGAGCCACGTGAAGACAGAGCAGCTTCTATCTTTGGTGTGTCTCCACTTTTGCTTTGTTCATCTCTTTACCTATTTGATATTTTACCCCAGTCAGCCCCTCTCGGGCTTCCATGATGACCCAGTACCTTCTTTTCTCATTCCAAGAGACCCCCATTATGGGTCTTTCTTCTTTCTCAGGGATACTGGAAATAACATGGATCAATCTTTCCTTCATGGCAGGCTTTTTATTCAAAACAAGATTTTATTGTGTGGTATTCAGTTTCTTCGGGTTTGCTAAGTGGTTTGAAGAAAGACAATAAACTAAACTCATCTCTGCTGTAATTTTAATGGCCTACTGTGTTTTTTCTCCTTATGGGGTTGTTTTTTAACACTGGATTCTCAGATTTAAATACAATGAATGCATATGTAATGATGGAATTCCAGTGTGATTGGCCAAGATGAGAATTTGGAATATTTAATTGTATTACCATCCTCGACTTTTGGCCAGTAGGCAGGTTTGCATTGCTGTACATTGCTGCTTACTGTTTTACTTCCTCTAATGTATTCTATACCAGTGCTTCTCAATCTTTAACAGATGTCAGAAGTTTTTAGAGAGGAGGTTGAAATCCAGATTCCTGAACATTATAGCCACAGATTCTGATTCAGTAGTTTTGGAGTGAAGCCCGTTAATTTGTATTTGTTAAAAAAAAAAAAAAAAAAAGGAAAAAAAAGCTCCCATGATATATTAATACTGGTGGTCTGATGACGACACTTTGAGTAGTCTACAATGCAACTTGAAGCTCACAGAAGCCCCGAGAAGAAAAGTCTGATAAATTTCTAGTTGAAATAAGACACAATCAAAACTGGCTCAAATTTCAATATTAACCTTTTGAACAGAAACATTGCTATATCATATAATCCTACAGCTAAAATTGAATATACTAAGTCAAGATGAGGAAACAGATCTACAGACCTGGGAAGATTGTTTCATATCTTAAGAGAGACAGAAAAAAATGTAGGGGTATGTATAGAAGGGAATGTTTTCAAAGACGGCCAGAACAGTATCTTCCATCACTCTTTTGCAATGTTACTTTACTATTAGACCTTCAAGAAGTGATACTTTTTTGCCTTCCCCTTGAATCTGGGCTGACCAGAAGGCAATGTTTGACCGATAAAGTGCAATGGAATTGAGATTGTGTAACTCCAAGGCAGAGCCTTAAGAGAACTTCAATGTCTACCATTATCTCTTACTCAGATAAAAGCCAGCGCCAATTCTCAATCATGTGAGTGAAGCCATTGTGGATCTTCCGGCTCCCCCAGAGACCTAACCAACAATACAGGAAACAGAATGGCCTGTCAACCCACAGAATTCTGAAAAATAATCAATTGTTGTTTTAAGTCACTGACAGAAAGGGAAGTTTGCTTTGTAGTAGGTAGATTTGCAGATAACTGCAGTGATGGGTGTCCAGACCTCTCCTCCAGTAGTCTGTATATTTCACTATATATACTGTCTTCTCATTCTCCTTTCTCCTACTTCTCATTTGTTCAGTCAACCAATGCATTTTAAAGCATTTCAAGTATTCCAGATACTACCAACTCAAAGGTTAATAAAAACACACTTGTTACCACTCTCATCAACCTCATAATCAAGAATAGAAAATAGACTAAACAATTGTCACATATTTTGACCAAAGTACTAATATAACTAGTACAGAAGTGGTAAATAGAAACAGTGTGTGTGTGTGTTTATTTGTGTGTGTGTGCATGTGTATATTTTTAGTGGTTACAGAATCATGCATGGGAGAGGAAGAGAAGGTATTATTAAGGAATTGGTGCCTGAACATTATCATAAATTATATACCAGACAGATGAAGGCAATGAGAGAGTAATGTAAATTCACTATCATACCTTTCTCAAATGTATTACTTTTGAATTTTGGTATCACTAACTACTCAAATAGTACATACAGATGTACGATTATATTAATGTGTATATTTACCTTGATTATA
This sequence comes from Homo sapiens, assembly GCF_000001405.40. Classification (NCBI taxonomy): domain Eukaryota; kingdom Metazoa; phylum Chordata; class Mammalia; order Primates; family Hominidae; genus Homo; species Homo sapiens. Next base: position 20,512,782 of record NC_000007.14, read on the forward strand.
TCACTAAAGTTATCATTCTCTATAAAAAGAGTATCAGAAGATAAAACACATTTCCGCTTGTATTCTCAATATTTCTCTCTCTAAAAATCTATTCAAAAAGCTGTTTTATTTGCTATTAATGTTCACTTAAATCATGGATTAAATGACAAATCAAAAGATTATGGAAAATCTATGGGTTCCTTCATCAGGAATGGGTAATCAAAATGCCCTTGAATAATTTATAATTGAGGTAGGCTCTTTATTGATTCGAGTTTCATTTAAGACGAGAGAAACCTGTAATACAGAATAGAACGTATCACTAGCTATTCCTGTGGCTTAAAAACTGTCTGGTGATCTGAAAAGTAAGGCAGATTAAGCTTCAGGCAGAATATCCAAGAAGTGTCCAGCCCCAGAAATTGTCTCACTGCTGCTACACCCAGGGACATTGCACCTACCAATGAAGAAAGTTGCTGAAAATCAGGAAATTGGTGGCTCAGGTCTATGCTGCCTGTGTCACCACCTGAAGAGCAGAATTATGGTCTCTATCCTAATTAACTTAGTTCAAAATTCAAGTTGACCATCAAAGTACCAGATTGGAGGACCCCAAATCACAACTGAAATCTTAGCCACAAGGACATCTGAGAAATGCTTTACTTTTTCTTTTTAATCTCCAAGCATTACAGTACTAGACGTCCCAGAAGAAAGAGGTTGGAATACATGTTTAAGGGAACCAAGCCACAGAATCCACTACAAAGACTAACCATAATCTTAACAAATGAATAAAGAAGTCAGCTGCAGACTGGAAAAATTATACTCTCCTCATTCAACTGTGAATGTTGAAAAGAAGGTCAGATTGATTTATCTGCCATATTAGAGAAGACTATACTCAAGAACCACATCCAAAACCACTAGGAGCAAGGAAAGTACACTATTGATTTAAGTTAAAATTGTTTGTTAAAAAATATGGGCACGATTTTTGAAAACATTTACACAAACACATTATATTTCTTTAAAGCTAATACAATGCATTTATTATTTCTTCTATGTTTAACTATATTTATTTTTGTTATAAATTTAAGTCTGTTTTAATATATTTATACCAGATAAATATTAAAAACTTTTGTTTGATGGTATATTTGATACTACATAATTTTAATTAATGTATTATGTTTTGATAATATAAGGTTATTCTTTTTACTTTTGAACATTTTAAAATAAAATACTTCAGGGATATTGATAAGAATATACACTTAGTTTCTTAACCTTTTGATTTGAACAAATTGTCATTTCCTCTCATAATGTGCTCACATAACAGAGCCTACTGGGTAAATGCAAGATGAAATAATACTCATAAATACTCCTAAAATCATAAAAGTAAACTTATGGCTTATTTACAACAAAACTTTCAGAAAGGACACATTTGGGAAGTTTTAATTCCAAGTAAAAAAAATTTAGGTACAAATAATTTATCTGAAAACAAGAAAAAGTATTTTCTCAGAGGAAGCATATATTTTGTAAATGTGAATATTGGCAAAAATTTAAAATAATTAATTTTCTGGCAATCGACTCTATTCTGAATGACTTCTTGAAGTCTATGAATTTTATTAACTTTCAAATCCCCATCTAGAAAACAGAGTTAAAATCTTATCAAAAGATAAACTGTGAGGAAAGGAAGCTCTGTGGTTCAGTGAAAAGTCAGATATTGTTAACGAGCGTGAACTGCAGCTGTAACACATGAATCATCATAAGAAGCTGAAAGTCTCACTGTTCAGTGCACAAAACTATTAGTCTAATTTGGCCTCAGCTAAGTGGCAGAGAGTTGGCAATGAGCCAGCTGGAGAGCTGGATGCAGTTATAGTGATTAATTGGATTTTTCTTCTATAAAGCATAGGCAGCTAAGGCTTATTCCCACAAGGACAGAGTAATGATACCAAATACAAGGACTAAAGACAGGATTGGTAATGTCTAGAATAAAATTTTGTAGATATTTTTTGCTGTCTTCAAAAACAGATCCTAGAAGTCACTTAATGAAATTCAAAAAACCTTCTGCCATGCTTCCAGGCCAGCACCATGGAAAGGATTGATTTCATATGCCCCTCCCCCAAGTACCATCTTGTGGATAATCACAGATTATTGTTATTTCTGAATGCTAGGGCTATGAACAATTTTTTGAACAATTTTTAATAACATTTTTGCTTATCTCTATTATTTTTCAAAATAAACATATTTTTGTAAAGAAAAACCTATAAAATATCAAAAAGGTATTTTGCAACCCTCTTCAAAAAAGCAAGTTTTAAAATATAAGTTATAACAGAAATTTTTTTTTCTGCTTTGAACTCTGATAAAGCTATTTCAATGTAGATTCAACAGAGTCACCCGTGAAAAGAAAATATTGCAGCCTATGGAGTATTTTTATTCACAGCATATTATTTGATGACCACAAAAATTCTATCAAGTAGGTGGAGCGAACGTTATTTTTTCCATTTTACAAAGGAGATTGTAATAGCTCCACAGAAATAAATGTTTCGTCCAAAGATACCATAGCTGGTAAATAGCAAAAACAAATTTCCAGTTTGGGCTCTGTATCATTTAAAAAGCAATCTCAATCCCCTCTCCCACATCAAAATAAGCAAACAAAAAATTCCACAAAAATGTTTTAGATTTTAAAAAATCAAATAGTAAAAAATGTTTATATGCTACCAGAAACACTCTAAATTGTTTAAAAGAGAGTTCACCTAAGACATGATCTGGCAATGCTGAATGGAGGAAGGGAGAGGACTTTCTCAGCACTCTCCTCCATTCCCAGGTAACCAATAAATTTATCCTACCAGGGCGTTAGCATCCTTACTTTGTTGTTCTACCCAAAGCAGTGACACTAATGGAGGAAATATGGCCAGGTAAGAGAAGCCCTTCTGACTGGCTGAGGGGAGTGGCACTTTGGCTGGTAAGAGCCTCTTCAGTTCTCCTTACCATTTTGACAAGCCTTGACTAAATTAGAAGATCAAAGAATATTTACATCAACTAATCACAGTATCATATGTCATTGACAAATGATAAAAACCCCAAATACTAAAATTCTCAGGGAATATTTAAACAGACAATAGATGATAGAAGGCTTTCTAGTATATTCTGTAACTGTCTCAAAAGAGATTGAAGAAAAGCACATAATAGATGAAGCATTTTAATATTGAAAATTACAATATACATCAAAATGTTCAGGTTGAATATTGAGTAAAATTTTAACAGTTTTGCTCTTATAAAATAACTCACTGAATTGAGCTACATCCTGCAGAAGCTTTTCTGTACCACCTTGTGGTCCCTTTAAGTTACAAATGGGATTTTTGTAGGTTATTGCTTCTTTTAACCTTAACAGAAATTTCACATTAAATTAAATTTTCTGCTCATCATCACTGGTCATCAGAGAAATGCAAATAAAAACCACAATGAGATACCATCTCACACCAGTTAGAATGGCAATCATTAAAAAGTCAGGAAACAACAGATGCTGGAGAGGATGCAGAGAAATAGGAACGCTTTTACACTGCTGGTGGGAGTGTAAATTAGTTCAACCATTGAGGAATACAGTGTGGTGATTCCTCAAGGATCTAGAACTAGAAATACCATTTGACCCAGCCATCCCATTACTGGGTATATTCCCAAAGGATTATAAATCATGCTACTATAAAGACACATGGCACACGTTTATTGCGGCAGTATTCACAACAGCAAAGACTTGGGACCAACCCAAATGTCCATCAATGATAGACTGGATTAAGAAAATGTGGCACATATTATACACCATGGAATACTATGCAGCCATAAAAAAGGATGAGTTCATGTCCTTTGCAGGGACATGGAGGAAGCTGGAAACCATCATTCTCAGCAAACTATCACAAGGACAGAAAACCAAACATCGCATGTTCTCACTCATAGGTGGGAACTGAACAATGAAAACACTTGGACACAGGGTGTGGAACATCACACACTGGGGCCTGTTGTGGGTGGGGGTTGGGGGAGGGATAGCATTAGGAGAAATAGCTAATGTAAATGATGGGTGCAGCAAACCAACATGGCACATGTATACCTATGTAACAAACCTGCATGTTGTGCACATGTACCCTAGAACTTAAAGTATAATTTTTAAAAAATTTAAATTTTCAAATGAAAATTCCATTTCTATAGTGGCCAAAAGCCTTTATATAAATACAGTAAAATGTATTTTCTTTTGACAGCCAAAGCACTGCCAGCAACAGCGTCTATGCCAGGAAGGAAATTAAATATTTATTTCAGGAAGGAGAATATTTAATTTTGTTGTGCTTTTGGATTATGATTAATCAAAAATTCCAAATGTGTTCTTATGTGTAGCTTCTGAATATCATCATCTTCTTAACAAAATTAATAAGAATAGACAAAATTTATTAAGAATGATTAGTAGAATGGAAATACAAAGTGTTATGAAAGGGACAAAATTTTCTGTTTATTACCTTCTATTATGCAAAGCAATTAGACACTTTTGTGCCATAAATTTAACATTTGTCCTATGTTTCCAAACTCAGCCATTCCCAAATTTTTAACTGTGTACATCCTTCTGTGAGGGAGCCCAATGGTGACAATATAGATTAGATTTTGAGAATTAAAAATAAAAGGTTAAAAATTTATTTTAGCAATAGAAACACATTCTGTACCTTGGCCAGTTCTAAGCATTTTTAAGATCCTTTAAAAGTAGTATCATCAATTATCAGATATAGGCAGATTGAAATCAGATATTTTTAGCCTCCCAAATTAGCAACAAGAAAAGTCAGGTAATTTCCAATACTAGAGATAACCTGAGGAACTAGTTTCTCTCATCCATTTGGGTGGGAATTTAATTTTGTCCAATCTTCTTGTAAAATAAAATTGAGAATATTTTCTAAGAGTCACAAAAATATTCATGTGATTTGACCTATCTCTATCTCTGAAATATGAAAATGGGAAATTTCATACATAATCATTGAAGAACTATTTTAATAAAAAAAGACATAAACTACCAAGAGTAGATGGTATGTACCAGTTATATATATATATATGTATGAAACCTGTAAAATAATATAGAAAAATGCCTAAAAAGACAAAGTTAAACCACAAGATCCTAATTTACACACATACATGATTACAATTTTATTTACAAATATATAAAAAGAAACATTTCAAAATCTTAGCAATGATCACATTTGGGTGGTAGCAGGGCTATGAATAATTTTTATTTTTTCTTTTTTTATATATTGTATAATAAACATATAACCTTGAATTCAGAAAAATTGAAAACAAAAAATAAAAGAAGTAGAAACATGTGATCTAAGTTTCAGTGTAGCCATAAATTCAATTTTTTCCCTTATATGAATGATATCACTATTGATTCTTAAGGCTTATATATTGTATTTAGAAGCTCTTAGTATATTGATCCACCTCATGACATTGATTAATAATTGAAAAGAAAGACAAATAAAACTAACAAGCACGTCTAGTGAGTTAGTAGAGACAGCAAGTGATTAATTTTGCTTTTTATTTCATGCGTTACACTGAATAAGACTGAATCCTTGGTAGAACTGAAGCATTTTTTTCAAATGATAAAATCCAACCCTCAGACACAGTCAGGATAGGATATCTCTAACGGTTTAGTTTTGCTCTTCAAATAGTGACCAATCCCAAGGAACTCTGAGATTTGTTCACGTTACTTAAAGACGTAGTCCAAGTGCATACATAAAAGTTAATTATATTTAAAAATAAAATTAATTTCCGGGCCAAATTTGATGTAATTTATATTACAAATTTCTGTGGAGATATATAGGTCTTGGTGTCTAATGATTCTATTAGACACTCTGTTCTGTGTTTTTTTCTATTCTTAAGTTATATTTGTAATACACTGATGATGTTAAAATTATATTCTTTTCAGGGCAATCTCAGAAGATCATTTAAAAATATAATTAATAATTATTTGCACTAAAAATTGAAAATACTAAATACCAGAATAACAATTACAGCATAAACTATTTGAAGCCAAGATAAGAGTGTTTTTTTGTTTTGTTTTTGTTTTTTTTGTTGTTTTTTTTTTTGAGACGGAGTCTTGCTCCGTCGCTCAGGCTGGAGTGCAATGGTGCAATCTCAGCTCACTGCAACCTCTGCCTCCCAGGTTCAAGCGATTCTCCTGCCTCAGCCTCCCGAGTAGCTGGGATTACAGGCGCCTGCCACCACACCTGGCTAATTTCTGTATTTTTAGTAGAAACAGGATTTCACCATGTTGGTCAGGTTGGCCTTCAACTCCTGACCTCAAGCAATCCACCGGCCTCAGCCCCGCAAAATGATGGGATTACAGGCGTTAACCACCGCACCCAGCCGATAAGAGTCTTCTAATAGAACCAATTGAGAGTTACGGAGTTAAATTTCCTAGAGGCTTATAAAATTAGAATGACTTATAACCCAATGGTGACATCTATTGGAAAACCTCCCTAGATTTAATATTCTCAAAAGAGTTTATTAAATCTAGAGTTTACTTGCTTATTATTGACCAATTAATCTAATGTATGTAATTCCGCTACTACAATCTTTGTTTCTATCTCTGTAACTTCCTGATATCCTGATTGGACCTTTTATGAGGGTTTTGGGGTATTATTTTAATATTAAATTTTTCTTTTTATAAAAAAGTATGGTTTTGTTATTTGGTCGCTTAAACTTTTACCTTTTTATTTGATTAAACTTCTTAAGGTATTACATAGATTCCTCTGCCAAAATGCACTTCAAAATATTTTGCATTTATAACTGACATTTGGGATTTATTTAAGGCAAATCTAATAGTATTCAGGATTAGCCAGTTATGATCATCAGACTGGTAAGATAATTTTCAGCTCTTAAGCAAGTCACTGAGTTCCTGAAGCTCAGTGGAGGAGTGAAATACAGCTCTGGGAACAAAGTCAAGTCCCCAGGGTAAGGTCATCCTGAAGTGGTAAAGAATAAGGAAAGGCAGGGATAACATCAGGAAGGAAGTTTTTCTGTGGGTCTTGAGAGGATGCTTTTGTGCAGGCTTGGTGGGACACACTAGAATACACACAGGCATTGAGTGAATTGTCTATTGTCTCTGTGTTTGTGTTTCTACGCACTGTCTGTGAGCCCATGAAAGGAGGGGCTGTGCTAGTTTCTGGTCCACACCCTTTAGTCACAGTATATAACCTCTCGAGGTGGCTGCTACCCCACTGGCATTCAATAATATTATTGAACAAAGTGATTCCATTTCATCTTTAATATTCCATCACCGTATTTGCTTTAAAACCTAGATTGTTTACACTGGTTCTTATTTACTATTGCCAACCCCATCCCCATCCCCAGAATGACTATAACTGGTATTTATCTGCCAATGGAGCCTGGAAACAAATACAACCACCTCCTTATGCCCTCACCCGCAAAAACAGCCCTGTCAAGCTGCAAGCCAAATAAAGCAAATACAATTTAATAACCATTTTTTTAAAGCTGCTAAAAAAAATAGAAGGGACCTTGTTTTTCAAGTTAATTAAACCTCTGTGTTACATAGGTTGTATGAATAAATTTAAATTTTACTTTTTGCCTGTGATGGCAATTGCAAATTGGCCTAAATACTTGGTGATAAATAATTCTTTTCTATTTTCTGTGTACTAAGGATTTACTCTGAGTGCCTAAATATGATGATAATTCATCCAAAGGTAGAATCCTAGCATTCCTAATCAGAGCAAGGTCAAGAGCATTTGCAGCTTGTACTCTATATAGCTACACTTGCCTTTTTCCCATGCAAGTGTTGAATTTCTGAAAAACAGAAATAAATTAAAATATTAGATGGGATATTTAACATAATATGCAAAGGATTGATGATATTAAGTAATATACTAATTTTCATATTACTTTTAATCTAGATGTACTGAAAATATAATTTTAGTGGCTTTATAAAAAGCACTGACGTAAGCAAAAACTATTTGGGGATAAATAATGAAAAGACATTTCTACAATTTATATGCAAGGAAAGCCTTCAAAGAGGTTGAAATATCTAAAGTCTTGCAAAGTTGACTCGATTAGTCATGACAGGCTATCTGTTGTAATAAACAGCACCAATATCTCAGCTCACATTCCTTCGCAGTCATTCGGTTTTTTCCAGTTAGTGCTTCCACCATCCCCTATGGCCTGAAAGTCTTTGCATCCTCACCATCCACTGCTGTATGACAGAAGAGAGCAAGTGTGGAAGAATCTATACATTTATAGGGGTCAGGTGATGTGTCCAACATACTTGAATTCTAATTCAAAATAATTTTTTATTTAGATGGGGCTACATTTAAAGGCTTTATAAAGTAAGTCAATATAAAGAGAACCATGAGATAATTAACAATTATCTATTGTTAATATTGAATTTCACTGATAAGGCAAAAACAAATTTTAAAGAAGTTTGTGAATGACTGAAATGTGGCATCTAAGGTCCATTCCAGGTCAAAATTCTATTACTCCATGACCTGGGTCTGATTTCCCCCACATTCCTCAGTTTCAGGTAAGTCATTTCTAGTTAAGTCTATGTTCCTTGGCCCATGGTTTTTCTGAGCAAAAGTTATGGATATGTTCAGTTAATGGTGTATCCTCAAGATGCAATAGAACCAAGAGGAACTATAAGCATGTGGTACACTGACCACAGTCTGAAGGATCAGTATTTCCATTTCCCAAACATGCTGTGACCTAGAAGTTGTTAAGAAACACCAAGATATGTATATAAACAACCCCTAGACCTGATTGGTTTTAAAGCACCTTATAGCAGAGATGATAGTTTCCTTTTTTCAATGAAACGTCAGGTTTGAAAAATCTAGAGAAATCCATAAAAAAAGCAAAGTGAGGCATTATACATGAGTCATGACATTTTTGACATTTGCTTAAAAGTTCCTGCTTGGCCTAACAGAATAAACTCAGAAGACTTCTGGCTAAGGGTCATCCACTGTTATGGGCTAATTATCTCTCCCCCAAATGTATATGCTGAATCCCTCATCCCCCACATTACCTCAGAATGTGACTGTATTTGGAGATAAAGTCTTTAAAGAGGTAGCTAAAGTTAAATGAGGTCACTAGGGTGGGCTTTAGTTTGAGATGACTACTGGTTCTTGCAAGAGATTAGGATATAGACCCTCAGACAGGAAAACATGGGGAGAAGATGGCCATCCACAAACTAAGAGAGAGACCTCAGCAGAAATTGACCCTAGTGACACCTTGATCTCAGACTGACTTCTAGCCTCCAGAACTATAAGAAAATGAATATCTGTTGTTCAAGCAACCAAGTCTGTGGTTCTTTTTCATGGAAGCCTTAGCAAATTAATACACCTGTGTTTACTAAAATTCTACACCTCAGTGTTTTAGAACACATGGTCTTCCAACTCCTGAAGTTATTTCCGTTTTCTCTAGAATAGATTAAATGATCATTGTGAACTAAAGACAGCCATCTTATCCAAGTAACTTTTTTTTCTTTTTAACGGTTCAGAGATTAGTCACGGCTATAGATTATTGAAGCTGAGCCCATAGTTTCCCAATCACTACGGCACTCTTCCAGGCATCAATACAGAATTGGGTGTTTAGGGTAGGCTTTAAGATACACAACAAAAATCTCACTTAGAAATCCTTTGTACCACTATCCTTTTGTCTTGAGAGGAATCCCTCTGAGAGACTTGATTCCCAAGTAATACTTAGGTCTATATGGCCGTATGCTAGGGATTCAGCCAATTTGCAGAACTCTCCTAAGTTTAGAGGCTGATCCTCAGAGAGACGTTATCTTTAGAGCAAAAGTCTCTAAAGCACAATTTAGTAAACCACTGTTCACTATGAGTATCCCAAACAGAGAAAGAGGAGGAGAGGGAGGCTGGAAAAGTTTGAATCTGTGTCCCTTTATAAGAGACAATTTAATGTTATTTCTATCCAAAAAACATAAAGAAAAAGTAAGTCTTGAAAGTGGGACACAACATCACACTGAATGGGCAAAAGCTGGAAGCATTTCCCTTGAAAACTGGCACAAGACAAGGATGCCCTCTCTCGCTACTCCTATTCAACACAGTATTGGAAGTTCTGGCCAGGGCACTCAGGCAAGAGAGAGAAATAAAGCACATTCAAACAGGAAACAAAGAAGTCAAACTATCCCTGGTTGCAGATGACATGATCCTATATCTAGAAAACCCCATCATCCCAGCCTAGAAGCTTCTTAAGCTGACAAGCAACTTCAGCAAAGTCTCAGGATACAAAATCAATGTGCGAAAATCACTAGCATTCTTATAAACCAACAACAGACAAGCCGAGAGCCAAATCACTAACAAACTCCCATTCACAATTGCCACAAAAAGAATAAAATACCTAGGATTGCAGCTAACTATGAAGGTGAAAGACATCTACATGGAGAACTACAAACCACTGCTCAAATAAGTCAGAGATGACACATACAAATGGAAAAACATTCCATACACATGGATAGGAATAATCAATATTGTTAAATTAGCCATACTTTCCAAAGCAGTTTATAGATTCAATGCTATTCCCATTAAACTACCATTGACGTTCTTCACAGAACAGAAAAAACTATTTTAAAATTAGTATGAAACCAAAAAAGAACCCAAATAGCCAAGGCAATCCTAAGCAAAAAGAACAAAGCTGGAGGCATCATGCTACCCAACTTCAAAGTACTCTAAAGGGCAACAGTAACCAAAACAGAGTGATATTTGCACAAGAATAGACACATAAACCAATGGAACAGAATGGGGAACCTAGAAATAAGACTACACATCTACAGCTATCTGATCTTCCACAATGCTGACAAAAACAAGCAATGAGGAAAGGATTCCCTGTTCAACAAATGGTGCTGGGATAACTGGCTAGCCATATGCAGAAGACTGAAAGTGGACTCCTTCCTTACACCATATACAAAAATTAACTGAAGATGGAACATAGACTTAAATGTAAAACTTAAAACTATAAAAACCCTGGAAGACAACCTGGGCAATACCATTCAGAATATAGGCACAAGCAAAGATTTCATGACAAAGACATCAAAAGCAATTGCAACAAAAGCAAAAATTGCCAAATGGAATCTAATTAAACTAAACAGCTTCTGTACAGCAAAAGAAACTATCAAAAGGGTAAGCAGACAACCTACAGAATGGGAGAAAATATTTGCAAACTATAAAACTGACAGAAGTCTAATATCCAGCATCTATGAGAAGCTTAAACAAATTTACAAGAAAAATACAAGCAACCCCATTAAAAGCTGGGCAAAGGACATGAACAGACACTTCTCAAAAGAACACATACAAGGGGCCAACAAGCATATGATAAAAAGCTCAATATCACTGATCAGTAGAGAAATGCAAATCAAAACCACAATGAGATACCATCTTACACCAGCCAGAATAGGTGTCACAAAGAAAAGTCAGAAGATAAGAGACTCTGGCAAGGTTGCAGAGAAAAGGGAATACTTAGGCAATGCTGGTAGAAATGTAAATTAGTTCAACCATTGTGAAAGCAGTGTGGTGATTTTGGAAAGAACTTAAAACAGAAGTACCATTTGACCCAGAAATCCAATTATTGTGTATATACTCAAAGGAATATAAATTGTTCTACCATAAAGACACAGCATGTATGTTCATCACTGCGCTATTCACAATAGCAAAGACATGGAGTCACCCAAGTCTCCATCAATTGTAGACTGGATAAAGAAAATGTGGTACATATACATCATGGAATACTATGCAGCCATAAAAAAAGAATGATATAATGTTCTTTGCAGGGATATGGATGGAGCTGGAGGCCATTATCCTCCTAACACAGGAACAGAAAACCAAATACCATATGTTCTCACTTATAAGTGGAAGCGAAATGATGAGAACACATAGACACAGAGGGGAACAACACACACTAGGGCCTATCGGATAATGGAGGTTGGTAAGAGGGAGAGGATAAGAAAAATAACTAATGGGTATTAATTAGCCTTAATACCTGGGTGATGAAATAATCTGTACAACAAACCCTCATGACACAAGTTTACCTATGTAACAAACCAGCATATGTAGCCCTGAACTTAAAATAATGTTTTTTTTTAAAGTGAGACATTTTAACATGCATTTATAAACCACAGCAGTGTTTCCCAAAGTGGTTCTCTTGGAACACACTAGAAGGGTTCCGTAATCAAATGGATTAGAAAAATACTGCACTCTCTATCACCCCAGGACTCACAATTTTCATAGATATGTAAAAGGCCCCAAAAAATCTTCCAGTTATACATAAAATTTTGAAACCTTTAATTCTCTTAAATCCAGAATTTCTCAAACCGATCTGACCATGAAACCATTATTAGAATTATTAGCAAGCATCCCATGGTACCACGGTTTGGGAATATAATTTAGAACAAGAGTCATAAAGAAATAATCATAGTGATGAAACTGTCTATACAGGTGACTATAGTCATGCACCACCATACCTGGCTAATTATACTAGAGTTAGAATGTAAAAGGAATTGAAATTCCCTTCCTTTAATAATAATAATAATATTTATTTGTTTTCAGGAAAGCAATGCATTTGGTCATTAAAATATACGATCTCTTATTTCTTTGAATGCTTATTTGATTATATATTTCCTTAACTTCATGTACCATGTTAAGTGCTTAAGCACACGTACAAGCTCACAGTTCAGCCTTTTGCTTATTTTCAAAAATTTTTGGCATTTATTGGTAGCAGAGTAATGTCCCTTCTAAAGTGGGTTAAAAGGCAGCACGAAGAACAAAGAGGGAATCTTCTGTAAGCATGACTTGACTCCAATTACTCCTAACTGAGAGGGCTAAGTAGTTCTGTGTAATCTCTGTCAAAAAAGATGACTGGCTCAAAGAGGTCTGGCCCTTACCCATTGGCAACCATCTTAGTTTTGTGATTGTTTATGCCAAAAACAATCAGCCCAAACCATATGCATTTCAGACAGAAATAAAACATCATCCAAAATGGTATAAAGTTAAGTAAGAAGTTAACTGTTTCAAATAGAGGGACTGTTTTATTTGTTTTACAGTTGTGTATGGAATATTTTCCTACCAGCCTTGATTCTAAAATGCAGTAGAACAGATAAGCTATATTTAAGATGTGAAATTACTAGTAGGTTGATTTTGTTTAATTTTAAAATATCTAACTTGCATATTTTTAAGAATCTGGACTTCAGATATTTATTCACATTTGTCTGAAAATATAGATGGTGCCAAAGCTGGAATATACCCAGAGTGATTCATCACAATGGAGTAGGTAGATGCTAACAATTTCTGACTGGCAGAGACCAAATTGCTTCATTATCCCCAATTAACCCCAAAGATTAACAAGCAAATGAACCACCTGCCACCATTGTTTACAAGAGATTTTAAGAGGGTTGAGAGGCAAGCTGGGCTTGGACCATTTCTTGATAAAGATGTCCCAATCCCATCCCCACCAAACACAACTCAGTCAAAGGAAATTCTCCAATATCTATTACTGCTGAAGAATGTGTAATCTTGTTAATTAAAGGTCTAATTAATTCTATTTGTTAAATATATTACCATGATTTTAACTCATTTTAATAAATTTTACCACTTACAAAATCAACATAAACATTTAATACTGTATGTTCCTTTTCACTAATAAATCTTATAATTGATGACATCTTAAAATTAAAGAAAAAGTGTTTCATTGACACTTTTTTAAAATAAATCTTTTAAATAGAATTGGATTCATGTTATATGTTGGTTCATGATACACAGTCCTCATTAGAGTGTGTGTGTTTGTATGCAACTAATAACAGAACATCAAAATACACAAAGCAAAACTAATAGCAATGAAGGAAGTAAACAGCAATTCAGCGATAATAATTGAGTACTTCAATACTCCACTATTAATGCTGGATAGAACAGCTAGACAAAAAAAAGAAAGAAACAGAAAATTTGAACAAAACTGTAAACATATATAGATGTAGACATCTATATATGTAGACATCTATACATTATATGTAGGCATCTATAGAACATTCAGCATAACAACAGAATATACATTATTCTCAAGTATACACAGAACATTCTCCAGGATAGACCATATCCTTTAGAACTTATTGAAGCCACAAACCTCAATATGTTCTAAAAGGTGGAAACAACACAAAATATGTTCTCTGACCACAATGGAATGAAATTAGAACTCAATAGCAGAAAAGTATTCGGGGAAATTACAAAAACGTGGAAACCAAATAACACTCTCATAAATAACCAATTGGCCAAAAAAGAAATCAAAAGGAAAAATTACAAAATACATTGAGATGAAAGACAATGAAAACACAGCACAACAAAACTTTTGAGATGCAGCGAAAGCAGTGCTTAGAGGGAAATGTATATTTCTAAATGCCTATATTAGGAAATAATAAATATTACAAATCAATAACCTAGCCTTCCTGCTTATGGCACTGGAAAAGAGCAAAAATAAAGCAAGCAGAAGGAAGGAAATAAATAAAGATTATGGCAGAAACTAATGAAATAGAGAATATAAAAACAATACAGAAAATCAATAAAACTAAAAGCTGGTTCTTCAAAAAGATCTACAAAACTGCCAAATGTTTGGATAGCTAGAACAAGAGGAAAACAGAGAATACTTAAATTACTAGAATTAGTACAAAAATGGGGATATTACCACTGACTTTACAGAAATAAAAGAGTTAAAAAGCAATACTTTGAACAACTGTAGGTAATAAGTTAGATAACTTGGATGATATTAACAAATTCCTAGAAACATACAAAATACCAAAATTGACTCAAGAAGCATACTCTGAAGACTACAAACATTGTTGAAAGAAATTAAAGAAGATTGAAATAAATGGAAAAACGTGGCCCAAATTCATGAATTGTAAGATTTAACACTGTTGAATTGGTAATACTCCCCAAACTGAACTACATATTCAACACAATTTTTATCAGAATTCTAGCTGACTTCTTTGTACAAGATGACAAACTGATTCTAAAATTCATATGAAATTTACGGGTACTTAGAATAGCCAAAACAAACTTGCAAGAGAAGAACAAAGCAGGACTCACATTTCCTGATTTTAAAAATTAACTACAAAGCAACAGTAATTAAGACAACATGGTATTGGCACAAGGGTAGATGTACAGATCAATGGAATATAACTGCCAGTACTAAAATAAACCCATACATCTATGGCCAACTGATTTTTGACAAGGCTGCCAAGATTATCCAATGGGGAAAGAATAGTCTTTTCAACAAAGGGCACTGGGGCAACCAGATAGCTACCATGAAAAGAATGAAATTGGATCCTTACCTCACACATCCACAAAAATTAACTCAAAATGGATCAAACACCAAAATATGAAAGCTATTACTATAGTAGCTTAAGAAGAAAACAAATGGGTAAGACTTTACGACCCTGGATGTGACAATGGATTCTTAGATTTGACATCAAAATCATGAAGTCTTAAAATAAACTTCATCAAAATTCAAAACTTTTGTGTTTCAACCTCCTTATAAAAGTAATTCTTTATTTTTTTCCTGTTTTTCTTTCCTTTTTTTTAAAGAGAAAATTGTTCAGAGCCACAAAAAACTTTTGTGCTTCAAAGAACACCATCTAGAAAGTTAAAACCTACAGAATATATATGCACTTATATGTGTGCATATGTATGTGCAAATCATATATCAGACAAGGGACTAACTTGCATCTAGAATCTATAAAAACTTATACAACTCAGTAAGAAGACGACAAATAACCCAATGTAAAACATAGGCAAATAGTTTGAATAGACATGTCTCCATGGAAGATATACAAATGGCCAATAAGTACATGAAAAGATGCTTGAGAACATTAGTCATCAGAAAAATACAAATCAAAACTACCGTGAGATACTACTTCACACCCACTAAGATGGCTAGAATCAAAAAGTCATATTGACAGTGACAGAAGACAGGCAAATTCCTAGGCAGATAGGGATGGGTCCCTGGTAAAACCCAACCTTCAAGCCAAAGACAGTTTAAAGCCTGAAAACTGAGCTGCTGGTTCTGGATAGAGTCTGTGACTGGAGTGAGAACTTCTATCCCCATCTTACCCTCTCTCTCTATCAGTTCCTTCTGGATGTTGCCTGTTAACCAATTGAATGGTGCTTTTTCCAAAGCCCACCCATGGACCAATCAGCATGCATTTCCCTATTGTAAGCCCATAAAAGCCCTGGACTCAGCATGACAGATGGCTCTCGAGTTGAGACCTGCTCTTGAGGTACATGAATAATGCACTTGCTCTCGAGTCGTCTCTCACAGCTGAGCACTCTCCTTCCGTAGCTCAATAAAATTCTTCTCTGCCTTACTCACTCTCTGGTGTCTGCCCACCTCATTCCTCTTGGTCTCGGGACAAGAACCCAGAACCTGCCAAACAGTGGGAGCAAAAAGAGCTGTAACACTCCTGCTCGCTGAGCTATAGGAGTGAAGAGCTCTGACATTTCCTGGGGACTCAGACCTTGGGATTCCCCAAGCAAGAGCTGTAACACCCTTTGTGTCTCCATGATTGCTGGCATCTCTGAGTTTTTGGGCACCACCATGTTCCCTTTGTCTAGACGCCAGTGTCTGACATGGAAGCCACTTGTGGCATGCTCAGTCCAGCTGCAGGCTGAGATGGAGCTTCGGGCTGGCTGCAAGCCAAATGCAGCCTGCCAGGCCAAGCAGGTGGAGGGAGCCCAGCAGTCCCCAAGCAAGGCCTGGGCAGAGGCAGCAGTGGCCACAATTTTCAGCTGGCAAAGTGGCCCTGAAGGAATCCTGTAACAATATAATAACAAATGTCAGCAAGGATATGAATAAATAAGAACCCTCAAATATTGATGGTGGGAATGTAAAATAGTGCCACTGTTTTGAAAAACAATCTAGCAGTTTCTAAAGTGGTTAAATAGAAAGTCACCATACGACCTAGCAATTATATTTCTAGGTATATTCCCAACAAAAATAAAAACATATATCTACACAAAAATTGTACATGAATAATTATAGCAGCATTATTTATAATAGTTAAAAGGTAGAAAGAACCCAGATGCCCGTCAATGGACAAATGAACAAACAAAATGTGGTATATCCATATAATGGAATATATTTATCCATAAAGAATTGAAGTATCGATACATTGTACAACTTAAATAAATCTTGAAAATATTATATTAAGTGAACAAAAGCCAGTCACAAAAGTCTATATATTATAAGATTTCATTCATGTGAAAATCCAGAACATAGAAACTAGTAGAAACAGAAAGTAGATTTACGGTTGTTTGGGATTAGAAGTGGGGTATTGGAAGACAGGCAGTAATAGCTAAAGGGTATGGAGGGTTTTTTTTTTTTTTTCGAGATGATAAAAATGTTTTAAAATTGACTGTGGCGATGGTTTCACATTATCTTTGAATATTCCAAAACCATTGAATTGTACACTCTAATAGGGTGAATTGTATAGTATGTAAATCCCCTCTCAATAAAGCTATTTTTAATTGACAATTAATATAGGCAAACAAATTGAGGGAACTAGTGGAATAATTAGACAATTACACCATCATAATGGAAGATTTTAACATATCTCTTCCAATTATTGATAGATCAAGTGGATTAAAAAAATCAGCTAACTATAGAAAATTTCAACATAAATATCACTGAATGAATGGACCCCAAAATCAGAGTGCATGTCCTTCTAAAGCACACATGGAACAGTTACAAACTCAATCATGTTAAGGCCATAGAGCAAGTCCCCAGAGTTTCAAAAAGTTAGGTCACACAAAACCCCATTCTATGACTACAATGCAATTAAGTTAGAAATTAATAACAAAAAGAAATAACAAATTTATCTCATATATTTAGAAACTAACCCATAGGTAAAAAAAGAAATTGTAATGAAAATTTTTTACAACTTTAATATATTTTATCCATTTTTAAGAAATCTGAAATGTGATAAATGTATTAAAGCTACCTATAATAAAAAATTACACAAGTACATACACTGAAGTCTTGAAGTTTCTCAAAGACTGTTATAAGTCAGTATAAGCACTGGATAAGAAGAAATTTCTAGCTGATAATTACTCAGCTATGGACAAATATTTAGGTATTGCTGGGATACTCACAAATATTTAGGTATGGCTGGGATACTTGTCTATGAATGGCGCTATGGGTAAAAAGCTTACAAAGCCAGACTTTTTAACTCTCCTCCTGTAAATACATGATTCTCAGTATCCATTGACATGGGAAACACGTTGGAGAGTTCCTGATGTTTGTGATTATACTCCCAGCAATAATTATTCCACCCAAAACGATATTCAGATATAAAGAGCCTGAAAAAATAAGGCTTGATGAGATTTTTTCCTAAGATCTTCCTTTCCCTGCCCAAATTAGTCAAAGTTTAAGTACACCTATTTTAATAGGCCTCCTACAAACAACATCAAACTTCAACAAGCAAAAACATACCCATGTTTTTATTTCATGGGGCACTAGTTGATATGATAATTTTATAAATGCTGTAGATATTTTACTCACCTAACTTAAAATAGATTTTCCCTGGTAAGAAATGATATGTTACATACAGAAAAAGTTGTACAGAACTACCTAAAGTACATGTAGTTAGGAATACCACCAAATTAAAATACTCTCTTTTTTGTAGACACACTTCAAGTAATATTATTTTTAAAACATTGGTAATAGGTTAAAATATGACATCATATATCTAATAGATACAACTTTGTTCATTACCAAACTAAAATTTCTGGAGTTTAAATTGTCTTTTGACATTTAGAACAAAACTTAAAAGCTAGAGGCTAAAACTGTGGCAATGGAGCATGGTCAGCTTTTTGTCCTATACAGGTATCAGTAAGATGAAGTATTTCTGAACTAAAATCAAATAAAAATTTCAATAATATTGTTACTATTTCAAAACCCTTAGGAATGTTTCAAGACGTGAAGAATAGAATTATTTATAGAATGTATTGGCTTCCTCTGAACAATGCTCAAGGAGAGATATATCTCCTCACTTAATGGCTTACAAAACAGGTTCTCTTAAATATCAGACATGCAATGAGCACATTTCTATTCTATGTTCTCTCTCTAATGAATGGCACTTATAATAAGAATGATATAGGTTACCAATGATTATTTTCTTTGTATCAGGATGTGTTACATGCTTTACATGTCTTATATATATATACTCATGGCAAGAAAACAAAGTAGTTCTTAAGATTATTATTATTATCACTATCATTTAATTTTAAAGATATAAAATCTGGGACCACAAAAGTTTAATTAGTCCAAGGCCATGTACCCAGTAAACATTCAGTTCCAGGTATGTAGTTCCCAAAAGCCTGGAAGATTTCCTCCATTCCATGATTTCATTTGCTTTTCCTTGTTATCAGCCAGCTATAAAACAAAATCCAAATAGGTATGTGTATACCCCAAAGTGAGAAAAATATGATTGCTTTTGACAGTCTTTCAGGCTCCAGAATAAAACACAAGAATTGTGTTGACCTGGAGCAAGAAATTATTTGTCCTACTTTTGGCCTGCCTGCTTTATTTTCCAGTGAAGATCAAATATTTCGTCAGGCCTCCTTTATGGAGTTGTGTTGTTGGTTTATTTTCAAATAGCTTCTTATTCTCAGAGCCCACCTGTGTTAAACTTAATTTTGAATAACTTTAAAAGATGAAATAGTGAAAGTATTGTTTTCGATGTGTGCTTTGCCAGAGTCTTCCATAACCTCTTTTTGAGCAGCAGCTGTCAAATTTTAACGTGTGTAACAATGCACATCTATGGACTGGCTGGATTGCCAGGCCTGGAACAAGATGGGGATTTCCAAATGATTCTGAAGCAGTTGATACTAAGATGACCCCTCAAGAAAAGTGATTGCATTGAACATGATTATAATCTTGTTTAAATAATAAGGGTGGCCAGAAGATGAGCTCCAGGGTCAGATGAACCTATAGTTAGGTTTTATTTCTGTTGCTTTCTAGCTCTGATTTAGAACAAATCTTTTAACCCCTTAGCCCGTGTTGTGAGGATTTAATGAGATCAAACGGGAAAGACTTTCACTCTTCCCTTTTAAAGCTCAGATCTTTGCACAACAAATCCAGTGTTCTTTCTATTCCGCAATACTACCTCTAAGAAAGGGCAATGTGCTGCCTGCTCCAAACGCTGTGCCTCAAAAATGCTGCCAATCTTCCTAAACTCCTAAGCATCAAGCCAAGGCTATTCATTTCCTTGATGATTCATCTTAACACTCGTTACTTGTTGAATTTTCCACCACACCACTTTATTTTGGCATTCCGGGCCTTCTTTTGGCAATAATGCCATTTGTTTGGAGAAATACAGTGAGGTTAGAAATTTAACACTTAACACAACAGTTTATAAGGCGCCATGTTCCAGGCAGCAGGAATTCACCTGAGCTTTGTCACAGAGGCTTACTGCCTCTCTGGTTCCTTTGCACATGGCTGGCAGGTGGCTTAATTCATCTTGGCTTGAGCAGTTTTTGCTCTGGCTTTAAGTAGAAGTAAAGTACCTTTTATTACTGGACACCCTTCAGGAGACATAAGTGCCTTGGAAGACGCTAAAAGAGTATGTTCTCTACTCTGGTAATAGCTGTGCTATGGAAGAGGATAGAAAAAACTTTAAAAGTCGGGAATGTATACTTTAATCTTTATGTATCTAGATCCTTGGTGAAATGCAAAAGAATATTCTCTGATTTATTAACTTCTTACAGCCTATGGACTTTCCATCTTCACAGGCCCTTAATTTAAAGCGATTTTCTAACAGAAAGCAAATGGTAGTAAACTTTACAAAAGGATAGAATGGTATAGTCATTAAAATATTATTGAAGTAATATGAAATACTTATTTGAAATGACTACTGGCATCACCAGAAAGGATCTTTAACCTTTCAGTAATTTTATAGTTCTGACTCTTATTTCCAAATTTAGATTTCATCAGCACTACCAGAAAATATAAGAACAGTAGCCTCAGCGCAGGTTTAGTTTATATTTAGGACTTATTTTGCCATCTTTAATTTACAGTTCTCTAGTAAACCAAAAAAATAGAAACAAAAATTAGGCTTAAAAATTGTTACTAAAACGAATTATGTTGTAGTTATATTTCTTTCAGGCAATAGTTTACCCTCAGGAATCTAATTTGTGGCACTTATTTCCTCCAGTCCAAAGTCTGAACTTTGGCTCCACAGCTTCCAGACTGTGCGACACTGGTGATATTCAACATCTCTAACTCTCCGTTTTCTTGTGCATAATACAGGAATAGCAATAATTCCCTCATAGATTATGTAAGCATCAAAAACCAATGCTAAAAGATAGTGGGCACTCAACAAATAATAATTTTTACCACACTATGATATGAATATTTTAAAGTAAATAACAATAAAGATTAAGCAGAATTACAAAGGATGTAATTACATGGGATGTCTAGCTGCTTGAAGAATAGAATCATACAAAGTCAATTGCCACAAGAAACTTAGAAAGTCAGTGTTTGCATTTCTTTAGAATCAAACACTTGAGTCTTCACTGTTTCAAGGTTGAACTCATCATGCTAGTATTTGATTTTGATGAATTTATTAGTTTTTCTTAGTATAACCATCGTGTTTACAGCTCTTGCTTATGGGTTCATCTGTGGAAGAACACTGTGTACTTACCACTTCATTAATGAAGAGGTCTTTAGATTTGGAATCTATCCTATTATACTGTAATACCTAAGATTTGAAAGTACATTTCTGTAAGAAAAATGTATTACAGTTATAATAATTTAAGGATGCCATTTTCAGAATGTTAATTGTATATAGGCAAAATTACTGAAGCCAAAAAATATGCAATGGCTTGGAATTTAATTGCAACTGGGAGACTACCCTTTGGAAAGTGCATGTGGATGGAAATATTTATGAGTTGGCATGGAAAGCTGGCTCAGTATATTTGCTATGGAATAATTTTAACTGTTACCTTGTTTTACAAGCTGGATTTTATCTGGTGCCTTTTGGGGAGGGTTGAACAAGTCTATACATTCACTCTACATGCTGAGGTGGTTGTTTTAGTTTTCAATTTCAGATATGCTTGAGAAGATTTTAATAAACTTTCACAGGAAAAAGATCAAATAAATCAAAACTCCAACATTCTCCACATAAGAGTGACATGATATTTTCCATGCTCTATTGTTTCATATACCATCAGTTTTGTACCAGATTCTGGCAAAGAAAAATATCTTGCCTCAATAATTTTTATTTTTTGGACCACCAACAAACAAAAATCCAAAAATAAACAAAAACCAAACCAAGAAAGAAAGCATAAAACAGTAAAAATCAAAACCATGACTTGCATGCTAACTCTAAAAAGAAACCATATAATAAACTTTCTGTTCATTTTGATTACAATCAAATTTTGTCAAACACAGTGGTCTTTCTCACAAAAGATCTAATATCTAAAAATTTAAATTTGTCCAAAGTAAGGAACTGATTAATGAGATATATTTACAATCGATTATTCTGCAGACATTAAGAAATGGCATTGTAAGAAAATACAATGGCATGGGGAAATGGGCATTATATCTTAACGTGAAAAGATATAAAATGTGGTCGTATTTCTGTTTAAAAAGTGGTGCTTATTCACTGGAAAAATGGTTTGTAATTCTATTTGCCAGAAGTTTTTTTTCATGTGGTATAGACTTACAGTCGTTTATTTGCTTTGAAGTTAAATATATTTTCTAAAATTTCTAGTAATGGATATATTAATACTTATCATTGTGAAAAGAAAGAAATCACTATAATAATAAAATATGAAAAACTGGGTTTAAGCAGTGGCTACTGTCTCTTCATAAGTAAGTAGCCTGCTTCGATATTGACATTTCATGCCCAAATTTATGGCAGAGTGTTCAAGTGTGTCCAACCAGGAGAAGTTACCAGAAGAGCCAAGTCATGGACCGAGGAGGAAATGAGCACAGCAGGCACCAGGTGAGCTAGGAACTGCACAACCACAGCAGATTCAGAATCGAGGACCATAGAGAACACTGTGCAGGTCATCCCAGTAACCAACAGGTCTGGAGCCAAAATCCAAAAGATGAAAGACAACTGTTTCTTGCCCAGTAATGTGTTCCATGTTAAAAGGCCCCCTTCTCTCTCTCTTTCTGTGTTGTTTTTTTCTCTCTCAAAAGAACCCCCGAACTGTGTGAGGTGTTGTGTCCCAAAGGCAATAAAACTTTAAATCAAGAAACTCTTAAGAATCCATATTCTCAAGGTCAGTAGAGGAATACTCTGATTTGATGATTCTTAATGAACCCAATGTTTTATTAATTAAATCAAGCCACACACACATAAAAATATACATTATTACTTACACATCTTGTTTTTATATGGTTTTATAAATCTGTATCAATTTTTAAAACCTGTTATTCCCTGCAGTATGTTCAGAACTGCTTAGTGACTCTTTACGAGACTTAGGAGAAGTTAGATTTTAGGAGAGTTGTAGATGAGTTCTAATTTTCCAGAAATTATATTAGGAAAGTAACTTTAAAATAAATATGTTAAATTCTACAGAAAACCAATGACCTAAATTTAAATTCTAAACTTGAAACCAGAAGGTTTGACCCTATCTTCAGGGTGCTTTTGTCGTGCATATTGTAAGGAGAAGATCGGGTTATACCCCACTGAGGAATTCCTCAGCTAATGTCTTATAGAACTATAAAGACTCTTCCAATTTACTCATCCTGGGAAAATGATTACTTAATGCATTTACAGTCTTTACCTCCAGATTAAAATAATCTCAATTTAATTTTCTTTATAGGCTGTATTTCTTTTTTGCTAACCTGTGAATTTCCTTGATTTTTCTGAAAATGAGATGCCCGAAATTAAAGCTTACACTAATACAGTCAGTATACTAATTCATTCTAATGCTGGGAGGATTTCACTCCCAGCACTTTTAAGATAATTAATCTCAGATTATGAAAAGGCAGCAACTTGTAGAGCAGCCTACCCTATGGTTACAAAGATAAAATAGAACATGCAAATCAGATGATAAGCTCAACTAGTAATAATAATTATTGTTTATTAAGTGGTAATAGTAAGGACATTGTTTTAATTCATCACACCTGCTATAAATATTTGGCCTGAAGGCTGGCTCTTCAAGCAGATTTCCAGCTGGCTTCCCAGAGTGTCTTATTATTTCCTATTGGCAATACCCAAGGACCAGCTATTCTTCCAGCACCTTAATCCTGGTCCTAAGGGTCTTTCCTTGCACCTCTTATGAGATGAACCTTGCAGCTCATCTTAATAGCGCTAACCAAAACAGCTACTTAGAGTGCGTGAAGGACCTCTTCAAGGAGAACTACAAACCACTGCTCAATGAAATAAAAGAGGATACAAATAAATGGAAGAACATTCCATGCTCATGGGTAGGAAGAATCAATATCGTGAAAATGGCCATACTGCCCAAGGTAATTTATAGATTCAATGCCATCCCCATCAAGCTACCAATGACTTTCTTCACAGAATTGGAAAAAACTGGCCGGGCGCGGTGGCTCACGCCTGTAATCCCAGCACTTTGGGAGGCCGAGGCGGGCGGATCACGAGGTCAGGAGATCGAGACCATCCTGGCTAAAACGGTGAAACCCCGTCTCTACTAAAAATACAAAAAATTAGCTGGGCGTAGTGGCGGGCGCCTGTAGTCCCAGCTACTTGGGAGGCTGAGGCAGGAGAATGGCGTGAACCCGGGAGGCGGACCTTGCAGTGAGCCGAGATCCTGCCACTGCACTCCAGCCTGGGCGACAGAGCGAGACTCCGTCTCAAAAAAAAAAAAAAAAAAAGAGAATTGGAAAAAACTGCTTTAAAGTTCATATGAAACCAAAAAAGAGCCCGCATCGCCAAGTCAATCCTAAGCCAAAAGAACAAAGCTGGAGGCATCATGCTACCTGACTTCAAACTATACTACAAGGCTACAGTAATCAAAAAAGCATGGTACTGGTACCAAAACAGAGGTATAGATCAATGGAACAGAAGAGAGCCCTCAGAAATAACGCCGCATATCTACAACTATCTGATCTTTGACAAACCTGAGAAAAACAAGCAATGGGGAAAGGATTCCCTATTTAATAAATGGTGTTGGGAAAACTGGCTAGCCATATATAGAAAGCTGAAACTGGATCCCTTCCTTACACCTTATACAAAAATTAATTCAAGATGGATTAAAGACATGAACGTTAGACCTAAAACCATAAAAACCCTAGAAGAAAACCTAGGCATTACCATTCAAGACATAGGCATGGGCAAGGACTTCATGTCTAAAACACCAAAAGCAATGGCAACAAAAGCCAAAATTGACAAACGGGATCTAATTAAACTAAAGAGCTTCTGCACAGCAAAAGAAACTACCATCAGAGTGAACAGGCAACCTACAAAATGGGAGAACATTTTCACAACCTACTCATCTGACAAAGGGCTAATATCCAGAATCTACAAAGAACTCAAACAAATTTACAAGAAAAAAACAAACAACCCCATCAACAAGTGGGCCAAGGATATGAACAGACACTTCTCAAAAGAAGACATTTATTCAGCCAAAAGACACATGAAAAAATGCTCATCATCACTGGTCATCAGAGAAATGCAAATCAAAACCACAATGAGATACCATCTCACACCAGTTAGAATGGCGATCATTAAAAAGTCAGGAAACAACAGGTGCTGGAGAGGATGTGGAGAAATAGGAACACTTTTACACTGTTGGTGGGACTGTAAACTAGTTCAACCATTGTGGAAGTCAGTGTGGCGATTCCTCAGGGATCTAGAACTAGAAATACCATTTGACCCAGCCATCCCATTACTGGGTATATACCCAAAGGACTATAAATCATGCTGCTATAAAGACACATGCACACGTATGTTTATTGCGGCACTATTCACAATAGCAAAGACTTGGAACCAACCCAAATGTCCAACAATGATAGACTGAATGAAGAAAATGTGGCACATATATACCATGGAATACTACGCAGCCATAAAAAATGATGAGTTCATGTCCTTTGTAGGGACATGGATGAAATTGGAAATCATCATTCTCAGTAAACTATCGCAAGGACAAAAAACCAAACACTGCATGTTCTCACTCATAGATGGGAATTGAACAATGAGAACACATGGACACAGGAAGGGGAACATCACACTCTGGGGACTGTTGTGGGGTGGGGGGAGGGGGGAGGGATAGCATTAGGAGATATACCTAACGCTAAATGACGAGTTAATGGGTGCGGCACACCAGCATGGCACATGTATACATATGTAACTAACCTGCACGTTGTGCACATGTACCCTAAAACTTAAAGTACAATAATAATAAAATAATAATTAAAAAAAAAAAGAGTGCGGAAGCCTATCCCTGTGAGTGTGGAGACCTCAGGAGACAAAATACATTTTACCTAAGTACAGGCTAACCACTCAATTCATCTTAGCATGAGGCGACACATAAATCCAGGTTTCACAGTCATCTCCAGTTATACTTCCTAGTTCGCTCCCTGTAACATTTGAACCCTTTACATACTGGTGCGTAAACACACCCAGAGAGTCAACCTAAGTGATTTCAAGTAGTCCACTAGGTGGCAGAGGTGTTTACGAGGAAGTGAAGCTCAACAATGCTCAAGTCTCCAATAGTTCAGCAAGCCAGGAAATGAAAGAGAACCTAATTGGAGAATATATGGTATTTCTGAATTACAACATAAATATGTATTAAACTGTGAATCTACCCCACCCCCAAACACATACCACACTACAGGGGTTTCAATTTTAAACAAGATATGAAAAACCATCAAAAATAGCAGCAGCTACCTGAGTCAGCCAACAATGCTATTTTAAATAATTTTTAAATAATTAATAAACATAATTCATCACGTAATTAAAGACAAAAACCACATGGTTATCTCAATAGATGCAGAAAAGGCCTCCAATAAAATTAATCATCCCTTCATATAAAAAACTCCCAATAAACTAGGTATTGATGGAACATACCTCAAAATAATAAGAGCCAATTATGACAAACTCACAATCAGTATCATACTGAATGGGCAAAAGCTGGAAGCATTCCCTTTGAAAACAGGCACAAGACAAGAATGTCCTCTCTCACCATTCCTATTCAACATAGTATTGGAAGTCCTGGCCAGGGCAATCAGGCAAGAGAAAGAAATAAAGGGTATTCAAATAGTAAGAGAGGAAGTAAAACTGTCTCTGTTTGCAGGTGATATAATCCTGTATCTAGAAAACCCCATCATCTCAGCCCAAAAACTTAAGTTGATAAGCAACTTCAGAAAAGTCTCAGGATACAAAATCAATGTGCAAAAATCACAAGCATTCCTATATACCAACAACAGACAAGCAGAGAGCCAAATCATGAATGACTGCGCATTCACAATTGCTACAAAGAGAATAAAATACCTAGGAATATAGCTAACAAGGGAAGTGAAAGACCTCTTCAAGAACTACAAATCATTGTTCAAAGAAATAAGAAAGGACACAAACAAATAGAAAAACATTCTATGCTCATGGATAGGAAGAATCAATATCATGAAACTGTCCATATGCTTAAAGTAATTTATAGATTCAATGCCATTCCCACTAAACTACCATTGACATTCTTCACAGAATTAAAAAAAACAACTTTAGAATTCCTGTGGAAGCAAAAAAGAGCCCATATAGCCAAGACAGTCCTAAGCAAAAAGAACAAAGCTGGAACCATCACACTACCCAACTTCAAACAATACTACAAGGCTACAGTAACCAAAACAGCAAGGTACTGGTACAAAAACAGACACATAGACCAATTGAACATAATAGACACCTCAGAAATAAGACCGCACATCTACAACCATCTGATCTTCGACAAACCTGACCAAAAAAAAGCAATGGGGAAAGGATTCCCTATTTAATAGATGGTTCTGGGAAAACTGGCTAGCCATATGCAGAAAATTGAAACTGGACCTTTTCCTTACACCTTATACAAAAACTAACTCAAGATGGATTAAAGACTTAAATGTAAAACCCAAAACTATAAAAACCCTAGAAGAAAAGCTAGGCAGTATCATTCAGGACATAGGCACGGCCAAAGATTTCATGATGAAAACATCAAAAGCAATGGGAACAAAAGCAAAAATTGACAAATGGGATCTAATTAAACTAAAGAGCTTCTGCGCAGCAAAAAACACTATCATCAGAGTGAACAAAGAACCTACAGAATGGGAAAAAATTTTTGCAAACTATCCATCTGACAAAGGTCTAATATCCAGAATCTACAAGGAACTTAAACAAATGTACAAGAAAAAAAAAAACAACCCCATTAAAAAGTGGGCAAAGGACATGAACAGACACTTCTCAAAAGAAGACATTTATGTGGCCAACAAACATATGAAAAAAAGCTCAACATCATTGATCATTAGAGAAATGCAAATCAAAACCACAATGAGATACCATCTCACACCAGTTAGGATGGCAATTATTAAAAAGTCAAGAAACAACAGATGCTAGTGAGGCTGTGGAAAAACAGAAGCACTTTTACACTGTTGGTAGGAATGTAAATTAGTTCAACCATTGTGGAGGACAGTGTGGCAATTCCTCAAAAACCTAGAAACAGAAATACAATTTGACCCAGCAATCCCATTACTGGGTATATACCCAAAGGAATACAAATCATTCTGTTATAAAGATACATGCACATATATGTTCATTGCAGCACTACTCACAATAGCAAAGAAACAGAATCAACCCAAATACCCATCAATGATAGACTGGATAAAGAAAATGTGGTACATACATACCATGGAATACTACGCAGCCATAAAAAGGAATAAGATCATGTCTTTTGCAGGGACATGGATGGAGCTGGAAGCCATCATCCTCAGCAAACATACACAGTAACAGAAAATCAAACACCATATGCTCTCACTTATAAGTCAGAGCTGAACAATGAGAACACAAGGACACAGAAAGGGGAACAACACACATTGGGGCCTGTCAAGGGGGCAGGGGGAAGTAGAGTATCAGAATAAATAGCTAATGTGTATGGGGCTTAATACCTAGGTGATGGGTTGATAGGCGCAGCAAACTACCATGGCACACGTTTACCTATGTAAAAACCTCTACATCCTGCACGTGTATCCCAGAATTTAAAATAAAATATAATTAAATTTTTAAAAATTGTCCCTATTTTTTTATTTTTAAGAGAGTGAACTTTAAAGGAAGTCGTGGGTTACTGATGTTCCACTGACACAGTCATTTATTGAAAATGACTGGAAGTCTGCGCACTTACATGCTCTGGGCCTCTTCCTGTTGTCTGTCATCTGCTACATGTCAAAACTTGTTATTTAATCAGAGCTAACATATCCCTTTCAGCCATGCAACTGGATTCTAGATTTGACTTTGTCACAGTATTTGGAAAGATGTCTCTTTGTTCTTTCTCTGCAGTCTTTATTTAAGCTATCTTAGCAATTATCCTCTTGGTTTCACAATAACATCACCTCTACATATGTTCTTTGTGATGAAAATAAGTAAGACCTGGTGGAAAGAAACTGAGATTATTTTCACCCAAAGACCTAGATTTGAGTGTTGATTTTGCCACTTATTAAATCCTGGGTATGTTTTCTGACATCCTCAAGCCTTGGTTTTTTTACTAGTAACATGGAGAAAATAGCTAAACTCACAAAATCATTGAGAAGATTACAGGAGAGTATATGGAAAACAACTTAAAGTAGTATATAAATGTAAATAAATATGTGTATGGAACTATGTAAATATATATGCAAATACATATTATCATTTAGTTTTGCCAAATAAAATGTGAAAGAAACATCAGACTCAGGAATATCAACATTGCAAACCTAGAAAGACAAAAAGTGCAAATTTTGCAGGGCTTAACTTAAAAGTTTCTAGAGGACAAACACTTGTGTTGGTGGAAGGCCATGGTGTGACAGGACACACAGGCTCGCCTGCTGGAGAGCTTTTATGAGCCTTGGCAGCACAGCATAAGAGAACAGATGATTCAGATCCTCTTCTTGTGAAATCCAAATTATGTATTAATAGAATATGTGCTGTGACTGTTTTCCTTGATACAAATGTAAGGTAATAGTCTCAGAATTTCAGATCTAATTGCTTTGTTTTGGATTCTTGTCATCTAAATTTAATCCTAAAAAATGCATGCTTAATTGGATGATTCTTCATCGTGTTGCTTTTTTGTTTTTAATCTACACACAAGGGGTCAGAGTGTATATATTAGAAGTTATATTAAATATTTTAATTTTTCATATAAGACCTTCATATAAAATGTATTTTACACACACACAAAAAAGAGGGTATTCTAAAGCCTCACTATGCCAAGTGTAGACTATAATCCAGCAGCAGCAGCAGCATCACCTTGGAGCCTGTTAAAAATGCAGCATCTCAGGCTCTATCCTAGACCCATTAAATCAGAACCTGTATTGTAATAAGAATCCCAAATGATTTATATATGCATCAACTTTGAAAATAACTGGTTTTGATCATCTAATAGTTAGGTTTAGTTCAGTTGTTATGTCATTTGTTCTATCCAACAATATTGACTTTCTCTATAACTGCGATAGAAATTAGGAAGTTTCTCCTTTTGGCACTTACACTTTTTTTTTTTTACCCCCATACCATGGAATGTGAAGGCATTTGTCTTTGGGTCCCCACTACCTCACCAAGCCTCCATTCTCTCCCTTTTCATCTTCCTCTTCCCTCCCAAGCTATGTTTCAGATGTGCTGCAATACTCAAAGCTTACATTCAGAGGTTAAGTGTACACTACGTAGGGTCCCAGTTGGGTATTCAGTTTGACTACAGCATTGCTCAAATATGGTGATGCTAGGAAGATTTTTAGCCAGGAAGATGTTGAAAAAAGCAGCTAAAAGTGGAAAATATTTATGGCTTCATTAAGATTGGCCTGAGGCACCATGGAACATTTTCTCTCTTAATCTTTTTTCATTATGTAATCTGTTCATGGAATTCCTAATTCTGCATGACATGCCATATGAGTAAATGGGTTTTGCTTATGGATGTAAAGATGGAAATTCAATTTAAATTTAAGGATAAATAAAGAGAGGGAAGAGAAATAGAATTCCATAGAATAGAATGGTAGTTCCCCAGAGGATAGGGGACATAGAATAGGAACTCCAGGTTTCAATACTTAAAGAAAGTTTTGGGGTGCCAAGGGGTGAGAAAACAGTTATGGAGATTTGGGCAAGATTGAACCCCGAAGATCATCATTCAGAGATATGAGGAATCTGGGCTCTTCCCTTAGCATACAAAGCAAGTCTTTCAAGGATTTTTGCAACATGAAATGAGTGCACTGGTGATAGGCTTGTACCATATTTTGAGTTTAGAAATGAAACAGTATTCAAAGTAATAATTTTTAAAGCATTTAAATAGGAAAACACTCAGAACTATATTGCTAAAAACATAACCGTTAAGATATCACAGAAGCCAAAATATCACAACATTATTAAAGTCCCAGCAAAATAATAAAAAAACAAAAAAGAAATATTTTGAAAAATAATAAGAAACAAACAAACAAACAAAGTCCCAGCAATTTGACTTGAAAATATTTTGCCATTGGTAATTACAAAGCAGCTTAAATTCTGAAGCTTTCAAGTGCAAAAAGAAAATAAAAAGTGTTTTTCAAATTGCAAATTAGTATAAACAAATGGAAAGAATGACCAAGGATGACTACATATGCCTAAGTATGAACTCACTATAATTAAGAAAACTCATAGCTTTGTGAAGAATTCTATTCTTGAAGCCATCGATTACACTGTAAACTAAAATAGAATTTGCCTTTGAAGAAGTTATTTCAGCCCTCTGAGCCTGAATTTTCCTTTTTATTTAATGCTGCTTACTACCCCCCACCTTGCCGGGCTTAATTCATAGGAGCTAATGACACAATGGTCCTTTTTTCTGACCAACAGTCGAATGGGGACCTTTTCCTCTAATTTTTGAAAAGTATTGCAAAGGCATATAAATAAAATATATTTATCAAAGTATGTAAGGAATTATCTTTACCAAAAAGCATAACATTACATAAAGTAGATGTTCAGAAAAACCCGGATAGTTAATCACTTTTACTCTAGTCTTTGAAGTCAAATAATTGATGCATAACTGACTGAAACTGTTTGATATCATTAGGTGCAACACTTTAAATCAAATGCAGGCTTTTATATTGGGCAAAAGCCAAGATTTTTGAGTACTCAAAAGGGTATAACATGTGTAAGGCCTTCCACTTATTTATTCTTTATAATTGTATGAGTGTGAAGGAATTCGATTAGCACATTCACATAATTGATTTCTAACCAGAAGGAAAAAGCTAGAAATAAATAAAACCTCTATCTTCCCCCGAGCACATAACTGAAGAGGTAGTTCTCCAAGGGCTGCTGTTTCCATTCCTGACAGGAAGGAAATGCTGAGGGAATCCATTTCCTG
Source organism: Homo sapiens (assembly GCF_000001405.40). NCBI lineage: Eukaryota > Metazoa > Chordata > Mammalia > Primates > Hominidae > Homo > Homo sapiens. The sequence goes on from NC_000007.14 coordinate 20,545,280, forward strand.
TAGCTTCTATGGGCAGTCTCCATGGCCATTATGGAAGTTTCTACCCCTCTTGCTATTAGATGCTTTAAAATGTCATAGATATGCTTTCTTCTTATTTTAAAATACAAAAATAAAAGCCATGGATTAGAGGAAAAGGAGCATGTCTCTCAGGTGGCTGGAAATACACACTTGTTTTTGTTTAAGTCTTAATTCAAAGGCACATTTCACTTTTTTATTCTGAAATAATTTCAAACCTAGAGAAATGTAAGAATTATACAAAATACTTTTGTACCTTTCACCCAGATTCACCAGTTGTTAACATTGCCACGTGTGTTTCATCTCTCTCTCACTCTCTACTTACATGGACGTATATGTACACATAAAAAAATTTCTGAGCCATTTGAGAAGAAGTTTTAGACTTTGTATCTCTTTACTCCTTTAATATGCCAGTCTGTGCCTCTTGAGAAAAGAATATTTTCTTACAGGGCTCCAGTACAATGAACAATTTTAGGAAATTTGACTTTGATGCTATTACCTAATCCACAATTCATATTCAAATTTCAACAATTATTCAGCCCCATCAACTTTTAATCAGCAGTTTTAACAAATCATCTGGACATTCCATTTTCTTTAAGAAAACAGTGGACAGTCGGAAATTGCAAATAACCATTTTATTTTCCAGAATGCACTAGGTACCAATATAGATATGTTACTAATTTATTGACCAAACATAATAGGATGTCTTCTGTTGTCCACATAGAAAAAAAAAAAATCCTGAACTAAGGTAAATATCTTAGCTACCTACTAGAAATGGGTTAGCTAGGAGAATACACAAACAACAGACAGAATTAATATTTAATTAATTCTTTTACTATGTGAAAATCATAGAAAAGTGGAAAGGCCCTTTTTCTCTTGAGGCTTCTCTGAACAAATTCAAATATATTTAGAGTCTGTAGAATTCTAACTTCACCAACTCAAAAATTTAACTAATCTAATGCCATTTTTCAAAGTTTAACAGTATGAAGATCTGCCGGTAGAATAACAAAGGCCGAAGAACAACAAGCAAAGAGCAGATTGGTTTGGTTTGGTTTGTTTTTTTTTCTTAAAATTTTTTGAGTACAATACTTGGGGAAAAGAAGACTGCCTTCTCCTGAAGATTTCTTAGGGCTTACCCTGAAAGCTAGCCTTCATGCCCTGACAATCCACAATGAGATCACCAACAAGGGAGGAGTGGGAGTAACAATTCAGTCAATAAGGATGCTGCTATGAGGAATCTTTTTGAAAACCCACCGTACTCCTTGTATGGCAGTTCAGATTGTTCAGACCTCTTGGGACATCTTCCCAGTATGTCTTTTTCATACGAAAAAGACAACTGTCTTTGTCCCAAGAGGTCAAAGTACTCATGTTAAGGCTGATCCCAGACAACTATACAAAATGCAGACATTATAGCTGTCAGGCCTCTGAGCCCAAGCTAAGCCATCATATCCCCTGTGACCTGCACATACACATCCAGATGGCCGGTTCCTGCCTTAACTGATGACATTCCACCACAAAAGAGATGAAAATGGCCTGTTCCTGCCTTAACTGATGACATTATCTTGAGAAATTCCTTCTCCTGGCTCAAAAGCTCCCCTACTGAGCACCTGGTGACCCCCCACTCCTGCCCACTAGAGAACAACCCCCCTTTGACTGTAATTTTCCTTTACCTACCCAAATCTTATAAAACGGCCCCACGCCTATCTCCCTTCGCTGACTCTCTTTTCAGACTCAGCCCGCCTGCACCCAAGTGAAAAACAGCCTTGTTGCTCACACAAAGCCTGTTTGGTGGTCTCTTCACACAGACGCGAGTGAAATTCGGTGCTATGACTCGGATCAGGGGACCTCCCTTGGAAGATCAATCCCCTGTCCTCCTGCTCTTCTTATCACTTCCCCTCCTCACACCCAGTTGGGCTTACAGTTTCATTCCGTGACTAGCCCTCCCCAACCTGCCCAGCAATTTCCTCTTAAAATGGTGGCTGGAGCTAAAGGCATAGTCAAGGTTAATGCTCCTTTTTCTTTATCCGACCTCTCCCAAATGCTCCCAGTTAGCATTTAGGCTCTTTTTCATCGAATATGAAAAACCCAGCCCAGTTCATGGCTCATTTGGCTGCAACCCTGAGACACTTTACAGCCCTAGACCCTAAAAGGTCAAAAGGCTGTCTTATTCTCAGTACACATTTTATTACCCAATCCACTCCCGACTTTAAATAAAACTCCAAAAATTAAATTCCAGCCCTCAAACCCCACAACAGGACTTAATTAACCTCGCCTTCAAGGTGTACAATAATAGAAAAAACTTGCAATTCCTTGCCTCCACTGTGAGACAAACCCCAGCCACATCTCCAGCACACAAGAACTTCCAAATGCCTAAACCGCAGTGGCCAGGCATTCCTCCAGGCCCGCCTCCCCCAGGAGCTTGCTACAAGTGCCAGAAATCTGGCCACCAGGCCAAGGAACGCCCGCAGCCGAGGATTCCTCCTAAGCTGCGTCCCATCTGTGCAGGACCCCACTGAAAATCAGACTGTTCAACTCACCTGGCAACCACTCCCAGAGCCCCTGGAACTCTGGCCCAAAGCTCTCTGACTCCTTCCCAGATCTTCTCGGCTTAGCAGCTGAAGACTGACACCGCCCAATTGCCTCGGAAGCCTACAGGACCATCACAGACGCTCTGGGTAACTCTCACAGTGGAGGATAAGTCCGTCCCCTTCTTAGTCAATACGGAGGCTACCCACTCCACATTACCTTCTTTTCAAGGGCCTGTTTCCCTTGTCTCCATAACTGCTGTGGGTATTGACGGCCAGGCTTCTAAACCTCTTAAAACTCCCCAACTCTGGTGCCAACTTAGACAATACTCTTTTAAGCACTCCTTTTAATTATCCCCACCTGCCCAGTTCCCTTATTAGGCTGAGACACTTTAACTAAATTATCTGCTTCCCTGACTATTCCTGGGCTACAGCCACTCCTCATTGCCACCTTTTCCCCCAGTTCAAAGCCGCCTTCACATCCTCCTCTTGTATCCCTCCACCTTGACCCACAAGTATAGGATACCTCTACTCCCTCCTTGGCGACTGATCATCCACCCCTTACCATCTCATTAAAACCTAATCACCCTTACCCCATTCAACGCCAGTGTCCCATCCCGCAGCACGCTTTAAAAAGATCAAAGCCTGTTATCACTCACCTGCTACAGCATGGCCTTTTAAAGCCTATAAACTCTCCTTACAATTCCCCCATTTTACCTGTCCTAAAACCAGACAATCCTTACAAGTTAGTTCAGGATCTGCGCCTTATCAACCAAATTGTTTTGCCTTTCCACCCCATGGTGCCAAACCCATATACTCTCCTATCCTCAGTACCTCCCTCTACAACCCATTATCCTGTTCTGGATCTCACACATGCTTTCTTTACTATTCCTTTGCACCCTTCATACCCAGCCTCTCTTCGCTTTCACTTGGACTGACCCTGACACCCATTAGGCTCAGCAAATTACCTAGGCTGTACTGCCACAAGGCTTCACAAACAGCCCCCATTACTTCAGTCAAGCCCAAATTTCATCCTCATCTGTTACCTATCTCGGCATAATTCTCATAAAAACACACGTGCTCTCCCTGCTGATTGTGTCCGACTAATCTCCCAAACCTCAATCCCTTACAAAACAACAACTCCTTTCCTTCCTAAGCATGGTTAGTGCAGTCAGAATTCTTACACAAGAGCCAGGACAACACCCTGTAGCCTTTCTGTCCAAACAACTTGACCTTACTGTTTTAGCCTAGCCCTCAAGTCTGCATGCGGTGGCCGCCACCACCCTAATACTTGAAAAGGCGCTTAAAATCACAAACTATGCTCAACTCACTCTCTACAGTTCTCATAACTTCCAAAATCTATTTTCTTCCTCACACCTGACACATATACTTTCTGCTCCCCGGCTCCTTCAGCTGTACTCACTCTTTGTTGAGTCCCACAATTACCATTGTTCTTGGCCTGGACTTCAATCCGGCCTCCCACATTATTCTGGATACCACACCTCATCCTCATGACTGTATCTCTCTGATCCAGCTGACATTCACCCCATTTCCCCATATTTCCTTATTTCCTGTTCCTCACCCTGATCACATTTAGTTTATTGACGGCAGTTCCACCAGGCCTAATCGCCACTCACCAGCAAAGGCAGGCTATGCTATAGTATCTTCCACATCTATCACTGAGGCTACCGCTCTGCCCCCCTCCACTACCTCTCAGCAAGCCAAACTAGCTGCCTTAACTCAAGCCCTCACTCTTGCAAAAGGACTACATGTCAATATTTATACTGACTCTAAATATGCCTTTCATATTCTGCACCACCATGCTGTTATACAGGCTGAAAGAGATTTCCTCACTACACAAGGGTCCTCCATCATTAATGCCTCTTAAATAAAAACTCTGCTCAAGGCTGCTTTACTTCCAAAGGAAGCTGGAGTCATTCACTGCAAAGGCCATCAAAAGGCGTCAGATCCCATTGCTCTAAGCAACGCTTATGCTGATAAGGCGGCTAGACAAGCAGCTAGTTCTCCAACTTCTGTCCCTCACGGCCAGTTTTTCTCCTTCCCATCGGTCACTCCCACCTACTCCCCCGCTGAAACTTCCACCTATCAATCTCTTCCCACACAAAGCAAATAGTTCTTAAACCAAGGAAAATATCTCCTTCCAGCCTCACAGGCCCATTCTATTCTGTCGTCATTTCATAACCTCTTCCATGTAAGTTACGAGCCGCTAACCTGTCTCTTAGAACCTCTCATTTCCTTTCCATCCTAGAAATCTATCCTCAAGGAAATCACTTCTCAGTGTTCCATTTGCTATTCTACTACCCCTCAGGGATTGTTCCAGCCTCCTCCCTTTCCTACACATCAAGCTCAGAGATTTGCCCCTTCCCAGGACTGGCAAATTGACTTTACTCACATGCCCCGAGTCAGAAAACTAAAATACCTCTTAGTCTAGGTAGACATTTTCACTAGATAGGTAGAGGCCTTTCCTACAGGGTCTGAGAAGGCCACCGCAGTCATTTCTTCCCTTCTGTCAGACATAATTACTCAGTTTAGCCTTCCCACCTCTACGCAGTCCGATGGTGGACTGGCCTTTATTAGTCAAATCAGCCCAGCAGTTTTTCAGGCTCTTGGTATTCAGTGAAACCTTTATATCCCTTACAGTCCTCAGTGTTCAGGAAAAGTAGAACAGACTAAAGGTCTTTTAAAAACACACCTCACCAAGCTCAGCCACCAACTTAAAAAGGAATGGACAATACTTTTACCACTTTCCCCTCTCAGAATTCAGGCCTGTCCTCAGAATGCTACAGGGTACAGCCCATTTGAGCTCCTGTATAGATGCTCCTTTTTATTAGGCCCCATTCTCATTCCAGACACCAGACCAACTTGGACTGTGCCCCAAAAAACTTGTCATCCCTACTATCTTCTGTCTAGTCATACTCCTATTCACCGTTCTCAACTACTCATACATGCCCTGCTCTTGTTTACACTGCCAGTTTACACCATTTCTCCAAGTCATCACAGCTGATACCTCCTGGTGCTATCCCCAAACTGCCACTCTTAACTCTTAAAGTAAATAATCTTTGCTGGCAGGACTATGCTGAATCTCCTTAGGCACTCTCTAATTAAATGTCCTAGGTCCTCCCAATTCTTAGACCTTTAATACCTGTTTTTCTCCTCCTGTTATTCCGTTTAGTTTTTCAATTCATACAAAACCATATCCAGGCCATCACCAATAATTCTAAATGACAAATGTTTCTTCTAACAGTCCCACAATATCACCCCTTGCCACAAAATCTTCCTTCAATTTAATCTCTCCCACTCTAGGTTCCCACACCGCCCCAATCCCGCTGGAAGCAGCCCTGAGAAACATCGCCCATTATCTCTCCATACCACCCCAAAAATTTTCGCCGTCCCAACACTTTACCACTATTTCATTTTATTTTTCTTATGAGTATAAGAAGACAGGAATGTCAGGCCTCTGAGCCCAAGCTAAGCCATCATATCCCCTGTGACCTGCACATACACATCCAGATGGCCGGTTCCTGCCTTAACTGATGACATTCCACCACAAAAGAAATGAAAATGGCCTGTTCCTGCCTTAACTGATGACATTATCTTGAGAAATTCCTTCTCCTGGCTCTTCCTGGCTCAAAAGCTCCCCTACTGAGCACCTTGTGACCCCCACTCATGCCCACCAGAGAACAACCCCCCTTTGACTATAATTTTCCTTTACCTACCCAAATCTGATAAAACGGCCCTACCCCTATCTCCCTTCGCTGACTCTCTTTTCGGACTCAGCCCGCCTGCACCCAGGTGAAATAAACAGCCTTGTTGCTCACACAAAGCCTGTTTGGTGGTCTCTTCACACGGATGCCAGTGAAAATAGCCACTTCCTTGAACAGAAGACTTGTGGAACAGGAAATTCTACCAGCTTTCAGAAAAAATTGACAATATTTGACTTTGTAAATGCATAAATACAATGTTTAATTAATTCTTTTAATCAAGTTAGAACATTCTAGTCAAACAAACATGACTCTAAAGTGTGACCTAATTACAATGCTACTGAGATGAACATAGCTCTATAAGTGCCAAATATTGAAAATCTCAGTTTCTTATTTATTTGCTTGGATAAAATTTTTATTTCTATTTAAACTTTCAGAATTTCAGTCACTAAAAAACTTATTCATATATAAAATGAAATCTCTTGTGTTACTAAAAAAGAGTATATCTACTGATTACCTCGCAACTATATTATACTACATGTAAGCTATACAACTTTATAAAGCATATATGCCCAGTAAGTATTTATATCTAAGGAATTTTCCATTGCAATTGCTATTGCACTTTAAAATTGCATACATATTTAAAAGCTTTTCTACTAATTCAAAATTTAAAAGGTAATTTTTAAAGAGGTATCTAGGCCCTCCCCTAAAAAAATTGTGTGTGTAATTTATCAGTTTTTAAAAATTTAATAAGAAATTTGTTCTTATATATTTCTGACTTAAATAGATTTTTTCTTGCATTTAAATATCACTTTTTTAAAAAAACTAATAGTTGGGAATTATGCAAACAACATTTATAACCATTTACTACACCTGTGTGGCTATATAAAGAAGTTTTCTATTCATTTTGTGTTATTACATTATATATATTTTTATTAAACTCATTTTGTTGTTAAGAAAAGTACCTTTAGCTAAGTTACAGATAAAGATAGCAATTTAATTGGGCTTGGCAAATAATGAAATATAATGTTCATCCTGTAGATAAGAAATTTTAAATAAAGTAAAACAGCAAAATGTCAAAACCAAACCAAATGGTGATACCTCATTTCTGCATTATATTCCCATAAATAATGTGGGAAAGAGAAGAAATGTAATACAGTACATAAATCTTAATCCTTGGCTCATTCTTAGCTTTATCTTTTAGCATAATTAGGCCAAGTTTTAATTTTTTTAAAAATCTTTCTTAAATTGTATTATCTGCTGATGCTGTTACCAGCAATTCTCTTTCGTGTCAAAATAAAACATACTGTATTGGATAAAGCATCCCAAAGCCATACCACCTCACAACAGCCCAATCTACACCCTTCCTGCCCAACTCATCCAACCACTCACATCTTTAATTGTGATATTTGATCCCCAAGTCAAAGTTATAAAAAGAATGGTCAATTAGAAAAAAAATCTAAATCTCTTTGGGTTAGAGTCTTTGAAAACATGCCAACAGCTACTGGACACTTCTAGTTTTTACACACAATAGAAAACCATTACAGATCCAATAAAAGTCAGAGACATCCTTTATTTTCTGTTGTTTAAAAGCTTTACTGCATCTCTTATGAAGGGAACAGCTACCTTTAACATTAATTTGATGTCTATTTGCATGGAGCAGAATTGAGGGCACTTACTGAGAAGAATGAACCATAAGTGCTACATTCTCTGGTTGTATCACAGGCCAGGCACGGTGGCACAGACCTGTCATCCCAACACTTTGGGAGGCCGAGGTGGGTGGATCACGAGGTCAAGAGATCGAGACCATCCTGGGCAACGTGGTGAAACCCCATCTCTACTAAAAATAGAAAAATTAGCTGGGCGTGGTGGCACGTGCCTGTAGTCCCAGCTACTCTGGGGGCTGAGGCAGGAGAATCGTTTGAACCTGGGAGGCAGAGGTTGTGGTGAGCCAAGATCATGCCACTGCACTCCAGCCTGGTGACAGAGTGAGAATCCGTCTCAAAAAAAAAAAAAAAAAAAAAGCATAAGGAGTAGGAGCTGACTTCACTACAAACTAGAGTAGCTTACAAGCAAACAATATAAATAAAACAAGGTGAGTTCCCTGCTTCCCGAACTGCTTAAGCTGCACTGACCAGTTCTTTTCACCAAAAGTACCTGCCATTTTGAGTAAACTCATGTCAACTATTTGTTTTCTGACTCATAAAAAAAAATAATTTCTAATCTAGATTATTATGCTTCTACTGTGTATTTTTCTACAGATTGAAGATCTTTATATTTTGTTTCCAAAAGTATAATATCATAAATGTTGACAACTTTTCTAGGTCACCATTTAGGGAGGGAAAATACAGTGAAAGATGTTCTACTGCTTTTGGACTCCAAAACAGCTTAAGTTTGTATTAATTCCATCAAAGTATTCATCAGCGTTATGTACCAGAATCTGACAACTTGCTTTTGAATTCCAACTCTAATATGGGAAAGATATCAAAAGAGAGATCTTAACCTTTCCCAGTCTCTTTTACGTCATTCATACATAATACTTAGCTCACACTGTTGTGAGGATGAAATTCAAGATAATGTATTACTTTTGCTCTACATAATAGTACTCGACCATGCTTTTGGCTGCAAGTACCAAATTCCTAACTGACAACATTTTGAACTTACATAGCAAGGAGCCTGAAGGTAGGTGGTGGCACACACAGGCTCAGTGACTCAGCACTATCAAGGTCACATCTCTGTTAGGCTCTTGGCCTTTTTCTCGTGTCTGTAAACTCGTGGTCACAAGATGGCTGCCTTATTTCCAATCATCACTTCAGTGTTCTCTAGCTAGTCTTCCCCCTAGATCTCATTACCTGGAACTACATCAGATACTTAGCTTTAAGAGAAGCTAGAAAAATTAGCATTTATTGCACTTTCACAGCTTCTATAGTGAATGTGCCCAAGGGAAGGGATGGTGGGAATGGGTGTTGGAAAAAAATAACCAACAGCATCTGCCATATTTCTTTGAAAAGCTTTGAACAGTATGTGAAGTAACGTTATTAAATTCTCTTGTAACAAAATATTTTGTTTTTATTCTACGTAGTGTACATTTATGCCTCTCCTGAAGCTGCTTACTTTATCAGCTTCCATAAGTCTCTCTGACCCAACTCTCAGCAGCAAGAAATAGCATGTGGGTTTTTGTTTTTGTTTTTTTTTCCACAAAAGCTGATTAGTCTTCCTTCCATAAAACCTGGCACAGGCAAAAAAAAAAAAAAAAAAAAAAAAAAAAAAAAAAATAGAGGAGGTGCATCCCACAATTACCTTAAGGAAGATAAAAACAGACATATCCAATTATTGTATTAAAAGCAATTTCTTAAACTGGCTAGCCATATGTAGAAAGCCAAAACTGGATCCCTTCCTTACACCTTATACTAAAATTAATTCAAGATGGATTAAAGATTTAAATGTTAGACCTAAAACCATAAAAACCCTAGAAGAAAACCTAGGCAATACCATTCAGGACATAGGCATGGGCAAGGACTTCATGTCTAAAACACCAAAAGCAATGGCAACAAAAGCCAAAATTGACAAATTGGATCTAATTAAACTAAAGAGCTTCTGCACAGCAAAAGAAACTACCATCAGAGTGAACAGGCAACCTACAGAATGAGAGAAAATTTTTACAATCTACCCATCTAACAAAGGGCTAATATCCAGAATCTACAAAGAACTCAAACAAATTTACAAGAAAAAACAACCCCATCAAAAATTGGGCGAAGGATATAAACAGACACTTCTCAAAAGAAGACATTTATCCAGCCAAAAGACACATGAAAAAATGCTCATTATCACTGGCCATCAGAGAAATGCAAATCAAAACCACAATGAGATACCATCTCACACCAGTTAGAATGGCAATCATTAAAAAGTCAGGAAACAACAGGTGCTGGAGAGGATGTGGAGAAATAGGAACACTTTTACACTGTTGGTGGGACTGTAAACTAGTTCAACCATTGTGGAAGTCAGTGTGGCAATTCCTCAGGGATCTAGAACTAGAAATACCATTTGACCCAGTCATCCCATTACTGCATATATACCCAAAGAATTATAAATCATGCTGCTATAAACACACATGTACACGTATGTTTATTGCAGCACTATTCACAATAGCAAAGACTTGGAACCAACCCAAATGTCCATCAATGATAGACTGGATTAAGAAAATGTGGCACATACACAGCATGGAATACTATGCAGCCATAAAAAATGATGAGTTCATGTCCTTTGTAGGGATATGGATGAAGGTGGAAACCATCATTCTGGGCAAACTATCACAAGGACAGAAAACCAAACACTGCATGTTCTCACTCATAGGTGGGAATTGAACAACGAGAACACATGGACACAGGAAGGGGAACATCACACACGGGGCCTGTTGTGGGGTAGGGGGAGGGGGGAGGGATAGCATTAGGAGATCTACCTAATGTTAAATGACGAATTAATGGGTGCAGCACACCAACATGGCACATGTATACATATGTAATAAACCTGCACATTGTGCACACGTACCCTAAAACTTAAAGTATAATAAAAAATAAAAATAAATAAATAAAAGCAATTTCTTAAAATTTTAATTTGGTAATAATGTTGTTAATAAATAATTTACATACGGTATTTTCTTTAAATAACTATTCTATAATTAGTTGAATGTGGCAAGATGTCATGCCTGAGTCTGCAAAACCTGATTCCCTGCCTTGCGTGTTGCTTCTGCTGGGTCACACATGCTTGCTTAATCTTTATTGCTATCTTCTGGAGGATTTGTTTTTATATGCAAATTGGTAATACCAGGCCAATACAACTCTTCTCTTAAAGGGATCCGGAGCCACAGGCCCTTTCAGTGTCTCAAAGCACTGAAAATAATAGATCAAATGTCATAACCACACGGGCTGTGGAGGCAGTGCACCTCAGAGAGCATCTTAGAAGTAACAGGAAAGCCAAATGTCCAGAAAAACAGCTCCCTATTTCCAAGCAGAGGCTTGTATTTTCACAGTTAAAGTTCCTCTTTATGGAAGCCTTCATGATATAAGGCTTTGACCCACGCCAAACTTCAGGCACCACTGGAAATAGTAATATTTGAAACTAATTCAATCAATTCTATTTGAGCATAAATGAGTTTGGAATGCTTTCCTATTATGATGAATGAGGTGCAGAGGTGAAGAACACAATACGTGAGTAACATGAATGTCACATCTCAGAGCATCACCCATTACTGCCCTGCTGCCCAAAAGGTATACTTAAGAGGACCACAATTTGGGGCTGGAAATACCTAGGGAAGGTGAAACCGAACTGTGAATTCAAAGGGAATGACTAATATGGCAGCCAAGGAAGTATGGCAACCATGCTTTGTAAGCAGTTCACATGCAGGAATCCGATCGCAATCCATGGGGCATCCCATAAGACAAGCTGAACATTGCTAGGAAATCCACCGATGGCAATGGTCAACTTTTATGTGAAAAGGCTAACAGCTAACACCAGAGAGGACTATCTGCAGAGGATAGCACTCCAGCCACCTAGCCAGGGCTTAAGAGTAGGCTGTAGCCTCTGAGTCCCAGGCTATTTTTGCAAGCTTATTCTGACAGAGAACAGACCTATGACAGTGCATCTCAACTTTCTTACATCTTGCTACAAAAAGAAAATCATGGTATTTTTATCCTGAGAAGAAATGGATGAAGCTACTCATAGCAAAGGCTCTGACCACGCACCACATCTGTAACCCTCTACCTCCACATGACAGATAGGAAGCTCCAGTCTGCAGAAAAGTCTGAAGCTTGGTTCTCTAAATGTGGCCTAAAGACAGAGCCAGAGGGAAGGAAGTAAGAGGATCCTAAGGTTCAGACTCAGGGTTAGTGAGGGATCCAGTGTAACTGAGCTCTGCTTAGAAGGCAGATGGCTCTGATCATGCAAAGAAAAGACTTGAAGAGGACACTGAAATGAGCAGAGCAGGGGGAAAGAACAGGGAGCAAACAGGCTTGGGAAGTCAGAAAATTAAGCTTGCATAATTTTACCTAGGCTCAACAGTTGCAGTGTTCCCTTTAAAAAGAAAACATAATCATATTGTTCAAGCATTCATTCATGCAACAAATATCATTGAATCTGTACCACATGATTAATATAGTTTCAGCACTACAAATATACCCATGGGCAAAACAAACACGATCAGGTCTCTAACCTACAAGCTTGAGTCTACTGAGGAAGCCTGATATTAAGTAGTAAGTTCAGATTTTTTTCTCACACATTATGGTAAGTACTATATGGGAAAAGAACTGGATACTTGCTCTGAGGGAGAACAATAAAACCAAGAAACTAAGTACTTTAGATTAAGAGATTAAAAGATGACCTTTTGGAGGAAGGTATATTAAGGTATTCTAAGAAGACGCAGTAAGAAAACATTAGCAATTCTTTTAAAATGCTTTAAATATAAACAAAGTTTATTATTTATATATTATATATACATACAATATTATATATTGTTATGTGTGTAGTAATACATAGTAATATATACAGATGCAGGATTATTGTACAACAGCTAATGACAGACAACTAAAGCCTAGTTAAAAAAAACTGCTTATACTATGAAATATGAAACACCATTACTGGACTCTTACTTTTCTTCTTATATAGAGTAACAGTTAATATTTCATAAAAATATTTAAAGACTCAAGAGAAAAAGAGGGAAAAGAAGTTGCCAGATTTTACTTCTAAATGTATATACTTTTATACCTATGTGTTTCTACAAAAGAAATACTTAATCTTGGTTAATCTTTATGCAATCTTAATATATAACAGCTAATCTGACCAAATAAACTTAGATAGGCTTCACGTTCAAGGGCAGAGTTTTCAAGCTGATAAAAACATTCTGCGCACTAGTGGATGCACCTAGCTCTGAGAAGAATGTCAGTGTAATTGCAACTATTTATAGAATAAGCAGAGAAATTCATTCTGCTATAATATACAGTCTAATTTAAAATGTAGTCAATTCCTAAAAGAGGGTAAAAATTCTAAACTTTGAAATGATGCAACAGGAGGCTAGTGGGCTAATTTTGCTTTTGTATACAAAAGTTTGTGAGCATCTAGAAGGAAATATAAAGGGGTGCTCTAAGTTGCTAGTTATGTATCATGTACAATTTGTGAAAATCCACTCAGTGTACGTGAATGATTTGCATAAACTTTTCTGTTTGTATATTATATATCAATTAAAAGTGGCTCATTTGTTGTTTTTGTTTTGTTTTTAGTTTGAGGGGGAAAAATATCAAGTTCAGGGAAACTTTATCTGGGACACTAGAACAAACTCCTAAAAGGAAAGCTTGGAGTAACTTTCACAAAATTGGAAACTAGTTGGTAAGACAGTTCCAAGTATATTACTTATTGTAAATAAATATACAAGGTGCGATATACAAGAGGTGCACAAAAGCAAATAAAGTCAGAAATCACTGTATTTACCTAAAAGAAAATTTCACTGTAACTGCAGCCTTTAAAAATCAGTGTCATCCTTTAACCTGTATTCTAATCATATTACAGCTTTATCTCACATATGGTCTTCATTTGCAACACCTGGAAAGTTTTATATTTGTGCTTTTGCAATTTCAATCACTGATGCCTACGGCAACTACTCATAAAACTGTAAACACTGCACTTGCCTCTTTCAGTTATAAATAAAGAAGAAAAGTAATCGGATGCTTATGTCACAGGATTCTTAGGGTGTTTCTTTTCCAGCGGGAAAAGCTCTGTAACCGGTGGTGTCCTTGCCCGAGTTTTGCTTGAGCCTGCTGGGCTCATTCTGCCCACTCTGCCCGGCAGCCTGCGCTCACCTCATGCTACCAGCCCGGATCCCATGCCTGCTAAAGGTGAGCCACATGCAGAGTGGCGAGGGGTGTGTGGGTGAGCAAACGTGGGGTCCGGCCACTGTGCACAGCCAGGCACACTGGCTGCCGAGGGACACGCAGCTGTAGGCGCCAACACAGGTGTCGGCTCCCTGTGAAGCTGCGGCTGGACCAAGCATACTGCAAGCAGCTCCCGCTGCTGGCAATGGGGAACGTGGTGGCGCCCAGAAGCTTGGAGACTATAGGAACCGCAGAGTCCCAAAGAGGGTGTCACAGCCCTGGCTCGGGGAGCTCCTAGATCTGAGCTCCCTGAAGGGCCACAGCTCCTCTCCTTCTCTCTTCTCTCCTTCTTGTCACTGCAAGGCGGTGGGCAAGGGGCCTGTTTCAGCCCTGTTTGTGTTACAGCTCTTTTAGTCCCACCATCCCACGGATCCCAACTTCTTCTCCCATGCCCAGGAAGAATGAGGTATGCAGACAACTGGAGGGTGAATAAGGTGAGGAGGTGGTTTATTGAGCGACAGTACAGCTCTCAGGAGACCTAAAGCGGGTAGCTCTTATCCGCAGGCAGGTAGTCCCAAAATCTGCTCAGGCCTCAGCTGAGAGGAGACCCACAGTGTGTAGCTCCACTCTACAGGCAGTCTGTCCTGATGTCTTGCTCAGCCCTCAGCTGAGAGGAGACCCACAACGGGTAGCTCCTCTCTACAGGCAGGTCATCCTGGACATCTGCTCTACTCAAGTCTGGCTGAATCTGGGTGATTCTATGGGTTTCAGGTGGAAGGAAGGGTGTGCTGATTGGTTTATGAGTAGTCATGGGCAGGCTTGGAAAAAGCACCTTAAGTTCTCACTTCGGTGGGCAGAACTGGCAGCCCAGCCCTGAGACTTCGGGCCATCCCAGGCCCGAAGGTGGGGCTTCACCAGGCACCTGACCCTTTCTGCCCAGGAGCCTGTCTGCCTCCCACCCTCAACCTATGGCCACCAGCACCCAGGCTGTTTGTGACAAGGTGCCTGCAGGTCCACACCAAGCCACCCTCAGTCCCCCCTGGCCTCCCTCTTGTGCTCATTTGCACCCAAAGTCCAGAAGGGGCCGAGGAAGCAAGAGACTGGCATGTCAGTGCTGCCCCTAGCATGCGCACACCCGGCCAAGTCATGACAGCACCAGCACTCAGCCTCAACTTTGCTCTGAAATCAGAAAGGGGAGAAGCCAGGCAGGGGAAGCAGGCATTTCCAAGCTTGCAGGGGCAGGGGGCCTTCCCAGGCCCCCAAGAGCACAGGAATACCAGGTTCGCAGCCACAGCTGAGTGGCAGCAGCCGCGCCGGGGAGGGAGGGGCTCCCGCCGCTCCAACTAGGAAGGGGTGGGGCTTCTGCCTGTTCCTGGCTCCCGCTGGCTCCACGGAGCGTGTAGCCCTGCGTAGCCCTGGCCCCACCTCCCCAGCTGCAGACAGTGTCTTTGCAGCAGCCATTTCAGATGGGCCGCGGGTGCCGACACTTACTCCTCAAGCACAATGGAGAAAAATCTGAAATTGCACTTACTCAATATTTATGAAACAATCTAAGTTAAATTTTAAAGCATTCATCTTTCTTGTGACCCATTTTGCTGTTCTTTTCTCTTTTTTTTATGTATTTCACAGATACTTTCAGACATGAAACAACTTCTTTCAAACAACTTCTTTCATCTTCTATTCTTACTCTTTTGAATATTTTCCATTTACTAATACATTTTCAAGATGTTAATCCACTTAAAATTTTGGATTTCCATGTCACAGATAATTATTTAAGAGTAAGACTCTTCTCCACTTTATCCCCCACCACCAACTGATGCCATGAATTTTCCTGAGACACAGAAAATTGATGAATATTTTAATTAGTAGTTAATTCCCCTTTGAATGTGTAGCAGCTATGAAGTCCTAGGCAAGAACTGGGCCCAAATTTATCTCCTAAGTGATATATCATCACTCTTAGAAAACGTTTTAAGTAGTAACCTACGACATAAATTAAACAGATTACAGAAATCATTTACTTGTGAAAAAAAGAAAAGTAAAAGGCAGAGTTTGTGTACTGTGGAAAATTACAGATTTCGACATCCATTATCGCTTTCATGAATGAAGCCTTAAAGTCATTGAAGAGAAAAAAAATTTCCTGAGTATTTTCTAATGTTGCTGTTTGTTCCAACAGTTGCTTCAGATCATACAATCAATCCTTCATTCACTTTGTTTGTGAAACTAGTTACTCATGGTCACTCAATTTCCTTCATATTGAATCCTAACAGAGGCATTGACCAGGACTATTGTTCTCAAAGGTTAAAATACCCCATGAATGACTACGTCATTGCCAAAGTATGTCCAGGTCATGGAAACAAACTCAACAACATGGCCAAAGACTCCTGGAGGAGGGACGGAAGACCTGAATTTTGATCTGGTCTTTCTAACTAACTAAATGAGAAAAACTCAGCCAACTGTCCTATCTTGAGCCTCTGCCCTAAATATAATTTTATAAATAAAAAAGCACTGTCTAATGCAGGTTTTTCTTAGATGTGTTTCAAAGCACTAAACTGTTTCATTAAAATTTTGAGCAATTCTGAGATATACATCCCCTTCTTGGAGGTTCACAAGGAACATTATTAACATAGTAAAGTTTCTGAGAATTCCTGCAGTTCTGCTTAACTTTGTTCAACCCACACAAAATGTTTTACATGTTTTTGTAACCTAACACCCCTTACCCTCTGTGGAGCCTTCATTGAGAGTGCTGTACTGGTGATTTTCAAACTATGCTCTGTGGAATCCTTTTAGGGATTGCCAGAAAATGTGGTAAGAAGTGGAGAGCAGGAAGGTGGACAGGAAGCAGTCAGCAGGCAGGACTTTGGGACCCCAAACCCCAATTCAACCTTTTTACTCTGAGTACTCAAAATATAATATTCTTTCAATATAATAGATCCTTTAATCTTTAACAGATTTTTAATATATTTAATGAACTCTTTTAATCTATTTGAGGCCTCAAAATATAATATTCTAAAATTCTCTGACTTAGAAATGATTTATGTCTAGTATGAATTATCGTGCTGAGATTTTTATGAGATTTCACAGAAAAGCTCCACAGTGTTTCCAAGATAGTGTGTATTAGTCAGAGTTCTCTGGAGGGACAGAACGAATAAGATATATGTATAAATGAAAGGGCACAATCGGTTCTTGCAGTAGGTTGAATTATTGCTCATGATTATTCATTCCTGCCCAAACCTTGCTGTGCTTTCCTGGAGGCAGAATTTACTTCCTTGCCCCATTGATTGGGGCTTGGCCTTGTGACCCACTTTGGACAGTGGAATGTGAGTGTCTTACGTGCTTTTGTTGACCTCTCTTCATGATGAGACAAGCATGCCCCAGCTAGTGGGTATTCATCATCCAAGGCCCAGGAATTAGACGACATGTGAAGCCCAGTGAGACCAACAAAAGTACAGTCAATCCACAGCCTTCTGGTAACATGAGCAAGAAATTAACGTTTATTGTTTATTGTAATAAACATAGAAAAGTAATAAAATTGTAATGTTTATTGTAAGCCTCTGAAATTTAGGGGTTGTTTGTTGACAGCAGAAGCTGATGGCTACAATTCTAAATCAAGGGTCTGCAATATTACCCTTGAATAACTTTAAACTAGAAAATAAGATCCAAGAAAGAAGATGCTGAATTTATTAAGTTTTGTGATTAACTTATACAACTATGTTTAACATTCAATAATATTATCTTTTCTCTCTCTATGCCCAGATATCATTTTTCTCCCTCCAAGGATAAATGTTTTACTTTCCCATGATTCACAGAACAATTAGAGGTTAACAACAATGCCAGTAAAATTCATTATACATAGTTTTCCACCAAGAGAATCAAAGCCGACACTACTTTGGGGTTGAGATTTAATGAGAAAAATTTTAATGTGTATTGTCTATGCCTATGATTGTTTATAGATCACTTAATCAGGTCAAAATTAAAACTCAGCTATGCTTAATCAAGTTGTAAATCAAACAAGAGCCTTCCTACCAATACACATAAAAAGAAGGCCAGAAAAAAAAGCTATATTTATTTCATCCTAAAAATTAAATTGAAACCACATCCGCTAAACCAGGTACACAAGGAATGAGTAAACTTTTGCTTTACTCAAGTTCTTTAGATTTACAGGACGGTTATACAAAAACAGTGTCCCATAATGTATGGAATGACCATGGAATGATTCCACTTAATAGAAAGTACAGTCAGAAAAACACTTAAGAGAAAAGTCTACCAGTAAGGTATCCATCTACTAGGAAATCAATAAGGAAAGGCTTATGAAAGTAATCTGTTCTTACTGAGTTAACCATGCCCACAAAAGAGCCATAAAACCAGGAGCAAAATTATATAAAAACAGTAAGAGACAAAACAGTAGAAGGTAAAAATTTTCTAAGAACTGAATACTGATAATGAGTGTGATGCTTACAGTTTGTGATTCCTTTGAAAAATCATGAAAAAGGAATTTGTGATCCACATGGGAGAAATTTTTCTTACATAATTAAAAATAACATTAACTACTATTTATTAAGCACAGCAAATGGTTAAATGTAATCATGTAAGTAGGGCACAGCTATCTGGCACAGTACACGGCATGCCCTTTGTATAGAAGAAGACAGGAAAACTCTAAGAGTTCAAGTCACATGTTCTCACAACTATTAAAAAGTGGATTTTTAAAAAATCAACAAAATTGACAAGTCCTTAGCCAGATTAAGATTAAGAAGAGAGACAGAAAGAAAGAGACAGAGAGAGAGAGAAAGAGAGAGAGAGAGACGGAGAGAGAGAGAAGACTCTACTAAAATCAGAAATGAAAGAAGGGATAGTAAAAGCAATGTCACAGAAATAGAAAGGATTATAAGAGAATAGCATAAACAAATTAATACCAACAAACTGGATAACTTAGAAGACATGGATAAGTTCCTAGAAATACACACCCTATGATGACTGAAGCATAAAGAAATAGAAAATCTGAACAGACATATAAGTAGTAAGGAGGCTGGATGAATAATCAAAAGCTTCCTAATAAAGAAAAGCTCAAGACCCCATGGCTGCACCAGAGAATTCTACCAAACATTTAAAGAATAATTAGCAATAATCCATTTCAAACTCTTCCAAAAAAAAAAAGTAAAGAAGGGATATGCCCAAACTCATTCTATGAGGCTACTATTACTCTGATACAAAAGCCAGAAAAACACACTACAAGAACAGAAAACTGTAAACCAATATTTCTGTTGCATATTAATGCAAAAATGCTCAACAAAATACAGTCAGCTCACCTTATCCATGGATTCCACACCTACGGATTCAACAAACCATGGGTTGAAAATATTCAGAAAAGAAATATTCCGCAGATTTCCAAAAGAACTAAACTTGTATTTGCCACATGCTGGGTACTACACTGAATTCACACGAATGAAATGATGTTCAGGCATTGAATTAGGTATTGTAAATAATATAGAGATGATTTAAATTATATGGGAGGATATGCATAGATCATATGCAAACACTATACAGCATTTTATTTAAGGCATTTGAGTATCTGCAAATTTTTGGTGTCTACAGAATTTCTGGAAACAGTCTCCCATATATACCAAGGGACTACTGTGCTAGCAAATTAAATTCAACAGAACATTAAAAGGATTATATGCCACAACTAAGTGGAATGTATTCCCAGATTTCAACATACGAAAATCAACCAATGTAATATACCGCATTAATCAAGGATGCAAAGCACATTATCATCTCAAGTGATGCAGAGAAAGCATGTCACAAAATTCAACACCAATTCATGATTTAAAAAAACAAAACTCTCAACAAACCAAGAACAAAAGGAAACTACCTCAACATAACAAAGACCATAAACGAAAAGCCCACAGCTAACATCCTAATTAGTGAAGAAAAACCCAAATCTTTTTCTCTAAGATCCTGAACAAGACGAGGTGGCCTGCTCTCATCATTTTTATGCAACATAGCATTGGAATTCCTATCCAGGGCAATTAGGTAAGAAAACGAAATAAAAGACTTCCAAATTAGAAATGAAGAAGTGGAAGTATCTCCATTCTCAGATGAGATGATCTTATATGTAGAAAACTCTAAAGATTATATTAATAAAAACTGTTGGAACTAATAAAAGAATTCAGCAAAGTTACAGGATATCAAATCAACAGGTAAACTACATGCTAACAATAAACAATTCAAAAAGAAAACTAAGAAAACAATTCCATTTACAATCATGCCAAAAGAATGCAATACTTAAGAATAAAATAAGGAGGTGAAAGACTTCTACTCTGGAAATTACAAAACATTGATTTAAAAAATTAAAGACACATACAAATGGAAAGACATTTGGAGTGTCTTTCCATTGTTCATAGTTTATGACATGTTCATGGTTTGGAGGACTTAATATTGTGAAGATGTAAATACTACCCAAAGAGATCTACAGATTCAATGCAACCCCATCAAAACCCAAAGGTATTTTTATAGAAATAGAAAAAAAATTCTAAAATTCAGAAGAAACTACCAAAGACATTGAATGTCCAAATCCATCTTGAGAAAGAACAAAGTTGGAAGTCTCACACTTCTTAATTTCAAACATATGTAAAAGCTGCAGTACACACAAAGCGGTGTGGTACTGGCATAAAGACAGAAATATAGAACAATAGAATAGAAATTCCAGAAATGAACCATTGCATATATAGTCAGATGATTTTTGACAAAGGTGACAAGACCACTCAATAGGGAAAAAATAGTCTATTCAACAAATGGTGATGGGAAAAGTAGATATAAACATACCAAAAAAATAAAGTTAGACCCTTACGTTGTACCATATACAAAAATTAGCTCAAAATGAATTAAAGACCCAAAAGTAAGACCTAAAACTATAAAACTACTAGAAAAGAACACAGGAGAAAAGCTTCATGAGGTTGGATTTGGCAATGATTTCTTGGATATGATGCCAAAAGGACAGGCAGCAAAAGTAAAAATAGACAAATGGGAGTACAATTTCTGTGCATCAAAGGGCACAGTCAACACAGTGAAAAGACAACATAGGAATGGAAGAAAGTATCTGCAAATCATGTATCTGATAAGGAGTTATTATTATCCAGGAAGGATAAAGACAACAAAATAACTCAGCAACACCACCAACAACAAAAAACAAATAACTTGATTTTAAAATGAACAAAGAACTTGAATACGCATTTCTCCAAAGATGATATACAGATGGGCAACAAGCATATGAAAAGATGTTTGATATCACTAATCATTAGAGAAATGCACATCAAAACCACTATGAGATATCACCTCACTCCCATTAGAATGGTTACCATAAAAAAGTAACAAAATAACAAGTGTTGGCTAGGATGTAGAGAAACTGGAACCCTTATGTACTGTGTACAGGAATGTAAAATGGTGCAGTCACTGTATGAAACTATAGCAGTTCCTTAAAAAATTAAAAATTGAATTATTATATGACCTAGCAATTCTACTTCTGGGTATACATCCAAAAGAATTGAAAGCAGAATTTCATAGAAATATTCACATACTGGTGCTCAGAGCAGAATTATTCACCATAGCCAAGAGATGAAATCAACTCAAATGTCCATCTATGGATAAAAGGTTAGATACAGATAATGTGGTATATATGGATAATGGGATATTATTTAACCTTAAAAAGGAGAAAAATTCTGTCACAATGCTGCACCATGCACGAACCTTGACGACATTATTCTAAGTGAAATAAGCCAGTCCCAAAAAGACAAATGCTATCTGAATTCACTCACATGAAGAATCTAAGTTAGTCAAATTCATAGACACAGAAACTAGAACGGTGTTTGCCAAGAGTTTGGAGAGAAGGGGGAAGAAAAGAGGAGCTGTTTTTTAATGAGGATAGAGTTTCAGTTTTGCAAGACGGAAAAATTCTGGAGAACCAGTACAATATGCAGTTGCTTAATATAACTGATCAGAATGCTTAAAAACGGTAAAGATACTACATTTTATGTTATGTCTTTTCTTTTTTTTACATGGAGACAGAATTCAAATACAATGTTCATAGATGTTTTCCTGCAACATACACTGAAAGGAGAATGAAAGGAACAACAAGCAGTCCAGGTGGAATAAAAGAAGTGGGCAGATGCATCGCAAAGAAGCTAAAAACCTTGAAAAAAGATTAGATGAATGGCTAACTAGAATAAACAGTGTAGAGAAGACCATAAATGACCTGATGAAGCTGAAAACCATGGCACGAGAACTATGTGATGTATGCATAAGCTTCAGTAGCCGATTCGATCAAGTGGAAGACTGAAGAACAAATCAATGAAATGAAGCGAGAAGAGAAGTTTAGAGAAAAAAGAGTAAAAAGAAACGAACAAAGCCTCCAAGAAACATGGGACTATGTGAAAAGACCAAATCTACTTCTGATTGGTGTACCTGAAAGTGACAGGGAGAATGCAACCAAGTTGGAAAACACACTTCAGGATATTATCCAGGAGAACTTCCCCAGCCTAGCAAGGCAGGCTAACATTCAAATTCGGGAAATACGGAGAATGCCACAAAGATACTCCTCGAGAAGAACAACTCCAAGACACATAATTGTCAGATTCACCAAAGTTGAAATGAAGGAAAAAATGTTAAGGGCAGCCAGAGAGAAAGGTCGAGTTACCCACAAAGGGAAGCCTATCAGACTAACAGCGGATCTCTCGGCAGAAACTCTACAAGCCAGAAGAGAGTGGGGGCCAATATTCAACATTCTTAAAGAAAAGAATTTTCAACCCAGAATTTCATATCCAGCCAAACTATGCTTCATAAGCGAAGGAGAAATAAAATCCTTTACAGACAAGCAAATGCTGAGAGATTTTGTCACCACCAGGCCTGCCTTACAAGAGCTCCTGAGGGAAGCACTAAACATGGAAAGGAACAACCAGTACCAGCCACTGCATAAACATGCTACATTGTAAAGACCATCGATGCTAGGAAGAAACTGCATCAACTAACGAGCAAAATAACCAGCTAACATCATAACAACAGGATCAAATTCACACATAACAATATTAACCTTAAATGTAAATGGGATAAATGCTCCAATTAAAAGACACAGACTGGCAAATTGCATAAAGAGTCAAGACCCATCAGTGTGCTGTATTCAGGAGATCCATCTATGTGCAGAGACACACATAGGCTCAAAATAAACGGATGGAGGAACATCTACCAAGCCAATGGAAAACAAAAAAAGCAGGGGTTGCGATCATAGTCTCTGATAAAACAGACTTTAAGCCAACAAAGATCAAATGAGACAAAGAAGGCCATTACATAATGGTAAAGGGATCAATTCAACAAGAAGAGCTAAGTATCCTATATATATATATATGCACCCAATACGAGAGCACCCAGATTCATGAAGCAAGTCCTTAGAGACCTACAAAGAGAACTTAGACTCCCACACAATAATAATGGAAAATTTTAACACCCCACTGTCAACATTAGACAGATCAACGAGACAGAAAGTTAACAAGCATATCCAGGAATTGAACTCAGCTCTGCATCAAGCAGACCTAATAGACATCTGCAGAACTCTCCACCCCAAATCAACAGAATATACATTCTTCTCAGCACCACATTGCACTTACTTCAAAATTGACCACATAGTTGGAAGTAAAGCATTCCTCAGCAAATGTAAAGGAACAGAAATTATAACAAACTGTCTCTCAGACCACAGTGCAATCAAACTAGAACTCAGGATTAAGAAACTCACTCAAAACCACTCAACTACATGGAAACTGAACAACCTGCTCCTGGATGACTACTGGGTACATAACAAAATGAAGGCAGAAATAAAGATGTTCTTTGAAACCAACGAGAACAAAGACACAACATACCAGAATCTCTGGGACACATTGAAAGCAGTGTTTAGAGGCAAATTTATAGCACTAAATGCCCACAAGAGAAAGCAGGAAAGATCTAAAATTGACACCCTAACATCACAATTAAAAGAACTAGAGAAGCAAGAGCAAACACATTCAAAAGCTTAGAAGAAGTAACTAAGATCAGAGCAGTACTGAAGGAAATAGAGACACAAAAAACCCTTCACAAAATCAATGAATCCAGGAGCTGGTTTTTTGAAAAGATCAACAAAATTGATAGGCCGCTAGCAAGACTAATAAAGAAGAAAAGAAAGAAGAATCAAATAGATGCAACAAAAAAATGATACAGGGCGTATCACCACCGATCCCACAGACAAACAAACTACCATCAGAGAATATTATAAACACCTCTACGCAAATAAACTAGAAAATCTAGAAGAAATGGATAAATTCCTGGACACATACACCCTCACAAGACCAAACCAGGAAGAAGTTGAATCCCTGAATAAACCAATAACAGGCTCAGAAATTGAATCCATAATTAATACCCTATCAACCAAAAACAGTCCAGGACCAGAAGGATTCACCGCTGAATTCTACCAGAGGTACAAAGAGGAGCTGGTACCCTTCCTTCTGAAACTATTCCAATCAATAGAAAAAGAGGGAATCCTCCCTAACTCATTTTATGAGGCCAGCATCATCCTGATACCAAAGCCTGGAAGAGACATAACAAAAAAAAAGAGAATTTTAGATCAATATCCTTGATGAACATCAATGCAAAAATCCTCAGTAAAATACTGGCAAACCGAATCCAGCAGCACATCAAAAAGCTTATCCACCATGATCATGTTGGCATCATCCCTGGGATGCAAGGCTGGTTCAATATATGCAAATCAATAAACGTAATCCATCATATAAACAGAACCAAAGACAAAAACCACATGATTATCTCAATAGATGCAGAAAAGGCCTTTGACAAAATTCAACAACCTTCATGCTAAAAACTCTCAATAAACTAGGTATGATGTGACATATCTCAAAATAATAAGAGCTATTTATGACAAACCCACAGCCAATATCATACGGAATGGGCAAAAACTGGAAACATTCCCTTTGAAAACTGGCATAATACAGGGATGCCCTCTCTCACCACTCCTATTCAACATAGTGTTGGAAGTTCTGGCCAGGGCAATCAGGCAAGACAAAGAAATAAAGGGTATTCAATTAGGAAAAGAGGAAGTCCAATTTTCCCTGTTTGCAGATGACATGATTGTATATTTAGAAAACCCCATTGTCTCAGCCCAAAATCTCCTTAAGCTGATAAGCAACTTCAGCAAAGTCTCAGGATACAAAATCAATGTGCAAAAATCACAAGCATTCCTACACACCAATAACAGACAAACAGAGATCCAAATCATGAGTGAACTCCCATTCACAATTGCTTCAAAGAGAATAAAATACCTAGGAATCTAACGTACAAAGGATGTGAAGGACCTCTTCAAGGAGAACTACAAACCACTGCTCAACGAAATAAAAGAGGACACAAACAAATGGAAGACTATTCCATGCTCATGAATAGGAAGAATCAGTATCGTGAAAATGGCCATACTGCCCAAGGTAATTTATAGATTCAATGCCATCCCCATCAAGCTACCAATGACTTTCTTCACAGAATTGGAAAAAAACTACTTTAAAATTCATATGGAACCAAAAAAGAGCCCGCATTGCCAAGTCAATCCTAAGCCAAAAGAACAAAGCTGGAGGCATCATGCTACCTGACTTCAAACTATACTACAAGGCTACAGTAACCAAAACAGCATGGTACTGGTACCAAAACAGAGGTATAGACTAATGGAACAGAACAGAGACCTCAGAAATAATACCACACATCTACAACCATCTGATCTTTGACAAACCTGACAAAAACAAGAAATGGGGGAAGGATTCCCTATTTAATAAATGGTGTTGGGAAAAATGGCTAGCCTTATGTTGAAAGCTGAAACTGGATCCTTCCTTACACCTTATACAAAAATTAATTCAAGATGGATTAAAGATTGAAATGTTAGACCTAAAACCATAAAAACCCTAGAAGAAAACCTAGGCAATACCATTCAGGACATAGGCATGGGCAACGACTTCATGTCTAAAACACCAAAAGCAATGGCAACAAAAGCCAAAATTGACAAATGGGATCTAATTAAACTAAAGAGCTTCTGCACAGCAAAAGAAACTACCATCAGAGTGAACAGACAACCTAGAGAACAGGAGAAAATTTTTACAATCTACCCATCTGACAAAGGGCTAGGATTCAGAATCTACAAAGAACTTAAACAAATTTACAAGAAAAAATCAAACAACCCCATCAACAAGTGGGCAAAGGATATGAACAGACACTTCTCAAAAGAAGACATTTATGCAGCCAAAAGACACATGAAAAAATGCTCATCATCACTGGCCATCAGAGAAATGCAAATCAAAACCGCAATGAGATACCATCTCACACCAGTTAGAATGGCGATCATTAAAAAGTCAGGAAACAACAGGTGCTGGAGAGGATGTGGAGAAATAGGAACACTTTTACACTGTTGGTGGGACTGTAAACTAGTTCAACCATTGTGGAAGACAGTGTGGTGATTCCTCAAGAATCTAGAACTGGAAATACCATTTGACCCAGCCATCCCATTACTGGGTATATACCCAAAGGATTATAAATCATGCTGCTATGAAGACACATGCACACATATGTTTATCGTGGCACTATTCACAATAGCAAAGACTTGGAACCAACCCAAATGTCCGTCAATGATAGACTGGATTAAGAAAATGTGGCACATATATACCATGGAATACTATGCAACCATAAAAAATGATGAGTTCATGTCCTTTGTAGGGACATGGATGGAGCTGGAAACCATCATTCTGGGCAAACTATCACAAGGACAGAAAACCAAACACTGAATGTTGTCATTCATAGGTGGGACTTGAACAATGAGAACACTTGGACACAGGATGGGGAACATCACACACCGGGGCCTGTTGTTGGGTTGCGGGAGTGGGGAGGGATAGCATTAGGAGATATACCTAATGTAAATGACGAATTAATGGGTGCAGCACACCAACATGACATATGTATACATATGTAACAAACATGCACGTTATGCACATGTACCCTAGAACTTAAAGTGTAATAAAAAATAACAATAATAATAAAAAGAACTACTGCTAAGATCACAAAAAAAAGAAGTGGGCAGATGAAGGACAGCTCGATAGGTAAATTTGTTAAATGACAGTTAACAGTGATAGAAAGTGAGAGATGTTGAGTAAGTACCAATATATACAGGGGCCTGTAGTTCAAATGCCAGAATATGTACACTTATAAGACATTTAAATGACTCAAAAATGTGTTTCCTTCAAAGACTTAGTACTTACTTCATTATCACTGTGTTAGTTTTCCAAGGCTACCATAGCAAAATACCACAGACTGGTATTTTCTGGCAGTCCTGGGGGCTAGAAGTCCAAGATCAAGGTGTCAGCTGGTTTGTGTTCTCCTACATCCTCACTCCATGGCTTGCAGATGGACACCATCCCCCGTGTCCTCACAGGACCATCTCTTTAAACACATGCATCTCTTACGCCTCTGTATATCCTAATTCCCTCTTTTATAAGACCACCAGTCAAATTGGATTAGGATCCCACCATAACAGCCTGATCTAACTTTCTTTACCTCAAATTTCTTGTCTCCAGATAGTCATATTCTGAGGCATACTAGGAGTTAGGACTTCAATATATGAATTTGGGAGGGAAACAATTCAGTCCACAGCAATCGCACATTGAGTTGAGTTGACTTTCCTAGTTACTTATGCATGCTATCAATCAGAGAAAATAAGAGACTATAATCCTTTTATGTTTTTGCATCACCATCCACTTATCCTTCCAACCATATTTTTTGAGGCATTTACTATTAACATTCACAGTTTTACATATTATACTTTTCTAGATATCCAGCCTTTTTTATTTGGTTGGCTGGTTCATTGGTGGGCTGT
Organism: Homo sapiens; assembly: GCF_000001405.40. Taxonomy (NCBI): domain Eukaryota; kingdom Metazoa; phylum Chordata; class Mammalia; order Primates; family Hominidae; genus Homo; species Homo sapiens. The sequence goes on from NC_000007.14 coordinate 20,573,328, forward strand.
TTTACGTTTTATTCAATAGCAGAAAAAAAAAATTAAAAAGCAGGCCGTCGAAGCCAAGTGAAACTTTGGAAGAACATCTTTATAATTCTGGAAGTTTATTCCCAAGAGATTTTATAATACTGTGGGGCAAGTCTGAAAGCAAAACTTTTCCTCAAAAAGTTTTAATATTCTGGACTCCAGATTTACTCTAGACTGGGAAGTCCCTAAGTATTTTAAAATAAAATAAAAGAGAGTTACAAACATTTCATAATGTTTAAAAAATATTCTAGATGAAAATGAAATTAAATTTGTCCCCTGGGGACCAGATATGTTTTCTTTTTTCCCAGGTTCATTTTAAAGTCATTTCTGTAAGATCTTCAACAGCCATACATTTTCCCTTCTGAATTTTTACCTGATTTACATTCATAAGAAAACTATGTTCTTGCATGCACTGATTAAATTTCTCAGTTGGCATCTGACATCAGTAAATATTTACAACAAACTAGCTGAATAAGCTGTATTAACTGAATACACACATATTTTATTTCTGACAAATTACAGATCAGGAGCTGTCCGTAATTCAAGGGCCTAATTGGTATGTTTAAGTGTGTATTAGTATGTGTGTTTATTTGTTGTTTTAGCTTCTTTTAATGAAAATTTACAGTATTGAGAAAAAACACAGCTCTCTATGAAGGGCTATGTATTTAATATATGTGCTTTTCAGTAATATGAGATTGGGTACATTTTTTAATCAGTAAAATGGACTAATATGGGATAATAATTTAGAACAGTATCTAAAGGGAGGAGAAAACAAGATTTTCGAATTTACATAATATTTGAGAGAACCGTCTCCCATACTAAGGACATCTTTGTTTAGATAGATTTAATGTTTCTAACTATACTTTTTAAAGTATAATCAAATTCATAAATTGTACACCGCAAATACTCTTTGTAAAGGCCCAAGTTTTTCTGCCTTTATTTATCTTGCAAATATTCATCTACACTGAATGTTCTTTTAAAAGTTACATATTACATATTTTTATTTGTAGATCAAAGTGCTGAATAAACAATTATCTCTCTGATACACCAATGACATCCTTTAAATATAGCTCACTACATTAAAAACCATTCAAGTTCAATGAGAATATCAGCTATCAAATTGAATATCAATAATAGTTATATTCAGATGAGGGGATCAGAATGTTAAATTTCAAATGGATTACTAGACTATCAAACTCTTCTCCATCATCCTGGAGATACTGGCACATAATACACTTCTTCTTCTCTGAAAAGTGCAGTAAACAAAGTATAGTCATGGTAGGAATTTAAAATGATACATCAAGGAAATATTGATGTTGACCCAAATGTTGCTCTCTTTTTTAAACTTTCTTGAAGACCCAGAAGAACCAATATTTTATGACTCCCAGCTTAGATTGGCCCCCCACGTCTATTAAAATAGCCTAAAATGGCAAGTAAAGGGGTAGGCAAGTTGGAGATAGGTTTTATTTAATAGTCAACTTCTACCTAACATTTGGAACATTGATACCTTGTTGGCTGCTGGGATCTTCATAACGAGATAAGTGTGCGCGCACTGATACCAGGAAGTGTTCCAGCCAGTCTGAAACTATGAGACGAGCAGCTCAGGACAGCTAGAATAAGCCCTCATTCTCTGTGTAAGACTTACACAAGGCAGACATTCTTATCTCAGAATTCCTTCTCTGCCACCTGATGCACTTCTTGACTATTTTTTTCTTATCATTAATTTTACGGCTTTATGAAATGTAAATTAATTTTAGTATCAGATTAGGAAAAACTGAAATGAAAACATGGAGTCACATATAGTGCATCAGAGGATCAAATAAGGATACTTTTAGGTAGTTTTTGCCATTGCTTTCTTTCTTGAGTGAGGAGTTGATTGCATTCATAATTGATTTATGTGTTTCCATTTCACCATTGAAACATTACCAGGTCATCAACGATTCTGCCTTTGGTCAGAAAGCTTCTCCTGCTGTCACTCTTATCTAATCTTATAATGAAAAAAAATGGCATGTTTTTGGATAAAAGCTGGCTTTCTGACTGCATTGGATGGTTGGCAGGAACTGGAAATAAAACAAGCTATCCAACAACCACATTACTAAGAAGGCAGGCTCCTTTTACAAGATTTATTCCTAATTCTTTTGGGGTGAGAGAGCAAAATATGATAAGAACGAGGATTGCTTCTGATACTAGTTACACTCTGCTCGCCTCTCTCTTGTGCTCTGTCATTATCTCATTAATTCCCTGGGACCCAGCAAACACATTTATGTGGATGGTTCTGGCCCAGCTCCTGCTCTGCCCTCCAGATCAGCACTTCAGCCTCACACTTGACACATCCACCTGGATGTTCTGCCAACAATGCTGGCTCCAAAGTGTGTGCACCTCTGCCCTCTCCCTGCCTCCCTTTCCCTTGCCTTAATAAATCTCCCTTCTCACTTTTCTATTTCCTGTTGGCCACCATTATCTGTCACCCATCACTGAAGTCATGTATGGGTTCTTCTTTCATTGCCTCCCACCTAGATTCTCTATCAGCCTCCCTTCCAAGTGAAGCTCCTGTTTTACTGTGTACTATTGTCAAAGTCTCCAGGCTGTCCTTGTAGCAATCAGTTCTATGTTCTGTTTTAAGACGTGTCTACCCAGAGCACAGCTGTCACAAGCTACCATTGCCCCACATGGTGCATTTGTACAAATCAGGAAAGGCATCCCATCTTCAAGACACTTGACTTCCGTGTGTCAAGAAACTTCTCATTATATAGTACACTTATAATGACTAAAATACGGTCCTACGAAATATAGGTATCAACAGGGTCACCAGGTGAATGACACTGTCTAAGATTTTGCAGTGCACAATCTGCATACAAGACTCCAGGCAGCCCTGTGATCCTGTCATGCCTCAACTCCATACATTAAATGACCCCTCATCACCTGTGAAAATAAATGCAGACCCGTTAGCCTTGTGAGGAGATGCACCACACCTGGCTTCAGCCTGCATCTCCAGTAGTAGCTCCTATGCCTCACCTCCTCACATACATCTGCTCCACTCTTCCGGCAAACTTTCTCAGGACTCACACTTGCCTGTCATCACAGCTTTAATCATCTATCTGCCTGGTACATCCTTCCTCCATTTTTTCAACCTGTAAATATTTCACCCATTTTTCAAATGTCATTTCTCCTAAGAAGCCTTATCTTTTCTCCACCCCAAATAGGAAGTGAGCAATTTCTCCTTTGAATCCACTGTACTTTGTTTATACCTCAGTTACAATATGCATAATGTATTGCCTTTTATTATAGTTCCTGGCTCATTTGACTGATATGTGCCCGATGGTAAACTCTTTAAGGTAAAGGTTGTGTCTCATTTTATGATTTCTTCAGCACCAAGTTTAGGATTTTATGCAGAATAACTTTTTAATTCACCTAGTTGAACTAAATCAGTAAGTCTTGCTCCCAATAAGTTGATTGATTATAAGCATTCCTATTCCTTGGGAATCTTATCAAAAAGAAATTTTTTATTTTCTATTCAATTGCCAAAAAATGGAATTATAATTATGTTTCTGGTCTTTATATGTGCATTGTATTCCATTTGCTTTACTTCTACAATAACTAGGTAACCTTCCTGGTCTTAGATATATAACCCATAAGATATATGTTCACTATTGTATTTTGCTTAACCAAGCAGGATTGAATATGATTCTTTCTTTTCTTTGTTTTGTAAAGTTAGTCTATCCTTGATTTTATAGGTCTTCATTTCCCAACATCTGTACTGTATGAATAAGACAATTCTTATAAGAGGGTGAAAGTGGTTTCTTATTTTTTAAAAAACTGCTATTTTGAGAGCAGCTCACAAGTAATAATATGACAAGAAGTATTTTTGGTCTTACACCTGCGGAGACTACTATGCCACTGTGGGTTTTAAAGAGATCAAAATCTCAACTGAGTTAAGAGCTTTTAATTCTTTTTATCACTTTGCTGTTAAAACTATACTTAGTGGTAAGAAAAATAATAATTATTTTTATTAGATTTGGATTAATTGATAAATATGTGATAAATGCATGGCTTTTAAAGATTACAAATGTTTTATGGGACCCATAGATTCCTAGATTCCTAGACCTGTGTCAAAAACTAGACCATGGATGGCAATTAAAGATGGTGATGCTCAATGACACAGAGATATAAATGCAAATGAAGTTGGCAATATTTATATTCTAAAACCACCTTAAAGCCCCTGCTATGTCATACTTCCTCTAATGAGGGAGCTTAACAGATAAACACTGACCTTTGTATTCAATTGCCCTCTGAAATGAAAGCAAAGAAAAAGTTTGCTATTCCTCATAAACTAATTTTCTACCTTTTTATCAAATTCAGAATATAGTTTCCCTTTCTGTTTTGGCTTCCAGGGAAATCAGAGTTAACTGAGATTGAGCTCTTATTTTTCAGGCCTGAAAATACATGTAATCCAGATGTTGAGGAACTAACTCACATCGTGGTAATTTTAAACCACAGGGATTTAAAGGTCACTTGGTCTAACATTCCCACTCAAATCTGAAATCCCTCTACAGCTTCTCTGACACGTGGCCATTTTAGCTGCACTTGAATGTTTCTAGTACACACAGCTCATGATTTCATGAAGGAGTTCTTCCCCCAGGGTTAGTTCTAAAATTCAGAAAGCTTACAATGTAGTGAAATTTACTTTTTTCCTTAACTTCGCATTAGTTCTGCCCTCCAGAGCCATACTTGATTAAAAAAAAATCCCCGTTTCATATGACTTTCCTCTTTGAATATTTAATTTAAACTGCCTTGCCTTTCCTTAGATTTCACTCCTAGCTCTGCTACTTGCTAGCTGTGAGATCCTGGGAAACTTACTCAACGTCTTTAAGCCTCAGTGTTTCCCTCTGTAACATGGAGATAATAATAGGATCCACTTCATAGGGTTATCTTAAGGAATTTATGAGAAAAAAAACTTGTAAAAATGCTTAACACATTGTCAGTACTCCCTGTGACTATCTTAAAAGATCTTTTTTCCTCAAGTATGTTCTCTCAGTGGCTTATATGGAAAGCCCTCTTTCTCTCAGTTCATCTGCATTCCTCCATTTTTGTTATTGTTCAAATTGCTCTTTCGCAATGCTTTTTCCACCTCCATGGCAAATAATTAGAATGTGACAGTGATGCTGCCAGATCTCCATAGTTCTAATGAGCCCTGCTAAACACACTCAAGTGCCACTTGTCTCCCTGTCGAGGTCTACCTTCTCTGCAGGCCAGAGCTCAGCACAGTGTCAAAGAAAACCTGTTGGTGATTGCCTACTTCTCTCTTGGAATCTCCTGTTCCTTCATTCTAACCTTCGATCACCATGCAGAGATGTAAAATCTGGGCTGCCATGTATACCCTTTCTCATTCAGCTTCTCCCAGGTCTCGCCAAAAATAAATAAATAAATAAACTTACCTGTTCTGTGTTCTTTTTCATCAGTGCCCTCATCTGACCTGGTATTGGTCATCTAGTCTTGCAAACCAGTTGTGCTCTTCAGCTAATAGAAACTCATGGCTTAATTTTTCACCCTTCCAAGAAACAAAAAAAAAAATGTTAATTTTGGGCCAAGCTTAGCACCTTGACACATCCTTGAAATGACTTTAAGTCTTTGATAACACGTGATTTCTTTTTCCCTTTTTTCCTTTGCTGTAGGTATCTTAATAAGTGCGTGTGTATGTGTGTGTGCGTGCATGCGTGCACGTGCATGCATACACACAGAGCATTGCAACCTCCTACACCCATTAACAATAGGTGGTATCTTCTTTAGGAAGGCAACAGTGTCAATCTCAGGTAATTGGAAGAGGGTGGCATGAGATGGGCCTCTCAATAAGAAATCTTGTGACATACCTTAATAAGGGTGTCTTCCCCCAAAATACTTGCATTATCTATGGCTTAGTTCAACCCTAAATACAAATTTATTCATGAGTCCATGCTATGAACATACTTATACATAAGAGATATTTCACAAATGCTGTTTGTTGGGGATGAATATTCACAAATGCTGTTTTGGGGGGATGAATATTTACTATCAGCCCTTGACTTTTTAAAAAATTAAGAAATTAACATAAAAGGATAAAGAGAAGATTTTCAAATGCCTTAGGGCTAGATGTTGTGAGATTCTCTTTCCACAGTATTTTCTTAATGCTGTCTTAATGCCAGATTTCAAAATGAATCATCCAAGAAAACTAAAAAGACCCTGTAACCTATTTTTCAATCAAAGTCAACAGAAGCATAACTTTCCTGAATATTTCATGTATCCACCAAAACAGAAAATGGCTGCAATTTCTCTAAAAGTTAGGCTATTCTCTGAACATATCCCCTCAATCTTTCCCATTTAGAAGTTGTCCACACTAAATATGAGTTCACTCTTTGAGTATGAACTTATAGTTAACATGTTCAAATTGATTGTGCTCACTCTGGTTGCTGGCTTTTCTTAGAAACGTCTTCTATTGACTTGTTTTCTACTTTCAGAGATGTGGCAAATTTCAGGAAGCCTATATTATAAAAATTGAATTGGAATAAAGTGAAAAAATAAATCAGCGACTCAAAGGGTTGTTTCAGCTATTAAACCAGACACTTTAGGTCTTCTGTGCCATTCACCATAAAGTCACCTTCTAAGTTAATCAAGTTGATTAAGAAGTTGATAATGACTAAGCCGTCAGTAAAGTTCATCTTATATTTTCACAAACATCCAAATTTTTCACTTATAAAACAAGAAATAACAGATTATTTTTCTACAAAAAGAGTTACAGAAACAACACAGACATGTCATGAACAAAAGACATTAATGAGATTTCTTTTGTAGAAATTGGCAGCTGGGAGGGAAAAGTGGATAGGAAGGCATGAGCCAATAATAATATTGAACTGCAGTCAACCAGTTAACTAGTTAACCGGGCTTGCAATCTGATATCCTAGGTTGCAAGAATGTTTCTTACAGTATCCCCCCGAAAATCACACATCCTTAAATATTTTCATTTTTAAGGAGATTAAAGCACTTTTTGAATCAATATTCTACAAATCCTAAAATGTGCCATCATTTTGATGACTATAACAGAGTTTCCCTAAGATATATATTGTCTTGCTCTCTGGAAGCCTCTCTCTACCTCAAGATTTCCTTTCTTTTCTTCTTTGAGACCCGTATCATGAGGCTCTGAACAGTCATGCTCCATTCTCTGGGTCAGCCCCAAGCTACTGAGACCTTACCTCTGACAAGAGTTCACATATTGGTAGTGACTTGCACTGCAGCTATTTTTTTTTTTTAATCCTTGACAGGTAATGTATGGGAAATATCTTTGGACTGAAAGTCAGCTGTCTTGAGAGTAATATGCACTACACCACTTATTCACTGTTTGATTCTGGGCAAATCACTGAACTTCACATATCTTCATAAGTGTTTAATGAGAATAACACTTTGCACAAAATCCAGTAAGTAATTATTTAGGGGCCATTAAAACCAGACATGATCTTGGAGGCTGCACTCCTCTAAACGAGACCTTGTCTCTGCCCTTGAGAGGTTCAGGGTTTAGAAGGAGAGACCGGCATTTGAATTGGCAAGGAGAATACGGAGCAATAAGTGCCAAGCAGGGGGAGGCCCCAGTGACCTTCCTGGAAAAATGAACATTTCTCAGCATTACTGATAAAAGATATCCCTGGCACTGAAGCTTGTAGCAAAACAGATACAAAGATACGTCAGTTAACATAAAGTCAAAATGTACGCAAGGCCAAAAAGTAAGATGAAAATGGTTTGATTATGGCTGCTAGAAGGGTATCCTAGATACATAGCTGCATTTGAATCAATAAAAATGTATTCAAAATTGTGTGAGTGTGTGAGTGTTCAGTTTTGGAGCTAGAGTCCTTAACTTTTATAAAATTATAAAAAAAAAAAGTGAATGACCCCGAAATGCTAGGAATCAATGCTTTCTAAGGTAGATACACTTTCTAGGAATTATAAATGAAATGCTTGGGTGAAAGTGTATGTTTGCGTGTGTGTATGTGTGTATAAATATATGCACAAGTCATCTTCTGCCACCAATTTACATGCTCCAAAAAATGTTCATGTTTCTGTACTTACTATTATGAGACGTCAAATATGGTAAATGTCTGTGCTTTATGGAGTTGCTGAAAGTGTTTTTTGAGATTTCCAAGTTAAATAATATGTAGCTCCCTTTCAAAACACACAAAAAAATTTGCTTGTATAATCATTATCTCAATGAGGAAGAGAAGTGAAATCTTATAAATTACTCACTTAAATGAATATATTATAAGGTGGCTATATTGGAGATGTCACACAACCTTTTATCTTAAAAGGAAATATGCAAAGAAAAAATAGTGTCTTTTTTTCTATTACTGATTTAATGTTGTTCTCAAGCCAAACACTGCTGGATATCAAGACGAAAAAATATTAAGTTTTCCAAGTAAAAGTGTTAAGTTTCTTCTGATCTAAGAGAGTAGTTATACAAGGTCTGCATTTTTTAGAGGGAAGAGTGAAATATATAGAAATTAAAGTGGTATGATACCCAGATTTGCTTTAAAATATTTTCACAAGAATGATAAGGTGAGGGGGTGGGGGAGGGAGGGCAGGGCAAGGCAGAATGGGGGAGGGCATAGGAGAAAAAAGAAAAAGAAATAGAAACAAAAAGAGGTTTTTCATAACGATTTTTCAGCCAGAACACGAGTGTTGTGAAAATCACCACTAAATCAAAGCCAAAACGAGAAAGAAATGACTCATATCAACATCGTCATTACTAGATATATAGATTAGGGCAAGTCCACGACTACTGGCCATCTGACCTACCAGTGTGGGGTGATCAACAAAAGAACCATTGAAAAGTTTGAGAAGGAGGCTGCTGAGATGGGAGAGAGCTCCTTCAAGTATCTCAGATTTTAGATGAGTGAAACAACGAATTATTGGTGTTAACAAAATGGATTCCACTGAGTCACCCTACAGCCAGAAAAGACATGAGGGAATCATTAAGGAAGTCAGCATGTACATTACAAAAATTGGCTACAACCCTGACACAGTAGCATGTGCGCCACTTTCTGGTTGGAATGGTGAGAATGTGCTGGAGTCAAGTGCTAATATGCTTTGGTTCAAGGGACAAAAAGTCACCAGTAAAAATGGCAATGCCAGTGGAACCATGCTGCTTGAAACTCTGCAATGCATCCTACCAACAACTCATCCAACTGACAAGACCTTAAGTCGGCCTCTCCAGGATGTCTACAGAATTTGTGGTATTGGTACTGTTTCTGTGGGCTGAGTGGAGACTGGAGTTCCCAAACCCAGCACAGTGCTCACCTTTGCTCCAGTCGACGTTACAACTGAAGTAAAGTCTGTTGAAATGCATCATGAAGCTTCGAGTGAAGCTCTTCCTGGGGACAATGTGGGACTCAACGCCAAGAACATATCTGTCAAAAATGTCTGTCATGGCAACGTTGCTGGTGACAGCAAAAATGACCCATCAGTGGGAGCAACTAGCTTCACTGGTCAGGTTATTATCCTCCACCATCCAGACCAAATCAATGGTGGCTATGCCGCTATTCTGGATTGTCACACAGTTCACATTGCTTGCAGTTTTGCTGAGTTGAGGGGAAAGATTGATCACCATTCTGGTAAGAAGCTGGAAGATGGCCCTACATTCTTGAAATAGGGTGAAGCTGTTGTCACTGAAATTGTTTCTGTCAAGCCCAGGTGGGTCGAGAGCTTCTCTGACTGTCCTTCTTTGGGTCATTTTGCTGTTTGTCATATGAAACAGACAATTGCTGTGGGTGTCATCAAAGCAGTAGACAAGAGGGCTGCTGGAGGAAGCGAGGTCACCAAGTCTGCCCAGAAAGCTCAGAAGGCTAAATAAATATTATCCCTACTGCCTGACACCTCAGTCTTTACCAGTGGTGGAAGAACAGTCTCAGAACTTTCTTTCAACTAGCCATTTAATAGTAAAAGACCCGTTAACGATCACGATGCCTCGTAAAATCTTCAGAAGGAGAATGTTTTGCCAACTGTTTTGTTTTGTTTTTTTCATGTGGCAGTTTTCAGTTATTAGTTTTTAAAATCACTCCATTTTAATAGAAAAAACTTAACCACAAATCTGTCACAGAATTTTGAGACCCATTAAGGCAAAGTTTAATGAGGACAAAATGAAACAGAAAGTTAGGTGATGTGTCCATGGCAGTATCTTGATGATTCTAGAATCAGAATATATGGCAGTTCATTACACTATTTTCTTTAATGTTTTGATGTTTGAAAACTTTATTAATTTTTCTTTAAAAGAGTCTAAGCAGAAAATAATTTATTTAAAGTAAAATGCTCAGTCCTTCACAGTTCTTTCCGCCTCTGGCATCTGGGCATATGAGGGAGTTTATGGGAAATTTTTGTGCTGAGGGACAGGGGCTTTCACTCCACACCCTCAGGCCTGTGTGTGCTACCTTCTGGGATTTGGGGATTTCGCTTATATCCATGGCTAGGTGGCCTACCAGGGTCATATTGTGTTTGGAATTGGTTCCTTCCGGTGGGTTCTTGGTCTCACTGACTTCAAGAATGAAGCCGTGGACACTCGCAGTGAGTGTTACAGTTCTTAAAGATGGTGTGTCCAGAGTTTGTTCCTTCAGATGTTCAGATGTGTCCGAAGTTTCTTCTTCTGGTGGGATCATGGTCTTGCTGACTTCAGGAGTGAAGCCATAGACCTTCACAGTAGGTGTTACAGCTCTTAAAGGTGGTGCACCCAGAGTTGTTCATTCCTCCCTGTGGGTTCGTGGTCTCGCTGACTTCAGGAGTGAAGCCACAGACCTTCGCAGTGAGTGTTACAGCTCTTAAAGGTGGCACGTCCGGAGTTGTTTGTTCCTCCCGGTGGTCTCGCAGTCTCGCTGACTTCAAGAGTGAAGCGACAGACCTTCGCAGTGAGTGTCACAGCTCTTAAAGGTGGCGCGTCCAGAGTTGTTCTTTTCCCCGCCAGTGGGTTCGTGGTCTCGCTGACTTCAGGAGTGAAGCTGCAGACCTTCACGGTGAGTGTCACAGCTCATAAACGTAGTGCAGACCCAAAGAGCGAGCAGCAGCAAAATTTATTGTGACAAACAAAAGAACAAAGTTTCCACATTGGGAAGGAGACCCTAGCTGGTTGCTGCAGGGGGTGGCCAGCTTTTATTCCCTGATTTGGCCCCGCCCATGTCCTGCTGATTGGTCCATTTTACAGAGCGCTCATTGGTCCATTTTACAGGGTGCTGATTGGTACATTTTACAGAGTGCTGATTGGTGCGTTTTTACAGAGTGCTGATTGGTGTGTTTACAATCGTTTAGCTAGACACAGAGCGCTGATTGGTGCATTTACAATCCTTTAGCTACACACAAAAGTTCTCCAAGTCCCCACCAGACCCAGAAGCGCAGCCAGCTTCACTTCTCAACATCTCAGATGACTTGTTTTGGTGCTGCTAAGTTGTTGCTAGTTGGTCTGGCTCATTGGGCTCTCATGGTGGCACCTGTTGTCCTCCTCAGCCATTTGCCACCAGAAGGAAAATCTCTCCACTCTTCATCCCGAACTTAGGTCTGAACCACTTCACATGCCTTACCATCATCTCTACACCACCATGCCCAACACACACACACACATACACACACACACTCATGGGGGTTGGGATAGCAGAGGGAATCTCTGAATGCCTTGCATGCCAGGGTTGGCCACGAGGCACCAGGAACCTCAAGTTTATGCCTCAAAAGCTACTTCTGCTAATACTGCATTACAGCTCTAAATCATGATGTCTTACTCAAGTAAATGTGTAGGTTGCTCTGGAGGATCTGCCAGGGAAAGCAGACCACCAGCCCTGACACCCTCAGCTTTCCCAATATGCATCTGGATTTGCTATGGCAGCCCCCTCCCCAGCTCCACTGCCACAATATTCAACCCAAAAAAGCCACAAGCAAAGACACTACCATTCTCTCTACGTCAAATCATTTATTTAAAAATACATACTGTATTATCTAACTTTGATTCTAAATATGGAAATTTGCAGAACCCAAATATTGCCCCCAATCCTTAGCCCAGGTACATCATTTTGGATAAGTCAGAACCTGAGTGAAAAGATAACTGCATAATTTTAACTCTTCCAGTCCCAAGTTCATCCTTCTTTCTATAGTACCTTCTTAAGCATGTCTTTACTAATTTTTTGATCGTACTCCAATCCATATTTAATTAACAATGGAGCTAAATGACATTCACAGGTGTTTTCTATGTCATAGCCACACTGATCTAAGTTCAGTAACCCTGGAATTAGAGATAGGGATAGGATATTACATCAGCAGTGAGAAGCACCATGAATGAAAATAGATGCTTACTCACTGCAAAGGAATAATGATGCCTCTGCACCTCTGCACTCTGAAATAAAAATGGTTACTAGAATAATGTTTTTATTTTGTACTTAAGCAGAGAACAAATTAGATGTAAGTTCTAAATAGAAGAAGTCACCAAGGATCCTTTGTATTTCAAGTAAGTTCTTTTTTTGTAGGTACATAGTCATGTAAATTATACATAAATATATATTGCTGAATTAATTTTATTTGAATTTGAGGTGGGCTGTCTTTGGCTATTTTAAATTATCTTGGAAAACTTTGGAAATAACACTAGATTTGACAAAGGAATTCAACTTCAATGAATTATCTTTGTATGTCTTCTCAAATTAGCAAAACTTATTTTTCTCAATGTATCTTAATATATAGTTTAAGGCCTTCAGAACTAAACAATTTCAGCTGTACAAAATTCTATGTTTAGTAAATTTGAGTCATGTACCATAAAAATCACTGTAACTTCTGTTTTATCCTTGGTCATGATATATTTTCCACAAAGTTTAGCAACTGAAAGTAAAAGAAAGCTTATCTGTTGTGTTATTGTTGGTTGTTATTTGGCTCTGTCCACAGATCACGGGTTTGCCAATTTTTCATTTTCTATGAGCCCTATCTTCCAATGGCCTTCTGAAATTATTTCAAGATCTGTTTTCAAGATACACTCAGGAATGCACTGGTTCAGTATTTCAAAGCTCATCACTGAATTCCTAAAGATTACAGTATAGTATCTTGAATTCCCTGGGATTTTCTATACCCCACTGAGTTCCATACCTACTGGATTGACTTGCACTCTTATTGTCTTGAAAATATATTAATAGGAGTTTTATATTTTTAAGTCCATTAAACATTCAGATGGCTGCACTCATAATCTACACCATCTCTTTTTTGATCACTGGTCCAAGGATATAACTTTTATGGGGTCAGCAACTCTCCACAGCTCTTCCTATAGTGTTTCTTACCTCAGAAAATGGCAGTGTTGTTCTCCCAGTAGCTCAGTCTGAAAACCTTAGAGATAGCCTCCACCCTTCTCCTTCAGTCATACTCCACTTCTGGTCCATCAGTTTTATTTTCAAATATACTTCAAATCTAATAACTGTTTACTACCTTCACTACTCCCATCTGGGTCTAAGTCAGCATCACTGCCATGTTAGATTAGTTTCCTAATAGATCTTCATGCTTCCACCGTGAATACCCTTCCATCACTCCCAACACACACACACACACACACACACACACACAATTTACACCACCGTCAAAACGATACTATAAAATACCTTTACTTATTTATGTAGCACACACTTCCATGGCATTAGTTTGTGCCAGGAACTGCTCAAAACACTTTACAAATATTAACTATTTTAATACTTATTCTAATCCTATGTAGCAGGGACCATGATTATCCCACTTTATAGGAAAGAAAACAGAGGCACAGAGAAAATAATAATAATTTGCCCAAAGTCACCCAGCTAACAGGTCAGAAAACCAGGACTCAACCCCGGCAGTCTTAGCTCCAGACTGCATTCACTCAGAGCATGTCATTGTCCTGCCTGAGAACACCCATCATCTTCACATCTCACAAAGAGTGAAAGCCCGAGTCCCCAAAGGGCTTACTAGAGTCTACATATCACTGGTCTACCTTAGACAGACCATGCAGTCTCCCATCTCAGGGTCTTTGATCCTTCCCTCTGCCAAGAACTCTCATCTTCCATGCATACATTTGTCTCGCCCTCTCTCTTCCTTCAGATTCCTGAGCAAAGACCAGTGAAGACTTCCTAAATTCACACCTATGCCTTGCCAAACTTCTTTACTCTGCTTTATTTTTCTCAGGAGCACTTATTACTGCCTAAATATATGCATTTGTCTGTTTGCTTTTGTCTACCTCCTCCCATTGAAGACGTAAGCTCTGTGAGGCAAGGGCTTTGTCCTTTGTTCCCTGCTGCATCTCCAGTGCCTAGAATGTAGGAGGCCCTCAATTACCAACTGTTGGACAACTTCAGAATTATTGAACGAATCACAAAGATCAATGTGTAGAAGAAACATTTGTGAAAGAGGAAGTAGGCAATTTTGACTTCACTCTTTCTACCCTGCCACTTTGACCCCAGTGCTATTTAGCCTGACATTTTAACCCTGTTGTTTGCTTTTTGCTTCAACAGGACCCACAATAAAGCGATTCAACATATATAGATGATTAGATTTGTAATGCCATAAGCCAACCCCGGATATAAAGTAATCCTAAAATGTTTGTGGAAGATTATTCCCAGTTTTCTTATGGTTTTGATAAAATTTAAATATAACACTTTAAATCATGTACAACTATAGTACAACTCCGATGAAAAGCAATATGGAGAGTTCTCAAAGAACCAAAAATAGAAGTACCATTCAATCCAGAATCCCACCACTGCATATCTATACAAAAGAAATAAAAAATCATTTCTCCAAAAAGATACCTGCACTTATACGTTTATCACAGCACTACTATTCATAATAGCAAAGATGTGGAATCAACCTAAGTGTCCATCAAAGAATGACTGGATTAAAAAAAAGTGATATATGTACACACACACACACACACACATATATATACATACACATCATGAAATACCACTCAGCCATAAAATATGTCTTTTGCAACAACATGGATGGAACTGGAGGCCATTATTCTAAGTGAAATAACTCAAACAAAAAGTCAAATACTACATGTTCTCACTTATAAGTGGGAGCTAAACAGCTAAACATGGACATAGACAGTGAAATAGACACGGGAAATTCAGAAGGGTAGGAGGATGGGACAGGGTTTAGGGATGAGAAATTACCTAATGGGTACAATGTACACTATTTGGGTGATGGTCACAGTGAAAGCTCAGACTTAACCACTACGCAATATGTCCATGTAACCAAACTGCACTTGTATCCCCTAAAATCTATTTAAATAAACAAATCACATATAATTAATATTATTAGTAAAAATAATCAACACAAATATTCTACTCATGGGAAATTTTTTTATAGTTTAAAACTGTCAAAACCTATATTTCATCAATATAATAGATACCGTGGAGGACGGTGGATCTCCCCAGGGCGGAGCCCCAGAATCATCGTCCTCCTCCAGCCGCCCAAGCTCCTCCGCCACTCGTCAGAGTCCTCCTTCAGCCGTTCCCAGCCCGGGGCCTCCCAGGTGATGAGGGCCAAGTACCCTCCGGCAGGAGCCACACAGCAGTGACTTCCAGACCCTCTGGGGCAGCGGACTGGCTCGCACTGCAGATTCTTCCTAATCCTTTGGTGAAAACTGCAACACAAGAAGGCCGCAAATAAGCCCAAGGGTCAGAACTCTATGGCCTTACACAAAATCATCATGGTGGACAGTGGTGGTGTGGGCAAGTCCGCTCTGACTCTATGTGTCCGGAGTTGGTTCCTTCCGGTGGGTTCCTGGTATCTCTGACTTCAAGAATGAAGCTGCCAACCTTCTTGGTGAGTGTTACAGCTCTTAAAGGTGGCACAAACCTGAAGAATGAGCAGCAGCAAGATTTATTATGAAGAACAAAAGAACAAAACTTCCACAGCATGGAAGACAACCCAGTTGGATTGCCAGCTTTTATTCCTTTATTTGTCCCCTCCCATGTCCTGCTGATTGGTCCATTTTACAGAAGGCTGATTGGTCCATTTTACAGAGTGCTGATTGGTCCATTTTACAGCACACTGATTGGCACATTTTACAAAACTCTATCTAGCTACAGATGGCTGATTGGTGCATTTTACAAACATCTAGCTAGCTACAGAGTGCTGATTGGTGCATTTTTACAGAGCACTGATTGGTGCATTTTACAAACCTCTTGTAAGACACAAAAGTTCTCCAAATCCCCACTTGACCCAGGAAGTCTAGCTGGCTTCACCTCTTACATACAGTTCATGTACGATGAGTTTGTGGAGGAATATGAGCCTACCAAAGCAGACAGCTATCGGAAGAAGGAGCTCAGGATGGGGAGGAAGTACAGATCTATATCATAAATACAGCTGGGCAGGAGGACTACACTGCAATTAAAGACAACTACTTCCACTGTGTCTTCTCTATTACAGAAATGGAATCCTTTGCAGCTACAGTTGACTTCAAGGAGCAGATTTAAGAGTAAAAAAAGATGAGAATATTCCATTTCTACTGGTTGGTAACAAATCAGATTTAGAAGATAAAAGGCAGGTTTCTATAGAAGAGGCAAAAAACAGAGCTGACTAGTGGAATGTTATCTATGTGGAAACATCTCCTAAAACATGAGCTAATGTTCACAAGGTATTTTTTGACTTAATGAGAGAAATTCGAGTGAGAAAGATGGAAGGTGACAAAGAGTGGAAAAAGAAGAGGAAAAGTTTAGCCAAGACAATCAGAGAAAGATGCTGCATTTTACAATCAAATCCCAAACTCCTTTCTTATCTCGACTATACTAATAAATATAATTTATAAGCATTGCCACTGAAGGCTCAATTGACTGAAATTACTTTAACATTTTGGAAATTGTTGTATATCACTGAAAGCATGAATTGCAACTGCAATGAAATTCAAATTTACTTAAAAAAGAAATTAATATGGCTTCACCAAGGAGCAAAGTTCAACTTATTTAGTAATTGCCAACAATTATCATGGTCCTGAATGTAGCATGGGAGCTTGTGTTTCTGAGGCAGTCTTTCTTGAAATATTAAAGAAGCGAGATGGGGGTGAGGAGAGGGAGGAAAGAGGACTTCCTCTGGTGTTTTATTATAAAGCTTACATTTTATATCATATTAAAATATCTTGGTCTTCTACTGTCTTGAAAAATGACAATTGTGAACATGATAGTTAAACTGTACCACTTTTTAAAACCATTGTTATGCAAAATTTAGAAGAAAAAGTTATTGGCATGGTTGTTGTATATAGTTAAACTGAGAGTAATTCATCTGTGAATCTGCTTTAATTACCCGGTGATTAAAGTAGTGTAAACTTGTACATGGAAATTTTTGAATATGCCTTAATTTAGAAACAGAAAAATACCCGGTTATATCATTCTGGGTATGTTCTTACTGACACCAGGGGTCCACTGCCTCATGTGTCCTGGTGAGAAAATATATGCCCAGCATGGAGTACAGCTTTGGTATAGAAGATTCTTGAGAAGTAACTGCCTGCTAGGAGCCTGTCCAAATTTAAAATGTGTGCCACACTCTGGTTCTTGAAAATAAGATTCCAGAGCTCTTTGATCACTTTTAATAAACTTCAAGTTCATTTAAAATGAAGGGCCAGCATATACTTGTAAGATAATTTTCAGCTGCAAGGATTCAGCACCAGTTATGTTTGAATGAACCCTCTTTTTCTTTAAGATGCTGGTCCCTGGAAATCACTTTCTGCCAGTGGTGAGCATGTAAGTGTTAAGTTTTTGATCTCCTGGGAGTAGGGCACAGGAAGAAAATGTCAATAATGCTAATGCATTTTGCACTGTTGAATGAAGAACACTGTAGCTTCACTTTCAGGAGTTAACATCAAGCAGTCAGACCTGGGTACTGTGCAGAAAACATGTTTGGCACACACTGACCAAACATCAGGCTGTGTCACCGTTGTGTGGTGTTCCTGCCGGAAGAATTCTAGCACGCTATTTGGGGACATAATTTCAGTGGGAAATATGCCACTGTCCGATTTTTTTTTCCTCTTTGCAGTGGAACTAGGACAGTTGATTCAACGGAGTATTTTTTTTCCTTTTGCTCAGTCCTGATTTAAACAGGTCAAAGATGTGTTCAGGCATTCCAGGAAACAGGTGTGTGTGTAAAGTTAAAAATAGACTTTCTAGGAACTCACTCATTAGATATTACATCCAGTTTCTCTGTTAAATATTTGTCATTAAAGGGTTTGAGAGGTACATCTTTCATTTTGTATTTCTCATAGGCTATGTCATGTGCAGAATTCAAGTTACCAGTGTAACACTGGCCAGCGGGCCCAGCAATCTCCACGTGTACTCATTACAGTCTTGTTTAACCAGAGGTCCTAACCACTAACATTGTGACTTTGCTTTGAGACCTCTCCTTTCCTGGGTACTGAGGTGCTATGAAGCCAAATGACAAAGATGCATCATGTGTCTTAGGCTGATGCCACTACCCGATTTGTTTAGTTGCAATTTGAGCCATTTAAAGACCAATAAACTTCTCTTTAAAATATATATATATTTAAATTAAATAATATATATGTGATTTACACCCACAAGAGTAGAGCAAGTAATAAGTATACTTTATACAAACAGCCAAAAAAAATAATAGTTAAAACCGTACATTTTAGTCACTTCAAAATATTTACGGGCCAGGCACAGTGACTCATGCCTGTAATCCCAGCACTTTGGGAGACCAAGGGCGGGTGGATCACCTGAGGTCGGGAGTTCAAGACCAGCCTGACCAACATGGCAAAACCCCACCTCTACTAAAAACACAAAATTAGCCGGGCGTGGTGGCGCGTGCCTGTAATCCCAGCTACTCAGGAGGCTGAGGCAGGAGAATTGCTTGAACCAGGGAGGCAGAGGCTGCAGTGAGCTGAGATTGAGCCATTGCACTCCAGTCTGCACAACAAAGAGTGAAACTCCATCTCAAAAAAATATGTATATACATATATAGAGATAGATATAGATATAGATATGTATGTGTGTATCTAGATAGATAGATACATACATACATACATACATACATACATAGATTACATAGCTTTTATTGTTCCAGGCACTGTTTTAAGAGCTTTTATAAAAAAGTAACTGATTACTCTCATAAAATATTTTGTGAGTTAGATGCTAACGCTAATATGATCCTTTTTCACAGATGAAAAGGAAACAGAGAAGTTAAGTAACTTGCCCCAAGTGACACGGTAAGCAGTGACAAAGCCAGAGTTAGAACTTATCAATCTCATTCTAGAGTCTGTTTGATGCTCTGCCTTCTTTCTAATAATCCTTTATTATTGATTAGAAAATTACAAATTTACATCTTCTTATCAGAATTTAGATCTGCAGAGTTTAGCACAATCAAGTTAAATGTGTTAGAATGAGATCATGTTTTCTGCAGGGATGTGGGTGGAGCTGGAGGCCAATATCTTAGCAAACTAACACAGGAGCAGAAAACCAAACACCACAGGTTCTCACTTTTAGGTGGGAGCTGAATGATGAGAACACATGGACACAGGGAGGGGAACAACACACACTGGGGCCTATGGGAGGATAGAGGGTGGAAGGAGAGCGAGAATCAGGAAAAATAACTATTGGGTGCTAGGCTTAGTACCTGGGTGATGAAATAATCCATACAACAAACCCCCATGACACAGTTTACCTATGTAACAAACCTGCACTTGTACCCCTGAACTCAAAAGTTTAAAAAAGAGAAATAATAGCCACAAAAGAAAACTCACAATGGCAAAAGCTCAATCAGCACAGTTTGATATGAACTATGATTTAATAATTGCCAGAATTTCCAGTAATTTCCACCAAAAAAGTTGATGGCAGTGAAAACAACTTCTGAAAACTAAAATTAAAAATTTTTAAAAATTAAGGGACAAAAAGATGCCATGCAAAATAGTTATTAAAGAGTGAAACAGGTTTCATGGAGTTTGCTTTTAGATACCAGCCAAGATGGACTCAGTAATGGTATGGTAACAGATAGCAACCACACTTTAGTCTTTCTGTGATTTGAAGTGAAAAGCTCATTGATTTTTATTGAAAGTCTCAACAGAAGGCAATGCTACAGACATGTAGCATGAATGTCATTGTTTGTGGTGTCAAGCATCTCATATTTCACTGGCCACAGCAAGTCACATGACCAGGTCTCCCTTTAGGTAAGTTGTGCCATGCCCTGAATACTCAGAAATAGGAGAGCCACTTATTAGCAAGCAGTTAGTTCAATCAAAATTCATCAGCATGTGGTTCCCAGATAAATATACAAAATTAGCGCTTTGATTACAAGGAAGACAGAGCAGCAGGAAACGTCTGTAGGGCAGCCAACCAACATTTTCTGCCACCATAAATGTTGGCAATAATAAACTTCATGACAAAGCCAGCATTCATTAAGAGCTCAGAAAATGCCAGGCACTGTGCTTCTTATATGTTTTCTTATTTAATTCCCAAGTCCTACAAGGGAAGCACATTATTGCCTATGTTACAGAAAGGAAAACTGAAGAACGAAGATTAAAATACTTTTGCAGATCTGGTAAATGTTGAAGCTAAGACAAGAACCTAAGCAGTCCGATTAATACCCCTCTTAGAACTACTCCCTCATTGTGCTTCCCTTCTGAATTGCACGATTCAGAGCATAAAGCACTTTATCTCTGGATATTGCAGGCTTTGCAAGAGTATTCATCTGTGGATCTTGAGTGCAAAATAAAATTTGACCCTGGTGGTTTAGCTATAACTGGAAAGGACAACTTCCATGACATTTTCTCGTAAAGCCCGTTGCCAACATCATCGAGAACAGCATGTGCTCTTCCAGATTACAGTGATAAGAAGGTTGATGTTGCTGAGAGCCGCAAGTCCTGATGAAGCAGCACTTCTCTAGGAGAGGGACGTTTCCGCTGGCCTCCGCTGAATCCTGTGCATTGGCTTCTTAGGGAGGAACTGGCTGAAACTGCTGGAAAACCACATCCATGGGATTCATGCTGTTGGAAAGGCTGTCAACAGGAAATGGTCAACAAATTGCCCTAAACCCGTGGAGCTTGCAGAGGGGCATTGCTGCCATTCTGTCTGCACATAGCCATGCTGTCTACTCACTTGAAGACTATAAGACCCCTTCCATTCTAAGGCAGGAGTAATTGAAGAAAAAGGGAATCTCTACCTAAATAAGTTGTATTCAAATTATTCATCTATACCTGGGAATTTACGCCAATCATACCAAAATAAAATATAGCTAGTACAACGTCTGGTGTCTGCTGAGCTGTAAATCTCTTCAACAGGTGCTTGTTGTTATGGGCTGGGAGACACTGATGATAATGCCCTTGAACCATCAACCCCCTCCAACATACACACACACACACACACACACACACACACACACACACCGTCTTCCTTATCTTGCCCTAGGTTTTTTTCAAATCAATTGGATCTCTTTCAACACTCTACACCCCCCTTGGATGCTTTTTTTCATCCTTGGGGTACACAAGGGCTCTGTGAGGAGGCCCTTGGGGCTTTTAGTCCAGGCTCTTCATCATTCCGTGGCTGGTCTGCTATTCCAACCCCATGATAACCAAGGGATTCTAACAGGCTTCTAGTCTCCCCTGGCTATGCAACAGGTAGGATACTCTAGGATACAACACATCCATTCCTTTCTGTTTGGCAAGTGGGGAGGACAGAGAGGACTGGGCAGGATTTGGGTTTCTCCCACTAACTCTTACATCATCATATGTTGTGTTGATTTGGGCATAATCTCCACGCCGTGCTACCTTCAAGATTTTGTATTCTGATATTCAAAGCCAAGCATTTGAACTTTAAAACACGTTATCTGTCTTAAGCACTTGGCTTTTAAGACTTCTGCCTTTGCTACAAGTTTTAAAACCCATTCATCAATCCAACTAACGTCCCCTTTCTAAGCAGTACCTGCTCTCCCCTTGAGAGCAATGTACAAAGAAAATTATACAATGGGAGAAATGTAATGGGTTCAAAGCTGCCCAGTGGAGGAGCAGGAAGGAGGTGTTGAGAACTCTGAATAATGGTTCTCAACATATTTTTTCTTAGATCTACTTTCTGGAATGCTGTTTCCTCCTATTTTGAGATTATGCTAATTTATGTTGCATTTAGTATATGCCAGCAACTTCCATGACTTTAACCTTCAGTCCTCACAGAAACATTATGAGTTGAAGCTTTTATCTTCTTTCACTGATAAGAAAAGGGAGTCCTAGAGACATTCATTAACTTGACGAAGTTCACGAAGGTAGTAGGTGGTGGAACCAGGCACTGTGTTAGTCCGTGAATGTACGTAGATTAACGATACAAAGATGACTGCATCAACTGGTGTAGGCATCAAACATGTAAATGAATCTTGGTAGCACGTTTGGCTGGGACTATTATTGAGGTTTACACACATAGGATGGCCATTTAACTAAGCGTTATGGAAGACTTCCTACAGAGATTCACACCTGAGTTGATTCATGAAGGATAAGCAGAAAAGTTAGACAAGTGAAAAAAAAAAAAAAAAGAGGAAGGGAAAGAAAGGGTATTTCAGGGCCTAGGAATAACATGAACAAAAGCACAAGGGCAAGCTGAAATAGAATGTTTTGCTCCCTGTTTTAGGCTATTTCTCCAGTTACCTACAAGTGACCCAAAATTTCATACCTTATAACAATAGTTATCATGCTCCTAAACCTGCAATTTAGCAGGACCTGGTGGGAATAATTCATCTATGCCCTGTCTGGCATCATCTGGGATAGCTCAAAGGCTGGGACTGAATCAACTGAAGGCTCATTTACATGTAAGTTGACATTGGCAGCAGGCTGAGACCCAAGCTGGGTCTGTGGGCTGATAATCCTACACAGTCCTGGATGGCTCATGTGGCTGGGCTTTCTCACAGCATGTCGGCTGGGTTGCAAACATGAGCATCCCGAGAGATATAAACCATGTGGAAGCCATAACACATTTTAAAATTTATTTTATTTTTATTGATACATAAGATTTGTACATATTTATAGGGTGCATGCAATATTTTGTTACACAAATAAAATGTGTAATGATTAAGTCAGGGTATTTAGGATATCCATCCCACAAGCATTTATCATTTCTATGCACTGAGAACATTTGAGGTCCTCATTTCTAACTATTTTGAAATGTACAATACATTCATAACACATTTTTGACTTAGCCTTGTAAGTTAGGCAGTATCACTTCCACCATATTCAATTTGTTGAAACAGCTGCAAAATGCACCCAATTTCAAGGATAAGAGAAAAGCCTTCAATCCCGAGAGGGCATAGCAGTGTTTTGGAAAAGCATGTAGACCTGGAAATATGGCTGTGATCATTTTTCAAATATACAATATAGTATAACTCTAAACATAAAAGAACAATATAAAAAGCAAATAGAGCCACTTTCCATAGCTACTGTGTCTTTCTCGATATAATCACACTATTAGCTGCATGAGATCATTGATTGACTCATTGCTT
Organism: Homo sapiens; assembly: GCF_000001405.40. NCBI lineage: Eukaryota > Metazoa > Chordata > Mammalia > Primates > Hominidae > Homo > Homo sapiens. The sequence goes on from NC_000007.14 coordinate 20,596,818, forward strand.
ACTAAGAGGGGGTTACTAGCTAAAAGCCAAGAAAAGAATTTAAGTCATATGCCAGGCATCAGCATGAGTTATCCATACAGTAGGCTAAGCACAGGAAATACTGTCATCACTGCACAAAATGCTTGTTGTGTTTTCTTGGCCACATGGCAAATAACCATTCATAAACTTTCTGTAACAAAGACTAATCTAGAAATTGTGTCAGAAGGCCTTGAATGTATTCTTGCAATTGAAAGACCATTTCAAGCTATTTGTCCCAGCCACCACAGGGACCTCTTTTACTAAAGGCAGTGTTAATAAATCTTGACGAAAACTTTCTAATGATTTTGCAGAGCCGTTTCAGTAAAGGTCCTTATTATTTGTGGAAATATCTTCAAAATGACTTGAATCTTTTACTTCATTTCCACGTCCAACAATCATAGCTCCATGCCATTTAATTGTAACAGATTGTAAAATGCTACATCTTACAAGGCCCAAAATGCAAACGGCTCCATACTGCAGGTCATGTCAATGAACTGTAAAGTTGCTACACCCTGGCAACTTGGAGGGACACTAAAATGATTAGAACCATCTCTTCTACAGTCATTAATTCTAAATCCTCAGCTTCTTAGTCACCGCCTCTCCCCTCTGTGGGCTCATCAGAGACCCAACAGAGAAGCAATTGATTCTTCTCTGTCTCCCACAGTGATGAGAATAGACATGATGGAGAGCATATGAGGACATAAGCCCTTTTACCACAGAATTTACATTCTAGAAGGAGTGACAGATGTTACGCAATTACATAAGTATGAAATATAAATGAAAAGGGATAAATGCTGTGATGCAGAAGCTCCTGGTTCTATGAGAGTGTATTGTAAAGAAACTGATGCACACAGAGAGACAAGTAAGGGGAGAAAAGGGGGAGGAAGAGGGGATGGAGACAGAGAACAACTCAGGCGAGAGCCTGAAGCAGGAGGCGCGTGATGAGTTCAGGGAACTGAAAGAAGAAAATGGCATAGCACCAGGATGCTTGGACCTGTGGCCCTAGATGACCTGGGGGGCCCTTGTCCTGAGAACAATGAAGGGCCATTCACAAGGTTTAAGTCTCCAGATATTTTAATTCCTTCCATTCAGGAGCATGTCTTCCTCAACGAGAGATAGCCATGTCAGGGTAGCCCAGTCATTTTTTTGTGTTCACCTTACTGGTCTTCTGCTATAGTTTGTTACCTGGACACTGTAGCGGCTGTCCACTTTCTGTAGTGTATGTGTTCTCCCTAATACGACTCTTCCTTTCTCCTGGATCTATACACCGCTGACACTTCATCTTCCTAAAGTGCAATTTGCATCACATCACTCTCCTCAGAAACTTTCAGAGGCAAATTCAGGATGGAAGGTAAATTCAAGCACTCCTCTGTTTTTTCTGTTCCTATACCATCTGTCACCCTCACCAGCAGCTCTACTCTTCCCAGAATGAATCTTCTACTTCACCCAAATTGAGTATTTTTTCCCACCATCACACAAATGCTCATGGCATGCCTCCTTCTTGAAATGATCTTGCTTTCTTCCTACCCTAGTCTTAATCATCCATTAGAACAGCACCTGAGTCCCACATCTCTAGAAGCTTCCACAGCCAGTGCAGTTTACATTTATTTCTCTCTCTGGATCTGAGAGCTCTTGTTACCTCTGTTCTTCATATTTGTAAGTGGTCATAAATGAATGCACACTCTTGTGATATTCTGTAACTGTTTAGATAGGTTTATCGTGCTTCTATCAAGGACACAAGTTTTTTCTTATCAGAAGCCACATGTTCTATATTACTCATAGCTCTTAGTTGAAGGGTAAACTTCAGGGAAGAGGACAGCAGTCATTCAAGGATCTACACATAAACACTGTAGAATGAGCCATTCTATTTCATGAGCAACAATGACATCTAGTGGCTGACAGGTTGCATAGCTTCTTCTGACTTTAATAATCGGACAAGGCATTCAGAAAGAGAATATTACAGAATAATTAATGAACCCAAGTTATTCCCACCAACTACACTGCTTATGAAGGTATTTCAAATATGGATTTATGTGTTCTGGCTGCCCAAATGCTTCCCCCATCCTCCTGTGGTCCAACGACCCACAAACTACTGGTAAGAGGTCCCTGCCTGTGCTCCTTGCAAACCGCAACTTCCCTTTCCCGTAGGAAGATCACCAGAAATTTTCATGGAGATTATGCGATTTTCAACTTTCTGCTTCCTGTGAAGATAGAGGTTTATGTGGATAAATATTTATTTTGGAAAGAAAGTATGTAATTGAGTAGGAAACTTGAGATGATAAATATGATAACCAGAGTAGAAACGCACTTGAAAGCCAAATGAGAGAAAGTCAGTGTGGCGTAGAGGAAGTCTGTGGGCTTTGGCTTCTGAGGGACTTGGGATCGGATGCCAGGTCTTCCCATAAAGTCACGTGATCGTTATGACAGACTGACGTCTCTGGGGCGCCATCTTCGCATCCCAAACATTGAAGGCGACATATATACAGCCTACCGGGCAGCTTTGGGGAGGATTCGATACAATCCTATATAGTAAGATTTCGGCCTGGAGTAGGTAGCCCATAAATAATAGCTATTCCTATGGTTTTACATTTTACTGGAAATAATTGTCCTCCTCTTTCCAATTTGATATTTTTTAAAACCAAAAACCTGTTTTTTTATCTGAAATTGTCAATAACTCATTCTGATCTTCATTTAAATTACCTCGTTGCTTCTGATTTCAGATGTTTATGCTGGAAAATAATGAGGTTGAGGAAAATATCTCAAATCTCTGAAAATGACCCAGGAATTCTAATCTGCCATAGACCTCAAAATCTGAATAATAATGAAGGGTGTAGAAGAACTGGAGCAGACTATAATTATTGTTATATATAGCAGTTGAAAAAGTAACCCTTTTAACTCAAGGAACCTGGCTTTGTGGAGGGAGAAAACAGGCCTAGGAATAAATATGTAAACAAATTATCGCAAGAAAATATTGTGAAGTCCTGATTTGTGTGGCCTCCCTGTGGGCAGCACGGGAATCCACAATCACCCTTATAAAATGTTTCCTTAGAAAACATCATCTTGGCCTTCTAAGCTTTACCTGAACCTAAGGTAAAGGAAGAGCTTGTTTCAAAAGTTTACTTTTTTGCTTATTATTTGGAATGTAGCAAACATTTTTCTTATATTAAGTATTATTATATACAATGGTTTATTTCACAGCCAATCCCACAGATTAATGCCAAAGACAGGCTTCAATTACATAACTCCACAAATAGGACTGGTATAGGTAGCAAAAATGGACAGTGATGTTACTTTGGGAATACAGAATAATAGAATTCCTGGGCTGGAAGAAATTTGAGATCTCCATTCTAAATTCTAAGTGAGTAGATAAAAAACACACCTTCTCCCAGTTTCAGCTCTGATGTGGGAGCAAATAATCCTCTCCCCACTTAAGACAAATTCAACCTTCTTCCTCTCCTTCTCAGTATTGTAACAGAAACCACAGGAGGGTGGGGGAAAGATGGACAGGAAACCTGCCTCTAATTCTCACTCTTCCATTGTCGGTGGGCAGGGGGCCATTAGGAGCGTTAGTCATCCCAAAATCTCAAGGGCGAAAACAACCCGGATCTATTTCATGCTCACGTTAATGACCATTGAAGTTTGGCTGCATCTCTATTCTAATAATTCTTCCTTCTGGGATTCAGGCTGAAGAAGTAGCTACTAATAAGGACATGCTATTCTGATGGCAGAGGGAAAAAAATTAATTGACAGATGAGATGACTCTTGAAGTTTCTGCTTAGAAATGACACAGGCCTCTTCCACTCACATTCATCAGTCAAAGCAAGTTACAAGGCTAAGCCGAGGTCAATGGGAGAGTAAGTATACTCCTCGAAATGGAAGGGGCTCCAGAGAGGGTATAGTAAGGAAGGGCAACAAATAATTTGGACAAATAATCAAATATGCCACATTTATCGAATATAAGCAGACTGCTTAAGATTACTTAGTCCTCAAACTCAACCAAAAATCAGATATAATAATCCTTTCCAGCCTAGTCTCAGGTTTGCTGTAAAGTCAAGCCTATGATTATGTCAAAGATGACCACTTTCAGAGATTCTGTCCAATAGGTATCATGTGGAACCCTGGTGTCTGTATTGTTTAAATGCTCCAGGATTGAGAGGCATTCTGGTTAAGTTCTGATCAATGGTTTCCAAACCTAGCCACTCAGAACCAAGAAAGCTCTTAGAAAATGCATACTTCTTGGCCTTATCCCAAAGATTCTGATTCAGTAGGGCTTGGTTAGAATTCCGGATTCTGTATTTTAAAAAAGATCCTCAGGAGATTCTGATGTAAAACTAGATAGGGACTCCCTATGCTATAGGATTCTTTTTAGCAACAAAATTCTGTAACTTATAATCAGTAACTTCCCCCCTCCCTCGCTCTTTTTGTTGTTTTTGGAGGGAGGAAGGGTGTTCTTTGGTGAGCAAGTCTATGCAAACTTAACCACAAAGTCCACCAAGCTGAGAGGCCAAAGAAAGAGGCTGACATATCTGGTTTCTCAGAAAGAAACATTTAATGGGGGCTTATGAACAGAGGCCACGTCACAGGCAGCTGAGAGACAAGATGCTGGATTCCCACCCATACTGTTAGCACTGAGACTCAGGGCTTATATAGCATAGCAAAAGAATGTGTACGACAATCAAAGTCAATCTCAATTGGCAAGAAACAGAATGGCAAGAATTTGGTTAAGGACAGAATTTATGGTAAGTATGTCTTTAGGATAATATCAAGGTTGTTTTGACCTAAAGGCATCATTTACAGTAAGTACAGGAAAATAGAAATCTTTAGGCATTCCCAGAAGTCAACATGGTGGATTAGCAGCCAAGATGGAGTCCCTTTAGCCTCCACAGAGGGATTTTTGTTGCTTTGCTTGTACAACTTTATATTTGAAACTTTACTATTTGTATCCCAATCTAATACAAATTTAGATGGCTGATTTTACCAGGGAAAAGGAGTAGGTACTGACTTGCTCGTAAGGAAGCCAAGGACAATTTTCTCCACGAGAGAAAGAGTTAGGTGACAGAAAAGTAAAGAGCAAATGTGCTTCAAGTGACTATATAGCACTAACTGCAGACAATAATGATGACGGTGGTGATGATTAAGGCTCCCATTTATTCTGTGATCAAAGAGACATTTAACACGAAATATCTCTTTGAATCTTCAGGACAGCCTAATTAAGTAGGAAATGTTGCATCCACCTTAATGATGAAAGATGTAGGTGCCAGAAACGTTAAATTACACAGCCCAGAAATGATAAAGCAGGATTCATGCTTACATCTGCCTAACTTCAAAGCTCAGGATCTCAGCCACTACACTGTACAGACATCAGTGTCCCCTAAGCCTTCCAGGAAATTCCATCTGAAAGACCATAGGAAAAGAAAGAGGAAAAGCCAATGATGATAAAAGTGTCAAGGAAGCAATAAATTTCACTTTGTAACACCTCCCAAGTTGCAAAATGTCAGTGGACACCCCTCATTGCTGTGTCCCAGCCAGCTCTGCCCCACCAGCAGACCTCCCTTTCTGCTATTATCCCTGCAGAGGCAACACCCTAGATCAATGACCACAAATGTCACCACACTTTATCACTTACTGTGTGCTTTCATAGCAATCTCATTTACTATCCTCAAAAACACAAGTATTTCATACAGAAGCCAAGAATAATAAAGATTGAGCTGATTTATCTAAAATAGGATTTCCTAACTCGCATTATTGTGCTGGATAATTCTTTGTTGTGGGCTCTGTACCGTGCAATGTGGCGTGTTTAGCAGCATCTGTGTATTCTACCCACTGGTGCACCTTCTCCTCAGCACCTGCCAATTGTAACAACTAAAAATGTCTCCAGACTTTGCCAGCTATCCTCTGCTGGGGGACAGAGTAACTTCTAGCTAAGAACTGTGGACATAAAGTGATGCAGCAAACAAGCAGAAAATATGTTCTGACCCAGATCTTATGACTAACATGGTGTGTGATCCATTGCACCCCTGAGACTGCAATGGAACATTGAATTTTAGAATTTTATGTCATAGAATTTTAGAATCATAGAATTTTTAAGGTCCCACTGACATCCAGGCAACTTCCTTATTTTGCTGATGAGCAAACCAAGGCTTAGAGATGTGAGATGACTATCACAATTCTATGGCTCAAAATATTTTAAAAATAATTTCAAGCAAACATTCCTAAGATTCTTGGCAAAAGTGATATTGCTGATACACATCCACAGGGGGTACATCTTGTCCTGTGGCTGCACCAATTAGCCATCCTATCTGTCAAGAAAGTCTTCCTAAAACATATAGGTTAACTTCATTTATACCAATGCTAAAACAAGTCATGCCATACCTCTGCCGCCCTTCATGTTGGAGACTTTCAGTCACCTATACATGTTTCTGTAGTTCTAGAAGCCAGACTTCCGAGAAGCATAAAATCCATCATAGGTGTTGGGGGAGGTAAAAGGAAAACCACCATTCTGATCAGATGAGGCCATTTGAAAAATGGGATAATGGCCGTACTCAAAGAGCCTTCCTTCTTAGCATTCCATTCTCTGACCCCTCCCTCCTCTTTTGTCTGTATCCTGATCCCTTCTACCCAATACCTGGGGCCTCTACGCAGATCCACTTTTCTCAGAGGCTCACTGGACAGCATTAGGTCTATGTGGAAAATTATCCTTTTCATCGGGAACCAGTGAGATCTTAGCTAACCTCCTGCTTCCATGCCTGTAGTGGCAACTGTTGAGATACAGTTCTTCATTTATAAATTTTCTCAGGTCTCCACTCACGATATTTGAGTGCTTTGTGTTCCAAAGAAGAAAACCAATTATTACTTCTGTTTGGCCACACACAGAATTGCAGAACACGTGGACTTGGATGCCAGATGTTGCCATAGAGTTCAATATTTTCTTGCTCCAAATTAAAAATGCCTTTATAATACTTAGTCTATTAAGAATTTAAAGCTGCTAAAGAGTACCTTTTAATTCCTAAAAAAAGTGATAGAATATTAACATATCACATCAGAAGAAAGCTAGTGTATAAGAAACCACCAACCCCCAACCCCAGCACACACACACATGCAACAAGTACATCTCATGTATGAATTCAAGCATTTGTCCTGTTTTATAGCAACAGCACAGGAGCTTCCCCTTGTACTAATCAGGTTTTTATTTTCTGATGCTTCGCTATCTTAGGGCCTTGCTGACCTTAAAAAGTCTGTCCCTCCCAGGATTAGTTAATTCCTAGAGATAGAAAACAACTCATTTCCCAGGATATACCTTTTATACGGAAGCCAACAAATCCAGAGCCTGTATTCTCAACCACGTCCTTTATCAGGCTTTCACACTATCCCCCTGCCCTAATCACTGCAGGGCCAGGTACCAGGCAACTAGAGACATTATTCAAACTAGCTGATCCTTTATATATATATATATTTTTATTATACTTTAAGTTCTAGCGTACATGTGCACAACGTGCAGGTTTGTTACATATGTATACATGTGCCATGTTGGTGTGCTGCACCCATTAACTCGTCATTTACGTTAGGTATATCTCCTAATGCTATCCCTCCCCCCTCCCCCCACCACACAACAGGCCCCGGTGTGTGATGTTCCCCTTCCTGTGTCCAAGTGTTCTCACTCACCTATGAGTGAGAACATGCAGTGTTTGGTCTTTCGTCCTTGCGATAGTTTGCTGAGAATGATGGTTTCCAGCTTCATCCATGTCCCTACAAAGGACATGAATTCATCATTTTTTATGGCTGCATAGTATTCCATGCTGTGTATGTGCCACATTTTCTTAATCCAGCCTATCATTGTTGGACATTTGGGTTGGTTCCAAGTCTTTGCTATTGCGAGTAGTGCCGCAATGAACATACGTGTGCATGTGTCTTTATAGCAGCATGATTTATATTCCTTTGGGTATATACCTAGTAATGGGATGGCTGGGTCAAATGGTATTTCCAGTTCTAGATCCCTGAGGAATCGCCTCACTGTCTTCCACAATGGTTGAACTAGTTTACAGTCCCACCAACAGTGTAAAAGTGTTCCTATTTCTCCACATCCTCTCCAGCACCTGTTGTTTCCTGACTTTTTAATGATCGCCATTCTAACTGGTGTGAGATGGTATCTCATTGTGGTTTTGATTTGCATTTCTCTGATGGCCAGTGATGGTGAGCATTTTTTCATGTGTCTGTTGGCTGCATAAATGTCTTCTTTTGAGAAGTGTCTGTTCATATCCTTCATGGTACTGGTACCAAACAGAGACATAGACCAATGGAACAGAACAAAGATCTCAGAAATAATACCACACATCTACAACCATCTGATCTTTGACAAACCTGACAAGAACAAGAAATGGGGAAAGGATTCCGTATTTAACAAATGGTGGTGGGGAAACTGGCTAGCCATATGTAGAAAGCTGAAACTGGATCCCTTCCTTCTACCTTATACAAAAATTAATTCAAGATGGATTAAAGACTTAAATGTTAGACCCAAAACCATAAAAACCCTAGAAGAAAACCTAGGCAATACCATTCAGGACATAGGCATGGGCAAGGATTTCATGTCTAAAACACCAAAAGCAATGGCAACACAAGCCAAAATTGACAAATGGGATCTAATTAAACTAAAGAGCTTCTGCACAGCAAAAGAAACTACCATCAGAGTGAACAGACAACCTACAGAATGGGAGAAAATTTTTGCAATCTACTCATCTGACGAAGGGCTAATATCCAGAATCTACAATGAACCCAAACAAATTTACAAGAAAAAAACAAACAACCCTATCAACAAGTGGGCGAAGGATATGAACAGACACTTCTCAAAAGAAGACATTTATGCAGCCAACAGACACATGAAAAAATGCTCATCATCACTGGCCATCAGAGAAATGCAAATCAAAACCACAACGAGATGCCATCTCACACCAGTTAGAATGGCGATCATTAAAAAGTCAGGAAACAACAGGTGCTGGAGAGGATGTGGAGAAATAGGAACACTTTTACACTGTTGGTGGGACTGTAAACTAGTTCAACCATTGTGGAAGTCAGTGTGGCCATTCCTCAGGGATCTAAAACTAGAAATACCATTTGACCCAGCCATCCCATTACTGGGTATATACCCAGGGGATTATAAATCATGCTGCTATAAAGACACATGCACGCGTATGTTTATCGTGGCACTATTCACAATAGCAAAGACTTGGAACCAACCCAAATGTCCAACAATGACAGACTAGATTAAGAAAATGTGGCACATATACATCATGGAATACTATGCAGCCATAAAAAGTGATGAGCTCATATCCTTTATAGGGACATGGATGAAGCTGGAAACCATCATTCTCAGCAAACTATCACAAGGACAAAAAACCAAACACCGCATTTTCTCACTCATAGGTGGGAATTGAACAATGAGAACACATGGACACAGGAAGGGGAACATCATACGCCGGGGCCTGTTGTGGGGTCGGGGGAGGAGGGAGGGATAGCATTAGGAGATAGACCTAATGCAAATGACGAGTTAATGGGTGCAGCACACCAACATGGCACAGGTATACTTATGTAACTAACCTGCACATTGTGCACATGTACCCTAGAACTTAAAGTATAATAAAAAATAAATAAATAAATAGATAAAAACCCATCAAAAAGTGGGCGAAGGAAACTAGCCAATCCTAAACCTGTTTACCTTGCCCTGCCTTTCCAGAGGAAAGCACAGTAAAGGTTCCTGCTCAAGTTTTCCCCATTTCCTCTGCCTCCTGACAAACCCCAGTGGTTGCCCATGTGGCCCTACGTGGTGGCCATGCCTTCTGTTTCCAGGGATCTGTGAGTATAAACTTCTTCCTTCGTGATAGCCATTTTTAGCTCTGTGTGTCTTACAATATCTGATTAAAGCAAGCCCTGGGTTATTTTATTTTATTATTTATTTATTTATTTATTTATTTATTTATTTTGAGATGGAGTCTTGCTCTGTCGCCCAGGCTGGAGTACAGTGGCACCATCTTGGCTCACTGCAACCTCCGTCTCCTGGGTTCAAGCAATTCTCCTGCCTTAGCCTCCTGAGTAGCTGGGATTACAGGCACCCGTCACCACGCCTGGCTAATTTTTATATTTTTAGTAGATACCAGGTTTCGCCAAGTTGGTCAGGCAGGTCTCGAACTCCTGACCTCAGGTGATCTGCCCTCCTTGCCCTCCCAAAGTGCTGGGATTACAGGCGTAAGCCACTGTGCCTGGCCCAGGGTAGACAAATTTGGTTCTGCTACTTTAATAGTTGTGTTAACTAGGCAACACTACTTAAGTCATCTAACCCTCAATTGCCTCTTGTAACAATGGAGCTAATAAATCAATGATTAATGAGAGTACTGGCATAATAGTAATAATATTTAATATTGATTGAAGCATCTATAAAATTTTTTCACAGTACATAACTCAGAGTAAGTGCTTCTAGTGGGAACCATTATTATTATTGTTGACTGTAACAGCAAAGCAATAAATTTTTTCCTAATGTAAACAGATAGCTAATGGATAAATGATTACTCATCATCATACTTGCTTACTTTATTAAGAAACAGAGTAAACATGAAGAGACTACGTAGCTAGGTTCAGGTCACAAAATGACTCTGTGGCAGCGTTGGATTTCTGCCCTGTCCAAGACCCAACCCTTCTCCAGAGATCACTATGATTCTTTCATTTCACGTAAAATAAAAAACTTTCATTTGGGGAATTCCCTTGCAGAGTTTCATGGTTTTGTCCCAGATTCTCTTGAGTCTGGAAAATTACTTTGTGTTCTTATGTTTAATATTCTGCACTTCTGTTAAAGATGGATTTTTGCTGAGTTAAAGGCTCACACAGTTCTTATAGGTTCCAATTTAGAAACAACCCTAAATCTGTTGTGGCTTTGAGTTAGTCTTGGCAGAACACTTCAGGGTGGGTGGGAGGGTTTTTAATGGGTTTCTTTAAAGGGATTCTTTAAAGAGTTTATTTAGTCTCAAACCAAAGTAAACTGACTATCCTATTCCCATAGATTTTTAGCAAGACAAGGGTTAGAATTCAGAGGAAATGTGGTAGGCAGAGTCTACTGAGAATTTGGTTGATATCGTGGGCCATAAAGTGGTAGCAAGACTATGGTGACATTAAAAGAAACTTTCTCACAAAGACTTTTTAAAAACTTTTTACTCCTTTATGTTCCCATAATATTAGAGTTGTTTTGAATATATTAATACATGGATAGTTTATATCTATATATACACATATACATACACACCCATACATTCAAAGTGTTTATATACACACACACTTTGAATGTATTTATATATATATGCTTTGTATAATGTATATACTACATATACTTTGTATAAAGTATATACTATATATACATTCAAAGTATATATAGTATAGCATATGCTTCAAATATATAGTGTGTATATATATACTTCAAAATACATATAATGTATATATACTATATACACACAAAATAGTATATATAAAGTATATATACATATGCACTATATAAAGTATGTGCGTATATATACTTTCAATGTATAGTGTATACTTTATACGAAGTATGTTTTATATATATACACTTTGTGTGTATATATATACTTTGTATGTGTGTGCATATATATACTTTGTATGTGTATATATACATACTTTGTATCAATGCCAAAATACTGTATGATAAAATAGATGTTTTGCTGAATATCAAACCATAAAATGAGCTTTCAGTATCAAAGAGTATCTACATATTGTTATTGACAGGGTAGTAAAAATTTAAAAGTCTAATATAAAGTGAACAATCACAATTTTCAAACACTGCCAGCTGCTAATAGCTCCTGCAGTCAGTATACAACGTATCTGCTTTATTAAACAGATATTTATCTGAGATAAGTGGAAGACAAAAACTTGTTTCTCTAATACTTTCTTATTTTCTTCATAGCTTTTCTATTTTTATTACATCTAAAAATATATATGATTTGGGGATTTATAATCTTCAGTAATATATTTTAGGTCACAAGCATACCCTGCTCTTAATTCTTTTTCATGCATTGTGAAGAATTCCAAGTGGGACATTTTCTTGAATGAAGTCATGGCCCAAATATAGTTTAAAACTTAAAAGTTCAGTATGTTCTATAATAACGATGTTAACATTCTTAATTTTATATTCAATAACTTTATAAAATTTAAAAGAAGAATACCCTTTTGTTTGTATTTTACTGTATCTTTCAATCAAGTAACAATTTTTTTTTTTTTTCAGATGGAGTTTTGCTCTGTCGCCCAGGCTGGAGTGCAGTCGTGTGATCTCAGCTCACTGCAGCCTCTGCCTCCTGGATTCAAGTGATTCTCCTCATAGTACAAGTCACCAATGTTAGAAATAAAAAAGTGTTCTTTATACATTAAAAAGATAAAAACAGGATATTATAAATAATTTAAAAGATAAAATTCAAAATTTGGAGAAATTCCTTTTGAAATGCATCTCACCAAAAACGGACACAAGAAGAAACAGAAAATCTGAATAACTAAATTCTTACTAAAAAGCTGAAATCCAGTGTTAAAAACTTCCACAAAACAACTCCAGACCCACAGGACCTCATTACTACACTCTTCCAAATATTTAAGAAAGAAATAACACTGTTTTTCCTATAAACTTTTTCAGGGAATAAAAAGGGAATATTTCCCAACTCTTTTTATGAAAACATTATAATTAGATAAAAACATCACCAAAAAAAATTTACAGACAAATTTCCCTTAAGCATAGGTGCAAAAATCATAAACAAAATAACAGCATATGAAACATAACCACATATAAAGAAAATACAAAGAAAACATATGTAAAGAAAATATTTAAAAATTAACCATATATAAAAAGGATAAATATCTTGGCCAAGCATGGTTTATTCCGGAAATGCAGAGATGTTTAACATTCAAAAATCAACTGCTCTAATGTAAGATGTTAATAATAGTGGGGTGGAGAAAAAGGAACACCTGTACACTGTTGGTGGTAATGCAAATTAGTACAACCATTATGGAAAATGGTATGATTAAAACAAAAACTAATGACAGAATTACCACATGATCCAGCAATTTCACTGTTGGAGATATATCCCAAGGACTTGAAATCAGTATGTCAGATATTTGCACTCCCATGTACGTTGCAGCATTATTCACAATAGCCAAATGATGAAATCAACCTAAATATCCATCATCAGATGAATGGATAAGGAATATGTGGTATGTATACAAGGGAATACTATTCAGTCTTTTTAAAAAAGAAATTCTGTCATTTAAAACAACAAAACAACATGGAGAAACCTGGAGGACATTATGCAAAGTAAAATAGGCCAGGCACAGAAAGAGAAAAACCTTACATGAGGAATCTCATGTGAATTATAAAACAACCAAACTCATAGAACCAAAGAGTAGAATGGTGGTTATCAGAGGCTACGGGGATAAGGAGAAATGGGGAGATATTCATCAAAGGATGCAAAGTTGCAGTTAGATAGGAGGAATAAATGACAAGTATTTAAGGTGATGGCTATGTTAATTAGCTTGCTTCAATCACTCCACACCGTATACATATATCATAACATCACTGTGTACCCCACAATTATATACAGCTACAATTTGCCAAAAAAATTAAAATTTTTTCAAAAAATAAAATTTGTAAAAAGTAAGGATGAGATTGGAAAACAATGCTAAAAATAATAATGGAAAATTGTGTGCATGTGGGGAAAGGGGTATATAAGAATTCTGTATCCTATAGGAACTCTCTATCCTATCTTCACAATTTCTTTTGTAAATCTAAACATATCATAAAGTTGTTGTAATCTACCACATCAAAAGAATAAAGCAGAAAAATAATATGTGGTTATTTCCATAGAGGCAGAAAAACAATTGGATGAATTTTACCATACAATTATAATTTAAAACTCTCAGCAAATTAGAAATGAAAGGAAACTTTCTTAATCTGGGAAAGGATAGTTCCCAAAAGTTATAGTAAAAATTGCATTTAATTATAAAATATTATAAGCTATCTCTCTGAGAAAAAGGTTGAGACAAGATACTTGCTATAATCTGTTCTATTAAAAATTAAACAGAATGACCTACCAAATGTAATAATGCAAAAAAATCAAAACAAGATTCTATAATTAATAAATAAAATTAGCATCATAGAAAATAAAAAAAAACAGCAAACCATTAGATTCAGTAACCCAATTACTAGATGCAAGGTTAACATAAAAATCAATTTTAAAATGTTCTGTATTATAGAAATCAATTAGTTCTGAGTGCCAACCACAAACAGAAAACAATTTTTCAAAAAACCATATATACTAACATCAAAGAATATCAAATACCTATGGGAAAATCTAATGATGTATGTGTAAGACAGCTATAGTCAAAACTATAAAGCATTACTTAGAAAAACTACAGAAGACCTAAATAAATGAAAAGATACATTACGTTTATGGATTGAAAAATGCTATATTATACATATATCAATTTTTTAAACATATCTACAAGTTTAAATCAGTTAAAATGCCAGAAGTAATTCATTTGTGGAAAAGGAGTGTTTCATCTTAAAATTTATATTGAAAACAAAGAGACCAAGCATAATCAAGGCAACCGAAAGAACAAAACTGTAGGACTTAAACAGCAGAAGGAAAGACCTATTACAAAGCTATAGTAATGAAGACAGGACAAGGACATAGAAACAGAGCAATAGAACAAAGCCGACCCACACATATGTATCATTTGTAACAAAGATGACATATTGAGATAGTTAAGAAAGAAGAACCTCTGTCATAAAAGGTGTTGGGTCAACTGAATATTCTTATTGGGGAAAAAAGTGTATCTACCTCACACAAAAATTAATTTCAGATGGATTTTAGATCAAAATGTGAATGCTCAAATGTGAACTTATACAAGAAAATGTAAGATAACATCTTTGTGACCTTGGAATAAACAAAGATTTCTTTAACAGGAAAAAAAAAAGGCTAACTGTAAGGGAAAAAATAACATATAGCACTATATTGTTGGAGAATATACATTCATCAAGATAAAAACATCAAGAGAAAAATAATGTACCCCACAGAATTGGAAAAACATTTGCAATTCATATTCCCAACAAAGAAATCATATAGGGTCCACTTAAAATACTCCTACAAATCAATAAGAAAATTTCAAATAGCACAATATAGTAATGAGCAGAAGACTGACTTGAACAGGCACTGCACAAAAAGATATCCAAGTAGCCAATAAAAAATATATGAAAGAGCGCTTAGCTTTATAAATTACCAAAGAAAAGCAACAAAACCTCAATGTAAATACCACTTGTGTTAGTACATTTTCACACTGCTATAAAGAGCTACCTGAGACTGGGTAATTTATAAAGGAAAGAGGTTTAATTGACTTACAGTTCTACCTGGCTGGGGAACCCTCAGGAAACTTACAATCATGGTGGAAGGGGAAGCAGGCACCCTCACAGGGTGGCAGGAGAGAGAGAAGGATGAAGTAGGAACTTCCAAACAGTTGTAAAACCATCAGTTCTCATGAGGACTCACTATCACGAGAACAGCATGGGGGAACCTCCCCCATGATCCCATCACCTCCCTCCCTCGATATGTTGGGATTACAGGTCCCTCCGTTGACACATGGGGATTACAATTCAAGATGAGATTTGGGTGGGGACACAGCAAAACCATACACCACTGCACCCACCATAATGACTATTGAAAAGAATCATTATGCCAAACATTGTTGAGAATATGGAGCAAGTGGACCTCTCATGCACTGCTGGTGAGCACACAGAGGGTGCAAGCACTTTGACAAACTATTTGGCTCCTTCAGCTAAAGTTAAACACATACATATCCTATGACCTAGCAATTTCACCTTTGTATATATCCAACAAAGATAATATGTTTACCAAAAAACATGCATGATAGTATTCATAATAGCACTCTTCCTAATACTCCAAGCCCAGAAATGAGCCAAATGTCCACCAACAGTAGTAGAATGAAAAATTAAATGGTGGTATATTCACAAGATGAAATATTATTCAACAATTACAATGAACAAACTACAACTACACATAAATCCACATGTAAATGATCAACTGATCTTTAACAAGATGCCAGAAATACACAGTGGAGGAAAGATAATCTCTTCAATACATGGTTTTGAGAAAACAGATATTCACATGCAAAATAATGAAATTAGACCCCAATTTCACACCACTCACAGAAACTAACTCAAAATGAATTAAGACTTAAATGTAAAACCTAAAACTATAAAGGTCCTAGGAGAAAACATAGAGAAAACCTCCCTGACATTGATCTTGGCAGTGATATTTTGAACATAACACCAAAAGCACAGGCAACAAAGGCAAAAAAGTGGCACTACATCAAACTTAAAACCTCTGCACAGCAAAGAAAACAAGCAACAAAATGAAAAAGGGCCAGTCGTGGTGGCTCACACCTGTAATTCCAGTACTTTGGGAGACTGAGGCAGGCGGATTACGTGAGGTCAGGAGCTCGAGACCATCCTGGCCAACATGGTGAAACCCCATCCCTACAGAGTGAGACATTCTGCCTGGGCAACAGAGCAAGACTCCATTTCAAGAAAATAAAATAAAAGACAATCTACACAATGGAAGAAAATATTTGCAAACCACATTTTGAATAATGCGTTAACACCCAAAGTATATAAGAAACTCATACAACTCAATAACAAAAAGACAAATAACCCCATTTAAAAGTAGGCAAAGACCCAAATAGATATTTTTTCCCAAATAAGACATACAAACAGCCAACAGGTACATGAAAAGGTGCTCAACATCAGTAATCATCAGAGAAATACAAATAAAAAACACAATGGGATATCACCTTCTAGCTTTAGAATGGCTATTATAAAAAAGATAAGAGGTAACAGGGGTATGGAAAAAGGGAACCTTGTGCACTTTTGGTGGGAATGTCAATTGGTACTGCCATTATGGAAAAGAGCATCAAGTTTCCTAAAAAAATTAAAAACAGAATTGCCATCTGATCCAGCAATCTCACTTCTAGGTATATACCCCAAGGAAATGAAATCAGTATTTCAAAGAGGTATCTGCACTCCCCTGTCCATTGCGGCATTATTCTCACCAGCCAATATATGGAAACAACCAAAGTGTCCATTGACACATGAATCGATAAAGAAAAGCAATATTATTCAGTCATAAAAAAGAAGGGAACTTTGTCATTTGTGACAACGTGGATGGAACTGGAAGACATTATGTTGTGTGAAATAAGCCAGAGATATGTGTGAAATCCAAAAAAAGTCAAACTCCTAGAAGCAGACAGTAGCATGGTGGTTACCAGAGACTAGGAGGTGGAGGAAATGGGGAGATGTTGGTCAAAGGGTACAAACTTCCAGTTATAAGATGGGTACAGGATGGTGACTACAGTTAATAATTCTGTATTGTATATTTGAAATTTGCTAAGAGAGTAGATCTTAAGCGTTCTCACCAGACACGCACACACACAAACACGTAAATATGTGAAGTGATGGATGTGCTCATTGCAGTAATCATTTCACAATGTATATGTATATCACATCATCATGTTGTAAACCTTAAATATAGACAATAGTATTTGTCAATTATACATATTAAAGCTGAATAAATAAAATAAATTAATTAAAATTATATAAAACTCAAAATTCAGCTCCCTCACTAGGCACATTAAAAGCGCTCAATAGCCACATATGTGTAGCGGCTAGGATATTGGATGTGTGGAGAATATCTCAATTATTGCAGAAAGTTCTGTTGGATGGCTCTGCTCTAGAAGTAACACTTTTAGCTACATTACACCACTTCTGTGCATTTAGATGACATCATGAGATTTTTAAAGCAAAATTAATTATTCCTTCTGTGCATATGACAATTGCAAGTTTATCTCTAGGTTGGCAATTTTCCTAATTATTAGTGCCACATTTACATCTGTTTGCCAGATATTTTCACTTGGACACCAATATCAACCCAAATTTGCATATTTAAACTGAATGTTACCATTTCCCCAAAACCAATTCTGTCTCATAACTTCTCTATTACCATCTTTACTACTCTTTTGTTACAACTTTTAAAAGTTTGATCGCTGAACTTATATTTTTTTTATTTCTTCTTCCTTGTCCTCTTTACCTACCTACCGCCTTAAAAATACCTCTCAAATAGTCTTACTTACTGCTATCAAACTAGATTTTAATGAGTCTACTTAAATCTTGTGTTTCCCCAAGTCCTTCCAGTATATCCATGGCTGTAATGTCAAATAATCAGGTTAATTGTACCAAATACCAATGGCTTTGTCTCTTTCATTCCAGAAAATTATAAAAGTTGTCCTAAAAATTGGTTCAGTGCCTTTTACAATCGTATGTACCTTATCTCTCTCTCCATTTCTGCATGAACAGTCCATCCTATCCAAACCGTTCTCATTTCTCTACCATGAGATAATTCACCTTGCATTCCTAAAACTATGCCCTTGTTCCTCCTCCACATTTTTCTACTTACTGAAACCTTAGCCTTCCTCCAGAAACTAACCTCAGGGCCATCCTCATCTGTGGGCGAAACCATTTTAGATCACAATGTTCTTCCTCAGTCTTCTTAGATACTAGAATAGTCACTCTTTGTACTATTCATCACATAACGTCTGTCTTGCCAGGTATATTAGGTTCCCCTAGAGAAATAGAATCAATAGGCCGTGTGTGTGTGTGTGTGTGTGTGTGTGTGTGTGTGTGTATGTAGAGAGAGAAAGAGAAAACACGCTCATGTAATTGTGGTGACTGGCACTTCCAAAATCCACAAGCCAGACTAGAAGGCTGGAAATTCTGGCAAAAAATTGATACCTTGTATCTGAAAGCTTTATCCTATCCTCTTCAGAAGACTTCAGTCTTTTCTCTTAAGGACTTCAACTGACTGGATGGGGCCCACTCAAAACAGCATCTAAGGAATTAAAGTAAGTCAAAGCAAAAGTATTAGAGATTATGAAAACAATTGAAGCTTGTGAAGAATATAAAACACTTCTCCATCTTAGAAAGAATAGTTTGTGGTAAAGATGGAAACAAAAATGTGTGTGTATGAAACTTTTTCATAGTCAGAAATGATCATCCTACTATTATTTTGGTCATTTTAAAGCATCCATACAATTCATATCTTCTTTCTTTCTTTCCCTGTGACAGGGTCTCACTCTGTCACCCAGGCTGGAGTGCAGTGGCACGATGTTGGCTCACTGCAACCTCCGCCTCCAGGGTTCAAGAGATTTTCCTGGCTCAGCCTTCTGAGTAGCTGGGATTGCAGGTGCCCAGCACCATGCCCAGCTAATTTTTTTATTTTTAGTAGAGATGGGGTTTCACCTTGTTGGACAGGCTGGTCTCGAACTCCTGACCTCAGATGATCCAGCCGCCTTGGCCTCCCAAAGTGCTGGGATTACAGGCATGAGCCACTGCGCCCAGCCATATCTTCTTTCATCTAACCAAAGATCCCATGTTTTCCATCCAACCAGTATATCTTAGCTATTTGTCAGATTATTCTTACCAAGGATGCTTGAACGTTAAGTGCATCTCATGATTTCTTCTCACATGGGTATTTTGTCCTATGATTTCCATCTTGGTACATGAACCTAGAAATATTTTTTAAGGCAAAAGTCCTTATAAATAAAATATTCTGTCTATTTTTACATTTTCTTGTATGTTCCATAGTACTTGCCATGATAGCATCCACACAGCTGTCAATAAGTAAGAATTGGCTGACTGATAGATTTTGTGTAGAGCAATTAAGATGTTCAGAGTTCTTCTCTCATGTTATCTACTTAGTGCTGGATATTACTACCTGATTATCTCACAAATATCTCAAACTTGACAAGTTTCAAGTTAAATTTATCTTCCTTTTGAAACATTGGGTAACAGAGAGGAACATGGGGGCAGCCATCATAGTCAACCTGTAGCTTTCCATACAGTGAGGACCTGCCAACTGGCTCACAAATTGCTTTGACCTTGTGTCGCTTTGTCTCAGTGCACTTTTCTCTACTATCTAAATAGTATTCCTTCTGCCTGGGATAGTCTTTTTGATCTTTATATAGCAACCTCCTTTTATAATTCAGATTGCAGCTTAAACATTATCTTCTACAAGGGGCTTTCTCTGACCAGATGTATATAAATACCACATTACTCTTCATAAAATTACCCTGTTTTAATTATATACCAAAAACTGACCACTCTCTAATTTTCCTTATTTATGTATGCCTTTTTTTAAAATTGTGACTCTCCCTGTAATGGAGTCTAAGCTCTATGACAGCAAAGATGTCTAGGCTGTTCAGTGCTTAAAACAGTACCTGGCACAGTATATATCTATAGAATGAGTAAATTTTTTTAAAAAATCATCTAATGAGCTTGTTTAAAATGTAGATTTTTTTCCAGTGCATTTCTTTAGATTATCATTCAGTACATGTGGGGCAAGGCCTAGGTAGGTGTCTGATATCTTTAACATGCACTCCAGGTGATTCTGATGCCAGAGGTCCTTTGACAATACTTTAAAACTGTGCTATTAACAGCAGATAAAAACAATATGTTGTCAGCACTAAGGTGTATTTTAAACTTTATTTTTATAATCTTGGATTTAGGAAGATAAAATTTCCTCTAGATAAGTAGTGCCTTCTGTTTCTCAAGGCTTTGTGCTAGATACTATATAGTCATGTTTCTCAAAATTTGATATGCATTACAAACCACTTCGACAATCTTGTTAAAATGCAGATTCTATTCAGAAGTTTTAGAGTGAGACCCAAAAATCGCATTTTTATAATGGATTAAAAATATATAATCTAACTGTATGCTGTCAATAAGAGAATCATTTTAGATCTAAAGGCAAATAGGTTAAAATCAAAAGGATAAAAAGAGATAATCCTGCAAATATTAACCAAAAGAGAGCTGGAATGGTTATAGTAATATCCAGACAAGTTACACCTCAAGTCAAAACCTTTTATAAGAGACAACAAAGAACATTAGATAGTGATAAAACAGTCAAATCACCAAGAAGATATAACAACTATAAGCACACAGCCACAAAATATCACAGCTCCTAAATAAACACTGACAGAAGCAGAGAGAAATAAAAACTTCTGTAATAATGGTTAGAAACTTTAAGATTACCCTTTTTTGCTAACAGCTTTATTGAGATATAATTCACATATCATAGAATGTACCCATTTAAGATGTACAATTCAAAAGTTTTTGTATATTCATAGAGTTGAGCAGCCATCACCACATTCAATTTATAGTGGTTTTATCATCTTGAAAAGAAACCCTGTATCCCTCTCATTAGCTGTCATCTCTATTTCTCCTCCACCCAGCAACTACTAACTTACTTTTTTCTCTATGGATTTGCCTGCTCTAGGCACTTCATATTAATGGAATTATATAGTATGTTGTCTTTCGTGATTGGGTTATTGTACTTACCATAATACTTTCAAGGTTTATTTATGTAGCATGTATCAGTATTTCATTTATATGGCTATCTTCACCTTTTATATAATTTCAACTTTTATTTTAGATTTAGAGCTTACCTGTGCAGGCAGGTTTGTTACATGAGTTCATTGTGTGACACTGAGGATTGAGGTGTGAATAATCCCTTCGCCCAGGTAGTGAGCATAGTACTCGGTAGGTAGTTTTTCAGCACCTTCTCCCCTTCCTCTCTCCCACCTCTGATAGTCTCCAGTGGCTATTTTTCTCATCTTTATGTCCATGTGGACCCAATGTTCAGCTCCCATTTATCAGTGAAAACATACAACATTTGGTTTTCTGTTTCCATGTTAATTCACTTAAGATAATAGCCTCCAGCTGCATTTATGTTGCTACAAAAGATTTCATGGCATATATGTGCTGCATTTTCTTTTTTTTTTTTTTTTTTTTTTTTTTTTGAGATGGAATCTTGTTCTGTCACCCAGGCTGGAGTGCAGTGGCACGATCTCAGCTCACTGCAACCTCCACCTCCCGGGTTCAAGAGATTCTCCTGCCTCAGCCACCCAAGTAGCTGAGACTACAGGCATGTACCACCATGGCAGGCTAATTTTTGTACCTTTAGTGGAGACGGGGTTTCACCATGTTGTCCAGGCTGCTCTCAAACTCCTGGCCTCAAGTGATCCACCTACTTCGGCCTCCCAAACTGCTGGGATTACAGGCTTGAGCCACCATGCCCAGCCACGTACCACATTTTCTTTATGCAATTCACCATCGAAGGCACCCAGGTTGCTTCCATGTGTCTGCTATTGTGAATAGTGCTGTCATAAACATAAGAGTGCATGCGTCTGTTGTGTAGCATGATTTATTTTCCTTTGGAATTGTTGGGTTGAATGGTAGTTCTGTTTTAAGTTCTTTGAGAAATCACCACACTGCTTTCCACAGTGGCTGAACTAATTTACATTCCCACCAGCCTTATATAAGTGTTCCCTCTTCTCCACAGCCTTGCCAGTATCTGTTATTTTTTGACTTTTTGATAATAGCCATTCTGATTGGTGTGAAGTGGTATCTCATTGTGGTTTTGATTTACAATTTTCTCATGATTAGTGACGATTAGCATTTTATGTTTGTTGGCCACTTGTATGTCTTCTCTTGAGAAGTGTTTGTTCATGTCCTTTGCCCATTTTTAATGGGGTTATTTGTTTTTTTGCTTCTTGAGTTAAGTTTCTTATAGATTCTAGATATTAGACCTTTGTAGGATGCAGAGTTTGCACATATTTTCTCTCATTTTGTAGGTTATGTGTTTACTTTGTTGAAGTTTCTCTTGCTGTGCAGAAGCTCTTTAGTTTACTTAGGTCCCATCTGCCAATTTTTGCTTCTGTCACAATTGCTTTGAGGATAGGCTGTATATTCTTTGCCAAGGCCGATGACAACAAGGATATTTCTTAAGTTTTCTTCCAGGGTTTTTATAGTTTCAGGTTTTACATTTAAATCTTTAATCAATCTTGAGTTAATTTTTATCTATGGTGAAATGTAGGGGTCCAGTTTCATTCTTCTGCATATGGCTAGCCAGGTATCCCAGCACCATTTTTTGGAGTCATTTCCCCATTGTTTATTTTTGTTGACTTTGTTAACGATCAGATGGCTATGGGTGCCCTGCTTTATTTCTGGGTCCTGAATTCTGTTCCATTGATCTGTGTGTCTCTTTTTGCACCAATACCATGCTGTTTTGGTTACTGTAGCCTTATAGTATACTTTGAAGTCAGGTAATGTGATGTGTTTAGCTTTGTTCTTTTTCTTTAGGATTGCTTATAGATTAGAAAATATCAGAAAGGACAGTCTATTTAACAAGTAAAACTGGATATCCACATTCAAAAGAATGAAGTTGAACTCTTACTTTACACCATATAAAAAACCAACTCAAAAATAGGTTAAAGACCTAATCATAAGTGTGAAAATTATCCAACTCCAGAAAAACACATGGGAAAAAATTTTTGACACTGGATTTGGCAAAGATTTCTTAGATATGATGCCAAAAACACACACAAAAACAATAAAAACGTAGATAATTTTTTCTTCAAGATTGAAAACTTTTGCTTATTAAAGGAAACTACCCAGAGAGAAGAAAGACAATCCACATAATAAAACAAAATATTTGCAAATCACGTACTTAATAATATCCAGAATATATAAAGAACACCTACAACTTACTATAAAAAAAAACCAAAAACCTAATTTTAAAATGGGCAACAGATTTGAATAGACATTTCTTCACAGAAGATATACAAATGAGCAGTAAGCATATGAGATACTCAACATCACTAGTCATTAGGGAATTGCAAATCGCAACCACAATGAGATACCACATCACACCCACTAGGATTTCTATTGTCCATTAATCAGAAAATAACAAGTGTTAGTGAGGACATGGAGAAATTGAAAGCCTTGTACATTGCTCGTAGGAATGTAAAATAATACAGCTGCTAAGAAAAACAGTATGAATATTTCTCAAAAAGTTAAACATAGACTAACCGCTTGATCCAGCAATTCTACATCTAAGTATATACCCAAAAGAACTGAAACGAGGATACTCAAACAAATACTTCTATGCCAATGTTCACAGAAAACATTATTCACAATAGCCAAAAGGTGAAAACAATCCAAGTGTCCATCAACAGATGTGTCACTTTAAAAAAATGTACTATATATGTGCACCAGAATAGTATTCAGCCTTAAAAAGGAATAAAATTGTGATACATTGATGAACCTTGAAAACATTATGTTAAGTGAAATAAGCCAGATACAAAAGAAAAAATATTGTATGATTCCATTTATGTGAGACACCTACAATAGTCAAATTCATAGACCCAGTAAAACAGAGGTTACCAGAGACTGCCAGTAGGAGATAACAGAAGTTATTGTTTAATGGATATAGAATTTCAGTTTGTGATGATGAAAAAGTTCTGAAGATAGATATGGTGATGGTTATACAACATTGAGTATGCACTTAATCCCACTGAATTGTGTACTTCAGATGGTAAAATGTTAAATTTTGTTATGTATATTTTGATAAAATTAAAAGACTTTAAAAAAGTTCTGCATTTTTAATCATGTCTAGGCTGGTGCCTATGCTGCTGCTCTTGGGACCATTCTGAGTAGTAAGACTACGGTCTAGAGTAAAGAATAAAACATGGGGTTCCTCAGGAAAAGGAAACATATCTTTTGATTCTACAAACTAGTAGCTGGCACATCATATAAGCTCAATACTTTTTTCAATTCTTCATGAGGAAAGAGAGAAAAATATATGATCTAATAGGGTAACTAGGATTTGCAATATAATGCAGAATGTGTCACGAATATAATACAGACACAAGCAAAGAGCAAAAGGAAATCAGAGAAGGAGGTGATTTTTAGGGAGCAATAATAAAGTAATAAAATCAACGCCTTGCGTAAAGTATTACTCAATAAATATTTCTTGTGCAAATGTGCTGTTGACTTGTTAAAATTTTACCTATTATAATTAAGAATTCAACCAACTAACCAAAAAGATATGGGACTGTGCAATAGAAAACCAGGTATACAGACACTATGGCTCTTTTTAAAAAGAGTGTTTATTTGGCTCAGTGGACTTCCTTTGCTCATACTGTTTCCCAAGTGCAGTATGACATGAAGAACACAACGTGCTTTACCTGGATACTAACCAGTGTTCTAATCAGTTACAGCATGATCAGAAGATAAGCTTGGTAAAGCACAGTTATGAAAGTGCAGCTCATTATTTATTGAGAATAGAACGCATACATGATTTTGGTTTAAATGGACAGATCATGCACTTACCAAGGCGAGGCTTAATTGTTTTGATTTCTTTCTATGGATGGATGCATTTCATTACATAATTGTTAATTTCTATAAAATGCAAATGTTTGAGATTTGTCAATCATTTTATTTTTCTTACATACATGTCAGATTACTGGAGATGGTGTAAAGTCAGTTTAGCAGTTGTAAATATCTCCCATATGAAGTATGACCATTTACTTCTGTAAAAGGAAGAATAAGCCAACAGATGGCTGTATTTGTATTATGCCTTCCTCCTTGGTGCTAAAAGCAGTTCTGATCCACTTTCAATGAGAAGTTTACTATTTGAAAGCTTATTAGCTTTTTCAGATGCTTAGGTACTCTTTAATTAATTTGTAATTCCACTTTAAAGTTTAAAGCCATATCTTTATAATTGTCTTTATATAGGGTAATATGTTATAGGGCCTAACAACTGAGACTGAGTCACAACCATCTCTATAGATCCATAATAAAATGATAATTTATAATTTATGAACATAACTGTGATCTTAAGACAAGGTAAGATCCTCAAGTATCATCCCAAGGAAGAGTAAATTATGCTTAATACAATTTTAATGATGAATGGATTTTCAAAATATTCTAATTTTTTGTAACTGTTAATCCAGTTTGTGAAAGCTCCAAACTTTGTTTGTTTCGTAAACTAGAAAACCCTATTCCCTCAAACTGCTGGCTAATAAAAACTACTGCATCAGTTTTTTAAAGAGAAAACAGCATGAGATAGATTAAAAATTTTCACCAATTCCAGTCAAATGAATGGCAAAGTAGGAATATCTAATATCCTGACAAACAGTGCATTTTCCGTGGAATCTGACTTTCCTTCTTTTATTCCAATTCTAACACTTTCATTAGCTCCAAATCTAAGCCTAGAATGAAGCAAGGAAGTTATAAATTCAATGACAAAATTTGAATCTATGAACTGCCTAGCCAGAAACTTCAATTGGAGTGGGGGGCTGGGCAGGGCGAAATTCTGAGATGCTTCCTTTTTCAAACTGTGAGAGATGTGGGATGTAAAGAATGCTGTATATCAACTAAGTGATAAAAGTCACATAGCCATAATACATTTGTTAAAATTGTATTTCAGAAGAAGTAAATTGTAAATAAGATGGAAAATTCAGAAAGAGCTGAAGAAATGCAAGAAAATTATCAGAGAAATGGGTAAGCTCTCACTAAGTTCTGTAAGTATGCTTCCACAACTTCAAATATAACTCATCCTTTCCACACCTATAGCAAAAATGTTTATAATTTTTTCCCAAAAATAGCAACACTATTTGCATTTTGCTGAACTTGAACATAAGCAGTCTTATAATTAATTTAATAGTGATTTTAGGAACTGCAATAGGATTAATTGTAATAGGATTTATTTATCCAGGATTTATTGATTTAGTGCTTCAGATATCTCCTCTTCTGAATTTCTCATCGTTAATTTCTTGTCCACCATTATACAGAAGAAAGGCACCTGCAAATTTTAATTTCAATTCTCTGTGGACCCTTCATTCCATGTGGTACCTTTAATAAAAGAAAATATTCGATTCCGATTATTTTCTCTCTGAATAGATGTCTCTGTGAATATGTATGTTATACAAGTTTCTACACGTGGAATTCATTAATTGAGAGTTTTTAAATGGAAATAGTTTTACATCTATTTTATTTCCACTTTTACCATAATAATTGTGTTATATTTGGACATACAATCTATAAAACTGGAGAAGATCCCTCCAGGTCATGTAGTTTATTAATTCAGAAAATAGCCAGAGAGGGCATTCCAGCGATACCATTTTCTTGTGAGTCAGAATCAGAAACTTCCTTAGGCTAAAGCAAATTCCATTTAGGAACATTTTGAAAATCAAAAGAACTGCATTCCAAACTTCTCCTTTAATGTTTTTGTTGTTATTTTCCCAAAGTAAATGTTCTCCTTTCTAAGCACCTTTTCCTCATAAATTCAAAACATTATCTAAAGATGCCCCAGCATCCTGGTGTAAGGGGATGCTGAGGGGACAGGTTTATTTTAGAATACATTTGTGCTCTTAAGCATTACCTGTGGACTGACTAAATCATGTGTTCGGCATATATTCCACAGGAAGCATTGTAACTGTACAGTTAAGAGTTTGGGTTCTGGCGTCAGACTGAAGTTCAATCACTAGCTACATAAACTTGGGTTGTTTTACCCTGTGACTGTTTCTTCATCTTTAAAGTGGTCATGATAATAATACACTACAGACCTCATTGGTGAACCAAAAAAACTAACAGGTCAGTAGCAATACCAACAGCAAACTGCATCTATATGCTATCGCACAGAAAATTAGAATGGGGAGGTGGTTGATTTTTCTAGTTTCCATGACTGGAGAGAATAGGAGAAAACAATATGAAAGAAAATAGCAACAGGAATTGAAGGTAGGGGTTGGATGGGCCCTGAAAAGTGAAATTAGTGAGATATAGGTGTGGGGTCTGGCCATGAAATACAGGAAGGATTCCTATTAGGTGGAGGTGACACAACTGGAGCTAAGAGCAGAATCTTCGCTGCTCTGGGCCATGCTGATTTGCGCTAATGAAAGTACTGGGCCACCAACATCGCTAAGATCCCCTCCAGCTTGAAAACCAGCAACGGGCACGCTAGGACTAGGAGCTAGTGCGGCTGTGACCCGCACAATGGAATCAGTTTCCTCTGGGCGCCTCAGGCTCCGCCCTTGGCCTTTGCCAAAGGACACTTGGCCCCAAGAGCTGTGTAGAGGGAGGAGACCCCCAAACCCGCCCACCTGCCCACATGTTGCTTTCTTATGTCAACGCTGATAAAGAGACTTTCACAAAACGACCCAAGCCCTCCTTCGAAACCTTTCCATGAAGGTCAATCGGAGTTAGAAATTATTTCCCTGAAACAACTTTTATCAAGAGAAGAGGGTTTACTGGGTGTTAAGCTTCAAAATCCGCATCTAGAGGTGAGGAAAGGGATTGTAGGGTTTTGCAATGGTAAAGCATTCTTTTGTCATCTCATGCCTCAGCCCAGAGCAAATTGACCGGAACTCAAGTAAATTATTAACCTCATGTGGAATAAAATTAAGTGAATTGTCATTTATCAAAGCTGACAGAACAATGCGTTATAAAGCAGGAGAGGAGCCGGATGTTTGTCTTCCTGTTGTGTCTGTATAGAAAACTTAAACTGTTCCCTACAGTCTTCTCTTAATGTTTCAGAATTTTGCGCGTGCATGTGTGTGTGTGTGTAACTGACAGATTGCTGTGAAATCAGTGGATACAATGTACAGCTTTCATTTGGACCTCCTTGAAATGTGAGCATACAAAGCTAAGAAATGAAATTTTCAAAAAGGGAGACAAAATTAAGAGTACACTTGCTTAATGTGTACCTAATAGAACTCATTTCATTTAAAGCTCAGATTTTGTTACTAAAGGTTAAAAATTGCAATCCACCACTTCATACTCATTATGATGGCTAATACTAAGAAAAGAAAAAGGAATGAACAAGTGTTGGTGAGGATATAGAGAAACTGGAATCCTTGTTCTGGCAGGAATGTAAAATGGTGCAGTTGCTATGGTGCAGTGTGAATGTTCCTCAAAAAATCAATAATAGGTTTAACATGTAACCCAGCAATTCTACTTCCGGGTATATACTCAAAAGAATTAAAACCAGTGAGTTGAAGAGATATTTGTACACTCATATTCCTAACAGCGTTACTAGGAATAGCCAAAATGTGGAAGCAGTCTAAGTGCTCAACAAAACGTGGCAAAAACATATAATGGAATACTATACAGCCTTAAAGAGTAGAAAAATTCCAACACCTACTACAATGTGGATGAAACATGAAGACTTTATGCTAAGTGAATAATTCAAGGATGAACTTTGAAGACAGCCAGACGAAACAGACACAGAAGGAGAAATGCTATATGATTCTATTTTTCTGAGGTGCCCAGAGCAGTCAGATTCATAGAGGCAAAATAGAACCGCGGTTGCCAGGGGCTGGGAGATGGGGACAATGGGAAAATGTTTAATGTGTACAGAGGCTTAGTTTTGCAAAGTAAAGAGTTCTGTGGGTAAATCAAAATAAATGGTGGCACAACAATGTGACTGTACTTAGTACCTTGGTTATACAATTAAAATTATTCAAGAAGATAAAGTCTACATTATATCTATTTTACCACAACTTTAAAAAATTCTCCTCCAGACACGTCTTCAAGTTGCTACCCTAACAAGTTTACAGACAACCAGTGACAACTGTCTATCATTAAGTTTATTTTTAAAATTTCAGTGTTGGTATAAATTTGCTACCAAGGTGATATCTGACACTTCTGCAAACTATTAATGGAAAAATTTTGCAAATTATATTCACATTGTAACTGCTGCATTTTGAACTTTTATTTTCCAGAACTGCAGAAGAACAGCCAAAACTGAGAAAGGAAGCAGTTGGATCTATTGAGATAGTAAGTGAAATCAGTTAGAAAGTACATGCATTAGAAGATTTTAGAGACTTGTCAGTAGTGCATAGAAGATTGTGTTTATTAGATTGCATCCACTATTTGTGGGAAAGAGGGAACTAAAATAATTCATTAAAGTATGATTTTCGATAGAAAAAATATAAACAATCTCAAAATTTTACAATAAAGGATAGGGAAAAATAGCATAACATCCACATAATGACTCAGTGTTTTAAAAGTGTTTTTGGGGTGTGTGTGTGTGTGTGTGTGTGTGTGTGTGTGTGTGTATCATACATAAATGTTACCAAAGGATATTTCTGAGTGGTGGGAAATTATCAGTGACTTTTACTATCTATGTTTACATTTCAGTATATTCCAATGATTCTGCATTGTTATGTGTTGTTATTATTTTTATAGTGTTACAAATCCTTTTAAATCAAAAATAATTATCTAAGAATTTTTTAAAGCCTATGTATCAGATAATGTGTCTGTACACTTCTTTGAAATCATGTTTAAGGAGCGTTTCATGCATGTGTTCCCAGACATGGTCTTCACCCACTCTAATCTCTGTGTCAGCCTGGCTGTCAATGTTATGTCCCTACAAATATACATGAAACAGCCTGCTTTTTCAAAAGTCAATTTAAAAAAAACTGAATAGTAGCAGAACATGACAAACTTTATCAAGGAGATAACATTATTCTGGAGGAAGGTAGAGGAGCAGATACTCTCTTAATGTCCGTAATGCTGAATGCAATGCTGTGGAAGTAACACTATAAATATTTATTAGCTATTGCAACGATGAATGGAAAAATAATATTTTGGTCTCCATTCATAAAATATGCAGTAAGTTCCTCTTGCTGTTATTAAAATCTAATTACATTTTAATACCATTTAAATTTTATTTTGGCCTCTCTCGGTAATATAAACAATCCATATTTTCAATTTTGCTCATGATTTGGTTTTGGACAGATGCTATGGGGACCTACTACAGAATAGAATATAAAGCATTCAATAGATGGCTTTCAGGCATTTCTTTCTTATTCAAAACAGCCCTTAAAATTATCATTGACCCCCTTAAATATCCTATTTACAGGATAGGCATTGTTCTGTGTAGAAAAAAAAATCTAAGGAATTTAAAATAATCACAAATATAATTCATTACATTTTTACTAGTTAGCTCTGGTCACTGCACTTAGCCATGACATTGCCATGATGCCGGTGAGCCAGAGCGTTGAAAATGTGCAGATCAGCTTTCCATAAACTAAGATATTGTTGTTGCAGTCTTCAGAATATCTTAACTTATTCCAAAATCAACCAAATGGAATAAAGTTTCTGATTCATACCCACATCTGACCTGACTTGTGTCAGGTATCTACAATTTGTACTGATTTAGCTGCTTTATTTATTTTTATTATTACTATACTTTAAGTTCTAGGGTACATGTTCACAACGTGCAGGTTTGTTACATATGTATACATGTGCCATGTTGGTTTGCTGCACCTATCAACTTGACATTTACATTAGGTATTTCTCCTAATACTATCCCTCCCCCAGCCTCCCACCCCACAACAGGCCCCGGTGTGTGATGTTCCCCACCCTGTGTCCATGTGTTCTCATTGTTCAACTCCCACCTATGAGTGAGAACATGCGGTGTTTGGTTTTCTGTCCTTGTAATAGTTTGCTGAGTATGATGGTTTCCAGCTTCATCCATGTCCCTGCAAAGGACATGAACTCATCCATTTTTATGGCTGCATAGTAGTCCATGGTGTATATGTGCCATATTTTCTTAATCCAGTCTATCATTGATAGATATTTGGGTTGGTTCCAAGTCTGCTATTGTGAATAGTCAGCTGCTTTGTTTTTTAATGCCTTTAAAGGAGATGGTAAATTCTTAATTTTGGTATTTGTTTTTACTTTAGATATAAATACATATCTATGATTTTATGCACTTATTTACCATCTTAATGTATAAAGTCATGTTTACTAGGTGGCAAAGGCTGTAGGCTGTTGTGTGTGTGTGTGTGTGCTTGGTGTGTTTGTTTGTTTTACAGTTGTGGTGCTACCGTGCTTTGTTTTCCTCAGTTCCGCTTTGCTGATGGACTGGACATCACACTCATGATCCTGGGTATACTGGCATCACTGGTCAATGGAGCCTGCCTTCCTTTAATGCCACTGGTTTTAGGAGAAATGAGTGATAACCTTATTAGTGGATGTCTAGTCCAAACTAACACAAGTGAGTATACGATTATTTTTCTGTATCACTTAAGACACAAAAGCATTGAATAAAGCAAACAAACGTTAAGCTAGCAAGGCAGATTATTGTATTGTAAAACAGTATCTGTATAATATGTATTTAAGTCATTTATTCTGCCATATTGCTGGGCACTAAAGAAACAAAATCTTCATGACCACAGAGGTCTATAATTGAATTAAAATAAATAAATAAATAAATAAGAAACAAAATCCCCTATTAGTCAGGGTTCTCCAGAGAAACAGCATGGATAGGATGTGCGTTAGAAACAAAGAGAGAGAGAGACTGCGTGTGTGTGTGTGTGTGTGTGTGTGTGTGTGTGTGTGTGTAAAGAGTGAGATTTTAAAGAATTGGCTGGCTCACATGGTTATAGAGGCTGGTGAGTTCAAGAGGGTGGGCTGGCATGCTGGGGACTCAGCAGAGAGCCAATGTTGCAGTTCAAATCAGAAAGCCATTTGCTGACGTTACGTAGGAATCATCTGAAGCCCACAATAGTTCAGCTTGTCTCTCTAAGAATTCAAATAACTTTTTATCAGAAGTGGTGATTACATCAGGATTTAATCAAACGCTTGGGCCATCCCAGGCCACTAGGATGTAACACATCCTTTAAAAAGAAGAAATCAAGGCCGGGTGCAGTGGCTCATGCCTGTAATCCTGCACTTTGGGAGGCTGAGACCAGTGGATCACCTGAGGTCAGGAGTTCGATACTAGCCTGGCCAACATGGTGAAACCCCGTCTCTATTAAAATACAAAAAATTAGCCAGCCATGGTAGCAGGTGCCTGTAATCCCAGCTACTCGGGAGGCTGAGGCAGGAGAATTGTTTGAACCCAGGAGGCAGAGGTTGCATTGAGCCAAGATTGCACCATTGCACTCCAGCCTGGGCAACAAGAGCGAAACTCCATCTCAAAGAAAAAAAAGAAGGAGAAGGAGAAGAAGAAGAAGAAGAAATAATCAAGTATGATCAAATCTTTCAGTTTAGTAGCTACTTAGGTTTTTGGGGGTTTTTTGGTAGTAGTTTTTAGCCATGCATGGCACTATATAACATAATGCAGAAGAGAAGCAGAAAATTATACAACTAGAGACAGATACCCTGAATTGGTGGTGAGAGGAACTAGCAATTAGGTGTGGAAAAGGTGTTTTCATATTGCTCTTATCTGTAGGCATCTTTCGTGTATCGTTTGTAGCCTCCTATTTCAGGGTCATGTCTTTCAAGGTGACATTATTCTTTAGGTTAAATTCCAGTGATTTTCCTATGCACTGATGTAATGACTATGCAGTATTTTTTATCTGGTGGATATTATAAATATTAGTAATTTCCTGATTTTATATGCTTTTCCCCAAATTCCACACTGGAAGTATTGTTATAAATACTTATTATAACTGGGAAAAATAACTCATTACAACCCAGACTGTCTTTTCATCAACATTAGCCTTTCTTTGTTCAGTCTACTTCCCTCTGTGCTCTATTTGACTTTAAATTCTAATTTATACCTAAATTATACCTTCTTGTTTTCCAAAAAGCAAATCTTTAAAGCAAAAAAAAAAATCTTTAAAGCAAAAAAAAATCTTTAAACTCAAAAGTAAATCTTTTACGTGTGCTAATCTTGAGTGGGATAAACCCATTGCTTCCATCTCTGTCTTTCCATGATCTCCTGCTTAAACAGTTATGATTTTTTAAATATTTTAATAATATGAACAAAATTAAGGATATAAGTGAAAATCTGATATATTAATGATGTAAATTGATGCATATGCTAAATAATTTGTTGTTAAACAAATGGAGCCAATTCACTGAGTAAACATTTATTGATTGTCTACTACATCTCCATGAACAAATGAATGAATGAATGTGTGAGTAAATGGGCAACCTGGCAACCTAAGGCCATCTGCTTGGGCGTATGCTTTTTGTTAAGTTTATTCTGTAATTGATTGCCTTACCTGTTTTGGATAGGCTAGGCACTACATATCTAATTGCTATTGCTGTGAATTCTAATTTTTCTTGTTGTTCAAGGCTTCGCCAGTTTCCTGGTTTTATTGAATGTGGTAAACATATAGAGAAGTTCAATAATGATTTACATAAATTCATGGATATTACTGGTATATTATAACACATTGTTAAAGAGAAGTAGGGATATTAAGAGGCAAATCTTCAACCTTCTAACATTGGTTTTCCGGAGGATAATAGAGCAGGATTATTCGTTCCTATAAATAAAAATATGAATAATAGCTATCATTAGTTGGGGATCCATTTTTGTGTGAGTCCTGAACTTTCCAAAATATTACCTCTATCAATATAATCTACACACTGAGATTATGCCATTTTTATAAGACTGCAGGAACCATTTTTAGAAACAATGTTTATTTCCTTTATTTGCTCAGTTAAATCTCATTGAAATCTCCATTTCTGCCACATGAATTTTGGTATTTTTTCCTACCACAATTCCATAAATAGAATAAGGGAGAAATGATTGTTTGCATATAAATAAAGATCATAAGCATTGTAATATGTGATGATGTTATGGTTATAACAGATGAAGAGTCATGATGTCTGCAGTTATTTCAAATGTTGATTATAGAAGTTTAAGGAATAAAATTATAATCATGGATATCAACCATGGTTTTGTGTTATTGGTGAAATCAGGACTTTGGTATATTAATCAGTGTACAATATTTTTTTCTACTAGAAGATATATAGAAAAGTTTACAGAGAAAACTTATAACCTTTAAACATTGTTATTTATACTCAACATGTTTCACTGAGCTTTCCATTTTTCCCATGGCTAATTCTTCTAGAACTTTCACACATGTTCTTGCTTTTTTTGGACTTCTGAAATCATTCCCTGGAGTGTTTCAAACTTAATTTAAAGTGTATAATCTCAGGCAGAAGCAGGGAATTTTATAACTATTACTTTCCTGATTGTTGTCTGATCAGAGATGTCCCAAATAATTCTTTCCAGTTATGAGCTACATGGTTAATGCTTCCTTACATTTTTCCAAGCCGCATGAGTACTTCTTGAGAGCAGAGATAATTATTTCCAGTTCTAGGTTAAAGAATAGAAAATGAGATGATAATAAACTGCGTGTGGGCAGTAAATCTGTTGTCTTAAGAGTGCACTATATTTGGTTTGGAGGGCTATCTGTGTAACAGTGTGACCAATTATAAATTAATTTCCTCTATATTTTAAATAACCTTTTTTACAGCAAATTATCAGAACTGTACTCAGTCTCAAGAGAAGCTGAATGAAGATATGACTCTGTAAGTCCAAATGAAACGTTAATATCACATTCGTTGAATGATGCTTTATTTAAAGCTTACAAGAAAAAAGCAACTGAAATTTTGTATGACCATTAATATTACATAACAAATGATTAAAGCAAACATTTCCTCTTCTTTCATTAGGTATATAAAATACAATTAGTACATATTTTTTCTTCTACTTGAAAGGTGTATAGGTCATATGCTTTGAGTTGTAGTTGACAGAGTTGTCATCAATTTTAAAATTGTAAGGATTTGCATTTTTGTAGCAATTTTGCCTCCTAGTAATATCCTGGGAAAGAAAGGACTTGATTTTCCTTCTAAAAAATTATATTTCTTATGAGCCTCATTGAAAATTCTATTTCCTTACCATTTGACCCAGCCATCCCATTACTGGGTATATACCCAAAGGACTATAAATCATGCTGCTATAAAAACACATGCACACGTATGTTTATTGCAGCACTATTCACAATAGCAAAGACTTGGAACCAACCCAAATGTCCAACAATGATAGACTGGATTAAGAGAATGTGGCACATACACACCATGGAATACTATGCAGCCATAAAAAATGATGAGTTCATGTCCTTTGTAGGGACATGGATGAAATTGGAAATCATCATTCTCAGTAAACTATCGCAAGAGCAAAAAAACAAACACCGCATATTCTCACTCATAGGTGGGAATGGAACAATGAGAACACATGGACACAGGAAGGGGAACATCACACTCTGGGGACTGTTGTGGGGTTGGGGGAGGGGGGAGGGATAGCATTGGGAGATATACCTAATGCTAGATGACGAGTTAGTGGGTGCAGCGCACCAGCATGGCACATGTATACATATGTAACTAACCTGCACATTGTGCACATGTACCCTAAAACTTAAAGTATAATAATAATAAATAAATAAATAAATAAAAAGAAAATTCTATTTCTTTAAACATTAAAAATCAACAAATAGTAAAAATAATAAAATACTTCTTAACATAAAAATAGTAAGGTTTTACTCACACTAAATTTGGAGACTAATTATTCAGACTATTATGGTAAAGTTGTATCCAAACAAAAAATTGTAAAGTATGAATAATAAATAATTTATAAGGATGTTCTGTTTTGTAATTTTAGGTATTAAACAGTGTGATTTATTTACTCAACATGTTCTGAGTTTCCTAGGTAGACACTACCTTTCTCAGTATATTGACTGGATTTCTGTACTGCCTCACTAAAGCTTTCTGGGTCTTTACTCTAAACCTAAGTGATTCCTATTCTTTTCCCCCCAAAATGAAGACACCATCTTGTCAAGGGACACCCATCACATTGCAGTGACATCTTCTGGGCCTTAATTCTTTTTTTAATTAAAAAAATTATAATTGACACACAATAATTATACATATTTATGAGGTACCTAGTGATGCTGTAATACATATAACGTATAGTGATCAGATCCGATTAATTAGCATATTCATTATCTCAAACATTTGTCGTTTCTTCGTATTGGGAATGTTCAGTATCTTTCTTCTAGCTATTTGAAATCATGTAATATATTATTGTTAAGTATAGTCATAGTTAACTATAGCACTATAGGACATTAGAACTTATTTCTCCTATCTACCTATAACTTTAGCATTAACAAATATCTCCTTATCCCTTCCTTCTCTCTACCTTTCCCAGTCTCTAGTATCCTCTGTTCTTCTTTAGTTTTAATTCCTAATATGCCCTGTCCAATATTTTAGCCATGGCCATTTGTGGCTATATAATTTTGTTTATAGATTTAGGGGGTACAAGGGCAGTTGTGTTACATGGATATATTGCATAGTGGTGAAGTCTGGGCTTTTTGTGTAGCCATGACCCAAATAGTGAAACTTGTAGCCATTAAGTAATTTCTCATCTCTTACACCCCCTTTTACCCTTTCAGCCTCTGAGTCTCCAATGTCTATTATTCCACTCTCTATGTCCATATGTACACATTATTTAGCTCCCACTTATAAGTGAGAACTTGTGGTATTTGACTGTTTCTGAGTTATTTCATTTAAGATAATGGCCTCTTGATCCATCCATGTTGCTGCAAAAAAAAAACAAACCATGATCTCATTATTTTTATGGCTGACTAGTATTCCATGTTGTGTGTGTGTGTGTGTGTGTGTGTGTGTGTGTAAACATTTTCTTTATCCATTCATTCACTGATGAACACTTAGGTTGAGTCCATATCTTTGCTATTGTGAATAGGGCTACAATAAACATACAAGTGCAGGTATCTTTCTGGCACAATGATTTCTTTTCCTTTGGGTACATACTCAGTATTAACACTGCCAAATTGAATGGTATTTCAATTTTTAGTTCTTTGAGAAATCTCTATACTGTTTTCCATGGAGGCTGTACTAATTTACGTTACCCCCAATAGTGTATAAGTGTTCTCCTTTCTCTGCATTCTCACCAACATCTGTTATTATTTGGCTCTTTAATAGTAGACATTCTGATTGGTGTACGACAGTGTTTCACTGTGGTTTTATTTGCATTTCTCTGATGATTACTGAGGTTGAGCATTTTTTCATATGCTTTTTGGACATTTGTATGGCTCCTTTTGAAAAGTGTCTGCTCATGTCTTTTGCCCACTTTTTAATGGAGTTATTAAGGTTTATTTTATTGTCATTGTT
This sequence comes from Homo sapiens, assembly GCF_000001405.40. Classification (NCBI taxonomy): domain Eukaryota; kingdom Metazoa; phylum Chordata; class Mammalia; order Primates; family Hominidae; genus Homo; species Homo sapiens. The sequence continues at coordinate 20,634,772 of NC_000007.14, forward strand.
GAGGTGTTTGGGTTCCTTGTAGATTCTAGATATTAGTTTTTTGTTGGTTGCATAGTTGGCAAATATTTTCTCCCATTCTGCAGGTTGTCTTTTCACTCTGTTGATTATTTCTTTTGCTGTGCAGAAGCTTTTTAATTAATTTCCATTTGTCTATTTTCGGTTTTGTTGCATTTGTTTTTGAAGTCTTAGTCATGAATACTTTGTCAAGGCCAATGTCCGGAAGAGTTTGTCCTAAGTTTTCTTCTAGTATTCTTATCACTTCAGGTGTTAAATTTAAGTCTTTAATCCATCTTTAGTTGATGTTTGTATATGGTGAGAGATAAGGGTCCAGTTTTATTCTTTTGCTTACAGATTTCCAATTTTCCCAGCACCACTTATTAAATAGGATGTCCTTTTCCCAGTGTATGTTTTTGTTGGCTTTGTTGAAGGTCAATTAGTTGTAGGTATGTGGCTTTATTTCTGGGTTCTCTATTCTTTTTCCTTGATCTATGTGTCTATTATTATACCAGTACCATGATATTTTCGTTACTATAGCCTTGTAGTACAATTTGAAATCAGGTAGTGTGATACATCCAGCTTTGTTCTTTCTGCTTATAGTTGTTTTGGTTATAAAGGCTTTTTTTTTTTTTGGTTGCATATGAATTTTAGGACTGTCTTTTCTAATTCTGTGAAAAATGACATTGGCATTTTGATAGAAATTGCATTGAATGTATAGATTGCTTTGTCCAGTAAAGTCATTTTAATGATATTGATTCTTCAGATCCATGAGCATGGAATGTTTTCCCATTTGTTTGTATCATCTGCAATTCCTCTCATTGATGTTTTGTAGTTTTCCTTGTAAAGATCTTTTAATTCCTTAGTTAAATATATTCTTAGATATTTTTTGTAGCTATTGTAAATGGGATTGATTTCTTGATTTGATTCTCATTTTGATCATTATTGGTGTATAGAAATGTTACAGATTTTTGCACATTGATTTTATAACCTGAGTCTTGACTGAATTTGTTAGCAAATCTAGGAGTATTTTGGTGGAATTGTTATGGTTTTCTAGGTATAAGACCATATCATCAGCAAATAAATAATTTGACTTTCTCTTTTCCAATTTGGATGCCTTTTATTTCTTTCTGTTGCTTGATTGCTCTGACTATAAATATGAATTGATTAAAATTAAAATTTAAAATTCAGTTTCTCATTCTCAATCACATGTCAAGCATTAATAATTATATCTGGCTGGCTGCCATACAGTACAGCATAGATACTGAACATTTTTTTCATCATGGAAAGTTCTATTGGATAGTGTTGTTCTGGGCTACAATGTGAATGATGCTCCCTTGAATTGAGTTTTGCTGCAGCCTCAACTTTCTTTGGCTTAAAGTTCTTTTCTTAGCTAATTTTACATAAAATTTATTTATATTGGATCTTTTGAAAATTCTTGATTAGGATCTAGGGTAGTGTTTCATACTGAATTTTTGGTCTTACAGTATTAAAGCAGGGCTCTGATGTACAGTCACGAAGGATACTTTTTTTTACAAAAAGTTTAAAATTTTTTTAATAGGAGCATCCATTTAAAAGTAGACAATAAAAGGGACAATAAGATGAAAAGATATGTCTATGTACAGTTATGTAAGGGCTACTAAATTTATAAGGAAACATACTTACCTTTTATAGTACTTGTTATACCATTATTTCTTTTTTTAAGACTCATTTAAATAATAAGAAATTTATTACTGAGACCAGCTGCAATGGCTCACTCCTGTAATCCCAACATTTTAGGAGGCTGAGGCAGGCAGATCACTTGAGGTCAGGAATTCAAGACCATCCTGGCTAACATGGTGAAACTCCGTCTCTATTAAGAATACAAAAATTAGCTGGGCATGGTGGTGGGCACCTGTAGTCCCAGCTACTCGGAAAGTTGAGGCAGGAGAATCACCTGAACCTGGGAGTTAGAGGTTGCAGTGAGCTGAGATCACACCACTGCACTCAAGCCTCGGCAACAGAGCAAGACTCCATCAAAAAAAAAAAAAAAAAAAAAGGAAGGAAGGAATTACCTATAATATTCAGTACATTATTATTAATTATAACTATTAATGTATTCAGTATGTTAATATTTTTGAAATATTTGAGATACATATTAAAGAAGACTCTTCAGTCAAATTGGTTTGGAAAACATTATCTATGACAGCCTTCTATCCGATACATAGGATACATACATGACAAATACGGATAGTAAAGGCTTCATTTAGTTAGCTTGATTTAATCCAAGTTTTCCAAACCTACCAATATTTGATTGTGGAACATAATTTATTTCTGCTAAAATTGATTAGCATCTGTGGAACTAATATTTTAATGAACATATTTTGGGGACACATTGATTTGCATAATTTTTTGAGTATAAGGTAATAGTACTTCTTCCGTCTGTAATAATCAGGAACTAAAGAATTCTATTCTACCTGTTATTTTCCAAAGAAAGTGACTCAGCTTTATAATTTTAATGTTAAGTCTATGCCCCTGTCTAATTTCTCAGAAAATTTTTCTAAAAATAGTTGAATCTTTTCTTGCTGACTCCAGACTGAAATGACTAAATAGTGCCAGGACTACTGCTGGTCAATATGATGCCTCCTCTTTTGCTGCCAAAAGTTGATTACTTAATTTTTTTTTTTTTTTTGAGATGGAGTTTTTGCTCTTGTTTCCCAGGCTGGAGTGCAATGGCATGATCTTGGCTCACTGCAACCTCTGCCTCCCGGGTTCAAGAGATTCTCCTGCCACAGCCTCGTGAGTAGCTGGGAATACAAGCATGAGCCTCCATGCCTGGCTAATTTTGTATTTTTAGTAGAAATGGGGGTTCTCCATGTTGGTCAGGCTGGTCTTGAACTCCCGACCTCAGGTGAGCTGCCCACCTCGGACTCCCAAAGTGCTAGGATTATAGGCGTGAGCTGCCATGCCAGGCCTTGATTACTTAATTCTATGTGAACTTCTAAGCAACTTAATCCTTTTCTTTTGCTACTTCTAATGTATCTAGCATAACCTACTTGAAAGAGAAGGGGCAAACTAGACAGCCAACTCCGTGTTAGATTAGCATATAGTAAGTGCTCAATAAATGAAGCCATTAAATCAATCTTAATATGGGTGACTTTTGGAATCAGAAAGCTAAGGCCTCAAGGGTGGCTTCATTTCTTGATGCAAAATTAATTGCCTGGGCTCTGGGGCTGCTGAAATTCTTCTTCTCCATCCCAGGTAGTTTGGGAGTCTGATTACTAGATGAATGTGGAGTTAATAAGTAGAGTCCTTCCATGTGGAAAACTCGAGTGTGTTGTTTTGTTTGTTTGTTTATAAGGAATAGTTTTTTAAAAAGTGAGTCAGTGCTTCTATAAAATTATTTAAATTATTTTTTCTGATTAAATCATATTTTCACTGCAGAAAATGTGAAAAGATACAAATGCACAAAGAAGACAATTAAATCACTTATACATAATCCCAACACTAATAGATAAAAATATTAATTTCTGTTTATATTATAGTATATTTACATGTATAGTGGTACATATATAATTTTAGTGCAATTGTACTGTTTATATTATTTTTAATATCTTTGTTGATGTATAATTTATTTAGCATATAATTTACCAGTTTTAATTGTGCAACTTAATGATTTTTAGTAAATGTATGGAGTTGTACAGCCATCATCACAATATTTTTAGAACACTTTTATCCTCCTACAAAGATCTTCATTTGCAACCAATCCCTATTCCCATGCCCAGCTTGAGGCAACTCCTTATCTGCTTTTCATCTCAAAAGATTTGCATATTACTGACATTGTATATGCATGGAAATATATAATATGTAAGGTTCTTGTACCTGGCTTCTTTTGTTTGGCATACTGTTTTTGAGGTTCATCCATGTTGTAACAGGTAGGAGTAGTTTATTCCTTTTTATTGCTTAGTAGTAATCCATTGCAAGGCTGTATCACATTTTGTTTATCTCTTCACCAGCTGATGGACAGTTGGATTGTTTCTACTTTTTGGCTATTTACAAATAATGCTTCTGTGAACACTGATGTACACTTCTTTGTGTGAACATACGTTTTTATTACTCTTGAGTAGACCTAGGAGTGGAATTGCTGGGTCATATGGTAAATTTAGGTTTGTCTCTTTAAAACACTGCCAAACTGTTTTTTCAAAGTGGCTACACCATTTTACTGTCCACCAGCAGTGTCTGAGGGTTCCAGTTTCTCCATGTCCTCATCAACACTTGTTATTGTCTGCCTTTTTTATTACAGCCATTGTAGTAGGTATGAAGGGGTATTATAATATGACTTTAACTTGCATTTCCCTAGTGACTAATGATGAGCATTTAATGTACTTTTTATCTACTCATATATTTTCTTTGGTGAAAAGTCTATTCAAATATTTTACATATTTTTAAATTGTGCCATTTGTCTTCTTATTATTAAGTGGTAAGAATTCTTTATAAATTCTGATTGCAAGTTCTTTGTTGGATATACAATTGGCAAATATTTCTTCCCCATCTGTCAGAGTGTACACTTTCTTAGAGGTTTCTTTTGAAGGACAAAGTTTTTAACTTCGGTAAAGTTCAGTTCACTAAGTTTATTTTTATGGATTGCACTTTTGGGTGTGGGAATTTTTTGCCTAACCCAGGATGATGAAGATTTTCCTTTACATTTTCCTGTTCAAATTGCAATGTTTTAACTCTTAAACTTAGGTCTATGATCCATTTTGAGTTAATCTCTGTGAATGATGTGAGGTAATGGTTTAAATTTATTTTTTTTGCATGTGGCTGTCCAGTTGTCCCAGAACCATTTGTTGAAAAAACAGTCTTTTCTCAATTAAATTGCCTTGGCACCTTTGCTAAAAATCAACTGCCAATAAATGTAGGAGTCCGTTTCTGTTCTCTAGGCTCTGTTGCAGTTATTGACATGTCTGTCTTTATGCCAGTACTGCACTGTTTCGATTACTGTAGTTTTATAGTTTTAATAAATAAACTCAGGAAGTGTAAGTTCTCCAAATTTGTTCTTCTTTTTAAAAATTACTTTGGCTATTCTGAGTTCTCTACATTTCTATATGTATTTTATGATCACCTTGTCAATTTCTACAGGAAAGCACACAGGAGAATTTTGACAGGGATTGCATTGAATCTATAGATAAATTTGGGGAAGATTGTCATCTTAACAACACTGAGTCTCCCAATCCATCAACATGGATTGTCTCTTCATTTATTTAGATCTTCTTTAACTTCTCCTAATAATGTGTTGTGGTTTTCAGTGTATTCATCTTACATTTATTTTATTTGGTTGTTGCAAACCTTTTCCCTACAGCATTAAAAAAAATTCAACAAGATGATTTGTATTAAGCCTGTAGTGTTCCATCCTATCCTTGAATAGTCCCTCTTACTAGAAAATACAGTAAATTATTTATGATAGTTAATGTTCTATTAAAGTTTCTGTGAAAATTGAATTATCAAATTCTGAAGATTACTCTTAGGAGAAATACAGTGTTAGGATCCTGTGAACCTCTGGTGACAAACTTTTCGTCAACCAAATAATACACAACCTCACTTTATGTGTGCTTTTTTTTAAAGACACCTTATTTAATGTGTGTTGGTGATTCTTTAACATTGAACTCATGGTCAACAGCACTATATCTCACTCCTGAATGAAACTTATCTGACACACCTGTTTTCTAGATAGGGCACGTCACAGCCTTCTTGCACTAAGGAGCGCTAGCCATCAGTTCAGTGTGATGCTTGGGAATCATTACAAATAGCAAAATCATCAACAAAAAGCACAAAAATGAGAAAAACTTGGCACTAAATAAACCACGAAAATAACACTTGCTTACAGTACAAGAGCTGAAACAAGAAGGCAGAGTACGTGTGCATCAGGCAAACCAAATTTTTGGCCACTCTGTGCATGTCCATAAATAACCATGAAAACACCACAAGTATTGACTTGGGACTTAGAAAAAAAACTTTAGCAAGGAAGCAGATTTGCAAATACAGGATTTTCAAATAATGAGCATCAATTGTATTTTCCTCTCCCGTGTTGCTTGGTACTTCACTCTCCTGGATTTCCAACTACCTCACTGGCCTCTTGGCAGATTCTTTCTCTTCATCCCAAGCAACATCTTTGCAGAGTCACTAACAGTCCTTGGCCCTCTTCTCTTCTTTTCCTATACTTAATTCTTCCTCTTCCTGGGTGTTCTCAGCCAGTCCCTTTGTTTTAATTACCACCTGCCTATAAGTTACTGCTTTCAAATCCACATCCCCAGCCTAGACCCCCTCTCTCGTGCTTCCATTTCTCATTTTCAGCTTCTTACTTGATCTCCATTTCGAGGTTTAACAGGCATTTCTGACTTCACAAGTCTAAATGTGAACTCTATGTCCTGCAAATCTTGTCTTTGTCCCAGTCTCTCACATCTATAAGTGATACCCTCATCACCAGCTGCTCAACTCAAAACCTAAGAAGTTATTCTTGATTTCTCTCTTTCCTACATTCCTCATATCCAATACATTGGCATTTTTTTCAGGAAGAATCTATTAAACAAAGATTATTTTATTATTGCAAAACACACACACACACACACACACACAAACTATAAAACACTAGTGTGCACCTGTAGTCCCAGCGTTATGTACCATCAGTGCCAGCTACTCAGGAGGCTGAGGCAGGAGGATTCCTTAAGCCTAGGAGTTTGAGGACAGCCTGGGCAACATACCCAGATCCCGTCTTTTTAAAAAAGCAAATAAACTATAAAGCACTAAGAAATCTAAATATCCATGCTAGAGCAAACAGGTGGCAATTGAACATCCTGGGTCTATAGTATGCTTGAGGGAGACTGTGACTGATTAGATCCCCACAGTAGAGAGAACATCTTCATAGGCAAACGGGGGCTTACCTGTAACAGCTGTTCAAGTTCTCTCTTCTCAGCAAGAATCATGAAAGGTACTTAATTCAAGGTGGGTGTACAGTCTGATGCTCTTCAGGCAGGTCAAATTCTCATAATCTAGAGGACTGAATGGAAAGTACTTTTCTTTTTCAAGATAGGTGTCATTGGAGGCAGGAATGGAGCTTTTTGCTTTGACAGTCTTCCCCGTCATGTGTCTAGCAGAGAAAGTTGGTTGTTCTTGTTCAGGGCGTCCATTAGTCTGGCAGTTTTTGTTTCCAAAATACACCTAAAATCTATCTGCTTCTTTTCATGTAGGCCGCCATGATCCTCCTCCAGGCCCCCATTCTTCTCACCTTGGCCAGGGCGATAGGTTCTTAACAGAACTTCCTGCTTCCATTATTTCTGCTTTCATCCGTTCTCCACAGAGAAGCTGGAGTGGTCTTTTAAAAAGTTGAACAGATAATGCCATCCCATGCTCAGATCTTCCAAAGATCTTCTGCTTCTCCTGGAATAAAACATGAACAGTGCACTGTAAAAACCCTAGAATATGCCAAATTCTCCAGCCTCATTATTTCTTACCACTTTGGACTTCTTTTGTTTCTGGAATGTGCTAAACAACTTTTTTCTGACTCAGTCTCTCCTGGGAGAAATATTTTTCCTCTCCCTGGAATGCACTTCCTGCTCTTTTTATGGCTGGCTTAATTTCACGTTTTGGATCCCAGCTATAATATCACTTCCTCACAGAAACTTTTCTTGACCACTCTATTTATCTGCACTAGCTCTCCCAACCCATGTTTACTCACCAGTTATTCTGTGGCCTATCCCCCGTTTACTTCCTTCCTAGAAAAACCTATTTTTTTTTCTCCTTGTGTATTGTCTGCCTCCTGCCAGAATTGGAGGACTTATTATCTTGCTCATGGCTGTGTCTCTAGACCCTCACACATAGTGGGCACTCAGTATACATTTATTAAATAATTACATTTCTTATCTGATCTCCTCCTGTATAATATTTGGATTGTTTTCAGCTTTTCTATATTGTTACAAATGCTGCAAAGACCAGTTATATAGATGAATCTTTGTATATATTACCTTAGGGTGAATTCCTTAAGTTGAATTTGGGGCTGACTATGTATAGTTTTTAAGCTTTTTATCAAATGCTTTTGACTGCTATCATTATTTTTTTACCCTCCAGTTCCACCTACAATTACCTTGATTGACTCAATGGAACTTTTTCATATGAAAGTATTAAAAATACTGAAAGAAGATATAAGTAGCAAGAATGTTTTAAAATACTAATTTCTGATAATAATGTAAAAGATACACTCTATGTTTTACCAGGAAACCTAGATCATTATATTCAATGCACTTCACTCTCATGGCATGTTATTTTTAGTTCTTTTTCTAGTTCTAGCATAAATTTCCTCAATCAAATACTGTGATCGATTTTTTATGTGTGTAACAAGATAAAAATGTTGTGCTTCAGTCTCACATTCTAATACTCTTTCTTCAGGTTGACCCTGTATTATGTTGGAATAGGTGTTGCTGCCTTGATTTTTGGTTACATACAGATTTCCTTGTGGATTATAACTGCAGCACGACAGACCAAGAGGATTCGAAAACAGTTTTTTCATTCAGTTTTGGCACAGGACATCGGCTGGTTTGATAGCTGTGACATCGGTGAACTTAACACTCGCATGACAGAGTAAGAGGATGATATTGTAGTACGTTAGCTTTGTTTTCATATGTGACATGTAAATGACCTAACTACATTTATTTGCTTGTTTCAGTGACATTGACAAAATCAGTGATGGTATTGGAGATAAGATTGCTCTGTTGTTTCAAAACATGTCTACTTTTTCGATTGGCCTGGCAGTTGGTTTGGTGAAGGGCTGGAAACTCACCCTAGTGACTCTATCCACGTCTCCTCTTATAATGGCTTCAGCGGCAGCATGTTCTAGGGTAAGTGAGATGGCTAATGCAATATTGAATGGAAGCAGCAGTGTGGACTAAATGACTCACTGAGTTTGTTCAAAAATGGCTTTTCTATTCACTTGCCATGTCCCAAACTACAAAGGGATATTATACACCACAAATACTTTTGATTTTGTTCACCATTAATCCCCTTTCTATCTTCAAGTTATTTGGCTAAGATGAAATGTTTTTAATAGCTTACTAACATTGAAAACATTTCTCTTCATTTAGCAGTCTAACACAACTTCAAGTGGTAGCATGGATAAAGTATGATGTCCTTATACATGTGATGTTTAGTTGTTGCTGTTGGGACAGACTTGTTTGCTCTAAATTCACAGATCAACATGGTACGATTCATTTCACTGGGTAGAATGGAATAAGAAAATCCTAAAACAATAAACATCTTTTTATATCATCCTCTTAAAGTTTATGTATATATGTAAAGTTTTTTTTTTTTTTGAGGCAAGGTCTCACTGTGTCACACAGGCTGGAGTGCAGTGGTGCAAACATGGTTCACTGCAGCCTCAACTTCCCAGGCTCAAGTCATCCTCCCATCTCAGATCCCAAGTAGCTGGGACTACAGGCAACCACGCCCAGCTAACTTTTGTATTTTTTGTAGAGACAGATTTTCACCATGTTGCCCAGGCTGATCTCGAATTCTTGGGCTGAAGCTATCCGCCCACCTCGGCCCCACAAACTGCTGGGATTGCAGGCCAGTGAGCCACCGCACCCAGCCAAGTTTATACTTCAGTAAGGCTTTCAATTACATTTCAGATTTCTGCTAATATCTATTTTTATGTACTACACAAATATGTTTCAGTTTTTTAAACAAATTATGTACTCGCATTCTAAATTACATTTTTAGCACTGTTTTGCTGTAAGTATAACACAAAATTGTAATCTTATCTACAGCCTGGTTTTGAAACCGATACTCTGTGAAATCTAAAAACAACAAATGTATCTGTAATATTATTCTTCAAATCATATCTTTTGGAAATTCTACCATTGTATATACTCATCTTCTAGATAGGAGGCACAGTGCTTTAAATTTGGCAACACTAATCATTCTTTATGGAAATCCAGTTCCTAAAATTTCCAGAGTTTATTTACTAACAATATAGTAATTCAACCAAACAAGAATTTTCAGCAATAAAACTATTCTATAATGGCTAATCCCTTAACAATAGGCTTGGAGATTTGGACAGCATGTCTTTACTTAGTGTGACTCCGAGTGTTGACTTTGTAGCCTTTATCAAAATCTTCATCCTCAACTTATTTGAAATGAGGAAGGAAATCTCAGTAGAAAGATTGCCTGCAGTAAGTTAGTAAGATCAGAACCTTAACGTCCACAGAAGAGAAGTAAATGAGGAGTTGTAAAGGAATAGCAGTGGGTAGTCTAAATTCTATTATTGTATTCATTGATCATGGAGAGGAAGCAGGTGAAGGTCAGAGTTATCCAGTGAAGGTCAGAGTTATCCAAAGGATGCGATACCAGAGTGGATGGCTTCTAGCTTCCTTCAATTCAACTTGACAATTATCTATTAAATACTTGCTAAGTACAAGGCTTTGTGCCAGGTGGTGTTTCCCCTCTAGTGATCTACTATAGGAATAATTATCTTTAGTAAGTGAATTCAGAAAATAATGAGTATTATTCCGCTTCTGCTACTCTCTCACTTTAACAGTTATCCAAGCATGTCTTATATAAAATCAGCTCCTATTATGTGGAATATATTTTTTAGGTGGATAGACTTGCTATGCGAATAGGCAATAGTTATGAATTCACAGCTCTGAAGGCAGTATCCCCGCTGTTCCCTTTTGTGGAACTGTTGTGTTAATTACAAAATTGTAAAAGGATTATTAAATGGGACATATAATGGAGAAAAGGGCATGTGAAATCAGGTAAACCTGTCTAGTCACCAATAGTGATATTTTCCCTTTTCTCTCTGAAATCTTACCTCTTAGTATTTGAAGACAAATTTTTAAAAATACAGAGATAAAGTCTAAAAAAATACCATTAGTCTACTTAGAATTCAAATTCTGCCTGACTTAAATGTTCAGAACATTATTACTACACAGAGTCATTTTTTAACTGTGGTTGTGGTTTATTACAGATGGTCATCTCATTGACCAGTAAGGAATTAAGTGCCTATTCCAAAGCTGGGGCTGTGGCAGAAGAAGTCTTGTCATCAATCCGAACAGTCATAGCCTTTAGGGCCCAGGAGAAAGAACTTCAAAGGTCTTTCCTTTTAAATATAACAAGATATGCTTGGTTTTATTTTCCCCAGTGGCTACTAAGTTGTGTTCTGTTTTTGTAAGGTATACACAGAATCTCAAAGATGCAAAGGATTTTGGCATAAAAAGGACTATAGCTTCAAAAGTGTCTCTTGGTGCTGTGTACTTCTTTATGAATGGAACCTATGGACTTGCTTTTTGGTATGGAACCTCCTTGATTCTTAATGGAGAACCTGGATATACCATCGGGACTGTTCTTGCTGTAAGTCTTGTTTGAGAACAAGGTGTCAGGCCTGGATAATCTTTCCTTACCTAGTTTAGCCAAAATTCCTCTTTGAAGATAAATATTCAAAGATGGATGTTTTTATTAAACAAATATTTGTTTCCCTCAAATTATCTGTATACACCTTTAAATTATAGTTATGAATTGACAGCATTTATTCATCCAGCATGTTTTAGTGTCCTCGCTGTGTCAAGCATCTGCATTCCGCTTTTGGAAGAATCATAATTGAATTCCCCACTGGGAAATACACTGAGTTTTGTTAATCTAGCAGTGAAAAAGGCCATTCTCTTGTGAGACTTTTCCTTTCATCTGGGCTGAGATCAGACGGAGTTCTGCATTCACCTTGCTAAATGTCTTCTCTCTGGAAATGGTCTGTAGAGTTTACACTCACCTCCTCTTCCTCTGTCCTTTCAGCATGTAGTAATTTAAAAAACAGACTACATATAGCTCTGTCCAGTATCACAGTTTGGAGACTTTTAAATTCTTATGGGTTATGTGTTAAATAATAATTTATTCAGTTATCCTCTTAAGTTACAATAAACAGATCAGTTCAGGATTAAGAAACATTTGTCTTGAGGAACCAAAATGATCTGCTCTTTATACTTTGATCCTTGTTTGGCCTTTCCATTCTTACAGATTTCTCTTCTTTCCATTAAATTCATCTTTTGAATTTGAGGCATTCATAATTAAGACTTTTAGCTATTCATTTATTTCATATAAAGTGAAATGTGAGCATGAACGATTTTTCACTCATCCTTGCTCCTCAATTTATGTGTGGCTGGGTATCTGGCTTACTAAGCCTAAGCATCCTCATCTATATGATAGGAGTAAGAGCTCCTAGCTTGAGGGATTCTTTTCTTATTTGACTTTTTGCAGAGATGAGTCTGTCTTAAAATGGACAGCTGTCCCCTAATACAAAAATTCAAAAACGGTTTGAGTGAAAACAGTACAATGTCTCTGAGCCAATAAAATCTACTGAATTTTTCTTTTTAAAGTTCAAGGGGTCACCCAACAAGGAGGGGAGTGCAACTCACCATGGGGTTTATACATGGTCAGCACACTTCAGTTAGCAGATTTTTCTGGTCACACATCCCAGCATGTGATAACCACAAGACTATGAGATAATCAAAAGTTGTTCCTTATTAGGAAAAGGCCAAGGATACTTGGATTAATCTGTGTTTCTATTGCTTCTCGGCCTTTTGGCTAAGATCAAGTGTAATCTGTGTTCTTTTTTATTTGGTCATATCTTCCATTCTTTCTTACCTAATTCCTCTAATATCTCTCTGTGAGCCTAAACCAATAATTATATATTACATTCTATTGTCTTTCTTATATAACTGCAGAAAGATAAATATCACTTTGTTTGTTCCTGTAGGTTTTCTTTAGTGTAATCCATAGCAGTTATTGCATTGGAGCAGCAGTCCCTCACTTTGAAACCTTCGCAATAGCCCGAGGAGCTGCCTTTCATATTTTCCAGGTTATTGATAAGGTAAGACCTCTTATTGCTTTGAAGAATAACTATCATTACTGCAAGAAGGAGACAAAAAAACATACACCCTCATTTTCACTAAAACAATAGGATGGACAAATTTAATGTTGGCCAGTTGTTTATGGGAAAGAGAGACTGCCTTTAATTCTTTTCTAAGAGGAGATTGTGTTGTATTGAAACCTTCATGTCTAACTCAATGCACTTCTAAAGCAGAAAGGAAACTGTCATGGAAGAAAACCATCCTTATACTATTTTTAAAATGTAGAGACTGTCAGTTTACTCCTTTGAAGATTTATAACATTTCCTTTGTTTTTCCAAGAAACCCAGTATAGATAACTTTTCCACAGCTGGATATAAACCTGAATCCATAGAAGGAACTGTGGAATTTAAAAATGTTTCTTTCAATTATCCATCAAGACCATCTATCAAGGTAGGTTAAAACAAATTACGCAATTGTGCAGTTTTCTGATATTATCTTCTACTGGCCAAGATCTTCTCTGACATGATTACTTAGGATCACTTTTTTCCAAGATTTTGGCTACTTTGCTTAGAGACTTGAGGAGGTAGATAAATAATGGACAAATAACTCTGGATCAACTAGTTATATTTTGCAGCATTCTTTCTATATTCAACTGACTAAAGCATTTTCAGCTCCGTGAAATTCTTCTACTCTGGGTTTGGGAACACACCTAAATGTCTTGGGTTGACGCTGCCACCTGTTGGTGGTTCCTAGATGCTACCCCACTCAACATACTCATTTTAACCCCCTCCTCTCTAACCTAGGAGAATTATGCACATGTGCCTTTCCCTTCTTCCTTTCCTGGGGCTTTTACTGCAGCAGCAATTGCGGCTAGTACTTTATCGCCTTTACACACACGCACACACACACGCAGTTTATCGTACTCCATCATTCAGTCTTTGACAAGTTCTTGTGAAAATGTGTGTCTTTTTTATTGTCTTCCCCCTTTCACTTCATTAGTGTATTTACCAAAAAAGTAGTTGTTGTTAAAGATTGCACAAGGCGATTACTAATAAAACACTGGCTTCATAGAAAAAGACATGATTTTAAGTGAAATAGATAAAATTACTAGTGTGATCAATTTCTAATGTCTGCTACAGAATTTGTATAAAGACCTACCTACTCCTACTTCCTTATTTTTTTTCTGATTAAAACTTTGATCGAAATTCTCTTTTCAAAGCTCTTTAGTTTTGAAAGTTGTTACTTAATTACCGATTACCATTATTGGTATAGTATTGACTTCCACCATTTTTCTTAACTGTACAGTATTTCAAACTACATTTTGCAACTGTATTTGGATTGGCTTCCTAGGGACTTCAGCACCAATTGTGCCATTATATTGCATGGGAAAGTGTTCTTTGGGTTTTAAACAACTATTTTTAAAATGAACTTTTGAAACATAACCCTTTTTGTTAAACTAAAGAATGAAATTTTGGGGGGGTCCACCTATTTTAAATAAATAAATTCTTTCAAGGAATGACCAGAAACCAAATCTAGAGTAAAAGTGCAGGTGTGAGAAGAGGTACTCCTACTGGTGGTCCCCGATTTCTCACCTCCTTCAGAGAACTTTTCTCGGCTTGGCCCTCTGAAGGTTTTATGTTTGGCTTATGCAAAGGGTCCATTGCTTTACAAATGGTGAGATCAAAGCAAGAGAATTCAAAGGGAGATTCCCCTGTTTAGGGCTAACTACATACAGATGCAAGCAAAGATAGGTGAGAATTTCTCAACAGGATCACTGTTGTCATTTCGAGAGGGTAATTATTGTGAGGCTTCAATCACATTGCAGGTCCCTGGCACACTAAATGCTGTAGCAACCCCAGTCATTGAGAAAATGTTTAAAGTGTTCCCTCATGGGTCACCATGAGCCCACCAAGGTTTCTAATGATAAACTCTCATCTATCGGGAGCCACTAAGAAACTTTGCCAGCTGTTTTCCTTTAGAATATGCTTTGCAATTATGTTAGTATGTCCTAAGGAGGAGCTTCATTAAATAGCTTGTGAAAATATCTGGCAAGATCTCATTTACTTGTTACAAATTAAGACTTTCATTAACTTGATAGTCAAAATTCATATAAAATATTTTAGTTGAAAATGTGAACAGTTTACTAGTTAATATTCTGAAGTACTCTTAATTTAGTTCTCTTTACATAGAGAGATAATGATAGATTCTTTTACTACTATTTTCTGAAATTATTCAGGCTATTACTACACATGTACATGAAACAAACATAACAAGATCTAAATTTGTTTTTAGAAGAATTTGTTTTTGGTTATAATTATGTACTCATTTTCTGAAAATGTGTCCATCATCTTCTTATTGTGGTTTTATGATTTTCCCTCCATACATTCCAATAGATTCTGAAAGGTCTGAATCTCAGAATTAAGTCTGGAGAGACAGTCGCCTTGGTCGGTCTCAATGGCAGTGGGAAGAGTACGGTAGTCCAGCTTCTGCAGAGGTTATATGATCCGGATGATGGCTTTGTAAGTGCAGCTAGCAAAACCATGCACAGTCCACCTAATGGAATCTGGAAACACCGCAGGGCTGGCAGCTCTGTAACTTTTCATTTTCAACAGTAGAGCTGGGAGAGAAGCCATATTGTTTTCTTTCCTTTGTATCCATTCACTCAGCAAATATTTATTTAGAGCCTACTATGTGTCAGGCACTGTTTTAGGTTCTGAGAATACCTAGGTGAATAAAACAGATAAAAATCTGCCCTCATGAAGTTTACATTCTAATAATCAGAGGCAGACAATAAAAAAATAAGTAAATTATATAGTATGTTAGAAGGGAGGGAATGTTGTGGAGAAAAATAGCGTATTAACATCTGTACCCAGTACCTATCAAGAATTTCAAAGTTTGTTCCAGAAGAATGATGTAGAAAACATCTCCACTTTTCTTTTCCTTTTTTTTTTTTCTTGGAGCTTACAGTGTTGCACTTAACTTTCTCAGCCTTGTAAGTGGCATAGAGGATAAGACAGTGATATTCAAAAGTGATTAATTCTTAATGCTTCTGTTCAAAGTTTCAACAGTTATTTTTAAAAGAAAATCTACTCCCCTAGAGCCTGGCTTTATTTAAATTTTACTTCATAGTTTTCATTTGGAGTATCCTAGACCCATGTGACTACATAAATTATTAGATGAGTGTTATGTGTATAAAAGAGTTGCATAGAATATCCATGCCCTGACAGAAAACAAGGGTTGGTAAGAAATAGAGACTCTATGAGTTAGAATTACCAAACCCTGGCTTCTGTCACGGGAATATGTTGGGGTAATTGGCAATGGCACCACCCGTGGAGAAGCCAGAGGTCACTTATTATCATGTAGAGCAATGAATAGGAGACACTTTTGTCTTTTGCAGAGGTGTGAGATGTTGAAATAATGGCGGCTATTTCCTAGAAGAAATGTAAGGGTCACATCCAAAACTGAAGTTTTTTGTATGTGTCTACATAATAACATTTGCGGAACCTAGAGTATGTATCTTTATAATATCTAACTTGTGGATCTTAGAATAAAGATAATCAGATGATCTGGCAAGGTTTTAGGCCAATTATTCTTTTGCAGTTTTGTTGGTGCCCATCTACCAGAAAAAGTCTATGGACAATATATATGTTAGAAATATTTTATCAAAATATAGTCAGTCTTTGATTTCTAAAATATGCTACTTCTCAGCTTATATTTTGGTCTAGTATGAAAAACCCTAAAATCAATACAGTAAAAGGCATCACAACATGGTTCATTCTTTGGATTGGCAGATCATGGTGGATGAGAATGACATCAGAGCTTTAAATGTGCGGCATTATCGAGACCATATTGGAGTGGTTAGTCAAGAGCCTGTTTTGTTCGGGACCACCATCAGTAACAATATCAAGTATGGACGAGATGATGTGACTGATGAAGAGATGGAGAGAGCAGCAAGGGAAGCAAATGCGTATGATTTTATCATGGAGTTTCCTAATGTGAGTACACTGTGCAGCCTGTGTCCTTAGCTTATGGTGGCAGCGCTGCGACATTCCAATATAAGGTAATGAAACAACAACTGATGCAGAATAGTAGGGGTGTGATTAAATTCTGGATTGTCCTAGAACAAGCTTGTCCAACCAGTGGCACAAGATGGCTTTGAATGAGGTCCAACACAAATTTGTAAACTTTCTTAACACATTATGAGATTTTTTTGTGATTTTTAAAATCTTATCAGCTATTGTTAATTTTAGTGTATTTAATGTGTGGCCCAAGACAATTCTTCTTTCAATGTGGCCCAGGGAAGCCAAAAAATTGGACACTCCTGTATGAAACATCTGTAGAGAAGAATGCATAGTAACAACCAAAAGAAGAAATGCATCATTGAAAGGCCAGATTGAAAAGAATCATATTTTGTTCTGCAATTGAAAAAGAAAAAAATGAAAGATATGTTAAAGCATAACAAAGAAATATGAAACAAAATCATCAGACCAAGCTGAGAAATTATGTCTAAAATGTTTATTTGCGAGGCCATCTTGTGGCTGAGAGTGGGAAAGTCATACACACAATGTTCAGATTGGTTCTGTGACAAACCACAAGAAAAACTATGATCATTTTTTAAAGCACAGGAAGCTAACATTGCATAAGAAATGTGAAATCAGGCCGGGTGCGGTGGCTCACGCGTGTAATCCCAGCACTGTGGGAGGCCGAGGTGGGCAGATCACCTGAGGTTAGGAGTTTGAGACCAGCTTCGCCAACATGGTGAAAATTCATCTCTACTAAAAAGACAAAAAAATTAGCTGGGTGTGGTGGCGCACACCTATAGTCTCAGCTACTAGGGAGGCTGAGGCAGGAGAATCACTTGAACCTGGGAGGTGGAGATTGCAGTGAGCTGAGATCGCACCACTGCGCTCCAACCTGAGCAACAGAGTGAGACTTTATGGGAAAAAAAAGTGAAATCATATTTGGAAAGCAATATAGTCCCCAAAAGAGTGAAATCATATTTGGAAAGCAATATAGTAAGCTAAAATTATTGTTAACCAGACTTACGAGATCTTAATGGGTATTTAGAATTAATGGGGTGCTGTAAAGCCTTTTTTTAAAAATATTTCCTGAAGTATTAGATCCTCAGCATCCCCTGAAATTGTTGTGCGGAGCACCTTGTTACATATGAAAGGATGAGATTTGCAATTAAAATACATATAAAATTCCACCATCCCAGAGGGTCACAATAACAGAAATGTTTATTTTAATGGGCATATTTCACAAACCAAACTTGACGGACTGTAATAATTTTATTCTTGGTTTTTAATTTAAAAAATTTGTTATGCCAGTAATTGTCTCTTGTCCCCATTATTTAGGATCATAATTAGGACATATTTAGGCCAAAAAAATCATTAAAGATTTAAGGTGCTTCTTAAATCTTTGGGAACACACATTTCCTTTTGTTGATGTTTTGCCCCTTTCAATGACTTCCTTTCCTTAAAACATCAATGCTCTCATTTCCCACTTAGAATTAGGGAGCTTTCTGATGCCTCTTAAATCATACCCTGTAAGTTACTACTTGCTTTTACCAAAAGCCAAATACTACACAAAGATGTCCCTTGCTATAAATCTAATAATAAATTCAGAAGATATAACCAAAATAAATTAAAGATAGTAGCTTATCATGATGAAACCTAAATTCCACAGCCATAGCTAACCAGAAAAATGAGGAAACACAATAATGAATGAAAGTTCCAGAAGTGGCTAATTTAGGTAGGTAAAAAATTGGGGAAAGCTATTGTAAAAAAATGTATAACATTACTTCCCTTATAATATACACAGATTTTAAAATTAATGTATAATAATTAGCTGATACTGGTTAGCCTTTCACTCATAAACAACCATGAAATTGGATAAAACATATGAGGCCAAGGGCAGTCATTTCCATGCATTGGATGAGAGGTAATGAAAGACTGATTCCTAACAGAGAGGAATCTCATAAAGGTACTCCATGAATTCTGTCTGGGAACACTGAGCTGAAAGGCAAAGCTCAAATTTCAGGGCAGCTTGGGCAGCTGGAAAGGTGATAAGAAATCACCTGTGGCGATGAGGCAGGGGCAGAAGCCCAGTCTGTATGGGCATCCCTCAGGAATCCTTGTCTGAGGATAAGACTACCTACCCAAGGCTCACCAGAGAGTGGCAGCCATAAAGCTGCAAGCGGAACACTGGATAGAAGTCAGGCAGTGCTGCGGGGGCGTTGAAAGTGCAGCGCAGCTGGAATGGAGAGATCACATTAACACCTTTTTAACCCCCCAGGCAAGTAGCTAAAACACCAAAAAAGCCACACCTTAGGAGTCAGGACCACACCTTAGAGTAAGATCTACCTGCCCTAACAAACCCTGAGACCAAGCCATGACAAGATGCCCAGAGAAGAGAGGTTTTGGAGGTTGTGTTCTGCCAAGTTATGTGGCTTTCTACAAATTCACCCCAAGGAAACCTAAAATGAAGATTGCACAAGTTCAAGATCAGTCAGTGCTTGAGTTGCCTACTAGAGACAAAAATCAGCACTGTTTTTTTTTTGTTTTTGTTTTTGTTTTCAGAAGAAAACAGAACTTAGAGTCTCTTCAACACAACAATTACAGTACTCAGTACATCATTTACAAAAACCAGACATGCAAAGAAACAGAAAAATATGGCCTGTATGCAAGAAACATAATCCTAAAAGTTTATTCTTTAAGAAAAGGGCTTCAAAATACATGAAGCAAAAACTGATACATCTGAAAGGAGAAAGACAAATCCACAACTTTAGTTGAGGCCTTCAGTGCTTGATAGAACAAGCAGGTGGAATATCAGTAAGAATATAGATGAACAATACTAACAGGCAGCTAGATTTCACTGGCATTTATACGACATTCCAGCCAACAACAGCAGAATACATTCTCAAGTGCACACGCAACATTCTCTAAAATAAACAATATTCTGGGCCATCAAAACAAACAAAACAAAACTGTAGCTCTTTCAAATAATAGAAAACATAGAAAATATGTTCTCAGACCATAATATAAGTAAACTACACAAATATTTGAAAAATCACAAAAAACAATTCTAAAGAATATATATCTCAAAAAAGAAATTTCAAGAAAAATGAAAAACTATTCTGAACTAAATCAAAATGAAATTGCAATGTATTAGTATTTGTGAGATATAGTTAAAGTATTGCTCTGAGAGAAACTTATAGTATTTAATGCTTATTTTCGGAAAAGAAAAAAGATCTACAGTCTGCAAACCTAATTTTCACCTACAGAAACTAGAGAAGGAAGAGCAAATTAACCCAAAACAAGCAAGACTAAGTAAATAGAAATTACAGTAGAAATCAGTAAAACCAAAAACTGAAAAACATCAATTACTGAAACCAAAAGCTGGTTCACTGAAAAGATTAAAAAAAAAAAAAGTATAACTGTAGCAAAGCTGAAAAAAGAGAGAGAGAGAGAAAAGAGATGGCCAGTATCAGGAATGAAAGAAGGTACATGACTATTGATTCTAAGGACATTAAAAGGTTAATAAGGAAATATAAACAGCTGGGCATTTTTTGACATAAAGTCCTGTAATCCCAGCACTTTGGGAGGCTGAGGCAGGTGGATCACTTGAGGAAAGGAGTTTGTTACCAGCCTGGACAACATGGCAAAACCCTGTCTCTACTAAAAATACAAAAAATTAGCTGGGTGTGGTGGTGCACACCTGTAATCCCAGCTACTCGAAAGGCTGAGACAGGAGAATCACTTGAACTCAGGAGGCAAAGGTTGCAGTGAGCTGAGATAGCACCACTGCACTCCAGCCTGGGCAACAGAGCAAGACTCTGCTCCCCCGCACCTCCCCCCAGCCCCCCAAAAAAAGCTAGATGTCTAAATAACGGCAACAGTTACAAATGAAATTAAAATAAAAAGCAGTATTCACAAAGCATCAACAGACAAAATGCTTAAGAATAAATTTAATGAAAGACGTGCAAGTCTTCTAGTAAAAACTATATTATGCTGATAGACATGAAAAGATCTAAAGAAATAGAAAGTACCTTATTCATTGATTTAGAAACTCCATATTTTTAAAGATTTGCATTCTCTCCAAGTTGATATATAAATATTGTGCTTTATCAATCAAAATCTCACCAGTTTTTATGTGTATGTGTAGAAACTGACATGTTGATTCCAAAATTTATTTGGAAATTCAAAAGACCAACAATAGCCAAAACAATTTTGAAAGAAAGACCAAAGCTGGAGGACCTAAATATCTAATTTTAAGACAGCAATTAAGATCGTGGTAGTGGCATAATGATGGTTGTATAGATCAGTACAATGGAACAGAGAGACCAGAAATAGATTCACAAATATCTACTAAGTTAATTTTTGACAAGGCGAATGGAACTCAGTGGGGGAAAGAAATATCTTTTCAACAAATGGTGCTGGAACAAATGGTTATCCTTGTGGAAAAAATAAAATGTGACCTTTACTTTACATCACACACAAAAATTAATTTGCCATAGACCTTGTACCAAAATTGTAAAGCGTAAACTTCAAAAATTAAAACTTACGAAAAAATCTTTGTAACTTTGAGAGAGGCAAAAGTTTCTTAGACTGAAAAGCATTACTATAAAAAAAAGATAAACTGGAGTGTACTAAAGTTAAAACCTCCTTTTTAAAAGACATCATTTAGAAAACAAAAAGGCAAGACAGAGAGCACAAGAAAATATTTATAATATACATGTCCGACAAGGACATGAATCCAGAATATATAAAGAACTGCTATAGCTTGATGAGGAGACAAAAAATAGAAATTAAAAATGGGCAAAAATTTGAACAGACATTTTACAAAAGAAGAATCAAATGAACAATACATATATTGAAAATATGCACCATTATTAGTCACCAGAGAACTCTAAAATAAAACGATAATGAGATACCATTTTACACTCTTAGAATGGCCAAAATTAAAAAGACTAACAAATGTAACTTTTGGTGATGATGTAAGCAATTAGATCTCTCATTCATTCAAATAAAAGTGAAATCAGTATAATCATTCTAGAAAGCAATTTGGCAGTTTATTATAATGTTAAACATACACTTATGACTCAGCATTCTATTCCTAGGTATTTATTCAAAATAAATGAAAACATGACCACAAAAATATCTTGTACATGAATATTCATAGCAGCTTTATTTATAATAGCCAAAAATAGGAAACAATTTAAGTGTTCATCAGCAGTTGAATGAACAAATTGTGATAGATCTAATTTTTCTTTTTCCTTTTTCTTTTTTTTTTTTTTTTTTTTGATATGGGGTCTCACTCTGTCACCTAGGGTGGAGTGCAATGCACAATCTCAGCTCACTGCAGCCTCGACTTCCCAGGCTCCCAGGCTCAGGCAGTCCTTCCACCTCAGCCTCCTGAGTAGCTCATGCCACTACACCTGGCTAATTTTTGTATTTTTTGTAGAGACAGGGTTTCACCATGTTGCCCAGGCTGGTGTCAAACTCCTGGCTTCAACCAATCCACCCACCACAACCTCCCAAAGTGCTGGGATTACAGGTGTGAACCACCACACCCGGACAAATTGTGATAGATCTAGAGTTGCCAGATGAACTACTGGATTCCCAGTTAAATTTGAATTTCAGATAATGAATAATTTTTTAGCAATATTGCATAAAACATACTTATACTAAAAAAAACTCATTGCTTTTCTGAATTCAAATGTAACAGCTTTGTGTTTTCTTGTGTGTTGTTTGTTTTTGCTAAATCTGGCAACCCAAGGTAAACTCGCATTGTGTGGAACACTACTTAGCAATAAATAGGAGTGAACAACTGATACAACATGGATGAATATCAAAAACATTAAGCTAGGTAAAAGAAACAAGCCAAAGAAGTACATACTGTATGATTTCATTTACATAAAGTTCTAGATCCAGGAAAATTCATGTATAGTGATAAAAATCAAATCAGCGGTATCTGCAGGCATGGTATGGGTTTTGACTGAAAAAAGTGACATAAGGAAACTTACTAGGGCTACAGAAATGTTCTATATCTTTATTGGTATGGTGGTAACATGGGTGTACTCATTTGTCAATACTCATAGACTTATATCCTTAAAATGGATGCATTTTATTGTGTGTAAATTTCTTCAAAAAGCCTGATTTTTTAAATGTGAAGATCAATCTCTAGAAATTAAGGGTTTAGAAAGAATATTTAAATTTATCTCCGTGAAGAAATAAACTTTGAATCAGGGACGTAACCCAGTAGAATATTACTAGCCATGTTTCCTGGGCGCTAGAAGTTACCCCTACCACAAATATGGAAGACAAAATATCTACTTTGTTAAAGATAAATTTATTTTAAAACAAATCAAAAGAACACCTAAAAAGTATCTCAAGATGGAAAAAACGTTTTAGGGGAAAGTTTGTTTTGGTAGCAATTTTTTTTCATGCTGTTTTTCAGAGTATCCAGGAAGGAAATTGTGGGTAACATACCAAATTGCTAATAAACACTGCAGAAAATAGGTATTTGTATTACAGTGGTTCTTTTAAAGATTTCAAAGCATTCTAAAAATATCTAAAAGAGATTTGGACATTAGTTTAAATTATTATTAATTTTTCTAAATACATTTGATTATAATGAGGTCTAATTTATTTTAGTCCTAGCCAAATTTTTCTTATGTCCTCTCTTCTTTGGGCTCTTTTTTTTTTTTTTACAGCGGTTTGTTTTCACAAAGAACAAATCAAAAGACATAAGCACCCAGAGGCTGAAGTACTGATTAAGCTGATATTAAAACACAACTGGGATTGTCATTTCCTGTTCTAACCATTTGATCACGCTGCCTTCTGTTTCTGTGCTTCTTTCCTATTTTTCATTAGAAATTTAATACATTGGTAGGGGAAAAAGGAGCTCAAATGAGTGGAGGGCAGAAACAGAGGATCGCAATTGCTCGTGCCTTAGTTCGAAACCCCAAGATTCTGATTTTAGATGAGGCTACGTCTGCCCTGGATTCAGAAAGCAAGTCAGCTGTTCAAGCTGCACTGGAGAAGGTAAGTGAGCAGAAACGTTTCTTATTTCCATACTCCTGGTTCATTATTGTTTTGAAGTACAAGAAAGTATAGATCTGTAATAGATTACTCAAGTTGAGAGCCCTCTTAAGGTATAAAGGCAGGATGTTAATCCACTGAGAACTTACGTGATGGCTATAGGAAGTGGTTTAGAGGACAGAAGGAGATGCTGTGGTTGGTTGGTGTAAAAATATATACATGAGGCTGATACACAAGCAATCATCCAGTCTATACCTCCATTCCAAGTGGTTTGCACTTTCCACCTCCCTAGAGTGGCCCACCACTATCATCACTATTATAACCATGCCCACCCTTTGCTTCTTCTACATACACCTGTGGGATTCTCTTCTCTGACCACTTTTCTTCTTTAGGATACCCCCAGGTATTCATTTTGACCTAATTTCACCTCAAGTGGAGAATCGCTGACCTTGAACCAGCGCCCTTCGACAGCTCTGGCCCCTCAAACCTCACCCTGACCTCCTGCTGCCTATGAGCTACTGCACATACCTCAAGGCCATATGCAGTTGTGGCCCTGCACCAAATTACACTGAATCTAGGAGGGGAGTTGGCAGTGGCGGTATGAAAAACCATTGAACAGTTTTCTCGATGGCCTGACTCCCTTATAAACCAGAGCCTTCAGACCCCTTACAAGGCTTAATGGCACATTTTACTTTGCATTTGCTTGGAAGTGAGTTAAGCGTTTTTTTTTCTCTAAGAAAATCGCAGGCTTCTTTTTTTAAAATGCTGACTTTATGGAACCAGAAACGGATACTGGCAGGCTAAATGTCCACTGCTTCTTGAAAAATCTCTTAGTTACTATTATTTAGTAGCAAATCAGATTGTGCAAGTTTGAACGCTTGTTTCCCTCCCATAATAACAATGCCACATGTTGCTTGTGTGATAAATAATCTTTGTTTACTGTGGACACTTCGGCAATTTGGTTCATCTTGGTACAGAAAATACAAAGACAGGACTAATATTTTATTCATTTTTTATACTTAGTAACTAGGACAGGGATCTGTATTTAGACTATATTCAAGCCTCGCTCTGTCACCCATGCTTGAGTGCAACCTCTGCCCACTGTGTTCAAGCGATTCTCCTGCCTCAGCCTCCTGAGTAGCTGGGAGTACAGGCGTGCATCACCACACCCAGCTAATTTTTGTATTTTTAGTAGAGACAAGGTTTTGCCATGTTGACCAGGCTGGTCTCAAACTCCTGACCTCAGGTGATCCGCCCACCTCGGCCTCCCAAAGTGCTGGGATTACAGGTGTGCGTCTCCGCGCCCGGCCAGTTACATAAGATTTTAAAAAATGTATTGTAATAGGCTCTCTGATTGTTTAGAAGGTTTCATGTTGTGCCCGCAGTATTTTCATCCACTGGTAATCACTTTAGGTAATCAAAACTAGTTCAGACTTTTAAAATAAATAGTTGCTTGGTGACATGATAAACTAATAAATGTTATTCTTATTGGTTAATATGAAACATCTATCAAAAGTGAAAAAAGAAGAATGCAGAATGTTTGTAAACTGATTCCAAAATTACACAAAATAGCAACTGTGAAAAAAATGAAGGCAATATATGAAAATAATAACAGCTATGTGGCATAATTATGGGGGAATTTAACTTATTTCAAAAATTCATTTACTGTCCCTGTTTTTCAGTTGTTTAAAGGAGAAAGAGATTAAATCAATGTAGAAATAGGTGTGAAACTGCTTTATGTATGGTTTGCTGGGTCAGGATAAAGGGTAACCAATAGGATGAAAAGTAGCACAGTAAACTAGATTAATCATATACTCTTCAGTTTATTGGAAAATGGCTTATGGAGAAGGGGAGAGTTCAAATACAGGCAGGGTGATGGAAGCTGTAGCACCATGACAGCCCTCTCCTCTCACCACCATAGACTGCAGTTATGGAACCAAGCCCTTGGAGGGGGCCCTGGGTAAGAAAGGTAGGACATCCAGCAGGTCTCATTCCTGATCAGCTGTCTAAGAGGCCCCAGACTCTGTTATATCATACAGCCTAACCCACACAGTTAACAGTTTTATGCTGCTCAAAATATCCTGCAAGCCACTAACCAACGAAAGAAGACATAATGAAGTGTATCCCTCCTCCCTGGTGATAGAATCTATACCCACTTCACTCCACAACCTGCCCTCACATATCCCTTCCATCCCCTCCTCTCCATTAGTCATTTATCTTCCACTTATACAAAGTTCTAGAACCTGTGAAACCAATCAATGGTATTAAAAAATCAGGTCAGCAGTTTCTTAGGGCAGGGGTGAATTCTAACTAAACAGCAACATGAAGGCACTAACACCCTTTTCCTCACTTGGACTATTGCAGTAGCTAACTCTGCATCAGCCCATGCCCACTTCAATCTGTTCTCAACACAGCAGCCAAGTGTTGCTATTCAAATGAAAATTTGGTGACATCGTACTTCAACTTCAAATCATCCAATAACTCCCCACCTCACTCTAAGTAAAAGCCACATTCCTTACAGTAAGCACAAGGCTCTATGGAGCTGGGCTCCAAGCTCCTTCTGGAACTTCCCTTCCTACCATTCGCCCCAACAATGCCTGCTTCTTAAACATACCCTCACACTTTTCATTAGCTAACACACAACGTATATGTTTGTTTATTTTGCTATTGTCTCTCTTTCTCCACTTGAACGTAAACTCTCTGGTGGTGAAGGCTTTGAGTGATTAACTGCAGCATCCCCACCTCTAGAACAATGCTGGCCCTTAACAAACAGCCAACAGATATTGTTGGATGGACTTCGATGAGTGTGATCCAGGATACTTCTAAGACCAGAAATATTCTTTTTTGCTTTCTTTCTTTTCTTTTTCTTTTTTTTTTTTTGAGACCGAGTCTCACTCTGTCACCCAGGCTGGAGTGCAGTGGCATGATCTTCACTCACTGCAACCTCCGCCTCCTGGGATAAGCAGTTATCCTGCCTCAGGCTCCTGAGTAGCTGGGATTACAGGCACGCACCACCACGCCCAGCTAATTTTTGTATTTTTAGTAGAGACAGGGTTTCACCATGTTGGTCAGGCTGGTCTTGACCTCCTGACCTTGTGATCTGCCTGCCCTAGCCTCCCAAAGTGCTGGGATTACAGGGGTGAGCCACCGCGCCCAGCGAGACCTGAAATGTTCTTTTCTGGACTCCTGGATTTAGAATAACTACAAACTAGTTTTGTTTCACTAATGTTCAAGAAGAATTTCTAGCGTCAGTGAATAAAGGTTCATGTCATAGGGTGTGAGTTTCACTCTGCTACTTGTTTTGACCTGGTGTGCCAATGCAGCAGGTTTCCAAGCTGCCCCACTAGTAGGAGACATGGCAGTGAGCACCTGCAGGCCCCTGGGGAAGCCAAGGAAACCCACACTGATTCTGTGATAAAGCCTGTGAAAGCTCTGTGAAATGTTAAAAGTGGTATGCAAATCTAAGGCATCATTATTATTAAGGGAGTTTCGGCCACACCACATCAATGGAGAACCTCTTTGGTAATTATGAAGGAAGAGTTATCATCACAATATTATTCTTTGAAAACACAGGGTTGCTTTATTGCAGCCCTCACGGGCACGTCTTAACCATCACTGTGCTTTCTCCCTATGATGCGCCCCGTTGGTCTTCCTCGGAGACCTCTTATGTTGTATTTATACTACTTAGAGGACTGGACAATAAGGAAATTGGTGTATTACATTAAGCTGCCGGCCACTGGATTAAATTAAGTTCTAAGAAGTGATTATCCAAAGTCGAAGTTAGGTCAGAGTAAATTTTACACACAAACACACACACACTAATGCACACACATTTTGAATGTCTGTGTCAATTAAACATCTCACTCTGTATTTGGAATTTTGAAAAATCATTTATAGCAACACTGTAATAGTTGGGAACAGAAAGGGAATTTCTCCAAGGGAATTTCCTTGGCTGAAATTTAGACAGAAAATCAAAGGTAACACACAGACTACCTCATGCAAAAAACATGATTGGATATTTTATAAACCTGCTTAATCAAGCTCACATTTGTAGCGCTTGATGTTAAATTCTAAGCCACTAACTTCTTTCAGAGTAATGGTCCTTCTCCTTTGATAGATCAGGGCCCCTTTGAGAATCTGATTGAGAAAGGGAAAAATAAACCACCATAACTCTTTAGAGAAGTATACAAATTCACTTATACAAAAAGACTTACACGTACTCTTGAGGGAGTCATAGACCCCCGAAGCCATTTGTGGGTCCTTATTTTAGATGTAACAAAGGAACAAATGGATGATAACAGCTAATCCTCACAAGATCCATATAAGATTAAGACATTTATTCTCCTGTTTTACAGTTGAGCTGTAAAATACACTGAAGCACAGGGAGGTTAAGTAATAGGTAGGCACAGTGAAGCCAGAACCCAGACCACTCATCCTTCTGCCTCATTCTTGTAACCACCAGGCTATATTGCTTCAAGATTACACTGCCGGGAGGTGGAGCTAAAACCGATTCCAGATCAGGCTTCAAACCTCTTAATAAACATAGAATTATCAAATTTCACTTCTGAGTATATGCCCAAAATAATTGAAAGCAGGGTCTCAAAGAGATATTGGTATACTAGTGTTCATAGTAGCATCATCTACAGTAGCCAAAAGGTGAAAACAATCCAAATGTCTGTTTACAGATAAATGGATAAAGAAAATGTGGTATATACATACAATGGAATACTACCAGTTTTTAAAAGGAAATTCTGATGATGCTAAAACATGAATAAACCTTGAAGAATTATCCTAAGTGAAATAAAACTGACAAAAAAGGATCCATATTGCTTAATTCTGCTCACATGAGATACATACAATAGTCAAATTCAGAGATGGAAAGTAGAAGAGCGGTTACTAGGGGCTTGGGGGATGGGAAAGCGGGGAGTTAGTGTTTAATGGGTATACAATTTGAATATGAGATGATGAGAAAGTTCTGGAGATGGGTAGTGGTGACAGTCGCACAACAGTGTGATTAAGATTGCAAATTTTATGTTAGGCTTTTTTTTTTTTTTTTTTTTGAGATGGAATCTTGATCTGTCACCCAGGCTGGAGTGCAGTGGCATGATCTCAGCTCACTGCAACCTCCGCCTCTCAGGTTCAAGCGATTCTCCTGCCTCACCCTCCAGAGTAGCTGGGATTACAGGCACACACCACCACACCCGGCTAATTTTTATATTTTTGGTAGAAATGGGGTTTCACCATGTTGGTCAGGCTGGTCTCGAACTCCTGACCTCAAATGATCCACGCGCCTCGGCCTCCCAAAGTGCTGGGTTTACAGGCATGAGCCACTGCGCCCAGTCAGGCAATTTTTTTTTTTTTTACCAAAAAGAGAGAGAGAGAGAGATTAGTAATCTAAGCCTGAGTACAAAAGAACAGTGAAAAAAAATTAATAAATAAAAGAATAGTGACAAAGAGGAATTTGGCCTCTCAGAGTCAGAAGGATCATACCCTTTAAAATGGCTATAATGGTAAATTCTGTATTATGCATATTTTTCCACAATTTTAAAAACAAAACACAACTAGCCTTTTTTGGAAAACCACACTCACACTGTCTTCTTGGGAAAGAAATTCAAACCATACTCCAAATCGAAGCTCTCATGTGGGTTAAAACCACTTTTGTTCCTGTAAGTTGTTTATTTTTATACTATTGTATAAATAACTAGTAGAATTCTCTTTTATAAATTTAGGTCACTGTTACTTAGCAGGACATTCCAAGGTTTTAAAGAATATACTAAAAGGTCTTCTAAGACATAATAAAATATTTTTCCATGATATGGATAAGCATCTTGGTGATTTTTGTAAATTAAAATTATTCCTAAGCCTTTCCTTCCTCCCAAAATAAGGAAAATGCCTATAGAAGATACTGATTTTCCTAAGTGCTATCAAATAAGTGATCTCAATGTATTATTTACCAAGAATAAAAATAGGTAAGCTATTATGCCCTTATGGAAAAAAATAAACTAATTATTGCAGCATTTTCTCTTCTTACCCACCATTTACTCTTCTTACCCACCATTTACTTCATCATTTATTTTTTATTGTAAATTTCTCCACAAATACTTAAATGATTAGCTTGTTAATAAAGTTAAGTAAAGCTGGGAGTGGTGGCTCACACTGTAATCCCAGCTACTTGGGAGGCTACAGTGGGAGAATCACGTGAGACCAGGAGCTCAATACCAGCTGGGCAACATAGCAAGACCTTGTCTGTAAATAAAATAATAAAATGATTTTTTAAAAGTTCAATGAAGAGAAAAGGTATTAAATGATGATAAATAATTTTATGTTATCTCTAATTCTTAACCTTCATGTTAACTTATTTAGAAGTGACAATGAAGAGATTCCAGGCCATAAAAAGAAAACATTTTACCATTATTATGTTATTATTTCACGTTCCTAATTAGGTAGTACACGTGGGTTCATTTTAGCAGAGTTTACATTTTGAAAGTGTTTCTTTTCTAAAGGGTCTTAACCCAAGCATTCATGCATTCACATGAGTAGATTTCTGCAAGCTGGAAAGAAGGGTCAACGAGCAGGTGAGTCACCCATTAAAAGTGACTTCTAAGTTCCTGATATTTTGCTATTTGTCATCCCCCTTGACAAAAAAGAAAGCATTCTCGGACCAGTGACGTGGTCTGACAGTAACCCCACATTGTTGAGCCCTGGAACCCATGTCGACCCAGAAGAACATTAAGCCAATTGGCTTTCAACATCACAGTCAGGTAGTTAAGAAACAAAAGGCCTATGTTTCCCGTTCAACTACCATGGTGACCTTATTATAAAAGATGACCAGCTAAAATTTGATAGCCTAAAAGAAATGACACTGAAGAGTAGTGAGAAGTTCTCAGACTGTATTCTTGGAGTACTAGGGTACTAGGGTCTCCAAGGAGCCTCTCAAGGACTGAGAGAGGTGGGGAAGTGAGGTGGACAAGCAGGTAGGGCCGTACCCCCAACTCCCCTGCCAATTCAAGCAATGCAGTGATCCATTTATCTGGATGAGATAGAGATGGAAAGATAGATAGATAGATAGATAGATAGATAGATAGATAGATAGAGATACATACATACATACATACATACATACATACATACATACAGATATAGATATACAAGCTTCCAGATGAGCTTCTATTTGTTGAAAGGATTTTGCAGTTAAAAAAAAAAAAAAAATGTTGGGCCGGGCCTGGTGGCTCATGCCTGTAATCCCAGAACTTTGGAAGGCAGAGACAGGCGGATCACCTAAGGTCAGGAGTTTGAGACCAGCCTGACCAACATGGAGAAACCCTGTCTCTATTAAAAATACAAAAATTAGCCGGGCGTGGTGGCACATGCGTGCAATCCCAGCTACTTGAGAGGCTGTGGCAGGAGAATCGCTTGAACCCAGGAGGTGGAGGTTGCGGTGAGCCGAGAGCACGCCATTGCACTCCAGCCTGGGCAACAAGAGTGAAACTCTGTCTCAAAAAAAAAAAAAAAAAAAGTTGACGATAACAGCACTACATCATGGAGTACATGTCACCGATGAGCCCCAAATCCAACTGAGGCAACCTTTTGGAAGGCAGTGAGTGGGAACTTGTGTTCTCGTAGGTTTTCTATGCCACACTTGCCCCCAGGTTACTAGAACTCTCTGTGCTGACACGCTTTCCCAGAAACTGTGTTATGCCTGGTAATGGACCCTCTCAAATGCTTGAGGCTTTGTATTATTTTCCTTTCTTTTCCTGCTGCCCTCTATGTTTACGGCAAGTCCCATAACCATCACTGGTGAGAATCTAGCTGATCTCCTCAGGTCCGTATCTCTGCCTAGCAATTCTGGGAGGGATGTTTTAAAGCACCCTCTTTTTCAAAGTCCAAAATAATGACCTGGTGATGTATGGCTGTGCATGGAATTGTAAAGTAATCTGAAAAATGTCAGCAAAGTGTCAAGTAGAGACCTGTCTTCCTGGTGACCTTTGTTTGGTCAAATACCTAATTGTTTGGCTTTTAGCTTTGTGTAATCTGTGAAGTAGGATAGGAGATACTAGGAAATTCTTTCAATATTGTATTTTCTAGAAAAAATAATACAACAAAGACGTATTGATAATCTACCACACTATCTACGTTGAGGTATCTGGAACCACAGTGGTATGAATTGCACTATCTCCCTAATCTTTACACTAATTCTGGCTAAAAGACAGCATCAGCTCAAATTTTCCTGATCAGTTTTTTAGCAGGCTTTGGCTGCCAAAATCTCTTCTGTGTTTTAAGTCTGAAGCAATTACAGTTGAATATTTTGTTGTTGTTCACTATGAGGAGTATATCGGTTTTAGGTCACATGAATGATCTAGTAGAGATGTATTTTTCTAGTACACTTGATAGTACCTTGAATATGTACAGTACATGTAGGCCCATTTTATGGACCTCTGAGGCACAGTTTTTTCCCTTTTAAGTTATTAGATATTTCTGTGATTTATTTGATGCACTCAGATACAAATTCATGCTATAATAAGTTAAATTGTAACATAATATCTACCTTAATCAAATATTTATAGTTTAGGCCAGGAGCCTGGCAAAGTAAAGATGACACAGATGAAATGCTTGATAAGTAAATAAATATGAGAAGAGATATATATTAAAACACCTGTGAAGTGAATCCCCTGTGAAGAAAAGAAGGTCTCTAACAATATAAACCTGTATCAGGAAACCCTGTGATTCTGATTCTGTGCACAGAAGGATACATGGAATTCTCAGACCTTTTCTAGTTGCAACCTTTTAATTGTTTGACTTTATATTCTGTCCTCTCAAATTCTCCTTAGACTGTGACGTGTTAATGCTCTCTTTTATATTTTCTAATTAAATTCCATACACATTAATTTGAGAACTGTTGGAGAGTATTGTGAAATCATTGAGCTAATGGGTCACATCACGTGGCTTCATGAATAAGATTTGAGATCTGTTTGCTTTTGGAAAATAACATTCGCCTCTGCCCCTGCCCCTGCCCCTGCCCCTGCCCCTGCCCCTGCCCCTGCCCCTGCCCCTGCCCCTGCCTCTGCCTCTGCCTCTGCCTCGTCTCCCTCTGATGCCGAGCCAAACCTGGACTGTACTGCTGCCATCTCGGCTCACTGCAACCTCCCTGCCTGATTCTCCTGCCTCAGCCTGCCGAGTGCCTGCGATTGCAGGCGCACGCCGCCACGCCTGACTGGTTTTCGTTTTTTTTTTGGTGGAGACGGGGTTTTGCTCTGTTGGCCGGGCTGGTCTCCAGCTCCTAACCGCGAGTGATCCGCCAGCCTCGGCCTCCCGAGGTGCCGGGATTGCAGACGGAGTTCGTTCACTCAGTGCTCAATGGTGCCCAGGCTGGAGTGCAGTGGCGTGATCTCGGCTCGCTACAACCTCCACCTCCCAGCCGCCTGCCTTGGCCTCCCAAAGTGCCGAGATTGCAGCCTTTGCCCAGCCGCCACCCCGTCTGGGAAGTGAGGAGCGTCTCTGCCTGGCCCCCCATCGTCTGGGATATGAGGAGCCTCTCTGCCTGGCTGCACAGTCTGGAAAGTGAGGAGCGTCTCTGCCCGGCCGCCATCCCATCTAGGAAGCGAGGAGCGCCTCTTCCCCGCCGCCATCCCATCTAGGAAGTGAGGAGCGTCTCTGCCCGGCCGCCCATCGTCTGAGATGTGGGGAGCACCTCTGCCCCGCCGCCCTGTCTGGGATGTGAGGAGCGCCTCTGCTGGGCCGCAACCCTGTCTGGGAGGTGAGGAGCGTCTCTGCCCGGCCGCCCCGTCTGAGAAGCGAGGAAACCCTCTGCCTGGCAACCGCCCCGTCTGAGAAGTGAGGAGCCCCTCCGTCCGGCAGCCACCCCGTCTGGGAAATGAGGAGCGTCTCCGCCCGGCAGCCACCCCGTCCGGGAGGGAGGTGGGGGGGGGGGTCAGCCCCCCGCCCGGCCAGCCGCCCCGTCCGGGAGGTGAGGGACTCCTCTGCCCGGCCGCCCCTACTGGGAAGTGAGGAGCCCCTCTGCCCGGCCAGTCGCCCCGTCCAGGAGGGAGGTGGGGGGGTCAGCCCCCCGCCCGGCCAGCCGCCCAGTCCGGGAGGTGAGGGGCGCCTCTGCCCGGCCGCCCCTACTGGGAAGTGAGGAGCCCCTCTGCCCGGCCAGCCGCCCCGTCCGGGAGGGAGGTGGGGGGGTCAGCCCCCCGCCCAGCCGGCCGCCCCGTCCGGGAGGTGTGGGGCGCCTCTGCCCGGCCGCCCCTACTAGGAAGTGAGGACCCCTCTGCCCGGCCAGCCGCCCCGTCCGGGAGGGAGGTGGGGGGGTCAGCCCCCCGCCCGGCCAGCCGCCCTATCCAGGAGGTGAGGGGCGCCTCTGCCCGGCCGCCCCTACTGGGAAGTGAGGAGCCCCTCTGCCTGGCCAGCCGCCCCGTCCGGGAGGATGGTGGGGGGGGTCAGCCCCCCACCCGGCCAGCTGCCCCATCCGGGAGGTGAGGGGCGCTTCTGCCCGGCCGCCCCTACTGGGAAGTGAGGAGCCCCTCTGCCCGGCCACGACCCCGTCTGGGAGGTGTGCCCAGCGGCTCATTGGGGATGGGCCATGATGACAATGGCGGTTTTGTGGAATAGAAAGGCGGGAAGGGTGGGGAAAAAAATTGAGAAATCGGATGGTTGCCGGGTCTGTGTGGATAGAAGTAGACATGGGAGACTTTTCATTTTGTTCTGTACTAAGAAAAATTCTTCTGCCTTGGGATCCTGTTGATCTGTGACCTTATCCCCAACCCTGTGCTCTCTGAAACATGTGCTGTGTCCACTCAGGGTTAAATGGATTAAGGGCGGTGCAAGATGTGCTTTGTTAAACAGATGCTTGAAGGCAGCATGCTCGTTAAGAGTCATCACCACTCCCTAATCTCAAGTACCCAGGGACACAAACACTGCGGAAGGCCGCAGGTCCTCTGCCTAGGAAAACCAGAGACCTTTGTTCACTTGTTTATCTGCTGACCTTCCCTCCACTATTGTCCTATGACCCTGCCAAATCCCCCTCTGCGAGAAACACCCAAGAATGATCAATAAAAAAAAAAAAAAAAAAAAGAAAATAACATTCGTAACTTTGAGGAAACAGAATAAATAGAGATTTATTAAATAAATATGAGCCAGTAGGCTAGGTGCCTGAGTGTTTTTGCCTTCGCGGTTGTCAGGTTTCTAATACATACCAACCCAACAACAGTTTCTGGGACTCTCTTTTAAAGGGCTGTAGGCAAGTCCCAGGTCTCCAAGACCCAGAATAGAATTCAAACTTGAAGTGTGAAAGAGAGGAGTGGTATCAGCATAGGCTGAATATCTTACCTGTAAAAAGGAAGACAAATCAGACGAACTCAAATTGAGATATTCTACAAAACATCTAACCAGTGTTCTTTAAAACTATCAAGTTTATCAAAAACAAGGACAATCTGAGAGACTGTAACAGCCAAGAGGAGCCTAAGGCGACATGATGACAAAATGTACTGGGATATTCAGGGATGGGGATCCTAGAACAGAAAAAGAACGTGAGTTGAAAATTAGAGAAATCTGAATAAAATATGGAGTTTAGATAATGATGTGTCAATAGTGGTTCAGTAGTTGTGGCAAATGCATCATAGAAATGTAAGATGTTAGAACGCAGGGTACATGGAAGCTTCCTGCACTATCTTTGCAATTTTTCTGTAAATCTAAAGCTATTCTAAAAAAAGAAAAAGAAAAAAAAAAGGTTGACGTTAACAGCACTACACCATGGAGCACATGTCACCGATGAGCCCCAAATCCAACTGAGGCAACCTTCTGGAAGGCAGTGAGTGGGAACTCAGTGTTTACTTAAAAAAAAGACTCACATTTTTAACCAATTTTGTTATACCATTCATAAGGGTGTGCTGTATAAGCGAGGCTTAGAATTACCACACCAAAGTAAATGCGAGACTGAGAAAAACAAGAAGCAAGCTGGCCGGGTGCGGTGGCTCATGCTTGTAATCCCAGCACTTTGGGAGACCAAGGTGGGCGCATCACCTGAGGTCGGGAGTTTGAGACCAGCCTGACCAACACAGAGAAACCATGTCTCTAATAAAAATACAAAATTAGGCAGGCGTGGTGGCACATGCCTGTAATCCCAGCTACTTGGGAGGCTGAGGCAGGAGAATCGCTTGAACCTGGGAGGCGGAGGTTGCAGTGAGCCGAGATCGTGCCATTGCACTCCAGCCCGGGCAACAAGAGCGAAATTCCACCTGAAATAAAAAGAAAAAAAGAAAAGCAAGAAGCAAGCAATAAAAACCTGTTCCCCACGTATCAGTCACTCATTAGTTTAATAAAATATTCATAAACTTGACAATATCAGAAAATAAAGAAAGCACTAAGCATGTTAGTGCTTAGTATAACTCTCTTCTACTGTAGAGTAGGTTATACCATAAAAATGACCCATAGAAACTTACATATGCTGATAATTAATTTCCAGTTAAAAATACCGAAATCTGCCTGTCTGCAACTCTATATCACAGTTGTCCCCAATCTACTTTGTCATTATTTTTGCAGGGCATTCATTAAAATGTCTCAGTCTCATTCAGGATTCCTGCAGAACTTTAGAATGACCAACTGGGCTGCTGAATGTATTTGCTTCTTTTATTTGACTTTGATTTTTGTTTTTAACAGTTTTTTGAGGTTTCATTGAATATAAGAAACTGTACATATTAAAACATATGATTGGAAAAATTTTGGCGTATATGTACACCAAAATCTAGATAGTCAGCCATACTTTTCACATGACTTTTGTAACCATTTCACCCTGACCCTCTCCAGCCCTCCTCCCCTGATCCTTGGCAACCACTGTTTTGCTTACTGCCACTAGAGATTAGTTTGTATTTTCTAGAACTTTATATAAAGGGAGCAATATCATATGTATTCTGTTAGGTCTAGCTTCTTTCATTCAGCATAATTATTTTGAGACTCATCCATGTTGTAGAATGCATCAATAGTTTGTTTCTTTTTATTGATAAATGGTATTCTACTTATGACTATGCCACAATTTAAACTAATTGGTATGGATGCTCATTTGAATTATTAGGTTTGTTTTCAGTTTTGGGATATTACAGATAAAGCTGTTCTAAACATTCATATGCAAGTCTTTGTATAGACATGAGCTTTTATTTCTCTTGAGTAAATACCTGGGATTTAAATGGCTGAATCTTATGGTAGGTATACTTTTTACTTTATAGTTAAGTGCCAAACTGTTTTTCTTTTACATTTCTACAAGAGATATATTAAAATTCCAGCTACTCCACAACTTGCCCACACTTCATATGGTCATTTATTTTAATTTCAGCCATCTGAAGAAATGTATAGTAGTATCCCATTGTCATTTTAATTTGCATTATCCTGATGACTGATGATGTTAAGCATTTTTATGTGCATATTAACCATCCACATTTTTTTCTTTGTTAAAGTGTCTGTTCAAATCTTTAGCCCATTTTATACTGAGTTGTTTGTTTTCTTATTACTGGGTTTTGAGAATTCTTTATATTTCTGGATACAAGTATTTTATCAGATGTAGGATTAGAAAATATTTCTCCTGATTCTAGGGCTTGGCTTTCTATTGTCTTAAGTGTGTCTTCCAAAGGCCAGGAATTTTTAATTTTGATGTTTAATTTATTAGTTTTTTTTTTTTCTTTTACAAATCAAGGTTTTGGTGTCATATTTAAGAAATCTTTGAACAACACACACTGTGGCCTGTTGGCAGGATGAGGGGAGGGAGAGCATCAGGACAAATAGCTAATGAGTGTGGGGCTTAATACCCAGGTGACAGGTTGATAGGTGCAGCAAACCACCATGGCACACATTTATCTATGTAACAAACCTTCCAGTTCTGAACATGTATCCAGGAACTTAAAGTAAAATAAAATTTTAAAAGAGAGAAAGAAAGAAATATTTGCCAAATTTAAGGTCACAAAGACTTTCCTCTGTTTTCTTCTGAAGGTATTATAGTTTGTAGTTTTTATATTTTGAGTTAATTATTATATGTGATATAAGGTACAGTTTAAGGTTCCTTTTGTTTGTTTGTTTGTTTTGCATATAGACTTCCAGTTGGTCCTGTACAATTTGTTGAAAAAATTATCTTTTCTACACTGATTTTTCTTGGCACCTTTGTAAAAAATCAGTTGTTCATATATGTGTGAGTTGTTTTCCAGACTGTTGACTCCATTGCGTCATATTGATGTATTTGTCTGTCTTTGAGTTTATTCTTCTCTTTTGTATTTAATTGGTTTCTGCTTTGATTTTTATTTCTTTTCTTCCATTTTTTCTTTTTCTTTTGAGTTTAACTTGCCCTTCTTTTTCTTGTTTCTTAAGTTACATATGAAGTCATTTACTTGAAAAATTTTATTTGGTTTCAGTATTGGAGTATTTTCCAGATATTTTTTCTGTATTGATTTCTAATTTAATTGCATTACGGTCAGGGAGTATTCATGTATGACTTGAATACAAGTAAGTTTATTAAGAGTCGTTTTATGGCACAGATTATGGTCCCTCTTAGTAAATGTTTTGTGTACACTTGAAAATAATGTGCATTTTGCTATTGTTGGATGAAATGTTCTATAAATGTCAATTGTGTTGAGTTGGTTGATACTATTATTCATCTCTTCCTTGTCCTTATGGTCTACTTGTTCTATCAGTTACTGAGAGAAGGGTATTTAATTCTTCAACTATTACTGTAACTTTTAGATTTATTCTTGTAATTGTACATATTTTGGTGTCATGTATTTTAGAACTGTGTTATTACACACATAAATATTTAGGATTGTTATGTTCTCTTGATGAATCGAGCCCTTATTCATTAGGAAATAAACTTATTTACTTTGGTTATATCCTTTTCACTTTAATCTGCTTTATCTAATATTAACATAGCCACTCCATTTTTCTTTTACTCTGTGTTAGCATGGTATGAGTTTTTTATCCTTTTAGTCTTAACCTCTTTGTTTCTTTATATTTAAAATGTGTTACTGACAGATGACACGTAGTTGGGTCTTGCTTTTGTATTCAAACTGAAAATCTCTGACTTTTAATTGGAGTGTTTAGACCATTTACATTTAATCTGATGATTGATAGTATATTATTAAATTAAATCAGTCACCTTGCTACTTGTTTTCTTTTTTGCATCGATTCTTGGTTTCTGCTTTACTCATTTTCTGTCTTCATTTGGATTAAGTGAGTACTTTTTATGATTTTGTTTTATCTCTTTTGTGAGCTTATTTATAGAACTTTGATATTTCAGTGATGGCTTTAGAGTTTATGGTGTACACATTTAACTTAAGACAATCTACCTTCAAGTGATATTATATTATTTCATGTGTAGTATAAAAGCATGAATTAGCATACTTCCATTTCTCCCTTTTTGGCCTTTAAGCTATTGCGATTAGACATCTTACTTCTACATATGTTATAAACTCCATGCCACATTGTAACTTTTAAAATTAATCATTAGTTTTTAAAAAAATTTAAATAGGTAATAAGAAAAAATTACATTTTTCTCCATGCACTACGGAGTTACAATTTCCAGTGTTCTTCATTCTTTTGTGTATATCCATATTTCCATCGATTCCTTTTACCTGAAACCTTTAATGTAGCACAGTCCCACTACTGATGAATAATTTCAGCTGTCATATGTTTTTGTTTCACCTTTAGTTTTGAAAAATTTATTTCCTTGATATAGAGTTTTAGCCTGAAAGTTATAGGGTTTTTCTTCTTTAAATACCTTAAAGATGTTGCTCACTGTCTCCTTTCTTGCATTTTTTTCTGAGGAGAAATCTGTCATCTTTATGTTTGTTCCTATATATGTAATGATTGAAGTTAAGTTGCTATCAGCTTAAAATAGACTGTCACAAATATAAGGTTTTTATATAAGCCTCATGGTATACAAACACACAAAAACACCTATAGTACCTCTTACCACTTGCATTCAACAAAGTCCTGAAATTCTTAGCCAGGGCAATTAGGCAAGAAAAAGAAAAAAGAAGTGTCAAATAAGAAAAAAAAAAAGTAGGCAGATCATATGATCTTAAAATTTGAAAACTCTAAAGACTACACACACACACACACACACACACACACACACACAAACTGTTAGAACTAATAAATGAATTCAGTAAGGTTGCAGGATATAAAATCAACATAAAAAAATTAGTTGCATTTCTGTTCACAACAAATCTTCTGAAAAAATAACTAAAACATCCCATTTGCAACAGTATCAAAAGAATAAAATACTTAGAAATAAACTTAAGAAGCTGAAATACTTGTACACTGAAAACTATAACCATTGATGAAAAAATTAGAGAAGACACAAATAAAATACATCCCGTGATCCTGAACTGGAAGACTTGATATTGTTAAATGTCAATACTACCCAAAGCAATCTACAGATTTAGTATAACCTTGATCAAAATCCCAATGGCATATTTTACAGAAATAAAGAACTCACCCTAAAATTAATAAGAAACCACAAAAGATATCAAATATCCAAATCAATCTTGAGAAGAAAAACAAAGCTGAAGGCATCACACTTCCTGATTTCAAAATACATTACAAAGTTATAGTAATTAAAACAGTATAGTACTTGCCTAAAAATAAACATGGAGGCCAATGGGACAGAATAGAAAGCCCAGAAATAAATGTATGCATATATAATCAACTGACCTTTGACAAGGGTGCAAAGAGTACACAATGGGGAAAGGATGGTTTATTCAACAAATGATATTGGGAAAATTGGATGTCCACATGCAAAAGAATGAAAACTGGACTTTTATCTGCACCATACACAAAAATCAACTCAAAATAGGTTAAAGACATCAGTATAAGAAACTGTAAAACTTAAAATGAAACTGTAAAACTCTTAGAAGTAAACGTAGTGGGAAAGCTTCATGACATTAAGTTTGACAATTATTTCTCGGATATGATGCCAAAAACACAAACAACAAAAGCAAAATTAAATAGGTAGGACTACATCAAACAAAAAGCCTCTGCACCACAAGGGAAATAATCAACAGAATGAAAAGGTAGCCTACAAAAAGGAAAAAAAAATTGGAAACCATATATCTGGTAAGAGATTAATATCTAAAATATATAAGGAACTCCTATAACTCAATAGTAAAAAACAAAAATAAAGAATAAATAACCTGATTTAAAAATAGGCCAGGAAGTTGAAAAGACATTTCTCCAAAAAAGACATACAAATGGCCAACAAGTACGTGAAAAGATTCTTGACATCACTAGTTATCAGGGAAATGTAAGTCAATACCACAATGAGATATCTCACACCTATTAGGATGACTATTGTTAAAAAATAAATAAATAAATAAGTGTTGGTGAGGATGTGGAAAAATTGGAACCCTTGTATATGACTGATGGAAAGTAAAAAGTTGCAGTCTCTATGGAAAACAGTATGGAGGTTCCAGAAATAATTAAAAATAGAATTACCATGTGACCCAGCAATTCTACTACACATACACACACACACACACACACACACACACACACATATGTATAAGAATACGCACATTAATTCCAATAATCTGGATATATTAATATATATTCAAAAGAACTGAAGTCAGTATCTCGAAGAGGTATATACACTCCCATGCTCATTGCATCATTATTTCTAATAGCCAAGATATGGAAACAACTTAAATATTTATTGGCAGATTAACAGATAAAGAAAAATATGATACCTACACAAGGAAATATTAATAAGCCTTTAAAAAGGAGGAAGTCCATATGGAACAACATGGATGAATCTGAATGACATTATGCTAAGTGAAATAAGCCAGTCGCAGAAGGACAAATACTGCATGATTTCTCTTAAATGAGGTGTCTAAAACAGTCAGACTTGTAGATGCAGACAATAGGATGGTGGCTGCTAGGGAATGAGCAGGGAGAGAAACAGGGAATTGCTGTTCAGTGGGAATAAAATTTCATTTATGTAAGACGAATAAGTTCTAGACATTAACACTACAACATTGTGCCTATAGTTGGCAATATTGTATTGTATTGTACACTTAAAATTTTAAGAGGATAGATCTCATGTGAAGTGTTCTTACCACAAAAAATCAATCTGCACAATAACTCTAAAATAGAGGTAGTGTAATTTTCCCTATTATCAAATGAAGAATATAAGACTTAGGGGGTTAAAAAACTTGTCTAAGTCCTCCAAGACAGAAATTGGCAGAAACAAGATCCAAACCCAGGACTTGCAACTCCAGAAAACACAAATGATGAAATTATTGAATACTAGATTTGTCATTATAAAAGTCATACACTATAATCTATATATACTGCTTGCTGTTTTGTAGTTAATTACCTTGTAATGTATTAATTATTATAGTTACATCCATCATGATATTTGTCAGATTAACTGTATTACGAGTTTTTATTGAGACAGTGTGGACTTCACTCCTATATCATTAGTCTTCTTAGTCTGTTGTTCATAAAACTTGTTCAGCTATTCATGCAGTGTGATAATTTGCTTTTAAATTAAAAATATAAAGGGAAATTTGATCCCAGTCATATTATCTCAGTATATACTTTTAGAAAAGAGCTCCGAAGCACAGGTAGGGCTGCTAGAGGGGAGCATAACTGTCCATTCTACCTACTTTTTGTGACAGGAAATGGGGATTAAGGATACAGATTTAGAAGCTG
The DNA here is from genome assembly GCF_000001405.40 of Homo sapiens. Classification (NCBI taxonomy): domain Eukaryota; kingdom Metazoa; phylum Chordata; class Mammalia; order Primates; family Hominidae; genus Homo; species Homo sapiens. The sequence continues at coordinate 20,677,358 of NC_000007.14, forward strand.
AATAATAATTATAGTCTGATTTTTAGTATCAGACTAAAAATCAGTTATCAAAGTCCTGACATCTGTCCTGACTTGGATAAATGTTTAACCATCAAAAAATACTGCCCTTTGCCAGTAATCCAGCACTTTGGCAGGCAGAGGCAGGTGGATCACCTGAGGTCAGGAGTTCAAGAACAGCTTGGCCAACATGGCAAAACCCTGTCTCTACTAAAAATACAAAAATTAACCGGGTGTGGTGGTGCACGCCTGTAATTCCAGCTACTCGGGAGGCTGAGGCAGGAGAATCGCTTGAACCCGGGAGGTGGAGGTTGCAGTGAGCTGAGATCACACCACTGCACTCCAGCCTGTGTGACAGAGCGAGACTCTGTCTCAATAATTAATTAATTAATTTAGTTTATAAAAGTACCCTTTGCCCCTCTTTCTACCTAGTCCCGCTGTTTAAATGACTCCCTTAATATCTGTTATGTGGGAAAAACCAGCTGAAGTAGACTCACATTGAATCCTTTTTACCTCTGTCAATGATCAAGACCAGCTACATAGTTTGTGGGGTCCAGCACAAAATGAAAATGTAGAGCCTCTTCTTCAAAAACTATTAAGAACTCCAGAATGACAGCAGCAGAGCATTAAGCCAAGAGTCATGCCCTTCTAAATCTTTCTTACTTTTAAACCAAAGTGCAATACATGCACATTAAATAAAATTGGGAAAACTGAGATGAGAAAAATATAATCCATAGATCCAATAAGTAAGAACAGGTACTATTAGTATATTGATATATTTCTACATAGGTGTCTTTTTTATGGGAAATTTTTTTAAAACATAATTATAATAGGATACATATTTTTCCTGCATTTTTACAGGTAGCATTATATCATACATCTTTTCCACATTATCATTTAATCTTAATAGCCAATGCTTTGGGAGGTTCCCTTCTCTTATAGATTTGGAAAAAAGTTTGAAAGAAATTATCACCTGCTTCATCAAGTTTATCTATTGCAATGAAGAGACCTTGTGGAGAGAAGAGGGAAAACCACACTGGGTTTTAGTACCAGTCCTTCCAGTGACTGGCTGAGGCCCTGAACAAGCTTCTTAACTTTCTGAGTTCCATTTTCCTGCTCTATAATAGATAAGAATAAGAAAAGTAAATAGCAGTAACACAGTAATAGTATGAATAGTAACAATACTAGCTGTCGATTGTTGATTCCCTGGCAAATCTGTAGTGCCAGAAGTGTCAGTTATTGTGCTAGGCATTTACAAAACAAAAACAAAAACAAAAACAAAAACAAAAAAAAACACATTACCTCAAGAATAGTCCACAAAATCTTTCAGAGGAAGAATAAGCTTGAAGAGGTAAACTAATAGTTTTCAATACCTGTTTTAAGTCTTTAGTAGTTAAGACAGCATAGCATTGGTGCAGTGACAGACAAGCTGACCAGCCCAATAGCAAATAGAATACAAAAACAGACACAAAACAATTGTCACCTGATTTATGGTAAAGGCAGTTCTGCAGTATAGTAGGGAAATGATGGTCTTCAAAATACGCTGCCGGGACACCTGGTTAACTCTATGGGGAAAATGTACATTGACTTCTACTTGGCATCACATACAAAAACTAATCCCAGGTGTTACATATCACATCCAAATATGAAAGGCAAATGACAAAGATTGTAAGGTAAAACATAGGAAAACATCTGTGTGACCTTGGAGTAAAGATTTCTTAAAACTACACAAAAAGCATAAATTGTAAAAGAAAAAAAATTGATAAATTGGACTTCATTAAAATTTTGAAATTCTGTTCATGAAAAGACACCATTAAGAGAGTGAAAAGAAAGCCAGGCACGGTGGTTCACGCCTGTAATCCCAGCACTTTGGGATGCTGAGGTGGGTGGATCACCTGAGATCAGGAGTTCAAGATCAGCCTGGCCAACATGGTAAAACCCCATCTCTGCTAAAAATACAAAAAATTAGCTGGGCATGGTGGCAGGTGCCTGTAATGCCAGCTACTCTGGAGGCTGAGGCAGGAGAGAATTGCTTGAACCTGGGAGGCAGCTGTTGCAGTGAGCTGAGATCATGCCATTGCACTCCCGCCTGGGCAACAAGAGCTAAACTCCATCTCAAAAAAAAAAAAAAAGAGAGAGAGAGAGAAAGAGAGTGAAAAGACAATCACATAAACTTTCATTGTAATACATGGTATTTAACAAAGTTCTCACTTCTACAGTATATAAACAACTCATGAAAATTGAAAAGAAAAATACAGTTCTAATAGAAAAATGAGAAAAAATGTGGACAATTCACAAGAGAGAATATCCAAATTGTCACTAATCATTTGAAAAGTTGTTCAACTTTATTAGTCATCGAGAAAATGCAAATAAAAATATGATAGTTCTCACCCATCAGACAGAAAGAACCAAGTCTTAGTCAGAATATAGAGCAACCATGGCTCTCTTGCACTATTGGGGGGTTTATAAAATAGGGCAACCACTTTGAAAAACTATTTGGCAGAATCTAGTGAAGCAGAGCATATACACACTTTACGACTCAGCAATTCCTCTCCTAGGTGTAACACTAGAACTGTGTACATATGTTCATCAAATAAACATTTACAGCAACCTATAAATAGTAGGGGGAAAAAAAAACTTAAAAACTATCCAAATGTCAATCAGGAATAGAATGGATAAATAAGTTGTGGTATAGTCACGCAATAGAATACTGTGTGGCAATAAGAATAAATTATCCGCAACTCTATAAAACCAAATGGATGAATCTCAAAAACATAATGTTGAGTGAAAAGACCCAGATACAGAAGAGTATACAATGCACAATCTCATTTATATAAATTACCAGAAAATCAAAACAAGTTATGCTGTTAGAAATCGGGATAGTGGTGACCCTTGGTATAGGTGAGTGCTAAGAGTGACTTGAGGCCGAGCGCGGTGGTCACGCCTGTAATCCCAGCACTTTGGGAGGCCGAGGCGGGTGCATCACAAGGTCAGGAGATCGAGACCATCCTGGCTAACACGGTGAAACCCTGTCTCTACTAAAAATGAAAATAAAATAAAACAAAATAAATAGCCGGGCGTGGTGGTGGGCACCTGTAGTCCCAGCTACTCAGGAGGCTGAGGCAGAATGGCGTGAACCCGGGAGACGGAGCTTGCAGTGAGCCGAGATTGCGCCACTGCACTCCAGCCTGGGCGACAGAGCCAGACTCCGTCTCAAAAAAAAAAAAAAAAACCGACTGACTTGAAAAGAGCATGAGATGGACTTGTGGGTGCTGGTAATGATGGGATTCTTGACCTGGATACCATGATACGGGCAAATTCCGTTTGAAATGCACTGATCTGTATGTACCCTTATGTGCATTTTTCCATATATTAATGATACTTGTAAAAAAGTTAAAAATATATATTACTTTTAATTTGTACCCAACTAGTTAAGTAATATCCCCATTTTAAAGATGAAAACAATTAACTTTCTGACTTTCTTTTTATTCTAATTTCTATTGGCCTTCTTATTCTATTAAAGTTTCCAAATTTCTCTGCCCAAGGATAAGATACTTGAATATTTAAAACAATACTGCAACAAAGATTTCTTCTTTCCCTCCCTCCCTCCTTTCTTTTTCTTTCTTTCTTTCTTTCTTTCTTTCTTTCTTTCTTTCTTTCTTTCTTTCTTTCTTTCTTTCTCTTTCTTTCTTTCTCTCTCTCTCTCTTTCTTTCTTTCTTTCTTTCTTTCTTTCTTTCTTTCTTTCTTTCTTTCTTTCTTTCTTTCTTTCTTTTTCTTTCTGTCTTCTTTTTTGAGACGGAGTTTCCTGTTGCCCAGGCTGGAGTGAAATGGCATGACCTTGGCTCACTGCAACCTCTGCCTCCTAGGTTCAAGCGATTCTCCTGCCTCACCCTTCCAAGTAGCTAGGATTCCAGGTGCCCGCAACCAAGCCTGGCTAATTCTTGTATTTTCAGTAGAGATGGAGTTTTACCATGTTGGCCAGGCTGATCTCTAACTCGTGACCTCAGGTGATCCACCCTCCTCGGCCTCCCAAAGTGCTGGAATTACAGGCATGAGCCACCATGCCGGGTCAACAAAGATTTCTTAAACAGTGCAAAGGTTGTTATTTCTACTAATGTCTATTTATTTTCTATGCATTTTATTCTGTAGGCGAGCAAAGGTCGGACTACAATCGTGGTAGCACACCGACTTTCTACTATTCGAAGTGCAGATTTGATTGTGACCCTAAAGGATGGAATGCTGGCGGAGAAAGGAGCACATGCTGAACTAATGGCAAAACGAGGTCTATATTATTCACTTGTGATGTCACAGGTAATGCTTATGTGACATAATGCTATGTCAGCAGGGTTTAACGTTTCAGAGATCATACCACACTAGAAAACAAAAGTTGCAAATTATAATCTTAAATTTCAAAAAGCAACCAAGGTTTATAGTTCCTCAGTAAAGAAATGGAGTGTTTCAAATCCTCAGTGTTGTGCTCAATAATATGATGAAAGTTGAAGAACTAATGGGTACCTGGTACCTAATATCTGCCAGGCACACTTCAAATAGGCTTCAAAACTTGTATGTGACCAGAAAGGGTGGCTCACACCTGCAATCCCAGCAATTTGGGAGGTCGAGGCGGGCGGATCATGAGGTCAGGAGATCGAGACCATGCTGGCCAACATGGTGAAACCTTGTCTCTCAAAAACACACAAAAATTAGCTGGGTGTGGTGGTGTGTGCCTGCAATCCCAGCTACTCAGAAGGCTGAGGCAAGCGAATTGCTTGAACTAGGGAGTCGGAGGTTGCAGTGAGCCCAGATTGCGCCACTGCACTCCAGCCTGCCGACAGAGCGAGACTCCATTTCAAAAAAACGAACAAACAAACAAACAAAAACTTGTATGTGGAAGATACTGTGATGTTTGGTTAGAACACAAAGAAATATAACACACAGTCTTTACTTAAAGACTTAAAACTCAGCTACAGAGGCAAATTGCAAAATTGTGCATATAGATATTATTAGTTGTAAAAAGAAAAAGCAAGATTGATGGGGAGAGACAGAGCTATATTACCCACAAAAGGCTTCATGGAAGAGGTCTTTAAGGTTAAAAGGTGGGAGTTGGGGGTGAACATAAAGGACAAATTCAGGTAGGCAGAACAACAGCATAGAGGTAAGAAGGAACTTGGTGTGCGACTGAAACAAAAAGGAGGTAGCTTTCCTTAAGTACTTATGAGTGTTGAGGGTATAATGGAAAAGAGTTGGAAAATAACCATCAGATCATGGACGTTCTGAGAAGCCAGGCAGAAGGGTTGAGACTTAACGTATGTAGGAAGCACCTAAGACAATGCCTGGCACACAGTGGGCACTCAATAAACACTTGCTGAATGAAGGGATGCACACGTAAAACCTTACTATGTGCATGCTACCACATCACCACAGATGGACCAGAAAGCTCATACTGGGCAATCAAGCTGGGGCATGATGATGCTGGAGGCACACGGCAAATTCCCCTTCTTTAGGATCCATACTTGCGTGTGTCATGGATCCACCCTACTGGATTTCACATAACTTTCTCATTAGGGCACATTAATATGAGTCATGGGAATTAGGCTCTAGCTCTCTTCTTTGTTCTCGCCCAGCTTTCTTCTCTTGACCTGGAAGGCATCCTTTTTTCGAAGGGCTCTTCTACAGATAACTGATTTCAACCCTTTTTGGTCTTCTTCAGCTTTCTGATAATATCTTTGATGTCAATATTATTATTTTATAAATTAGGAAATTTAGAAAGTTATGAGCCTCCATCTCCTCATCAAGTTTATAACTTCAAATTTCAAACCCTAACTTTCTCCATTGTGCTAAAATGAAATATTTCTGAACATACCCTAAGAAGCAATAACAGTAAAATAGGTTTGAAAATGTAGTTTTTATTAATTGAAAAACTGTCTGATTCTCATTTTATTTCATATTAGTTCACATTTTGTGTCTCAAAAATAAAAGTGAGGTGTTATTTGATAATCGAATTTTTATTCCACAGTAGACCTAATAATTTACGAGGTTTAATATTTTGAAACTAATATGAGTTGGAATAATAGGAAATAACTGGTCGAATTAAGCCTATTTTAAGATTTTTTAAACACTATTAATACTAGTATAGTCAGATCTTTCTTTGGAGTAGTACATCTTTATTTTTTATTGTAATTAAACTAAAAATCCATTATAGGTCTTAAGTTAAATGCTTTCACAATGTATAAAAAGCAAAAATGGTGTGTTTGTGGGATGAGTGTGTAAAAATTTTAAACACCTTATTTAAAATGGATTAGTATTCTCTGGTTACCTAAAATGATGCCCAATCAGATATAACAACACCGTTTTAAATATTAATACTAAGTATAATATTCTAAGCATGGTACAGTAAATGTAACATACATAATATCTACACAAACACTTTTGAAATGTGAAGATCTGCACATTCTTATTTGCCAAGATTGACTGCGGTATCAAAATGTGTCAATTTTGATAATTCGTGATTATCACAAATATCACAGTTAATGCTGCTAAAATAATCCCGAGAAGCAATATAGCAATGTGGTTAAGATGATGAACTCTTGGTCACTACAAGTTGACTCTACCACTAATAGTTTTAGTCCTTGGCAAGTTATTTAAATTCTCAGTGCATCAATTTCCTAACCTTTAACAAGAGGGAAATGGTAATAACCTATTAATAAATTATTGTGAGTATTAAACAGGCAAAATCATGTGAAGTACTTAGAATTATTGTTAGTGTAATAAATTTTATTATGTTATTGACATTAACATTATTTTATCAAACTTTTTAGAAAAGTTCAAACTATGGAGACTAATATTATAATTATTTATTTAGACTGTCCATGGTTATATACATGTATATTGCTTTAGTGAGTTTGTATGTGAAAATGAAATATAAACATGTAGAGATATACACATATCAAAACTTACTGTCATCATTATTTTGTCCAGCGACCTTCTCAAGAAAAGAAAATTTCCTTGACTTATTAAAGCACCTTCTCAGAAAATGTATTATGAAGAGAGGTCAAAGTTCTATTTTAAACTTGCCACAAAGTGAGAAACTCCTGGGGGCAGGGGAGAAAAGCCAAACAAGGCAGGACATGACGGCTGGTTCCTGTAATCCCAGCTACTTGGAAGGCTGAGGCAGGAGGACTGCTTGAGCTGAGGAGTTTAACACTAGCTTGGGCAACACAGTGAGACCTACTCTCTAAATAAGTAAATAAATAAATAAAAACAAAAAATAAAAAATTTCAAAGCCATATAAAATATTTCTTTCATGGCAGAGACATTTACAGGAAAAAAGAGAAAATGATAGCAAAAAGGAATGCCTGATTAAAGATGTTTGGATAGTCCGGGGCTGGTTAAAGTTCATTGTCCCTTTAAATGACTGATTACAGTTGTTAGGCTTATCAAAGAATCACCGTGTCCCTGGAAACTCTTCCATGTGCACATTCTCCTTGTGCACCTAAATCGACCTACATTTTCCATCTCTTCCCCACGTTGGCCAGACCTGCTGGCAACTTAGCTGGGCTTCTCATTTCTCTTGTCCTTCTCCTCCCATCTCCTCCTGGGAAAGTCATTGATTTACTCAAACCACATTCAAATGAACAGAGAATCTGTAGCTCCTTTATTTCACTAAAGTGGTCTTTTTAGTAGAGACAGGGTGTTACCATGTTGGCCAGGCTGGTCTGAAACTCCTGGCCTGAAGTGATCCGCACGTCTCGGTTTCCCAAAGTGCTGGGATTACAGGGGTGACGACTGCACCTGGTCTTTAATGTTAATTTGATTGCTTTGGAATTTCTTATTGTTGAGGAGTAGGCCCTGTTAGTTTTGTGTTTTGTTCACAGTTCAGAATGGGTAGCAGGGGCAGGCCTGGAAAGCATGATTGTCTCCCAAGGTCTCTCTCAGGCCCAGCCTCACATATAAGTACCCAACTAAATACTACAAGGTCATAAGCCCCAGAAATGGCTAGGAGGAAGGCGTCAGAAACAGTATCTTCTGTCTCAAAAAGCTCCTGTTACTAAGATCTCTCCTTGTTAGTGATATAATTGCTTGGATTAAGGCATTGTTTTCTGCAGGTGATTATACATGTCTTTGGAAAAGAAAGGACAATGAGCTATTGTCAGTCACTAACATTTTAGTATGAGATAGACTTATCAGCTCTCTATCAAGCCTGAAAGCTGTTCAGCAAGAACTACATTAGAATATGCCACTTTCAATAGCAAAGGCGATAACAGCTTTAAAGAGATGCTTAATAAGTTTCCTTGAATTTTTAAGGCATTCTTATAATGATAACCTATATATTCTTCCTGTAAGGATATTAAAAAAGCTGATGAACAGATGGAGTCAATGACATATTCTACTGAAAGAAAGACCAACTCACTTCCTCTGCACTCTGTGAAGAGCATCAAGTCAGACTTCATTGACAAGGCTGAGGAATCCACCCAATCTAAAGAGGTAATGGCTCAGCGATCAACCAGTTTTTCCTGCATGTTTTCTAATTTTGATTTAATCCTTACAAAATTTAAAATTTATTTATAGTAAAATATTACTTACTGTAGCACTAAGCTCACAAAACATGTCTTTCCCAAATTTCACTCTAGCATCAGTGTGTCACTCTAGGTAAGGCTGCCTAATAAGGCTGCATTTATATCAGAGGCCCTTCTTTATTGGGGAAAAAAAAATCTCGTGAGACTGTTACATGATGTTTTTCCTATGAAGCAAACCATAGGTTAAAACAGTGCCTCGGCAAATGTGATACAGATACCAATGGTGATGCTCAAGATTAATTTGGGTCAGGTCAGAGGCATAAATGCATGCCACTCCCGGAATGCAGATAGGCCCAGCACATACACCACCCAGGCTTGCAGTCCCAGGGCACAACCTGAGAAGCCTTGCTCACTTGGATGGGAGTATTTGTTCCCATGCTTACTGTGCCCACTCCTACCCCCAAAGCCCCAGGCTCTGCCTGAGCCCCACATCACCTGCTTTGACTCTCCTTCTGCTGATACCCCTCATACCTCCCAGCAGTTCCCATCTGCACCTGAAGTCTCACTTTTCTGTCTCAATTCCACTTTCCTTCTCTTAACACGCCCGACACCTGCTTTGAGCCTCCACCACACATCCTGAACATTCTCTGCAGCACCCTTTTACAACACACCCTTCCATCTTAATCTCACCTTAACCCATGCTTCTCCCAGCCTCCGCATTCACTGAGCTCCAGCCCTCTTCCCAAACCCAGTCGACCTTTGCTAGCCCCTGGTGCTCTGTAACCTCACATGCCTTGAAATCCCTCACCCTTGCCCCTGTATCTCAGCTTCAGTCCCCTAACCTCCAGCATCCATACCATCTCACACCTATCCTTGGCCCATTGTTTCCTCCCAAACTAGAGTTTCCTTCTTCTCCTTGGGACTGACAGAGACTTGAGATTGAATCTCCTCTTAGCCCGTCTTCATGCCCACTTTCCTTGGTCTCATCTGTCAATTATCTGCCTGAAGCCCCTGGATTATCTGCCCCAAAACCCCTCTTGCCCTTCTCTGGCATTGCTAATCCATTGCTTTTAATTTTAGCTACAACTCTTTCCTTTTAGGTATGTGGTCCTCTATAGCCATTTACACTCAGACATTTTTCCTTTTCTGCTAATTTTATTTTTTTAAGTCTATTTAAATAAATAAGCATGCAAAGAAAAATAATGGTATAGATGGTATACCATATGACAAATGTATGTTAAGAATATAGTACAAGAAAGTTTGTACTGAGACACTAGGCAAGAGTGGAGGAAACACTGTGTTAAAACATCTATTGATAGCTGCTGGACCTCCCTCAGCAACTGCTGAAAACACTATGGAAATCTGCCTCTAGGTCTAAAAATTCACCGTATTTATGAAGTGGATTTTCAAAACCTAAGAAAGATAAAAAACGAAAATTAAAAAGGAATTTCCAGATTTCTGGACAAAATGATATAATTGGTTTACAATCTGATACAACTACGTGCTCCACACATGGAAACTGATAAAATATAAAATGAGAAAAAACAATAAAATGTATCTAGGCTCTAAAACAGGAGGAATATCTCTTCACACCAGAACTAGAGCAAAAGCACAAAGTGGTGAGCTGGACAATAGTCACAGACCTGCTCTGAAAAGAAGGCTGAAAAACCTGGTTAGCCAATGCCTGGAGCTAAAGTTTATAGAAATCCGTGAGCCTGGGGAAGCAGGAAACAGAGAAAGTGTCCTACAACCAAGAACCGAAATAAGCTAAGGAGTGACTCAATGGCCATATTTTTAAGGGACTCTTTCAGACTGTGGTAATCCAGTGAAAAATAAACAAGGAAGTGAAGAGACTGTAATAATCAATAATGAGCTGGGGACAGTGACAGGTCTATAATAATAGCTACAAGAGAGGTTAAGGTAGGAGGATTGCTTGAGCTTAGGAGTTCAAGGCTGCAGTGAGCTATGATCATGCCACTGTACCCCAGCCTGACTGACAGAGCAAGAACCCATCTCTGAAATAAATAAAAATAAAATAAATAGGCCAGGTGAGTGGTTCACGCCTATAATCCCAGCACTTTGGGAGGCTGAGGTGGGTAGATCACTCGAGGTCAGGAGTTCAACACCAGCCTGACCAACATGGTGAAACCCTGCCTCTACTAAAAATATAAAAAATTAGCTGGGCGTGATGGCACATGCCTGTAATCCTAGCTACTCGGGAGGCTGAGGCAGGAGAATTGCTTGAATCCGGGAGGCAGAGGTTGCAGTGAGCTAAGATCATGCCACTGCACTCCAGCCTGGGCAACAGAGTGAGACCCGGTCTCAAAAAACAAACCAAAAAACAAAATAAAATAAAATAAAATAAACAAAGATCAATAATGAAATGAAAAAGAAATGGAGCAGTATTTTAGAACAGAGTTAATGGGAGTTCTATTAGTCTGGGTCCAGTCAGGAGATAGAAAGCACACAATGAAAGAGAAAGTTTAGTATAATGAATCATTAAGAGGGGATTGTAGTATGGGGAGTTGGGTAGCGAAAGTTAAGACATCTCTACCATCTCACACCAGTTAGAATGGCGATCATTAAAAAGTCAGGAAACAACAGGTGCTGGAGAGGATGTGGAGAAATAGGAACACTTTTACACTGCTGGTGGGACTGTAAACTAGTTCAACCATTGTGGAAGTCAGTGTGGCGATTCCTCAAGGATCAAGAACTAGAAATACCATTTGACCCAGCCATCCCATTACTGGGTATATACCCCAAGGATTATAAATCATGCTGCTATAAAGACACATGCACACGTATGTTTATTGCAGCACTATTCACAATAGCAAAGACTTGGAACCAACCCAAATGCCCATCAATGATAGACTGGATTAAGAAAATGTGGCACATATACACCATGGAATACTAGGCAGCCATAAAAAAGGATGAGTTCATGTCCTTTGTAGGGGCATGGATGAAGCTGGAAACCATCTTTCTCAGCAAACTAACAAGGACAGAAAACCAAACACGGCATGTTCTCACTCATAGGTGGGAATTGAACAACGAGAACACTTGGACACAGGAAGGGGAACATCACACACCAGGGTCTGTGGTGGGGTGGGGAGAGGGGGGAGGGATAGCATTAGGAGATATACCTAAGGTAAATGACGAGTTAATGGGTACAGCACACCAACATGGCACATGTATACATATGTAACAAACCTGCACGTTGTGCACATGTACCCTAGAACTTAAAGTATAATAATAAAATAATAATAATAATAATAAAAGAAAGTTAAGACACCTCTAAAGAATACAGAAGTAGCAGATAAAAGTAGCACCCCACTACCGCTGGAGTGAAATACAGCACCCATCGATGATCCCTTTCTTCTCTCCCAGCAAGGCGGAGAGGCAGGCCTCAATGGAAAGGGCACAGCTGTGGTTCACTGGATGGCAGAGCAGTTGCTGTGGTACCTTGCTGGTGGGGCTTGCTGGAAATCTGCCCTCAAGGGTGGCAAGGGAGACCTTCCACAGGACGGTGCTGAGCTTCAGAACCTGTCAGGTGCTGGGGAAACTACTGGCCACTGAGCACTACTGGAACAAGAAGCTAGCCAAGATTGTCATCTGCAGGAGTCTAGGGCAGTTCTGCATGTGGGAGGGTGCAGGCATTAGTGACCTGGCTGAGACATAGGACTGTGCTCATAGTTATGCCTCTGTAACCTAAGCCAAGAGCTAGAGAAAGCACCCAGTGGCCACACAGAAGAGAAAGCTGCATTCTGCAGGCACCTGCCTCTGAAAAACTATGCAGGCAGAACAGAGGAGAAAAAAAACCATCCTGCAGGAGCTTTCCCAGGGAGCACCAGAAAGATAAGGAAGAAAAACCTCCTCCTGCAATGTCTTTGCGGCACCCTCTACTGACAGGGCTTAACCTCTTGCCCACTGGTAAAGGAGAAATATTTATTAGGCAAAAAAGTGAATTTGAACCAGAGAGGCAATAAGTCAATAACCAGGACAGGGGTGGTAATATTTCAGACAGGGGCACAGCAAGCATGAGGGCCTGGATTTGGGGGTCCCAATGACTAACGACAGGGGTAGGCAGAGAGGCGTGTGGGACACTGAGGGACCGGTTCATGCAGGGCCTCTTAGGCCATCATGACAAGTTTGGATTCTATTCTTCCTCTAACAAAAAACCTTCAGGAGTTTTTAAACAGTGGTTCATGACCTATAGGGAATTTCTGAATAGATTTCAGAGCCCATTAACCTGAATGAATAAAAAATCACAACTTTTTCCCCCCATTAACCCTTGATAGAAATGTAACATTTACTTTGTGAATCTAAGCAACAAACTACAATAGTATTACCAGTATTTGTGACATCACGAACGGATACCACAGAAATTTTAATATAACATTGCCCTTATAGATAATTTACAATATATTTACACTCATCATTATTATATCTTATGTTCTAATAATGAACCACATTCATAACTGTATCACAACTTTAGGTTACTTGTTAAATATTTTGAATACGATGTTTCAATGGAATTGGCTTTCTTGGAGTCCTATGTATCATTTAGTATATTTACACATTTCTTCAGGGAAGGATTCCATAGACTTCACCAGTCTTCCAAAGGAGTCCACGAAATAAAACAGGTGAAGCACTGCTGCATTAGAGGGTCTTATTCAGAAGGGCACATGGTCTGATCTACTCCATGTGGCTACAGTTTGGAGAACAGTGTGTGGGGGCCAGAGTAAGATGAGGGAAAGCAGAACGGAGAGGAGGTGATGGAGGCTGAATAATGAACTTGATTGGTCTCACTAAAGCTGTCAGCGGAGAAATAAAATATAGATGGATAAAAGAGTAGGACAGGGGAATGAGAGTCAGGACCCTGCACCATTTAGATTCGGATAGAAAAAGTCACTAGTGAAGGGATCCTAACAAATGGCTGGCAAAATAAGAGGAAACCCAGGAGAGTGTTGTATCATAGACACCAAAAAAGAAATGTGGTACAGAAGAAGGAAGAGATCATTTTTGTTAACTGCCGTGAAGAATCACATAAAATTAGAGATTTTCACTTTCAACCAAGATAGATTAACAGGGACTAGATTTACTTTCCTGCTTGATAGAACTAAGAAACTGAACAAAATATGTGAAATAATGGCTTCTGACATTGGACATCATGCAAAGTAGGATAGTGATCTCTGTGGAAGGAGAAATAAATGAGATGAAACTTGTCATTGACCCAGTTTAAGGTCTGAGTAGTTTTCAGGCCTCGGAGCCTAGAGGGAAAACACAGACAAAACCCAGTGGACTTTTTTTTTTTTTTTTTTTTTTTTTTTTTTTTTGAGACGGAGTTTCACTCTTGTTGCTCAGGCTAGAGTGCAATGGCGCAGTCTCGGCTCACCGCAAACTCCGCCTCCCGAAACTCAGTGGACTTTGAGTTGAGGAGACAGAGCTAAGAGTTGAAGGAGGCCAAAGTAGCCAGAGGTTTCAGAGCAAAGAACCGGAGAGGAGAGAACTTCTCAGAAAGAGAAAAGCCCAGAGATCTGCAGAGGTTCTCCTTTGAGTCTTCATCCGACTACTGATCAGTGTATTTATTGAGGAAACTACCAGAGGCAGGGTATATATCTACCAGAAAAGATTAAAAGGAGCAATTCTTAGAAGTCACACAGGGCCAGGAAAAGTTCTTATTAAACTAACTGGAGTAGAAAATCTTTAAATTCATTTTTATTTATTTATTTATTTATTTATTTATGATTATTATACTTGAAGTTTTAGGGTACATGTGCACAACGTGCAGGTGAGACACTGGGTAAAGTGTTAAGAAAGATATTGCCTCAGAGGGGAAGATAATTAGTCCTAGACTAAACTCTGCACTAAACCTAACTAACAAATCCTAATAGCAAGACTCAAAAGGATTAAACTGTTTCCAAGTAATTTAAATGTGTTCCAGAACAAGGCTCAGTAACATTTACGAGAATTCAGAAATACCTAGTCCCCAAAAGTTTAAAATTTACAATGTCTGGCATCCATTCAAAAATCACCAGGCAAGCAAAAAAGGAGAAAAAAAATGTACCCAAAATGAAGAGAAAAATCAGTCAATAATAGAAATAGACCCGGAAATGGCACACTTAGTAGAGTTAGTAGAGACATTAAGCATTTATTATATCTATATTCCGTATGTACATATGTCCCCAAAGGAAGTCCAAATCATTGAAGAAATAATGCTTTAAAAATTTGCCAATTTGATGAAAACTTAAAATCCACAGATTCAAGAAGCTCAATAAATTCTAAGCATAAGAAACATAAGAAATCCTACACCTAGGTATATCATAATCAAACTGCTTAAAACCAATGTTAAGGAGAAAACTACTAAAGCATCCAGAGAAATTGACACAATATAGATGAGGAAAAAGACAAGAAAGCTACAAACTTCTCATCAGAAACAATGCAAACAAGAAGATAATGGAGCAATATTTTCAAAGCACTGAAAGAAAAAGAAAACACCTCAAATCAGAATGCTATTTACAGAAAAATGCCCAATAAAAAGGAAGGCAAAGTTCAGACATTTTCAGAAATTAAAGGTTAAAATAATTAACTACCAGCACACCTACACTACAAGAAATATTAAAGGAAGTCCTTTGAGCAGAAGGAAAGTGATACTAGATGGAAATCTGAATATACACAAAGGAATGAAGAGTATCAGTAATAGTAAATATACAAGTTACTATAAAAGAATGGTTTGTATATTTACATTTTTGATATGTTTAAAAGCATACTTATTTTTCAAAGAAAAAAGAACATTATATTATGGGTTTTTTTAAGACAAGTATTAGTAAAATGTTTGAAAACAATAGCCAAAACACTGGGAAAAAGAAACTAAAGTATTATATTTTAAGGTTCCTAAGTGGTATATAACATTGTCTGAAGGTAGATTGTGATGTTAAGGACAGCCAAAGTAATTTTCTTAGAGCAAACAACATTACTAGGGATAAAGAAGTTTCTTTCAAAATTAAAAAGGAATCAGTTTATCCAGAACTGCAAATAGACAAATCTCCAATTGTATTCAGAGATTTCAACACCCTTCTACTAAATCTTAGTAGAACAAGTAAATAGAAATTCGGCAGAAACATAGATGACTTTAATAGCACTATCAACAAATTTGACCTAATAAACATTTGTAGAAGACTTCACATATTAACAACAGAGTATGTCTTCTTCTCAAATGCACTTGAAACATTTACCAAAATAGACCATATTCTGGACTATAACACAAGTCTCAATAAACTTTTAAAAATTCACATAATACCAGCCTGGGTAACATAGGGAGACCCTGTTTCTACAAAAAAAAATAATAATAATTAACCAGGAATAGTGGCATGTTCCTGTAGTCCCAGCTACTGGAAGGCTGATATAGGAGGATTACTTGAACCCAAGACTTTGAGGCTGCAGTGAGCTATGATTGCATTACCGTACCCCATGTTGGGTAACAGAACAAGACCCTGTCTCAAAAAAAAGAAAAAAAATCAAGAAATGCAAAGTATATTACCTGACCAATATGGAATAAAGTCAGAAGTCAATAACAGAAAGTGGTCTGGGAAACCTTGAAATATTTATAAACTACATAACTCACTTCTAAATAATGCACAAATCAAAGGAAAAATCAAAAGAGAAACTCAAAAGTGTTTTGAATTGAACAAAAATGAACACTGAACATATCAAAATGTATAGGAAGCTTAAAGTGATACTGAGAAAGAAACTTGTACCACTAAACACCTATACTATCTAAAAATCTCAAATTAATATACTAAGCTTCCACCTTAAGATACCAGAAGGAAGAAAATAACAAAGAAAAATCAATCAAATACAAAGCTGGTTCTCTGGGAACATCAATATTGAACTCACTGAGCAAGAAAAAAAAGAAGATACAAACTGCCAACATCAAGAATGAAAGAGCTGACATCACTACAGATTCTACATATATTAAAAGACTAATAAAATAATCTTATTAAAACATTTATGCAAACAAATCCTACAACTCAGATGAAATGAGCAAATTCCCTAAAGTTTACAAACTACCAAAGCCCACTCAAGAATAAATTGATAGTTTGAATATTCTTACATTTATTTTAAAAAATTGAATCTGTGGTTAAATTCTTTTTTCCCTAAAAAAAAAAACAAAAAAACAAAAAAACTTTAAGCCATATGGCTTTACTGATGACTTCTATTAAAAAAAAAAGTGATAAGGAAGAAGTTCTTATTCTATGAGACCAACATCATTACTCTGATATCAAAATTAGACAATGAGATTACAAAAAAAATAAAATTATAGACAAATATCAGCCATGAACATAGACGAAAGAATTCTTAACAAAATGTAACAAATCTAATCCAACCATATAGAAAAAGAATAATATATCATCACCAAGTAGGACTGTTCTAAAAACTGAAAAGTTGGTTTAACATTCAGAAATTAATGTAATTCTCCTAATTAAAAAAATTAAAAAGAAAAAACCAATTATCTCAATCAATGCAGAAAACCCATTTGATAAAATACCCCATCATTTTTTGATAACTCTCAGCAAGCAACGAATTAAAAGAAATTCCTTCAACCTGATAAAAGGCAGCTACAAAAAACAACGGCTAACATCATACTAAATGGTGAAAGACTAAGATCGAGAACAAGGCAAGGGCATACACTACATCTATTGAACATTGTACTGGAAGTTCTGGCCTGTTCAATAAGGCAAGAAAATAAAAGCATCCAGGTAGGAAAGGAACATGTAGGAGTGTCTTTATTCACAGATGGCATGATTACTTATGCAAACAATCTTATGGAATCTACACATACACACACATACACGTACTAAAACTAATAAAGTTTAGCAAGGTTGTAGAATATGTGACAATATACTAAAATCAATCCCAATTCTATATACTACAAGTGGGAAGTGGGAAATTAAAAATAAAAAAATAATTTTATGTACAATAGTACCAAAATATTAAATTATAGGGAATAAATGTGATCAGAGATTGTAAAACCCACACACTGCAATCTATAAAATATTACAGAGAAAAACTACTGAGAAAAATAGACTAAATAAATTAAAAGATATTTTCAATGTGAGTGAATAAGAAAATTCAGTATAGTTAAGATGTTCTTTCTCCTCCAATTGAATTCACATGGAAATGCAGAAAGCCAAAATAGTCAAAATAAATTTTTTTTAAAAAGAGCAAAGTTGGAAGAGGGATACTACCTGATTTCAATTCTGTTTCAACTACTATATAAAGCTAATTACTAATTCTCATTTCAATTACCTATAGAACTATAGTAATCAAAACATTTCAATGGCATACAAATAGACAAATAGATCAATGGAACAGAAAAGAGAGCTGAGAAGTAGTCCCACACATAAATGGTCAATTGCTTTTCAACACAAGGGCAAAGGCAACTCAATTAACAATTTTTTTTTTCAAAAAATGATTCTGGATCAATTATATATCTATAGACAAAATAATCAGCCACAACCCATACCTCAAACCACAGATGAAAATTAACTCAAAATGGATTAAAGCCCTTACGTAAAACCTAAAATAATAAAACTTCTATAAGAAAATGCAATAAAAAAATCTTCACGACTTTGTGTTAAGCAAAGATCTCCTAAATATAACAACAAATGCATAATTTATAAACAAAAAAATTGATAAGTCAGACATTACCAAAATCAAGAACTTCATTATTTGTAAAACACTTCAAAGAAAATGAAAAGGATAGACCATAAACTAGGGGAAAATGTTTGTAAATCACATATCTGATCAGGACTTGTATCCAAAAAATATAAAGAACTCCCAAAGCACAATAATAAAAATACAAACAACCCAATTAAATGTCAGCAAAAGATTTGAAAAGGCATTTTGCTAAACAAGATGAGCACATTGGAAATAAGCACACAAAAAGATGCCCAACGTGGTTAGTCATTTCAGAAATGCAAAAAAAAAATCACAATGAGAAATCACTATACACCTGTTAGAATGGTTAAATCTAAAGAGACTGACAGTACCAAATATTGGTGATGGTGGGGTGCAACTGGAGCTTATTTAGCTGGTGGGAGTATAAAATGCTAAAGCTACTTTGGAAAATAATTTGTCAGTTTCTTAAAAAGTGAAACATTCACCTACTAAATGATCCAGCCATTTCATTTCTAGATATTTGCTCAAGAGAAATGAAAGTATATGTCCACACAAAGCCTTGTATATGAATGTTCATAGCAGTTTTATGTGTAATAGTCTAAAAGTGGGAACCACTCAAATTTATATCAACAGGTGGATGGATAATAATTTGTGAGATAGCTATACAGTGAAATGCTATGCAGCAATAAAAGGAAATGATATGCTGATTTATGCCGCAGCATGGATAAATGGCAAAATAAGTATGTTGAGCAAAACAAGCTATCTGAAAAGGAGTAGATAATGTATGATTTCATTTATATAATGTTCTAAAAATGCAAACTAATCTATAGTGACTGAAAGCATATCAGTAGTTGCAGGAGGAAGGAAGGAAGAGGACTGGCAACTAAGAAGTGTGGAGAGAGGGATGATAAAAAAGCAGGAGAAAACTTCTAGGGGTAATGGATATGTTTATTATCTTGACTTTTTTGATGTTTTCCTGAGTCTGTAGCAGTGTTCAAATTTATCAAATTTTACATTTCAAATATGTGCACTTTGTTATATGAAAACTATAACTCAAGAAAGCTCTAAGCTGTATCAAATGAAATTTAGAATATTTTAGATATCACTTTTTAACTTTTTAATACTCGTCATATCTCTTTATGTCTATAATTTTATGTTTTTGTATGAGATTATTTTAACGCATGTACAACCTGTCTCATATTTAAGTAACACAGCCTATTTTATGATTTTACTGAAATTTTTGTTTTGTTTTTATCTTATTTACTTCTTTTCTATCTTGACAACACTATTTAAATGATACCATTTTAAATCTTTTATTGTGTATTTTCCCAGAGGCAAAAGAACATCTTTAAATTACCTATGTAATGTAGATCGTTCTATAGGAGGAAGATAGCCCTCCTAATTTCCTGGCTCTGTAATTTACTGGTGTCCTGGCACATGTTAAACCTTAATCTCCTTACCAAATAAGGTAATTTTGTAATGCACTTAGTTTCATGCTCAGTGCCTGATAGTTAGCGTGCAACTTTTTAAATTTTTGTACATTCTTTTGAACAGTGACCTAGCTGAAATGTTGTGCCCTTTTTGATGATGAGCTTTAGAAAACTTCAGCAGGAAAAATGATGGATACAATCAAATTATTAAGTAATCCAATATAAATGTGGGTTAGCCACCCTGAAAATGGACTTTAAAGGCATCAGAATTTCAAAGTTCTGTTGTCCAAACAACAGTCCGCATTATAGTGGCCACACTGAGAATAGAACGAGAATTATAAACTATTTTATAGTCTTACTTGAAGAATTCTCTGGTTATTAGGTCCATAAATGTCATTATTTTAAGAGTGAATGCCATGAGGAAGTTTTAATGAATGAAATACCAAAGAATTCACTGTCTACTTTCCTACTCAGAATAATTACTCACCACAAAGCTGTTCAGAAGAATTTTTAAGATTCTGAAATACACTACTTATTGCAGACAAGAGCCAAGAGAGATCGTTATCGTATTATTTATCCTCTGACCACTGTGACCACTACCTCCCCTTGTCACCTTCCACGTCTCCTAGGAAGGGCTGGCAGACCCAGAATGACTACTTGCATTGTGCTTTCTCTGTATAAAACCTGAAATTTTGTGTAACATAATCCTTCCTCTGTAATAACATCAGAAACAGCAATGACTGCTAGCATTTATTGGGTGTTTATTGTTTGCAAATACAGTGAGTTGCAAATGTACTGAATAAAGCTTAATTGTATAAACAATCCTACAAGATAGGAACTGATACCACTCCCCTTGGAAAAATGAGGAGACAGTCTTGGTGAGTTTAAATAATGTGCTCGGATATTGCAATATTTTGCTTGTAAATAAGAACTCCAAAACAAGCCAAGGTATTAGGAAAATGTTTTTGTAAATACATCTTGAAACTTTCCAACTTTCAAGTTTGAGATCGTAATGAAACTTTTACCTTCCACATTTTCTTTTCTTAGCTTCTGCCTAGATTTTTTTCTTATCCTGTAGTACAATATTCCATCCAGTTTAACAAGAGTAAAGAAAAATACACCTGCCATTTCTTTTGTGACCCTTAACAATTACATGTGAGTTAACTGTACTTTTTAAATAATAGCAACTGAGTGAAATGCCAAAAAGTGATATTGCACAAATAGTCACTTGTGGCAAATCTTCTTTTATTTTATGCTTTAGGGTCATCGTTAATAATACGGGCAGTGAATTTTTTAAGAAAAATATTTTCTACCCTGCTGTCTGTTATGTTTGATGTTATACATTATAATTCTGTTTATGATGGGCTAACTTCACTAGATTCTGTTATGCACACAAACTGGCATTTTTAACCAACATATTTTATTTTTAGATAAGTCTTCCTGAAGTCTCTCTATTAAAAATTTTAAAGTTAAACAAGCCTGAATGGCCTTTTGTGGTTCTGGGGACATTGGCTTCTGTTCTAAATGGAACTGTTCATCCAGTATTTTCCATCATCTTTGCAAAAATTATAACCGTAAGTAAAATAAATTTGCTAATACTTTCAGCAATTTAAAGAAAGTATGACCTGAGAGAACAAGCTTGTATCAGTCTAAACCACAAGGGGAAAATTGGGACTTTTAGTGGGCCGCCCCTAGTGTGGAGTCCGTGATAGGAAGGTTAATTAATGTTCCCAGGAGATAAGCCAGCATCTCTTGTAAAGTGTGTGGCCGGGCCTTGTTGACTGGGCAATCAGTGAAGAAATTGCTTTGTTTTCTAATTTTTACTCCAGTGCTGGATCAGCATTCCAAAACACTGAAGAAATAAAATAGGCAAATACAACTACTTTCCTTTCAATTAGTGGGTATAGTTGCAATTTCTTTTCTTACCAGCCAGCTCAGGGAGAAGAAATAACAAGAGTCTGGGATTTTGCTAAAGGACTCAGGGCAATTGGTGTGTTTAAGGATCTTACAAGATCCATGCTTACTCTTCAATGTTAACTAAAGTTCTAGCCTGGAACTTCAGTCTCCCTAATTTGCACAGCTATACTTTATCAGTATAAATGCCTGTGTATGTATGTTACTAATTTTTAAGAAAAATTCTGGGGGCACATTAAAAAGCCTCACCTTGCAGGTACTACTTAACTAGAAGACTACTAAGAAACTTGAGTGATCAAAAATTATTCAAAATAATAATTCAAGCAAACTGGTGGTTTCTTGGGAAATATACTGTGATAATAATAGCAGATAGATGACTCATTATTCAGATCTCATATTTACATAGTTTGAGAATTAAAAGCAAGTTATTTTTTATCATAGATAATGTATGCAGATGATAGCATCATGGTGCACTTTTTCCCACAGAAATGTGTGTATAGTTTTATTTTTATGTTGAAATTTATTTTAAGCTGGGTGCAATGGCTCACGCCTGTAATCCCAGCACTTTGGGAGGCGGAGGCAGCCGGATCACTTGAGGTCAAGAGCTTGAGACCAGCCTGCCCAGTATAGTGAAACCCCATCTCTATTAAAAACATAAAAATTAGCCGGGTGTGGTGGTGCGCGCCTGTAATCCCAGCTACTCGGGAGGCTGAGGCATGAGAATCACTTGAACCTGGGAGGCAGAGGTTGCATTGAGCCAAGACTGAGATCGCAACACTGCACTCCAGCCTGGGCGACAGAGCAAGATTCTGTCTCATAAAAGAAAAAAAAAAAAGAAATGTATTTTAAAACTCCTGATATACAGAAATTTTCACTTTTTCTGTTTCTTTTATATTTTCCCCCAAACACCTGATAAAAATCTGTTCCTTTTCAGATGTTTGGAAATAATGATAAAACCACATTAAAGCATGATGCAGAAATTTATTCCATGATATTCGTCATTTTGGGTGTTATTTGCTTTGTCAGTTATTTCATGCAGGTAAGCTTTTAATAAACAAGCCTGAGCATGATTACTTTTTGTTGCCATTCTTTCTATTTGAGTTAAAAATATATCAACTAAATGTTACAAAGGAAAAGAACGTAGATTTTTGTTTGTTTGCTTTTCAGGGATTATTTTACGGCAGAGCAGGGGAAATTTTAACGATGAGATTAAGACACTTGGCCTTCAAAGCCATGTTATATCAGGTCAGTGATAAGTTGATTTTTTTTTTATTTTATTTAAAATTTATTGTAAAACATTCTAGCTTTAATTCTGTCTCAAGTCAATTTTTGACATAATCTTTCTTTGAAAGCACACTCTTTTTGTTCTAAGCAGCAAAAATCTGATGTCAGAAGTCTTATATTTTTCTAAAAGAAGCAAGTCCAAAAGTGTGACGTTAAAAAAATACAGCTTATAGAAAAGAATGTAGGATCTACTCATTGTTCCTTGCATTCATCTTGACAAATCTTTCTTTTAATGAATGATGTAGTGTTCTGGGATCAGAACGGAAGGCCAAATTAAAAAGGAGAAGTAAGAGCTACCATATCTTGGGAATGTATCTGAAAAGAAGTTGTTAATTTCTGTGGTTCTAATTCATGTGCATAGCTTAAGTTTTTTGACTCTACACTTCTTAAAGCAGCCAATCTCTCTGCCTTTATCAGAAGAGTCCTGAACTCAGATAACATCGGTCTAGCTGCCAGGTCTGCCTGCCTCACGCAGATGATCAGTCCCCGCTGTGAAATAACTAAAAATAGGTGGATCAAGTAGTAATCTTGAGAAGTGAGTCTTGGGGGCAAATGGAAGGAATGTCTCAGACTGGCACCTCTAAAATTCTTTCACGAGGCTAAAATGTATTGGGTTACCCTGAAAGCCAGTAATCATTAGTAGCCCTTCACCTCACTTTCTGTCACAAAAGCTCACCAGGCAGGAGCAAATAGCTTCCTGCCAAGGTGATTTCTTTTCAGAAATAGAGTTACTGTCACTCCAACTGAGTCGTCAAAACCCATTTTTAAGTCTTATGACTTTTAGGAGCAGTGCTCTGAAGGCTGCCGTGCAACAGCTGTACTCTTAGGGAGCTACAAGATACAAAACGGAAAGAAGCAAGTCGGAGGTTTCCCACGGCAACACCGTGGTCTAAAGCAATGGGTGACCTTACACCTTCTGTGCAAAAAGGTCCCATTTCTGCTTCTTGTTCCACATTTGGAGACACTCCTTAATCCAGAAAAACAAAAGTCTACTTGTAGGATCATAAATCAATTTGATGCCAGCACATACCTCTCATGTTAAAGTTGTACATTATTATTTTTTAATTTATGAATACTTTAGGTCTTTACTGCAAATATTCCAAGAAATAAGTTGAGACTTTAATTAACTAATACTGTATTTCACATTTGTTGACTATTTCTGCTCATTTTTGTTTTTCTTTAAATTTATCTTTTTCCCTGTTCAAATAAATTTATTTTAAATTTCTAGAAACTTTTGAAAAGGTTTCCTGAATGCCTAGATGTTTGTTTTTATACAGAAGAATATAAATTTTAATTTTTCCAAGCATACTTTGAACTTCCTTTCTGTTCATGGAATGCTTTTAGTGGAAGAATTTCAAAGCCATGAGACCGTTTAATGAGAGAAACTGTGGTTAATCTAGTATTTTGATGGTTAATACTGGACATTAATCCTCTGTCTAGCATTAGCCATGTGAATATTAGGACTGTAACATTTTTAGATACAGTAGCTTCTGCTAATAAGGATGCTTGAAACTATAAGCCATAAACTCTGGGTTTTAAAATATCATGTACATACTCACAAAGACTTGCACAGAAAGTCTATGCCACTTAGCACATGTTATTAAATATCCCCATAAGTTAAGTTGTTTGTTTTCCTTCTTCATCCTTCAGCACTCTTTTTGATTCTTAGCTTTACCTTTTAAAATTGGAGAAAAAGAAGACTAGTATATTTAGCCCTTTCTTTGTAAGCATCTTCACAGTTTTGCTTTGTCTATAGTAAGGGAAGCCCCTAGTGTGCAGTTTTATCTAACTCTTATTACCTGATTTTTGTCCTAAGATAAGACTTTTTAAAATTTAACAACCGTGCTCAGACTTGCAGTGCTTTTTATAACCATTGTGAAACTTCATTTGAGGTAGAGGTATGTAAAGAAACAGGTGTGTGTAGGTATAAAATCCATATTTTATGTGATTACTTTAGATTCTTCCTGTTGAAAAGAATGTTCTAAGTGTTGCTGACTTCAGTCACTGAATAATTCGTCGTTCATTGTGTTTCAAAGTTAAGTTTACAATTCTTAATGATAAATAATTACCTATAGAGCTATTGAGTTTTTGAACATGTAAGAAGTTTATTTTTCCCCATTTCCCTCTAAATTAGATTGGCTAAGGCTTCTTGGGGTTCTTTAAATTATGATAGCATTGATGGTGATCACTAAGGGGCTTCAAAATTTACCTAAGCTAATTCCAAAAGGCTTTGAGGTAATGAGTCCTGGAGCATGAGAAACAGGTCATGAAACTCAGCTGTAATTCTTCAGTCAGATGGCAGGCCGAACAAAATAATTGATTAAGAACTTAAATAATCTGTACAACAAACCCCCATGACACAAGTTTACCTGTATCACAAACCTACACATGTACTCTTCAACTTGAAAGTTTAAAAAACAAAGTTTTTAACAAAAAATATCCATTGAGGCTAACTAAACAATTAGTATTACATATAATGGATTTTTTTTTTTTTTTTTTTTTCCTGAGACACAGTCTCGCTCTGTCGCCCAGGCTGGACTGCAATGGCGTGATCTCGGCTCACTGCAAGCTCCGCCTCCAGGGTTCACGCCATTCTCATGCCTCAGCCTCCTGAGTAGCTGGGACTACAGGCGCCCACCGCCACGCCTGGCTAATTTTTTTTTTTTTTTTTTTTTGTATTTTTAGTGGAGATGGGATTTCACCATGTTAGCCAAGATGGTCTCGATCTCCTGACCTCGTGATCCACCCATCTTGGCCTCCCTAAATGTTTTCATATATATTGCCTATGCTGGAAAACAATCCCTGGAGTACACAATTGCTGTCTTGCCAAAAAGCAATTTCAGACATCTTGCCAACTGAACATCAGATAATGACTAAGATTAATCACATATGTACCTATTCATGGTGTTTTACAGCGAGTTACTATAGAATCAGGAATGTAATATTCAATAATAAATTCTTTTCATATTTTTTACTTTATACTGTATCTAAAAATGATCTGTGCATTCCATGTCATGTTGAAATCTAGAACCAATTAGAAAATACATAAAATATCTTAATTTTGGAGAGAGAGAACACAATAAAAAGCAGGTGATGTCTTTCAGTTCAGCAGTGCTGTGTTTATTATTGTTGCTGCTGTGTATTCACAGTATGTTAGGCTCTTGCCTGGGATTGTGCTTTCAAAGTGGCTACTGTCCGGTGCAGACTGTAATCTCCATAGGATGCTCTTTGGGCATCTAGGACCCGAAGCTCATGCAGACACCTTCCCAACACAGTGGCTCAGGGTGGTGCTATCATGCCTGGCTCCTACCATATTCCTCCATAAAAGTTTTCATCTAACATATGATGTGCGTGATTAAGGCACAGCCCTCAACCTGCTATGCCTTTGTTTTGCCTGTTACCTGGGCCTCAGAGCCCTGGCTGGGTTGCAGTAAGCCAAGATTTTTTTGTTCTTTACTCACTAAAAATAAACCATCTTTCAGAGACAGTTTCCACATGGTTTTAATCTACAAGAGATACAAGTGGTTCCAGTGAGTGTGAGGAAACATTCAATAGCTATAAGAGGAAATCAGAATTCCTCAGGCTGAGAAGCACTAAGATGTGCTGTCTCCATTTGCTGTTGAAAATAAAATTGGTTATTACATTATACTTTTATTGCTTGTAATTTTGACGTGACTCCTTCTTTAGATTGCATACCTCTTAACTTCAGGAGTTTCACAGCCTTCTGCCCTTTTAGCTTCTCACAACGCCCATTGCTGTAAGTTCTAGGAGGTAATGTGAAGCATCAGGGAAAATCTTTATTATATGGCCCCTAAAGAGAAAGAGATAGACTTTTTATCATTAGTTAGTTTAGGTAGAAAGTTTTGAAGATATTTCTAAATTGTGTTGTTTATTGCCTTCCTTTTTTTTTTTTTTTTGTGAGACAGGGTCTCACTCTGGCATCCGAGCTGGAGTGCAGTGGTGTAATCTCAGCTCACTGAAACCTCTGCCTCCCAGGCTCAAGCAATCCTCCCCACCTCAGCCTCCCAAGTAGCTGGGACCACAGGTGCACACCACCATGCCCAGCTAATGTTTGTGTTTTTTGTAAAGACAGAGTTTTGCCATGTTGGCCAGGCTGGTCTCGACCCCCTAGACTCAATCCTCCCACCTTGGCCTTCCAAAGTGTTGGAATTACAGGTGTGAGCCACCGCTCTGGCCTTCATCGCCTTACTTTTGAATTATGTCTGCTTTTCACAAATGACTTATGGAATAAAATTACAAATCACTTGATGGTTGAAAATGACCATTTTAATTCAACATTGATTATTATACTATATGTGGTGATGAGTAATGAGTCCAAGCTCTTGGGCTTAAGTTCTTCAGTTTATATATAAATATAGATCTTCATGAAAAAATAAGCAACAGTCATTCAATCCATAGTATTTTATAGGAATTAAGTACCTGTGAGTGAGGAGGCAGGTAAATGTTTTCTGATTTACAGCAGAAAAATCACAAGTCAGATAAAAAAAATGATTTTTGACAACCATATGTTAATTCTCCTTTTCTCTAGGATATTGCCTGGTTTGATGAAAAGGAAAACAGCACAGGAGGCTTGACAACAATATTAGCCATAGATATAGCACAAATTCAAGGAGTATGTATATTGTTTTTATTGTAAATGATGTATGTATGTGGTGTGCACACATGCAATGCACACATGTGTCTGTGCATATATGTGAGCTGTGCTGAGATGACCCACATCATTAATGAGGCCAGGTAAGTCTCACGGTTAACAGGTAACTCTCAGTGAAAGATGAAAGGAAGACTTTCCGTTCTGGATATTTTTAACCAAAAATAGAGAATATTTAGTACCTGTAATAGGATAACTAGAGGACTAAAGAAGAGACCAAGAATAAGTTAGAAAAAAGAGCTCAGAATTAAATAGTTAGATAAGGAAAAGTAACGAAATGAAAACACACACACTTTGAGTTTTAATATAAGAAAAAGGTTTAGTTTTTCCTTCCCCCAGAAAATAAGATTTTAGTTAAAATAATGTCTAACAATTCAGAGTCATGTGTGCATCAGAAATGATTCTGTACTACTTGTTATACAAGTTAAAAAGAATTGTGTAATCATGACCAGTAATATGCATAACCAAGATATTTGTATATATTCATAATTAGTGATGGAATGACCAGCATAATATGTATCAAAGTCATGCTTAAACAGCTGTGGGGAGTAGAGGAGTATAGAAGAGGTAAGTAATAATTTGTTAGTTTTCTTTTAATTATTTTAACAAAATTCACCTTTGTACAACAAATGGGATCTTAACTGAGAAAAGCAGCAGAAAACAAGGTTTCCTACTTTAAACTGAAGTAAAATAAAGCTTTCTATTTCTGTTAAAATAAAAATTCTAGTAGAGTTATAGGCTTTCCTTTTTCCTTATCATGCATTTGGGAGAAAAGGAAAATGTCAATAATTCACTTCTGAATAACAGAAAAATCTTACAAGTATTTATTCTGTTTAGGAATACTGAGATGTTGCTTGAAGCTTTGTTAGCAGAGCAACAAACTGTCAACTAAAGCAACCCATCAGAATTGTATGTTTCTTTTAGAGATTATTTCCACAGGATATGGCAACCGTTCTAAGTTGTTTTTTTTTTTTAACTTTTGCAAGACCTCTTTGTTTAATATACATCGGCAAGATCGGATTTATATTATCAGAAAATAGAATAAGTGGGTTACAGTTGTGAATATTCACAAGCATTCATTTTGGTTTACAAAGCTAATTTTATGATGGAGAAAGAGCTCGAGAGGAAAGTGGGCATCTTCATCTCTTCCTGAAATTCATTTTGTTAATTTTGAAGGCAAGGTTCTAGAATTTTGTTAGATAGTATTTAGATTCTAAAATAGGGCTGAGGAGTTCAATTTTATTGGCATACATGAAAAGATGGTGGATAGAATTTCACTTAATAATCAAATAATGGGTATAGCATTAACCTCCGTAGCACAATATAATTATCTGATTAACTTCTGAGTTTAGGAATTCCATGGTATACTACTCCAGGCAGAAATATCAATCCCTATAATTCCATTTGAATTCCCACTCCACAAAATTTGCTATTTTTTCTTTACTGTGTTAATGTTTGTCTCTTACTACTTATATTTCAAATCTTTTCGGAATCTTTTGAGTGAAACAGGCATTCTTACCAGCAGCTATATTAATATGTGAGACATTTCTTTTAGCAGATATTTGCTTCAACTGAAAAACCAAATTATACTGAAAGACCCAACATTACTGTCCTTACATTTATTAATTGTTACTAATAAATAGTATTGTCCCTGAGGGAAATTACGGGGAATAGTTGTCAACCTGATTATAAGCACCTGACTAATATCATTTCATCACTTGAAACTTCATTGTTGCAGTTATTAAGTGCTGGTCTCACAATAACTTCTAGACAAGTCAAATCTTTTTCATTAGAACTAGTAGCTAGAGAATAAATGGTTGGAATCCTGATGAAAGATTTTAAAGTTGCCAAATTTAAAAAGTAAAACAAGGGGTAAACTGTCCCAGGTTGCAAATGGAGTCAGTAAAACTCTCAGGCTGATCAGTAGTGGGATAGTACCTGTGAAGAGCCACTGTACTCCAGCCTGGACAACATAGTGGGACTCTATCTCTATATTTTAAAAAATCTAATTTTAAAAATTAAGTTAATGAATAAAACAATCGAAGAAAGATTTCAGGAGTGAGACTGTGTCTAATAAAATGTAATTTATAAAAATTCTTACTTTGCCATATAAAGATGGATTCATATTCAATTTCAATGGACAGTTTTTCTATAAAAGGAAGAGTTGTTTACCAAACTTATTTGTCCACAAATGAATTCTTCCTCACAAGGACACTGTAGCATAAAGATGAGCTAGGAAATAATAATTTGGGGGTCATATTTCCTATCATATTGACTTAAATAAGTCATACTCATCTCAATTTCTTCATCATGTAATTTCAGTTATATTTTATTCTATCAAATATATTAGAATGAATGTTCATAAAATAGCTCCTTAATAATAACAAATCTTAGTTTGAAACCTTTAACTCATGACTGTAAAGGTATTCCTCTGGCCATTTTTTAAAGCTTTGATATTTTTGAAAGTCATGATAAAAACATGCTAGTGAAATAGAGTCATAGGACAACATGATTCCTAGATAGTTGTCTGAATACAACCAATTTAACTGATATTGTTTTAGCCCAAGGGAATAGCCTATTGCCAGTACATCTGTCAACAGACTATTTTCTGTGTAATATGTGCTTTAATTAAAGCTAAAAGCCATTTTAGATTATTTTGGAAACTCAATTCTGTAAAATTACAAGGTATTATTTCTGTACATTTTGGCGATCTCTTTTCATCAACCAAAAGTCTTATTTCATTTTTGTCCACAAGAAAGTGTGTTATTGACACCACAGTGTGCATTTGATATACCACAGACACATCCAATGCTAGAACCTAGAACTCTTCTCATCAGAGCTGTAATATGTTGCCCAAATAAATCGTAAACATTTATTTCACGTATTAATTCCAAAAACCCAGTGAGTTTACTAGTTAGAACTAAGATATTATTACCTGGACAATGGTAACCTCATTTCTTTTTTTTTTTTTTTTTTTTTTGAGACGGGGTCTCGCTCTCGCCCAGGCTGGAATGCAGTGGCGCGATCTCGGCTCACTGCAAGCTCCGCCTCCCAGGTTCACGCCATTCTCCTGCCTCAGCCTCCCGAGTAGCTGGGACTACAGGTGCCTGCTACTATGCCCAGCTAATTTTTTTTGTATTTTTAGTAGAGACGGGTTTTCACCATGTTAGCCAGGATGGTCTCGATCTCCTGACCTCGTGATCCGCCCGCCTCGGCCTCCCAAAGTGCTGGATTACAGGCGTGAGCCACCGCGCCCGGCGGTAACCTCATTTCTTAATTTAACTTTTTGACATGGGAAGTGTGTAAAACAACTTGACATTACTTTTGATTCAAACAATGTTGCCATGGAAATGACTTTTCCACAGCATAAGGTTGGCGTATAATTGCTGTTTTGTCTTGCAGTTTTAGGTTGAATTAAGAAAGATAATCAAATCTACAGCAGAAGCTAATATCCAGAGGCATTTAGTATTTGATAATAGTGGTTAAGGACGGCTCTTTTAAAAAAAGTTTTCAAGCAAGGTGCAGTGGCTCACATCAGTAATCCCAGTAATTCAGGAGGCCAAGGCAGGAGGATCGCTCGAGCCTGGGAGGTCAAGGCTGCAGTGAGCCATAATTGTCCTACTGCACTGTAGCCTGGGTGACAAAGTGAGATCTTGTCTGAAAAAAAATTGTTTTTCAATCTTGGCCTTGAATTCATAATATTGCAAAAAACTTTACCACTGCTAAGCCATCAAACTGCTGAGTGGTAAGGTAAGTCAAAAATTTCCCTTGACAAAAACTCACAAAAATGAAGATGGTTACGTTTACAAGAGCAAATGAACTTAACCATTTACACTACTGGTCCAATAATGCATGATAAATTCAATTACTTCCCATAAAATATATGCTGACAAATAATAATAATAAATAACCGTAGGCCTTAAACACTTTACATTTTCACAAGCTTTGTAAATTTGTCCAACCAAGGCTTGTTTTCTGCTGTACAAATATTTTAACCATCAGTTGTAATGTATCTTAGTAGATTCTACTTTGGATTGTACTTATTTTTTTTCCTCAACTTCTTTGAAAATATTCTCAGCAGTACTTGTTCCACAGAAACTATTTATAGTGCCTAACTTTTCACTTACTTCAAATTCAACGTTGGCTCCTCAAAAAACCAGCAACTGAGCAGTGTCAGTAACATATGTCAACTCATCAAGATCCAGGAAAAACTACTCAAAATAATCTACCTTATTTTTTAATTGACTGTGGATGTTACTCTCAACGTCTGTAACTATGAGCAACTGTTCTCACCAAATGGCAGCCTTATATAAGTTACGCAGTCTGAACACATTTCTTCCACTGCTACAATCAAACATGATATAATTAACTCACAATCCATAAGTGCCTTTCTTTGCTTGGCCAATGAATAAGCCACTTAAAAATTTACTTTGGTTTCATTCTCATTTTCATATTTTAGTTTTGCGAAGAAATTCTGCTAAGACAAGATATTTTGTTTTATATTTTCTAGTTTTCTGAATGCTGCTTTCCTGTAAGTGGGGAATATTGCGATGAGTGTTCAGTCTGCTAATGTTGACATATTTTGTATTTTTCAGCACTATTTAGTGTCATAGCATAAAAAACACAATGCTGTGGCATCTAATTTGAATACAAAATAACTCACAGCCCACCGTTCCTTAAAAACATGGCATTGAAAGTCCACATTTCTCTTATTTTCTGTTTTGAGATGATGGGTATGCAATGGTATTTTTAAAAACTAGGATAAAGTGTAACAGTACAGCAAAACTCAACATGCTCTCAAATTCTAACCACGTCACTGAGATGTGTAGCATGCTGAGAAGCAGGGTAAAGTGATGAGAGTGGCACATATGGTTTCTCTAGCAGCTACCATCACTATAACCTAAGACAGCCTAAACAATAGGTAAACATGACAGTCAGCCAGTTCGTTAAGATAAGGCTGGGCAAGGTGG
The DNA here is from genome assembly GCF_000001405.40 of Homo sapiens. Lineage (NCBI taxonomy): Eukaryota > Metazoa > Chordata > Mammalia > Primates > Hominidae > Homo > Homo sapiens. The sequence goes on from NC_000007.14 coordinate 20,709,814, forward strand.
CTCACACCTGTAATCGCAGCACTCTGGGAGGACAAGGTGGGCGGATCACCTGAGGTGTTAGACACCAGGCTGCCAACATGGTGAAACCCTGTCTCTACTCAAACCACAAAAATTAGCTGGGTGTGGTGGTGGGTGCCTGTAATCACAGCCACTCGGGAGGCTGAAGGAAGAGAATCGCTTGAACCCGGGAGGTGGAGGCCAAGACCATGCCACTGCACTCCATCCTGGGCGACAGAGCAAGACTCTAAAAAAAAAAAAGAAAAAAAATAGGTAGCCAGGGGTGGTGGCTCACGCCTGTAATCCCAGCACCCAGCACTTTGGGAGACCGAGGCGGGTGGATCACCTGAGGTCGGGAGTTCAAGACCAGCCTGGCCAACATGGTGAGACCGTCTCTCTACTAAAAATTAGGTGGGCGTGGTGGGGGGCATCTATAATCCCAGCTACTCGGGAGGCTGAGGCAGGAAAATCGTTTGAACCCGGGAGGCAGAGGTTGAGGTGAGCTGAGATCGTGCCATTGCACTCCAGCCTGGGCAACAAGAGTGAAACTCCACCTCAAAAAAAAAAAAAAGTGGGGGGGGGGCATGACTGTGTTTCAATAAAACTTTATTTACAGACACTGAAATTTGAATTGCATACCACTTTTACATGATGCAAAATATTATTCTTCTCTTGATTTTTTCCTAACCATTAAAAAAATATAAAAAACATTCTTATCTTATGGACAATATAAAAGCAGATAGAGGGTCAGATTTGGCCTGTAATCTATAGTTTGTCAACCCACGCAATAAAAAATCCACAAAAGAACTTCAAGTGGCATTTTACAAAAGAAGAAATCCATGTGAACTATGCCCTTGTACTTTTATTCTATTTGTGTGTCTGTATTTAGAGTGTGATTCTCACAGGCAGCATATAAGTCTCTTTGAATATCTGAATGGGATATTCAGACCATTTTCATTTAATGTGGTTATCAAAATGATTAGGTTTAAGTCTCTCATTTTGCAATTTGCTCTTTATTCCATATGTTCTTTGCACAGTTTTCCTATTTTTCTGCCTTCTTTTGGATTAAAATTTTTTAGTATTCTATTTCATCTCTTTTTGGAGGAGTAAGGAAAGTGATATTGCTAAGTATAATGTTTTGTTTTGTTATTCTAGTGGTTACTTTAGGCTTTATAGTACCCATCTTTAACTTATCACAGTCTACCTTCAAGCAATATGGATGTCAACTTACAGCGTAAGAAACTTAAAATAGTGCAGTACTTCCATTTTCCCCTCCAAATCTTTTGCTATTGTTGTCATACAGTCTCCTTCTATATATGTAATAAACCCATACTACATTGTAATTATTTTTGCTTAACAATCATCTTTTATTAAAGAATTTTAAATAAATATGTAAAGTCCTATGTATTTACTCACGTAGCTAACATTTCTGGTCTCTTCCTTCCTTATTCTAGGTACCTATTTCCATTGGTATCATTTTCCTTCTGCATCCAGGTCTTTTTTTCACCTTTCTTAAAGCGTTAAGCTTGATAGTGACTAATTATTTCAGGTTTTTTATGCCTGAAAAGTCTTTATTTCACCTTAATTTTTTTGAAATATATTTCCACCAGTTATGAAATTTGAGGTTGACAGTTTTTTCTTTCCATTCTTTCTTTCTTTTTTTTTTTTTGAGACACGGTCTCACTCTGTTATCCAGGCTGGAGTGCAGTGGTGTGATCACTACTCATTGCAGCCTTGACCTACCAGGCTCAGGTGATCCTCCCACTTCAGCCTCCTGAGTAGCTGGGACTCTGGGCACATGCCACCATGTCCAGTTAATTGTTTGTAGATACAGGGTTTCACCATGTTGCTCAAGCTAGTCTTGAACTCCTGGGCTCAAGTGAGCTGCCCACCTCAGCCTCCTGAAGTGCTGGGATTATGGGTGTGAGCCACTGCACCCAGCCCAGCCTGCCTGCCTTTCCTTCTTTCTCTTTCTTTCTTTCTTTCTTTCTTTCTTTCTTTCTTTCTTTCTTTCTTTCTTTCTTTCTTTCTTTCTTTTCTTTCTTTCTTTCCTTCCTCCCTCCCTCCCTCCCTCCCTCCCTCCTTCCTTCCTTCCTTCCTTTCTTTCTCTCTCTTTCTTTTTCTTTCTTTCTTTCAAGATATTGCTCAGCTGGGCACAGTGGCTTACGCCTGTAATCCCAGCACTTTGGGAGGCCGAGGCGGGTGGACCACGAGGTCAGGAGATTGAAACCATCCTGGCTAACACAGTGAAACCCCATCTCTACTAAAAAATACAAAAACATTAGCCGGGCATGCTGGCAGGCACCTGTAGTCCCACTCCAGCCTGGGTGACACAGCAAGACGCCGTCAAAAAAAAAAAAAAAAAAAAAAAAGATATTGAGATATTGCTCTACTGTCTTCTCGTTTGATTTTTTCAACCAAGAATTTGTCATTATCCTTATCTTTTTTCCTCTGATCATAATGTATATTTCTTCCTTTGCTTTTAAGATGCTCTCTTTATCACTGACTTTGAAATGTGATTGTGATGGGTTTTGAAATAGCTTCCTACTTGTTTCTTATGCTTGAAGTTCACTGAAATTCTTAGATTTATGGGCTTATAGTTTTCACCAAATTTTAAAACTCTATTGACCATTATTTATCTAAGTATTTTTTTCTGTCTTTCTAGTCTCACCTCTCCTTCAAGGACTCTAATTCTACATATATTAGGCTGCCTGAAGTTTTACCACATCTCAGCAATGCTTTGTTCATTTTTTTCTGCATTTATTTTGAATAGTTTCTATGCCATGTCTTCAAAACCAATGATCTTTTCTTCTTCAATATTTAATCTGCTATTGATCCTATCATATATATTTTTCATCTCAGATATTATATTTTTTATTTTTAGAATTTTAATATGGACTTTTTTATAGCTTCCTTATCTCTTAACTATTCTAATATGTAGTATATACATTGGTAGTAGCTTTTTAAATTGATAAGTAAAAGTTTTATATATTTAGGGTATAAAAATGATGTTTTATATATGTAGTCATTATGAAATGGATAAATTAAGCTATTTAACATATGCATTATTTCACATACTTATTTTTTGTGTGGTGAGAACACTTCAAATCTATTTTCTTGGTAATTTTCAAGTTTACAATACATTATTATTAACTATAGTTACCACGATATACAACAGATCTCTTAAACTTATTCCTCCTAATTGAAATTGTGTGTCCTTTTACCAACATCTTCTCAACCCCCTGAATCCCCATCTCCTAGAAACCATGATTTTACTCTCTGTCTCTATGAGTTTGGCTTTTTTAGATTCTACATATAAGTGAGATCATGTGGCATATCTAACATTTTGTCAATTCTGGGTTGGTGTCCATGGATTCATTTTTATCCTTATCATAGGTCTTATTTTGCCACTTTGCATGCCTGGGAATTTTTTTTTTTTTCCAGACAGGGTCTCATTTTGTTACCCAGGCTCAAGTGCAGTGGCATGAACACAGTTCACTGTATCCTTGACTTGGGAGCAGGCTCAAGCAATCCTCCTGCCTCAGCTTTCCATGCAGCTGAAATGAGAGGTACATGGTACCACACTCAGCTAATTTTTTTAATTTTGTAGAGACAGGGTCTCACTGTGTTGTCCAGGCTGGTCTTGAACTCCTGAGTTCACGTGGTCCTCCCACCTTAGCCTCCCAAAGTGCTGGGATTACAGGTGTGAGCCACCATGCCTAACCCCCTGCCAATTTCTGACTGGATGCTACACATTGTGAATTTAAAATTTTTGGTGCTGGATATTTTTACATTTCTATAAATATTCTGGGTTTTGTTGTGGAATACAGTTAAGTTACCTGGGAATAGTTTGATCTTTTTGGGTCTTGGTTTTAAGGTTTGTCAAGCAGGAGTGGAGCCTACTACAAAGGCAAAACCCTTCCACATACTCTACCTACGCCCTGTGGCTCAGAAGGTTTTCCAGTCTGGCTGCTGTTACCAGGCACTAATCCCAGTCCTGACATGTATGCACTACTCAGCTGAATACTCAAGAAGGACCCTCTGCAGATATCTCGATTTATCATTCTGTGAATCTCTCTCTTCTCTAGTATTCTATGCTGCAAACTCTAGCTGACTTAGATTCCTGAGATTCTCAGCTTTGTCTGCTCAACTCAGAGTCTATTGGGCTCTTTGCACTGCCACCTGGAAACTCTTAAGGTAGTAAGCCACAGCAACCACAGGGGTCACCTTGTTTGTTTGCCACCTCTGCCCGTGGTTGCCTTATGTTCAGTGTCTTGAAAACCACTGGTTCATGTATTTTGTCTATTTTTTGTTTGGTTTTAGATGAGAGGATAAATCCTTGTTACTCTGTCTTGGTGAGAAGCAGAAATCCTACCATATGGCATTTTATTTCTACAATTGCATACTGAGTTTCCTTCCTTTCATAATTTTCTTATCAAAGTGATATCCCCCACATCTAGCGTAGTACCTAAGACATAGTAGACACTCCATAAATAACTTATCTCAAGAATTAAACAAGACTTTTTGTTCTTAATTTCAAAAAAAAAACCTGTATTTTTGTGCCTCTTGCTAAAGAATCTAAGAAAGCTTAATTAAATTTCTTCTGATTCCAGTTTTAAATTCTTTCCAGAGGTACACTATTTTTCTGGGTCTTTAAGACCACATTCCGTTTTCCTTCAATTCTTGTAGTACTCCTCGAGGCCAAGAGTCTCTTATTTTCTGTTTATTCTTCTTGGAACAGAAGAAATATATTCAGATCTTTCTCATTGTACCACCAACACCGAAAAGCAGGGTTTGTGGCTTGTTCTCGGTCGCACTGACTGAACATTTCAATAAGTTTGTGGTAATTTAAACTAAAATGAACTATAGAAAGGATATAATTCTATTTTCCAGCAGCAGATTAACACAAGAATGGAAAACCCAAGCTTATTAAGCAAGCAAAGATATGCAAGTACAAGCCACTTCGTAGAAAGTTCTTGTGTCCCAAACAAAAAACTCAAATAGAGAAGCCTGTCTCATCAAAAATCTGTCAAGTTCACTCTTGGATACTTTTAGAAATTAGGTTGGTGTGTATAGTCCTTAGACAAACTTTAAGTGACATGACTCTCAAATATTTGTCTAGCGTGGCTCTGTGAAGTATTTCTACTTCTTTCCCTAATACACTACCCAAGCTTATACATGAAAACTACAATGCTCAGCATGCTTTTTGTCTTTACTTTTCTTATTTTCTACCCCTTTTATTTATTTATTATGAGACAGAGTCTCATTCTGTTGCCCAAGCTGGAGTGCAGTGGCATGATCTCAACTCACTGCAACCTTCACCTCCTGGGTTCACCCAATTCTCCTGCCTCAGCCTCTTAAGTTGCTGGATTACAGGTGCCTGCCATCATGCCCAGTTAATTTTTTTGTATTTTTAGCAGAAATGGAGTTTCACCACATTGGCCAGGCTGGTTTTGAACTCCTGACCTCAGGTGATCCACCCGCCTCAGCCTCCCAAAGTGCTAGGATTACAGGTGTGAGCCGCCGCGCATGGCCTCTACTACTTACTTCATTTCCTTTTGCTTTAATGTCTAGAGCTGGAATGCGTGGTGTATGTGTGTGTGTGCGTGTGTGTGTGTGAAACAGGGTCTCACTCTGTCACCCAAGTTAGAGTGCAGTTGCATGATCCTAGTTCACTGCAACCTCAAACTCTTGGGCTGAAGGGATGCTCCCACCTCAGCCTCCCAAGTAGCTGGAACCAGGTGCACGCCACTGTGCCTGGCTAATTTTTTCATTTTTATGTAGAGACAGAGTCTTGCATGGTTGCCTAGGCTGGTCTTGAACTCCTGGGCTCAAGTGATCCTCCCACTTGGGCCTCCCAAAGTGCTGGGATTATAAGTATGAGCCACCGCACCCAGCCTAGAGCGAGCTATAATCTTTTTTTTTTTTTTTGAGACAGTCTCTCTGTCACCCAGGCTGGAGTGCAGTGGCAGTATCTCATCTCACTGCAACCTCCGCCTCCCGGGTTCAAGCGACTCTCCTGCCTCAGCCTCTCAATTAGCTGGGACTACAGGTGCCCACCACCACGCCCAGCTAATTTTTGTATTTTTAGTAGAGACGGGCTTTCACCACGTTGGTCAGGCTGGTATCGAACTCCTGACCTCTGGTGATCCTCCCACCTCGGCCTGTAATCCCAAAGTGCTGGGATTACAGGTGTGAGCCACCGTGCCCAGCTGAACTATAATCTTTAAAGTTAATAGAACACAAACAACAGAAGGTAGTGAGGAATCAGGAACTATATTATGGTTACCTAATAGGAGATATCCAAACAGAAAAGAATAACTGCCCCAGTGGATATGTTTTATCCTTTCGACAATATAGATACTGTGCCAAGAATTGAAATCCAAAAAAGTAAAAATCATTGGCTTCAAAATATTAAAAGAAACTTCCAAGTGGAAATTAATACATGTATCAAGGTCTACAAAACATAACCCCCTATCAAGTAATTGATGACAAGTAATTCTTGATAATATTTAGATAAAATAAATTTTATATTTAAAGAACAATGAATATCTTATTCTCAACAACACATAATTATAATTTTAAAAAATAGCTCCAATGATTGCACATCACAATATATATAAATTTTATGTAGCTATAGGAGCATTTAGTATTTTTTTAGGAGCACTTTCCAGGAACCAAGGGCAAAGACCAATTTTTTTTTTATTGTACCCCAGATTTTAAACACAGTACTTTAGTGGACATTTTAAGGGATAAACACAAAAGCATTACCATATAGTTTTCATGGACACACTTATATGCATTAATAAACATTAAAGATGAATTGTGGGGACATGTATTCAATTCAAAAGACCATAGTAAGGAGAGGAATGGGCCTGGAAAAGAGGAAAAGTTATTCTTAAGGTCAGCTTTACAGTAAGGAAAAGCAACAAAATTTGAAAACAGGAGCCCTTGTCATTTCCCTAGAAGAGAAACTGGACAATCTAGGAGTTCATTCAGAAAAGCAAAGTGGGTGAGGGCTGAACCCTACAGCCTGTTAGCAATACAGCTTTCCCTTAGGAATTCTAAAGCGTGCCGAACCCCAGCGCAGCCTTAGGGAATCTCCTTTCGCCATCTACTCGATTCCCCAGCGATCTCCTCCAGTCCCAAGGCTTAGATGGCCAAACACCTACCGACAAAGCCCAGGCTTACAAGCACTTACCCGACCTGAACGCCACACTCCAGACTGGTCTTCCCATCTGGAGCTTGAGATGACCCCGCACCAGGAGCATTTAGTATTTAAGGAAAGACATGGAAGGCCTCCAACAATGCCAAGAACTTAAGGTCCACAGCATCTCACCGGTTGTCTAGTCCATATGACTCTGAAACTTATGGTGGGGGGTGGGAGGCAGAGGAGCAAGGACAGTGTGTTAGTCAGCTCGGGCTTCCATAACAAAGGACCACAGACTAGGAGGCTGCAACAACAGACATTCATTTCCTTACAGTTCTGGAAGCTAGAAGCCCAAGAACAAGATGTCCGCACGATTGGGTTTTACTCCGAGGGCCTTGGCTTGTAGTTGGCTGTCTTCTATGCGTCCTCACAGGATCTTCTCTGTGTATGCAGTGTCTGCTGTGTCCAGATTTCCTCTTTTTTTTTTTTTTTTTTCTTTTGAGACAGACTTTTGCTCTGTCTCCCAGGCTGGACTGCAGTGGCGTTATGTTGGCTCACTGCAACCTCCGCCTCCCGGGTTCAAGCGATTCTCCTGCCTCAGCGTCCTGAGTAGCTGGGATTACAGACACGCACCACCATGCCCGGCTAATTTATTTTTAGTAGAGATGAGGTTTCACCATGTTGATAAGGCTGGTCTCAGACTCCTGACCTCATGATCTGCCCGCCTCGGCCTCCCAAAGTGCTGGGATTACAGGCGCGAGCCACCGCACCTGGCCCAAATTTCCTCTTCTTACAAGAATATCTATCAGGTTAGATTAGAGCCTACCTTAAAAACTTCACTTTAACTTAATTATCCCTGTATCTATAATTTATTTATTTATAATTACCTTATCTCCAAATACGGTAACATTCTTGTAACATTCTTTTTTTTTTTTTTTTTTTTTTTTTTTTTTTTTTTTGATACAGAGCCTCGCTCTGTCGCCCAGGCTGGAGTGCAGTGGCGCAATCTCGGCTCATTGCAAGCTCCACCTCCCGAGTTAACGCCATTCTCCTGCCTCAGCCTCCTGAGTAGCTGGGACTACAGGCGCCCGCCACCACGCCTGGCTAATTTTTTTGTGGTTTTTTTTTTTAGTAGAGACGGGGTTTCACCGTGTTAGCCAGGATGGTCTTGATCTCCGGACCTCGTGACCAGCCCGCCTCGGCCTCCCAAAGTCCTGGGATTCCAGGCGTGAGCCACGGCGCCTGGCCCAAATACAGTAACATTCTGATAAACTGGAGGTTAGACCTAAACATATAAATGTAGGGTCGGAGGGACACAATGTAGCCTATAACATACATCACCATTTATCTCTTTTATCCTTAAACTTCCAGGGGATGAACTGTAAGTCAGCATTATATGCCAAATGGCATCCCCATTTAGGCCCATGGTTCTTAGAGTTAGTGTATCATACCCTTAAACACTTAACCAGGCTACCTTGTCGATCTTAGTTTTCAGTATTTCATAGTTTTTTGAGTGTTTGCTGTTGTGTGTTTTTACTTTTTTGAAATTTCCTTAGATGTTTTAGTGAGAAATTGGAAAATGGTTGAGTCATCACCAGATACAGTCTTGAAACTGAAACCACAAAGTTTTTTAGGAATTAGGCAGAGCCCTGGGGGGGAGGGAGGATTTGTTATGGTTATTTTTTAATGAAGATGCTAATTTTTTTATAGTTTGGTGAAAATTGATGTAATCTTTTAGGGAAGCAATTTGGCAATACCCATCAAGAATGTAAGAGTATATACACCTTTTTAAATTTCTTCAGAGGTTTATAACCTGTTACTATAATCATTTATTTTGACTCAAATTATCCCAGATTCAGCCAGTGGAAGTCCCTTCAAGTTGGGAGAATTACACCTTTTAAGGTGTAATTCCAGTTAGAAATTTAACAATAGGGCATTTGAGTGTAAGTAGGTGTAAATGAGAACAAAGATTTTTCACAAAGATGTTCATTACATCTTTATTTTTAATAACGAAAGCAACCCAAATTGAAGGCAACCCAAATATTTTTGGAGAATATTTAATAACTGCAGTATAATGTACAAGGAATAAATCAGGATACAAAACTGCATGCACGTAATAAACCAAATCTGAATGTGTATAAGTATTTATGTCTAGAAGCATGTAGATTTTAACTTTATCTAAGCTTTTTCTAATGATCCTGTTTTCATGATCAGAGCAAAAAATATATTTCAAACTGTGGTCAATTCTGTCTTTCCAGGTAAATAGGGGCCCTCATTTTTTTTTAATCCCAGCACTAAAGAACTTTATGTTTCAGCTTATTGCTTAAGTATCATACATCCCACTGAAAGATGATCCATAAAATGTGTAGTTCTTATAAAAGTTATAAAGATAATTCTACATATTTGAAGGTATTTTAAAAATTTATTTTACCTCATACTATGACTCCTTTTCTATCTTGATATTGCCTCTTAGATCTTTACTGAGTGAAACCAATTTATAATGTGCAAAAATGGGAATGAGAGAAATCGTATCCAAAGTATACACTTTAATGAATATCCATAATCATTCAACTCAACACTACTATGATAGAGTGGCTAAGAGTGCTGGCCTTCCGTCAGTGTGGGAAAGGGGTAGGGCTGGGGTTTGCAGCCCCGATATTATGACACCCAGTGTGGTGGCAGCCCCGTGCAGGGAAGCAGAGCCAGAGCAGGGTGAGGAGGGTGTTCGTGCAGGGAAGAGGCAGGAGACATGAGAGCAGATGGGTTACCCATGGAGAGATTAATCACATAGATCAATCTATTAAAGACAATGGGAGCCAGTTTTCTCCCTTGTGAAGAGGGGTATAACAAATATGGAAAAGGAGAAAACTGGAAATAACCTTACAATGTTGACTTGGAATTGGAGGTATTGATATGACTCATGAGTTTCAAGAAATATACAGAAACAAATATAGATGTAAATGTGTGTTTGTACCTATCAATACACACACACACACACACACACACACACACATTCTCTAGTCTGACCACTGAATTCTAGTAATAATGAGTACAACCAGCACCATATCTTGACTGCTAAATAAAATTCTCCACTAAAAGAACCCAGGGATCTTTGGAGAAATGACTAATTCCAAAAGTAGGGCAGAGACAGTACAAGATGAAACTGGAAAATCATTTTGTGTCAGAAAGTAAGGACATATTCCAAAACTGATAGGTATATGTCAAAGGACAAAGCCAACGTGAAGGGACTTCCACTGGCTACATCTGGGATAATTTGAGTCAAAATAAATGATTATAGTAACAGGTTATAAACAACTGAAGAAATTTAAAAGTCATTAGTTCATACTACAATAAATAAGTTGAAAGTTTGATGAGAAATTGGATTTTGACATAGCTTCAAAGTGCTTCAAGACATTTATTAATTACAAAGGGAGAAAGAACAACTTCATAGCGGAGAAACCTGGAAGAAACCATCTTAATTAATTATTACAAGTGAACAATGCCTGGAATGGGACCAATCAAAACTGCGTGCCACTTGATAGGATGCAATGAGAAGAACACAGCATCACTTCTCTAAGATGCATAATTTGAATCTAATTGTGAGGAAATATCAGATAAGCTAAAATTGAGAAATTTCTACCAGATATCTGGCTCGCGATCTTCAAAAAAGTCAAGGTCATGAACATCAAGTTAAGAATGAAGAGGCCAGGCGCGGTGGCTCACGCCTGTAATCCCAGCAGTTTGGGAGGCCGAGACGGGCGGATCACGAGGTCAGGAGATCGAGACCATCCTGGCTAACACGGTGAAACCCCGTCTCTACTAAAAATACAAAAATTAGCCGGGCATGGTGGTGCGCGCCTGTAGTCCCAGCTACACGGGAGGCTGAGGCAGGAGAATGGCGTGAACCCGGGAGGCGGAGCTTGCAGTGAGTCGAGATCGCGCCACTGCACTCCAGCCTGGGCGACAGAGCGAAACTCTGCCTCAAAAAAAAAAAAAAAAAAAAAAAAGAATGAAGAATTATTCCATATTAAAGGAGACTAAAGAGGCCTGACACCTAAATGAAATGTGTGATTCCAATGTAGATATCCTTTCACTATAAAATACATTATTGAGACAACTGATAAAACTTGAAGGAAGTCTAAGCATTAAACGATAGTTATGTAGTTTCCTGATTTTGATCATGGTATTTTGGATAAGAGAGAGAATGTTCTTGTTTATGAAACATCATCTCTAAGTATGCAGGGATGATAGAGTATCAGGTCAGCCACTTAATCCCAAGTGATTCAGGGAACAAAGAGTTCTTTATCCTCCAGTTACAAGCGTATGGCTGTGGGCAGGTTATTTTGTCTGACTACTTTTGTTTCCTCATCTATTGTACGGGACTAGTGATAGTATCCATCTCTTTGCATTGTTATGAGATTAAATAAGTTGGTAAAGGTAAAGAGGTTATTTAGTGCCTAGTTAAAGTTGGCTAGTTTTTGAGTACCTTTATATATTAGCTCCAACTATAATATGAGAATTATGGTTACTATTTATTTTTGACCTTTCTCCTATTTTGGCCCACTTTTAGTGTGTCTTCCCTTCTGCCCTACTGTTTCCTGTCCATGTTGGTTTCCTTTCCATAGCAACTCTTGCCTCTCCAACACAAAGCTTCATGCTCCAAAAAGCACTGAGTCAGACAGCATGGGTTATTCCTTGCATGATTATAATATCTTCACCAATAGAAAGAGATAATTTGTGTGAACGGTAAATGTACAAAAAATATACAAAAATCTCATTTTTACAGGTTCCATAATGCAAATTTTTTCCATTCAAATAGGAGTTAAGAATTCACTTTAGAACATTTTTGAAGGTGATTTAGATTCTATTGTAGTAAATACCTAAGCTAAAGTATAGCATTCTCTTCCTTTTTACTCTCCGTGAAATAGAATATGTAAAACCTTCTAAAAGAATTTATATGCATAACTCAAGCCATCTTTTCCAAAAACTTAAATTTTAAGTACATGTCAATTATGCATGTATGTAAAACTGGTACTTTGATGCTAGTATTTATTAAAATATTGATTTTGTATAAAATTCCTAGCAAATGTGATTACAACTTTATAAATAGGAAATAGTAAAAAATGCTTAACTAAAGATAGACTCTTTCTTTAGTTTTTTGTTAATAGTAACTATGATTCTGTCATTTTCAAACATCAGCTTTATTACCAAGAACTTATCTGTAAGTTAGGGTTGAAGAGATGGCAGGGTGTTAGTATCTATGTTTATGCACAAATGAGTTGTTGTATTATTGCTGGGTGTTTGGGTGTAAAGAAACAAGAAGAATGTGGGTATGTACCTATCATTGAGAAGACAAAGGAAATCCTGTAACTTCAGCTTTCAACACACTCAACTTGCACTGGGCTGTAAAATCCTGCTAAACTATTTAAGGAGAGGTCTCAGAGCCACATAAAAGTCTCCCTTTAAGGAGGTAGTATTTAATTTCAGATTGTCTGTTCCTATCATGCTTCTATACAGTCTTCTATGGTATTCCACTAAACTAAAATCCAGTTCATTTGGACATCTCAATATTGGACATCAAGACATAAAAATAAAGTATAATATTTCCTTAGTTTAGGGCATTTTGAGGCAGGCAGATCACCTGAGGTCAGGAGTTTGAGACCAGCTTGGCCAACATGGCGAAACCCCATCTCTACTAAAAATATAAAAAAATTAGCTGGGCTTGGTGGCGGTTGCCTGTAATCCCAGCTGCTCCAGAGGCTGAGGCAAGAGAATCGCTTGAACCCAGGAGTCGGAGGTTGCAGTGAGCCGAGATTGCGCCACTGCACTCCAGCCTGGGTGACAGAGTGGGACTCCATCCCGGAAAAAAAAATAAAATAAGTAAATAAATAAAAATATGTATCTTATTTAATCTCAAAGTATAAATTCAAGGCATAAATTTAAGTATAAATTCTTTTTTTAAAAAGTCTACCTTGTTTTGCAAGGAACTATAATAGGAACTCTTGTAAATGTAAAGTTAATTGAGTTTTTTCCCCCAAAATATGTCTGATTATAGGCAACAGGTTCCAGGATTGGCGTCTTAACACAAAATGCAACTAACATGGGACTTTCAGTTATCATTTCCTTTATATATGGATGGGAGATGACATTCCTGATTCTGAGTATTGCTCCAGTACTTGCCGTGACAGGAATGATTGAAACCGCAGCAATGACTGGATTTGCCAACAAAGATAAGCAAGAACTTAAGCATGCTGGAAAGGTAAAATGAAGACTGTTATCACCATCGTAACATTTAAAGAGAAAAACAGTCAGAACTTTATGATATGTTAACTATATGATGTGTTAACCATCTTTATGATATATTAACTTCATCTCTTAGGGATCTGTAAAGTGATATGTATAGAGAGAGAAATGCATACAGACCAATTTAGGATAGAAGGTAGATATGTTATAGCAATAGGGTACATGATTTAGAGCACAGGCTCTGGAGTCTAATTAGCTGAGTTAGAATCCAGATTCTATGCTAACAAACGTGTGATATGAGCAGGTTATGTCAACCTTTGTAGACTTCAGGTTTCTCATCTGCAAAGTGGGAATAATACGAGTATTCACTTACAAATTTTTGTGAATATTGCATAAAACACAATGTTATTATACGCAAAACACTTAGAACAGTGTCTGGAAGACAGTAAGCACGTACTAATGTCAGCCATTATTACTGGGGAAGTTTTCAAACATCATCATTCCCCATTTTCTGGTCATTGAATAATCAAATTTTCTTGAGCAATTCTTCTGAATATTTTATTTTTCAAAACAAACAGGCAATGCAGCAGTTACTGAATGCAAGGCCATGCACTGATATTGATAACATATAAAACAAGGCTTTAGAGACAGGACCATAAATGACCAATTTATTTAATCATTTGGAAAATGCCTGGACATACAGGTATTTAAGCTTCTTAGGATCAACCATATTCATACAAATAATTATTATATTAGAGACTGAAGGAAACATTATGGTGGCATCATAACACCTAAGAATTGAAAGAGACATCATCTGACCCAACCATTAACCTGAAGTAGGAGTCCCTTGCACAACATCCCTGTCAAGCGTCCATCCCCATCTCCTACCACCTTTTCCTCCAGTGGCAGGTAGTACATTACTTTCCCAGGCTGCCTGTACTTGGATAGTCTTGGGTGGTAGGCAGTTCTTTTCCTTTTCTTTCTTTTTTTCTTGTCTTATTTATTTATTTATTTATTGGTGGACTTCTATCTTACTCTTCTTGGCTTTCATCTTGGTAGAGGTCCAAAATCTGTTTTTCACGACAGCCCTTTAGCAGCTGAATCGCTGTAAACAAGGAGACTTCTGTTGACTCTACATCCAGGTCTTTAAGATGTTCCTCACACCTGTAATCCCAGAACTTTGGGAGGCCGAGATGGGCGGATCTTTTGAGGTCAGGAGTTTGAAACCAGCCTGGCCAACATAATGAAACCCCATCTCTACGAAAAATACAAAAAGTTAGCCGGGTATGGTGGTGCGTGCCTGTAATCCCAGTTACTTGGGAGGCTGAGGCAGGAGAATCACTTGAACCCAGGAGGTGGAGGTTGCAGTGAGCTGAGATTGCACCACTGCACTCCAACTTGGGCGACAGAGCACAGCTCTGTCTCAAAAAAAAAAAAAAAAAAAAAGGGTGTTCCTCTCCTAATACTGTTTCAGAGCTCTTGGCTACACTGGTGTACATCCTCTGAATAGCAAAATGATGTTAATATCCTTTATAGTCTGTATCACGGTGAATGTGTCACAATTGGCATAGCATAAATGTCATACATATTCATGAATAGGGATGCCAAGCACATAACTCACTGTAATCTCGTTTGCCTGAGCCTTAGACCTTTCCACCTTTTTTTGCACAAGATAAGGACCCTTGGATTGTTTGCTTGTGCTGTATAGTCTGAACTACCTAGCAAATATTCGCCTCAGAGACAGTAAACAGTTGTTTAGACCTCCTTGTCTAATTTAAACATTGCAATAATTTATACAATTTCTAAATTAATGAGGCCTAATTATGTTTTCCTCATCTTATTTTTTATGTCATGAGCTTTTGCTGTATATGTGCCCTTTGACTTTTCCTTTATGTATCATTAGAGCAACCTCAGACTATACAACAAACAACTCTAATCAAATAGTCAATTGGAGGCATTTCCCTATGGCTTTTAATAAGTCAATTTACTAAACATCAATTTAGAACATAGACTAATAAAATGTATCGGTCCTTCTTCAGTTGCATGTGTAGATTTGGAAAAATTATCAAACGTTTAGTTTTTAAGACTTTGAATGGGCCAGGTGCGCTGGCTTACGCCTGTAATCCCAACACTTTGGGAGGCCGAGGCAGGTGGATCACAAGGTCAGGAGTTCGAGACCAGCCTGACCAACATGGTGAAACCCTGTCTCTACTAAAAATACAAAAATTAACCAGGTATGGTGGCACACGCCTGCAATCCCAGCTACTCAGGAGGCTAAGGCAGGAGAATCACTTGAAGCCAGGAGGCAGAGGTTGCAGTGAGCCAAGATCGCACCACTGCACTCCAGCCTGGGCAACAGAGCAAGACTCCATCTCAAAAGAAAACAAAAAAAGACTTTGAATAGCTTAATTAGTTTTCTTAATGACTATTTTCTAAGGGTCTGTAATAATATTCATCCCTTCTCCATTGTGAAAAATTGGAGATTTTTTTAATGTTCATTCCTTTTTTTATCTTCATTCCTTTTGTTTTTCCTCAAAATTTTTTTATATTCATTCCTTTTGTTTTTCCTCAAACAAGGTTTCAGCATTCTTATCCATTTTCTTCATATACTATGGAATGTTACAAATGGAGGTTTCTTTAAGTCCATTTTTAAATTAATGAGAATTTAAAACAACCAACATCAAAATTGGGAGCAGAATCCTGGTGTCCTCACGACAGTCCAGAAATCTAGTTCCCTCCTACAACCCAAGTTATTCTTCAGAGAAGGCCAAGTGTCTACCTGGTCTTCTCTGTCCCACAGTCCATTCTGCCAATCTGGAAACAGAATGTGAAAACAGGAAGTTTCTCTTTCAAGCCAACACATGTTCTCATGTCCGAAAAGCTATTCTAAACCAAAACTCTCTTCCATTTTGAATCCCATGTAATTATGCATTCTCTTTATAAACTATATAAATGTGGAGAAGTATTCATCACATTTGAATTAAATGTCTTTTTACATTCACAGACGCCAATATGAGAAATGGCTTTATCTCATAAAGAATTTTATAACCACATGCCATGTTACTTTCCTGTAATGTTCCTGAGTCCTTTTAAGTTGCTATTTTTAATTCTTTGCTAGAATAAAATAATTATGTGATTACTTTATCTCTGCTATCTTTTTTTTTTTTTTTTTTTTTTTTGAGACAGAGAAGTCTCACTCTGTTGCCCAAGCTGGAGTGCAGTGGATGATCTCAGCTCACTGCAACCTCCACCTCCCAGGTTCAAGTGATTCTCGTGCCTTAGCTTCCTGAGTAGCTGGGATTACAGACATGTGCCACCATACCTGGTTAATTTTTGTATTTTTAGTAGAGACAGGGTTTTACCATGTTGGCCAGGCTGGTTTCGAACTCCTGGCCTCAAGTAATCGGCCCGCCTTGGCCTCCCAAAGTACTGGGATTACAATCATAAGCCATTGTGCCTAGCATCTGCTATCTTTTACTTGAATTGTTTCATAATTTGTAGGAAGCTCCTTTGCATGTGAACATAATGCTTACTAATGTTTTATTCTTCTGTCTATGGAACAAGTTTAAATTGAAATTCAGTATAAACTTGAATGGGGTTAAACTTAGATCAGTAGACTAAATCTCAATAAGACATTTTCCTTAAGCTTATCATCCAAAAGTGTCATTTTTCTATCTTATTTTCTGGGAGGAAAGGAAGCTAAGAATATTTGTCAGGAAAACTTACTGACTTGATATACTTAATATGTCCCCAGTGTGAGTGACTAGAATTCACAAATGGGAAAAGATTAACCATTACTAATTTTATTTCTATATTGTATTGTCCTGTTTTATAAGATAGCAACTGAAGCTTTGGAGAATATACGTACTATAGTGTCATTAACAAGGGAAAAAGCCTTCGAGCAAATGTATGAAGAGATGCTTCAGACTCAACACAGGTGATTATAGATTCATACTGACTTCAAAAACTTAATTTTGTTCTGTAAAGGCAGTACTCTCAAATGACTCCAGTGGTTTGCCTGCTAATTCATTTGCTCTTGAGCCTTTCCTAATAATGTCATGTCATAATTTCTCATATGACTTCACCAAGAGAAACTAGAAGAGGAATTGAGGGCAACCACAATTAGAATAAATATTTTAGGTCCTCTCACATTACCATTAACTGTCTGTTACTAAGTATGCACATTTTTCTTATTTTCCTGAAAGAATATTAATGAAATAACATACGCAAGAAAGAAAATAAAATTGCGGGCAGGGCGCTGTGTCTCACACCTGTAATCCCAGCACTTTGGGAGGCTGAGGTGGGCGGATCACTTAAGGTCAACAGTTAGAGACCAGCCTGGACAACATGATGAAACCCCATCTCTACTAAAAATGCAAAAATTAGCTGGGTGTGGTGGTGCACACTTGTAGTCCCAGCTACTTGGAGGCTGAGGCAGGAGAATCACTTGAACCTGGGAGGCAGAGGTTGCAGTGAGCTGAGATCATGCCATTACACTCCAACTCCAGCCTAGGCGACACAGCAAGAGAAAAGAGCTCGGCCCTTTACATTAAATCCCTAAAATAGTTTACATTTTAAATACGAATATATACATAATAAATGCACTTACACTTTTAATTTTAAACTAGTCCTCCTTATCACATTGACTTAGTGATGCTTTTTATATTACTTTAACAGAAAGATAGCTTTTTACTCTTTTGGACTCATACTTGTAGTTGGCACCACCCTTTAATTTCCTCTATTCTGTTAATGAAAGATTGTAATGGAGACTTAGAAAATCCTTCTAAATACCTAAACCAAATCTCTAACTCTTACACTAGCCATCCTTTCACGGGCTTTGCCCATTCATTTAACAGTATATAAAGTTAAATTTGTTATACTGAACTAGAGAGTATATGACTATAGGGAAAAGAATTATAACATTATCTGTCTTTTCTCAAAGAATTCTCAGTAGTAAAAAAAAAAAAATCACTTTCTCTTTCATCATTCGAAAAATGCCTTTCCACCAAATTATAACATTTCAAAGTCCTCTCTATTTATTACTCTACATGTATTCAATTGACCTTGCTATAATTCATGCCTCATTATTTGGTAAATTTTGTACATTCCAGAAATACCTCGAAGAAAGCACAGATTATTGGAAGCTGTTATGCATTCAGCCATGCCTTTATATATTTTGCCTATGCGGCAGGGTTTCGATTTGGAGCCTATTTAATTCAAGCTGGACGAATGACCCCAGAGGGCATGTTCATGTAAGTCGTGGAAATAGTCCGGACCTGGTAGCTCACACCTGTAATTCCAACACTTTGAGAGGCTGAGGCGGGTGGATCACTTGAGGTCAGGAGTTTGAGATCAGCCTGACCAACATAATAAAACCCCATCTCTACTAAAAATACAAAAATTAGCTGGGTGTGGTGGCAGGCTCCTGTAATCCCACCTACTCAGGAGGCTGAGGCAGGAGAATCGATTGAACCCAGGAAATGGAGGCTGCAGTGAGCTGAGATCACGCCACTGCACTCCAGCCTGGGCAACAAAGTGAGACTCTGTCTCAAAATAAATAAATTAATTAATAAGTTGTGGAAATACATAAACCTTGTAAGGGGGTCATGTACTTATTTACCAGAAAGATGTCTAGTTTATAGTGAGTTATCATTTAAATCACATATGTGGAAAAGGTATGCTTGAATTTTTTTTAAGTTGGAATTTTTTTAAATATACACATATTTTTAAATTTTGTATTGATATATAATAGTTACACATATTTTAGGGGTACACATGATATTTTGATATATTCATATGATGTTTAATGATCAAATCAGGGTAATTGGGATGAATTTTATTTTTAATTGACAGACAATAATTGTACATATTATATATTTATGGGGTACAATGGGATGTTCTGATATATGTTAACACTGTGAAATGATTAAATCGAGCTAAGTGTTTTTGTTATTTAGTCTCTATAAGTACAGCATAACTGGTAAAATACTGATACTGATATAAGGCATAAAATCTGAATTAAATTCCCAGATGAATTGCTCTCTGCTTCAGTTTACTGGAACATGGGAATGTGGGGGCAAAATATGCCTTCTTGTCATTCATCCCTTAGGAAATTTGTGAGACATTATGAAACTCTCAGTGTGGAGATGGCTTCCTAAAGTAAGACTGTACATCAGTGAGGATGAATTATTTGCTAAGCAAATAATCCAGAAGAAACACATATAAATGAGTGTTTCCCTTCAAAAATGTCACATTTGGAATTGAATGTGGTGTCCCAGTGAGGCTGCTTCTTCCCAAAGCATTAGGTTGGAGCTCCTATTTTGAAGTTCTGGTCACATAATTATGAATTTATTTGTTTTACCGGAACATCTAATGCAACTGCTAAATTAGAAAAATTAATTTTGAGTATTAATTCTGAGCTGAGAGCCTAAAATATCAGAAATGTTGCTAATCCATCATAAACGTCATTGCTAAGCATTTAGAACTGGAGAAATCCATACAATACTTGACTCAAAAAAGTAACATTATGTTATTTTTAACAAGCCCACCAAAAAATGCACATCCATGCAAGTATCAGCCTCTTCACAATAATGAATTGGGAGATTACACCTGTTACAAGGATGCTGCTATTTGGCAGAACACACTGGGCACTTCTCTTTGGGTTTTGTTTCCCAAGTCTCAGGACATTACTTTGAATATCCTTATTGTTGGCATATTTGTATTTTCAGGATAGGTTCAATTTGAGGAAATGGCCAAAAGACATTTAAACCTAAGTAATTTCAGAATAACTTGGAATAATTTTTAGTTTCTATTCACATGAAAATTTATTTATTTATTAAGCATTAAGTGAAGTCCCAGGAAGTTTCTTTGTTAGGCACTGATAAGAAAACAGTCCAGAGTTCACCAACCCAGTATTCCTAAATCTTACCTGACACCAAAGCCACTTAGAAGTTTCCTGGAAGCAGATTTCCTTATAAAATGGAATATGGAAATGGAATATCTGTATTTAAAATTTCAACAGAAGGGCTGGATGTGGTGGCTCATGCCTCTAATCCCAGCACTTTGGGAGTCCAAGGCAGGTGGATCACCAAAGGTCAGGATTTCGAGACCAGCCTGGACAACCTGTGAAATGCTGTCTGTAGTCAAAATACAAAAATTAGCCATGTATGGCGGTGCATGCCTGTAATCCCAGCTACTTGGGAGGCTGAGGCATGAGAATCACTTGACCCGAGGAGGCAGAGGTTGCAATGAGCCAAGATCACACCACTGCACTCTAGCCTGGATGACAGAGTGAGACTCTGCCTCAAAAAATTTAAAATAAAATTTCAACAGAAATTGCAAGTTCCCTGTCCTATGTTCTCCTAGCCTCTAAAATAGTGTGCACTATTGCCCATGTGAATTTATAAACCACAATTATATTTAGGCTTGGGTTTCATTCTGATTACATAAGACTAATTACTTAGGTAGATTAACAAGAAACAAAATCTGAAATCACATAAATAATTCAGCTCACCAGCCCCCGTGAGCCAGTTTTTCCTTTGTTCTAATATAATCCAGGCACTCCCAAGCTTGAAAGTTGGTTGTAATCCAAAAGTTTGTTTGCAAGCCAATAGTTTGAAACTCAAAACATGTTTTCCTCATGTTGCTCTAAACTTTCCACAGACTTCTTTAATCCCCAGGGCCCCGTTCCTTCTGTATAACTAGTTTTGAGTATTAGTAGAAAGCAAGCCAATTAAACATATTCATACTAATGTACGAGGTTTGATGATTTTCCAAATTCTCACAGAAGAATTTTCATCTGTTTTCATCAATTTCTCTGTCACTACTCTTTCTTTGCTTTGTAATCACACCTATAAAAAAAAATAAGAAGGCCAGGCACGGTGGCTCATGCCTGTAGTCCCAACACTTTGGGAGGCAGAGGTGGGTGGATCACAAGGTCAGGAGCTCAAGACTAGCCTGGCCAACATGGTGAAACCCCGTCTCTACTAAAAAATACAAAAATTAGCTGGGCATGGTGGTGGGCGCCTGTAATCCCATCTACTTGGGAGGTGAGGGACAAGAATTGCTTCAACCCCGGAGGTGGAGGTTGCAGTGAGCCGAGATCACACCACTGCACTCCAGCCTGGGCAACAGAGCAAGACTCCAACTCAGGAAAAAAAAAAAAAAATATATATATATATATACATATAAAATTTACTGGATCCTGTTTTTCAGCCAGGACTCTGTGTGTTGGAGGGCTTTAGAGCTCCCAGACCTTTCATCTATTACACTTTCATTAGTGTTCTCATCCAATCTGTCAGTTTTAAATACCACCTGTGTCCTGATAACTTCCTTCTGTATATTTCCAACTCTGACCCTGCCCTGAGCACAAGACCCTTATCCAATTACTTAGGAGACACCTCCACTTGGAGGACTAATATCTCAATGTGTTCAAAACAGAATTTAAGGTGTTTCTCCCCAAAGGTTATCTTCCCCAAGACTTTCCCATCTTAACTAATAACACCAACCACCATCCACACAGTTGTCAGCCCAAAAATGTTGGAGTCATCCCTGTTGCTTCTCTTGCCATTGTCCACCACATAAATCACTGATTCCTCATGACTCTAATTCCAAAATTCTTCTCATCCTCTTCACACTCATCCAAGCCCCTCCCTGTCTTGACTGGACCACTGCAACAACCTCACCAATGTCCTTGTGTCCACTCTTGCTTCCCTATAATCCATTCTCCACACTGCAGCCAGACTGATCATTTAATGCACAAATCCAATAGCACCAGTTTATTAAAATTCTGCAAGATCTAGATCTTCCCACTGAAATTTGAATAAAGCCAAAGTCCTTACCATGACCTGAAAGACCTTCATGATGGGGCTGCTGCGTTGCTTTCCAATTTCATCCACCTCTATCTCCCATGTTAACTACTCATCAGCCCCACACTTGCCATGTCTGTCCCTGGACCTCCCCATTGCAGGGTCTTCACACTTGCTATTCTCTGCCTGGAATGGTCATTCCCCAGGGCTTTGCTAAGCTACCTTTTTCTTACCACTCAGGCTTCCCCTGCTAAGTCCACTCCTCAGAGGGACTTTCACCGATGGTCCAAAGTAGTTCCCCTAACCCTCCCTCCTCATCACTCTCTTTCCCATCACCATATTTTGTTTACAACACTTATGACACTTATGATTCTATGAAATTATATTTTGTGTTTCCATATTTATGAGTGCATAGACTGAGCACAAGTTGTAACCTATCTTGTTCACTGATGTTTCCCAAAAGCCAAAAACAAGTGGGTGGCACATAACAGACACACAATAAATATTTATTGAATGAATGACTGAATCAAAATTAAGGGGGAGATTTGGAATGGTACATAATTAGGCAGTACAGTCATTTCTGGAAATGTGCCTTCGGAGTCACCTTCACACTTTGAAAACAGGAGTCTGTTTTTCACAAATTTTTCTAATTTTCTTCTTTTCTACACCCATATGTCTAATACCAGGTGCTTTGGCAGGAGGACTGGATCTAAATCGAGGGCAACCATTGATATAAAATATGATGTGTGGAATTGAGAATTTACCTGTACCTACTGAGATTTGTTTAGATTAAAGCTAAGAAAAAATTTCTCAGTCGAAGAATGATACAACCTCAAAATCATGCCAGTCACTTTCATGCCTGCAAATGACACCCGTTAGGATGTTTCCTTTAAGGGGCTTTCCAAGACTGCCAACCATTCCATTACTTATGAAAATTGCTATAACGGCAAATCTTGATTGAATCTTTACTCAGTTTTAAGTATTTGCTGTATATTATCTGTTTAATGCTCTAAACTACCCTGTGAAATACTATGGTTCCCATTTTACAGATGAGAACAATTAAGACTCAAAGAGGTTACCTAACTTGCTCAAAGTTACATAATCGGTAAGTAGCAGAGCACAGATTCAAGTTCATGGTTCCAGATTCCAGAGGTTTGGTTTACTCAACGTACATTATTATTATTATTATTATTATTACAAATTCTGTGGCCAAACATTCATAGAATATTTCTGTGAAATTATTTTTTAAATAATTCTTGCTTAGTTTTTCAAACATTCGAGTATTCAAAGTTGGGCTGATTCCTCACATATAAATGGAACAGGTGACCTGCTTAGTGCTATTTTATAGCCCTAAAATATGAGAATGAAAAGTCCCCAATATAAAATTTCTTCCCTGAGCTGGCCTACCATACTTCCTGAATTTCTTTTAATTAAATTCATTAAAAGGGGGTCTCTTCTAGATACATAAGCATTTTAACTATCAGAACATATGAAGGACTGTTAACATAAGAGTAACAATTAAAGAATAGTACCACCTTGGTATTTCCCAGTGCCCCAAGGGAAGGAAGAAATAGAGAGCTATCTGAGCTAGAGCCACTGGTATCACTTTTCTTCTCTTTTCTTTTCTTTTCTTTTTTTTTTTTTTTAAGTTCGAGTCTCGCTCTGTCGCCCATGCTGGAGTGCAGTGGCACGATCTCAGCTCGCCGCAAACTCCGCTTCCTGGATTCAAGCAATTCTCCCACCTCAGCCTCCTGAGTAGTTGGGACTACAGGCACATGTCACCACACCTGGCTAATTTCTGCATGTTTTGGTGGAGACCAGATTTCACCATGTTGGCCAGGCCGGTCTCAAACTCCGGACCTCAAGTGATCCACCTCCCTTAGCCTCCCAAAGTGCTAGGATTACAGGTGTAAGCCACCACACCCAGCCTCACGTTTTGAGTTTCATCCAGTCAGAATACAGACAGAATAAGGGTACCCACACTTTTGGAGTATGGACAAAAGAGAGATTCTCTAGGGATTCTCCTCCAGTATTAAATGTGGTTATTGCCCAAAAGAGCAACATAGCACTATGCATAATGTCAATAGATGAGATTTGTCTTCAACACCAAAGAGGATTTGGTCCTAGAGATCAAATGTGGCCCCAACTACCATGAATGTGTCACAAGCTCCCTTTAGACACACTAAATGATACCTGGCCTAGAAGACTCTGTACCTTCCAGAATCTAGGATGACAGACAGCTTTCAATCTCATCGACTAGCTAAACCAAAGAAATTTACAAAGAAAACTCCCTCCTACTAGAATTCTTCTTAGATAAAAAGCACTTTGAGCCATTCTCTAAACCAATGGTTTTCCAACTCAGCAATCTAGGAGCTGGTTAAAACTGTAGATACCTAGATCTCATCCTGCAAAATCTGATTTGTAGATCTAGTATGGGGCAGGAATCTTCATTTTATCAAACATTCCAGATTACTCCAAGGCATAATTTATAGCTACAAGGATGGATTATCTGTGTCTCTTTCAAAAATGACATTGTGTCTCAGAAAGGGAGATACACAAAGGGAGTTTTAACAGCAAAATTCTTTAATGTGCTCATAATATTAGTTTGTCAGCAAGGCTTTTTAGAGGAAAAAGCCTCTAAAAGAAAAAAAAAGACAACACGCATGTCTTATGGTAGAAGCCGTCTCTATTTCTACTATCCTAGAAGTTTATCTGAAATGAGCATTTAAAATAAGGTGATAACATTTTCATTCTGCCACCTTACAGACAAGGCATAGGGGCGTTTAGAAAATCTCTTGTTTAGGTTCTCATGCACCCATGTGTAGTAAAACACTCACCTCTCCCTTTGTTAGTCCTGGTAACACATTCTATTTGTTATTTCACTATAAATGTGTAGATTTAGATGTACAAAATAAGTTTATTTTATCCTATCTCTTTGTGTTAGTCCCTTTCGGCTGGTTTCCAGCTGACTTGCCTTTTGCAATACCGACCAAGAACCATTCCTAATCAGGAGAGGTTTCTGTAGCCTTCCTTTCCCCACTGCAAAGCTTTCTCTATCTCTGTGAGTTTCTTCCATATTTTCTATCCATATTATCAAGAAGCTAAGCAGAGCATATAGGTAAGAAAGAATCAAGATATGGCAGCCCTCAATACAGTAATAATAAAAGCCACAGCTTTGAAAACTGCCTGAGAAGCAGAACCAGGCAGTTTATGGGTGTGTTTCCTAGTTCTCTTAAAAACCAAATGCAGTTCTTGACAAGAAACCACATTGTATTTCCAATAATAATGTGATTATTGGCCAAAAGAGCAACATAGGTGGGTTTTCAATGAGTATTAACAGTGGGTCGATACCTTAACATAATAAAGGATGGACAGAAGGGAGCTAGGCCTGCACCATCATCTTTGCCCTAGGAGGCTGGGCAGCCAGGGAAGAACTGTGAGTGTTATTGCTGTGTTAAGGAAAGCAACACTGGTTACACAAAACAAAGAAAACAGGAAAGACTTCTTTCCATGTTGGCTGCCATGGCAGCCACCTAGCTCTTGCCTGGCTCCTCCCCAGAGATTATCCGGAAGAGACAGACAAGGACAAGATAAGAAGGCTAAATCAACCACTGAAGGGACCTAAAGAAGAGAAATCAAAGGACAGTTGATATCTAGGGCCTTCAGAAGATTCTAAAATGGAAAGCAAGTGGTAACAAACTCCAACATGTAGGAAAAGACCATTCCAGCCAGCTTTCCACTGCAAGGAAGACCATGTAGGGGAAAACACAGAGAGGAAGGCAGCTCACGTTCCAACCCTACAATCTCATGTCTTCTGGGCAAATTGCATAATTTTTCTGAGCTAGAGTCTCCTCATTCATTGACTGATAAGTTTCCATTCTACTTATCTCCTAGGTGATTAGATGGTATCTTGTATATGAAAACATTCTATAAGATCCAAAGAACCAAATAAATGTTAGTTGCTTATTTTCTCCTCCTATCTGTTGAGAAAAGGATTTAGGGCGGGAAGAGGTCTCTGGGTTGTATATGGATGATATACAGATGAGCATGGGAATAATTTTAATGACTACCTCTATGGGGAAAGATACTCTGCCTTCTAATCAAAGAAAGAAACTTACTGAGTAAGGACTTGGAAAGTTGTGATTTGACCTGCCGTGCTAATCTATTGCTACAGAAGTGTGAGAGCTTTTTTTTTCTTTTTTGTTGTTGTTGTTGCTGTTTTTCTTGAGACGGAGTCTCACTCTGTCACCAGGCTGGAGTGCAGTGACGTGATCTCAGCTCACTGCAACCTCCACCTCCCGGGTTCAAGCAATTCTCCTGCCTCAGTCTCCTGAGTAGCTAGCATTACAGGTGTGTGCCAACACACCCAGCTAATTTTTGTATTTTTAGTAGAGATGGAGTTTCACCATGTTGGCCAGGCTGGTCTTGAACTCCTGACCTCGTGATCCACCCACCTCGGCCTCCCAAAGTGCTGGAATTACAGGCATGAACCACTGCACACAGCTCCTGTTAGTGACTTTAAAATATTTGTCATGATACCAAATTACTCCTCTTCATATATCCCAAATGGGTGAAACTCCTCAAGACCAACAGTGACATGAGAGATTGTTGGCCTGTACATTTCTCCCAGTTAGGTGTTCAGTTCAAATGCCTCCAGGAGCTTAAACCAGATTTGAAGGATATGGTTTAACTATGTTACGGAGTTACAGCACGGGTTATTCTACAATAAATACTTGTTGAGTGGAACTGAATTTCAGTTTAGCTCACCCTAGCTAATTGGGTCTGATTAGGTAAGGACAAATTCTGTAGCAGACCAGTTTTTTCCATGTGTGGGCCTTGGCCTACCTTTATACAGAATCCACCTGGAGAAAAAGCGTAAAGAAGATTACTGTCCCTAGGCCGGGCGCAGTGGCTCATGCCTATAATCCCAGCACTTTGGGAGGCCGAGGCAGGCGGATCACTAGGTCAGCAGTTCGAGACCAGCCTGGTCAACACAAAAATTAGCTAGGCATGGTGGTGCATGCCTGTAATCCCAGCTTCAGGAGGTGGAGGCAGGAGAATTGCTTGAACCCAGGAGATGGAGGTTGCAGTGAGCTGACATCATGCCACTGCACTCCAGCCTGAATGACAAAGCAAGACTCTGTCTTAAAAAAAAAAAAAGATGAAGAAGATTAGTGTCCCTCACTCAACCCCAGATAGTCCAACACCTCAAAGTCCACACTTCCCCTCCAGGGTCTTCAACATAACCCTCATCGGCATCAGCCCCCATCCCACTTACGTTTCTCTCAGCACTCACTCATTAAAGACGGTATCAGGGCTTTTGCTTGTACTCTCCCTTCTCTAACTGAACCCTTTCTTCCGGCTCCATTCTCCATCCTTTGGGTCATTTACCTCCCACAAACACAAGCTCTGAGTTGAAGGCCCTTCTCCCTTTCTCATTAATATTTCCATTTTCAGAGGGACCTAACAAGGATGTCTGCCTCTAGACATTTATGTCTAATGCTTACCATTACTGTTATAGTGGGAATGTTAGGACAGGTAGAGATTTTAGCATATCTCAAATCATGGGAAGAAGCTATTTTCTCAGTTATTGATTTCAGAGAAGCCTCTACCCCTTTGGGACTAGAAACCAGGTCTCCTAACTCATAATCCAATTATCTTCCCAGCTCACCTGCTGATTCTTGGATCAGACTGAGGCTTAAGTCTGACAGTCTGATTTTTCCTTGCATTAAAAACACATTTAAAAAAAAAAACCTTCTGATTTGGTTACCTAAACTCAGTGACCATTTCTGATGTTTATAGCTGGGTATCAAATAATTCAAATGGCATTTTGAGCTTTAAACACTTTCTGTAAATATCAGTACTAAAAAATGCCTTGACATCACTGAACTAAATAACAATTATTTTAGTGTTATTTTTGTTTTTATATTTTATACTGTGTTTGATCTTTGTAAAGCCAACAGGATTCAGGATCTGAGGTCTAGGTCACTGAAGAGATTGCATCAGCATCTACATCTACCCTTTGATAGGCCCCATTGAGGGAGAAATTCACAAGGAGCCCAGACGTGTTTACTTTGCTGTTATCCAGCACTGCAAACAAGCAACTGGGTTCTGTGATGACCCTTTACTGCCTAATGTTTAAATATTGCCAGCGACACTGGTCCAGTTTTAGCCTGATTGTGCCGTTAGGTTTGTTACTAAGATGCATTGTTTTGCATTCTAGTACACTACTTTCATATCTAAAATGAAATCGAAAATGAGAGGAAAATATTTAACCATGGTCAGGTCCTGTGCCACAGTCGAGTAAATATTCTGTGTGCTTCCAAACATCATTTGCACACTTACCATTTTATAATTAACATGTTTTGAAACTGAGATCATAATCAATAACAAACCTAAAAGATCAAAGTTCTTCTTTCAGTCTTTTTAGTCAGATTTTGCTTTGGGAACCTGAGGAAAATACGATCCCCATGATTTGCTCTCTAAATAATGTAGCATATCAGACAGATAACCAGTCATTTAGCTTCAGTTATCTGTCCTAACTACATTATATGCAAAACAAACAAACAAAAAATCATATCTACTGTGTAAATCCAGATCTCACTACTGGAGATTCATTCTTCCTATTGTCAGTTGAATTCTCTGTCAAATCTCCAAGCAAGCAAGCCTCATATCAAGATGACTAAGAAGTTTTATATTCACTAGTTGGGACCTTTGATCTGTGGCTCTAATTGGAAGAGACATTTTTAAGATTACCCAAGCTCCAAAGTTCATTTTGGTGTACAGAGCAAGGAATGATTACTACATGGTAGAAATTTTTTAAAGAGATAACTTGGTGGGTCTTCAGCGTTAGGGGTGCCGTCTACATCAAAAGATTATATTCCTGTGCCTGCTTTTTTCTTTACTTTTAGAGTTCTACTGTTTTACAAAGGATCGATGGACCTAAGATTCAAATGCTTTATCTTTTGATAGAGTTTTTACTGCAATTGCATATGGAGCTATGGCCATCGGAGAAACGCTCGTTTTGGCTCCTGAATATTCCAAAGCCAAATCGGGGGCTGCGCATCTGTTTGCCTTGTTGGAAAAGAAACCAAATATAGACAGCCGCAGTCAAGAAGGGAAAAAGCCAGTAAGCACAACTGTGATCTTAAATGTCCAAATAAAGATGGCAACAGTAGGAACTGGGGGCCACTGAAGATGGGAGGGAGAGAGGGGCAAGGGCTGAAAAACTAACCATTGGGTGCTATACTCAGTACCTGTGTGACAAGATCATTCATACCCCAAACATCAGCATTACGCAATATACCCAGACAACAAACCTGCGCATATACTCCTGGATCTAAAATAAAAGTTGAAAAAATAAAATGTAACATAAATGAAAAATAAAAATAAAAAATAAATGTCCACTTATTAAATGAAGGCTGTCTTTGGAAAACTCTGCAAAAGATAATGTCATAGTAACATAAAGAGTTAAAAGTTTGTGCAAAATAATTTTATGGCTGCAAACGGGGAAAAGGGGTCTTGTCTTAATCAAATTTTTACCTCTACAACTAAAATTTATATTTCATATTTTAAAATATATGCTTTTAATTTATATGCCTGATGCTATGAGAATGTTCTTGAAAAAAAAGATTGATTCTTATACTGAATTCTACTGAGAAACTAAAGTTTTGATCTTGGATGAAGATTCGTATTAAGGTTTATTTGTTTTTTTTTCTCTGATAATATATGCAAAGTAAATAATATTCTGCTGCTTCAGACACCATTTTTCATGGGAAATATATTTACAAACAAAGGGGAAAAAAAGGAAAGTATACCTATTAAATTGATGCACACAAACAAATTTAGCCTCAAACTCTAAAAGACTGTGAATATTAAAAGAGAAATAATAGGTAGGGTGTATAATTTCAAAATAAATCTCTCAATAATAGTCTTATACAGCTGGGCGTGGTGGCTCACGCCTGTAATCCCAGCACTTTGGGAGGCCGAGGTGGGTGGATCACGAGGTCAGGAGATCGAGTCCATCCTGGCTAACATGGTGAAACCCCGTCTCTACTAAAAATAAAAAAATTAAAAAAATTCAGCCGGGTGTGGTGGCACGCACCTGTAGTCCCAGCTACTCGGGAGGGCGAGACAGGAGAATCGCTTGAACCCGGGAGGCGGAGGTTGCAGTGAGCCGAGATCACGCCACTGCACCCCAGCTTGGGCGACAGAGCGAGACTTGCTCTCAAAAATAAATAAATAAATACAAAATAAATAATAGTCTTATACATTAAATATACATTCAATTTTAGTACTTTTCTAGACATTTTAATTTTTAAAATAAAAATAGTCCATTAGGTATATACTTAAATGTTTTTAACTTATAATTATTTCCCTCTAGAATTTTAATAGATTTATATGTATGACAGCTTAAAATACAGCATTACTAGAGCTACACAATGGTTAAGAAGAATGCCTGTTAGTGACAGAAATAAGACTATCTGGAAATTCTCAAAATAGAATGCTTCAAAGATACATCACAGTCAAAATAAGATTTTGTTCTTGTATTTTGGAAAGTAAAGGATGTAAGAAGCTTTTTTTTAATTTTAAGATTTATATGTATAACAGTATTGCTACTCCTATTTCTTTCTGCAGATTATAACAGAGGAATTGAGTATCTCACTGATCTATGTCCTTACAGAACCATAGGCATGGCATAGACTATGGAAGTGTTTCTTATAAAGGCTATAAAATTAATGAATTTAATCCTTATTTTATTTAGTATGTAAATGTTTCTGAATATCACTCTACGCTTTTAAAAATTAAAATCTGGGCAGGGTGTGGTGGCTTACACCTGTAATCCCAGGACTTTGGGAGGCTGAGACGGGCGGATCACCTAAGGTCAGGAGTTCAAGTTCAGCCTGGTTAACATGGCAAAGCCCCATCGCTAACAAAAACACAAAAATTAGGGTGTGGGGGCAATGCCTGTCACCCCAGCTGCTCGGGAGGCCGAGGCAGGAGGATCGCTTGAACCTGGGAGGCAGAGATTGCAGTGAGCCGAGATCACACCACTGTACTCCAGCCTGGGTGACAGAGCGAGACTCCTTCTCAAAAAAAAAAAAAAAAAATTAAAGTCTGGTCAAACAAAATTGGCAAATATTGAAATTCCAGCTGGGTGATAGGTATGTGGGCCATTTATTAAATTTTTCTCTCTATTTTTATACTTTTGGAGTTTTTCATATTAAATAGAATTAAAAATCGTAAGAATAAATTTTAAATGTATTAAATTTAGAAGTTTTCTAGAATACCTCTGTGAGCTATTATACAAAATACTTACAAGAGCATACATAAAAATAATTGAATTCTTCATGTTTCTGCGGTATTCTGTTTTTTTAAAACCTTTTTTATACAAATGCAGAGAGGGAAGTACACCAAAAAAAATTTAAAAAATAAAACAAAAAGAAATTTTTTATACAAATAATATTCATAGGTTGTAGGGGGCAAATGGAAAATACTCACTACACTAAAATAAACGACTACTACACTACTTTTAAATTTTGGCAAATATCCTTCCAGATTTTTTTTTTCTATTTCTAGATCTCTTAACCACATCTTAACATCAAATTCTTTTAACAAGAAAATAATATCATAAAATTTTTTTTGTTTACTCCTCACCCCTACCTGCCCTTGCTTCTTACCTATAATATGATGGGCTCAGAATGGGTCAAACATGACTAGTAAACCTGACTGTAAGGATGTGTTTTAAAATCCAGCCATCACTACCACCACACACACATGCACACACACACACAAATCCACTACTCCTTAGTTGTTTAGTCTAACAACAAAAATTAATAAGACTTAAAATGCAATTGAGAAGAACACAAAGATCAAAAGAACTTAAAATCTTATGAACCAAATATATAAAGGGAAAGTTAATCATTTAGTGATAGTTCTGGAAAGTCTTTTTTAAACATCCTGGTGTAGATGAGTATTGGTTTAGAAATCATTAACCAGTAAAGAGATTGATGCACAGAGAGAAACTAAATGTTTAGGCAACTGTCACTGCCAAATAATGGTCAATTGAAAATAAAGATAGGGCTGGGTGTGGTGGCTCACGCCTGTAATCCCAGCACTTCGGGAGGCCAAGGTGGGCAGATTGCTTGAGTCCAGGAGTTTGGAACCAGCCTGGGCAACATAGTGAAAACCCATCTCTACTAAAAATACAAAAATTGGCTGGGTGTGGTGGCGCACGCTGGTGGTCCCAGCTACTCAGGAGGCTGAGGTGGGAGGATGGCTTGAGCCTGGGAAGTGGAAGTTGCAGTGAGCCGAGATCACACCACTGCCTTCCAGCCTGGGTGACAGAGCTAGACCCTTTCTCAAATAAAATAAAATAAAATAAAATAAGAAAGATAAATCAGAATTCAAAACATACTGTACCTTCACTATAAAACATGGCCCAATTTAGAGAAATAACCCTCATACATATAGTTTATGAGAACCCCAGCTCTTCTGAATTAAGCAATAAAGGTTTGTAAAGCACAAACCACATTAAAAAGAAAAACGTATTACCCAGATAAGCTGGTCAAACAACCAACTGCGGAATGGAACTGTCTGTGCAGCAAAGCTGAAGGAAGCAAGTGGTTTTTAGAAACTCAGTGAAGTCAGTAGTGAAGATAACAAGAAACACAGACACAAAAAAATATAAACAAAAGTGACAGAAACCCACTTGCAGTCAACAGCTCTACAGAGATGCATACATGTTTAAAATTAAAAGGGCTCTGGAAACATGCACAATTTTCAAAATGAACTTGGCCAGTATGCTACAGTGTGTTACAACCTTCCCAAGTCATTCTTCTCAACTCTGTCAACTTCCTTTCACAGGACACATGTGAAGGGAATTTAGAGTTTCGAGAAGTCTCTTTCTTCTATCCATGTCGCCCAGATGTTTTCATCCTCCGTGGCTTATCCCTCAGTATTGAGCGAGGAAAGACAGTAGCATTTGTGGGGAGCAGCGGCTGTGGGAAAAGCACTTCTGTTCAACTTCTGCAGAGACTTTATGACCCCGTGCAAGGACAAGTGGTAAGACAGAACTGAAACACACCTAATCTGGGGGTTAGCAGTCCTATTCTTAAACATTCACTAGGGCTTAAGCATCCCCACTGGTTTGGGTGGGGCAAACAATGCAGAAGTTAAAAAGAAAAAAAATCTCTGTGTCAACCCTTAACTAAGAGGACAAGCAAACCATCACAAAAATGATGGTTAGGACTCTGAAGTGAAGCACAAAGGTCCAAAGATTCTTCAACCATTCTGGCAGCAGAAATGTTGATCTTAGCCATGGAATTACTTTAGAACATGGGTGCTGGAGATCTGGTCTAATGTTCACATCGTGGCTCCGTATTCTGTTGTGGTTTAAGACAGAGAGAACACTGTCCTCCACCTCCTTAGTTCAGGCTTCTGCTTTCCCACCACTCATCCCCACCTCCCAACTGTCAAAACTTTATGCACGGTTAAGGCTTATTGGAATCAGCTCCATGAAGTCATGCCTCTAATATCTAAAATAATGTAATCTCCCCATCCTTCGAAACTAAGGATTGTTTTTCTTACCTGGCACTTGTCTTACTATACCTTATATTGTGGTTTTTCCATTACCTTGTCCTCCCCCCACCACCCACCACCACATCAGCACACCCACACAAAGCTTCCTGTCCTGCCTCCTGCCCGTACAAAAAAGTTCCTAAAACTCAGACTGCCATGTTAGTCCTCATTCTCCTGCAACGTACAGTCTTTTCGCCCTTACAGATTCTCAATGAGTGTTTGCAAAACAGAGTTTAGGGACTCAAGGGAGTCCTAAAGGGCTCCCTTGAACTATGAGACACTCATCTATTCGCACATAGCATAGCACACTCCCTCTTCTAAACCTTCCACAGTTAGAACATACCAGTCTATGCCATCAATCAGGTCCTTCATGCCCTGGCCCCTGCCTCCCACTCCAAGCTCCTCTCATATCACTCCCCACGTCATCATGCACTGTGCTTTTTCTGTTTTTTGGGGGGCTTTTGTACGTTTTTTGTTTTGTTTTGTTTTTTTGAGACAGAGTCTTGCTCTGTGGCCCAGGCTGGAGTACAGTGGCGTGATCTCTGCTCACTGCAACCCCCGCCTCTAGGGTTCATGCGATTCTCATGCCTCAGCCTCCCAAGTAGTAGCTGAGATTACAGGGGTGTGCCACCATGTCCAGTTAGTTTTTGTATTTTTTGTAGAAACGGGGTTTCACCATGTTAACCAGGGTGGTCTTGAACTCCTAGCCTCAAGTCATCTGCCCACCTCAGCCTCCCAGTCTCCTCATGTTCTTTAAACACACCTATGAACCTTTCTTTTGCTATTGCCCTGACCAGAATGTCCCCTTTGCAGGCTCCTTCTCACTGTTCATGTCTTAGTCTGAACGTCCTTTCCTTAAGGCCTTCTTGTACAACCCCCTTCTCATGCCTCTCCATACCCTCCCCACTGCCTCAGTCGCTCTACCCTGTTACCCTGTCTTTAGGGTACTTTCCTCTCCTGAGTTTATTGAGTTATTTGTTCATGTGTTTATTGCATGCCTCTCTGCTAAAATATAAGCTACATCCATGGGGGGAGGGGGGAGGGACAGCATTAGGAGATATACCTAATGCTAAACCATGAGTTAATGGGTGCAGCACACCAACATGGCACATGTATACATATGTAACAAACCTGTACGTTGTGCACATGTACCCTAAAACTTAAAGTATAATAATAATAAAATTAAAAAAATATATATATATAAGCTACAAAAGGGAAAGAGCTTTCTCTTATTGACCACTATTTCCCTGGTACTGGAAGAGTCCCCCTCACGTAGTGAGCATGCTCATCAAATATGAGATGGTGTTGTTAAGAGTGTTGTTATTTATTTATGTGAATAAACATGGCTGTGTGCAAGATGACACAGCTTTACATGTGGAGTACTGTATCATCTCCACCTACTTTTTACTGGGCTTTCAGAAAGTCAGGTCCTGTTACAGTGGAGGGGGCAGTAGTGAGTTACACGCTGTTTGCTTCTATACAACGTATGATTTATGAGCCTTCCTTGGGTAACTTTATACTTTGAAATAGCTTGAATTCCTATCCTTCTTGTTATGATTTGTGTGTGTTTGAATACAGTGAACTGTAACATGATACAGTTGTGTGATCTTAACACACCATTCTCCAATCTGCTTTTGGCAGCTGTTTGATGGTGTGGATGCAAAAGAATTGAATGTACAGTGGCTCCGTTCCCAAATAGCAATCGTTCCTCAAGAGCCTGTGCTCTTCAACTGCAGCATTGCTGAGAACATCGCCTATGGTGACAACAGCCGTGTGGTGCCATTAGATGAGATCAAAGAAGCCGCAAATGCAGCAAATATCCATTCTTTTATTGAAGGTCTCCCTGAGGTAAGAAAATTTCTGAAATCTTGAATTATAAAGCTGCCAAGTAAGGCTAAGTAGCTACTGGGCCTATGCAGTTGTTTTTATGTATTCCTTGGATTATACAATGTATTTATTGCCAGAATCTAAAGTTAGATGTAAAACATGAAGTCAGATGCGAAAAACCAAGTTTGAGATTTTCGTGTGACGATTTTCCTACGACCAAAATGTATTAATATTCACTGGATTAACTTTCACATTTTGTTATTTGCCTTCCATCCATCTACACTGTGGCTGGTCCACACTATGACCTCCCCGCCACGGCGGTAGCCTCTTCATCTGCCTTCCAGTCTTGCTCCTTTATCATTTTTCTTCCTCACAGTAATCAGAGGGATCTTTTAAAAACAAATTAGATCCTATCCCTCCCCTGCTCACAACTGCCTCATGGCTCCCCTGTGCGCTTAGAATAAAGCCCACACACCCCATGGGGAGGGGCTGCTGAAGCCTCTGTAATCTGGCCCTGCTGTTTCCCCAGCAACAACCTCACCACACAGTCGCTTTGCTGCAGCTGAGCTGGTCTCTCCTGTCTCAAGAACATGCCAACTTGCTCCCCACCTTAGGACATTTGCGTTTGCTGTTTCTCCAGCCTAGACCTCCCTTAGGTTGGCTTTTGGCATAGTAGCGCCTTAACTTTCTTTTTTTTTTTTGACAGAGTTTCGCTCTTGTTGCCCAGGCTAGAGTTCCATGGTGCAATCTCAGCTCACTCAGCTCCACCTCCCGTGTTCAAGCAATTCTCCTGCCTCAGCCTCCCAAGTAGCTGGGATTACAGGCATGTGCCATCACGCCCGGCTAATTTTTTGTATTTTTAGTAGAGAAGGGGTTTCTCCATGTTGGACAGGCTGGTCTCAAACTCCCGACCTCAGGTGATCCACCGCCTTGGCCTCCCAAAGTGCTGGGATTACAGGCGTGAGCCATCGCGCCCGGCAAGTAGCACCTTAACTTTCAAGCCCTTTCAAATGTTACCTTTGCAGAGGCTTTCCCTAAACATCCTATTTTTAAAAGTCCTCACCAGTCCTATCCCCTATCACTTTGTCTTCAGGGCATGTATCACAGTCTGAAAATTACCCTGAGCACTTAGTTATTTGTTTAGTGTTTCCCTTCCCCACTAGAGTGTAAGATCCTTTTTTATC
Source organism: Homo sapiens (assembly GCF_000001405.40). Lineage (NCBI taxonomy): Eukaryota > Metazoa > Chordata > Mammalia > Primates > Hominidae > Homo > Homo sapiens. The sequence continues at coordinate 20,746,602 of NC_000007.14, forward strand.
ACCTTGATGTCTGTATTGGCTGTGGCAATTGGCACAAAATCTCAGAAAAGTCAAAAATCTTGGCTAACTGTAGAGAAGCCTTTGGTAGTGCAAGCATTGATACAAATCCAAAAACAGTGCACAGAGAGGGATAATTGTAACTTTAAGTGTTTATAATATCTGAGTGTTTGCAACACACATACACACACATAAAATAAATTAAATGAAATAAAAATAGAGATATTTTCATGTAGGGGCGAATTTCTACATGTGATTTTTATAAACTAAGTTTCTATCTCACTTTAAAGGGAGATAGTTAAATTTAACAACCAATATATCAAACAACTAATAATCTAGAGCCCTGTTCTTTGGTGAAGGCCAATAGCCATCATACTCTCTAACTTTTATACTCTTTCCCTCACCAGCTCTTCTCCATACTACATAGTGCCTACATGTACAAACAGGATTTCCCTTACTCTGGTAAGGGTTTGCAGTACTAAAGACATAGGAAGGATTCACATATTTTTTATAAATATAGAGACACTGTGAATGTCTTTTAATGGCAACTTCCTTTTTAACCATGACACTCACTGCATTGTTAATTTGTGGTCAGATTGTTATCTGCATAATCTCGATAGTTTGTTTTATGTATTGTGAAATGCTGCCCAATTGATATTTGTACCATTTAACTTTTATTCTTTTTCCTTTGAGACAAGGCCTCACTCTGTCACCCAGGCTGCAGTGCAGTGGTGTGTTCTTGGTTCACTGCAGCCTCGACCTCCCAGGCTCACCTGAGTCTCCCGAATAGGTGGGATCACAGGCACATGCCACCATGCCTGGCTAATTTTTGTATTTTTTGTAGAGATGGGGTTTCATCATGTTGCTTAGGCTGGACTCAAGCTCCTGGGCTCAAGCAATTTCACCCACCTCGGTCTCCCAAAGTTCTGGAATTACAGGCATAAGCCACCACATCTGGCCTAACTTTTATTCTTAAATTGTTTATTATCTTCTATTCTTTTTATTGTACCAGTTCTCACATTTACTCAAAACTATATGCTGCAAAAATCCACTGTGCTAACTTTTTACAACAGACTTTGAAAACTAAGATGTTATTTCCTTTAACATTTTTTCTAAAAGACTAGCTTATTTTTCAGTGTTTTAAATTTTAACTTTAATTTACCTTCATGTCATTGTTCCCCCAAAAACACGTAGAAAAATAAGGAAACCTGATACCAAAATAAAATAGTTTAAAAAAAATCAAATCAGATAATTCCTAGAAAAGCTGCATATTACTAAATGCCTTCGGTTAGTACCCTGGGGAGAATAAGGCTGCCCTCTTATGCTCAGTTGGCTGGGAAAAACGAAGAGAGGAAACCAGCCACGCATTCCCCAGCCCTTCTGGGAACCAAGAACTAAGCTAAATTTCCACCATAGTACAGCAAGGATGCTGTAACTACCGCATTTTACAGATAAAGAAGTTCAATAACTTTCTTAAAGTTGTATAGAAACTCAGCATTTGAACCTGGATTCTTTGTGCTATCCTGAAGGGACGGAAAGGGTTCGTAACCATGGTGGTCCTAGGGTTTCAGAGATGGGAACAAAGGTGCCCTTGCTCCTCCCTTCAGAAGAGCAGTCCAAAGCAACCACCACAACTGTGGATAATGGCACTGGTATACTCAGAGTGACACTTAGAAACATGTTACAGCTCACACGTAGGTTTTTAGGGAAGAAAAGTGAACATGAATCTTGTAATTTGTTGTACTTCCTTCAGATAGAATTAATTTTATCTGAAGGTGTAGTGGCTCACACCTGTAATCCTAGCACTTTGGGAGGCCAAGGAGGGTGGATTACCTATGGTCAGGAGTTCAAGACCAGCCTGGCCAACATGGTGAAACCCTGTCTTTACTAATAATACAAAAATTAGCTGGGCATGGTGGCACACGCCTGTATTCCCAGCTACTTGGGAGGCTGAGGCAGGAGAATCACTTGAACCCGGGAGATGGAGGTTGCAGTGAGCCAAGATCATGCCATTGCACTCCAGCCTGGGCAACAAGAGTGAGACTCCATCTCAAAAAAAAAAAAAAAAAAAAAAAAAAAAGGGAATTAATTTTTTCTTGAGCAAATAAGTGGAGCCCAGCACTCCCTCCAAATACATGGCCACAGTGGCAGTGTGAAAATGGTGAAGCAAAAGTCTGAAAGAGTTCAGGTCTTCCAGTAACATGCAGTAAGCATAAAATATATACCCATATGTAAAACAGGCATAGGAAGAAAGTCGGCTTCACATAAGACACATTAATGTATTATTCATTTTAATTCTCTCCAAGAATTATTTAGCAAATTGAATTGTGTCACACTTTGCTTTCTGAGGATTTCTTTTACTTTTACTACAAACTTTGTGGATTGACCAATCTGCCATGTCCTGCTTCCTCAAAATTTACTTTCCCTGTCTTCCTTCCTTTCTTTGTCTCTCCCTTTCTTTCTCTCTCCCTTTCTTTCTCTTTCTTTCTTGCTTGCTTTTCTTGTATTTTCTTCCTTTCTCTCTCTCTTTCCCTTTCTTTTCCTCCCTCCCTCCCTCTCTCTCTCCTTCCTTCCCTCTCTACTTCCTTCCTTCCTCCCTTCCCCTCCCTCCCTCCCTCCCCCTCTCTCTCTTTCTTTCTTTTCTTTCTTCACAGGGTCTTGCTCTGTCGCCTAGGCTGAAATACAGTGGCAGGATCTCAGCTCACTGCAGCCTTGACCTCCTGGGCTCAAGTGTTCCTCCCACCTCACCCTCCCCGGGAGCTGCGACCATAGGTGCCTGCCACCTATGCCTGCCTAATTTTTTTTTTTTTTTTTTTTTTTGCAAAGATGGGGTTTCACCATGTTGCCCAGGCTGGTCTCAAACTCCCGGCTTCAAGTGATCCACCCGCCTCGGCTTCCCAAAGACACTGTGTCCAGCCCCATGTCTTCATTCCTCTATCCCAACATCCATGCATTTAGTCACTCAACACACAGCTACTGAGCATTTCTTTGCAAACCACTGGGCTTTTATTTAGGGAAGATAGGACAAATATAGTCCTACTTTTAGGAATATGAAGCCCAATAGTTAAGATGAACACAGATCAACACATACAAATAATTATAGTGCACAGAAGGTAAACAAACTTCCATCTGAGCCTAGAGGGGAGTAGAATCACTTCTGGCTGGGGGTTCAGAGGAGACCTTTGGAGAATTAAGAGGTGATCTGAGTATTGATCAAGTAGAATTTCAGTAGTCAAGGCTTTAAAAGGGCATTCTCTATAATGAGGCAATGGGCATAGCCTGAGCAAAAACATGGAGACAGAAACTATGGCAATGTTTTCATGGAACTGTAAGCCAATTGACAAAGAATAGAGTATATAAAGCTATGGTATTTGATAAGCATGTAAAGGTAAAAAGCTGGCACTTAAATCACAAGGAAAGAAATGTTTAAGTTTGGTAGTTACTAAGGAGTCACTGAAGATTTTTAAATAGGGAACATGTTGGGAATTGGATATTGGAATTACTCATCTAGCAGCAATGTAAATGACGGTAGAGAGTGACAAAGACACAGGCAGCTTGAGAGATCAGTTCAGAGCTATTTCCAGGGATAGGTTTTGAAGGCCTACAATAACAATTACAAAGTGAACTAAAACAAGAAAATTGATTTAAAAGATATTTTAAAAGTGGAATCAACAGGACTTGGCTCAAGATTGTTTCTGGAAAGTGAGCAAGGAAATGTACAATGCACTGAGCAGCCTCATGGAATAAAACACGGAGCAGTGATGAGAGTCCAAAGGCTTCCCCCTACACACACACACACACACACACACACACACACACACATATACACACAAGCCACACACAAATTGTGTATGTTTGATGAAAATTCATTTGGTGGCAAAATGATGTGAGGATATAATATAGTCCTTTATTTATATTTATCCCACTTAGAATAAATAATCAAATACATCTGCACAAAATTCATGTATTTGATTACCATTGCTTCCCCAGATCCTTCTGGGGGTGTTAAATAATATATTATCTATTAAATATAGATAACATATCGTATATGTATAATACGTAGACTTTTTTCTTCTAAGGTTGAAAAAAAATCAGAATTCTTAAATACAGATAACTCCAACGGTTTCGGTAAGGGAGTGTGGATCTGTGTAACGGCTCAAACCAGAAGGGTGCAGAGCAAGGAGTCAATTAGAACATGCTGAGTGTAATGTAATGCATCTACCACTTATCTCATAGAAATATCCCACAGGCATTTGGAAATACAGGCCTGGGGCATAGGACAGAAGTGGAAGCAACACCGCCTTGACCTCAAGGATCCTCTGAGACACACACCAGGTGTGGTTCTCTACTAATCTTCACAGTATCACCCAGTGGCAGCTCTCAGTCGAGCCACATCCTTAAGTAGGACTTTGACCACTGTAACCACCCTGAAAATCCAACCCAGTGCCTGCAGGGATTCTCCAGAATGCAGTTGCTTTAGGATTAGACTCTGGTGTTCCCTCTGGGACACAACTGACTTTTAGCTCCGGTTCATATTAAGGAGCCATTACCCCTTGAGTTTCTCATAAAAGAGGTGATTTCGGGGCACTCACCATCCCAGTGATTGCCAGAAAATGGATTCAAATTTTCGGCTAAAGAGAAACTCTGTGGTTCTTTGTTAAAAAACAAATAAAACCATCCTGGCTAACATGGTGAAACCCCGTCTCTACTGAAAATACAAAAAATTAGCCAGGCGTGGTGGCGGGCGCCTGTAGTTGCAGCTACTGGGAGGCTGAGGCAGGAGAATGGCGTGAACCCGGGAAGCGGAGCTTGCAGTGAGCCGAGATCGCGTCACTGCACTCCAGCCTGGGCTACAGAGCGAGACTCCGTAAAAAAATAAATAAATAAATAAAATTTAAAAAAATTAAAAAACCTTCATCCAATATGTTCTTTAAACTTACACTCTCCTACAATCCAGGGAAGGCCAAAGACTGCAAAGTGATTCCTAGTTTTGTATGTTCTTCAGCTGCCCTAGAAGAATTCATGTACAATTTAAGCTAGGCTGGCAGAAAGGGCTACGAGCTCATTATCATTCCCACCTCCCTTCCCAATTTTTAGTTTAAGATTGAATCCCCTCATTTAAATATGAACTTTGCAGTGTTTGGAAATGAACGGCAGACACAGTTTTATCTATGGTTCCAAATTTAACAAAATGCATTTTAGGAGGAAGGGGCCCAAGGCCTGCTAGTAGTCCCAGATAAATGACAGAGAAAACAGCGAAAGTCTGTATTCTTTGTAGAGCATTCACGTCAGAGAAGATATTTTTACTAGGCTTTAGTAATTCAGACACCCGTCCTTTGCTACAAAGCATGCACCTATGCATGTTAAATTGAAAAGTAAGCTTTGAGATGACGTAGACACATTTTGTTATAAGGTTATACCACAGGTTCGTGACACCAACTCTGTCCAAAATGCACTTCCTGAAGGCAGTCAGATGTGGAGAGAAAGGCAATTCCCTCAAGCTTCTCTAGATTACCAACACAAAATGAACAGCTAGGAATCACAAGCTACATGTGAAATGCTGCTACAGGATTAATCTTTCTGGCTATACCCTTGGACCAGCTTTCTCAATGGAACTGATCCATCTACACATTCTTGTCTAGGTACCAAGGGCTTATGTTTCTTACAAAAGTGCCAAGGGCCACTAGAAAGCAATGTGAAGCCTTGAAAGGAAGCAAAGTCAATGGGACAATCTAAAAAGCAGGCAAGAACCTGCTTACCCCAACTGTACTGACCAATTGTGATTCAGAGGACCATGATGGCTTCAAGATTTGTGTGAAATTTTCTTTACCCTTCCATGAAGGGAAACACTGGAGAAATTGGGTTATTAGTAAGTAGGGGAACTAAGAAAACACTGTGAAGTGCTAAATGTCACCATTACTACTTAGTGGCCTGAAAAGGTGAATAGACTGTTTCAAGACGCCAACCTGGCCAGGCGCGGTAGCTCACGCCTGCAATCCCAACACTTTGGGAGGCTGAGGAGGGTGGATCACGAGGTCAGGAATTCATGACCAGCCTGGCCAACGTGGTGAAACCTCATCTCTACTAAAAATACAAAAATTAGCCAGGCATGGTGGTGGGCACCTGTAATCCCAGCTACTTGGGAGGCTGAGGCAGAGAATCGCTTGAAGCCGGGAGGCGGAGGTTGCAGTGAGCCAAGATTGCGCCACTGCACTCTAGACTGGGTAACAGAGCGAGACACGGTCTCAAAAAAACAAAAAAGTCAACCTAACTTATTTCCAGGAAGATGCATGTACCACTGAGACTCCTATCCCAGCATCTGTAAGGATGTGCCCACAGAGGCTCAGCAAGAGCCAAAGTGAAGAAACTTCATAATTTCCTTGTTGTTTTTACTACTGCGAATCATTTTAACCTGAAAATAGTAGGTAGTATAACTTAATGGAAAAGGATTTGTGTTTACTGTGAACTTGTTTCTTGCCAGTAATTTTTTTCTTATGCTTTAATTTGAAAAATTTCTTTGTGGAAGCATAATGGCAGAGGTCTGCTGTCTGATCAGATTGGATATGTAAATGAGATGGTAGTGTTTACTGCGGCTTTAGCATTTATTTGCAACAAAGCCCAAGAATAGATTTCAACATTTGTTGGGACACAAATTTTCAAGAGTAGCAAAATTTGAAATATTTAGATGGTTCTCGCCCACAGTTGCCATGCTAATTTAAATAACCAAGACTTGCTTTCTTAATTGCATGCTCCTGTGATAGAAATACAACACACAAGTTGGACTGAAAGGAGCACAGCTTTCTGGCGGCCAGAAACAAAGACTAGCTATTGCAAGGGCTCTTCTCCAAAAACCCAAAATTTTATTGTTGGATGAGGCCACTTCAGCCCTCGATAATGACAGTGAGAAGGTAACATCATTTTCTTTTATCTCAGAATATAATACCAAATATAAGCATCCAATAACATGGAGGAAACCAAGGTAAGTTTGGAAAAACAAAGGCCTGGAAAGAATTGTAGTTCTAAGGTCACCAGTTCCAATTAAGGCTTTGGACCTTTACAAAAAGGTCAGTAGGTGGTGGGGAGGTGGGAGACAGTTGAGACAGAGGGAATCTCATGTTCCAGAAAGGTTTTCTCACTCAAATTTGTCTCATTATCAAAAGTGGACCAATTTTCAAAATGTTTTTTCATTCAAGGAAAGAGCCCAAGAAAAATAACTTTTCAATTTTATTATTATTCCAGTGATGCCAAACAAACTAATAAGGTAATTAGTATGGGTAAAAGAGTAATCTACACTGCAGGGTCAGAGCCTGAGAGTTATTCTACCTTCTACAGACTCAGCCTAGTTTGAGCGGGAAACAAGGAGGCAAAGTGACACATGAGAAAATACTTGCACAGCAAGCTTCTCCAGCTGTTTGATTTTGCTATGTCCTTATCCCTTAGGAGTTTCTTGCACATGTAGGCACTTATTTAGTAAATGAACATTGGTTAAATGAATGGTTATCATTAATATTTGTAGAGTATGCATTACATGCTATTATCTCAGTCTTCACAACAACATGACGAATGAGCTTCTTGTATTAGCATGCCCATTTTACAGATTGGCACACTAAGGCTTAGATTAAGTAACTTCTCTAAATTCTAATGGAGGGTATCTGACCTAAGAGCCCAGGCAGTTAATCCACCCATGATTGCTGCTTGAAGATGATTATTATTCTTGATTCTCAAAGCAACAATGTGTTATGAAAAATAAACAACAACTAACTTTTGGGATCAGACATATCTGGGCTGTAATCCTTACTTCATCAGTTACTAGCAGTATGACCTTGGTCTAACCTCAGTTCAGTTATCAGAAAAATAAAAATACTGTCATTTTATGAGGTTATTGAAAGAATTTAAATGAGATATCCATCTTGGGAACATTTTATGTATTCAACAAATATGGGTTTTCACCTTCCACTCCCACTTTCTCTATATAGCGTCATAACCTCACTGTTGGCTGAAATGCTATGTTAACAGGACAGTTCTACAGCTAAATCCTACCAAAAACAAAACAAAATCTATGAGAGAAAATTAGATAAATAAATTAGACAATTCTACTTAGGTATACTACTTAGAAATACTACTTCCTGACTTTGAGTTTAGAACTACTCAAAGAAATGATAGTAGAAATTTGAATAGTATTAGAACTACTCAAAGAAATTGTAGTAGAAATACTACTATAATTCTACTTAGAAATACTACTTCCTGACTGTGAGTTTAGAACCACTAACATATAAACAACTATTTCATTTTTATTCATTCTCACAAATGCTTTTCCACTGAAAGTCTTACATAATTTATCTGTAGCTAATCTTTCTTTTTTTTTTTTGAGACGGAGTTTCACTCTTGTCACTTAGGCTGGAGTGCAATGGCACGATCTCAGCTCACGGCAACCTCCACCTCCCAGGGTCAAGCGATTGTCCTGCCTCAGCCTCCCAAATAGCTCGGATTACAGATGCCTGCCACCACACCCAGCTAATTTTGTATTTTTAGTAGAGATGGGATTTCTCCATGTTGATCAGGCTGGTCTCGAACTCCTGACCTCAGGTGATCTGCCTGCCTTGGCCTCCCAAAGTGCTGGGATTACAGGCATGAGCCAATGTGCCCAGCTGTAGTTAATATTTCTAGATTTCTATTGAGTAAGGTGATTATTTTACAAGTAGGGCAGTTCCTTTGGGGACAAGCAAATAAAGCAAAGAAGGTTATTAGACTACCTTAATTGATTTGACTTAGGTAAGTTTACTAACATCTAACTCAAACTGGTGATCACAGGTCTTTCTCTCTTCCAGGTGGTTCAGCATGCCCTTGATAAAGCCAGGACGGGAAGGACATGCCTAGTGGTCACTCACAGGCTCTCTGCAATTCAGAACGCAGATTTGATAGTGGTTCTGCACAATGGAAAGATAAAGGAACAAGGAACTCATCAAGAGCTCCTGAGAAATCGAGACATATATTTTAAGTTAGTGAATGCACAGTCAGTGCAGTGATGCTGTTGAGGTAGCACATATTTTGATGTTCGTGTAATGCAAAGAAGGAGTACTTAATAATTACTTGGCAAGCTTTGATCTCTTTTATTGCATATATCAATACCTAGAATCATGCTACTCAAGTACATACATGTTCTATTCACACACCATCTGACCTTCAGATTTTTAAAAGGAAGCAAAAATTTGCTTATTTCATGTAAGTGAAATAATGCTTATATCCTTCACTTTATAAAACTATTCTAGCACATTTGCTTGTAAAGCAGTTTTCTACAAGGTGAATTTATTTCCCATCAACTTCTGCTATAAAATCGGAAATATGTTTCCAGGGGGAATATTATCCAATTAACCATGTTGAAGGTTTTAGCAAAGGCAGTGTAAGATAGAGTGGGGCCTGTAGCATTGCAGGGAGAGTGTCTTTCACTTGGAATTTTGTTTTGCAGCACATATTACAGTAGTTTTGCTAGTCCCTTTTCTCCAGACCGTAGGGATTTCTCTCAATAAGTATTCACTATTTCTCTAAATTTTATTCTATTTTTTTGTTGAGCAGGGAATAGAAAGGATTACGATGTAAAATTTCTGGGAGGATTAGGTAGCTATCTCCTACTTCACCAGTAAGTGAAGTGCCTCACATGAGCCATCCCAAAGATTCATTATTCCAAACCTTGGGTTTGGCAGTATAAGTCACAGGCCTACCTGTTTATGAAAACTTACTTACTTAAAATAAGAGCTACTTTTGGGCCGGGTGCGGTGGCTCACGCCTGTAATCCCAGAACTTTGGGAGGCCGAGGAGGGCGGATCACTTGAGGTCAGGAGTTCGAGACCAGCCTGGCCAACATGGTGAAACCCCGTCTCTACTAAAAACACAAAAATTAGCCAATCTTGGTGGCGGGCACCTGGAATCCCAGCTACTTGGGAGGCTGAGGCAGGAGAATCATTTGAACCTAGGAGGCAGAGGTTGCAGTGAGCCGAGATCTCACCACTGCACTCCAGCCTGCGCAACAGAGCGAGACTCCATCTCAAAAAATAATAAATAAGAGCTAATTTTATTGTGGGTGAAAATTTTTAAACGTCTTTCTCTATAATAAAATAATTTCCTTAAATTTTATATATACTTTATCATATATAATGTGTGAATGATTTTAAAGTTCTGTGTAAATAACAATATTGGTAAAATGAGTTACATTTTCAACTTACTTAAATATGTAATGTCACCTGGTGATTTTATCTTTATTCTTCAGTGTATTTTCTTCCATTTACACATTTAGCTAGCCTCCCTAAAGTGTACTCTACCAATAATTGAAATCTTGTTAAACAAAATTAAAACCATTTATATATTATGCTGCTTTCTTTAAAATGCAAAATAAAAATAAGATTGGGGACTTGAGAATCAGATGCATTGCTTAGACACATTGGTGCTGACTGCCATGTGGTTATTTTGCTATTCATGGATATAGAGCTCTTGGTAGCTTCTCTTCCCGGGGTAGGGTAGACAAGAAGAAAATAAAAATATAGTATGGACATGCTCAGAACCTCAGAGCAGGAGCACCACAGGCTCCAATTCTGTAATCCCTCCTAGAGGGGCAAATATGGTACCTGAAATGCCTGCTTACCCTTTGAACCTATCAACATCTGTCCCATACCTATAGATAGCAGTAAAACACATTCCTTTCTAATGTATAACCCTGCTAGTTTTTATTTCCATTTTATTTTTAATGAGTTTAAAGAACGCTTCACAGGCAGAATTCTCATCAATAAAGCCACTGCCTGCACTGGACCAAGCAATCATGCTGAGAATTGGGGTCCCAAAGAGTTTTTAAGGATTTGTAAGGTTATCAGCTGATGAAGGCAGAAAGTAGGTAGAGATCAACTACTTTTTAGGGGTTGCCACAATTTAAAGGTTTTTCTTTTTTTTTTTTTTTTTTTTTGACGGAGTTTTGCTCCTGTTGCCCAGGCTGGAGTGCAATGGCGCAATCTTGGCTCACCACAACTTCCGCCTCCCGGGTTCAAGCGATTCTCCTGCCTCAGCCTCCTGAGTAGCTGGGATTATAGGCATGCACCACCACACCCGGCTAATTTTGTATTTTTAGTAGAGACGGGGTTTGTCCATGTTGGTCAGGCTGGTCTCGAACTCCCGACCTCAGGTGATCCGCCCATCTCGGCCTCCCAAAATGCTAGTATTATAGACATGAGCCACCACACCCGGCCGACAATTTAAAGGTTTAAAATTGCTGTACTGTTCTTAAAGTTGTGTTTAAAATATATCATTTTCATTAAAACAATAGTTATCAGTTTTATAGGCATGACTTTTTATGACTTTTTAATTCTTGCACTTTTCTTTTCTTTCTTTTCTTTTCTTTTTTTTTTTTGAGACAGACTCTAGCTCTGTTGCCCAGGCTGGAATGCAGAGGTGCAATCTCAGTTCACTGCATCCTTGGCCTCCCAGGCTCTAGAGATCCTCCTACCTCAGCCTCTCAAGTAGCTGGGGCTACGGGCCTGCACCACCAAACCCGGCTAATTTTTGTTTTTGTTTTTTTAAACACAGGGTTTCACCATGTTGCCCAGGCTGGTCTGGAACTACTGGGCTCAAGTGATCCACCCCAGTAGGCCCCAAACGTACTGGGATTACAGGTGTGAGCCACCTTGCCCTGTGTCCTACACTCTCCTTTTCTTTCTTTCTTTTTTTTTTTTTTTTTTTTTGGGAGATGGAGTCACTCTGTTGCCCAGGCTGGAGTGCAGTGGCGCAATCTCAGCTCACTGCAACCTCAGCCTCCCAGGTTCAAGTGATTCTCCTGCCTCAGCCTCCCAAGTAGCTGGAACTACAGGTATGCGCCACCACATCTGGCCAATTTTTGTATTTTTAGTAGAGATGGGGTTTCACTATGTTGGTCAGGCTGGTTTCGAACTCCTGACCTCATGATCCACCCACATCAGCCTCCCAAAGTGCTGGAATTACAGGCGTGAGCCACTGCACCTGGCCCCTACACTTTTCTTAAAGCAAGGTATTCTGTAGCCAAAAAAGAAGCTGAATTAGGCCAGGTGTGGTGGCTCACTCCTGTAATCCCATCACTTTGGGAAGCCGAGGCAGGCGGATCACTTGAGGCCACGAGTTTGATTTCAGACTGGCCAACATGGTGAAATCCTGTCTCTACTAAACATACAAAAATTAGTGGGGTGTGGTGATGCATGCCTGTAGTCCCAGCTACTCAGGAGGCTGAGGCAGGAGAATCATTTGAACCTGGGAATCGGAGGTTGCAGTGAGCAGAGATGGTGCAATACACTCCAGCCTGGATGACAGAGGGAGATTCTATCACCCCTACTTCCCACTTCCGTTCCCAGCCCAAAAAAGAAGCTACATTAGGAATTGATATTTTTATCTAAAATAAATAAACAAAATGGTACTTCAGCAGATGTATTTATTTATTTTTATAATTTTAACTTTCATTTTAGATTCGCATGTGGAGTTCCTTCTACATAGGTATATTGCATGATGCTGAGGTTTGGGATACAATTGATCCCATCACCCAGGTAGTGAGCACAGCACTCAATAGATAGTTTTTCAACCTTTGGCCCCCTCGCTCCCCACTCTAGTAGTCCCTGGTGTCTATCGTTGCCATCTTTATGCCCATACTTCAGCAGATTTAAATGTAAGTTTTACATGTTAAATCGCTCATTAAATATTTTATAAATTATTAAATAATACCATGCTTAGGTGTACAGCTTACAACTTGGTATTTACTAAAGGGCTTTAAGCAATGAATGCCAGATTATTCAGGGCACCAAATCAGTGAATTTAAGACATGTTGTCTTCTTATAGTGCCTTGGATATAGTAGATACTCAATAAATACTAGGTGATTCAGTTTGAAAAGTCAAAAATCATAGCAGGTATGCATTACTGATACTAAGATGAGCACACACTTACTGAAAAGATGACCTGGTGGGCTTCAGTTGTTTTGCCTCAACAATCATGTATTAGAATCTCTCCGTCATGGGTATTATCAGTCATTGGTGACATACTCGATAGTTTACTTCTAGGCTAGACTCGTTTAAGTCCATAAAAACTTTTTCTTTCCATTCGGATGGCAATTTTAATTTTAGTTAAATAAATTTTTAATTTTATTTTAATTAATTTTAGCCTTTTATCATAGTTTATGTGTTGGTTTAATTTATTTAATTTTGAAATAATTTGGTATTTGAGCATACATCGCCTGATTTATTTTAGAACATTGTGAGTCTAATTTCCCACAAGGCTTTTGTCTAGATTAAGGCATATTCCCTAGTTTCAAGGACTTCTGGTCTAAGGTAAACACTGATCTCTGCCAGTCATGACTCATAGCCTACTCCTTACTTGGATTGACCTCAATCCAAACTGTCTGAGCGTCCTTGCCCTTTGCTTCTCCTCTACCTCTGGGCTTGCTTATAGTTATAAAACAAGAGACTAGAAGAAAGAATGAAACACCAGTTTAAAACAACATAACAAGGCCGGACGTGGTGGCTCACACCTGTAATCCCAGCACTTTGGGAGGCCGAGGTGGGCGGATCACCTGAGGTCGGGAGTTCAAGACCAGCCTGACCAACATGGTGAAACCCTGTCTCTACTAAAAATACAAAAATCACCCGGGCATGATGGTGCATGCCTGTAATCCCAGTTACTTGGGAAGCTGAGGCAGGAGAATCATTTGAACCCGGGAGGCGGAGGTTGCAGTGAGCCAAGATTGCGCCACCGCACTCCAGCCTGGGCATCGCAGGAACACTCTACCTCAAAAAAAAAAAAAAAAAAGAAAGAAAGAAAAGGAAAGGAAAAAAAAGAAAAAACACCTGGCCTAGAAAATCCTAAATACAATGAAGGCAGCTGTCCAGAGAGATCAAGATCCATCAGAGTCATCTGTAAATGTTAGTGTGTTACAGCAGGGGTCCCCAATCCCCAGACCACGGACCAGTACCAATCCATGGCCTGTTAGGAACCGGGCTGCAGAGCAGGAGGTGAGCAGTGGGTAGGCAAGTGAAGCACGGTAGGAGGTGAGCAGTGGGTAAGCAAGTGAAGCTTCATCTGTATTTACAGCTGCAGCCGCTCTCCATGGCTAGCATTACTGCCTAAGCTCTGCCTCCTGTCAGATCAGCGGTGGCATTAGATTCTCAGAAGAGCGCGAACCCAATTGTGAACTGCACATGCGAGAGAGCTGGGTTGCGTGCTTTTTATGAGAATCTAATGCCTGATGATCTGTCACTGTCTCCCATCATCCCCAGATGGGACCATCTAGTTGCAGGAAAACAAGCTCAGGTCTCCCACTGATCCTACATTATGGTGATTTGTATAATTATTTTATTATATGCTACAATGTAATCATAATAGAAATAAAGTACTCAATAAATGTAAAAATGCACTTGAATCATCCCAAAACCACTGCCCCACTTCCCCGGTCCGTGGAAAAACTGTCTTCCAGGAAACTGGTCCCTGGTGCCAAAAAGGTTAGGGACTGCTGTTACAGTAGCTCTCAGCAATCAAATCTTATCTGTTAAACTGCCCTTTCTTTGTAAGAGGGAAGGCTGCTCAGTGAGTCTTAAAATAATTGAAACACCAATGAGGATACCAGTGGAATAAAAACAATTTAACAAGGATAAGGTATGACACAGATGTCAGTGAAAAGAAACAAAAGAACATCACACCTGTTTTAAAACTAACCCAGCCAACCTATTTTATATATTACCACTCCTTAAAACAAGTTATGGTATGTTCTCATGTTAAATCAACTTAGGTCATAGCTAATAAACTGATTCGCAGCCTACTCAATGTGTCAGTTTCACAGCATGCAGAGTATATCATAGCGTTACACATGACCTATTCTATGAAAATATTTCCTAGGTTATTGTCAACTTATGTATTCATTGCTTTGGTTCTGAGCTCTTATTCCAAGAGGGTTTGTGAAGTGGAATTATAAATTGATTGGAAATAGTCCAGAGAGGAAACTGGAAAGATTGGAAATGGAGGAATGAGGGTAGAGGGTTTGGGGTATACAGTAGCTTTCAAGCCTTTATTTATTTCTCTGCCATTTGTAATAATTACCACAAATTTTAAAGCTCATTTAAAAACCATAATTATAAAAAATGCATGGATCAACCAAATATCTATAAATAGTACCTCAAGTCTATAAATAGTACCTCAACTTGCCCCCTTTTAGCAAAGCCACACTGATGAAGCCCATATTAACTTCCTAATGCTGCTGTAACAAATTATCACAAACATAATGATGAAAGAATACAAATTTATTATCTTACAGCTCTGGAAGTCAAAAGTTTAAAATCCGTCCCTTTGGGCTAAAATCAAAGGTGTCATTCCTTCTACAGTCTCTAGAGAAGAATCTGTTCCTTGTTCTTTTTCCCAGTTCCAGAAGCTTCTAGATGGCCTGCATTCCTTGGACCTCTGCTTCCTTCATCAAACCTCCATCTCTCTCTGCCTCTGCCATCCTCTTACCCTTATAAGGACCCCTATGATCACACTGGGCCCTCACGGATAATCCAATATAATTTTCCCATCTCAAGATTCTTAAACTTAAAAAAAAAAAAAGATCTTAAACTTAATCACATCTGCAAAGTCCCTTTTGCCATGTAACGTCACATGTCCACAGGTTCCAGGAAAGAGGATGCAGGCATTTGCAGAAGGCTGTTACTTAGCCTTCCACAAAGCCTATCTATTTGAATTTTTATTCCATGGAGAAGGCAAGCCAAATTTTTCACAGCTTTGTGCTGAGTAAAAGTTCAATCCAACGTCATCATTATACACAGAAAGAGCAAAAACTCACATATCTGGCCTTCAAGTCATGTGCGTTTTCCATTGCAACATGCTAACCCTACACTGATGCTGGGCCAGGACTTGGAAGGTGTTTGTCTTTCTCTCTTGTGCTACAAATTCCTCTATTGCTGCTATTTCCTTTTGTCCTAGACTAGATTTATTTACTAAAAGCTTATAGTAAATTCTACTTTTTTTTTTTTTTTTTTTTTTGAGACGGGCTTTTGGTCTGTTACCCAGGCTGGAGTGCAGTGGCGTGATCTTGGCTCCCTGCAACCTCCACCTCTTGGGTTCAAGCAATTCTCCTGCCTCAGCCTCCTGAGAAGCTGGAATTACAGGTGCCCACCACCACACCCAGCTAATTTTTGTATTTTTAGTAGAGATGGGGTTTCCCATGTTGGCCAGGCTGGTCTTGAACCCCTGACCTCAGGTGATCACCCACCTCAGCCTCCCAAAGTGCTGGGATTATAGGCGTGAGCCCCTATACCTGGCACTAAATTCTACTGTCTTAGCATCATTATTCTTTCTACTAAATAATTTTATTTGCCAGCAAGTTAAAACGGCATCGTTAACACTGTAAGTATATGAGCTTCACAAACTATTAAGCCAGTACACTTTTGAATTTTCCTAAAACTATTTCAGACCACTGCTTCTAATGATGGCCGATTTTTTAAAATGAAATGGCATGTCACTTTCAGTACATTATCTCAGTTAGTCCTCACATTGACTCTATAATGGCAGATATTATTGATACTATCTATTTTTAAAGAAAACTAAAGCTTAAGGAAATTAAGTAACTTGTTGAGAGTTAGAATCTGATTCAGAAACTTTTCTTTCTAACACCAGAGCCTAGAGTGTTGATTGTAGCACCAAGGTCTTCTGTCCACAATTTATTCAGCAAGATAGCTGATGCAGTCATGGCTCACAGAGTGCACTGGATCAATGTGAGGACCAAACCAAAATTTTGGCAGCAGCTGCATGGTCTCATTAAATTAACCAGGCACACCCAGAAAATATTCTGTATCCACATCCCTAAAACAAGATTGAACTCAGCTCAAGGTAGGAGTCTGTTTTTCTTTAGTGTTTACTTACACATATAAGTCTTGGGGATTCAGATACTTTTTGTATGGAGAAAATTGCAGAAATATGAGAATTTCAAGCCAAGAAAAATGGAGAAAGCAGCACACTTCTTAGAAAAAAGCATAGTACTTTGACTGTAACGTCTGTGGAAATATTCTGAAAAGCATCGCCAGTGAAATTGAGCTTGCTGGGCACGTTTTCTTAGTGACTTATACTTAATTATCAAGGTTCAGTTTAATCCTACTAAATGTTTTTCTTTTTAAACTGTGTGAGTATCTGCTTAAAGAAGATGTTAGTTTACTGAGATTTCAGAAAAGCCAAAGTTAGACGAACAATTGGGTGTTTAAAACTGTAAATGCATGCATTGACTGCTGCACTGTTAGACTTAGGGAAAGTCTAATAAGCCAGTCTGTGTATTTTATATTTAAATGATGAATGCCATTATTTCTGAGCCAGGTAAAATTTGCTACTGAATGGGGGGTATTTCATCTAATTAACTTTACTACATCACAGTAAAACAATGCATGGCTGAAATATTTTCTACCCAGTTGAAAGTCAAGAGATTTTAGGAAAATGGTTGAAACTGTTAAATTACCAGAACATTCTGGACAAATGAAGCAAAAAAAAGGATGGAAGACAGGAAGACAGGCAGGAAGGAAGGAAGGGAGACAGACTGAATATTTGAATACACTCAAACAATTTTTAAAAATGTAATACACACTAGTAATCAGCTTAGGACTGGAAGTATAAAATACTCCACCTTCAAATCCTCTGAAAACCTAAAAAAAAAAGTGATACACATTTAAATTTATTTATTTAATTTTTTAGATGGAGTTCACTCTTGTTGCCCAGGCTGGAGTGCAATGGTGTGATCTCGGCTCACTGCAACCTCCGCCTCCCAGGTTCAAGCGATTCTCCTGTCTCAGCCTCCTAAGTAGCTGGATTACAGGTGCATGCCACCTGCCGGCTAATTTTTGCATTTTTAGTAGAGATGGAGTTTCATCATATTGGTCAGGCTGGTCACGAGCTCCTGACCTCAGGTGATCTGCCTGCCTCGGCCTACCAAAGTGCTGGGATTACAGGCATGAGCCACCACACCTGGCCTACACATGTAAATTTAAATTCCTAGTCCTACACCCCCAGTTCAGGCAGAATTACACCTAGTCCACATTAGTTTCATAAATTCCTTTAATCTCCAATTTCCTAGAGCTATGTCCCCCTGAGAAGAGATGGGTTAGTGAGTAACAAATTAGCCAAAAAAAGGGGAGGGCAGGGAGCCTGTCTCTCATAAGAGGCCAAAGGAAAAGAGGAGAAGTGGAAGGTGGTCACCAAGAATCAGAGCATGGTCAACATGTTCCCAAAGATGCCAAAGAAGAAACTTCCAAAGTAACAAAGAGAAGATAAATTGTTCAATTAATAACTCTGGAAATCCACGTGGATATTGAGAAATGCAGAGAGAATTGTCAAATGGAATGTTTCTATCACTTAGAAGTAGTAACAATAAGATAATGTGAAATGCCAGGCGAGGTGGCTCATGCCTGTAATTCCAGCACTTTGGGAGGCCGAGGTGGCTGATCACTTGAGGTCAGGAGTTCAAGACCAGTCTGGCCAACATAGTGAAACGCCATCTCTACTAAAAATACAAAAATTAGCTGGGCATGGTGGTGGACGCCTGTACTCCTAAGAACTCGGGAGGCTGAGGCAAGGGAATCACTTGAACCCGGGAGGCAGAGGTTGCAGTGAGCTGAGACCACACCACTGCACTGGGTCACAGAGCGAGACTCCGTCTCAAAATAATAATAATAATAATAATAATAATAATAATAATAATAAGAATAATAAGAAGAAGAAGAAGAAGAAGAAGAAGAAGAAGAAGAAGAAGAAGAAGAAATAAGCTAGAACTATTAAAATAAATTCATATTTATTGAACACACATATATCAGGCTTAATAAGTGGTTGAGCCTTATAGGCATTAACTTACTGACAAGAAGATACACTCTATTGTTATTCAAATTTTACCAAATGGAGAAACTCTGCGGCACTGGGTAGTTAAGGAACCTTACCAAGGTCAAATAGCAAGGAAGTGACAGAATGAGGATTCAATGCAGAAAAATCTGACTCCATAGGCCACACTGAGCTAATTCATTGTCTCTCTAAGATGGAATTGGAAACAGTAAGGTACTTTTGAGTTGTACATATAGAAGTAACTTGCTGTTTGCCTCCTCCTTACATTGCAAAAATACAAAGGTACACAGTTCTTCTTTGGTTATTTTAACGCGAAACTAGATTTTTTCTGCCTACCTACACTCTGAAAAAAAATATCTTGTACATAATGCAATTACAGCTTGGAAGCCTTAGGAATACAGCTGCTCCAGCAATAACACATTTTCCCTGTGACTCTTCATTTTTCTCTACCTTCCAAAAAACATACTCCAAAGTGTACGGGGAGATTAGACCCTGGCTTCTACACAGATTGTCTCTCACTGTTGAATCATCCCTGCTATCTTTACTTTCAGGGTATTTATCGAAATTCTTTTGTTCCATTTGCAACCCACTTGCTGATGTATCATTCCTCTCTTTAGTTAAGATTTAAAAAAATCTTGATAGCTTTATCGTGCTAAAACCAAGGCAGACTTACAATATTGAACTGAAAAAAAAAAAGTAGTAACACATGCATTGGGTGAAGTGTTGGCTAAGGTGGAGTCATCAAAAGTGGTTTGGAGCCGTGCACAGCAGTGAGCACCTATAGTCCCAGCTACTCAGGAGGCTGAGGCAAGAGGATTGCTTGAGCACAGGAGTTCAAGGCCAACCTGGGCAACATAGTGAGACTCCATCTCAAAAAGAAAAAAAAAAAAGTGGTTGCAGTTTGCTTACATATAGTGAGGCTCCTAATCATATGAATGACTTTCTAAATATTGTAAAATAAATACAGCTTAGGACTGGAAGTATAAAATACTCCACTTTCAAATCCTCAGAAAACCTAAAAAAAAAGTGTTACACATTAAATTTATTTATTTTATTTATTTATTATTTATTTATTATTTATTTATGTATTTATTTTTTGAGACGGAGTTTCGCTCTTGTCATTTACAAGTAATGACATTGTTTTAAAATTGGGATGTTTTGTGATGGGCTATAAAATTTTATATATTTTCATATATTACCAGAAGTTCTTATGACATTAGCCTAGACAAAATAAAACCATTTGGAGAGACCACTAATAAATTATATCAGAAACCCAGCATAGACAAACCAGCAAGAGAAGTGCAAATATCACGAAATTTTGATCATGCACTTCTGAAATAGAAAGACAATACACCATGGTTTTTCTCTTATATCTATTGTATTTCAGGTTGCTCCTTCAATGAAAATTGGAACCTTTGCAGAAAATCCAGTCTATCAGACAAGAGTTAACCTTTTCCTACATTATTCTTTTCTATGTAGATTATAGAGCCAAAGATAAAAAACAGTTAGATGTATTCAAGTAAATTCTTCTAAAATGTCTAACATCTTAGTAGAGCATATAAACTAAGGACCCAACAGCTCACCTCTAGTTCTAAGTCTGGGGTCCACTGAGTGGCATCAAAGAGGTACAGTGATGAGCAAACTTTTAAGAGAATGTCCATAGCTGGTGTCAGAATCTCAAAAGTTTGTTAATCCAAAAAAGGATGAGAAGCATTGTTCTAGACAAAACAAAACCCTGTCTATAAAATCAGTCACTTTATATACAGAATTCATGAGTAGGAGTTTTAAACTGGAGTATGGATGGAACAATTAATGAAGTTCAATAAATGCTAACTTATTTTCTCTCTTATAATATACAATAGTTTTAAAAAGACATAGGAGGTGGGGCGCAGTGGCTCACATCTATAATCCCAGCATTTTGGGAGGCCCAGGCAGGAGGATCACTTGAGCCTGGGAGTTGAGACCAGCCTGGGCAACATAGTGAGATCTCATCTCTACAAAAAATAAACAAAATTAGCCAGGCATGGTGGCACGTGCTTGTAGTCCCAGCTACTTGAGAAACTGAAGTGGGAGGATCGCTTGAGCCTGGCAGGTCGAGGCTGCAGTGAGCCACAATCATGCCACTGCACTTCAGCCTGTCTTGGAAAAAAAAAAAAAAAAAAAAAAAAAAAAAAAAAAAGACATAGGCTCTTGCCTCCATTTTTTAGTTTCTTTTCGGTGTATTCTGAATTTCTTATGTACAGTTAAAAGAAAGAGCTGTTACTTTTTAAAAAGTCTATCTAGCACCATCAGTGAACCCTTTTAGAATGCTATACAAAATGCAACATTTAAATTTGCTTAATAATCAAGTAACTCTATTTGAAGGAAAAACTAAACTAACCTCTTCCCTCTTGTAATAGTTTTAGACAAAAATAGATAAGATTTAATTCTGGGTAAATACATGTACACATACAGACCAAAGTTTAAGTTATTGTGACACACTTTGAGCATTTTAAAATTATAAAACTATAATGCCTACATATTGTTAAATTTTTAAATAGTTCATTTTAGAGTCAGGGTAGGATGATGGGGTGATTATTTTTTCAAATGACGACTTTTTTCTTAAAGAAATAACACAAGAAGGCCGGGCTCGGTGGCTCACGCCTGTAATCCCAGCACTTTGGGAGGCCGAGGTGGGCGGATCACGAGGTCAGGAGATCGAGACCATCCTGACTAACGTGGTGAAACTCCATCTCTACTAAAAATACAAAAAATTAGCCGGGTGTGGTGGCATGCGCCTGTAGTCCCAACTACTCGGGAGGTTGAGGCAGGAGAATGGCGTGAACCCGGGAGGCAGAGCTTGCAGTGAGCCGAGATCGGGCCACTGCACTCCAGCCTGGGTGACAGAGCAAGACTCCATCTCAAAAAAAAAAAAAAAAAAGAAAAAAGAAAAAGAAATAACACAAGCAATATTTTACTTTTGTTTTACAATTATAAGTTCTCAAATTATGACTGTGATTCATGATCATGTGCAAGGCTTATTTTTACCCCAAATAAATTACTGAACAATAAGTAAGCATTCAGTATTTGTTGATTTAATTTTTATTTTTAAACAAAAGCAAAAATATTATTTAAAACATCACTATAAGATAAGCTTGTGTCTACTACAAGCTGAGGCTGTATTAGAGAAATCGTATTGTCCAAGCTCATCATCCTTTTCCCTTCTCTCCCCTCAACAACTCAAGATTGAAGACTTTTGGTGTTGATATGTAACATTTCTTTCAAGTGCTAATGAATATGTCATTTTGTATTACAGAACTTCATACTTGCAGAAGAATAACTCAATTATATAGCATTATATACGAAACTTGACTTAGAAATAATGATTAACTAGATCTGATTTAACTGTTGTATGTTATTTCCCCAATGGCCATAAAATACCAGAAGTTTCATTTTTATTTTTAATTTGTGAGACAAAGTCTCACTCTGTTGTCTAGGCTGGAGTGCAGTGATGCAATCTCAGCTCACCGCAACCTCCTGGGTTCAAGTGATTCTCCTGCCTCAGCCCCCGACCCCTTCCCAGTACCTGGGATTACAGGCACACGCCACCACACCTGGCTAATTTTTGTAGTAGAGACAGGGTTCCATCATGTTGGCCAGGCTGGTCTTGAACTCGTGACCTCAAGTGATCCTCCTGACTGGGCCTCCCAAAGTGCAGGGATTATAGGCATGAGCACTGTGCCCGGCCCAGAATTTTTAAGTAGATCGTTTTTTCTAGCTATCATAGTTTATTCAAATCAAAGTTATTATCTATGGTGGCCATAAATGAATGAATTTGATTTAAAGGTCAATTTTGTAGCTTCATGCAGCCAGAGACCAAAATATCTACCTAAATCAGTTAACAAAGTAAAATATAAATATCCCTTTTTTTTTTTTTTTTTTTTTTTTGAGACGGAGTCTGCTCTGTCACCCAGGCTGGAGTGCAGTGGCGCGATCTCACCTCACTGCAAGCTCCGCCTCCCGGGTTTACGCCATTCTCCTGCCTCAGCCTCCCGAGTAGCTAGGACTCCAGGCGCCAGCCACCGCGCCTGGCTAATTTTTTGTATTTTTAGTAGAGACGGGGTTTCACCGTGGTCTCAATCTCCTGACCTCGTGATCCGCCCGCCTCCGCCTCTCAAAGTGCTGGGATTACAGGCGTGAGTCACTGCGCCCGGCTTTAAAATATAAAAATCTTAAGTTTTTTTGGCATTCTGTAGACTCATTGATTGATTGAGTTTTTCTTTCTTTGCTTTTTAATCAGTTAAAAGCTTTTTTATCTGTCTTTTCTTGTTTCTACAACTGGTCACAAAGTTACAGCTTTTATAGAGGTTGCCACAATAAAAGACACTTAGTAGAATTTAAGATTCAGATATGTTCAATTGAATCTATATTTTAGTATCATATGACAATGCAAAATAATATCCACTCTTTACTGAAACAATGGGTTGTCCCGCAAAATTCCTTTGTGAATAACATAAAGTTGCATTTTGCTACTTACTGTAGTCAATCTAGGACTAATAAAGGGAAAATGACTTTCCAGTCCCAGTTTAAAGGAACTATGTGGTGCAAAGGCTTGAAGTGAGTTTCTGCTTCCAGAATCAGCACTCTTTTCCCACAGAACATACTGCTTGGCCAGATCTTCTACCTCATTTTGTGGTCAAGGGGACTCTCTTTCTCAAAGCAGGATAGCCACAGAGAAACAATTCATGAAAGAGGACATTAAAATGGCAAGTAAACATGAAAAAAAGTTTAGGGCTCTAAAATTTATTAGACAATAATGAGATTCATTTATTTTTTAAAAAAGGAAAAAAATTATGAATTCAGGGCTGATTCTCTAAACCACTGTTTGTTGGAATATAAACTGCTACATACTTATTGGGGAGTAACCTAGATCTAGATCTAATCTCTATCTACAGCCTTTAAAATGTTCTTATTCCTCAGGAATTCCTTCCTTTGGAAACAATCAGATATTAAAACAAGAAGTCATGCACAAGGATGTTCTATGCAGCCTTGTGTATAATATTGATCATGTGGGAAAAAAACTAAATATTCAGTATTACAGGAGTAGGTAAAATTTTAATATATGCATATTTAATACATGCATCCCATACAGTATTTTTAGCCATTTAAGATAAAGCTTGCAGAGAATTTTTTTTTTTTTTTTTTAAGACAGTTTCACTCTGTCGCCCAGACTGAAGTGCAGTGGCACAATCTCGGCTCACTGCAACCTCTGCCTCCTAGGTTCAAGAGATTCTCCTGCCTCAGCTTCCCAAGTAGCTGGGATTACAGGTGCCTACCACCATGCCCAGCTAAATTTTTTTTTTTTTTTTTTTTTTTTTTTGAGACAGTGTCTCGCTCTGTCACCCAGGCTGCAGTACAGTGGCGCGATCTCGGCTCACTGCAAGCTTTGCCTCCCAGGTTCACGCCATTCTCCTGCCTCAGCCTCCCGAGTAGCTGAGACTACAGCACCCGCCACCATACCCAGCTAATTTTTTTTTTTTTGTATTTTTAGTAGAGACAGGGTTTCACTGTGTTAGCCAGGATGGTCTCGATCCCCTGACCTTGTGATCCGCCCACCTCGGCCTCCTGAAGTGCTGGGATTACAGGCGTGAGCCACCGTGCCTGGCATGCCCAGCTAATTTTTGTATTTTTAGTAGAGACAGGTTTCACCATATTGCGCAGGCTGGTCTCGAACTCCTGACCTCAAGTGATCCGCCCGCCTTGCCCTCCCAAAGTGCTAGGATTAAAGATGTGAGCCACTACACCTGGCCAATAATTTTTAATAGTAAGGAAAATTTATTTTAATATTATGGCGGGGAGGGGAAAGCAGGTTACAATCTTGCACATGTATGTAAGAAAAAAACCACATAGAAAAAAGATTGTAGGTAACAACACAATTGTTGTGTCTGAGAAGTAGGATTAAGGTAATTTGTTTTCCCTGCTTCTTCACAATTTCTTATATTTTTCAGTGAGCATGCAATTGTCTCCAAAAAAACTTACTGAAATGGAAAATCTATGGCTTAGGATGGAGGTGATATGATTAGACAAATTTGTACTTATATATGAATGCTTCCCTTATAATTCACAGAAGCAATTATATTTTTAAAGAAATATTTATTAACCCAAACGAGTATCTAATTGGTTTTATAAAACAAAGTAAAATGGAAAGATAAGTAGGGCAATTTGTGGGAGCCTGTACACTATTTAACTTCCCAGGGAGTGCTACTATCAAGCCAGCCTCCAAAATAAGATTTCCTAAGCTTTCCACTTTCCAGTTTCTCCTGAACCCTCATGGTAATAGCTATATCACCTGGTAAAAGCAAAATCTAAAGAGTAGAGGTCCTTTGAGCCTGGATCCTTGATACATCTTCTGTTTATGGGTAAAAAAATTCCCTGTATTGTTTTTAAGGATTTATCTGATTGGTATACATGGGCTGTTAATATTGTTTTCACTTATTCTGTATAAGGTATATGAAGGCAAGATAGAGGAACCTTAGATGCCAGGGTCACTCTCCCTCTCATCCTTACTAGCCTGTATTCTGTATACGCTATACAGACTTTTACTCATTACTTCTGGGCATAATCACAATAATTATCAAGAGATAGAAAACTATTAGAAAAATTAAACTAATAGCATAAATGAACCAGAAAACAAACTGTTACATAAATACAATAGCTTGTTTCTTGAGGAAAATGGCATGAAAAAATGACTGTTATTACTTTATTTCCTAAGCATACTTCAACAGGAAAAAAAAGAAACTCTCCTGCAACAGAGAACTTCTTAGCTTCTGATTATTTGGCTACAATTTATGGAATACTTAGTAAATAAATTTGATACATAAGTACTAGTGTTACAACTTATATATGACTTCCAGAAATACAGGATTCCACATTTTGTACAAGTTAAGTGAGAGCGATTCAACTAGGGGGTGGCTGTAAAGTACCTGAGGAACAGAATTTGTAAGAGCAAAACTTAATTATAGAGTCTCAACTGCAAAAATATAATAAACAGATATGAGATTTTTTTTTAGATATCTCCTTTTTTACAGCATTAATATTAGAAAGAAAGTGGAGAGGTTGATCAGCAATCATCGGCATAACATTTTTTTCTTGGAAGCTAGGTAAATGTAGGTTTTTCATAAGGTAGAGTAGTACTAGTGTTCTAAATGTATAAGGATAGTCCAGAATGAAGCCAAATGAGTTGAAAAAAAAAAGAAAAGCAAAAGAATAATAGGAAAATAAAATTTATATTTTCACCCTCCAGGTAACAAGCAAATCTTAATGTCCTGTATTATAACAAGTAAACCCTCTTTATGTCCTGTATGCCCCTTTTAAAATAGTACAGAATGCTACTACAAGCTTTCGTGAACAGTCACAGGCTACTTTGTTTTTACATAATCCTTTTTTTTTTTAGGTTTGTCCTTATAGATACGTAAAATTTATTTTTTAAAAAGAAGCAAAAATGAAAAATCAGCATGTTTAGTTAAATTTGGATTTTAAAAAACCAACTAATCATGTTTAGAATAATATGACTCAAATATTGCATGAAGCATATTTATATTAAAAAATGATTTATTGTTTATTTGAAATTCAAATTTTACTGAATATCCTGTATTTTATCTGGCAATGCCAGGTATAGTGAGAATGTATTTTAAATAAAGAATATTTTCTTTTTTGATGAAATGCCTTACAATCTTACTTAAATAAGATAAAAATATATGCAAATATATTACTCCATGGAGTATAGAAGATACATTTATCTAAACTTGACAACAAAACTATTGAGTTTTAAAAGAGTCTCGCTCTGTCGCCTAGGCTGGAGTGCAGTGGTGTGATCTTGGCTCACTGCAACCTCCGCCTCCTGGGTTCAAGGATTCTCCTGCCTCAGCCTCCTGAGTAGCTGAGACTACAGGCACGTGCCACTACGCCTGGCTAATTTTTGTATTTTTAGTAGATAGAGGTTTCACCATTTGGCCAGGCTGGTCTTGAACTCCTGACCTCAAGCGATCCACCCACCTCAGCCTCCCAGACTGCTGGGATTACAGGTGTGAGCCACTGCGCCTGGCAAGTTTTAAAGGTTTCTATACTCTGACAAACTCAGTTTCTTAGCAAAAGTGATCCTAAAGTTTAAGTTTTAAAATACGGGGGGAAATTAATTTAATTAGATTATTTATTTATATTTTTGTAGTAACTACATTAAAGAAAATAATAATGATTAAGTCATTTTAAATTATAGGATAAAAAATAGGTATAAGTGACAAATAGAATATTACTATTTTGGATAATTTGAAGTGAAAATATGGACCATTTAAAATTTAATCTGATGCTTCCATACACAAAATAAAAATGCAAAATGAAACTAAATATGTTTTCTTAGATTTTAGTTAACCATGAAAGAAACAAAACTTCATTATAAGAAACTATATCTTAAAGACATATCTGTGAAGAAAAGCTTTCTACTTAACTTAATAATTTAGTACATAGTCTGTCTTGGAGGCAAATCCCAGGTGATCATAAGAAGCTGAAAAAAAAAATGGTCAGCAGTTTTCTAAACTACAACCTACCACTGACTGATAGGTGATGCATTTTTTTTTTGCCTTTATTTCTTCATTAAAAAAACTCAACTATATCAACATTGATTTCTTACATTTGACAAGCATACCATCATAATGTAAGATGTTAACAATAGGAAAACCACAGGAAATCTCTATATTATTTTTACAACTTTTCGGTAAATCTAAAATTATTCCAAAATAAAAAGTTTACTTAAAAACTGAAGGGAAAAAGAATATGCCACTGCTTTTGCAGCATAAAATAATAAAAGTAGTTCCAAACCCCTTCATGGACATAAATTATTAATACTATTTCTTTACAGCAGGGATCTATTATACCTCTATTGTGAAAGTAATATTTTCTCTACAAAACAACAAGCAGAACTTCAAGAATGAAAAGTTCACCAAATCTGATTTTCCTGGATATACATACTAAAACACTTAGTGAACACATCACTAAGCAATGCATTTCAAATTTAATAATTACATATGAAATGAATTATTAATATATCATATGCTTTCTACTGAAAACTATACAGTATTTGTAGCCAAAATATTTACGAGGTTGTTTTAATGATCTCTGTTCATTGCTATGACAACATTCAATTGTGAAACTCACTAAAATATGTCAATACTGAGGACACAGGAAGTATAATGTATATGGACCTTAAACTTAACCACTGCAGTTTTAAGTCAAATAGTTATTTACTGGAGAAACAGCAAAAGTTACTTTGCCTCATAGTAAAAAGCCACTGAATTGTCATCTATAAAAACTTTCTTTTCTTAAAGTTTTGGGAGAAATATAATTTAATGTTATAAAAAATATTTTGCCCTAAATAAAAGTTTCATTTATCTATAGAAAAAGTCTGTGTAAATTCTGTTAAAGAGAATATATAACTCAATAATATTTTTAAAGCTAAATAACGTGAATGTCTTTTAAACACATTTCCACCTGGTACTAGCTCCCCTCCCCACCTCCCTGCAATAAGGCCATTGTTTGTTAAATTGAAAGGGGAAAGACCTGCTTAGAAAAAAAATAATAATCATAAGAGATAGGCATGTAAGAGAAAAATGAAGCATTGATCAGTGTACAAGAATGAGCACAAAACTTCCTGAAATGATGGAAACCTGATGATAGGGTGCCACATAATTAGGGACATTAAATTGGGTGCAAAATTGGGCAGTACAAATCCTTTATTTTCAGTTGAACTAGACAATCACTTGAACTTTAGGGGAAAAAAGAAAAAGATCTACTTTCTTTCTTCTATTTCAGCGCTTAAAATGGAGTAGCTAAAAAACTTAAAGCTGGAAGGATTGGTTCCCCCAAAGATGTAAAGATAACCCAAGGTGAAAGATTAAGGGTTTTTCAACATTCGCACAGATTTCAGGGTAAAATGAGCATAATGTAAATCAACTTATTGTTTGAGCCCTTTCAAATTAGTTGCCAAGAGAGGAGTGAAAACTTGGTAAGCAGGCTCCAGTTTCTGTGTGTTGATTTGGAAATCTTAAAGCTTGAGGGAGCTCAATTCATTTAAAGGAAGACATGTAAAGGGACAAAAAGTAAACAATGAAAATGCTATGCGATGAAGCACTAAAGTGAATGGGGGTATAGAGGATTTTTTAAAAAAACAAAACAATAAAGAGTCCATTGTGCTTTTAAATTACAATTTTAGAGAGTTCTTTAAGGGTCTGATTTTCTTTTGAGTATCAAAATGTCATGACCCATTTACAATATCCAAACTGTTGATGCTGTTTTTTTTATCTAGGTTGGAGGGAAATTAAATATAAATTGATATCTCCAAGAATTAAGTCCACATTTTCTAATAGGCAGGTGGCTATTTTGAGTGAAGCAGCCAAGGCATTTTGCCTTTTAACCTTCCTGCATGGAAAGTCAATTTCTCAACTGCAACTAGATACCTTCAGAACACTAATGATCAAATCTTATCCCTGCAGCAACTTCGGGTCCGGACTCTCCTCAGGAATCAAACCAAAAAGCACTATTTCACTAAAAGAAGTGAAGATAGTTGGCCAGACTAAATCCAGGTATTTGGACATAAATCTCAGGTGGCTCATCTGCCTTTTCCCAGGAAAATGCGGCCCCAGCTTTCATCAGTGTGTGCTTTGTCTTGATAGAAATGCATAATCATCAAAGCTAA
Organism: Homo sapiens; assembly: GCF_000001405.40. Lineage (NCBI taxonomy): Eukaryota > Metazoa > Chordata > Mammalia > Primates > Hominidae > Homo > Homo sapiens. The sequence goes on from NC_000007.14 coordinate 20,776,181, forward strand.
GTATTTTTTTTACCTCAAATATAAGATCCTTTAGCACTGATTTTAAAAGTATTCGTAAACCACTTATAAACTACGAATGAAAAAATAAAGGACGACACAGATTTGTAGGGGCAAGAAAGGTGAGTAGGGAAGGACTAGATCATCTGCATCGAGATTTGAAAGACACTTGTGGCTTACTTGCAAAGCTTCTTTTAGCATTGAGCGTACGAGGGAAATTCTGTTCTTGATGACAGCGCAGTGGGAATTCCCACTCCAACAACCCATGAAATGTTACTGCATAATTATTCACCTTCTGAGGCCCATTACGACTTATCAGCAGAGAAAGAAATTTAATTTAAACTCACCCCTCTGTGCTAAAGAATGACTGGGACATGAGATCAAAGCGCGAAGCTCTGTCCTCCAGTGGTTTGCAACACCTAGGCACAATAGGGTGAGAGAACGCGGCATTCCAGCGCTTCCCAGCTTTCCGGACCCCGGAGAGAGGGGGTGGGGGTGTGGGCTCACATCGCCGGCTGGCTTGAGGGAGGAGAGTGGTGGCGGCTCCGGAGGTGGACGTGTCAATTATATCCTGGAGCTCCGGGAAGCCAGATTGCTTCTACCGGCGGCTGCAGGGGCTTGCAAGCGAAGATAGGCGGCCCTCCTTCCTTCCCCACTGTGGGGGATTGGGGTCAGTGGAGCCCGTGGATTTAGCCACGAGGGGACATGACTGGAGCCCTGTCACGCGCAGGTGTGCGTCTCCGAGAGCTCTTTCAATATAAGTGCGGGAGAAGATTTATGCTGCAGCCTCATCACAGGATGCCTTAAATGCATGTACATAGTGCGTATCTAACCACCCATAAAAGCCAAGTTTAATCCTTGGCATGTCTCGAGAATACAAAGTGGAACCCACAGATCCGAACCTGTGCGATGACTTCCAAGACCAGAAGGCCTAAGACCTAGAGGCGCCTAAAAGAGTCAGGGGGTGGGGCTGGGGAAAGGTTTACCAGGAGCCAGCTCCTTTCCTCAGGCAGCCCGGGGAGAGGCAGGTACATTCTCCAAATAAAGACCTTTAAGCGGAGCATGACGCTCTTCTCCGAAGGGTTGATCTATCTTGATCTCCTTTCAGATGTCACCAGAATAGGGACCTTCAGAATGTTGGTAGCAGTCCCCAAAGACCCAGAGGCCCAGAGTCGGGAGAGAAGAGCATTGGGAAGGAAGCCCATGAGAGGTTGTTGGGTTTTGGGTGCAATGCAGTAGAGTTCTGTTCAACAGGTTCAGTGATTCTACATCTGTGTCCATCCACCTATCTATCCATCACTTTTTCTGTTAGTCCCAGGGTAGCTAAACTTTTTTGATATCCTGAAACTAAAAAGCGCAGAGTTTTCACAGCCAGTCACACTTAATTGCGCCTTCTTTATGATAACAGTGTGGGGAAATGTGGGCAAGTTCCTTCACTCGTCGAGTCTGCCAACCCCATGATAAAATGACAAGAATAAATCTTGCCACCTATGGAGGACGCTGCACTTTGACGTCGCTGGGGAGAGGAGGCGGGTGCGAGTGAACACAAAGCAGTTTGGCCAAGAAAAGAGCACAGGAGGTGAAGAAAGGCAGGCAGTCGTGGGCCAGGACAGAGAGAAAGCTGAACAAGTTCAGGAAGAAGAATCTGAGTCTGTCCACGCCGCAGCAGCCTCCGGTGGCACGGGCAGAAAGATCAAGCGCGGCACCCCGTGACAGGATGGGACAGATTCCCCGGGCTCCGAGGCCCTAGGATGGCGCAGGGCAGCGGGCTGGTGCGGGAAAACTACAGAGCAAGCGAGGGAGGGAAGCGAAGGCAGGGGAATCCCTCACCCCGTCCGGCCCGAGTGTCTTTTGAGAGCCCACAGGCGAGCGGGGCGGGGGGAGGCTCCCCGCGCATTCCCACCGTGGGTTTGCCCAAGGTCAGAGGCCCGGGACTGGCGGGGCGGGTCTGGCCGGCATTGCCCGCGCTGAGCGCGCTGCAGAACGGGAGCAGGGCACAGGGTGGCGCTCGCTGTCCGTGCAGCGGGCGGAGGCGGCCGCGGTGCCTTTGTGTGCGGTGGGCGCGGCGATGGGCTGCTCCGGCCCGCAGCCCGAGGGGAGCGGCGGGCCCGGGCCGGGGCCAGGGCTCGCGGGGAGACCCCAGACCACCACCTCACTCTTCGCTGCTACGTGCAAGCGGACCGTGCGGATCGCCAGTTCGGAACCCTCCCCGGGAGGGCCCCGGGGTCTTTCTCAATGTACTGGGCACTTCGAGGAGCTGGGAAGAGGAAAGCGGAGGGTAGCGTTTAGAAAGGGAGGGAAATCCTCCCAGGCTCAAAACCTCTCGCAGAATTCATTCGAAAAGAGAACGAAGGGAACTTTGGGCAGGCCGGACCTCGGCTCAGCGCCCTGCGAGAGAAGCAGAGGTCGCTGCCAGCGTTTCCTCCCGCGCAGCAAGAAATTGGTGCCTGAGAAGCAAAGTTGAGGAATGGGCTTTTTAAAAGCGGCAGCCCCAGGCCGGGCGCGGTGGCTCACGCCGGTAATCCCAGCACTTTAAGAGGCCGAGGCTGGCGGATCACCTGAAGTCAGGAGTTCGAGACCAGGCCAACATGGTGAAACCGGTCTCTACTGAAAATGCACAATTAGCCGGGCGTGGTGGCGGTCGCCTGTAATCCCAGCTACAGGGGAGGCTGAGGCAGGAGAATCGCTTGAACCCGGAAGGCGGAGGTTGCAGTGAGCCGAAATTGCGCTGTTGCACTCCAGCCTAGACAAGAGCGAAACTCCATCTCAAAAAAAAAAAAAAAAAAAAAAAGCAACATTTCCGGTAGATGGACTTTCAAAAACGGTACTAGAATACCAGGAAAAAGCGACAGCTTGTAGCGGGGCTTTATTCCGAGTTCTAGGTCACCTCAAGCCCTCCCCGCTGTCCCTAGAGCTCTCCCACTGTTCGTTAGGAACCAAAGCAAAATGTATAAGGCTGCTTTCCTCACCGCCAAGAGACTCCGCAGAAAATTAAATTAAATTAAACATGCGCCGAGGGACTAGGGAAAAATAGATCCCCCCTCCCCGCCGCTGCAGCAAATCAACATTTCTGCTCACAGGGAGAGCAGCGAATCTAAAGACATGGCCACTGACGCGCATCCCCTTAAACCGCAGCGGCTAGGGTCCAGGATGGCAAGGAATTAGCGGCTTTCCTTTAATCCGGAAGCAGGGAATAAACAGGGAGAAAATTCTGAATCTTATTTTTAAAATAACATCAACTATTTATATTGAGCAGTCTTCAAAAGATGCCACCCAAAACCAAAGCCCTGACTTTAAAATGGGTACAGCATTACTATATTTCGATTCCTTACTTTAACACCATTTTCTTGAAATACAGGCACAGAATTGATCTTCTGCGCCATTTTTTAAAAAGGAGGGAGATTGGGAGGGAGAGAAGGAGGAAGAAAGGAAGGAAGGAAGCAACTGCAGAAACCATACTTTTAAAAAGAGAGAGAAGGATAAAGATGTTGGTAATATCTGGGTTTTTCTTAGGAGTGTAAAGAGAAATAATGCCTGTTTGGACAGAAGCAGCAAAAATCAGTAGTAAAATGAACAACCACAGTTTATTCAAAATACCTGCATCAAATCAATCCCTTTTTGAGGCTGTTTGTACAAAACACTGAGCAAAATTCTTAAATTCTTCATGATAATATTTATCTTTACCATCTTAGCAAACAGATAATAATCAAATCCACACTTTTTTCCCCCTTTTTCTGCCTTAATTTATCAGCCAAAAAGATCATCTGACCTTTGAGCAATCCTCTACAATATTTATTTTTAAAAAAATTCCTCTACAAGCCTTCTGTAGCATTCCATTTAATAACCTCACCAAAAGATCCATGAAGATGAAAATGATAGCAAAATTATCGATCTGCCTACTTAGGAGTCCAGTCTCATCACCTGCTTGTCTTTAAATTTTAATTTCAGTATTCTCTAACCAAAGGAAGCCCAGTTGAGAAGTTATGCCAAGATTCCGGTAGGAGCAGGGCGGAAGGAAGGCAAACCCATTCAGGAGCTTTTTCCAGCATCAGTTGTTCTGAGAGGAAGTCATCATATTGGTTTAAATTAAGTTTCTTACATAAAATATTTCAGTTGGTAATCCAGCCTCAACAAATCACAGTTACACATATCTCAGTGAAAGAGATCATCCACAAAGAGAGAAGGTGAGGAAGGAAGGAGCCAAAAAAGGAGAAAGCAGGATAGGGAAGAAACATTCAAGTTTGTAGAAGAGATGAGGTAGGAAATGGAAATGGTTGGATTGGCAGCCCTTTCCAGACTCTGGAGGGTGGGCTGATATATGCTGGCCTGACTTCTGGGTCAACAACTAGTTTAACTCTATCTTGATCTGCCAGACTGGAAGCTTGTCCCTTGGTTCAAAGTGAGACCTGGCCTTTGACTTCACTTGAGTGAGCCTCCAGCTACTGCCAGGAAGTGCTTTATCAGGGACAAAACAGGAACAAAAAAAAAAAAAAAATCACAATTTGGTACCTCATCTTCTGTTTTCCCAAAAGAACCCTGCCCACCCTGCAGAAAATTAAGCTAGAAATACTGTTCCATAACCACCAAAACAAACCAAGCAAAGCTAGAAGGGTGAGGAGCCAGAAGGAAGAAAGGGAAAGTTTGCACATCTGTACAGCAGAAAAAATGTCCCCCTTCAATCACCCCAAAGAAATCTTCTTCCAGACAATATTTCTCCTTGTCATAACCCACCTCTTAAATCAATGTTGATTCTGCATGTAATGCAACTGATATTATAAATGTACCAAGCAGCTTTCCTCTTACCTGCCACTACATTTAACTCCTTCAGAACCGCTCTTTCCGAATCCCTCAGCATTGCAACTTTCAATAAAAAAGAAACAACACTTAAACTGTGTTCTGCTTGTTATCCTAGGAAGAAAGTGACAGAAAGAAACTATTTTACTTTTAAAATCCATTATTTAGAACTATAGTATACCAAAGAATCAGAGTTAACTTGTTTGTCTAGAACCATAGAGACTGGAGGCCTCAAATACCTGCATAGACAGCAGGATTAAAGGTGTCACCTACTTGGACACGAGCTATATTATTCTAAAACATCTTTTATCCCTAATTGCTTTTTCCTCTCAATTTACAGTGCTCATAGCACTTTGTATTTTCACTTGCTTCTATGCATTATAATTACCATATATAGATTTCAATGGAAAATTTTTCAGTTCAAGATGTATACCAAGACTATACTTAGGGTGGGGAGATTGCAAACAGAAATAAAGAAGCTAAACTTGTAAGAATCCAAACACACTAACTTTTTATTCAATTTGATTCAAAATAATAATATTAATCTAATAGTGAAATAGTGATATAACATCAATCAACATTTAGAGTATTTTATGTTTCAAAGTATGGCTCAGGAACACCCATTGCTAAATGCACTTAGACATAACAAGACAGTATTTTTTATTGGCATCATTGACACCTATGAACAATAGCCTAGTAAATAGATTAAGGTTTAACCTTCCTTTTCTTTGGTGGCTGTTTAGAGACTTTAAAAGAACAGATAACTCATTTCAACAGGAATCTACTACTGATATTTACCTCTACATAATCTTTAGCTAAGACTTGGAATGCCAAAAACAAGCTTTTGTTAGCTTGACCTCCTCCACCTCCTAACAACAAAAGTTATCCCCAAACCCATGTTTTTATTTTAGATGTATTGATCTTCCAATGTAAGGCTTGGCCTTTTAAATACTAATGCAATCAATGGCCAACAACCTGACTCCTTCTGGAGACTGAGAAGGAAAGAGAATGGTGAAATTTCTTTGAATTGTGACTTAGTACAAATTTTAAGAGGTCAGTAAATCCTGATGCTATGAGCTAAATCTACTGGTAAATAATCAATTACATTCCTTAGACACTATAATCTTTATCTTGGTAAACAGAGAAAACACAGCTTTGCCAAATAGATCTTTCCATCTAACATCTTAAAGGTAATTATTTAAATATTACCACAAACAAGGATATATTTTGTTTAAATTAGACAATTAACTGAAGATAAAATGCACGTCCATAGTTTAAAAAGGGGAAAAAATACAAATTAACTGGCCTAGTCTTTTATCTGAGTTTATTATACCATTTAAAATATTACAAATAAATCAATTACATTTCATGCATTTAAAATGCAAATCTAAAATGCTCCAGAGAAAGGCTTTTCATTTCAATGTGAAATATCCAAATTATTTCAACATTACAATGAGCAATTAGTTTGCAGAATCTGCAAACATTTAAATGTAGTGTCAGAAGTATTTATTAACAGTTAACAATATTACCTTCAGGAAATACACAAAGGCCAAAGTTAGTCGAGTTTCACTTGGACAATTTATTTAATACATGGGTTTTGGCAGACCACTTATTATGAAATATAGGAGAACTCTCACTTTAACTATGCCTGAACTGCCAGCAAATGCAAATAAGTACATGCTCCATTAAATTAAATGTCATCCAACATTTATCAAATATTGTCTTAGTTACAGCTTGATACCTATCTAAATTCATATTCGAGCAAAACTAGGCCCCGAAAGTGCGTTTGTGGCTCTGCACCTCCAGAAGTGAGTTCAAAAAACCTGCAGCTCATCAGAACTGCAACAATAACTCTTAATATTTTCTTGTGACAAAAAAAAAAAATCAAGTTTACTTCAATATATTTTCAAATATTTACTGGAAGTAATGTACAAGAAAAATACTATACAAAATCGTCTCCTGGACAACTGCACCTCACACCCTTACACTGGCGGAGTTATATTTAATTGGTAACTAATCTAGAACGATTCTCCAGTTGTACAAACCATTAGGTTCAGATATATTTTACAAAGGTTCTTTTTTATTTTCCCTCTTTTGGTATTTAAACTACAGCCTCGTCTGAAATAAACGATAGCTTCTTCACTTGTTTGTAAGTTTAAATCACACACAAAAAAGTTTAACCCTACGATCTTCATGAATTGAGAGAATTTACGAAATTGGTACTATACAATTGACGGCCGGACTAACAAAAAAGATTGGGAGGTTATGTTTGGGAGTGGTGAAAAAACGAGGTAGAAAAGGACAAACATGGAGATAGTTAATCTGGTCTCACCGGAAAGGAGTATTTTTGCATAAGAAAAAAGCACCTACCCTCACCCCCGCCCCCACCCCGTAAGTTAAGTTAATGCAGTCAAAGTAACTTTGGGATCAATATTAGCAGTTTCGAGAGAAAGATTGCTCCCCGTTAGAGGAAAAAACTATTATAGAAGGGAAACCAAATGGAAGGTTGCTATTTTCCCCCTAGTTTTTTTAAAAATAAAATATATGCTATAAAGATGAAAGAAAGCTGCTGCAGCGATTCGACAAGACTGCCCTTTGCTGAAACTTGCATCGGTTCCACCTCAGGGAACAAAGAAAAAGAGGCAGACTGACATTGGGAGATCTAAACTCTACAAACTCTGGGTCTCGGGCTGCCAAAAGTCACCCCCACCAAGCCCCGACAGCCTGAGTAGGACGTCCGGCGATGCCCAGGGGCCTGGCAGGGTGCTCCGAAGCCGAGGTGCTCAGTACAGCGGCTCTGGAACCAAGCAGCCGTCTGCCCGGGCGGCGCTGTTCTGCCCAGGCCTCCAGCCTCTCCCTCTCCACCGCTCCGCTCAGGCTTGTCAGCCGAGCCGCTCCTGCCCGCGCGAGGCCCGCTGTCTACCAGGCACTGGATTAGTCCAGCTCTACCTCCAGTGGCCGTTCCCTCTAAAAGTTACGCCCTTCACAACCTGGGGGGTGGAGGAGGGGAGGACAAGGAAGAGAGAACGAGAAATAAAGGCCCGACGAGGCGCGGGTTCCGGCTGCAACGGGTTCAGGCAGCGTTACCCGTGGAAAGGGAAAGCCAGGGCCCGGGACAGCGATGCGTGTTACTTACTTGTCCATATCCCCTTTACAAAGTTAAGTCACAGAAGGAAGAAGGAAGAGGGGCAGAAACAGAAAGAGACAGAGAGCGAGTCGGATGCAATAGGGAAAGGCTGGAGTTGAAGTCCGGACAGACAGGGCCCAAGAGGACTTGGTGGGAGGAGGTCGGGGAGAGGGGCGGGCGCAGGGTGGGCGTCACTCTAGGCCGTTGCGGTGCCCGGGCTCGGGGGGCTGCAGCAGCTCTGGGGAGTGGCAGGGCGGGCTGCCCGCGGCGCTGTGCTCGCTGTCGGTGTCGCTGCCCTTCTTGCCGCCGCTGCCCGAGCCCGCCGAGCCGCCGCCGCCGCCGCCGCCACTGTGCGTCTTCACGTGCTTGCTGAGGTGGTCGCTGCGCATGAAGCGCTTGTTGCAAACTGGACAGGCGAAGCGCTTCTCGCCGGTGTGGGTCCGCAGGTGCCGCTGCAGCTCGTCGGAGCGCGTGAAGCGCTTGCCGCAGAAAAGCCAGTTGCACACGAAGGGCCGCTCGCCCGTGTGCCAGCGCAGGTGCGCCTTGAGGTGCGAAGTCTTGCCGTACACCTTGCCGCAGCCCGGGATGTGGCAGCTGTGCAGGCCCTTGCGCCGCAAGCTCGCCCCGGCAGGGCCCAGCCGCTCTGCCTCCTGGCAGTTGGGGCAGTCGCAGGTGGCGCGGCCGGAGTAGCGGCGAGCTGAGGAGCGCGGGGAGCCCCCCAGCGGCGCCGAAGGCCCAGCGCTCAACATGGAGCCCCCCGCGCCGGCCAGCGGCGACGGGGCCGAGTCCGGGTAGGAGCCGGGTAGCACTGGCTTGAAGCCGTCCATGAGGTGCTGCCCGGCGGGGCTGAGCAGGTGCGAGGAGGCGCCGCTGCTGAAGGCCGAGTGACTCAGGCCCGAGTAATCCGAGTTGTAGCCTCCGAGCGGCGAGTGCAGCGAGGTTTGGAGCCCCCCGGCGGCAGGGTGCAGCGAGCCGGGCAGCGCAGCCGCGCTGTTCGGGTTCTGCACGTCGATCCAGCCGGCCCCCACGTCCCACCAGCTGGAGGCGCCGGCCGAGCCCACCTCGCCCGCAGCACCCAGGCCCGGGTGCGAGGGCTTAAACCACGACTCGTACGGGTGCGCCATGCCCACCCGCGGGTAGATGCCCTGCAGCCCGTCCACAGAGGTGTGCACCTTGGAGATGAACACCGGCTGGTGGGAGCCGTCCTGCGAGTGCGCGGAGGAGCCGCCGCCGCCGCCCCCGCCGCCGCCGCCGCTGCCCCCGGAAACTCCGGGGGCCTGGAAAACAGAGTAGTCGTTGGCGAAGGGCGAGCTGGAGGCGGCGGCTGCGGCGGCGGCGGCGGCGGCTGCGGCGCTGCTGGAGGTGAGGGAGAAGGCGCTGGAGCCAGGCGAGCCGCCGCAGCTGAACGAGTCGGACACCAGGGCCGCGGCAGCCGCGGCTGCTGCCGCGGCCGCCGCAGCCGCCGAGGACGAGCCGCCGTTCCTGGAGGCCCCGGACACGCCGAAGCTTGAGAGACTGGAACCCACTACGTTGCAGCTGGCGGAAGAAGAGGACGAGGAGCGTTTCCAGGGGTGGAAGCCTTTGCCGAAGGAAGAAGAGCTGTCCGAGAGGGAGGAGGGAGACGGGCTGGGGCTGCCTATCTTATTACAGGTAGCGGCAAGCATGGCCAGAGGAGTCGATCCCAACCTCGGTTCTTCCTGCGAGGAGGAGAGGAGAAGGAGTGGGGGAGGGGAGGTGGGCAAAGGGCCGGTGGGGGAGGAAAGGAAGAAATGTGCATCAGTCCTTCGGTAGCCTCCAAAGCGCCCCACTGCACCCCATCTCTCGCTGCGGCGCGCCGCCACCAACTCACCTGGCACCCCCAACAGCCCCGGCGCCCGGCCGCTTCCTACTCTACAGGAGGGGACAAGTTTGGCTGCCGGCGTCTGATTCGGGAGCAAGCACCACGCTAAAGAAGAGTTTGACAAGTATTCTCACCTAAAACAACACTCTCTTGCACACAAAGCCCCAGACACTTCGTAACAAACAAGCAAAAAGTCCAGATTGGAGAGGAAGGAAGTTTTCTTTGCCGAGAAGCCTGGGGGAAAACCATTGGATTGCTTTTAAGAGCGCTTCCCTGTAATCCGGAGAGCTTTGAAAAACCTGTTCGGGTCCCCAGAAACCCATCCTGGGTTGTTTCTCCCAGGCCAAAAGAAATCAAACTGTAGGGCTCACTCTTTCTTCCTGCTTTTCTTTCTTTCTTTTTTTAAAAGCATATCTACAGTAGTAAAAACGAGACGAGTTCAACGTACCTGCGAGACAAGGCGGGCTGCAGAATTTTTTTTTAAGGGTTAGGGGAAGAATCTGCACTTTGCCCAGAAGGAAAAACTTGCTCTCTTTACCCCCGAAATCGGTGCCTGTAAAATGGGCTGGACGCAGGTCTCCCGGGCAGGGAGCAGCGAGGCGCTGCGCGGTGGCTTGTCTAAATGCCCTTCGAACCTTTTCCTGCGCTGAAAAAAAGTGACTCTGCCCCCTTCTCCCCCTTTTTCTTTTCTCCAAACTCACTTGTATTTAAAGAAAAAAAAAAAAAGCTCTCAATAGAGAGACTGATAGCCCGTGGCCTGGCCGGGGCGACTTTAACCCCCTCCAATCGGCAATAAAAGGAAACTAATTAAACCAGCAAGAGAAAATCCTGAGACTCACCCCTAGAAGTGAAGTTGCCATCACACAAAAGTGCCCTCCTCCTCTCAGAGGATCTTTTTTATATTGATAAATCAGAGGCAGTGTTTTTTTTAGAGGTGTGCAATACAATGATCAGTTCCGCCCATTCCACCACAATTGTAGCTCCCTCTCCGGCTTTGAAGTGCCGCGGAGGCGCGGCCAGCCAATCTGCGGCCTCGCCGGGCCGCGCGGCGCGCGCGCCGTGAGGTCATCGGCGCCGCCGCCTGCCGCCGTGGTGGAAGGGGGAGTGGGAGCGGAGGGGGCGGGGGCGGCTGCGTGTGTTACAAAGCGCAAAGCGCGCGCTCGCGTGTATGAGTGTGTGTGTAACAATGTAACTGTGTGCGAGTGTGACCAGGCGTAGGAGAGGACAGTGCGGAGACTGGAGGGAGGGGGGATGGGGGTGTGACACCGTAACAGTGACAGTGTGGTAAAGGCGGGGAGTGGAGAGAGTGCAGAAAAGGGAGGGTTGTGTGATAAGATAACTGCGTGTGCGACAAAGCGGGGTAGAGGGACAGAGCAGTTAAGTGTTGGGAAGGGTGTGAGTGTACGGTAGTGTAACTGACAAACCTAGGGAGGGAAGAGGGACTCAACTGGGTGGGGGGTGAGTGTGTTTGGTGTTGGGGGAGAAGGAGGGCTGTGAACATGTGTATTTGTGCGACAGAGAAGAGGGAAGGGTGTGTGTGGGCGCTTGTGTTGTGTGCGCGCACCAAAGCTGGTAGTGGGGAATGGGAACAATGCAATAAAGTGTGTGTTTGTAAGAGAGAGACTGTCGAGCTGAAGAGAGAAACCGACTAAGTTGATGGAGGCTGAGTGAATAAATATTCACAAACGCTGCCCCTGTCGCCAACTTCCTTTGGCTCCTTGTACCTAAAATCTTGAGTGATTTTTTTTTCTTAACTTGGTAAACAGCGTCACTACATTTTTGAAGAAGATCTTTAAACCCACCTTTTCTTTCCCGGCTCTCCAACGAAATAGTAGAAAGGTTGAGAGGCTAAGGGTTATTTTTAGGGATGCGTTGGGACGTGGATGCGCGCCTGCGCGCCCATGAGTTGTTTCTTTGATGCCGTGGCTTTTTTTTTTTTTTTTTTTTTTTTTTTCCCTGAGGTGGAATTCTGCTTTAGAAGTGCACGTCTCACTCTAGGGGAGGAGGTGTGTGTGTCCCGTGGTGTTGAGTAAATTTCAATACAAAAGGATTAGATAGAGAAGAGAGTAAGCGAGGGTCGTTTTTTCTTTGGGTAAGAAATTGAAGAGCGTTTTACGGAATTTAGAAATTTTCACAGAAAACCTCACTGCCTCTTTCTGAGAAAAGAATCAGGACTTTGATCGAAATATATGGGTTCTATTTATCTAAGAATAGAGAGGAGCTTTTGACAAATCTTGGACATTTATCCAGGCGTCAGTGTCTAATGGCGATTGGGCCAGAGATCTGTCTATGAGTGTGTGTGCATGTTAATAGATACACTTAGTTCAAATTCGGTGGGGTTTAGTCATTTGCTTGCCATTTGTGTTATTAGTTGCCTTCAGAAATGCCATTACAATTTCACTGCCACCACAAGGGAACTTAAACCGCAGAAAGCACAACACCAGTGTAGCAAAAAGTCCAGTCTTTGTAGCCCTATTGAATATTCATAAGTTATAAAAACAGTTCATATTTTTAACCAGTTACAAGTGCTCTCAGAAGTCTAATTTTAAAATGGAATTAACTAAAATGTGACTAGCTGGGCGAACTGTTTTGTTTTGACTGGGAAAACATTTTTATTTTACTGTTGTGTTTGAACCCCCCTCAAGGATTTCACAGCTTCTAGGGATGTCAAAAAATCTTCCTAGGGTTTACAAAATTTCGAAGTCAAGTTGTATCGTGTAAATTTCATTGAGCAGAGTTGAAACTGATGTTTGTGGTGTGAGAGTGTACATTTCTGACCCTTTTTTAAACGCTGTGGGGATATTGACTGTACATCATATCTATTGATTAAGGGGGTAAGGTATACTCTCATACTTTGAAGTAAGTGTGAAGTAAATTAATGAACTGCTTTCTTTCTCTGAGGGCTGACGCTTACCATAAATGTCGTGTTTCTCCCTGCAAGCCGCTCTGAATGATTTTAGCGTGTTGAGAAGGCGTGACAGGCCAGCCCAGAAGGAGGAAGGGGTGGGGGAAGGAGGGTACTCCGTTTAACAAATAAAAGAGAATTAACTTCATTGCTTTGGTCTCCTTCTTTAATGATATTCATTTTAAGGGCCTAATATACAGTTGTTCAGATTTGGGGTTTAATTCTAATCAATACCATCATCCTCAAAGGTGGAGAAAAACAGCTTTGAGGGGAGGCTCCCATCTATGAATAGTTATTTATTTTATCTTTTTATCCTCCTATCTTCTGGAAGGAAGTGAGGCAGGACTATTAAAAAGTTAAATGCTGATACTGAGAGTAAACAGAGGCGTTAACACTGTTTCCTCAAAAATGCCAGGAATTAGAAAAACCCAGCGTCATGTGACTGCAGTTTTGAGCTACCTAATTCTAAGATTTTTCAAGTGTATAAATTAACTTTAGAATCATATGTCATTCTTCCTATAAGTCACAACGTTGGTGTGGATTTAATGAAAATACTGGATTCTTCAGTTTGTGTAAGATTGGCTTGCAGCATTTGGGGATTTCCACAAAGGTGTGTATGTGCAACTTTCTTCATTATATATATGTATATATATTTTTTATTAGAAATATATGTATATTCCACTTACTTTCATATAAAAAGTGAGCTATTTCTTTCATAGTAGCATTGGTCAAAGGGCATTTTTTTCTTGTACCACCCTTCTTTCACTCCCTCCCCAAAAGAAATGGCTAGTGTTTGTGACATGAGGCATAAGGCAGCTGTGTTAAAAAGAAAAGACAAAGAGAATTATATAATTGACCAAAAATTTTAGCAGTCATAATTTTGCATCTAAATATGCTTGAAACTAGACTTAATGACAGCTCTTTCTCCACTTTGGAGAAGTGACCCAATCATTCTTAAATCCTGTCCCATAGGAGAGAACATCTGTAATCCATTGTTGATATAGCCTGCCTGGCAAAGCATTTCAGGGTGCATACACTTCGGTTTAACTTTTACGATATTGATTATTACTCTTGAGTATTATATTGTGATAATATAGATGTTTGAAAAAGAGGGGGAAGAAAAATAGGAAGTACAGGCTTTCTAACATTAATTAAAAGTTTCTCCACCCCATATGAAGTTTAATGTGCTGGCAGGAAGAGGGGTAGATGGATATTCTGCTGTTTCTTGCAAACCTGTGGGATCCACTATCAATAAAGCTAAAATCTATTAGCATTCTGTATGCATCTGCAGCATAAATTTCATTTGAATTTCAAATTTAATAAACTAGGAGGTTTTTAATCATCCCTGGTTTTATTTGTTTGATATTAACATGCTTATTGACCGGGTCTGGTGACCAGTTTGATCATTACAGGACAGCAAAAAGTTAATTAAAACGACCACAGCCCCTTAATCATATCATCTGTCTCATCCATGTCGCTCTCTTTATTACCGGTGATGATGGATAGTCTCCCAGATTAATTTCTCTGTTTCTTCGATTTGGACAACAGCTTTTGGGACCTAATTTACATCCTGGGAACAACTTGCTCAAGTATATCTAACACCTTGCAGCTACAATATACATCAACATCTCCTTAGATGGAACGGAGAAAGGAAGGTTTTTTGCAGGCAGGTTTGAAGACTAATCAATGCTCGGATCTGGAGGTCTTAGCTTTCACAACCAAAGAAACAGAAGGTCCTAAAAGCAAATTAGAGGCCTCAATTCCTGCTTTTCCTTTTGCGGGAGTAGGAAGTGAAAGATGCCTCTGCTGTTTGATTAATAGATTAAAATGTGTAGCTACAGCGACAAGTAAATAAAGTCATTTGTAACCATTAAGTACAATTAGGGATTTATAGTGGAAAACATCAAAGTTATCTAGGCTTTCAAGTGTCCGGCAGCTCATCTACACCAAATACGGTTTTTGAACTTGTTAAGTGTGGACCACTATAAACAGAGCGTCAAAAAAAAAAAAAAAAAAAAAAAAAAAAAAAAAAAAAAAAGAGAGAGAGAGAGAAAATAAAAGGAAAGGAAAAAAGCCTAATGGTAAAAAATGCACACAAACTGTAGCGCGTACCTCTGCAGGGTACGTTTAAACCCGGCTCTTAGCATCTCGGTTTCTAGAGCGTTGGCAGGGACATGCAGCTCTGGAAGCTGACCGGCGGGTGCCCGCGGGAGACAGAGCGAACGCAGTGCTGGCACTGCGTCCCTGGCCTGCGCCTCTCCCAGAATGGGAAGACGACCCCCAACCCCTTGACTAGTGTGCGGGGTCCTCGCACGCGGACGTGTTGGCTACTAAATAAAGCGTGAAGAGGGATCGCTGGGTAGCTGAGCGCCGCCGGCGGCCGCCGGGAGCAGCGAGCTGAGCCAGGTTGGGTGGGGGTGTTTCCTCGTCGAGAGCTCTCTGGTCAAAGTTTCCTTCCCGCTGGAAAACAAAAACAAAAACAAAAAACAAACCAAAACCAAAACAAACAAAAAAAAAAAACCTGGCTAGGCGTGGACCTGTGAATTCCTGAGGGGTGCCCCTTAGCAGTCCATTTCTCTTTCGTGTGGTTTTACTAAGAAGTTACCTAACATTTCCTGGGAAGAGAGGTAATACAAGCCCCTCGCTGGTGGCAGATTGTTGAGCCGTAGGTGGGAAGAGATCAGTCGGCCAGAGCCCAGAGAGGGCTGTATTTTCCTGATTGGAAAATGGGAACTTCCACGCTGAACAATAGCCTCTATTAGTGAGGTTATTTGGTTCCAAACTGTCCGGCCACATTTATAGCCGAGTCCTTACTTTTCTGGTAGTGCTTAATTGGATGCATTTGTTGACCACAACGAAGCAATAGTGACTCTTGATCTACTGGCACAGGAGCTTCTTGGTGATGAAAAGCGTTGCCTTGATGACTGTAAATAAATGAGACCACTTGAGAGAGCATTTCCTATTTTTTTCTTGACTTGATATTTTTCTTCCATTCTCCTTAATATTTACTTTTTCTTCTCTGCCACTTCAAAATGTTCAAAAGTTAGGGACACTTTAATTAAAAGAGATTTACTTATCTGACTTAGCATATTACCAGCTTTGATTTATTTTAGCTGGGATATTCAAATTGCATAGTTAGAAGACAAGCGGGACTTTCCCCATGTATCAAACAATCATCTTAGTAGTAGGTAAGTTCATAGATAGGAAAAGTATAAAGATATTTACCAAAATTGATGTTCAAAATCTCCATCTCTGTGTACAGCCTGTATTAAAGGAAGAAAACAAAACACCTTTCCCTATTTATTGTCAACACACATAATGTTCATATCTTCATGCTATGTTAATGTGGCCTCGTGCTACTTCTACATTCAGGCTTGCACTCTACAGTACTTTTTATATTCATCTCTGCCAGCCCATGGATAAAATTGATAATTAATTCTACAGCACTTTGTATTTCTCCTTCATCATATAAATGAAGGAAACACATGTAGGGAAAAGAGTTTGCTCATTTAGTGTGAATGGTGTGTGTTTGTGTGTGACTGTCGTTCAAGGCAAGAGAGCAAAAGAGAAGCTTAGACATTCAGATGAGTGTGTCTCTGATTTTTTTCCTAGAATGGATTTGTTTCTGTTATTTTCTCTTTTGGTATTATATATCACTTTCTTACAGCTAACATGCAGAGTTAAAAACTACTAAATGCTTATCCTCAACACTATTGATTTCTTTTCATTCTGTTCTGTTAGTAGAGGAGGTAATGCTCCCAGATTACCCCGGGGTCTCCTCCAGACGGTTGACAATTGCAATCGCAGTTTTGGGAAGATAAATGTTACTCTGGGAATTGTGTTTAATTACAAATAATCTAGGAGCTGCTCCAGGTCTCTGGGTTTAACCACACATGTGTTCAAATCACTGTATAAGGTTTACAAATGTGTGATATTTGTGAAAGGGGATACAATTCACTTTCTAAAACCAGGGGACAAACTAGCATGCTCCCACTTTGGGTTTGTCAACAGATTCTTAGAGATAACACTACCCAAAATAACACCAATGACCAGAAAGTGTGGCGTCTTCGAGCACTTGAAAGCCTAAAAAATTGTTCATTGGAGTTTACTTTCAGGTCAGTTTTATTAAAATGAAAATCTGAAAATTAGCCATGCTTTCTTGAGTTCTCAAAGTCTCTTGCACAAGTCCATTTGTGTAGAGAATATTTTTGAGTCTACATAAGTTTTTTTTAATTTTATTTTATTTTGACAGAAGTTTTGTGGATGTCCCCTGAAATAGCTCAATGGTTAATTTTTACTGTTCCTCTTGTAACTCAGCTGCTACCTTTGTGTGTGTGTGATTCTTTGCTTATATGGCAGCTCAATTAGTGTTGTTTGTGTGTGTGTGCTCGGTTTTTTCTAATAGTCTTATTAACAAGAAAAAAGGTGGCGAACAGGTTATTCTCTTAACCTGACCTGGCTCTAAGAGTAAGATGAGCAGCACTGAACAGATGTCCCCATTTAAGCCGTTCTTTTCCCACATGCCTGCTGGATATTGCAGGCGCGCAGGAAGCTCGCTTCAAACCTGGCCCATTTCAGGCCATAATGGCCACGTTATTTCGGCCCAGTGAACACGAACAAAATCGCGTGCTTTAGAATCATTCGACTCTGAGTCCAGGAAAAGCAGGGGGTGTGGTGGCAGTGGGGGTGGCTAGGGAGGGGTGTATATGAGTGGGGGAGCCGATTTCATCTCGGATCGCAGGAAGAGAACTTGCTCAAAAGAATTTTTCCCCAGCAAAAGTGGTATAATTTACAGCGCAACTTAATAATCCGAGGGGCAATGCAAAAGCCCTTTGCGTTGTAAACCGCTTCTAATTACCTGCCAGAGCAATTAGCTGACTATCACGAAGAAATTAGATCGCTCAATGTAGCATAAATAATGCGAATAATTTTGTAAGAAGAATGGAAAGCGAGACCTGGTGTTTCTTTATAAGGAAATAACACCTCGTACTGTAAGAGCCCTCCATGAACACATATTAATGTCTAGGCATGCATGGCAATGAGTCCGAGCAGGAGCCCTCTGGCTGCGGTTCAGCACTTTTTCCGTTTACGTATGCGGGGTGAAAGTCGGCTTCCAGGCGTTCGATCTCCAGCCTTCCAGCTCACAGTAATTAACACATAGCGACTTCAATGGGAAAACCTGTTTTCCAGATGATTTTTACAATGCAGCTTTATGTCTCATTTGGCAGTTTAAATAGCTGGAGTTGTTTTCTGGCTTCATCTCTACTATCATCTGTTGAGCATATTTTGCTTAGAATATTGAATCCCAACCAAAATTTGGGTGCAGGCTTTTGCTGACTTTTATTTTCTTAAGAAGTGGGGATATCAGGAGCCATTTTGAAGGATACTAGAGCAAAGAATTCTTGTGAGGACCTGCTAGTGCCAGCAGATATTTGAGTTCCTGAATGCGTTTACAAAGTACATTGGGATATTTTTGTGTATGCTTCACTTTAACTTTTTTATTTAAAATCTACCTTAATTATATTTTCTAACTAACTCACTTCTCTTGAGTGATTGTGCCCTATACGGGGGTTCAGATGGTGAGTTCTCATATTTCTTAGCAAAGAAAAATAAAAGTAAAGCTGCAATCTAATTTGGGAGGAAAGCTGAAGGTGCATTTAGGTGTCTGAAAGCAGTATAAGCTCTTTGAAATTTACTTGGTTTGTAAATTACAAGTGCGAAAACAACTTCCAAAGATGTTTGGAAAAAGAATATATGCACCGACACCTATATAGACAGACACACACACACATACACACACACACACACACGTGAAGTTGTCGCCTGCCCACAACTCCACCGCTTTCCTGTGCCGCCCAAGGGAAATGGGTCTCTCTTGAGCCCGTCTTTCTCTAGTAAACGAGGTGGGTCATACGTCTATGTCAAATTGAATCAGCCAGGACAGCTTCCGTGGTAATTAAACTGGACGTCTGTATTGGTCACAGCAAAGGGTGCCTTGTGAATTCAGGTTTTACTTGGTGCATCACAACTGTCAGGGTGAATCCCGCCCCCCACAGAGGTCTGAGTCATGGGTTGCCACTCTCCCACCACCCCTGCCAGCTCATCCCTACCCATCGAAAGCTTTGGCCCCGCTCATTTTTGAAACATTTTTCACGACTGAGTTCAGGGGTTTTGCAGGACTTCACAAAGATCTTGTCCCAGTGGGCCGCACATTCGCAGTTTTCTCCTGCTAAGAAAACATCGACGGTTTTGCTGCTGACTGGAGAGTTCTAGATGAAAACTGAAGGAACCCTAATTATTATTATTATCATTATTATTTTTGAGACAGAGTTTTGCTCTTGTTGCCCAGGCTGGAGTGCAATGGCACGATCTCGGCTCACTGCAACCTCTGCCTCCTGGGTTCAAGAGATTCTTCTGCTTCAGCCTCCCCAGTAGCTGGGATTACAGGCGCCCGCCACCATGTCCGGCTAATTTTTTGTGTTTTTAGTAGAGACGGGGTGACACCATGTTGGCCAGGCTGGTCTTGAACTCCTGACCTCAGGTGATCCACCCGCCTCAGCCTCCTAAAGTGTTGGGATTACAGGCGTGAGCCACTACGCCCAGCCTGGGAACCCGAATTATTTATTTCATCAACCTTGGCTACAAATGGGTTTACTCCTGCTTATGGTGTCAAGTCCATGCAGCCCCTCACCCCCTTTAAATAGAGAGGCATTGGCCGCCTTAGGCTCCCCCTGCCCTGAGTTTAGGGCTGTTGAGTGTAGGCCTACAGGGAGGGGGACCCACTGAGGAGAAACCGGCTCCACTTTAGAAGGTGCTGGAAATAAAATATCCGTATCAACTGTCGGAAACTTGGTTTGATGCGCTAATCACTCGGTTCAAGGGTGTCTACATTATTAGGTGCCAAGTCCCCACTTCCAATCCCAGACAGAAACACCCTTCTAGATGGAACAGAGGGCATGTTTTTATTTAAGACTTGATGAGTACCAACTCTTGTTCTGAGCAGAGGTTATTTTTTAAGAGGAAATAAGATCTTGATTCCTGCTTATGAATTCTGGAAAAGTAATAAAGGTTGTTCAGATAATTTTCCACAAGATCTTCATCCGAACCTTCCCACTTGCTGAATTTTTTTTCCCTGCAGCTTAATTTCCCCTAAACACTTTGCATCGCTCCCTCCCCCCACCATGGCCCTGAAGATTCTCCATCTTAAATAACAAGGACCCTGCTGGCTACTAAAGGAGGCTGCCCATTTTAATTCAAAACAAGGGCCACGAGTGCTGGTCTTAGAAAGAGCCGAGGAGTGAAGATCAACCTTTTTTTCTCTTGGAGTGCTTGCACTTAACCCTCAATCGCCAATATAGTACCTCTTTCTCTCTCCTTTATTAAAATATTTCTTTCATTCTTTTCTTTTTGGGGGGGAGGGGGCAAGATTTCTTAAGGTAAAAGAAATAAGCTGAACAGATTGATTATTGTTATGTCTGTAATTGCTCTAAAAACATTTTTCAGTGGGGCCTCATAGGGCAAACATATTGGTCTTTGATCAACACTGAAGAAAGCAAACATTGGAAAACCAAAACCCACTACTTTGGAGTCTACACTTGGCATTTACAGCCCTGAAATGGAATGCCCTTTACCTTCAAAAGGGCAGCTATTAACGACAGAAAGTTCTTGAGTTTTTCTGTAGATAGTGCTTCAGTAGTTTTCTAGTAGTATTCTAACCTAGGCATAACTTCCTCTCTTCTGAAACTGGGGAAACCCATTTGCAAAGTGAAACGATTTGACTAGTAATACCCAATGTCAGTTTATTTGAAACTATAGCTAAAAAGGGAAAAACTAATAAATCCACTTTGATTATTTTTCTGCTTAGTTTCAAGACGTCCTCTAAGCCTAGATAACGAAAGTGATTTCAAAAATTTTGACATACTTAACCAAATGAAACTAATAGGTGCGCAGCAAATTAGTACGAGCCATAGTCAAACCAAAAGAGGATCTTTTTTACTAGAAGAAACTTGCACTATTGATTTTATTGACTGACTCGATTTCAGTGTTTTAATCAACTTTAACAAATTTAACTGAAAACAGGGTAATTGATATATAGAATTTAAAACTTCAAAAATAAGCCGCAGATATTCATAAATATTTTTTATTAGGTGATTTGCTGTTGATTTACCATTTAAGTAAAAAAAACTATTCTTTTTTCTAACTTAAGCTACGGTGATCTGAATTTCCTTCCCTTTAGCTTCCTCAGTCAAGATTTGGGAACAGAAATTCCAAAATGCTTAGAAATGGGTGGGAAGATTGTAGGTTTAGAAGTCTGAGGAAGGAAATTACAAGCCGATGCTGATTGACTTTTGAAAGGCCTGGCACGTCCCAGTCTATATAATAACTCAGTTGGAGGAAGAACCTCGAGGACCGAGTGTCTCCAGATCACTTAATGCATCGGCATCCACCACGCTCGGCTCATGGGCAGGGCCCCCGAGGCTGCCACCAACCCACGGAGCCTTGAGGAGCTGCGCTTCCCCGCGATGGTCCAACGAACTTCGGAAGTGCTCCTGCTTCCGGTTTCACGTATACCTGGGATGCGTTGCCATACAGGTTTGTCCCGTTTTAATGCTTTGACCCATCTAAGATACGAGGACAGGAGACTGGAGAAGTAAACGAAAGGCAATGGCCGAGGGGTAAGGCGGGGAACACAGCAGGAAAAGGACAGGTTCCCCTTCACCTTCACCCCCAGTGTTGGCAACGTCCCAGGGATTCTCGGAGCTGAAGCTTCTTCAGAAAACAGTCAGCTTAATTAAGATCCTGCCCTTGGGGAATCTAGAATAAATGGCGAGTAGTGGGCAGCTTTCCCCACCAGTCGCAGGATCTAAAAGCAATGAGTGACGGTTGTCTGTGCAGCAGTCAGAGGGAAGAGCGACAGTTCCAGACGAGGGGCAGTCGGACTTCTCCGCAGCCTACCGCCAGCTTGGAGTGCAGATCTCCACCGACTGCGCCACAGACAGTCTCAGTCCCCAGCAGTCACAATATTTGCACTCCCCTTTCTTCCTGGCCTTTCAACCCCTCCCTTTCCTTCCTCCTCACCCCTCCCACCCCGCACCCGAGAGACAGCCTGCCGTCCCAGGTCCAGCCCGCGCCTCTGCGCACCTCCCGGCACCCGGCGCAGGTCGCCGGCCAGGGCACACACGCGTCCCCGCCTGCTCGCCGGCCCGCAAGGCCCGGGCTGCGGCGGCCGCGGGCGCGGGAGGCGGAGGCGCAGGCGCCGGGCTCCGTGGCAGCCCGGCCCAGCCCCGCCCCGCCCCACCCTCCGGCCCTCCCCTCCGCTTAGCCGTGCTCTCCCGCCGAGCTCCGCCGCCAGCTCCGTGCTCTGCCCGGCCCGTACGCCGCTCGCCACCGCGGCTCCCCGGGCGGGAAGGCTGCGCCGGCTCCCGCCAAGGGGGAGGCGCCACCCCGCCCCGGGGCGGTTGTCTTGCTGGGACTCCTGGGCCGGTCACAAAGCCCCTCTCCGCTGACCCGGAGGGACGGGAGTCGGGTGCGCGACGGCGGCTCCCCACCCCTGCACTCAGCCGCCCGCCCCGCTCCTCCTCCTTCCCTCCCTGTCCCTCCTCCTCTCCCACCCCCCGAGGGCTCGCACACCCCGCGGGCGGGAAGGTGCCGCCCTCGGGGCGGACAAAGGGGCAGGCCGGGCGGGAGGGGCTGTAGCCGGCACGCGCGGCCGCGGGAGGGCCCGCCTCGCCCCGGGCCGCCGACCTGACACCTGCTGGGCAGCCTGCGCGGCCTGGGGCGAAGGCCAGCGGGCGGCGGGGTGGGAAGCGCCAGCGCAGGGGCGTGTGTTCGGGAGGGGGTCGCGGACAGGTCAGGCGGCTTGGGACCCACCCCACCCGGGCAATAGTGACCTACTGCTTCGCTAGCGTCCCCTTTCAGGTCTTAACTGGACTTTAAAGATCTTTTAGAAAATTTATATTCTCGTTTTTATGTCAGCGACTATACATCAGAATCACGCAAAGGGCTAGTTAAAACGCAGATGGCTGGGCTCGTCCGCAGAGTTTCTGCTTCAGTAGGACTGCGGTGGGGCCCAGTCATTTGTATTCCTAAATTCTCAGGTGACGCTCATGCTGCTGAACCGGGTACCACACTAGGAGAATCACTGCTATGCCATTCATTCCCCACCACCCGCTAACTGTAGAAGTGGGGAGAGGATCTCCCGCAGGGATCCCAAAGACAGTGCTAGTGCTCTCATTGCCAAGGTAGTTTTATCTCTTTTGAAGGTAAGCTCTGCATTGAATACGTACTGGATCTTCTCGATAGAAGTTTGACCATATGCTAGAGTGGAACCCTCACGCTGCTGGTGCTGGAGAAAGCAAGGCTGTTTAGATAGATGCCAGGCAGAGAAAGCCACAGTCCAGTTTCCATTTCCCCTGAAGAGCCAGAACCAGGGCGATGGGTCTTTCCCAGCACAAATTCAAAAAAGAACCAAACAGTTTCATTTCGACACAATGACAACCTCCCACCTTCTCTTTATAAATTTTTGATATTTCGATCGAAATATTCTATCCTACGTTCAGCATGTTTCCATTGTTTTATATTTTACTGAAGGACCTAAAATATTTTAAAGCAGAGAAAAGAACTAAATGATAGGCAGAGAGGAGATTTAAATAAAATTTTTAAAAGCCACAAATTTACAATTGTTTTTTAAAAAGCATATCTATGTATTTAAAATAATATAATGAATTGAATCATTTAAAATGCACCCCTGTCCTTTCAAATCTGTTTTTTTTTTTTCAAAAAATTTTTGAAAATCTAATGAGAAATATATTTTGACATTCCAATCCAGTGAATTAGTTAAGGGAAAACTACCTAAAAAGAGGCACACTAAACTTTTCTTATCCCCAGTGGGCGGTGTTAATCATCCAGTTTGAGCCTTGTAGTTTTCATTGTCGAATACTTGGGTTCTCTCAAAGGGAAGAACGTTGGGGACTTGCATTCACTCTTTTTCAAGAGGAGATTAAACACAAAATCGATTTAATGGAGCATCTGTAATCTTAAATACGAGAAGTCAAGAGCTAAAGCTATAATAGAAAGGTTAGCTTTCCTCCATTGTTCACACAATCTAACTCATATTTTTGGAACTTAATTATCAATGAAAGCTACCACATCAATGCAATACAGTATAGGCAAATTACAAGAACCTTTTACTTCTCCCAACTGGGTTTAAATTGCAAATCTTAACACTGAACAGTGTGCTTTTGGCATTGAATATTCAATACAGGGAAATGTGTTTTAAGTGAACCACCCAAGGGCCCAGGAACATTTGCTTAATAATGATACTTTGCAATTCTATAGGGCCTTTCAGGCAAGGATCTCAAGTGGAATGCTCTTTAACTATACCCTGCATGGGAAACCTTGGGAATATTTTAAAGTGCTCACTTAAGGCCTATTGGAAAGAATCTTTTAGTATAGATTTCACAGTATGATTTTAAGAAATGAGGTACTGCAGAATTTTCAGTCTCAGGGGTATCATATTCATGGGGATTTGGTGGTTACTGAACATTTATTAGTTACTTTATGTAAAGGTTAAAATGTACATTTTCTCCAACTTTTTATTTTCAAAAAATTTAAACCTACAGAAAATAATGGTACAATGAAACATTTAATTTCAAAGAACACCCATATTCCCTTCACTTAGGTTCATCAGCTTTTAACATTTTGTGACAATTGCTTAGATTTTTCTAAGTAGATGGATAGCTAGACAGACAGACATATATGGATCTACTATATCTGAATAGATAGGTAGATGTCAGATATGATTATTTGTTTGTTCATACACATACATAAACTTACCTCTTTTATCTATTTCAAGTAAGTGGTAAACATCACTGCACTTTATTCCTAAGTACTAAAGCGTGCCTATCCTGATTAAAGGGTATTCTACATAACCATAAAGAATATTCTTATTGTTGAGTTTTTAAATACATTCCAATGGTTTTATTTTATTTTTGTATTCAGAATATCCATAAGTTTTATCAGTGTTGTCTACAAACTTAGGAAATGAGATTTAAGCCAGTACTGGTATACAAAATTCTAAAATACTGTTGTATTACCTAGGCATCTTGGGAATTTTAGAACCTGAGATTCTAATTAAGAAATTGCTGTATAACCAGATTTTAAAAACAATTGAAGAAACAAAACCATTTGCACATGCTTACAGAACACAAACAGAACATTTACATTTCAATCCAAACAAACAAAAAATTCTATTTTTACCTTAATATTTGATCTAAGTTATCAGAATAATGGTCTTAATTATCCACTTCATTTTGATAGCTAGTATAGACTTGACCAAAGAGAAAATAGCACTGGCAGTTATGTACTCTGAGAAGTGTGTGTAGACAATTTATATAATTTTGCCAAAATGGCCAATTAATTGATATAATTATGAATGTCTGGACTTAGCTTTTATGGTTAAAAAAGTAAAACCTCTTGTCTTTCCAATGGTGGCTTTCTACTAGCTTTAATGATCCATATTTTTCCTTGATTGAATATTTTTGCATGCTTAATTTTAAAATATTCTCATATGTTTCAATAATATAGACATATTAATTAAAAGTAATTAGCCAAAGACTATCAAGTACATCTTCTTGTCTCTTACAAGTCCTTGAATTATTACATAACTTAATGTGTGATTTGTCCCACTTTTGGAAATGTATATAATTACGTATTTACCTCTACAGTGTTAGTGTCTTATACTTAATATTCACTCATTAGCATTATTCTATCTTCTGCAGAAAGCCAACTTCTAACTGCATGAAATTCCTGGAGCTTAAAATCATCTTACAAATAAATGTAGATGAATTTTTGCAGTTTGTTAGGTGTGAAATTCATACAGCTTTATGTAAAAATTGGTGGGAATATTAAATTTTATATATGTAATTACCTCCTTGGGTCAGAGTCACTGTTATTTTGGTTATTTTAAATGTAATTTAGGCCTGGCACGGTGGCTCACGCCAGTAATCCCAACACTTTGGGAGGCCAAGGCGGGCGGATCATGAGGTCAAGAGATCAAGATGATCCTCACCAACATGGTGAAACCCCGTCTCTACTAAAAATACAAAAATTAGCTGGGTGTGGTGGCACGTTCCTGTAGTCCCAGCTACTTGGGAGGCTGAGGCAGGAAAATTGCTTGAACCCAGGAGGCGGAGGTTGCAGTGAGCCAAGATCAAGCCACTGCACTCCAGCCTGGGAGACAGAGCGAGACTCCGTCTCAAAAAAAGAAAATAAAGACAAAAATAAATAAATAAATAAATGTAATGTTTTCTTTTATTCTTTTTTTTTTTTTTTTTTGAGAGGGAGGCTCGCCCTGTTGCCCAGGCTGGAGTGCAGTGGCGCAATCTCGGCTCACTGCAACCTCCACCTCC
Organism: Homo sapiens; assembly: GCF_000001405.40. Classification (NCBI taxonomy): domain Eukaryota; kingdom Metazoa; phylum Chordata; class Mammalia; order Primates; family Hominidae; genus Homo; species Homo sapiens. The sequence continues at coordinate 20,802,253 of NC_000007.14, forward strand.
CCAGTTCAAGCAATCCTCCTACCTCAGCCTCCTGAGTAGCTGGGACTACAGGCGCCCACCACCACGCCTGGCTAATTTTTTTTTTACTTTTAGTAGAGATGGGGTTTCACCATGTTAGCCAGGATGGTCTCGAACTCCTGACCTTGTGATCTGCCCACCTCAGCCTCCCTAAGTGCTGGGATTACAGGCGTGAGCCACCATGCCCCGCCAGCTTTCTTTTATTCTTATGTAGTTCACTTTTTTTTTTTTTTTTTTTTGAGACAGGGTATTGTTTTGTCACCCAGGCTGGAGTCCAGTGGTGTGATCATGGTTCACTGAAGCCTCGGCCCTCCTGGCTCAAGCCATCCTCTCACCTCAGCATCCCAAGTAGCTGGGATTACAGATGTGTGCCACCACATCGAGCTAATTTTGGTGGTTTTTGGGGTAGAGACGGAATTTTGCCATGTTGCCCAGGCTGGTCTTGAACTCTTGGGCTCGAGCAATTCTCCTGCCTTGGCCTCTCAAAGTGCTGGGTGTGAGCCATTGTACTTGGCCTTGTTAATCTTATCAAATAAGAACTGCAACATGAATTGGTTTAATCAGAATTTAAGCATTGGAGATATATAATCTAAATTGCAATACATGGTTTTTGACAACTGCTAATGGTTATTGTCTCTGTCCCTGAGAAATTTGTTATTACTGATCAACTGAAAGAAATTAAGAACGACAATATTTCTTTTTTTCTTTTTGAGATGGAGTCTCTGTCGCTCAGGTGGGAGTGCAGTGGCGCCACTCAGCTCATTGCAACCTCCGCCTCCCAGGTTCAAGTGATTCTCCTGCCTCAGCCTCCCGAGTAGCTGGGATTACTGGCGTGTGCCACCACGTCCCACTAATTTTTGTATATTTAGTAGAGACGGGGTTTCGCTATGTTAGCCCAGCAGGTCTCAAACTCCTGACCTCAAGTGATCCATCTGCCTCAGCCTCCCAAAGTGCTGGGATTACAGGCGTGAGCCACTGCACCTGGCCGAGAACGAAATTTTTTTTTTTTTTATATGAGATGGAGTCTTGCTCTGTCGTCTAGGCTGGAGTGCAGTGGCACGACCTCGGCTCACTGCAAGCTCCGGCTCCCGGGTTCACGCAATTCTCCTGCCTCAGCCTCCCGAGCAGCTGGGACTATAGGCGCCCGCCACAACACCCGGCTAATTTTTTGTGTTTTTAGTAGAGACGGGGTTTCACCGTGTTAGCCAGGATGGTCTCGATTTCCTGACCTCGTGATCCGCCCACCTCGGCCTCCCAAAGTGCTGGGATTACAGGCGTGAGCCACCGTGCCCGGCCTGAAAATATTTCTAAATAAAATTGCTATGTTTTTTCATACATTAGGAGAAGCTAGGTGATATGAAATGATCGCCAAATTATAAATTGGGAAAACTAGTTTCTACTTTCGATTCCATTAATTTTCTGTATTAGGTTAGATGATCTATCACTTAGTCTAGCTAAGTCTCAGTTTGCTTATTTATAAAATAGGGATATTACCACTCAGCCAACTCCAAAAGAGGACTCTGAGGACCCAATCAGATAATATATGTGACTTGTCCTATTTATGGAGCACCTCCTTTAGAGAAATATAAGCAACAGATATCTGATTTCTAGACATTTACAGTCCCTGGGTAGAAGAACAAAAATGCAGGAAGGTACCACTTATGGTAGAGAAGAGAATACTTATTACTAAACATATTTGTTACTTTGGGTCAATAGGGAGTTACAATAAATGAATATTAAATAAAACTAGGGGTCTTTGGTTTATTATGAAAAGATACATGTAACAGATATGAAATATTTTGGAGACTAAAATTTTAACTTTTCAGATTTTTGTTGAGTAAACCTAAGACAAACTTAGAGCAGCCCTTATTATTTGAGATATGTACTAAAGCTATAGAAAGATCAATAGCATACAATATATACCTAGTATGGCTAGAACAAACAGGTAATACTAATAAGTTAGGGAAAAACTGTTTGTTGGCATTTTGCATGGATTATCAGGCAAGATGGTGTTCTGAGACCTAATCAGTAACTATGGCCTTGTATCAGTATCTTATGTATAAAAAAAAGACAGCTGGCTTTAAAATATTTCTTTTTATTGAAGTAAATGGGACTCTGAGACTGTCACCCTCTTTTGTCTATTGGGGATCAGGTCCTGCCCACTTTGGGGCACTGGCTCTACATCTGTCACTCCATTCACCAATAAGTCTCAAAGTGAGGACACTACAGCTGTCCTGTTCTTTTCAACCTTTTCTGGGATGGAAGAGATGCGATGACTTGCCGGCTGGTCAAGGCTTCATCACATATTCGGCAAGTCTGTACAAGCACTATCATGTAATTGTATTGTTCTCTCTTTTGTTTGTAAAGCAGAACTTTTCAGTTTAAAAGGTCACTGGAATGTTTATTTTACTATGGGTCCCTATTTAATTATTCTACTTTGAATTGTATTTGTTAATAAAACAATAGTGACAAATCGTTAGCCATAATTTATGTTGGCCATGCACATGCGTGCATTTGCATAGCCCAAAGCAGTTAGTAAATGGAAGAGGACTGGAGGATCTAGTCGGGAGGTTCCCTTCAGGTTTCCTTCCAAACAAGGAATTACTGTTAGCTTCCCAAAAAGGATGTGGACATAGGCAAAGAATCTTTTGTGTTTGAAAGTAGCAGATTCTACTAATTTAGTATTAATGGCTTGAATCTTTCACAGAAACTTGAATGTAGAGCAATCAAATGGTTTTTCAATTGGTTGGTGACTGGGCTGATTCTGGCCAAACTCTGCATCTTTGAGTTGGAATTTGTGGAGATCAAAGTTCACCTGGGCTTTATCTTTGCTGGGTATTATGTTGAGTGTGTGTGTGTGTGTGTGTGTGTGTGTGTGTGTTTTAAAGACAAAAAAAATATGTCTTTAATTATTTCAATAGTCCTGATGGAAAGGTACTAATTGTAATTTTGAGCTCCAGAAATTTAGATCACTCCACAGGTGGATTTGGTGCAGTTTTCAGTGAAACAGACTTTAGAGCCACCAATCAGCAAGCCAGATTCCTAGGAAGACCCCAAAACACAAATTATTGGAGAAACATAACAATTTCAAAGATATTTTCAATTTGGAAATTCAAATCTATTTTGTAGATTAAGACTATTTTTTCCAAAAGCCTGCTTAATTCAGGATACTTAGTGACATAAAGAATGAAGAATATATGATTTCTACACACACACACACCACACACACACACAGAAGTTAAGAAATTTAGCTATAATTAATACCAAATAAAACAGTGAGGCTGGGCACAGTGGCTCACATCTGTAATCCCAGCACTTTGGGAGGCTGAGGCAGGTGGATCACAAGGTCAGGAGATTGAGACCATCCTGGCTAACATGGTGAAACCTCATCTCTACTAAAAATACAAAAAAAATTAGCCGGGCTTGGTGGCATGTGACTCAGGAATACCTGAGACTGGGTAATTTATAAAGAAAAGAAGTTTAATTGGCTCACAGTTCTGCAGGCTGTATGGGATGTGTCACACTGTCATCTGTCTGCCTTCTGGGGAGGCTTCAGGGAGCTTTTACTCATGGCAGGAGGTGAAGCAGGAGCAGGCATGTCACATGGCCAGAGCAGGAACAAGGGAGAGTTGGGGATGTGCTGCACACTTTAAACAACCAGATCTCATGAGAACTCACTCACTAAGAGCACCAGGCCATGAGGAATCCACCTCCATGACCCAAATGCCTCCCAACAGGCCACACTTTCAACATTGGGGATTACATTTCAACATGAGATTTGGGTGGGGACAAACAGCCAAACTGTATAACTACCAATATGGAGGCCACCACCTGCAAACAGCTTGTCTTTCTCTGGACTCTAGTTCATCAAGGCTCCCTTGAACTCTTACCTTGCAATAGTGCCATAAAAAATAGGATTTTTATATTTCAATTTTTTATGTTTTTTGTTTCATCCACTACTGGAGTAAAGGTTTATTAGTTTTCTATTGTTGAGTAATAATTATCACAAATTTAAAAGATTAAAACAACCCACATTTATTATCTCAGTTTCTATTCCAGCATGGCTTAGTCGCTGGGATGAACTCAACACATTGGCTGGGCTGGATGTGATTTCATCCTGGTTTGCACAGGATGAAATTAGCATATTGGCTGGGCTGCAACCTTATCTGGAGGTTTGACTGGGGAAGAATTTACTTCTAAGATCATCACTCAGGTTGTTAGTAGAATTCATTTACTTGCAACTATTAGACTGAAGGCTCTGTATTTTTGCTCTGTCAGCTGGAGGCTGCCCTCAGTTTCCAGAGGCTGCCAACAGTGCCATGCCATGTGCTTGCTTACTTCATCAAGCCAGTAAGGAAAGTGTCTAGAGTGGGTTACCAAGATGGAATCTCATATAATGCACTATAACTATATTCAGGAGTGAATCTCATCACCCTTGCCATATTCTCTTAGTTAGAAGCAATTGACAGATTATGCTCACACTTAAGAGAAGATTATACAAGGGCATACATACCAGGAGGAACAAATCATAAGGGCTACCCTAAAGATTGTGTGGTACCCTTCTGTCCACCACAGAAGGTCTTTTGTGCCCTTACACATTTTAACTGAATGTAGAAGTCCACAAGAAAACTTTAAAAAGTCCAATGTCTTTATGTGGTGGATACTACACCTTCCTATTGGATATACATATTAGGAACCTTGGAAAGAGGTAAAGACTATTCAACAACACTAGATGACAGACCCAATTCAGCACTAAGAACTATAAGGGTTGAACATTGCTTATAATATACCCATAATAGGGTAGAAGAAGCATGGTCAAAACTTATGATAAAGCTGGCAAGAAGATGTTCTAAGTGGTCATTCAGACAGAGAATAGATTGTGCATCTTTTATTAAGTTATGGATTTCAGTAATTTAAAACCCACAATGCTGATCTCACAATTAGATCATTCTAGTCAACAAAATAAAGGCAAAACAACTCCCAAAACTTTGTTGGTGCAGTCATTTCAAACAACGGAAAATGGACAAAAGAGACACCCTGACAAGAAAGACAATAAACACAGTCATAATCTGGTTCACTGGACAACTGTGATTATGGGTATTTGACTCAACAATTGTAATTATGGCTAGCTACAGTGATTACTGAACACACATTACTTGGTGGCAAGTTTGTGGTCTCTTCCCTTTGTATCCAAAGGAAATACTCTACCACTGCAAAATTATAGCTAAAGAAGAATTAATGATTTCTCTCATACTGGATCATGAAGAATGAAAAGAAGAAAAGAAAACCCTATTACATATCATAGAGCTGAGAAGGTTTTCCCTCCTCAGACTTCTATACATTACATCTTTTTTCCAAATAGATATTTTTTTACCTTCTCTCCTTTTCATGACTACTAAAATATGTATCTTTATGCATTGGTTGCTTTAAAATTAAATGGTAAATTAACCTTACTAATTAAAGTTACATATCATACTGCCAAAGGCATACCATGTTGTGTGATTGTTTTTTTCATATGTGATGTAATGGATAACGTAATTTAAAAAAAATTGATTTTAGCCAGGCACAGTGGCTCATGCCTATAATCCCAGCACTTTGAGAGGCCAAGGCAAGTGAATCACCTGAGGTCAGGGGTTCGAGACCAGTTTGGCCAACATGGTGAAACCCTGTCTCTACTAAAAACACGAAAATTAGCTGGGTGTGGTGGTGGCTGCCTGTAATCCCAGCTACTCAGGAGGCTGAGGCAAAAGAATTGCTTGAACCCAGGAGGTGGAGGTTGCAGTGGGTTGAGATCATGCCATTGCACTCCAGCCTGGGCAACAAGAGCAAAACTCCCTCTCAAAAAATAAAAATAACATAAAAATAAAAACTTGGTTTTAATATATTGTTATAAAAATTCAGAATGAGGCCAAAGTAAATAGGATTACAAGACCTGTAGTGTAAATGTCTTTTCTCATTTAACGACCTCAATATCCTGTACTCCATGTGTGTTACTGCAGTCTTAGATTGTCAACTCTTAAGACAATCTACATTATTTCTTTGTATGATTCCATGTACCTATAAGAACTTGGTAGATTTATTTAGAAAGTAGTTATTTCAGCTTCCTTCCTTCATACCCCTCTCCTGCCCCATATACAGTGGACTCACTCTAATGTTATTTTTGGTGGGAAAATACTTAAATTGAATTTTTCTCACTGTTCATCATAGGGAGAATAATTCTCTCCCAAACCTTTACCTCTAGAAACTAAAAGCCTTTTCTTACACTGAAGGTTCTTATCTTTTGCTTTATCTTGATATGCCTAGTATTTTTTTTTACCTCTTTATATTCTTATTTCATATCTGAATCCCTACTTAATTTTTTGATCGAAAATTATAACTATTTTGTAAGTATATATGGCACTATATTTTAAATGAGAAGATTGATTCTGCTATATATCTTTAATGAAGAAAACAGCCACTGATTGCAACAAAAGCTTTAGACATTGAAGAAAAAAAAATCTATCAGAAAGAAAAAAATTAGCTAGAGCTTGCTTTTATCCAAACATATTTAGATTCTCTTTATAGACTCTGAAAAATAGCCTGAAATACTTTGTCTTTACTTCAGCCAACTGGAGGCCACTGGGAAAGTATATCACTGTATATCAAGTAGCCATAATGATCAAATTATATACATAATCTATCCATTTAGATGTTAACTGCTAGTAGTAATAATTTTAAATTGCAGTTATAGTCACTATGCCTTTAAAAAAAAAATCAGTGAAGACAAGTCTACTCCCATTAACAAAGGCTACCTCAATATAAACAGACTGAAGAAAATGTGAGTTAGGGATTTCTTGTTTCTCCCTCCACAGAAGGGAGAACTTCAAGAAAAAAGTACAAAGTAATAGATCATTGGATGTGCATAAATCTTTAGAAAAATTGAGAGGCATTTGCCAAATGTGTTATGCCATTTGGGGAAAAAGTAGCTATCGGTACACAGAAAACTAAACCAATGTAATATCAAGGAAATGAACAATTCCAGGAAAAACAAAAAGATAAGTGAGAGAGAAAACATAATCAAAATATACCACTTGGCTCAGGAGTAAACAATTTTTATGTAGTCATAACACAGTAAATACCAATTATTGATTTAAGTGAAAATTTTGATATACCTATACTGGATGAATGGGGAGACAAACGTGTATTATTTTGTAAAGCATAAGAAAGCTCAATCATTATCCATAAGAGAAAACCAATAGGTTATATAGATATATATATATATAGTACCATATATACATATACATGTACATATATACAGTGCATGTATATATATACTTAATATACATTTGTATATTGTGTATACATATGACTTTTATATATATGTATTAATTATGTATATGTATAAGTAAGTACATATTTATATATATAACAGTTATATGTTATATATATACAATATACAAATATATATATATAAATATTTACTTAATTACTAAAAGAAAGAACTAAAAGTCGTTGCCTTGGGCTGTGAGGTTTGGTGAGAGGTTGGGGGTTAAGAGAATTGGGAGTGGGATAGGGAGAATTTTTAATAGTACTTGATTTTTATACCATATAGATGTATTACATAAGTAAAAATAAAAATTAAAGTAATATCTTCTTTAGCAAACAAATATGTGGCTTGAAGAAACACTTTCAAATCATATTCTTTCACTTCCAGAAGCAGTTAATACATACATGTATGATTTCTGTTTGTTTTTTTTTTTGGAACGAAGTTTCGCTCTTGTTGCCCAGGCTGGAGCACAATGGCGTGATCTCAGCTCACTGCAACCTCTGCCTCACTGCGATTCTCCTGCCTCAGCCTCCTGAGTAGCTGGGATTACAGGCACCCGCCACCACGCCCGGCTAATTTTTGTATATTTAGTAGAGACGGGGTTTCACCATGTTGACCAGGCTGGTCTTGAACTTCTGACCTAAGGTGATCCACCCGCCTCGGCCTCCCAAAGTGTTGGGATTACAGGCCTGAGTCACCACACCTGGCATACATGTATGATTTCCTAAAGACCATTTCTAATCAAAAAATTTAAATAATTGTTCCTTTTCTTTTTTTTAGACAGAATCTCTTTCTGTCGCCAGGCTGGAGTGCAGTGGCACGATCTCGGCTCACTGCAACCTCCGCCTCCTGGGTTCAAGCGATTCTCTTGCCTCAGCCTCCTGAGTAGCTGGGCCTACAGGCACATTCCACCATGCCCAGCTAATTTTTGTATTTTTAGTAGAGACAGGGTTTCACCATGTTGGCCAGGGTGGTCTCAATCTCTTGACCTCGTGATACACCTGCCTTGGCCTCCCAAAGTGCTGGGATTACAGGCATGAGCCACTGGGCCCGGCCAAAAATTGTTACTTTTGAGAATGTTAAAGTTCAGAAACCCAGTAAAATGGGCTCAGAGTTCCAATCAAACTATTTTTAAAAATCACCAGATAAACCCCAGGTTATAACAATGAAGGAAATAATTTACATGTTTTGGTTTTTATTCCATCTTTTTCACTTCTTTCTTTCCTTTTCTTTTTTTTTTTTTTTTTTTTTTTTTGAGACAGAGTCTCACTCTGTCACCCAGGCTGGAGTACAGTGGCGTGATCTTGGCTCACTGCAAGCTCCACTTCCTGGGTTCACTCAATTCTCCTGCCTCAGCCTCCCGAGTAGCTGGGACTACAGGCGCCCGCCACCACGCCCGGCTAATTTTTTGTATTTTTAGTAGAGACGGGCTTTCACCGTGTTAGCCAGGATGGTCTTGATCTCCTGATCTTGTGATCTGCCTGCCTCAGGCTCCCAAAGTGCGGGGATTACAGGCGTGAGCCACCGCACCCAGCCCATCTCTTTGATTTCTTAGTTGCAAAGTGCAATGCAGTCCACATTCTTGGGTTTGAATAAGTCTTATTGATCATGTGATCTTGGACCAGTAGCTTAACTTCTCTAAGCATCAATTTCTTCTCTAAAATTAATGATAAGGTAGTGTAGCTGTGAGGGTTAAATGAAATGAAATATATCAGCAAAGTGTTAAGTACATCACAGGCTTTTGCTAAATGCTAACAACTATTACTCCTTCTTTCCTTTTTCCTTTTTTTCTTTCTAGAAAGTGATTGTTGTCTTGCAACTTTGTTAATATGCATTGTCTTCTACTACTGTGTAACTAGGTGCTCTTTAACAAGCCTATTAGTTATCTCTAGCTACATCTATTTTTATAAACAAACAAATTATGAGCCATTATTCTCTTCAGCATAATGACAGAACTAAATTCAGAACAGAACTAAATTCTTCATAAGTATCCTAATTATATATTATGCAAGAATAGGTAACTAGTTTCTGATGTTCTGAGGAGGTAAATGGAATATTAGTTCTAATTATATAGCACTTTCATTTGTCAAGCTTAAATTGTGTGTGTGTGTGTGTATAATTTTATAAAACCTTTGATGAAGATGGTGTATTATTATTATTTCCATTTGGCAGATGAAAAGACTGAGGTTTGAAGAAGCTGTATAGTTTGTTATAGTCTATATAATTTGTCTTTAAAAAACATTTCCTTCTGTTCTAGCATAGTGCATTATTTGTGTCAATTCATTTTAACTTCATCATTTTAGCACTATCATAAGTGCAGCTGAATAGTCATAAAACATTGTTTCAAAACTTAAATATGGCCGGGCGTGGTGGCTCCTGCCTGTAATCCCAGCACTTTGGAAGGCCGAGGCGGGCAGATCACTTGAGGTCGAGAGTTCAAGACCAGCTTGACCAACATGGAGAAACCCCTTCTCTACTAAAAATTCAAAATCAGCCGGCCGTGGTGGTGCATGCCTGTAATCCCAGTGACTCGGGAGGCTGAGGCAGGATAATTGCTTGAATCTGGGAGGTGGAGATTGTGGTGAGCCGAGATCGCGCCATTGCACTCCAGCCTGGGCAACAAGAGCGAAACTCCATCTCAAAAAAAAAAATCAAAACAACTTAAATATGTAGTTAGTCATTGATAACTTTGTGCCCAAATGGGTCATACTTTTGAATCCTAAACAGCTGCAGGTTTGATTACGTTGTTTGCTACAGGGTCACTATGACTTTCCTTCATTGATTTGCTTTGATTGGTTTATTTGTTCATTTATTCAACAACAGACTGCTCATCATGTGATAGGCACACTGTCTGGTACTGGGTATCCAAACTTGAAAGGATACAGTCCTTGCCCTTAAGCAGTCCAGTGAGGAGGTCTATCTTTACGCATTTGTAACACAATGTGATTAAGGGCATAACATATTAACAAGGCTATCAGAAGAAAAGCCCCTGGGTGTGTTCAAGGAGAGTCAGGCCTGGTTTAAGCCATTACATCCTAGACTATCCAGGAGCGAAGGACCTCTCCTCTAGGACTTGCCCTTTTCTCTCTGAGACCTGGCTCGAGGCAGATTGCATTGGCATGACTCTTTTTTGAGACTATGCTTTTTTGAGACCAGCAGTGACGCGATCTTGGCTCACTGCAACCTCCGCCTCCTGGAGTCAAGCAATTCTCCTGCCTCAGCTTCCTGAGTAGCGGGATTACAGGTGCCCGCCACCATGCCTGGCTAATTTTTGTATTTTTTGTAGAGACGAGGTTTCATGATGTTGGCCAGGCTAGTCACAAACTCCTGACTTCAGATGATCCACCTGCCTCGGCCTCCCAAAGTGCTAGGATCACAGGCATGAGCCACCGCGTCCAGTTGGTATGACCCTTTTTTAAAAACCTTCTCCCGGAAAAGGGCAATATGTTTCCATGCAGTAGGCCTCTTGGGACCCTTAATTGTTTTCAGACTTTGGGGACAATATTCCAATCTCATCTTAATAATTGGAGTTTCTAGTTGCTAGGGCAATTGCCTTGTTGGCTTTGGATGCAGTTTTCAAGTGAGAAGCAGCCTGGGGTTAATTTTCTGGAGTCCGTTTCCTGGAGGCACCTGGGTAACATGACTACAAATTACATGCCCTATCTGTGATACCACGCTACCTCTGGCCCCAGTTTCTTCACACTTGTATAAACAGGAGGAATATGGGATCTCCTTACTGATCTCATAATGTCTCTTCATCAGCTTGTGTGTGCTGCCCCAGTCTGTCCACTGTCCTTGTGAATTCCAGATACTGGAACGCCATGAAAAGGCATGGTGTGACCACATGGCTGATAACGTCCCTGACGTGAAAAATTTAAAGTGGAGTGTACTGGCTGAGAGTGCAGTGGTTTGAGTGTTGGCTCTCGTTTGTAGTCATCTCTGGCAAGTTATTTAACTATCTAGTGTTCAGTTTCCTCATCTACAAGAATGATAAAATACAGCAGTAATCAATTTCATATAGTTGTTGTGATGATTAAGTAACAGAAACCATTATAAGTACCCAAAGCAGAATGTTTGGCACCTAAGTGCTCTGTACATGTTGGTCATTAATTCATGCAGAGAAGATAGCAGGCAGTGCACACCAGCACTTTTTCCACATCTTCCCTCTAGAGTGGTGTCCCTCAGGATTGTGCTATTTCTCTCCTGGCATGTCTCACTTTGGTATTCCTCTCACTTTCAGAAAATGCATCTGGAGATGGTGACTTACCTACTGTCTTTCCATTCTTGAAGCTACTGTGAGGTTTCCTAGGGAAGTCTAGAGAATGTAATAACTGGGACATTAGGAGTTTGTTAGATTTCACCCATCTGGTTGTGAACAGTCTAAAACTCCTTTCATTTTTTTTTTCAATTTGTACCTAGAAATTTGTTGTAGCACCAAAGGAAAATGTACACAGAGAGCCGGGCACAGTGGCTCACACCTGTAATCCTAGCACCTTAGGAGGCTGAGGCGGGTGGATCACATGAGGCCAGGAGATCTAGACCAGTCTGGCCAACACGGCAAAACTCTGTCTCTACTAAATTAGCCAGAGGTGGTGGTGCACACCTGAAATCCCAGTTACTTGGGAGATTGAGGCACAAGAATCACTTGAACCTGGGAGGCAAAGGTTGCAGTGAGCTGGGATCGCACCGCTGTACTCTAGCCTGGGCGACAGAAGGAAAAACAAAAAACAAACAAAAAAAGAAAATGTATACAGAGTCTCAAAAATTGTGAGTAAGTTAGTAACATCATTTCCAAAAGTGTTCATTAAATGTTATTTTTAAGTAGTATGCAATACCTAATAATTAAGTGTGATAAATATTATTTTTCCACTAGGCGCAGTGGATCATTCCTGTAATCCTAGCATTTTGGGAGGTTGAGGCAGGCAGATCACTTGAGGCCAGCCTGGCCAACATGGCAAAACCCTGTCACTACCAAGAATACAAAAATTAGCTAGGTCCACACCCAGGTGTCTGCCTGTAGTCCCAGCTACTTGGTTAGTCTGAGGTGGGAGAATCCCTTGAGTCCAGGAGGCTGAGGTTACAGTGAGCTGAGATCACCACTGCATTCCAGCCTGGGGATAGAGCAAGACCATGTCTCAAAAAAAAAAAAAAAAAAAAAAAATATATATATATATATATATATATATATATATATAAAATATATATGATGCTATATATGTAAAATGATATATATATATGTTTTCTCTATTATGTAAACAAAGTAAGGGTTATTGAGACCCTGAAAGTACAAAAAGGAACTTATTAGTAAGAAAATACAATGTAGAATATTTTCATTGAATAATGATGCATATCTTAGTCATAAACTCCATTAGAATCCCAATATTTTAACTCTAAAATTTCAGCTACAAATGATCATTTGATTACTTACGTTTTGATACTAGATATTTTATATTGTTCTAAGAATTTTTAAAACAAAATTTCTCACGAGTGGTTAAAATAACTCTTGAAGAAAAAATATTTGATAGAAATTTGAAATATTTGCTTCCCATGAAAGTACATCTGAGTTCTAAATGATGTGTGTAAGTATGAGTCAAAGATGCCGGGCGCGGGGGCTCACGCCTCTAATCCCAGCACTTTGGGAGGCTGAGGTGGGCGGATCAAGAGGTCAGGAGATCGAGACCATCCTGGCTAACACGGTGAAAACCCGTCTCTACTAAAAATACAAAAAAATTAGCGGGGCGTGGTGGCGGGTGCCTGTAGTCCTAGCTACTCCAGAGGCTGAGGCAGGAGAATGGCGTGAACCAGGGAGGCGGAGCTTGCAGTGAGCCGAGATCGCGCCACTGCACTCCAGCCTGGGTGAGAGAGTGAGACTCCGTCTCAAAACAAACAAACAAAAAAAAAGTATGAGTCAAAGATGGTGTTTGGAGAATTACGTAGAGGCTAAGACTATTCACCTTCTAGAACTTACTTGTTTGTTTCCTCCATTGGTTTGAAAGTTCTTTTTTTTTTTTGAGACGGAGTCTCACTCTGTTGCCAGGCTAGAGTGCTGTGGCGCGATCTCCGCTCACTGCAACCTCCAACTCCCTGGTTCAAGGGATTCTCCTGCCTCAGCCTCCCGAGTAGCTGGGATTACAGGCATGCGCCACCATGCCCGGCTAATTTTTGTATTTTTAGTAGAGATGGGGTTTCACTATGTTGGCCAGGATGGTCTCGATCTCCTGACCTCGTGATCTGCCCGCCTCGGCCTCCCAAAGTGCTGGGATTACAGGCGTGAGCCACCACGCCCAGTCGGTGGTTTGAAAGTTCTTTGAGAGTATGACAGTGTCTTATGCTTTTTTATTTTCTTCCTACCATACATTATCTTGCCTTGGACATGGAAAATACTAATTGAATATTCAAATGAATTGAATGAACATGATGAACTTGAGATCTGTAATGACCTATAATTTAATTTTTAAATCAGAGTCTAATAATTCTTATCCATATCACTTTTAACTTTTGTCACTTCTGGTTAAGTTGTTAGATCAGACTTTGAGTTAATTTGCAAAATTAGACAAGGTTTATCATGTTGTTTTAGAAAAATAACCTAATTAAACACTGGGATTGTCGACAAGACATGCTTGGTGAAATATTTTGATGAAGGTATTTCTCTTTAAATAATAATTGTAAAATAATGGTTTGGATGAACATATGCAATCATTTATGTAAGGCAGACTGCTTCTAATTCTTTTGTTCCTTTCCAAACACTAACTATGGGACATAAAATAAAAAGACATTAATATTCAAAATACATAGTGTTTTTGGTTCTTTTTAAATCATGATTTTTTTCTTTTTTTTTTTTTAGTGGCTAGTGTAGCACTTGGAAAATCATATACACTTCAATCCCAGGAATAGTGGTATTGCCAAAGCAAAACATCTTCTATTTACATATAAATGTCCTCATTCAGCATGACTGAATACCTTTCTCATTTATAATGAAGTGGCAACAACCACAGCAATCAAATTCTAAGACATAGAGGCTAGATTAAAGTGACTGAGCATATCTCAGGATCGAAAAACAATCTTTCAAAAAATTTAGCCTGGTCCCAACGTATAATCCTTCGTAAAGCTATTTTGAATTATTGCCAGATCCCTGGCTGTGATTTTGCAATTCCAACCAAATACTTCATGAGACCTTTGGAGGAGAATCTCAGAAGTTCCTGCTGCAGCCAGTGACACAGAGGAAGTGTTGATCTGTTTTCACTGTACCATCTGTGTTTTGCTGAGAGACCAGTGGCTTTTATTTGTAAAGTGACCTATCGAAGCCAATGAACATTGTGGTTTTGCATTAACCATAATATTGTCATTTCAAATGGAATGTACAAGTTTATCAAAATCCACTTTAAACTTTTTATGTTCTCAAAGCAACAGGAAGCCAATTTATGTGGCCAATTAAATAGCTGTTGACTTTGATTTTGGTATTTTGTGCCATGGTCTTATCATTTAATTTGAAATACATATATTTTTAATCAAAACATTAAAAAAGAGTAAAATTTATTCTGCAATTGCTCCTTTTAAAATTTAAAATAATTGTATTTATTATTTAATATTTGAATAAATATCATTTGAACATCAATCTCACTACCAGTTTAGAGCAATCTTCTAAGTTATTTTGCTCTTCTTAAATATATTTTAAGATATGAGAGCAAACTAGATTTCTGAGAGTTTGTAAAATAAAGGAAAACAAATTAGGCATTTCTTCAGAAATGTGACCTCCTAAAGGACAGCTAAAGAAAACTTTTTAAAAAGGATTGTTTTTACTTCTGTCCTTTCCTTGGACTTTCCTAATCAACTCTTTTGTTCATGTAATAGCTTTTTTGAACTATAACTCATATACCATAATATTCACCCATTTAAAGTATACAATTCAGGCCGAACACTGGTGGCTCACACCTGTAATCCCAGCACTTTGGGAGGCTGCGGTGGGAGGATCGCTTGAGGTCAGGAGCTCAAGACCAGCCTGGGCAACATGGCGAAACCCTGTTTCTACGAAAAATACAAAAATTAGCTAGGGCTGGTGGTACATGCCTGTAGTCTCAGCTAGTTGGGAAGTTGAAGTGGGAGGATCACCTGAGCCCAGAGGTCAAGGCTGCAGTGAGCCGTGAACACTCCACTGCACTCTATCCTGGGTGACAGAGTAAGATCCTATCTCTAAATAAATAAATAAATAAATAAATAAAATAAAACATACAATTTGAAGCAAATAATGTATATAGCGGTCCGTTTTCAAGACAAAGTGCCTCAAATTGGCTCAGGTCAGCAAACTACAGAGGAAACAAGATATACTAGGCCTCTGCTTGGATAACCAATGCCTGCTTGTCAGTCCCCGCCACCCCCCAACCCATTAGTTGCCCCTAGCCCAACCAAAGAAATTTAGTCTAAGATGAAAGTTTACTAGCCTGCAAGATAGCTCACTTTGTCTGTTCTTATTAGCCTGCCCAGCTACTTAGGTTATAAGTCAAATACTTAAGAGCTCCTGAGTTGACTAGGATTGCAATGTATTGTGGGCTGCAACAAAATGCATCAGGACAACCCTAAAGAAAACACCTAAAGCCCCTACCCAAAAACCAATCGATGACATCCGGGAAGATTGTAACCCCATAGTACTCAGTCTATGAGGAACTAGGGGAGGGACCTGTGCATTAGGGGATATATTGCTTGTTGAAACCATGCTGGGTATGCCTGTCCATCAGACACCTGATCTCGCAAGACTGTCATTAAAAGTCTCACTTTTGCTGTTCTCTGGTTCTCTGAGTCTATTCTTTGGGTTTGGACAGGTGAGTTTGTTTCTCACACAATTCAATGGTTTTTAATGTATCACAGGGTTGTACTACCATTATCACAATCAATTTTAGACATGTTTTAATCTCCCTCAAAAAACCCATACTCTTTAGCTACCACCATGCAAATTCCTCATGTTCCCATCTCCACCAGCCCAAAGCAATCAATAGATGTCTTTAAAAAAATATCTTGCCATGTCACAAGATCAAGCCTGTCACTTGTTGCAGAGCCAACAATAAATGAATGGAACTGAATACAACCTCCTAATAAGTGCATGCATATCAGACATGAGATATAAAATATCCTTTACATCCTATGCCCTAAACTACTTTCTATCTCTAGATTTGCCTATTCTGGACATTTCAAATAAATGGAATCATATAATATGTGGCATTTGTGACAGGTTCCTTTCACTTAGCATAACATTTTCAAGGTTTATCTATGTTGTATAACGTATCAGTACTTTGTCTCCTTTAATGAATGAATAATGTTGTTAATATTAATTCCATTAATAATATTAATATGGATATATGAAATTTTGCTCATCCATGCATCAGTTGATGGGCATTTTGGTTGTTTCCACCTTTTGTTTTTTTTTAATTTTATTAAAAAAATTTTTAAGGCTAGTTAAGTGATGCAGTGGGAGTGGAGAAGGAACAAAGAAATCTGTGACTGGGGCCGGGCGCGGTGGCTCAGGCCTGTAATCCCAACACTTTCGGAGGCTGAGGCAGGTGGATCACAAGGCCAGGAGTTCGAGACCAGCCTGACAACATGGTGAAACCCTGTCTCTGCTAAAAATACAAAAATTAGCCGGGTTTGGTGGCACACATCTGTAATCCCAGCTACTCAGGAGGCTGAGGCAGGATAAGCACTTGAACACAGGAGAAGGAGGTTGCAGTGAGCGGAGATCCTGCGCCACTGCACTCCAGCCTGGGCGACAGAGCGAGACTCCGTCTAAGAAAAAAAAAAGAAAGAAAGAAATCTGTGACTGGTTGTAATCAATTTGTTATAAACACCACTGCACTCGGACCAGAACTTTTGGTTATTTTAACCAAAAAGGATGACATACCAAGAGCATTGAATCGGAACCTGAATTTTCTAACCCAGGTCCATCCTCCTTCATTTCAACAAGTTATCAGAATTTTATTTGTCCAAAATGTAATGTTTGATAATTATTATTTTTCTTTTTGTTGTTTCTTGTGCACATAGCATAATGTCTGGCACGCAGGTGAGAATCAGCTATTTTATTTCGGTGTGTCGTTCATAATGCTGCTATGAACATTCAGGTACAAGGTTTTTTGAGGACAAATGTTTTAATTTCATTTGAGTATATCTGTAGGCCTCTTTTCCAGATGCTAAACAAACAGCTTCTACAAACGCAGACTAAGGCACTTCTGTAAGTTCTGAGAACTATCCCCCTTAGCCCATGCCTCCAAACTTGGGCAAGTTAAGTCAAAATTCTACTCAACCTTCCAGGCCCAATTCATTCATTCACGCATTCATTCAATCAATATTTTATTTATTTATTTATTTATTTTTGAGATAGGGTCTGGCTCTTTCATCACATCTGGAGTGCAGTGGTGCCAACAGAGCTCACTGTAGCCTTGACCTTCTGGGCTCAAGCAAACCTCTCATCTCAGCCTGTTGCATAGGTAGGACTCCAGGTGTGTGCCACCATGCCTGGCTAATTTTTCTAAAAAATTTTGAGGAGGCAGGGTCTCGCCATTTTGTGCAGGCTGGTCTAAAACTCCTAGGCTTGCCAGGCGTGGTGGCTCACCCCTGTAATCCCAGCACTTTGGGAGCCCGAGGCAGGCGGATCGCCTGACAGGTTGAGGGTTCAAGACCAGCCTGACCAACATGGAGAAACCCCGTCTCTATTTAAAAAATACAAAATTAGCCAGGCATGGTGGTGCACGCCTGTAATCCCAGCTACTCAGGAGGCTGAGGCAGGAGAATCGCTTGAACCCAGGAGGCGGAGGTTGCAGTGAGCCGAGATGACACCATTGCACTCCAGCCTGGGCAACAAGAGAGAATCTCCGTCTCAAAAACAAAACAAAAAAAAAAACTCCTGGGTTCAAGCAGTCCTCCCACCTTGGCCTCTCAAATGTGTGAGCCAACATGCCCGGCCTCAACAAATATTTACTGATTCTCACCTATGTGCCAGGCACTATGTTATGTGCACAGGAAACAACAACAAAAAGAAAAATATTAATTACCAGACATTACATTTTGGACAAATAAAATTCTGACAACTTGTTGAAATGAAAGAGGATAGAGTTGGGTTAGAAAATGTAGGTTCCAAATCTATGCTGTTGGTGTGTCGCACTTTTGTTAAATAACATTGGGCAAATGATGGAATTCTTCAAATGTTTTATAATCTGTGAAATATATATAATATTTTCTACCTAATGAAGCTGTGAGAATTCAGCTTAATATGAGATCTGAAAGCATTCTGCAATGTATAACAAGGTATAATTATTATTTTTAAAAATATTTTAATATATAATATTCTAAAATAATATCTTAATCTTATTATTTTTAATATTCTATTCCCTATAATACAGAATAGGGTTGTGGTTAAGAAGACCCGACTGTCTGGACTGTGTCTTGGCTCTTCCACTTATTGACAAGGATGTTATGAGAATAACATGAATCAATACATGTAAAATATTTAGAATAATGCCTGGCAGTTAATAATCACCCAGTATTTAATATTAATTATATTATTGCTATTATAATCAACAATAATGTTGTTATTTTATAATTACTAATATTAATAATTAATAACATTAGCTGATGTTATTATTTATGAGGTAGGCTTATATTGAATAACCTCTTTTTATTTTTTATTTTATTTTATTTTTTTGCATTTGGAATGGGTCCTTTTTTTTTTAATTTTTTAATTTTTATTATTATACTTTAAGTTCTAGGGTACATGTGCACAACGTGCAGGTTTGTTACATATGTATACATGTGCCATGTTGGTGTGCTGTACCCATTAACTCGTCATTTACCTTAGGTATATCTCCCCTCCCCCCACCGCATGACAGGCCCCAGTGTGTGATATTCCCCTCCCTGTGTCCAAGTGTTCTCATTGTTCAATTCCCACCTATGAGTGAGAACTTGCGGTGTTTGGTTTTCTGTCCTTGTGATAGTTTGCTGAGAATGATGATTTCCAGCTTCATCTATGTTCCTGCAAAGGACATGAATTCATCCTTTTTTATGGCTGCATAGTATTCCAAGGTGTATATGTGCCACATTTTCTTAATCCAGTCTATCATTGATGGGCATCTGGGTTGGTTCCAAGTCTTTGCTATTGTGAATAGTGCTGCAATAAGCATACATGTGCATGTGTCTTTATAGCAGCATGATTTATAATCCTTTGGGTATATACCCAGTAATGGGATCGCTGGGTCAAATGATATTTCTAGTTCTAGATCCTTGAGGAATCGCCACACTGCCTTCCACAATGGTTGAACTAATTTACACTCCCACCAACAGTGTAAAAGCGTTCCTATTTCTCCACATCCTCTGCAGCATCTGTTGTTTCCTGACTTTTTAATGATCGTCATTCTAACTGGTGTGAGATGGTATCTCATTGTGGTTTTGATTTGCATTTCTCTGACGACCATTGATGATGAACATTTTTTCATGTGTCTGTTGGCTGCATAAATGTCTTCTTTTGAGAAGTGTCTGTTCATATCCTTTGCCCACTTTTTGATGGTTTTTTTTTTTTCCCTGAAAATTTGTTTAAGTTCTTTGTAGACTCTGGATATTACCCCTTTGTCAGATAGGTAGATTGCAAAATTTTTCTCCCATTCTGTAGGTTGTCTGTTCACTCTGATGGTAGTTTCTTTTGCTGTGCAGAAGCTCTTTAGTTTAATTAGATCCATTTGTCAATTTTGGCTTTTGTTGCCATTGCTTTTGGTGTTTTAGACATGAAGTCCTTGCCCATACCTATGTCCTGAATGGTATTGCCTAGGTTTTCTTCTAGGGTTTTTATGGTTTTAGGTGTAACATTTAAGTCTTTAATCCATCTTGAATTAATTTTTGTATAAGGTGTAAGGAAGGGATCCAGTTTCAGCTTTCTACATATGGCTAGCCAGTTTTCCCAACACCATTTATTAAATAGGGAATCCTTTCCCCATTTCTTATTTTTGTCAGGTTTGTCAAAGATCAGATGGCTGTAGATGTGTGGTGTTATTTCTGAGGCTTTACATCTACACAGGCTACTTTCTGGATAAATGTGGAGGTCATTGTAAAAATCCTGACTGACTATTTCACTCCGTCAACTTACCAAATGTCAGGAATTTTCAGATGAAATCCAAATCTCTTCAATATGTGAGATGTTGATAACATGTTATTCCCTTTGTTTCTTGGTTTCATTTCATTTCATACACTATGTATTTAATTGCTCAAGATGACACAAATTCACTTATTACTATTACTGAAACTTATAAGCATTCATGGATGACTAACTGAATTGGTTTTTATTAAGCATGGTTTGGATACCACCATGGATGTGTGACCTTTGCTCCATTTGACAAGGATGAGCTGTATCCCTTATATTTTTATCTACATCTTCACAGATACATGACGTTCATTCTTATGATAAAAATCTTTCTATTTAAGGAAACTATATTAGAGTAAAGATAAGCTGATATAGCAAACAGATGCTAAATACAATTGCTTAAAGAAAGCAAAAGTTTCTCTTACTCACTGTATACAGAGAACGGTCCAGGGCAGCTTGGCTCCCTGATATCAGTCAAAGACTCAGGTACCTTCCTTCAGCTTGCACAACCAACCCCTAGGGCACTGTTGCCCATATGCATGGCAAAGTGAGATTGCCAGTCATTTCCTTCAAGTGAAAAAGGAATAGAGAACAGGAAGAAACATACCCTGGGCCCTACAGCTCAGGCCAAGTAGTAGAATTGATTACTTCTCATGTTCTATAACAACAAGTAACCACAAAGGATGCTGGAAAATGTGATCTACCCTGGTAGTCATATGCCCAGGAAAAGAAGGAAAATAGATTTTGGTAGACAGCTAGCAGTTTCCATCAAATATATTATTTTATTCATTTGGAGAATTATATCTCTAAGATAAATAATTTGTGATTTCAATAAGGGTTTTCTTTTACTGATTCATAGCAATTTAAACCTGCTTTCATATTCTGTTGGATTCCTATTATATTGTGCTATGAGGAAAGCAAAATTCATGCTTGGGAGTAAAGTACTCGCTGACTTGTACTGTTTTCTTGCACAAAGCAAGATAGCCCAAGAGTCTTTTGAACGAAGAATACATTTTCCTCAGTGTCAAAAGACGAATACTCATGATTTGGGGATATCAAATAAGCTAAAATAAATGCACTTGAGAAGTGTAAAGCTTTCTATAAATGCAAGATTTTTATTATTACAGTATTATTATCACTTAAGTGTTAGCGGTCCATTCTTTTTTTTTTTTTGAGACAGAATTTCGCCCTTGTTGCCCAGGCTGGAGTGCAATGGCACAATCTCAGCTCACCGCAACCTCCACCTCCTGGGTTCAAGCAATTCTCCTGCCTCAGCCTCCTGAGTAGCTGGGATTACAGGCATGTGCCACCACACCCAGCTGATTTTGTATTTTTAGTAGAGACGGGGTTTCTCCGTGTTGATCAGGCTGGTCTCAAACTCCCAACCTCTGGTGATCCGCCCACCTCGGCCTCCCAAAGTGCTGGGATTATAGTTGTGAGCCACCACGCCCGGTCAGCGGTCCATTCTTTACAGGATATTATGTATATTGGCTCAACAAGGAGTTGGCCTTCTTACAAAGACACTGTTCTTTACTTTCCAGTTTACTTTTCCAGCCTATCCTAGAGAGTTCAAAGTGTGATCTGCCAAGCTAACTAAAATGTGATGATAATTATAACAGACTTTGTCACAGAAATGAATAATATAGTTAAACCCCATGCTTTCATTACCATGATCCACATAGTTACACATTTTTAGCTTCTTGTCTGGAACTTACCAAATTTCCTATGTTGCTAACATACTGGTTTCCCACAAGTTATGTTAATTTCTTAGAATTTATTCTTATTCTTATAGAAAAAGCTACATTAACCCCAGGAGTTGTGGCTCATGCCTGTAATCCCAGCACTTTGGGAGGCTGAGGTGGGTGGATTGCTTGAGGCCAGGAATTGGAGACCAAACTGGCTAACATGGCAAAACCTTGTCTCTACTAAAAATACAAAAATTAGCCAGGCATGGTGGTGCATGCCTGTAATCCCAGCTACTCAGGAGGCTGAGGCAGAAGGATCGCTTGAACCCAAGTGGTGGAGGTTGCAGTGAGCTGAGATCACACCACTGCACTCCAGCCTGGGCAACAGGGTGAGACTCTGTCTCAAAAAAAAAAAAAAAAAAGAAGAAGAAGAAGAAGAAGAAGAAGAAGAAGAAGAAGAAGAAAAAGCTACATTAAAATTTACATTTGTTTATTGTAGTACTGGCTTTTCCATCCAAGATTCTCGAAAATGTTGGAGGTATTCTTTGGAGAAATAATCCTAATTTTTTTTTTTTTTTTTACAATGATTCTATAAACAAGTCTCTTGACAAAATGAGCTTGTTTGTCCCACAGAGGTGTGCCTACTTTGGTCGGTGAGAAGATACCTGCAAACATATTGTCTCTTCTCAGGAAAAGAAAAAAAAACTTATTTTTTCTCATAATATACTCTGTTATTATCGTTGAATTGGTGTGATTATTGTCAAACAATAATTATTTCTTATAGTTGCCTATGATTTTTATTTTTGCACTATTTATGTGGAATTTTCTATCAATCTTTAGGAAAAAAACCGAGCGGAAGAGGAGCTTTACAGTAATAATAATACTGTAAGGATGTCCAAAAAAAATAAGATAGTATTGCCAGGTGCGGTGGCTCACACCTATAATCCCAGCACTTTCGGAGGCGGAGGTGGGCAGATCACGAGGTCAGGAGATCGAGACCTTCCTGGCTAACACAGTGAAACCCCGTCTCTACTAAAAACATAAAAAATTAGCCAGGCGTGGTGGCGAGTGCCTGTAGTCCCAGCTACTCTGGAGGCTGAGGTGGGAGAATGGCGTGAACCTGGGAGGCGGAGGTTGCAGTGAGCTGAGATCACGTCACTGCACTCCAGCCTGGGCAACAGAGCAAGACTCTGCCTCAAAAAAAAAAAAAAAAGATAGTATTAGGAGAGTGGACTAATTTTCTAAAATTAGATAATCCTTGGGTACAAGAAGCTATAAAGCATAAAGAAGAAATTCTTGCCTTCAAAGAACTGCATTCTAATTTTAGAAAGATTAGACCGTAGTGAACAGATGCATAGAGTCAGTCTTGTGCAAAACACATGACTTGTGGAAAGTACCTACCCTGATTCACCCCAACATTAGCCTAGATCTTACTTGGGTTAATTTTACACACCACTCCTATTGTTTTAAGAATGTTTGTCCTCTACAAATGTCTCTTCTTTCAAAAACAAACCCATTTGGGGATTATGGCGATCTTTGTTCCTGATTAAAATTTCTCTATTCTGTTGCTTTGTATTTTACCTTTCACAGTAGCTTAATCCATATTCTATGGTTTTGTGATTAACCCTGAGTATGGAATCTTAGTGTCGGTTTCATATGAGCCTCATTGGAACATAAAGCACGTCTCTTTGTTTCATTTACAATTTCTGCAATAGCATTGATTTACTTTGCCTTTAGTTTTGTTCACTGAGCAAAGAATTTTCTTTTGAGTTTTTGCTTTCTTTCTTTCTTTAATTGGTTAGCTCTGGTAGGTGATTTTGTAGATTTTTTGAGGGGGGGATTCAAAGCACTGATCAGTAATTCATAAAGCTGATTTTTTTTTCCACAGTTGAAATAGGCAGTGACATTTGGTAATTCACAAATGCTAGCCCTACTGTCCGCAGTGTTAAGATAACTGATTAGTTCCGCAGCCCTGCTCAACACCTCCCAGCATGCACCTATAATGGGCCATAAACTTGAAAGCCCCCAGGCCTCTTTCCCTGTTTCTGGGTGAGGTTTGCAGTGTGGAGGAGGGGCGCCAAGCCCAGTAAGAATGAGTGGGAAACACTGACAGAATCACAGGGGGAATGGGAAAAAAAGAACTTAAGAGGATTATAACAAGAAAGGAAGCTTTTGGAGTCCTGGGAGGTGATGCCAGTCAGGATCTCTGAATTGCTAAGAAAAGAGAAATTTTCCCCTTCCTTATGTAAGCCTGGGGCAGGGAATTTCTTTTTCCCTCTCCTATCCCTTTCCATCTTTCTTCACAGGTGGTGATGGTCCTGCCCTTAGGAAGGAAAGGGACCAGGCCAACCTTCCCAGAGAAGGAAGCTCCATTGAAAGGGTGGCTTTAACTTTACATGTTCACGGAGCAGGAAGGAGCAATCCAAAGAGGCATGTTTTTGCCGGACAAGCTGATGACATCTGAAAACCTCAGGCCAACCTGACTGAGTGGAATGTAGAAAATGGCTATTCAACGGTGACTATTCAATTTAGGGAGTTCTAAGAAGGGCTTTTCCATAAAAAGCCTTAGACTTTCCGAAGGAAGGTCAGGCAATATGAACCACTTAAATGAACATTTTAATCTTGAAGTGAGTTTTAATCATATTAGATTGTATAAGTCTTTTTTTCATGAACATGTTGCAAATATTCAGTACTAGAGAATACCGTAGTTTTGAATTTTTAAAGAATATTACTAGACTCGTTACTAGCCACATACTTTTTTTCTCATGAGCCTATTTCTGGTGCTTATACTTTAACAAATTGGCAAAGATATTCAAAGTTCTGAATATGTGGAGTTGCTGATCGTAGAGGTGAGAACTCTATTCTTTTTTTAAAAACAGGATAAATTTGCCTATAATTTGTTTAAGAATAGAGTCAAAATCTATGTCCTTTTTCCTTCTTTCCAGCGTTCAAGATGTGGAAGCGAGGACGTGGTGGGTCCTCTGGTGTGAACTTCCGGATTTCTGTGGGTCTTCCGGTAGGAGCTGTGATCAACTGTGCTGACAACACAGGAGCCAAAAACCTGTATATCATCTCCGTGAAGGGGATCAAGGGACGGCTGAACAGACTTCCCGCTGCTGGTGTGGGTGACATGGGGATGGCTACAGTCAAGAAAGGGAAACTAGAGCTCAGAAAAAAGGTACATCCAGCAGTGGTCATTTGACAATGAAAGTCATACCAGAGAAAAGATGGCGTGTTTCTTTCTTTTGAAGATAATGCAGTGGTCATAGTGGGCAATAAAGGCCAGATGAAAGGTTCTGCCATTACAGGACCAGTAGCAAAGGAGTGTGCAGACTTGTGGCCCCCGGATTGTGTCCGATGCTGGCAGCATTGCGTGATTCTCCAGTATATTTGTAAAAGCAAAACAAAACAAACAAAAAAATTTTAAACCCATTAAAAAGTATTTGTTCCCAGAAAAAAAAAGAGTAGTGTCAAAACACTTTAATAGAAGCCGATTTGTAAATACTTATGTTATTTTAATGTCCTACAAAATTATTTTTGAGGGACTGAGGCAACAGTGAACAGGTAATTGTTAAACCTTCACTATTCATTCAAAAGTAGGAGAGCTCTGGGGCAAGAATGGAGGGGAATTCATGAGTAGCCTACAGCTAAAATAATCCACAGGGAAAAAAACTCTTATCCTAACACCAATAGACATGTTTGTCTATGTGGCATGACCATTTCTCTGAGTTTTTTATCCAAAAGAAGAGTATGTGTTTAAGAAACTGCTCTGTGTGATGATTAAATGATTGTGAGTCCAATGCCTACCTTAAGCAGCGAAAGTGGCCAAGGAAGACATATTTCTTCCTTCATATTCTGCTTCTTTTCAGTGCTCAGGAACTCTGGTCAAAGGAACACCACTAGAAAACACTGAAGGAGGCATGTCAGGTGGTTCTGCTTCTCCATGGCTCCCTACGATGAATGCCTAGAGAGGGTATTGACATGGCAACCTGATGCCAGCACATCTGTCCACAGCTGGTGAGTCTCACACCCTTCAGTCACAGTGAGAGATGTATGATCTGGGCAAAAGCCAAGTCTTCAGGTTAAATCTCTCTCTCATCTCTTTTTTTTTTTTTTTTTTTTTTTGAGATGGAATCTCATTCTGTTGCCCAGGCTGGAGTGCAGTGGTGCAATCTTGGCTCACTGCAACCTCCACCTCCTGGGTTCAAGTGATTCTCCTGCTTCAGCCTCCCAAGTAGCTGGCATTTCAGGCACCTGCCACCATGCCTGGCTAATTTTTGTATTTTTAGTAGAGATGGGGTTTCACCATGTTGGCCAGGCTGGTCTCAAGCTCCTGACCTCAAGTGATCCACCTGCTTTGGCCTCACAAAGTGCTGGGATTACAGGCATGAGCCACCGCACCCAACCTGGTTAATTCTCTTAAGAGCAGCATTCAAAGTGCATTCTTATTTTGTCCTGGCTCTGAATCGACATGGTCAGGATGGAGGCAAACCTTTATGCAGAGCCCCCAGAATTATTAAATGGGACAGGCTCCTAATGGTGAACATACAGGAAGCTGATCCACGTAAGAGCTAACTAATCTTATTGAACAGTCACCTAGCAAACTGTTGGCTCATTTTTAATGGTCTGTTCTATCCCTTTATGCTGATTTGCTTGGAGGTAATAAGGCATAACGGTGTTGATTTAGGGAGCCTCTTGACTACAAATTCATCAGCTTGGTGGCGGTAATTGTCAGAGGCAACAATGGTGTTGTTCAGTGAGTTACACCTGGTCAGCACCTAAGGCTGAGTGTTGCAGCTGAGGTTTGAATCAAATTAGGAGTTTCAGTTCTTCTAGGCTAAAATCTGGTGACAGCCTCCTCCCTTTCTCATTTTATCTTAAATGATTTCTTCCTGGCTCATTCTCTTCTGGCCTCACCACCTTCTTTCTGTTACTTAAATAGGCCAAAATCATTCTTGTCGCAGGTCCTTTGCTCCAGCTGTTTGCATTTCTCCTAGATTTTTCTGTGAGGGGCTGGCTCCATCCTGTCAATAAGCCTAAACTCTAATATCACCTTCTCAGAGAGGTCTTGTGAAATTAGAGTACCATTTCTCTCATCTCTCACTTCAGCTATTATCAAATTGCCCTCTTTTGTTTTCTTCATAGCATTTATCACTCTTTAGAGATTATTATCTTTCCTTTCTCTTTTTCTTTGATGGCATTTTTTTTTTTTTTCTGAGACAGAGTGCTCTGTCACCTGGACTGGAGTGCAGTGGCACAATCTCGGCTCACTGCAACCTCTGTGTTAGGTCCAAATGCCAGGGTCTGGGTTCAGCCCATGCTGAAGTATGAGGGGAGTGGATGGATGGGCAGAAAGAGTACTTGGGGGGCCGTAGGCAGGTGAAATAGAGTTTTATTCAGCAGCTTTCTCATCAGTAGCATACTCACATTAGCTCTCTCACACTGTCCACCATTATCTCAGCTATTTGCTCCAGCTCTGAGACTCCTGCCACCCCCATGCCTGCAGCTGCAGCGGGATCTCCCTTGCCTTCAGGGTCAGCAGCTTAACTCTTTCTCTTTCTGGGTACTAGCACAAACTGTGCTGTGGCTCCCCTGCAGACGGACAGCTTTGGCTCTCTCTCTCTCTTTCTCTGGGTGCCAGCGTGCCTGCCATGTCAAGCCATGTTGAGCTGAGCTGAGCCACAGGAACCAAGCCAAGAGCCCCTGTAGAGCATCAGCAGGACAGTTATACCTCTTACAGACAATAGCGGCTTAGGGCCAAGTATGAACTTACACAGACAGGTTATATAACAAGTGGAGGTGTGCGCCTGTGCACCAGACTCACTGAGTCATGGAGGCCTGACGTCTGCCTTGGCCTATCCTTGACCAAAGCACATCCATGTACCTTACACTCCGCCTCTTGGGTTCAAGCAATTCTCCTGCCTCAGCCTCCCGAGTAGCTGGTATTACAGGCACATACCACCATGTCCCGGCTAATTTTTGTATTTTTAGTAGAGACAGAGTTTTGCCATGTTGGCCAGGCTTGTGTCAAACTACTGACCTCAAGTGATCCATCCACCTCAGCCTCCCAAAGTGTTGGTATTACAGGCGTGAGCCACCATGCCTGGCCTCATGGCATTTTCTATTTGAATTTTAAGTTCCATTTTAAGGTTAGGAGAACTGAACCTTAACACTGTGTCCCATGGACTCAACACAGGACCTGGCTCTTTGAACAAACTTGATAAATATTTGTTTACTGAATGAATAAAAAACATTCCCAGGCATGGTTGCTCATGCCTATAATCCCAGCACTTTGGGAGGCCAAGGTGGGTGGATCACCTGAGGTCAGGAGTTTGAGACCAGCCTGGCCAACATGATGAAACCCTGTCTCTACTAAAAATACAAAAATTAGACTGACGTGGTGGCGCATGCCTCTAGTCCCAGCTACTCGGGAGGCTGAGGCAGGTTCTGCTTCTCCATGGCTCCCTACGATGAATGCCTAGAGAGGGTATTGACATGGCAACCTGATGCCAGCACATCTGTCTACAGCTGGTGAATCTCACACCCTTCAGTCACAGTGAGAGATGTATGATCTGGGCAAAAGCCAAGTCTTCAGGTTAAATCTCTCTCTCTCTCTCCTTTTTTTTTTGAGATGGAATCTCATTCTGTTGCCCAGGCTGGAGTGCAGTGGTGCAATCTTGGCTCACTAAAACCTCCGCCTCCTGGGTTCAAGCGATTCTCCTGCTTGAACCCAGGAGGCAGAGGTTGCAGTGAGCCGAGATCATGCCACTGCACTCCAGCCTCGCCAACAGAGTGAGACTCCATCCCCAAAACAACAACAACAACAAAACATTCACATCCATAGTAACCTTTTAAAGCTCTGGGCCAACACCCCGTCTTTGCTTTCCTCAGCTGCCACACTGAATCATGTATGTTCAAGCCACCCATTTTCCTGACCAAACTAAACTTAATCAAATATGTTAACAGCCTCAGATTTCCCTTCAGATGGTGGTCACCAGCCCAGCCCTGGGTTTTGCAGGTCCATATGCAAATCAGGAGACAGAATCTTGCAGCCGGCCCTGAAGTCTGGGATCTGGAATCCTTTGCTCCCAAATGACCTTGAGACTCTGCAGAGATCTCAGGTCACCATTTTCCACTCCTCTATTAGTCCTAGTTTTTAGGACTATGCCACTGCTTGTTTTCTAACACCCTCCTTCTCTCCAGCCTGGGAACTGAAGGCCTGCCCTTGGCAAGGATCCTGTTCCACATGGACAAAAATGCCTAAATGACAACCATCTGCCATCTACTGGCTCTCTTTCCTTCCCAGCTTTCTCTGCCTACCCCCCACCCCCAACCAAGTTAATTACTGCTTGACAATCCAGAAAGTCCTGGAAGGCTGGAGAAGGCAATGCCACTACACCTCCCTGATCAGGATGGCTTGCCTTTGGAAGAAAGAAAAACAGTGGATAGTTAGTAGCTTCAGCAAGGCTTGAAATTCTTGCTTTGCTATTAGAGTAAGCATTTCTTGTATTTTACATGTTTTATTTCAAATGCAGCATTGGTATGATCAGATAAGCTGACACTGGAATTTCTGATTTTCCCTTTTCCTCTTTCTCTTTTTTTTTTCTTTTTATTGACATCTGTACTTTAAGAATGTAAATGTAGGGATTCTGGTACTTTTCTTAAAATCCAACTTTTCTTGATACCATATCTTGTTTGAAGTATGTAAACAAGCTGTTGTGTTCTCTGGTGCCAAGTGATAGGAAGGAAGAGGGGAAGTTTAGCTTTGTATTCTCCTGGCTCCTCCCCAGTGTATTGCTAGGCAGGCCACAGCTCCTGCTGTGAGGACTTCTGCAGCTATAGCTCCCTGGTACCTCCTCTCCCTCCTGCCCAGTCAGGCCTAGGAGTGGTAATAGTGCCCCACTTTGCTACCCCTAGGGTGCTTCACCCTTCTTGGTTTCTCTTTTCTCTTCCTGCACCTTTGTAAATGGTTGCTTTATTAAGCTTTATCTAATTATCTGTTGGAGGGTGTCATTTGTTTCTAATGAGACCTTAAGTATATGGGATATGAATTAGGGTAAAAGCATTAGTCCATGAGATATGGTATATGGTAAAAAATGTTTAGAAGAAGACATGGGAGAAAATCTTCAGAACCTCGGGCTAGGTGAAGAATTCTTAGACATGACACCAATATTATAATTATATAAAAGAAAACAAATAAATTGGCTTCTTCGATACTAAAAACTTTTGCTCAATGAAAGATGGTAGTAAGAAGATGAAAATACAAGCTACAAATTTAAGGAAAACATTTGTCAACCACTTCCAAACCATATATGTGATAAAGAACTCTCAAAACTCAGTAGCAGGCCCGGCACAGTGGCTCACGCCTGTAATCCCAGCACTTTGGGAAGCTGAGGCGGGTGGATCACGAGGTCAGGAGATCGACACCTTCCTGGCTAACATGGTGAAACCCCGTTTCTAC
Source organism: Homo sapiens (assembly GCF_000001405.40). Taxonomy (NCBI): domain Eukaryota; kingdom Metazoa; phylum Chordata; class Mammalia; order Primates; family Hominidae; genus Homo; species Homo sapiens. Next base: position 20,832,834 of record NC_000007.14, read on the forward strand.
TAAAAATACAACAAATTAGCCGGCGTGGTGGCGGGCGCCTGTAGTCCCAGCCAGCTACTGGGGAGGCTGAGGCAGGAGAATGGCGTGAACCCGGGAGGCAGAGGTTGCAGTGAACCGAGATAGTGCCACTGCACTCCAGCCTGGGCGACAGAGCGAGACTGCATCTCAAAAAAAAAAACAAAAAACAACAAAAAAAAAAACTCAGTAGTAAAACAATCCAGTTGAAATCAAAATGACTAAAATGTTTTAAAAAAGAAGTGATAACACCAAATGCTGGCAAGGATGCAGAGAAATTGGATCCCTTATACATTACTGGTGGGAATGCAAAATGGTACAACCACTTGAAAATAGTTTGGCCATTTCTTAAAAATCTAATCACATTTTACCATACAACCCAGCAACGATACTCCTGAGCATTCAACCCAAAGAAAAGAAAACTTATGGACACCAAAATGTATTTGCAAATGTTTATAGCAGCTTTATTTGTAATAGCCAAAGATTAGAAACAACCCAGATGCCCTTCCATGGGTGAATGAATGATCAAACTGTGTTGCATCCATACTATAGAATACTACTCAGCAACAAAAAGGAATCAACTATTATTACACATGTAACAAGTTGGATGGATCTCAAGGCAATTATGCTGAGTGAAAAAGAGGTTATAAACAGAAGGTAACATACTGTATTATTCTATTTCTATAACATTCTCCAAATGACAAAATTATAGAGATGGAGAACGGAGTAGTTGTTGCCAGAGGATAGAGATGGTCTCTGGGAGGGAGATGGATGCGTATAACTATAAAATAGAACTATTAGGGATCTTTGTGGTAATGAAACAGATCTGTACCCTTATCACATCTACATGTAATAAAATTGTCTGAATCACACACATATGTACATACACACAAGTACCTGTCAACATTGGTGAAATCTGAATAAGACTGTACTTGTACCAACGTCATTTTCTTGGTCTTGATATTGTATTAGTTATGTAAGATGTTATCTTTGAAGGTGAAAATGGGTGAAATACACATGGGACTTCTTTGTATTATTTTGGCAACTTCTTGTGATTCTGTATCTATTTGAAAATAAAATTGGCCCCTAACTGGGACCATTAACTTGGGAAATATGTCATTTTATTCTTTAGCATGAGAGAAGGGGGAAGAGGAGGGTACTGCCACAAGTACTTTGCTGTTAGCTATATGTCATTGCTAAGCTCTATCATTAATTGTTAAATTGACAAACGGACTAAAGTCAAGATCCCAATATTCCAATGGAAATATTTTATTTTCAATTGTTGTTTAATGTAAAAACATAAACTTGCCTTAAAAATGGGTTTTCCATATACTGTTTTCCTGTGGAAGTATTTCCAGGAAAGAATATCAAACCTATAGAACGTTTTCTCATTGTACAAATGTAAAAATACAAAATACTATTAATTTGCTCCTTAAGAATGCTCAAACTTGTGCAGAGACTTTACACATCTTCAGGGAACCTTGGTTACCCTTACAGAGACTTTCTAAAGATATATCATCATTCACTGATGACCAAAAACTGTAGTAACTCCAAACACACTCTTCACAAAAAGAACACAAGAAGGAACACTGATGGAGGCAGTGTGTCATTTCAGAAGGCTGTGGCTGCTGTGAACTTTGTCTAACCAGGGTGATGAGCTTTTCTCTTTGGTTACAGACAGAGAACTTGGCTTTCAAGTCAGGGCACTCACTAGGGTTTGGACAACAAGGGAGAAGGTGGACAACATCAAACATCTCATTAATTCAAGTAAACATGGAGACAACCTGATTTTATTCAATCTCAAAATTATATACTTCTTGAAAGGCTGACATAATATTTCCCAATAGCTCTGTGTCAAAAAATAGATTTAAAATACATGATAGTGTTCCAGACATTTGTATATGTTGCTGTCATTATGTTAACAGTTCCTTGACAATTTTTATAAAGACCTCAAAAATTTTTCTAAAAATTGTTCCCAAAGCTTGGAGTGCATGCTTTGCCTGTACTACCACCTTCAGGAAGACTTATGTAGTGCCTGGCACTAATGTACTTTCAAAAGGACACTAAATATTACCCTTGCAATCTCTTCTTTTTCTTCTAGAGACATGTAAATTCCTCTTTTTTATATACCCATGTTTTGACTCATTCAAGTTATAAACATATTTTTTGAATAAATAAATGAAATTCATGACTCAATAAGGACTTGCTATCTTCTAATTTTATAGATTAAAGACATTTTATGGCATAATAGTGTTGTGGGACTTTTTGCTTAGTTCAGCTAAAGACAGGGTTCCTTATCACATGGCCACGAAAAATTAGGCTCACAGACAATTTGAAGCGAGAGGAGGGCAGGGTTTATTGGGTGAAATGGAAGAAAAGGGGAAACAGAGACTCTTAGCAAAGCGAGAGAGTGTGCTTCCTGCCACTGGGCTTCCCGCCTCACAGATTGAATCCCAGGTTCCACCCAGGAAGAGGAGGGGCCAAGCTCCTCCCGCTGCAAACGCGCGAACTTCTGTGGCTCGATCCCAGTGCGCACTCCTCCCAGTGCACTGGCCGGTTGGAGTTTTGCCAGGGAGGCCTTCCCACCTGCCTGTCTCAATGGAAAGAATATGTGGATTTGGATTCAGGGACACCTTTATCACCTATGTGACTTTAGGTAAGTTACAAACACAGTGAGCCTCAGTTTTTGTACTAGTAAAACCTATTATGGCACAGGTTTGCAGGACGACGAATGAGGTCTTGACCGCTGAGGTGATTTATAATGTACTTGTATTAGGACTGGAGTTAGTGTGCTAACTCAGAGGCCACAGTTAGTGGTACTGACAGAGATTGCATTTAGGTCTTCCCAAGGGTGGTTCCGTTCTTTAACCTTAGATGTTTTATTTTATTTACTTATTTATTTATTTATTTATTAATTTTTGAGACGGAGTCTTGCTCCGTCACCCAGGCTGGAGCGCGATATCGGCTCACTGCAAGCTCCGCCTCCCGGGTTCACGCCATTCTCCTGCCTCAGCCTCCCCAGCAGCTGGGACTACAGGCGCCCGCCACCGCGCCCGGCTAATTTTTTGTATTTTTAGTAGAGACAGGGTTTCACCGTGTTAGCCAGGATGGTCTCGATCTCCTGACCTCGTGATCCGCCCGCCTCGGCCTCCCAAAATGCTGGGATTACAGGCGTGAGCCACCGCGCCCGGCCAATGTTTTCCATATTTAGTGTTGTCACTCATCTTTTAGCATGGGCAACTAAAGCAGGTCTGAGGACAGTGCGTATAGTTTTCTGCAACATGACACAAAGAGTACCAGGGCGAGATTATGTCTGTCACAGATGAAAATATTCCATTTGTGTGTCATAGTAATCTATTCATTGGTTTATGGACCCAAAATTCTCCAGGGGGACTCACAAATCCCCATAATGTTTCTATGTGCCAGATTTTTCATTTGGAGCTCTGCTTTAGTTGACAGATGTGTAAAAATCACATGTAGCCAAATGACTCTTCAGTCAGCACTAAGCTGATAATGCTGAAGACTGGTTATTCCTGCTAAGATTCACTGGACCCTCTGCCCAGACTGTGTTTTTCAAATCTCATATTAGAGCTTAATGTTATTTTATTTTAATGCCAATGCTGTGCTCCCCAATGCCATATCTTTAAACTATTGTGCCCCATTCTAATACAAACACTAACTTACATGGGGAGCTCTCTTTTGAGGAAGTCGAAGTAGATCAGTAACTAAATTCAGTTCCTTAAAGGTGTAAAACTCTGAGAGAGTCACACACAAGTCAGATTGGGAGAAAGTTTCTTAGAATAATAAATTTTAAAATCTTACATGGGGAGCTCTCTTTTGAGGAAGTCGAAGTAGATCAGTAACTAAATTCAGTTCCTTAAAGGTGTAAAACTCTGAGAGAGTCACACACAAGTCAGATTGGGAGAAAGTTTCTTAGAATAATAAATTTTAAAATCTTAAAGGTTAAGAATTAGTTGGATGTTAAATATTGAGTCTCAACTGTATCATGTCACTGGTATACGGAGGTAAGTTGACTTGCCCAAAATCTGCTGAGAGTAACTGGTAGAGCTAGAATTTGCATCCACATGTCTTCTGGTTACCCCAGTTTGAGTGCTCTTTTGGCACTCTTACTATCCTTTACATAAAAATATTGTGTATTGGTAGGACAGTTTTAGTAAGCACAGAAATTATATTAATGGCAGTGCTATATCAAGAAGTGGACAAATTCCTGTGTTTTGTTTTAGATTTTGTGATGATGATAGTGGCCCTTAAGTAGCGATAGCTATGTGATAGAAAAAAATTTAACAAATTTTGCTGCATCAATATTTTGCGCTTTGTGTTGTTTCAGAGTATATTTCCCCACCCCCTTTTTCTCTTCAACTGGGAAAACAAACGCAAAATATGATTCTACATAAAAAATTTCATTAGTTTGATTTTTTCTTAGAAATTCTATTCTTCTTCTTAATATATGACAGCTTTTAAAAATGGCTTTATTTCTTTAAAAAGAAATAAAAATGGGTTTCAATTTGCAGTGCAGGCAAGGTATATCAAAATATGTGCTAGGATATATAGCAGGGAAGTCTAGCCTGAAATAGAGTAGAACTGTGATATTTATAAATATTTACAAATGAATCTTTTAGTCACTTTTCAAATCCCTGAATTTCTAAATAGTGCTTTGGCTGCAAAAAAACTAAAAATCTAGTACTTCCAAACATCATGTAGAGAATGTAAATGGTGTAATTCTAGAGGAAGACAGCAGAGAAGAGTGAGGAGTATGGTTCACTGGAAAGTGCATGACCTATCTTCAGGGGCCAGTTCGTAATCAACTTTAGTCCTGTGATGTCATAAGGGAATGCAAATTTAGTATTAAGTGTTCCTGATTTTCTTTTTTGAGAAGTTTGAAGTATTGTTTTTTTTCTTTAATGATGACAACTAATTTCAATTTTAAAAAACATCCAGGCCAAATTAAATATGTCTGTCATTGTATCTGGCCTGTGGGTCTTTAGCTTTTGACCTCTGATCTAAAGCATTTAATTCCTTCCTATAAAATTTAGTCGTGACAAGTAGAGTGCAGCAAAGCTGAATTAAAAGCAGATGCTGGACGGTCAGCCATGCTCAGCCCTTAACACTGCTCTTTGTAACTACATGATTCAAATTCAGGATTTAGAAAAATAATACATTCCTTTAAGCCGCGGGTCTCAAGATCTCTGATGGAAACTGCATGATATCCTTACAGCCAATATTTCCTGTATTTGAAAGCTGGGTTAACTCTCATTGATCTGGAAAGTTCTCTGTGGTCCTTTTTTTTCTCGTTCTAAAAAACCCAAAAAACCAAAACAAACTAACCGAAGGGATTAATCTCATGATAGGTAGAAGGCCTTAAATCGTAGGGTCTTACACTGAGAGCAGCTCCTGCCAGCTTCCTCAATACACGTGGCTGGTTTGATTAAGATAAAACCATGATATTGAAAGAATTTTGTTATCTTCTTTCATTAACACTTTTTAAATCCAAATACTCTTATTTATTTACAATTTTATATTTTGCAAAGATGAAACCAATGTCTCAGGAATGAATGATTAAAAAACTAAAAAAGTAATTACTATAATACAATTTAGCATTATGAGAAAGAAACCACTTTTCTGGAGTATTCTACATTGCGTGTACATATATTTCAGTCTAGGGTTGTTACGCTTATTAGTAACAGTTTGATGCAAAAACTCATTAAGAATACTAAAAACTGCTCTTATGTTAAATTCAACAGTCTTTATTGGATTTATCACTTTAAAATAGCTGTTCTCAAATTTTATCATCTGTGTAGTACTAGTCTACAATGATGGCTACCAATAGCTCTTCCTAACCCTGTACCTTCACGGTGCCCCTTCCATCAAAAGGTAGAGTCTTGTTTCCCTTTCCTTGAATCTGGTCAGGTCACATGACTTGCTTTGATCAACAGAAAGCAGCAGAGGAGTCTCTGAGTCAGTTCTGAGACTAGCTCTGAAGAGACCTGGCAATTTTCTTTTCTTTTTTTTGAGACGGACTCTTGCTCTGTCGCCCAGGCTGGAGTGCAGTGGCGCCATCTCGACTCACTGCAACCTCCGTCTCCCGGGTTCATGCCATTCTCCTGCCTCAGCCTCCCGAGTAGCTGGGACTACAGGCGCCCGCCACCGTGCCTGGCTAATTTTTTGTATTTTTAGTAGAGACGGGGTTTCACCGTGTTAGCCAGGATGGTCTCGATCTCCTGACCTCGTGATCCGCCCGCCTCGGCCTCTCAAAGTGCTGGGATTACAGGCGTGAGCCGCTGCGCCTGGCCGAGACCTGGCAATTTTCATGTCTATGATCTTGGAAATAAGCTTCCATGTGAAGAAGCACAGAGTAGACTACTGAATGGGGAGGGACTAGAGGAGAGAGAGAGATTCCCCATGGAAGAGGACTTTGGTGCCCCATTGAAGGTCAGCACCAAGTGCCATGAGTGAGACCCTCTTGGGTAATTCCGTCCAGTAGAGCTCCCAACAGAATGCAGCCATTTCAGTGACGTCAGCTGATATCACTATGGAGCACAAGTCCAGCCAATCCACAGAATTGCAAGAAAAAAAACCAGTCATTATTTTGAGCCATTACATTTTGGAATGGTTGTTTATGCAGTGGTAAATAACTGGCATGACCTGCTTGTTACTAATACTGAGATCTTGGCACCTCTTGCAGAGATTCTGACTCAATAGGTTTGGATGAGGCTTGGGAATCTGCTAGTTTAACAAGGTCCTGGAGTAATTCAATGCCAGGTAGTATTTTCAGAACCACACTCAGGACCATTACTCTGAAGTACTCCCAGGGATTATTCAAGAAATTTATTGTCAAATATGAAGAAAATATTAGAATTTCTGTTTCTGTATTTCTTTGGTCTAAAAAATTATAAAGAAATTATGCTTGACTATGATTGATATCCTGTATATTAGGTGCTCATGTGATTTTTTGGGCATGTTATCCTTCAAATAGAAGGGACCGTCTAATGTAAAGAGGAGTGGACATTCTCTTCTTTCATTCCTTTCGGAGCCACCTAGCTTACATGTGTCTATCCTAAGTGAATCTATGGATTATACTATAGAATATGTTTATTATGGAATCTTCCCAGTGTTTAGTCATAAGATGGGGGGTTGACCATGAAAATCTCTTATGCCTTACGTACAGTTCAGTGGTTACTTTGAGACAAAACATTTGGAATTGTCAAATTTAAAGACAAATAGTTCACATTGCTTTTACAAAATACAAGTTTCCAAGTAGGCTGACCTTTCTGTGATATGTAACTGTGAATAGAATGCTACCTAGTAGAAAATTAACATAGGCACGTACACACACATACTTGCTCACTTCCTTTGTACCCACACAATAACAGCAGTTTTCACAGTAAGTGAGAGTTTCTTTTTTTTTTCTTTTTTTGTTAAGGAGTGTTTAAAAATAAATGATGGGAAATGTTTCCATTGTTATATGATTTTGCAGAAAATGATGTGTTACATAAGAAATTGCTTATTTTGGTACACTTCAAAAATTTTGAACCAGAACTTAAAAATATTTTTTCATATCTTCCAAGTTAAGAATTTTTATGTGTTTGAACACATTTATGATTAGTTTGCAACAATGATTGGACATTAGAGAAAATGGAAATTTATTGGCTGAATTTCACCAAAAATCATCATATTTGGGTGAGGGATTAAAATACGAGCATCATGGTTGGGCAGGTGGCTCACACCTGTAATCTCAACACTTTGGGGGGCTGAAGTGGGAGGATCCTACGAGCCCAGGAGTTTGAGACCAGCCTAGGCAATATAGGGAGACCCTGTCTCTATGAAAAATTTTAAAAATTAGCCCTGCATCAGGGCACACACTTGTGGTCTGAGCTACTTGGGAGGCTGAGGTAGCAGGATGGCTTGAGCCCGGAGGTCGAGGCTGTAGTGAGCTGTGATTGTGCCACTGCATTCCAGTCTGGGCGAGACCCTGTCTCAAAAAAAAAAAAAAAAAAAAAAAAAGTGCATCGTGATTTACTAAGCACAGCCAAATGATGCAGTTCTTGCATTTGGGATTTATATATATTTATGAGAAATCTTTTTCACCTATCATTAAAAAATCATAGCAAAAGAAACTGAACTTAGAAGCAGACCTTCAAATCCTGTCACAAGTTGTTAAACCAAAATTGGTGAAAATATTCAAACATATTATTGTATTAATTTAATTAACATTGTATTTTTAATGAGAGTTTTTTTTTTTTTTTTTTTTTTTTTGAGACGAAGTCTCGCTCTGTCACCCAGGCTGGAGTGCAGTGGTGCGATCTCGGCTCACTGCAACCTCCGCCTCCCTGGTTCAAGTGATTCTTCTACCTCAGCCTCCCAAGTAGCTGGGATTACAGGCGCCTGTCACCACGCCTGGCTAATTTTTGTGTTTTTAGTAGAGATGAGGTTTCATCATGTTGGCCAGGCTGGTCTCAAACTTCTGACCTCAGGCAATCCACCCACCTCAGCCTCCCAAAGTGCTGGGATTACAGGCGTGAGCCACCGCGCCTGGCCGAGAGTTGTGTTTTTAAAAATACTATCACCTAATAAAATACTGTATGCTTTATTATTTTATTTGGTAAATTTTCTTTTTTATTTTAGATATACCTAATATAACAGCACACGTATATAATTTTATTATTTATTTATTTTTTGAGACAGAGTTTTATTCTCGTTGCCCAGGCTGGAGTGCAATGGCACTATCTTGGCTCACCGCAACATCTGCCTCCTGGGTTCAAGCGATTCTCCTGTCTCAGCCTCCTGAGTAGCTGGGATTACAGGCATTTGCCACCATGCCTGGCTAATTTTTGTATTCTTAGTAGAGACGGGATTTCTCCATGTCAGTCAGGCTGGTCTTGAACTCCGGACCTCAGGTGATCCACCTACCTTGGCCTCCCAAGTTGTCGGGATTACAGGCGTGTGCCACTGTGCCCAGCCTATGATTTTAAAATGAAAAATTTACAACTACTTGCAGTTCATACTTGGACATTTTTTACTGATGGAGTGTATTATCTAAAAACTTGGGAGACCAAAATTCTAGAATATCAAGAATTTTTTTTTTTTTGAGACAGGGTCTCACTCTGTTGCCCAGGCCTGAGTAGAGTGGTGCAATCACAGCTCACTGCAGCCTCAACGTCCCAAGCTCAAGTGATCTTCTTGCCTCAGCCACCTGAGTAGCTGGAACTACTATAGGCATCCACCACAACACCAGGCTGATTTTTAATTTTTTTGTAGAGACAGTTTCACCATGTTGCCCAGGCTGGTTTTGAACTCTCAAGTTCAAGCCATCCTCCCGCCTTGGTCTCTCAAAGTGCTGAGACTACAGGCGTGAACCACTGTGCCTGGCTCAAGGACTTTTTGGAGTATCTTCCATGTTTGTCATTGTGTGGGAAATAATGTAATTCTGATTGCTCATTGGTGACAGGGCTATAGAGCAGGAACATAGTGTTTCAGGCCTTTCTTGGATGAGAGAATGGGGTCCTGGCTTAGATCAATCTTTTGGCAGATCACTTGCAGTTGATATTGTTAGAGTCTACTCTAAAATAACATAATTATACATAGATGGTGCCTTATGAGAATTCTATTTAGTGTATACTGCAAAGGATAGCACATTTCTTAATACATTATCTTTTTCTTCTATATTCTAGAATTGACATTTAGCTCTCTATCTTGAAAATAAACCATCCTGACAAAATTACTTTTTAAAAAATTCTACTTTTTCATTTTTTTTTTTTTTTGGCCTGATGCTGTGAGAAACATTAGCAAGCAGAAACTAAACTTCATCCAGCAGAGATTCCCGGTCATTTTAGCTTTCAGGAAGGGAACCCACTATTTTTCTCATTCTGGCTCTCTGGGAAAGCAGAGAGGGAACATTTTAGTACAAGCACTTCTCACCTGTATAGTGTATGGTGAGTGCATCATTAAACAGGGGCACGTGCTTGTAGGCAAAAGTGCATTTCAGTAAGTGGATTGAAACCTTGCTGAATTGTGCTGAAGCAATTTAAACCTCCCATTCCATTTTACTATTGGAGAATTTCATGATAAGCAACTTGTATAAAGAAGAATACTATAGAAAAACATGCTCTGTGGTAAGCACTTGAGGTGGCTATATAGTCTCAAAATGCAAACCTTCTTTTAATTTATCAGGAATTTTCCCTTGATATTATAGATGTTGTAAGATTGGACACCACAAATGCTAAGCCAACATAGATGAAATATATGTTATTTTCATAGTAGAAGGTGTAATATAAATAAAAGGAAAGGCCTTTAGAAAACACTTTCCATTCACACTTTAGTCCTTTGGTGATTTTCTATAATATATTTAAATGAGTGCTATAGTTCACCCAATACATATCTGACAATGTAGTTGCTCACATTTTTATCATTTTATCAACTGGATGTGTTAAATTCTTATTAATTATTTACAAATGCCCTCCCTCCACCCTGGCCTTTTAAGACTCTCTAAGAATGGCATATAATCCCAGGAACATTTTTATTACATTTGTTTGTGGAGGGGCCTAGTGGGTGAAGGTACAAATTTGGGACATTTCTTCAAAGAAGAAAGGGACGGAGACAGTAAGAGGGGGATCAGAGTTTGAGGAGAAAAAAGGAAAAAGATTCATGTAACAGGATAAGGGAAGAGAACCTGAGGGATTTCAAAAAAGGAGAAAGGAGATGAGGGATAGAGGAGAAAGGGTTTTTTAAAAGATTCCCTCCCTCAGGTCCTCGCTTCCAAGACGACAAAGAAAAGAAAGAACAATGGTGGTGCCCAAAAGTGCCATGACCATATGTAGCTTATTTGCTGCACAAATTGTGCCTAATGCATGCCCAATGCTATTAAAAAGTTCGTCATTCGAAACACAGTAGAGGCCACAGCTGTCAGGGACATTTCTAAAGTGAGTATCTTCAACAGCGAAGTGCTTCCCAAGCTGTATGGGAAGTTACGTTGCGCTGTGAGTTGTGCCATTCACAGCAAGGTAGTCAGGAATCGATCTTGTGAAGCCTGCAAGGACCGAACACCTTCACCCAGTTTAGACCTGCGGGTGCTGCCCCATGACCCCCGCCAAAGCCCATGTAAGGAGTTCAGTCCTTAAGGACTGATGAAAAATTATCCTCTGGAGAAAAAGAAAATGGAAATTGTACCTAAAAGAAAAAAAAGATTGGTTACGTTGTCCGTTATGTAACTCCTCTTTTAGCCTGCCAACAAAGCCTCATGTAGAATTCAGTTGTTCAATGCTTTTGGAGTGTTTCTATTTGTTTTTGGTTCTGAATGTATGTGTGAAGCTGGCTTTAAAGTATCAAGGGGTTTGAAAGAGCAGAAATCTTTTAAAGTTTTGGTTAAAATAAGCAGTGGAGTACTAAGAGGCAGAATGTGGTTGGGTTGGGTGAGTTGCTTTGGTAGAAAGGAATATCTTACCGTGGATATCATTTAGAGCTTTCCATGCATGCTGTTAATAAAGAACAGACTGATTTTTACGCACTTCTGTTGTTTTAATATTTGCGACTCATGTGTCTCGGGTGCCCAGGCTGAGTGCTTCCACTATCCCACCTTGATCTGTCATTGGAAGTCAGCAAACAGCTTTAATTTAAAATAAGCCAGGCACGGTGGCTCATGCCTATAATCCCAGCACTTTGGGAGGTTGAGGTGGGAGAATCACCTGAATCCGCGAGTTCAATAGCAGCCTAGGCAACATAGTGAGACTCAGTCTCTACAAAAATAAAAAGAAAAAATACATCTGGGTGCAGTGGTGTGCACCTGTAGTCCCAGCTACATGGGAGGCTGAGGCAGGAAGATGCTTGAGCCCAGGAGATCGAGGCTACAGTGAGCCATGATCATGCCACTGTACTCCAGCCTGGGCGGCAGAGTGAGACTCCATCTCAAAAACTAAACTGAAAATAAAAATAAATAAATAATAAAAATAAAATAAGGCATATGTTGTGGCAACTTCCATCAGAAGCTTGTCACTCTCTTTTTGCAGCTGTTTTCTACCAACTTAGAAGATACTGCAGGTATGTAAGTGACCAACGTGCTTTAAAATTCCTGGTGACTTTGGTCTTAATTTGTTGCCATCCTTTCTGTACTCAGATCTGAGGCATCCTCTGAAACTGGGAATATAGAGAATGACATTTCTGTCTTCCTTTTTTTTTTTCAGACGGAGTCTCACTCTGTCGCCCAGGCTGGAGTGCAGTGGTGCCATCTCGGCTCACTGCAACCTCCACCTCCCTGGTTCAAACAATTCTCCTGCCTCAGCCTCCCGAGTAGCTGGGACTACAGGCACACGCCACCACGCCCGGCTAATTTTTTGTGTTTTTCGTAGAGACAGGATTTCACCATGTTGGCCAGGCTGGTCTGACCTAAGGGGATCTGCCCGCTTTGGCCTCACAAAGTGCTGAGATTATAGGCGTGAGCCACCGCATCTGACCTTCTGTTCTCCTTTTGGTAGCTGAAATTCCTCTGTACTATTTCTGATCCTGTGTAAATAGGTTGGAATAGGATTCTGCCTTTCAGTTTTCATCCTTTCTTTCTCATCGTCCTCCTCTTTTTTCTTTCTCTCATTTTATGTCTACCTGTCCTTTCTTTTGGCTCTTATTTCTATATCTATAACAGTGAATTGTTAGAGAACAGGGTGAATACAATGGGACATAGAACACCTGGTGGTAAATATCCTGCTCCCTTTCTTCTTCAAAGCTAGTCAAACTCTAGTTTAATGAGTTTCTATCAGTTTTGTTTTCTAACGTCAATCAAAAGGGAGAGTTAGAGAAAAGGGAGAACACGTGGGAAAATGCATAAGCAAAGATAATACTATGAAAATAACAAGGCCGAGCGCGGTGGCTCACACCTGTAATCCCAGCACTTTGGGAGGCCGAGGCGGGTGGATCACGAGGTCAAGAGATCAAGACCATCTTGGTCAACATGGTGAAACCCTGTCTCTACTAAAAATACAAAAATTAGCCAGGCATGGTGGCGTGTGCCTGTAGTCCCAGCTACTCGGGAGGCTGAGGCAGGAGAATCACTTGAACCTGGGAGGTGGAGGTTGCAGTGAGCCGAAGGTTGCAGTGAGCCGAGATCGCACCATTGTACTGCAGCCTGGACAATAAGAGCGAAACTCTGTCTCGAACAACAACAACAAACGAAATGAAGGCCTTAAAAGTTGTCAGTCATTTGTTTCTAGTCGGCTATCTTCTCTTTGACTGTGCCTATGCTTGTGGAATACTTTCAATGGGATTAGAAACCTTAGTTGTTTGCTTGTTTTGATGGAACTTAGACTTTCTCCCTGCAGTAAGTAGCTGTGTTGAATTGCTAAAGCTGGAGTTCTGTTAATACTTGTGTTGCTACAGCTACAATATTTTAAGGAGGGGGAAAGAGCTAGTGACAGCCCGAACACAAAATCCTTACACAGACTCTTAGGTCATTTGTGCCTTGCTTCCTTCTCCATACCTTTTTGGTCACAGCTGGAGAGTCCTTGGTCATTGGTTGTACACCTTTGCTCTTCTGATAAAATTTCAGAGTTAGTATATGGGCAGTTTCAGGGGGGGTGTGGATGGTGGCCTGAACATTGTGCCTGGGCTGCCAAGACATGGCACACCCTCTTTCCCTCTTCCTGCCAAACTTTGGCTGTGCTGTTTTTGACCACATGTAAACAACTGAACCATAGCTAGAAGGGAGATCATCAAACTCTTTCTGTAAAGGACCAGATAGTAAATATATCAGGTTTTGCAGGCAAGATACTCCTTTTGCAACTATCCATCTTTGCTGCTGAAGTGCAAAAGCAGCCATAGATATAAACCAATGGGTGTGGCTATGTTCAAATAACATTTATGTATGAACACTGAAATCTGAATTTCATATACATTTTAAATATCACAAAATATTATTCTTCTTTTGATTTTTTCCTCAACTGTTTACAAATACAGAAACCGTTTATAGCTTGGAGGCTGTACAAAAACAAGGCGGTAGACTGGATTTGGTCTGAGTGCTGTGGTTTGCCAATCAGGAATGAGAACATTGTCCTTTGTTATGTTACCACGCACCACAAGTTTAGTGGCTTAACATGACAGCCGTTTACTTGTTTAGCTTGCCATTTGTTGGCTGGCAATTTGGGTGGGCTCAACTGGGTGGTTTTTGACTAGGTTCAGTCATACAACTGTGGTCAACTATTGGTCAGCTAGTTGGCTCTGTTTCTGGGAGGTGGTTGGCTAGGGCAACAAAGTTGACGGCCATGTGTCTCTCATCATTCAGCAGGCTAACCTGTGCTCGTTCACATGCTGGTTCTAGGATTAGCCAAAACAGGCAAGCTCCCATATGCGAGCACTTTTTGAGGTTCTGCTGGTGTCACTTTGCAATTGTCTCATTGTTTCAAGCAAGTCATCTGGTCTCGTCCAGAGTGTGGGGAAGAACTAAGCGTGTGGATACAGGCAGGCATGAATGATTAGGGTCTATTACTGCTACGTCTTATCACAGAAGGCCTCTAGTGTTGATGATTTATATCCTTTCTGCATTCATAATATGTTTCCTCCCAAGACCCCCTAAATCTCATCCAATCACAGCATCATACTCAATGTCCAGGATCTCTTGTTTGATAATTATGTTTAGGAGTGACTTTTTGGATGCAGATCCTCTTGTTCCAGCTGCATTAAAAAGATAAATTATGCAGTGAGAAGACAAACACATGATAACTGCAGTAGACACTGCTATTGGAAGGAGGGAAAATTGGAAACACGTAGCAATCACTGGTTCATAGAAATTCCGAAACCCGGGCCGGGTGCGGTGGCTTACGCCTGTAATCCCAGCACTTTGGGAGGCCGAGGTGGGTGGATCACGAGGTCAGGAGATCGAGACCATCCTGGCTAATGGTGAAACCCCATCTCTACTAAAATACAAAAAATTTGCTGGGCGTGGTGGCGGGCGCCTGTATTCCCAGCTACTCGGGAGGCTGAGGCAGGAAAATGGAGTGAACCTGGGAGGCGGAGGTTGCAGTGAGCCGAGATGGCGCCACTGCACTCCAGCCTGGGAGACAGAGCGAGGCTCTGTCTCAAAAAAAAAAAAAAAAAAAAAAAAAAAAGAAAAGAAATTCCGAAACCCAGCCGGGCATAGATTTTCAGATCCTTGTACTTCAAGGTGAGAAAATTTTCCTTGATTGGGCTAAGATTCCACTTCTGGCAGCTGTTTCTCCAGAGTCTTATTTTCTACTGCTCTCTGGAAGTAGTACTGTAGTCCATTGTGCATCACAGTTCTTGCCTGTGTCCTCTGAAACGTCATTCCTTTTTAATAAGAAATGGCCTCTGTATGCAGCTGAATACCTTCCTCAACCTTCATTCCTGTATAATGTTGGGAGCCCAGAAGCCTCTTTTTGTTTCAAGGTGATGTGAATATTTCAGTCCAAGATAGTGGTGCTTTTGTTGGCACAATTGACTTCAGGGTTTTTAGAACTTCCTACAAGGCAGATTCAGGTTCACTCCATACCCCAGAAGCCACATCCATAATTTTTATTGAGAGAGACTTTTTATTTATTTATTTATTTTTTTGAGATGGAGTTTCGCTCTTGTTGCCCAGGTTGGAGTGCAATGGTGCAATCTCGGCTTACCACAACCTCCGCCTCCTGGGTTCAAGCAATTCTCCTGCCTCAGCCTCCCGAGTAGCTGGGACTATAGGCATGCGCCACCACGCCCAGCTAATTTTGTATTTTTAGTGGAGACGGGGTTTCTCCATGTTGGTCAGGCTGGTCTTGAACTCGCGACCTCAGGTGATCCACCTGCCTGGGCCTCCCAAAGTGCTGGGATTACAGGCATGCGCCACCAAGCCCGGCCGAGAGAGACTTTTTACTTTGGTGTGTCAGCCTGCTGGGGAAAACAATCTTTAAAAATCTTAAAAGCCATTTTTGTCTGAGTGTCTACTATGTGTAATCTTAAATTTTTCAGAGTTTTTAACAAAGGGACTTACAGTCACACTTTGATTTGATCTTTACCCTGAGGCCATTTCTTACCTTGACAATTTTTTACTGACAGGGAAGATTGGAGATAAGGAAAAATTTATTTTCTTCGCAGCATGTTCCAGCCCCTCTATATATCTCCTAAGTTCTGCTTATAAACAGAATTTTTTAAAGCTCATCTCTCCTTTCTAGTACTTTATCATAGGCAGCTAAAAGAAGCCAATTAACAAGTTTAACTTTCTGTGAGGCTGTCTCCATTAATCAAATCCAGAAGTTCATTAGTTGCTGCAGGTAACATTTTATCAATTGTTCCACAACTACTAATTTCAAATAACTATTTTTCTAGACTGCCATAGTCATTTCTTTGCTACTTTTGCAGCCTCTGTTAACAGTGTGCTTACCATTTTTCAAGGCTTCATAGTCACTTTGCTGCTTTTCCAGCTTCTACCAGCCACATCACATCATTCCAAAGCCAAGATGCCACGTTTTTGGTTTCTGTTGCAGAAACGCCCCACTTCTAGGTACCAATGTCTTTCTCAATTATCTATTGTTGCAAACAAGGCATTCCCCAAATTTAGTGGCTTAAAACAATCATTTGTGTATGTGGGTTGGAAAATTTGGGCTGGGCTAATTGAGGAACATTTGCTGGTCTTGGGTGGGCTCGCTCTAGAATCTGTAGTCTTTAACACTTAGTTAAGAGGCTTGGCCTCAGGTGTTGACTGGCTGTTGAGAAGGATAACACGGATACCAGGCGGTATGTCTTCTGTTATCAAGCCAGCTAGTCAGGGCTTGCTCCCACAGTAGGAGTCGCCCGGATTCCAAGATCAGTCAGAGAAGAGAAGCTCCAAAGCACAAATACTTCTCAATTCTCTACTTGTGTTACATTTACTATTGTCACATTGGCCAAAGCAAGTTACATGGCTAAGTCTAGACCAGCGTGAGTGTGGGAGGGAATTACCCCCAGGCTTACATTGAAGGAAGTGATGGGTTCAGAGAAGTGTGAACAAAGTTGGCACCATTATTGCGACGATCTACTGGGCTTACGTTAAATAGAGTAGACTATAATCTGACACACAGAAAGCCTATCAAACTTCCAGAGGAATTGCATCAGTAAAAGGGCTGCCAGCTTGCAGAAAAAACAAACAAACAAAAAACAAAAAAAAACATGAAGTTTGCTCAAATGGCAAATTTAGAGTGATTGATTATGCAGCTAGCTGACGCAAACATCACAAATTCAAGTAATGACTTAAAATTTGGTAAAGAGAATTTACCAAATATCAGTACTACATACATTCGTGCGTGTGATTTTTGGAGGCTGAGCTATCAAAAATGCAAGAGGATAGAAAGAAAAATACTTCTGAGATTAGGCAAACACAGTGAAAAATAACAACAATGGATACTATCTAACATTTATGGGATATCAATCGTGACACACACTATGCTAGTAGCTATTATCTCTTTTAAAAATAGAAAAAATAGTATTAACTAAGATAAGTAAATACAATTTTTTGCTTTTTACATCTAGGAAACATGACCTGCTTAGTATAACGTGAAAGCTTTTTACATTGTAGTGCTGCTAAGGATTAGTGAAAGCATTGCTGGCTTGAAGTTGGAGTTTAATAGAAAAATGTAGGCAGCTAGTCATACCTGTAATCCCAGCACTTTGGGAGGTTGAGGCAAGAGAATCACTTGAGGCCAGGAGTTGAAGACCAGCCTGGGCACCATAATGAGACCCCATGTCTAGAAAAATAATAATAAAAAGTTATCTGGGCATGGTGGCATACAACTGTAGTCCTAGATACTCAGGAGGCTGAGGCAGGAGAATGGCTTGAGCCCAGGAGTTCAAGGCTACAGTGAGCTATGATCATGCCACTGCACTCCAGCCTTGGTGACAGAGTGAAGCCCTATCTCTGAACAAAAAAGTATACGTATTTTGGGGTTATTAGTAATTTGCCCACTTTCCCAGTTGAATAAACACTACGGTTTAGGGCAGCTTCCATCTTTATAATGAAGCCAGCTCAAGTTGAAGTTTCTTCCTTTACTAAGTAAAACATTTTAGTATAATAATTGGCTCTTGGGAAGAGAGAGTATAGTATGATTGCTTTTGTATATTTCTCATCCATTCTTTATTGATTCCAAAGTAAAAGAAAAAAAGTGAAATTTTTCTAGAACAAAATATTTACTTCTCATAATTAAGGCAATTTATAAGGATTCACAGGAAAGTTAGCAAAGAAATGACAGTAGTTAGACTTGAGGAAAAGAGTGGTTACAGGTGATTTTCTTTGGATTCTTAGGTTAAAGTGAAGAGTAAAAATGAAAGAATGAACCAAACCTAGGGGTATGTCAATATTTTCTCCAAATGGATAGAAAGTAATCATGTTAAAGCTCTCTGGAACACACACACACACACACACACACACACACACACATGAACACAGAATTAAGAATGACAAATGGGTGGATGGAGGTGAAAAAAGATTCTGTAAAGACATAAAATGTTAACCAAACTTTATTTTTATATTGAAATTCACTATTTTGGAAAAGATATCTTCCTCCATGAAAGAAACAGGATTTGAGAAAACATGTTTGAAAAGTGCCTCAGATGTTCAAGTTTGTGATCATCAAGTATAATTCATAATTGGCAAAAGTAAATTAGGAGCTTTGGCGGTTAAGATGGTATCTTAATTTACACTCCAGGCTGAACAAATGGAAAGTTCTTGAACCCTTACAGAAAAAGTAAATATATTAAAAATATTTAGCGTTGACAATATATTTTAATGTAGCCGGAAGATTAATAAATTCACTAAATTATAGAATGCTTAATTTTTTAACCTTGATTTTTCTCCTTTTCTTTAAGAATATTTTTCCCTGTTACATGACTTGCAGAAATTTGTCTTATTTTTTTACTTTTTATTTTGAAAAATTTCAAATCTACAAAAAAGTAATAGAAGACTTTATAGTGTAGGGTAATGAACACCTGTGTACACTTCATCACGTTCCCCAATTGTTAAGATTTTCTCACATTTGCTTTATCTCTCCATGAATATGTACACATCATCCATCTAACTAATTTATGAATTACTTGAG
This sequence comes from Homo sapiens, assembly GCF_000001405.40. Classification (NCBI taxonomy): domain Eukaryota; kingdom Metazoa; phylum Chordata; class Mammalia; order Primates; family Hominidae; genus Homo; species Homo sapiens. The sequence continues at coordinate 20,851,907 of NC_000007.14, forward strand.
AATAAATTGCCCCTAAATACATATAACATATGTGTCCTTATAGTCTTGCCTGGAGCAATAGTCTTATGATCAAATTGAGGAAATTTAACATTATTAGTACAACACAAATTACACAATATATAGTTCATATTTTTTTCAATTGTCCCAATAATGCCCTTTAGAGAAAAACAAACGAAAAACCTTTTTTTTTTTTTTTTTTTTTTTTTTTCCCAATTCAGGAGTTACTTCAGTATTCCATATGGTGCTTAGCCTCTTTAGTCTTAAGTCTGGATCAGCTCATCAATCCTTTTGTTGTTCATGACATTTTGAAAAGAACAAGCCAATTATTTTGTGTTTGATCATTTGTGTTTGGTGGTTTCTTCATGATTAGAATCAGGGTGTGCATTTTTGTTAGAGTACTATATATGTAGTAGTGTGTTCTTTTCCGAGTATCCTATCAAGTGCCATGCGATGCCAGTTTATCCTATTACTGGTGATGCTAACTTTATCGTTTCCTTAAGGAAGTGTTTACTATTGTCTCTACTTTAAAGATATTATTCCTTTTGGTAGTTAATATGTAAACCAAGAGGAGGTACTTGGATCGTGTTCCCAACTTTTACCCAGAGATTATGGCATTTATTGATGATTTTAGCCTAAATCAGTGATCACTGTGTTAGCTGCCAAATGTTGATTCTTAAAAATTTGATCAAGCAGAAATTCTTACCAGTGATTATTTTTAAAAGCATATAAGAGGTTATTTTAGGGAAGTAATACATCTGTAGACAACCAGAAAGGCAAAATATTATTACAGGTAATTAATCTGGAAAAGCAAAAGAAAAGAATAACCGCATTGAAGAACAGAGCTATTGCAAAGAATACTCTGAATTTTTCATCAAGCAGCAAGATGGTAATAAGTTAGGTCTATGAAGTGAAATGTGTGCATCAACCATTTTCCCCTGCATAATCTCCAGCTGCTTTGCATTTATACACAATCATGCACCGTAATAATCAGGAAAATGTTTGGACTGTACAAAAAAACCCCAGCTTGGTAGCAAGTGTAATAGAAGAGAAAAATGAAAACAAGGAAACTGGATAAGACCTTTAAGATTAGAAAATGTTTATGTAAAATTTCTAAAGCAATTGATAAATTATACTACTTATATTACTAGTTTTCCCTCTCCATTTCTGGCTAATTTTATTAATATACTATAGCTTCAGATTATTCTCAGTTGCATCTAGTGAATTTAAAAAAGAACAACCTGCAATAAAGCATTTATCATGTCTTGCTGAATAAAATGTGTATTTTGTGCAACTTGAGATTGAAAGCTTTCTAAACCTCTCAGAGTTTTAAATCAGACAACCCCCCCACTTCTTGCAGGCACAGTTGCTTATTTGTCACTTTGAGTTTGATTTATCTCAAGTAGGAGCTAAAACTGTATTAAAATCTTCTGTTAAGCATGTAAAACTCTACATATATACAGCCAGTCAGTTAAACATCTCTAATGAAAGACAGCTGAATTCTTATTGGAAACAAAAATAGGATAGAAAGAGATTTGTTTCTGTGAAGGATGCTGTGAAAAGTATGAGAACCAGGTGTCTTCTCTTTACAAAATGGTGCTGATGTATAAGGCAATGAAAATATTTTGATGATTTTTTTAAAAGAACACATAAAGTAACCAGTGAATCTGTGTATTCAGCTATTTATCAATTTAGTGATGGTCTGAAAAGTCAGTGAATTAACTAGTGCCCTCTGCTTTATTCATTATGTCATTATGTCATATTTTTTCCTTTTTGTTTGCATTTAAATGAGAACAACTCAGAATATAAAGTTGTATAATATTGATAGTTTTATAAGAATTGTTTTATAAGATATAAAACAATTATAAAAACATCTTATATATTACAATTATAAAAAACATTTATATATTATAAAAAACAATTATAAAAAACATCTTATAAAAGATGTTTTATAAGATAGTTTTATAAGAATTGTTTCTCATAGATTAATTTTTCCTCATAGATTAATTAGAATCAATTAAAAGAATAATTGTCCCTAGGATAGAACAATAGAATAATTGTTTATTCTATTAATAGAATAAACAATTCTATTTATTAATAAATAAATAATAATAATTCTATTAATTATTCTATTAATAGAATAAACTATTATATTAATAGTTTTAATAGAATTAGGGAATTAATACATCTGTAGACAACCAGAAAGGTGAAATATTATTACAGGTAATTAATCTGGAAAAGCAAAAGAGAAGAATAACCCCATTGAAGAACAAAGCTATTGCAAAGAATACTCTGAATTTTTCATCAAGCAGCAAGAGGGTAATAAGTTACCATCTTTGTTCCTTTATTGTCATAGGATATTGTCCTAGGATAGAACAATTATTCTATTGTTCTATCCTAGGAACTATTAATATTATTAATAGAATAAACTATTAATAGAATAATTGTCTATTCTATTAATAGAATAAACTATTAATAGAATATTTGTTCCTCATAGATTAATTTTTGAGACTTTTTGTGGCCTCGTGACATTTTTGGTTTGTTCATTTATATTTTTAATTAAAAAAATTAAAAAAAATTTTATTGATAACTTTAAAATATTATGACTATGAAGTTTTAGCTCTAAAAATATGTAACCAAAGACAATGGCCCATATACACTAAAGTCAATGTAAGATATCTAACTAGAGATCTTGTAAATTTTTGTTCATATTTATACCATAATGTACATGAAAGGAAACAAAGGCAATAATTGATGACTTCGTGTTAAGAAACTTAAGCCTAAATTAAGGCAACATTTCATTACAGCTTAGTCTTCAGAATTCTGTCTGGTTTGCCTGATTACGGTGATATACTGAAATTCTGAGATTCATTTATTAATTCATTAATTTATCCAGAACATTTATTTAGTGCCTGACACATCGAAAGTGTTCAATAAATGCTCATTACAATGTTTTATCTATACACACACATCCACACATGCATACTGCTGACATGGATTCCTCATAGATTAAGAGATTTGAACTTTGCTTTTAGAATATGTGCTATGTGATTTCATGTTTGTCTCATTCATTTAATAAAGAATTGAGGGTCTTTCATGAGCCAGGCAGTGTCAGACTCCAGCAATATATCTGTGGAGAAGATAGGTGGATTCTTTGCCTTCAGGGAGCTTATATTTTTTGTAGAAGAGAGAAAAAAAATGAGTGAACAGGTAAAGAAAACAACTATATATTTTGATAAGTGCCATGAAGGAAAAGTGCCCAGAGTGATTGGCCTTAAAAATTAAGTGTGTGCATGCATGCCTGTGTGTGTCTGTGTATGAATGCATGTTTTCTATATGCGGCAAAGGAGGGCTGAGGGATGGGTATTTGTGTATATGATATTGTAAATTGGGTGGTCAAGGAAGTCCTCTCCTAGAGAGAATAATGTATACCTGAAGAATGAGAAGAAACTAACCATGTAAAAGGGTATGGAATGTCATGCCAGAAACAATTGTCAGGATTTAATATGACTCTTATGATAATTTTAGATTCGAAAGCAACCAAATAACCATCCCCTCCTTCTGAAGCCCCAAAGCTTAAATTACTTGACAACATTGCACTAGCCAGGACCAGACCCAGGCATGGCTGTTACTCCTTAAAACAGAGTAAATTAAATATGTAGAGCATAAAAGCAGAAAATTATTATGTGGTGGCATTAAAGGAATGGAGTTGGAAGCTTAGAAATACCGATCTCTTGTGTCTTCACATTTTCTATTTCATCTAAACTCAGCGAAGAGTTTAAAATTGAATACAGGTAAGTTGGATTAAAAACTGTAATTCTGAGTCATCAACAACATGTCTGAAAGGAACAACACAGCCAACTCTGGCAGCTCCTATTTTGCAGATTAGAAATTAACTACGTTGTCAGGATGAAATGGTATGTTTTATTATTGAAAAGGCAGCTCTATTAGCTTCTTTGGGCCACAAGGGCCCATTTATTTAATTACTTCTTCCAGGACACTAAGTGGATCTCTAGTGACCAGGCCAAATTATTGCGACTTCGAAAGTGAGTGATGTATGCAATTTGACTGGTAGTAGGTTTCCTTTACTTTTCTTTCATTTATTTATTAATAAATTTTTAAAAAACAAAATTGGGGGAATCTTGTTTCTTTTCACCTCTGCTGAAAATAACAGAAGCTGTTTTGATTCATTTCAATAATGTCATAGATATAAAAGGGAAAAGTAAGATAATGCCCATAAATAAGAAACACAAGACTTGTTTTAGATTTTATTTTTAGAGCTTAAAACCTAATAGAGATTTTTAAATGAGAAGGTTTAAGATCAGAAAAGGAAAAGTATGCTAAAATTATTACTTTTTATAATAAAGCATGAAGAATAAATGAATTCTGAAATTAACCATGCAAGAATGTAAATGTAAGTATTGTTTTATAAAAATGTTTTTTATTTATTTAATATATTAACAAAGTTAAGGTAATGCTAAAATCTCAACAGAATCAATAATAAGAAAGGACAAAATAAAAGTTAAGACATCTCACAATATAAATATAGGTCATGGGTAAATATCAAAGTGGAAAAAATCTATATCTTCATGACATTTAATTGGACCGTCAGATAGCCTTTCAAGCCAACATTCTTTCAGATTCTTTATGGGTGTGGTTGGTATTTAAGTTTGCTAATGTACCATCGAGAAATTCTTACTGATGGGTTATGAATTTCATCCTTTAATTTTCCATTCTTAATTTAGCATACTATAAAGCAGTGACAATTCTAAACCTTTAAAATGAGTTTTTGTTGCTACTCACTTTGGTTGCTTGGGATAAAAATATACAGTATTATATAATCCCTTTCTTCAGAGAAATGAAAGCCTTTTCAGACATTATTAATTTTCAGAACTTTCCTGTAAGCTAGTTGAAAGATACTTATCACTATTCTTATTGAATGAATGGAAAAACATTTGTACAATCTGAGAACCAATCTCTTTAAGATGAATTAATAAGTCAGTAGGCATAAGGGAATAAGGGAGAACAGAATTTATGTTTTTTAACTTTTAATTTTTAAGACAGGATCTCACTTTGTGGCCCAGGCTGGAGTGCAGTGAGTTGAGTATAATGGCTATTCACAGGTATGATCATGGTTCACTGTGGCCTCAACCTCATGGGCTCAAGTGATCCTCCTGCTTCAGCCTCCTGAGCAGTGGGACTACAGGCATAACTTGCAATTGGCTAGAAATTCCATGTGTTGACTCTTGGGATCTGGTGTTTTCCTTTGAAAACTTGCCTTGTTGATTTTAGTTATGTGGCAAATTGGCATGATTTGTCCTTCATTAAATCATAATATATGATAATTTAGGTAGCCATCGGAATTCTGTTGGATTTTCTTTTTTCTAGCCCTCTTTCTCAATGATGGAAGGAAGGTAATAGGCAGTACTGCTTATGATTAAGAGCCGTTGTTTTGGAAACAGGCTCTGCTGAAAATTTGATTCTGCAACTTATTAACAGTATGATTTTAGGAAGCATACTTAATCAGCCTTATCTGTAAAAAAAAAAAAAGATATGCATTTGCATCATATAATATCTATATCATCGTTTTTATGTAGATAGAATCAAACATTGGCTATAATGTACCTACAGTACAGTGCCTAACACATTGAAAATGCCCAGTAAATATCAATTTGTATTATACAGAGAAGGTAGAAAATTGTTTCTGTTATTGTTTTATAGATTATAATTTCCTCCAGCAATAGAATTTAAATGCTAAATTATTTAAGTATGTGTTTTACTGTTACTTTCGGATTTAAAGAAATTTTTCTCTGTTTCTCTTTTTTTTTTTTTTTTTTTTTTTGAGACGAAGTCTCGCTCTGTCGCCCAGGCTGGAGTGCAGTGGCGCGAACTCGGCTCACGGCAACCTCCGCCTCCCGGGTTCACGCCATTCTCCTGCCTCAGCCTCCCGAGTAGCTGGGACTACAGGCACCCGCCACCACGCCTGGCTAATTTTTTTGTATTTTTTTTAGTAGAGACGGGTTTCACCGTGTTAGCCAGGATGGTCTCCATCTCCTGACTTCGTGATCCGCCTCCCTCGGCCTCCCAAAGTGCTGGGATTACAGGCATGAGCCACCGTGCCCGGCCAACATAATTAATATTTTAACAACTTAGTATTTGTGAGAGTATCCACATTTTATTTTTATTTATTTATTTGTGATAAAGTCTCACTCCGTCACCCAGGCTGTAGTGCAGTGGCATGAAAATGGCTCACTGAAGCCTCGACCTCCTGAGCTCAAGCAATCCTCTGCTTCAGCCTCCCAAGTGGCTGAAACTACAGGTGCACGCCACTGCTGATTTCTTAATTTTTTGTAGAGACAGGGTCTCGCTCTGCTGCCCAGGCTGGTTTCAAACTCCTGAGCTCAAGAGATCCTCCCCCCTTGGCGTCCCAAAGAGCTAGGATTACAGGTGTGAGCCACTGTGCTCAGCCAGTATCCACATTTTAGAATGATGTATTCTAAGTGCTGCTTGATAGGCCTCAACTAAAAAATAAAATTATGATTCAAATAAAATGTGTTGCAACTTTGATTAAGTATTTTAAATATTGAAGTCAAACAGACACCTCTAGTCTAAGTGACTAAAATTGATATATCGTCTTGAATACCCATATTTGAGGAGTTTTTTTGTTTTGTTTTATGTTGCACTCAAAATGCAATCCTGTTCCCCAAAATATATCAATATTCTACTTATAATAATACATTTAACCAAAAAGCAGAACCAATTTACGCCTTCCACTGACTGTTGACTACAAACTCAGTACATATTTGTTGAGTTGATTTAATATTATGCCTTTGTAAATGAATACCCTTATTTTATGGATACTAGTCTTTAGTGCCCTGTTCAAATTCATTATATGGATTACAGCGAGACACTTCACTGATTTGTTTCTTTAAAATACATCTTATTTATCTTGTAAATAATTTAGATTTGATTGGTGGTTGGGTGTGTGGGAGTGTGACTATCAGGAGGCGACCTCTTTGGGGACATAACATTGAAGCTGAGATCTGAAAATTGAGAAGGAATTAATTCGCCCAAGAAGGAGGAAAAGAGCAATTCAGGCAGAGAGAATAGCATGCGCAATGACTCCAGTGCAGGAAAAGCTTGGCATATTCAAGGATATGGATGAAGGCCAGGAGTGTTGGAGTCCTTGACCAGGCTAACTCGTGAACCTGGCTGGTCAATGACAAGCTATTTGCCTGTGCTTTGAAAAGCCAGGATTTGGCTTATGTGCAGTTCTGCTTGGCTTCCAAGTATACAACCCTTCCCCTGCCAATTTGCATAGGCCCTATTTCACAACATTGGACTCAGGAATTTCTGCTCTTAAGAGATTTCTTATTAGAATCTGACTGGCACATGAGCCACAGCAGAATAACTTTGTCTCCCTAATAAAAACTTCCACTACTGCTACGATTTCTATTTAGCGGTATAAGAATTTGAGCACAGAATAAAAAGTAACCGGAAGAACTATGAAGATGCCATTGATCCTGGTCTAGGCTTCCTTTCTTTTGCACAGAGAAGGACAAAAATAATTTCCCTTCAGGACAGCAGCTGAGCTTTAGAGGCAATCGATGTTAAATTCAGTTTTTTGATGTCTTCTAAAATATTGATAACCAACCAGCCACAGCCTTAAACAGAGGCACAAATGATCTAGGGTCTGAGCCTATGCGTGAAATCAAATGCTGAACAGTGGAAGTCACACATATCCCCAGTGGGAAGTTAGAACTCTATTATAGACCATTCATCTCCTTCATGATAAAGAAATGCAACTCCAGACAGGCGCGGTGGCTCACGCCTGTAATCCCAGCACTTTGGGAGGCCGAGGCAGGCAGATCACGAGGTCAGGAGATCGAGACCATCCTGGCTAACACGGTGAAACCCCGTCTCTACGAAAAGTACAAAAAATTAGCCGGGCGCAGTGGCGGGCACCTGTAGTCCCAGCTACTAGGGAGGCTGAGGCAGGAGAATGGCGTGAACCCGGGAGACGGAGGTTGCAGTGAACCGAGATCGGGCCACTGCACTCCAGCCTGGGCGACAGAGTGAGACTCCGTCTCAAAAAAAAAAAAAAAAAAAAAAAATGCAACTCCAAACCAAAACCCAAGGACTTTCACAGGAGTTAGTCATAGATCATAGAATAAGAATTCCAGAAAAAGCTCAAAGATAATGAAATCAAATCCTCTCATTTTATAGATAGGCAGTCCCAAACAGGTTAAACGACTCTATCTATGGATGGAGATTAAATGACTTGTCTAGTGTCACACAGCTAGTCAGAGGTGAGCTGGGCTCAGAACCAAGTACCCTAACTTCCAATTCAGTGCCTTTTCCATTAAGCCTTAGTGGCCCCTAAATAACCAAATTTTTATACCAATATTAAAAAGAAAAAAATAATTGAAAACAAAATGATTCATAAGATTATATCTAATGTGGAATACTTCATAAAAAACTGCTCATGTTGAATACCTGAAATGCAATTTATAGACACAGGTGTCAGTTTTTAAATTGTGAAAATACTGGCCACAATGCGCTGACCGATATAAGTATTTTCTCATAAAATAGAGAAATATGTATATTCTGTGACCATACCTATTTCTTTCTTACTCTCTTTTGCCCTCTGCCCCCACCCTGTTCATCCTATGTATCTTTCAACTCATTAATTTTCTCTTTCCTTATAGAGGGAATCAAATTCTGGCATCGTTTATCCTATGGTGGATGTTAATCTTTTCCCTTTTTTTTTTTAGATGTAGTCTCGCTCTGTCGCCCAGGCTGGAGTGCAGTGGCGCTATCTCGGCTCACTGCAAGCTCCGCCTCCCTGGTTCACGCCATTCTCCTGCCTCAGCCTCCTGAGTAGCTGGGACTACAGGCGCCCACCACCACGCCCGGCTAATTTTTTGTATTTTTAGTAGAGACGGGGTTTCACCGCGTTAGCCAGGATGATCTCGATCTCCTGACCTCGTGATCCGCCCGTCTCGGCCTCCCAAAAGTGCTGGGATTACAGACGTGAGCCACCGCGCCCGGCCGCCATTAGATAAGTTTAGCAAACAAATATAAATTTGAGATCAAGGAGGGAAATTGAAACTGGAGATCTTTGTTTTATTTGACAATCCATCTTTAGTCAGATTTATTCATATGGTGTGGCCATTACATGTGCAGTTTAAAGGAAGGGAAGGCATCATTCACTTCCCAATTGAATTTGATAGGAAGATCTGCCCGTTTGTCTCCAACTACCTGGAAGATATGTCTCGGTCACAGTAGAACAGTTGAGGGAATTTGCTTCAAAGTTAACTTTGACTCTGAATTTCTTCATTCTGTTGCTTCTGTCCAGGGCAGATTGTTTGAAAGAAGTAAAACAAACACACCAGGAAAATGCTCATGAATATAATATTAATTATATTTTATAATATGGCATGGAAAATTTAGACTTTAGATAAATGCAAATTTTTAAACGCAGACATCTCAGTGTCTTCAGCATATTTTATGCAAATAGTTGTTAAGAATAAAAATTCTAATTTCAAATGAAGAAAATTCATGACATGCATCTTGGGTTGCGGTTTAATCACTGTATACCCAGGAAGGTATCGACAGTTGTCCCGTGGAAGCTATTAAAGTTGCTGTCCAAGGTTAAATGAAATTGCAGTTTATCAGAGCAGCATTGAGAAAATAAGAGAATCTGTTCATGGCTCTTGATTAATGCCAAGCGTGATCAACACAAGGGGGTTCATTAAGCTATACATCATGTGGGTAATTTAACATGTCATTGTGCCTGCTGTCTGCTTTGACTGTGCACAGCCTAGAGTTTCAAAGTTGTATTTCTTATGCCACTAAGTTCTACACAGAAGCATCCCTCTTACTCCTTTTGCTATACATTTTCCATTATGTAGACCTACTTTGTTTCAGACACATTAGGCATTTCATATAAATTATTTAATGTTTGGGGGCAAAAAATGTTTCTTGACTTTTTAGTGGGTTTTCCCCACACTATATAAAATAAAACTTACCAGAAAACTCTTCCTCTTTTGAATTATTATTTCCCCTAATTTTATATATATGTATGTCTTAAAAATCTGATGTGACATGGAAAAAATATCAAAATTCTTAACTAAATCCATGTTAATTTGTAATACTCTTAGTTATTAATACTCTTATTAAACTATAACTTTCACAGTACATATTTACAAGAAATGTTTTCTCATCATTCTCTCTTCAGTGGTTTTCTCATTACTATCAGCTTATATAGTATCCATTTTTAAAGTTGATAAGGTTTGGGCAAATATTAACTGCAAAACTGGGACTTCAAGTAGATTGTTCATAATTTTATCATGTATTGGAATGCCATTTAAAAATAATTGTTATTGCAGACATTTCCATGTCATTTAGAAAAATATACCAGACATAATAAATGATGAAATGCTTGGTGTTTCTGCTTCAGAAATTTATTTTTCTATTACCTTGATTTTTCTGGACATAATCAAGGCTTTATCTAAAAACATAAGAGCTATGATTTTGACTTCTAGTTTTATTTAATTTTTTTATTAATTTGCTTCACAAAATTAAATTTGCTAATATTATTACTATTGAATACAATTTGACAACTTATTAAGAAAATAAAATATTTCCATGTATGAGACTAAAGAGCTATAATTTATCATTTCATGTTATTTATTTATTTGTTATCTAATACACGGAATTCAATATAATCATGCTTTATCACTCTCACTTAAAAGTAGGCTCTCCTAGTCACAGAAGATTTATGAGATGCAATGAACTAGAGGCCAAGATCTCAGCCATAAAGTCAGTGGTTGTTGCAAGGGAGGACATGACAAGAAAAATACGACCACATTGCATGCAACCTTAAAATAAAAATTTTGACCGCAGGTTCCATGTTGTGCTTCTTTTAGATTCTTGTGAGTACACGTGCCAATCAGTAATCTAGCCAGAGCTCTAAAACTTCCTTAAATGTCCCACTATGACAACTGTATATTGTTGACCATGGCTTGGAATTTTCCAGTATTTGGATTTATATGTCTAATGTCCTATGACATTGGAAGCATTAAGGATTCTTTTAAAAATGAACTCCCATATGATAATGTTATGTTTTTAAGAACAACAACAACAAAAAACCAAGGGTAATATTTTATAGAATCAAAATACACATATGAAAGAAAAGACCATCACTGATGTACAAAATACTGAGCTATGCTTATTGAGAGTGGTAACCTGGTTGACATCTACCATTCTTGGGAGGAGATTAGAATGCCATTTAAGAGCTGATGATACCAGGTGCCAGCTTTTAGAGTACACCTGAATAATGGAATGATATTTTAATTTCGGTCTTTTTGTTTTGTGCATTGTGAGTGTGCTATCTCAAGACTCTCAAAATAAATTGTTTAATGATTTAAACTGGGTTTTTAAAATGTATTTTAATTATGTCCAAGATCAAATTAAAATGATGTCTAGTGAATAACAAACATTTTCAAAAGTGACATAACATAAAGTGTTTTCTTTGCTGGTATGTAAAGTAGGAAGGATGCATTTTACTTGTCAGCTTTCTGTTATAACTCCCAACCATTTATTCTAACTATATGATGGGTCTGCCCTGAAAAATACCGCAAAGATTATTCACTTGGTCAAGGTCCTCTCCTTGAATACTTTTTTAAAAAACGTACTATATTGCTTTCTGCCGCCATTAATTACTAAGGGTTTATTTACAAGACAATAATTAATTATTCCTCTGGGAAACTCAAGAGTCAACATGAATCAAAGCAGGCTTGGTAAGGAACATAGAAGTCTCACATAATTAAGCAGGGCACTGGAGACCAATTGTTTATAGAATGATTTTGCTGCAGCTAATTGACACTAATTATTTAATCTGATTTTCTTCTTCCTAGTTATTCTTCTACAGTCACTGCTTTCTGCTAACGATGCACAGGAAAGGTGCTCTGTGCTTTCATTCAGTGTGGCCAGCCTTCCCTATAGAAAATCGATACTGATATTGATAACTGACATTTTCCAACATGTTACAGAGTGTTATAGAAAACAAACCACAGAAGACATCAACAAATTATCAATAGTAAAAGTACATATCAGGCAATAACTTGTATCTTAAACTTTTTTTTTTTTTTTTTTTTTTTTGAGAAGGAATCTCGCAGTCACCCAGGCTGGAATGCAGTAGCATGATCTTAGCTCACTGCAACTTCGAACTCCTGGGCTCAGGCAATCCTCCCACCTCAGCCTCCCAAGTAGCTGGGATTACAGGCACAAGCCACCATGCCTGGCAGTAGATTGTATTGATAGTCATCATCTCCAGTTTTCACTCTGAATTAAGTTTAAATCATTTTAAAAATGTGTATGAATGAAGGTGTGAAATGCGTAAAGATGCAATGAACTCAGAGTTTCCATATTATTTTTTATGCATGAGATGAGGTAAGGACTGTGGCATGGTTAAAAGGAAAAATGCGAGTTTATGCAGCTGCCTAAGTAAAAAGAAATATTCCGATGAAGCATATGGTAAAACTTAGGGGAAAAAAATCACATGCAATCATGCTACTCTCCATACAGGATCTATGGTGATGGTTAAATGAAAAGTTGGGAAATATGCTCATTAATTAAAAAACATGCAGTCTGAATTATATTTTATGGCACCAAGTGTCTCTGTGGTTTCTGCTTGTGAACTGCTCCCTCCTCTGAATATATCTGTTCTGTGACAACATTCACGGTTGAGATAATTGAAGATGGGTATTAATTTATTGGTGTGCTGTTTTGATTTATTGGCTTTTTAACCCTCCATCATATTCAAGCTAGCTATGCAAGATTCGGTCTGTAAGTAAACTTCTAACTAAAACATTAGGAGAAACGGAATCTATGCACCCTTTGTAGTACTGTGAAGAATAATAGGTTTACCTTTTTGTCCCTGTCATCAACCTCACTCTTTCTGTGAACACACTCCTCTCCTTGGTGATGTCCTAAATTAGCCTGTATTAGTAGTCTCTTTTCTAAATTGCTCTCTCCTCTTTCTTTTCTTTCTCTGCCATTAACAGTTATTTAGGAATAATTTATTCCTCAATCTCTCATTCTCTATTTTTTGTAGGGACAGATAACTAAGGGGTCAATTGCTTGATTTTTTATGTATTCATTTCTCTACGTTATTGCCAGTTCTAGATTTTATTAACATTTTGTTCACCCTAGAGTGCCCCAAAGAACTTAGTGTAGTCAGATGATTTAGACATGAAAAGAAGTATTTCAGAATATTGTAAGAAATACAAATGGGAAATTGCAGAGTTCAGAGTGGAAGGACATTCACCCAGCCTGAGAGGTGGAAGAGATCAGTTAAAGCATCCTAGAAAGTTGAGGAGTAGTTAGTCTCCTCTGCTTGCATCAGAGTATTTAATGTCCATGATTAAAATCCATCCCCAAGCTAAGTAGCTAAATAAGCTAAAGAGATGTAGGTGGTTCTCTTTTAGAGACACTGCGAGATATAATAATTGACCTTATTTTATACCAGCCATTGTTCTAAATGCTTTACATGCTTACGTAAATTAATCTTACAATCTCATGAAGACAAAATGTTGTGTATTTGCTTATTGATCCCCATTCTACACATGAGGAAGCTGAGGCACCAAGATGAAATAACCTGTCCAAGATCACATAACTGCTTAATAGTGAAACTGGGATTCAAGCTCAGGTGGTCTGACCCAAAAGCTGATTTCTTAAACCTGGTATCTGAAGGAGACTTGGTGATATTTTTATTCCAATATCGTTGATCATTGTAGTTCTAAAGTCCGGCTTCTCATTAGGATCACTTGGTGGAATTTTAAAAATAAAACTGATCTCTGGGGAAATGCCTGGGGCCAAGGCGTGGGCACTTTCAAAGGCGCTCCTGGGGATCTTGAAGTGCAGTCGAGGCTGCTAAGGCTTGCTCTAACCCCTGAAGTGGGAGGTCCCTCTACCTGGCTCATCTCCATACCCTTCCCCCATAGTTTCTAAAGGTTGTAAAAGCAGGTCAACAATACTGCCAAAAGCAGTTTCTCAGGTGCTGATTCCCCACGTTACCCTTGGTAAGCCAAACTTTGCACATTCCAGGTCTTGATATTTGTGAATAGATCAAAACTGGCATGAATGTTGTCCTGGGACCAACCCAGGTTGGAGTCTTCCTGGATGACTAGTCCAATTTACCATTGGTGGAATTTTATTTTATCTATTCATTTTTTTTGAGACAGGATCTCACTCTGTCATCTTTACTGGAGTGCAGTGACGCAGTCTCAGCTCATTGCAACCTCTGCCTCTTGGGTTCAAGCAATTCTCATGCCTCAGCCTCCCGAGGTAGCTGGGATTACAGGCGTGTGCCACCACACCTGGCTAATTTCTGTAATTTTAGTAGAGATGGGGTTTTGCCATGTTGGCCAGGCTGGTCTCGAACTCCCAGCCTCAAGTGATCCACCCGCTTTGGCCTCCCAAAGTGCTGGGATTACAAGCGTGAGCCATTGCGCCCTGCCTCATGGGTATAATTTTAACAACCTGATGTCCTGGGATCCCTGGGCCTTTCTCCTTTCAAACTCCACCATTCTCCAGTGCATCCCAACCTTTTAATGTGCAAAAGCACTTTGCCAGTCTTTGGAGAAACCTTGGAATAATAAGACCTTTCTAGGCAGATAAATTTAAGCATAATCTAATAACTTGATTTATTAATTGTAAAGGGCTTTTTAAAAAACAAAACCACAAACCATTATCATGCCTAATACAATTTTTAAAATTCTTTATTAATATGATTATCAAATTGTATAAAAAGTCTTAGAGTTGGCTTATTAGAATCAGGATCCAAATAAGGTTTATGCATTGCATTTGGTCCATGTGGCTCTGATGTCTCTTTTGATATATATCAGCCCCCTCCCTCTTATCATGCTATTTATTTGTTGAAGAAACTATGGGGCTATTTCTCCTATAGAATTACCCATGTTTTATATTTGGCTGCTTATAATCTCCTGACATTTAGCATATTCTCTATTCTCTGTATTTTCTGTAACTTGCCAGTAAGATCTAGGCCCTTGATTACTGTGGATTTTGATTTTTTGCAAGCATTCTTTGTAGGTGTGTGTATTTTCTACTGTATCACAGCAGGAGGTACATAATGCCTGGCTATCCTGCTTTTAGTGAATAAGATTTATCAGTGAGTTCAAGTATTTCCAGTCTGAAACCTCCATTATAAAGTTCCCCATCAACATTTTACCTGATGGCTTCAGCTGCCATTGGATAGTTGCAAGATCAATTATTTCATCAGGGATTATAAAATGGTTACATTCTAATTCAGTCATTCCTTCTGCACTTATTAGCTAGATTTCTTTTATAAAGGAGAGCTTTTACTCATCAACTATTTAATTGATCTGAATCAGTTTGTTAAGAAAATGTTTAAAATGGTGGATTTTTTGCCTACCAATTTTCAGAGTAATGAATTTGATGTTCTGGTAACTTTTAAAGATAACTCAAATTCTTTGGTAGTATTTTAACAGCTTTCAGTGCGTTGTGGCTATTACTGTTTTCCATACTGACATTGGTCCATTTTCAGATGGGAGACCCTTTTCAAGTTGACTGCTATGTACTTTTGATATAACTCTAGTAGACTTTGATAGTATCCTTGCTTTCAGATATCATAGGCACATTCTGTGTAATACCAGCCCTGGAATCAGCCCTAGTTCCTTTTTATTGGGAAGTGGTATTTAAAGGTCACAATCTGGGCCTTAGGGGTGCTCACTGCTACTGGTTGTACGTCATTGCTTCTAATCTTTTTAATAGGCAGATATGATATTTTTTAAGAAAGAGAGAAATACATTAAAAATGTTTATTATTTTCAATCCAAATATAAAATTGCAGTTTTTAAACTGATTTTTTAAAAAATGTATGATTGTATTTTTCTTGTAACAGAAAATGTTTCGTAATAACATTGACATAACCCATAATCACTTATTTGCTTTGTTCTTTTTTCTCTCTCCTTCCATATGTATATGTGTGTGTGTATATATATATATATATATATAAATACATACATATAATATTTCTACTAGCAGCTCTTAGTAAGGAGCTCTTAAAATGAATGCAGTAAGGAGCTCTTAAACTGAATGCAGTTTAATATTTTATTGTGGTTCCTTTTGTCTTTTTGATATATACTACTAGAACTGTATCATCATTTACTTCACTTTAAAGTCATTAGAAATAATTAACATGACTATGTTATCATAATAATGTATAGCTAGATTCATTTGTTTCAGTATGTTTTCAATTTTAAACGACTCCCTTTTAAAAAAGTTTATTTTAAATTATGTAAAAAATTTACATATTTCCCAAGTTAAAACCATAAAAATAATTTAGAGAGCTCTAACTTCCACCTTAGTTCTCTTCTTTTCTTTCTATTCTCATGTAGGTAACCATTTTTATTAGTTTCTTGGGTTATCCTTCCACAGTTTCTTTAGCAAGCACAAATACACATACGTATACGTGCACACACCCACCCCCCCACCCAAGTGCATGAGTATTTTTTCCTCTTCTTACATAGAGTTAGTCAGTAATACATATACTCTTCTGCCCCTTGTTTATTTCACCTAATGATATACCCTGGGGGCTCCCTCCACCACAGAGTTTAGAAGCCTTCCTTTTCACTTCTCATAGCCACAAAGCACTGCATGGTATGGGTGGCCACAATCGGCTGCTATGTTTCCTTCTCTTTCTTTGCAATTCCAACATGATCTTTTAAGTTCAGTTATTTTAGTCTCAGAAGAATCCTACCTACTATTTCCTATCCAAACTTCTCCACACCACACACACCTAACGTTTCAGCATATGGCAGCGCTTGGAGTAGGCATTTAATAAATTTCGAGTAAGTGGAATACATGCAGCAATGAAGTTTCCTTCATTTCACTCACAGAGAATCCCTGAAGTTAAGACTCACACTTTTTCTTCCTTGAGCAGCCCCTGATTTTTCAGCCTTGACGATCTTACAATACTCATATCTTTACCTGCTCTTAATCTGGCTTCATTCTGAATCTAGTTTCTCTCTGAGCACCCTTCCCCACCAGGATTACCCATGTGATCCCACCCCACCCCACCAGATGCCTGGATGACAACAGATTTCAGGATACAGAGATATTTCTTCTTTTTCCTTTTTTCTCCCTTAACCTAGTGATTTATGATGATATAATTGTTAGAGATATTTCTAATCTGAACTTTCTTTCACTTCTTCAGAATTGCCTCTCTCAGGAACTAATTTCTTCTCACTTATAGCATGGGACTATCTAAAAAAGAAAACCCTATGTTTTGTTATTTAGTTATACTCTACTTTATTCCAGAGAAGATTCTAGACACTTAACTGTGACTACATTATAGTTCTTTAGTGGCCAGCCAAAATATTGGAGGAGGGTTTTAAA
This sequence comes from Homo sapiens, assembly GCF_000001405.40. NCBI lineage: Eukaryota > Metazoa > Chordata > Mammalia > Primates > Hominidae > Homo > Homo sapiens. The sequence goes on from NC_000007.14 coordinate 20,869,348, forward strand.
TTATGGGCACATAAACTCATGCATATACAACTGGTAAACCTACCAGAAGCGTTTTTATATTGAAACAATTGTTGAAGTACTGTTTGTATGTCATTACTTAATTTAAAAATTGTATTCAATAGTATGAACAATCACATGTGTGACTTCTGAAATTTTATATTTCTCTAATTTAAGGCATGTAATTCCTAAGGCTAAGGAGAAGCTCCTGCAGGCTGTCTTTGTCTTATCATAATTAGTCATCCACTTAAGTTTTGGAATTTGATTTATCACGGAAGACTAAACTTTAAATTCTTCAGTGGACTTTTAAAAGGCACTTTTGAGAGTAATTTAAATTTATTTATTTATTTTTAAAAAGCTGCTTTGTGGTGGACACATAGATGTTTAAGTTGAAGATACATTTATTTTCCTGTAAGGGAATTAAGAAAACGCCCATGGCGGGGCGCAGTGGCTCACGCCTGTAATCCCAGCACTTTGGTAGGCTGAGGTGCGTGGATTGCTTGAGGCCAGGAGTTCAAGACCAGCATGGCCAACATGGCAAAACCCATCTCTACTAAAAATACAAAAATTAGCCAGGCGTGGTGGCGCACACCTGTAATCCCAGCTACTTGGGAGGCTGAGGCAGAAGAATCACTTGAACCCTGAAGGCAGAGGCTGCAGTCAGTTGAGATGATGCCACTGCAGTCCAGCCTGGGTGACAGATCAAGACTCCATTTCCAAAAAAAACAAGGAAGAAAAAAAACACCAATGTGAGAATAATTACTCACATTTTCTCCCTCCTAAGATTTTTATTATAAATATAAATGTAATAAATGTTCAGATTATAAAATGTAGATCATACATGAAGTAAAAAGAAAATATCCCTCTAAACAACTGTGATAAACAGTATTAATATTTCTATGTATTTCTTTCTAGGATTTTTCTAAATATAAAATATAAATTTATATAATTCAAAATATGATTGAAATTGTATTACATATAGTTTTTTATATTTTATTTTTCTTTACTTGTCATTATGCTTAAACATTTTTTAAATCATATCATTAAAAGTTTCTTATAATAGAATGCTAATATACCATTCTATTACACAGAAGTTGTAAAATTTCTGTAATCATCCTTCTGTTGTCTCACAACTATAATATTTTCCACGTTTAAAGGTATAAATCACTGTTCACATTTTGAAAAATTTTCTCAGACTCTATTCTAAGAAGAGAAATTACTAAGCAGCAATTGGCTCAGTGTTTTATCTGTCACCCTCATGCTTACAAAGATGATCAAGTAAATCAGGAAATATAGGAGATACAACTTTTGCCTTAATTTCAATCTTGACCCCTAGGCTGCCTGTCAAGAACAGTTGATGTCAGGCTGGGTGCGGTGGCTCACATCTGTAATCTCAAAACTTTGGGAGGCTGAGAGGGGCGGATGACTTAAGGTCAGGAATTCCAAACCAGCTTGGCCAACATGATGAAACTCATCTCTACTAAAAATACAAAAAAATGCTGGATGACAACAGATTTGTCGTGGTGGTACATGCCTGTATTCCCAGCTACTTGGGAGGCTGAGGCACGAGAACTGCTTGAACCTGGGAGGTGGAGGTTGCAGTGAGCTGAGATTGCACCACCGCACCCCAGCCTGGGTGACAGAGCGAGACTCTGTCTCAAAAAAAAAAAAGAACAGTTGATGTCAGGATGTCAGTTAATAAGAGTATTCCCTCAGCATAAGCAGTTTTGTGTCCTGGCTGGTCTCAGATGGCTCAGCATGGTGTAGTGCTAGGACAATGGGTAAAAGACAGAATTCTAGTTCTAGTCTTGGCTTGTTCATTATCTACTTGCATGATCTCAGCAACACTAACATCTCTGCTCCTTGGTTGCCAGGCCTATAAAATGAAGGAAGTGCATTATGTTTACTAAGATTACTTTTTTTTTGTAAAGACAGGGTTTCGCCATGTTGCCCAGGCTTGTCTCAAACTCCTAGACTCAAATGATCCACCTGCCTTGGCCTCCCAAAATGTTAAGATTATAGGCATGAGCCACCACATCCAGCCTAAGATTCCTTGTAGTCCCCAAATCCTCTGATTTTATGTTTAGGAGTTTAAGGTGACCCACGCAGTTTCAAAGGCTATTGCTTAAAGATGTGGCTGATTGGATTCCTGCCGTCGGCATTCCATGAAAGCCATGCTTTATTTGTAAATGAGGTGAGCACAGTTCTACTTGTTCTAGGTGAGTGCTGAGATTACAGATGTGAGCCACTGCACCCAGACTGACATCAGCTGTTCTTGACAGGCAGCCTATGTGTCATGATCGAAATTAAGGCAAAAGTTATATCTCTTACATTTCCTGATTTACTTGACCATCTTTGTAAGCATGAGGGTGACATGATAGTCCTAGCTGTTCTAGTTCACACGGCTTATATTGAGGAAGTACCACGTTACCTGGAAGACTTGTCTGGCAGCTGCCTCCCATTCTCTGGCAAGCTCTTTCAGTTCTATATATTGCAGTCTTCAAGAGAAGTTCTAGAGACAATTATCTGGAAGCTTTTGCTCACTGATAATCTAACCCTTCCATCTGCTATACAAGGAGATATGCAAAACATGCAATGTTAGTTCTCCAGTAATGCCCACTCATCAACCATTTGTCACCCATCCAATAGACAAAGACAAATCTATATTAAGAAGTTCAAAAGGGCCAGGTGCCGTGGCTCATGCTTGTAATCCCAACACTTTGGGAAGCGGAAGCAGGAGGAGGATTGCTTGAGCCCAGGAGTTCGAGACCAGCCTGGGCACCATAGTGAGACCTTGTCTTTACAAAAAAAAACCAAAAACCAAAAAACAAAAATAAACATTAGCTGTGCATAGTGGTGTGCACCTGTAGTCCCAGCTACTTGGGAGACTGAGGTGGGAGGATTGCTTGAGCCTGGGAGATGGAGGCTGTGGTGAGCCATGATCATACCACTGCACTCCAGCCTGGGCAACAGAGGGAGACCCTACCCTATCTTGAAAAGAGAAAAAAGAAAAAAGAAGAGAAGTTCAAAATGTCTTTTCGAGCACAAGATACAGGAATGTATTATTAATTTTCCATTGATCTTCAGCCTAAAGTAAAGGTTTACAGAGCAGCAACTGTAGCCAATCTATCATGTGACTATAACATGAGGGAACTGCCAAAATCTCATGTGACATCAAGAGGAGTATTCACAGGGCTATCCACACTCACCCTCAAATAGAAAGAGATGGCCACTCACAGAAAGATCTCAGAGAAAAGTTTGTTATATTGCAGTGGTTCTACAATTTTAGCATGCATCAGAACCAACTGTTAAAACACAGATTGCAAGCCGGATCACTTGAGCCCAGGAGTTCAAGATCAGGCTGGGCAATATGGCAAAACCCCGTCTCTACCAGAAAAATATAAAAATTAACCGGGCATAATAGCACATGGTTGTAGTCCCAGCTATGGGTGGCGAACTGAGGCAGGAGGATCGCTTGAGCTTGGGAGGCAAAGGTTGCAGTGAGCCAAGATTGCACTACTGCACTCCAGCCTGGGCAACAGTGAGACTCTGTCCCAAAACACAAACACACACACACACACACACACAGACAGACAGACAGACAGAGAGAGAGAGAGAGATTGCAGAGCCCCCTATCCCCAGAGATTTTTGTGTCAGTAGATCTAAGCTTGGCCAGAAGAATTTGCATTTCTGTCAAGTTCCCAGATGATGCAGGGATGACAATACATATTCTAGAGAGACTAACCCAGGGACAGTCAAAGTAGTGAAACCAAGAGTGTGGATGCTAGAGCATAATAATTGAAGGTAGTCCTCGCAGAATTTGGCTGTCAGAGATGAAGTAGCTAAGCCTAAGAAACCACCTGGATAAGAGGCTAAACCAACAACAGCAACAAGCTCTTTACAGAATAACAATCTACAGGTCAGTGATACATTAAACTAGTCAAATATCAGATCTTATCAATTGACACCTCTCTTAGCTAGTAATGTTATCTCTGGTTTTCTCTTACCATATAAATAATAGTGATAGATTACTAATAGAGTGGAATATTGTTGAATATTGGCTCACAGGAACCATCTGTTTTTCTTGCATTTTTTCCAGATAAGGTTTTTTTTTTTCCACATTTAAATGATCTGCATCTTGAAGTATCTGCCATTTATAAAGGGAGTTCAATATACCACAGCACCTAGGAATATGAGTGGGAGGAACCCTGTTTCATAGTTACTTTGTCCTGGAGGCACTCCCTCTTGTCCAAGTTTCAGCCAGGGAATCAATGGGGGAGCAAACCAAGATCAATTTTAATTGATTGTTCTGGTTTTTAAATAATTTGCATTCTTCCCTAATACTTGACAGAATGACCACAGTACTTGAGTTTTGTACCCTGTAATTTTAACTCTAATTCTTAAAGCATTTTACTGTACAGCAACTTTTGCATCTACAAACAGCATACTGCCCTCATGGTTTGTCAGAGGAAATAGGGGAGCAGAATAAAGGGGGAAATGTGACAAAAACGTGCTTTTATTTGTGTACTTACACACACACACACACACACACACACACACACACACACAGACTCTAGCTGCCATGGTTCCCATTGCTGTTATTAAAATGTTGTGTAGGGAATAAAATTTTGCAAATATTAAATTGATGCGCTTTAATTTGTTCTTAAATCATGTTTGCAGACTTCTGCCTCCAAAATTATGTCATAAGGTTAGTTGCCCCAAAGCAGGAGACAGCAGCATTGGGAATGGTCTTTAAAATCAGGTTTGGATGCTACAGTACACTGGTAATCGCTTTAGCAAATGGTTAGCAAATGTGGCAGATGGCATTGGTTGTCTACCCAGCAGTGATTCTCTGCTTCTAATCTTGCTAATAGAATCCAGACTGTGGGGCATTCATTGTGCCCAGCCTTTGGAGTGTCTAAGTAATTCAAATGACTAAAAAATACTTACAGAGACTATATAAATTAGTGGTTCTCCATTTTGATGGTATATTACATTCGACTGAGGAGCTTAAAAATACTGAAATCAGGGATCTACTCCCATAAATTCTGGTTTAATTAATCTAGAGTGAGACAAGGCATTGATATTTGTAAAAGCTCAAAAGTAGCTATGGATGAGAATCATTGGTTTTAATTTTTGAAATCATCACATTTTAAAACAAGTTGGTCTATTCTCAGTTCTCTCTTTACTTCCAGTTATGAGAATATATAAAGACAAAATAATGAATAATATGGATACTACACTGGAAAACTGCCAACATCTCATTTAATACCAAGAGCAGTAATTACAGGGCCAAGTACACAGCATTAATGAAACTAAATTTCCTTTGTATCTCTGAGTCAGTCTGAGAAAACGTGTGGACTGCCTAAATAATATCCATTTTTGAGTCCTGTCATTGGTAAGATATTTTCCATACACACTCATTAAACATTTATAACATTACAAAAATGTGGAATTAGTATCCATCCCCATTTTATAGATGAGAATATTGAGGCATGACAGGAATATAGTTAGTAGAATCAACCCAGATTTCTTGGGCTCCAGAGTTCATAATCTTTCTACTCTACTGTTACTGCTTTTCAAAAGCTGTCTCTTTTCACCCCCTTCCCAATATCAGATCCTCTGCTTATATAGGGCAAAGCCAGCATTGGAATTTGCCATTTCTGTCTAATACTTCAGCTCCTAAATTTTAGATTCAATATAGTCATGAGCCAGTTCTATTGGATTACTTTTTGGGACCAAGACTGTGTCTACCAGTCCAAGTCCTCAAGGCCAACCCCTTCAGCTCCTGGGAGCATTCCAGTGCCTCCAATCCTAGAGGAATGACAGCAATTACCATGAGCTTCTTGGTGTTCATTTTTAGAAACTGTTTTTCCGTTCTGGAAATATTTGTCCTGAATCATCAAGAATTAAATTCATCAGTACATTGTGTCTCAGTCACTTTGGGATGTAAATGATCAGGATTGGCCATCACATCCAGCAGGCTGACTGGATAAAAATCAGATTTTTTTTTTTTTTTTTTTTTTTTTTTTTTGAGACGGGGTTTCGCTCTTGTTTCCCATGCTGGAGTGCAATGGCGCGACCTCGGCTCACTGCAACCTCTGCCTCCTGACTTCAAGCGATTCTCCTGCCTCAGCCTCCTGAGTAGCTGGGATTACAGGCATGTGCCACCACGCCCAGCTAATTTTGTATTTTTAGTAGAAACGGGGTTTCTCCACGCTGCTCAGGCTGGTGTCGAACTCCTGACCTCAAGCGATCCACCCGCCTCAGCCTCCCAAAGTGCTGGGATTATAGGCATGAGCCACTGTGCCCGGCCCAGATTTCAATTTTAACAAAACATTTCTTGTCATGCATTTTAACTGTTAATGCGCCTTATAAGAGGGACTATGATGTTCCAGAACAAAATTTAGTTTCAAGTCTGAATTTTCTCTTTTGGCCTACTAGTGACTGAAAATGCCCTAGACGATTTGTTATTGTTAGTATTTTGCTTAGCTGTCAACAAAATCTTCTTTACCTATAATCAGTGGATATGGGGAAAAAAAATCTCAAGCCAATATTAACTCACTTGATTTATTTTGTTTCTGATATTTCTCTTACTTTACTCATTTTTCAGTTCATTGCATCTAAGCTGTTGAATTCTATTAGGCAGGGCCATTTTCCAAATGACCAAAGCAGTTGTAAAAAATATTACTGTTAAGTTTCTGAATAATATAGTACCTCAATTCATGTTCATTTGCACTCCCTGAACTTGCTGGGGTTTTTTTGGGTAAATATGACAGAGGTGTATTGATCTCTTAAGTGCTTAATCAAGCTCTGTTAATACTGCTAGCCATAAACTACCTATCAGAATGGCATGGCTTGGAAATGTTTGCATGTATGAGTCAAACTTAAATAAAATAATTTATCACAAGACTACTTTTCTGGACTTACTGGGAATGCATACTAGATTTTTTTTTTTTGCATGGTGTTATTAACCTACATGTTGGCTTTGTCTAATTCTATGTAAAGTATGCTGATTTATTAGAATGCTCACTCTACAGTAAACTGATAATTGGATGCTCTTGAAAGAATGAGTTTCATTGATCTAGTCAATGACCACAGATATTACTGAAGTAAACCTCTTAACAGTGTTGGGGCGTATTTTGGCCATGATCAATGTTTCTGGATCTTCCCTTGTATTTTTTGTTTTGTTTTGTTTTATTTGGCACTATCTGCATTGATTTAAATCTGCAACAAATTTAATGTGCTAAATTTATCTTGACACAAAATTTCATTACTTTTCTGGAGATGCGAACTTTTCTTTGTTTATTATAGATTAAAAATCTTCCCTGACAGTCTTTGAAAATAATCTATTTGTACTTACGTCAATATGCATCAGTGGTTGACAATAAGTAAAGTGAAAAATTAAAGCCATCGCCCTTAAAATAATTGAATTACATTTCTTTTCTTTTTGTTTTTAAAGCCATTGCAAGGATCTACCTTGGTGCCCTCTAAAGAAATTCTGAATTTTCTGAGAACAAGAGGTCTAGTCCCATATGTGGAAGTCTTTTCTGTATGTCTCTGAGTAGAAAGTGAGAATTGATATGCCAAGGGATGAGTAATGAGCCTCATCTTGATGCAGAGTCCCCAAGAACCAACTTTTACTGAGGAGCATGCAGGCAACTTTATACCCCATTTGACAACATTAAACCCAAAAGAAGAAAATCAGACACTGGTTCGAAACTATGTGCAGATTGCTTATCAATCCTCTGACATATACATAATGAAAAGATGTAAAATATACAGTTTAATGGCATTTTGTTAGAATTACAAGACAAAGAGGGAAAAACCCCACGGTATGAATATGTATGCCATACTTTCTGGTTAGAGTAGAAGCTACTTGAGAATGTTTGATTTTTTTGTTCCCCATTTTAATGTTCAGGAAGTTAAAATTTTCTCTAGGTATAAAGAAAATAAGGGTCACCATGTTTATTTGATTGGTTTTCTTTGAAAAAATAGTATAAAAAGCTATACATGCATATAGTAATAAGTTCAAAAGGTAGCAAAAGGGATTTGAGGCAAAAAATAAGCCTCCTCCCTCCTAAAAGTATTAGGTAATAGGCTACCTAAGATCTTCCTGAAGACAGCCAGCTACCTGTTTCTTGCATATCCTGCCCTAGACACGTTCAATGCATTCACAAATATATATACGTATGTAAATATATGTGTATGTGTGTATATATATTACGCACCTGCATTCAACACATACACATACACAAATGATAGCATGTTGCACAGTGTCTTCTACTTCGATGTTTTTCATTTAATAATGCTTTTTGAAGAGTTTTTTTTATATCATTGCACGCAGAGTTGTTCCATGCCTTTTCTTTTTTTTTTTTTTGAGACGGAGTTTCACTCTTGTTGCCCAGGCTGGAGTGCAGTGGTGCGATCTCGGCTCACCACAACCTCCGTCTCCCAGGTTCAAGCGATTCTCCTGCCTCAGCCTCCCGAGTAGCTGGGATTACAGGCATATGCCACCACGCCTAGCTAATTTTGTATTTTTAGTAGAGACGGGGTTTCTCCATGTTGTTCAGGCTGGACTCAAACCACCCAGACCTCAGGTGATCCGCCCACCTTGGCCTCCCAAAGTTCTGAGATTACAGGCATGAGCCACCATGCCTGGCCTGTTTCATGCTTTTAAAAAACTGCATAATATTTTATCAATGTAGCATAATCTATTTAAGCAGTCCTCCATTGATGGACATTTAGGTCGTTTCCAATTCCTTGCTATATTGAATAATGTTTTAATAAATATCATTTTACATAGATTATTTCTTACATATGCAAGTATATCTTTAGGATATACACATATGTGGAATTTAAGAATACGTTTAATTAAAATTTTGGCAAGCTTTGCCAGTGTGATATTTGGGCATTTAACAATCAGTGTCGCACAGACTCCAATCCATCAGAATGGATGTTGGCTGTAGACAGCTGGAAGTATTAGGTAATAGGCTACCTAAGATCTTCCTGGAGACAGCCAGCTACCTGTTTCTTGCATATCCTGCCACAGACACGTTCAATGCATTCACAAATATATATATGTATGTATATATCATGTCAGATGAGAATATTGTCAAACTGCTCTTCAAAGATGTAATTGATTGTCCTCCCTTAAATAAGTTATGAGGACAGGTACTATAGTTTTCCATTACTATTCCTATTTATAGAATTAGCTAACTCTCGATGGTTTTTAAATAATCATTACTACCAATAAAATGTTACCTGAGACCACTGGTGAATTGTAGTCATAAAGGTGCTATATTTAGACTGCATGTTAAGTATATTAAATATGTTATGTTATTCATTACAAAGAAAAATTAAATATTGTCTATCAACGTTAACATCACATAGAGCTCCTTCCTGATGTAGCTGAAAAAATGACCAAAGCAGGGGGCTTAACTGCCTCTTTTTTTGGAAGGTAAACTTCATGGGGGCAGGAACTTGTTTTGTTCTTTTTCCCCACAATAATATCTTCAACATCTAGAAAAATGTCTGGTAGTGGTAACTAAATATTTCCTTGCTGAATACATATATAAACATTGAACTGAAATACAGAGTCTTCCCTACAAGGACAAGGAAAAATTGTAAATATTCGTATAGTCACACTTACTTTTCTTGTTACATCTATTTTCTGTTTCCTAACATTTGGAGATTGGCCACTTGTTTATTATTATTATTATTAGAGATGGAGGTCTTGGTCTATTACACAGGTTGGAGTGCAGTGACACAATCACGGCTCTCTGCAGCCTCAGTCACCTGGGCTCCAGCAATCCTCCCGCCTCAGCCTCTCAAATAGCTGGGGCTACAGGCATGCACCACCATGCCTGGCTAATTTTTAAAGTTTTTTTTTGCAGAGATGGAGTCTCATGATGTTGCCCAGGCTGGTCTTGAACACCTGGGCTCAAAAAATTCTCCCACCTTGGTTTTCCAAAGTGTTGGGATTACAGGTGTGAGCCACTGTGCCCAGCCATGGAGACTGGCCACTTATTAAAGAGGTATCCTGAAGTCAAAATTGTTAAAACAAAGCCTATATTTCACTAGGAAGAAATCCTTGAGGAAGAGTGTCTATGTTTGAATATTCTTAAGCCATGGTTATTGCTGAAATTTGTACATTTTATAATATGGTAATTGTATTTAGCTAGCTGATGTCTTTTGTTTTGGAGGGCTGGGGTGTAGATACTTGTGAATGTAGAATTTAGCACCTGAAGCAGTAATTATGTGTACTTAGAAATTACAGGGTAGGAACTGGAAATTGGAATGGAAAAGGCAGGTTATGGAAAATAATATGCAATATATAGATTTATATGTTAAGTACTGTGGGGACACATAGCAAAAAATGCTTGTGATACCTTAAAACAAAGTTGCTAACTTTCTTAATTCTCTCCCGCCTCCCTGCCACCTCCAGTTCATGAGAAACAGTGAGGCAAAGTCATGGAACAAGATGATGATTCCAAAACACCACAATATCAACACTGAATTCAATGCAGTCTCATAAATTGAGACTGTCTGGGAAATGCTTGGTGTAGGAATATGGTTTCACATCTAATGCAAAGTCTTCACAACAAACTGCATTATTTGGACTGTTTTTTAAACTTTTCTCCCATGGAAATATAATTCTGTATTGTAAACACAGGAAGTTGAGATGACTGAAAAAACAACACAGAATTTCAGATAAACAAGGACTAGCTAAATGTAGTAGGTGAGACTATATAGGAACCTTAAAAGAGTATGAATGCCATTTTTTTTTTTTTTTATGGAGTCTTGCTCTGTCCCCCAGGCTGGAGTGCAGTAGCATGATCTCAGCTAACTGCAACCTCCACCTCCCAGGTTCAAGTGATTCTCCTGCCTGAGCCTCCCAAGTAGCTGGGATTACAGGTGCCCGCGACCACTCCTGGCTAATTTTTGTATTTTTAGTAGAGATGGGGTTTCACCATGTTGGCCAGGCTGGTCTCAAACTCCTGGCCTCAAGTGATCTGCCTACCTTGGCCTCCCATAGTGCTGGGATTACGAGGTGTGAGCCACCACACCCGGCCTTGAATGCTACATAATTTTTAGGAAAGACTCTAACTGTAAGCTTCATGAAGAGTGGGTTTCTTTGGTTCACCATTAATTCCTGCACCTAGCACCCTGCACAAAGTAGGTACTAACCAAATATTTGTTGAATGAATTCATGAATGAAAAGGAAGAATGTTCTTTGTCAGGCTAACATAGGGGAATCTCAGCAAAAGCAACAAGTGGTCATCATTTGTTAAAATGTTGAACTTCATAAAGGGAAGGGATAAAGCGTGAGTTATTAAATAATGCCTGTGATATCCAGCCCGTATTCCATTAAGCCCCAGGCTAAAGGGTGAACAGTTAATTTCATAGCTGTACTAAATAGTTATATCGCATATCAGTCAAGGTGATATATGCCTCTAAATCCCTCGGAAAGCACCCAAGGGCAGAGGCCAGAAATCATTATAAGCTTGACTAGGAAAACCACTAATAAAGTGGGTCATGGAACTTTTTTTTTAATGCCAAGAAAATAATGTAATAATGGGATTGTGTCTTTCCTCATTTCCTTTGAAAATGCTTTTAATATTAGGATCTTTTCAATCAAAGGATTTAGGAATATTCTAACAATGAAAGTTTCTGTGTTTTACATTCAGTACTTATTAAAGTGGATACCTTCTGAGTTGTATTATCAGATTAACATCTCTATGAATCAAAAAGGAGAGAGAGGGGAGTTTATTGGGCTTTGTAAAGATATTTACATTAGGAAGGCTGACAATTACTAAAGTTTTATTTGAGGGTAGTAAATGGGAAGATTTTCTGTGTGAACATTGAATGTAGATAATAATAATGGAAGAAAGTTTAATAGATAAGGCTTTAGAATTTTACAAAGAGCTTTCACTTATAATATGCAATTAAGCATATTGGAAAAGCTATTGAAAATAAAGCATCGTTCCACATTAAAGAAATGAGGCCTGGAAGCAATATTCACAATTAACATCAGGTTAGTTCATCATCCTTTGATTTACAGTGATTTAACAATGTAGCATGGCACACATTTTTCAAAATCCAATTGCTAATCTTTTTCAGGTCAAAATGAATTGGAACATGATTAGAACTTCATCTTGGTGTTCTGACCTGAAATGAAAATGCATGTACCAGTGCTATCAAGTTTGCATTACTTCTAGGTACTACATCATGTTTCTAGGATGGTTTTTCATCATCACAGCAACTGCACCTTGCTGGCTTATCCCTTTTTATTCCTGGAAGAGTTGGAATTCCCTTTGAAGTAAAAGGAAGTTCTGCATGTGAGATAAATGTGGAGTCTCACTGTGGAGGTGGTAGAATAAACAGGGGTTGGGATGAACATAGATACTATTCCAATCCTTTGTGTGTTCCTTTTCTTCTATCCCAAAACTTCCTAGTGAAGCACTTTTCTAGAAGTCTTCCCTACTCACCTACAAAGTGATGTGGTAAAACAAATTTTCACCTTTTAATCAAGAAAGATATTAGTTAAGACGTGATTTAGCAATTTCCAAGGAATCTCTGATTTTTGCAAAACATATTGGGGAAGGGATCGAATTCTTCAGTGTTTCCTTTGGGATCATGCAATAAAGATGCAGCCTTGCTAATTGGTGAACAAAGCTGATTGGCTGGGATCGCCTTGGAATACTGCATTCAAATTTGGGTAATTCCCCCCAACTTAAGGTTACTGGCTTGTGCAATGTTAGATTGTAAAAACTAAAAGAATAGAGGAAAGACTTAACAATTCATCCCCAAATGCTTTTCTACATATTTTTAATCATATCTATGTGTACTCTAATAAGCAAGATAGACACTCATATAAATTTCTTCTCAGAGCTTCTGGGCAGATACAACCTGCTTTAAGAAAACTATATGTGAAAATCCAAATTTAACCTTGTTTTTTTTTTTTTTAAAACAAGATAACGATCCCCTTGAGAGCCTGTGAGAAACCAAAGGGAAGCTATATCCATTTGCTTAGTTCTGAAGGAGTTTCTATATTTTAAATGTTTAAGGGTCTTCTGAAGGGGGAGCAGTTTGTTTTAGCTAAGGGCCTGCAGCCACAAAGAGATTTGTGAATTTTCTACATACCTACGAAATCTAGCACTTCTTGTAGAGCAGCACTGGTAGTTTTGGGGGCATGATGGTTATGAGAAATTTGAGAATGAGCTAGAAATAGACTTTCTGGGAAAATATGGGCTGAAACGGATTCTCCAGCCCTTGATACTACGTAACAACAGACTCATAGTTGTACTTATTCGATGAAATGAGACAAATCTTAAGAGCACTGGAGGCTGAAAATGTGACTCTCTGTGGGCCATTTTACTTTTCTCTTCACAGGAGTCAATGAAGCAAGTTCATGAGACTCTGAGGCAAGGACACCAAACCAGGGGTTTTAGCTCCTACCCATGGTACTGGTAAGTGATTAAAGAGCTGCAGCTTCACAAGAGACAGCAAGGGCAAGGCTAGGGCCATAAGATTTCCTAAGTCTTGAAAGCAGGGAAAAGGCAGCTTGCCCATGCTTTTACTGGAAACAGCAAAATTCAAAGTCAGGAATTCCAAACTGTCAGAGGAAAAAGTGGATCATGGTTTTGTGGGGCCTGAAGCTTATACAACTTTCAGAATACAGAATAAGGTGTAGTGTAGGGCCCTCCAAGAAATCTGTGTTAAAGAAAGGTCCTGAAGCTTATGATATGATCTATAACGTATCTTTATCCCTCGCTGTGTAAAGCATAACATACGTCACTCTTTTTTCTATTGACACCTTGATATAACATCACTCTTGAGTAGTAGTAATAATAATAATTTGTTGAGCTCTTGTTATGTGCTAAGTTCTATGTTAGAACCTTCCTGCATTAGTTTGCTAGGGCTGTTGTAACCCAGTGCCACAAATTGGGTGGCTTAAAGCAACACAAATTTATTTTCTGAGCTCCGGAGGCTTAAAGACCAAAACGAGTGCATCAACAGAGCCAAATCTCGACCATACCACAAGTTACTTAACACCCCGTAGACCTTAGTTTCTTTCTGTTTTTAATTATTATTATAGTTTAGGTTCTAGGGTACATGTGCACAATGTGCAGGTTTGATACACAGGTATACATGTGCCGTGTTGGTTTGCTGCATCCATCAACTCATCATTTACATTAGGTATTTCTCCTAATGCTATCCCTCCCCCAGCCCCCCACCCCGCAACAGGCCCCAGTGTGTGATGTTCCCCGCCCTGTTTCCAAGTGATCTCATTGTTCAATTCCCACCTATGAGTAAGAACATGCAGTGTTTGGTTTTCTGTCCTTGTGATAGTTTGCTGAGAATGATGATTTCTAGCTGCATCCATGTCCCTGCAAAGGACATGAACTCATCCTTTTTTATGGCTGCATAGTATTCCATGGTGCATACGTGCCATGTTTTCTTAATCCAGTCTATCATTGTTGGACATTCAGGTTGGTTCCAAGTTTTTGCTATTGTGAATAGTGCCACAATAAACATACGTGTGCATGTGTCTTTTTAGTAGCATGATTTATAATCCTTTGGGTATATACCCAGTAATGGGATGGCTGGGTCAAATGGTACTTCTAGTTCTAGATCCCTGAGGAATCACCACACTGACTTCCACAATGGTTGAACTAGTTTACAGTCCCACCAACAGTGTAAAGGTGTTCCTATTTCTCCATATCCTCTCCAGCACCTGTTGTTTCCTGACTTTTTAATGATTGCCATTCTAACTGGTGTGAGATGGTATCTCATTGTGGTTTTGATTTGCATTTCTCTGATGACCAGCGATGATGAGCATTTTTTCATGTGTCTGTTGGCTGCATAGATGTCTTCTTTTGAGAAGTGTCCGTTCATATCCTTTGCCCACTTTTTGATGGGGTTGTTTTTTTCTCGTAAATTTGTTTGGGTTCTTTGTAGATTCTGGATATTAGCCCTTTGTCAGATGGGTAGATTGCAAAAATTTTCTCCCATTCTGTAGGTGGCCTGTTCACCCTGATGGTAGTTTCTTTTCTGTGCAGAAGCTCTTTAATTTAATTAGATCCCATTTTTCTATTTTGGCTTTTGTTGCCACTGCTTTTGGTGTTTCAGTCATGAAGTCCTTGCCCATGCCTATGTCCTGAATGGCATTGCCTAGGTTTTCTTCTAGGATTTTTATGGTTTTAGCTCTAACATTTAAGTCTTTAATGCATATTGAATTAATTTTTGTATAAGATGTGAGGAAGGGGTGCAGTTTCAGCTTTCTACATATTGCTAGCCAGTTTACCCAACATCATTTATTAAATAGGGAATCCTTTCCCCATTTCTCGTTTTTGTCAGCTTTGTCAAAGATCAGATGGTTGTAGATGTGTGGTGTTATTTCTGAGGCCTCTGTTCTGTTCCATTGGTCTATATATCTTTTTTAGTACCAGTAACATGCTGTTTTGGTTACTGTAGCTTTGTAGTATGGTTTGAAGTCAGGTAGCATGATGCCTCCAGTTTTGTTGTTTTTGCTTAGGATTGTCTTGGCAATGCGGGCTCTTTTTTGGTTCCATATGAACTTTAAAGTAGTTTTTTCCAATTCCGTGAAGAAAGTCATTGGTAGCTTGATGGGAATGGCATTGAATCTATAAATTACTTTGGGCAGTATGACCATTTTCACGATATTGATTCTTCCTATCCATGAGCATGGAATATTCTTCCATTTGTTTGTGTCCTCTTTTATTTCATTGAGTAGTGGTTTGTAGTTCTCCTTGAAGAGGTCCTTCACATCCCTTGTAAGTTGGATTCCTAGGTATTTTATTCTCTTTGTAGCAATTGTGAATGGGAGTTCACTCATGATTTGGCTCTCTGTCTGTTAATGGTGTATAGGAATGCTTGTGATTTTTGCACATTGATTTTGTATCCTGAGACTTTGCTAAAGTTGCTTATCAGCTTAAGGAGATTTTGGGCTGAGACGATGGGGTTTTCTAAATATACAATCATGTCATCTGCAAACAGGGACAATTTGACTTCCTCTTTTCCTAATTGAATACCCTTTATTTCTTTCTCTTGCCTGATTGCCGTGGCCAGAACTTCCAACATTATGTTGAATAGGAGTGGTGAGAGAGGGCATCCTTGTCTTGTGCCGGTTTTTAAAGGGAATGCTTCCAGTTTTTGCCCATTCAGTATGATATTGGCTGTGGGTTTGTCATATATAGCTCTTATTATTTTGAGATTCCTTCCATCAATACCTAGTTTATTGAGAGTTTTTAGCATGAAGGGCTGTTGAATTTTGTTGAAGGCCTTTTCTGCATCTATTGAGATAATTATGTGGTTTTTGTTGTTGGTTCTGTTTACGTGATGGATTACGTTTATTGATTTGCATATGTTGAATCAGCCTTGCACCCCAGGGATGAAGCCAACTTGATGGTGGTGGATAAGCTTTTTGATGTGCTGCTGGATTCGGTTTGCCAGTATTTTATTGAGGATTTTTGCATCAATGTTCACCAGGGATACTGGTCTAAAATTCTCTTTTTTTGTTGTGTCTCTGCCAGGCTTTGGTATCAGGATGATCTTGGCCTCATAAAATGAGTTAGGGAGGATTCCCTCTTTTTCTATTGATTGGAATAGTTTCAGAAGGAATGGTACCAGCTCCTCTTTGTACCTCTGGTAGAATTTGGCTGTGAATCCATCTGGTCCTGGACTTTTTTTGGTTGGTAGGCTATTAATTATTGCCTCAATTTCAGAGCCTGTTATTGGTCAATTCAGAGATTCACCTTCTTCCTGGTTTAGTCTTGGGAGGGTGTATGAGTCCAGGAATTTATCCATTTCTTCTAGATTTTCTAATTTATTTTCATATAGGTATTTATAGAATTCTCTGATGGTAATTTGTATTTTTGTGGGATCAGTGGTGATATCCTCTTTATCATTTTTTATTGCATCTATTTGATTCCTCTCTCTTTTCTTCTTTATTAGTCTTGCTAGTGGTCTCTCAATTTTGTTGATCTTTTCAAAAAACCGTCTCCTAGATTCATTGACGTTTTGAAGGATTTTTTGTATCTCTACCTCCTTCAGTTCTGCTCTCATGTTAGTTATTTCTTGCCTTCTGCTAGCTTTTGAATTTGTTTGTTCTTGCTTCTCTAGTTATTTTAATTGTGATGTTAGGGTGTCGATTTTAGATCTTTCCTGCTTTCTCTTGTGGGCGTTTAGTGCTATAAATTTCCCTCTACACACTACTTTAAATGTGTCCCAGAGATTCTGGTACATTGTGTCTTTGTTCTCATTGGTTTCAAAGAACATCTTTGTTTCTGCCTTCATTTCATTATTTACCCAGTAGTCATTCAGGAGTAAGTTTTTCAGTTTCCATGTAGTTGTGCAGTTTTGAGTGAGTTTCTTAATTCTGAGTTCTAATTTGATTGCACTGTGGTCTGACAGACAGTTTGTTGTTATTTCTGTTCTTTTACATTTGCTGAGGAGTGCTTTACTTCCCATTATGTGGCCAATTTTGGAATAAGCGCGATGTGGTGCTAAGAAGAATGTATATTCTGTTGATTTAGGGTGGAGAGTTCTGTAGATGTCTATTAGGTCTGCTTGGTGCAGAGCTGAGTTCAAATCCTGGATATCCTTGTTAACCTTCTGTCCCGTTGATCTGTCTAATATTGACAGTGGGGTGTTAAACTCTCCCATTATTATCGTGTGGCAGTCTAAGTCTCTTCGTAGGTTTCTAAGGACTTGCTTTATGAATCTGAGTGCTTCTATATTGGGTGCATATGTTTTTAGGATAGTTAGCTCTTCTTGTTGAATTGATCCCTTTACCATTATATAATGGCCTTCTTTGTCTCTTTTGATCTTTGTTGGTTTAAAGTCTGTTTTATCAGAGACTAGGATTGCAACCCCTGCTTTTTTTGCTTTCCATTTGCTTGGTAGATCTTCCTCCATCCCTTTATTTTGAACCCATATGCATCTTTGCACGTGAGATGGGTCTCCTGAATATAGCACACTGATGGGTCTTGACTCTTTATCCAATTTGCCAGTGTGTGTCTTTTAATTGGGGCATTTAGCCCATTTACATTTAAGGTTAATATTGTTATGTGTGAATTTGATCCTGTCACTATGATGTTTGCTGATTATTTTGCCTTTTAATTGATGCAGTTTCTTCATAGCATGGATGGTCTTTACAATTTGGCCTGTTTTTGCAGTGGCTGGTACTGGTTGTTTCTTTCCATGTTTAGTGTTTCCTTCAGGAGCTCTTGTAAGACAGGCCTGGTGGTGACAAAATCTCTCAGTATTTGCTTGTCTGTAAAGAATCTTTATTTCTCCTTCACTTATGAAGCTTAGTTTGGCTGGGTATGAAATTCTGGGTTGAAAATTCTTTTCTTTAAGAATGTTGAATATTGGCCCCCACTCTCCTCTGGCCTCTAGGGTTTCTGCCAAGAGATCCACTGTTAGTCTGTTGGGCCTTCCTTTGTGGGTAACTTGACCTTTCTCTCTGGCTGCCCTTAACACTTTTTCCTTCATTTCTACCTTGGTGAATCTGACAATTTTGTGTCTTGGGGTTCTCTTCTCAAGGAGTATCTTTGTGGCGTTCTCTGTATTTCCTGAATTTGAATGTTGCCCTGCCTTGCTATGTTGGAGAAGTTCTCCTGGATAATATCCTGAACAGTGTTTTCCAACTTGGTTCCATTCTCCCCATCACTTTCAGGTACACCAATCAAACATAGATTTGGTCTTTTCACATAGTCCCATGTTTCTCGGAGGCTTTTTTCATTTCTTTTTATTTTTTTTCTCTAACCTTGTTTTCTTGATTTATTTCATTAATTTGATCAGACCTTAGTTTCTTGTTCATAAAATATGGAAATGGGCAGGGGTTCTTAAGGTATTTTGCTATGTCAAGTTATTACTCTAAAATTTTCCCACACTATATTGGGATTTAAAAAATATTGACTACAATTAGCCATAAAAGCAAATAAAAAATTTAGAATAAACACCCAACATCATTCTATTGTGCAAACTGTTTTTTCGTAATAGAAATTTTTGCTTAATAATATTATGTTTTATGTCAATCCACGATGAATGGACATGTCGGGTTTCTATGGCTTTGTCTCCTTTCTCTTCCAAACATGTAGTATAGACCAGGGATTCCCAACCCCTGGCACTGGCACCGGTCTGTGGTTAGGAACCGGGCCACACAACGGGAGGTGAGTGGTGGCAAGTGAGCATTACTGCCTGAGCTCCACCTCCTGTCAGATCAGCAGTGGCATTAGATTCTCACAGGGGCACAAACTCTATTGTGAACTGCACATGTGAGGGATCTAGGTTGTGCACTCCTTATAAGAATCTAATTAATGTCTGATGACCTGATGAACAGTTTCATCCTGAAACTATCCCTCCTCCACCCCCATCTGTGGGAAAATTGTCCATGAAACCAGTCCCTGGTGCCAGAAAGGTTGGGGACCACTGGTATAGATTATCTGTTGAAATATTTCAAATCTAGAAACTCGAATGAAATTGAGGTGGGTTCTCTGATCCACTGGTCCCACCCAGTACCTGGGGTGTGGGCTTTAACCATCACACTATCATGTCCTACCCTCTGAGGGAGGTGCTTGCTTGTGGTATTCTTTGTAGTTAGTATAGAGCTCAGCAAAATGTCACAGAAGAGGTGCAAATCCTTTCATTCACAATGCATGAAGATGTAGGTGGAAAACTGGGAAAGCAGGTTCTCACCCCACAGTGGTGAGAACTTCTGATGAAGACACACCCCCTGGCAGACACTGCATGGTACTGAGAGCACTCACCAATGCCACCACAGTGACAGAACTTAGTCCTGTGTAGACCTCTCAGGTAAGCTCTCCCAGGTAGACCCTCTCAGTAGCCTCTAATCCTCCATAATCATATACTACCTTCTAGCTCCTCTCCATATCAGACTGTGGGAGGACAGGGGATCTGACCTTTTAAAAACAGACAAACCAACTAAACAACATCTAAAACATTCCCAGGACTCCATTATGGTACCTATTCTTATCTCCCTTGTATAAGTAAATGAACAGATGTAAAACTCAATCTCTTAACCTCTGTAAACTGGCATTAATAATTCAGCCTTTTATTGATTATTTTTTTCTGCTGGCCAACAAGCTACCTAGAGCCCTAAAAGGCAATGAATTAAAATATAAAAGATATTGTTGCCCATTCATTTAATAAAGTCTATCCATTTATTCATTTCCCCAATCAAGAAATATTTATTGAATGACCATTTTATGCGAGTCATAATTCTAAGCCCTGGGTATACGATGCAGAGGAGCAAATTGCAAAGAAATATCCCTTGCCTTCAGGGAGCTTGCAGTCTCACTTGTTAAAAACAAGTCTGATTTGACAATGCGTAGTGGAAAGTTAAATTATAATTCATATTTTCCAGCATTTATTTTTATTTGTAGTTTTAGCATTCATTAGATTTTAAAGTTTTATCACACATTTGTCTTTCTATTTTATCTTTAATTTTGTATTTGTGACTGATGGGCATTTTTTAGATTACTGGATCCTTGAGAACAGGAAGTTTTTTCTATTGTACAGGTCTTATTACAACAAATGCTTCTTAATCAGCACTTGTTAATGATTTTGTCATTTAAATTCACACAATTTTAACCTTGGAAGAGGCTTTAGAGATCATCTAATTTAATTTTCTAATTATATAGGTGAGACAATGGAGGCTCTAAGGGGAATAAAGATTTTTTTATAAAATGCTAGAAAGATCTGTAATTATTAACATTGTTGCCAGGTTCACATAGTTAGTTTGGTCAAAATAGACTAGAATCTAATTCTTCTGAATTATTTAATAAAACATTTCACTCAGTAATTATTTATTGAATAAAATGCAGTTTAAAGAGCTTTGATTTCGGACAAATGTCTTAAATTTAATGTTATTTCCTTCCTGCACAATCTTTGCCAATTTCTTCATTTCTCTGAGCCTTAGTTTTGTCACGGGTGAACTGGGGATAAAAATAATACATTCCTTTGAGAATTATTATGAGGATTAAATAGGATAAGATATGTAAAATACTTGGTATAAAATAAACTTAAAACCGACAGTCTCTCATCGTATGGATGGCCTGTTTGCAACATGGCTGCCAAATGTGTATGGAAGTCAGGAAAAGGTGAACAGGACCTGAGGTAAACTCAGCATATTCTCCAGCTCTCTTGGAGACACAACTGGAAACAGTAGTTCCATCTTCAAACTAAGAAAACTCATCTGGTTTTTGCACAATTCACAGGGAGGAGGCAGAGTCTAACTTGATACTACAGGAACTGAAGTGGCTAATTTGAACATTAAAAATAAATATTTAGCTTTTTGTTGTTGCTGTTCTCCAAGAGGGTGAGTTGAGTCCTACTGATTACAGTATGATTATTCCTTAATCTTGCATCGGTGATTTATTCAAGTGCCTTCTGCCATATGTGAGAGATCATATTCCTATCTTACATCTGAGTAAAAAGTAAATGTAAGTAGCGTTACTTAAAACTATGACAGCCGGGCGCGGTGGCTCACGCCTGTAATCCTAGCACTTTGGGAAGCCAAGGCAGGCGGATCACAAGGTCAGGAGATTGAGACCATCCTAGCCAACATGGTGAAACGCCGTCTCTACTAAAAATACAAAAAATTAGCTGGGCGTGGTGCCACACGCCCTGTAGTCCCAGCTACTCCGGAGGCTGAGGCAGCAGAATGGTGTGAACCCAGGAGGCGGAGCTTGCAGTGAGCCGAAATTGTGCCACTGCACTCCAGCCTGGGCGACAGAGCGAGACTTCGTCTCAAAAAACAAAAACAAAAGTATGACAAGATAACATTATCAATTTTTTCTTTTCACTGAAAGCTGTAATTATCTTATACCTTTAATCTCTGTAATTGTTTACTGTCTTTGAAATAAACAGTATTTGGGGAAGAGAAACATAGAAGCCTTTATGTTTAACAGCACCTGATTACCTAGCCTTTTTGGTAGTGGCACTTTGGCTGTGAGGAATAGGAGAGAGAAGTAGCTACTTGCCAAATGAAATAATGACTTTTATTTCATTATCTTTTTCTATACTGGTCACCTAACCACATGACTTTTATTTCATTATCTTTTTCTATACTGATCACCTAACCACAACAATGGCTATTTGTGAGAGGGACGATATTATAAAAATATAAATAAAATCATATATGCCTAAATAAATAGGGTATATTCATGCAATGGGATACAAAACGATCTGAGACCTAGCTACCTATCTGAAATACTAAACAAACTATTAACTTGCATAAATTTCTAAATTAAAATGTTGAGTAAAAAATTTAAGTGACATTATTATTAATATAAAGTTTAAGTGCTACTCTTCCTTAATGAATCCACTTTAGGGAAAATATCTATTTTATTTTTATTTCCTTTTTTTTTTTTTTTTTGAGACGGAGTCTTGCTCAGTCACCCAGGCTGCAGTGCAGTGGAGGGATCTCGGCTCACTGCAAGCTCCGCTTCCCGGGTTCAGGACATTCTCCTGCCTCAGCCTTCCCAGTAGCTGGGACTACAGGCGCCCGCCACCAGGCTGGCTAATTGTTTGTACTTTTAGTAGAGACAGGGTTTCACCGTGTTAGCCAGGATGGTCTCGATCTCCTGACCTCGTGATCCGCCCATCTTGGCCTCCCAAAGTGCTGGGATTACAGGCATGAGCCACTGCGCCCGGCCAGGAAAAATATCTATTTTAAAAACATGGGTGGGAAAGATGTTCAACTTCATGACAGCAATTCCCATGGGGAATGAAGGAAATTATATTAAAGAGAGGGACAAAGGAGGCTTCAATAGACTTTTTTTTTTTGCATTAAAAAATGCAACAAAAGTACTTTAACATGCAATTGAAAGTAGAACTTCCTGTGATAATGAAAATATTCTGTCTCTGTGTTGTCCATTCAGGTAGCCACTAGGCCACAAATAGCTACTGAGCACTTCAAACATGGCTAGTGTGACTGAGAAACTGAATTTTTAATTTTATTTCATTTTAGTTAATTTACATTTTAAATTAATTTAAATTTTAATGTGGCTAGTGGCTACCATATTGGACAGCCTAGTGTTAGACTACAGAGAACATTTTAAACCTTGCGTTTGACTTCAGTTTGGGAAGATCCCATCACATTTTTCTTTCATTATGAATGTGACTATAAATATTTGAAGAAAACTAAACAATCTCTTGATAACATCCTTTAGTATTGCAAAAGGACAACTGAAAGTTATTGAGGTATTGGGGGAGGGTGGAAAAAGAATTACGTTTGTGAAGTGGAATGAGTAGAAAGGTCACTATCCAGTTCCATTGGATATCTATAGAAAAGAAAGAATCAAAAGCACTTCAGGTACTCATGGGGGGTACTTTGGATTTGGTAACAGATTTGATAAGTGAAGACTTAATTTCCCCAGTGACTCAGCTGATACAGGAGGTTTTATCTTTTTCAGAAAATTAAGAGTAAATTGGCTGGCTCTATAGACTTACTGACTCCAGTTAGATAAGTATTTGCTGTGTTTATTAAGTTGTTTATGTAGTATAATAATACAAGTGATTTAATAAAGATAAGACTTCGGATAAATGTCAACACACTTCCCACTCTGCAGCTGGTCCATTTCAAGCAGTTAAATTAAAAGATAAAACACCACTCACAAAAAAATTGATCATTGTCCAAGGGAAACATTTAAAATTGAAAGAAATCTTCCACTTTCAGTACACAAAGCCATATGCATATGTGTAGGAAATGAACCTCTCTGTAATCCAGCAATTGTTTACCTAGAAGGAAAGGACAAGAAGCTATGTTTTGTAGGTGTTTGCTGTAATGAGATACAATTTAAAAGTACTTACGGTTTGTGGACAAGTATTAATGACCAGTGTTATTTATAGCACAAGTAATGGAGATCTTTGAATGATACAAAATAATTACTATTAATTTTGTTATTTATCTGTCTTTATATACATCAGGACATAGCTAGTGAAAGCTTACTAAAAGCTGTAAAATGTAGATGCTATTGCTGAAATTTAAATAACGTAAAGTGGATCTGAATTTTGCCCAACCTTCTCTGTTTACATCATTTTGGGAAAAGAAGTTTTGTTTTTACTTGTAGTTTCTCTAGAACATCATCTAAAATTTAAAAATATAGTAAAAAGGGTGATAATAGAGAAAGAAGATATATCTTCATGGTCTTTAAATCCTTGTTTCATTGGAGTTATCTTCCAGATTAGGGGTGATGAGGCTCCCTTCCTCTGTCCTCACAAAGCACTCAGGGAAAATTTTTACCATTTCATTATGCCCCTCATATATTTTTTCCATCTAAGGAAAAAACTTCTATCACAGTTGTTGGCATATGGAACTTTCTTAAAAGAATATTTACAGTGCAGTTCAGTTTAGAAGTGATAGCCCAGAGGGCCCATGGTCAGTTCTTGGTGAATTCGGAGCAACTGCACTTGCTTACAGGACACCAAGGTTGCTTTCACATAATAGGAAATATTGTATTAGCACATAAAGCATGATGCTAATGATGTCAACTTCTTGGTTTGATCAGAAAAACATTATTTACCACACATGGTTCTGGATTGGTCTTCTGTCTTTGAAAATTGTATGGAATATTCATAAGTGTTGTACAAGCTGTTTTTCAAATGCTTGACACACACTGACATTGGACATTTGCCATTTCAAATGCCTGGGATGAGATGTCGACCTGTTCTATGAACTGAAAAGTTGGCCTTTGTAACCAGGTCTGGTAGACTATTTAATGGCCACACATTTCTCCAATCCTTGTATCCAGGCCCCTGTGCAATATGACTTTGCTGTTCCTTCCATCCAGAAGTGGAGTCTATTTCTTTAGACCTAGATGCCGGGCTAATCATGTGACTTGTTTGACAAAGAGCATGTGCCCGAAGTGATGTTGTGTGAGTTCCGGAGGCTGGGACTTAACAGAATTTTCAGTTTCTGCCTTTGCATTCCTAGAATGCTACCCTGAGACCTCTGTGTGACGAAACTTGTGCTTACTGGAGGATGAAAAGCCATTAGGTGAACTGAGGCTTCCCAGCTGACAGCCAACACCAAATATCAGACAGTTGAGTGAGGCTACCTTGGACCCTGCAGCCCATCTGATCCTCCAGCTGAGTGTAACCACATGAGTGAGCTCAGGCAAAGCCCAGAGAAGACTTTTTGTTTTAAACCACCAAATTTCGTAGTAGTTTGTTATGCAGCAAAGGGTAGCTGAGACACTGAGGGTACAGCTTTTGTTCTGATTCTTAAGTGAGATTTTTGTGATAGCCTATAGAAAAATAAAGAAAAAGGATGCATTGTTAATTTCCAGATTCTTTTGGGTTTTAGAAGGATCTTAATTCCCTGATTTTGAGAGTGACATATAACTTAGTAGGGAATGACAGATGTTTTCATTAGTACAGTGTTTAAATGTAAAAGGTAAATTACATGATTAATGTTCATGCATTATTACTAACTTGTCCATTCTGTTCATGCAAATGCATTTTGTACAACATATTTTTCATGGTAGAAATTAAAATTATTTTCTTCAGGAGTTATGAGAATGAAATCAGCTGATGACTGACAAAAACAGTGGTTGAGATTTCCAGAGATTCTATATACAGGAATGACTCATCCAAATTTACCACACATTGTTCATTGTGTATATTTGTTAACCTCAGGAAAGTAAGTGTCTATGAAATGCTTGAAATAAATATATACCCACACATACTTCTTCTTATTTTACTGTGGTTGTTTTGGTTGTGTTGGTTGTTTCAGATTGCTCTGGGTCTGTAAGCAAAATTTAAAGGTTTTTTTTTTTTTTAAGTAAAAAAAATGTAGAAAAGAAAAAGCTGGAGGAAAGACGAGGAGAAGTAGTAGCAAAAATCATTCCTTAGTGCACTTGCTATAGGACTGCAACCTAAAGAAAGGCTAAAAGTTGACTAGTGAACCTTAAGCAGTTTTAAAATATGCTCACATTAATCAATATTTCTCCAAATATCGTATCAGTACAAAATTTCAACAGCAAGAGTAAGCACCTTTTCACCAAGTTGTAGGCAACTGAAAATGCTTCTCAATAAAACATTTTCCAATCTCAGCTCAGAGAAATAATAATCTTTTAAAAATGTAGTGCTTAGAAGGTTGGAAGAAAGAGCAGAAGATTGCAAAACTAGGCACAAGAAGTCCACCAGCTGTTAGAAAGTTCAAAAAGTCAATAAATGAAGCTAAATACTAGTCTTCTAAAGTCATTTTTCAGGTAAGATAAATAGGGTCTTTTTCACCTTAAATTCTCATTTGACAGTATCCCAGCACATGTCTCGGCTATTAATACACTTGGGTAGCCTCAGGGAGACTTTCAAAAAGTGGGTCTTAAGACACTGATATTCTTGTCTCCAGACTCATGAGTCATTTGGACGCAAGCATTGAATTTAAGAAGTAGTCACTTCCTCACCGTTGAGGCGCTGGTAGAAAACACATGATTATTGTATTGGAGATTCAATAAACATTCTTTCATTTTCAAAGTAGATTCTCACAACACTATTATGAAACCTTTCACTACTGGGTCTTTGGTGGGAAACGAATAACATGTCTTAAATTTGTCCCTAGACCCATGGCTCTGACCATCTCTGCATACCCCTCCCCAAATAAAGACAGTGAGGTACAATAGGGAGCAGCCACAGATGCTGGTCATGAATTTCTTCTAGCTAATAGGAAATAGACTCTGTTAATTTTTTTTTTTTTGACATAAGGTTTTCTGTGGCATTGGAGCTATTTTAATGGGGATTTGTTGCTAGGAGAATTCTACGATCACTTTTTAAAAGATGGATGTCTGATGTTTGCATTTTTAAAAATTACTGAAATGTTCTTCAGTCTTGGTTTAGTTACAGAAGGTTAGCTGAGATTGAGGTAGAGAGCATATTTTTAAAGTATGGAAACCTAATCCTGTGTGTGTGTGTGTGTGTGTGTGTGTTTATGAATACACAGAGTAAGCTTTAAAGAACTGGCTCCTCCATATTAAACATTAAGTAGTTTGTTACAATGATATGCACTATGTATCAACTATATGTAAGGCACTATGCTGAAGGTAGCCAAGGGAGAACAGTCTTGGCTCCTAAGGATCTTTTGATGTAGTGAATTTATGTTATATGTTTTTGTCTTTTACATTAAGTTATTTGGATCCTAACAATAACGCCCCTTATTTGGAGATACATATACTTTTTGAATAGTCTCTAACTATAGAAGCGACTTGGAAACATAGAAATGCTTATATCTGTAACCAGTTCATAGGCAGTTGGTGCTTAGCTTCTTTTGGCACAAAAAAAGAAGTTAGTCTACAAATCAATATTTAATGAAGGAGCAAATAAAATACAATATCCTATTAAAATATTATGTAATTTCTGCATGTTGCTTATAAATGATTTTTCATTTATGGCAGTGTAAGTAAGAGGAGAGCTGTTTTTAAAAATCTTTTGAAGCAAATAAGAGAAAACTATGTCAGGTCTCTAATATTGCCATTAGGAAAAAAAAAACCATTTTGGCTCAGAACTCTGGCATTTTAATCAG
Organism: Homo sapiens; assembly: GCF_000001405.40. Lineage (NCBI taxonomy): Eukaryota > Metazoa > Chordata > Mammalia > Primates > Hominidae > Homo > Homo sapiens. The sequence continues at coordinate 20,896,919 of NC_000007.14, forward strand.
TTTTTTATTTCCTATTGTAATGACTCCTGTTTCGTGTCCATGAGTTTTGTGGTAGCTGGTTAAGTGACTCAAGAAATAGTTTTGTGGTAATATAATAGTTTTGTTTCAACTATAATATACAAAATGTGCTAGGCAATGTCCAATTAAATGAAATATACTTCACGGGTGAAAAGACTCATGTAATATCCTAAGGTGCCTTAGTCAGATTTATAACAGCCAATTTATAGGCAGGCATAATATTACCCAATTAGCAACCTTGGCTTTATGAATCAATTGCATTATGTATTTTTAGATTTCAACATCTCTTGTGGTCAATCATCTTTCAACATCGAGTACTCAAATGCAATTTCAAAATGAGGGAGCCAGAATCATTGAATGACATAGATGCTTGGCCAGTTGTTTTATGATGCTGGTTATTGAGAAAGTTAATAGTTCTCTGTTGATAGCAATCATGTATCTCTAACAATACTATCATCAAATTAAATGCTATAGAAGTTAGCTGGTATGCTTAAAATATTATTAGGGAATATATATTATCAGTGAATATATATAATACATATATAAAATAAATATGTATTTTATATTTTAGCTATATAAAAGTAAAATAAAATAAAATTTAATTTTTTATTAATCATCTCATAGTGGGGTTTTCCAAGTATTTATTGTATTTGGTGAAGGAAAGAATGGATTTTATTCAATAGAATGGTGGGGCAGGCCCGCATGTCATTCAGTCCAAAATAATTGTGCACATTTCTTTTTAAAAAAATAAACTACTAAGATGAAAGCTAATATAGAAGGAAGATGCAACAAAGACCTCTATATAGAACAGCTCACTGTCAATTCACCAACAACTGTATCATCTAACATCCACTTACTGAATATTCAGCTTATCTGTTGACTAGTTTGTTTAGAACTCAATCCCTTGTTGAATGGCTTTGTAATTGTTTGAGTTCTCTCTCTCCCTCTCTCTCTTACTGGCTCTTTCTCTTTCCCTCTCTCTCCCTCTTTATAAATTCTTAGAATTAACCAATAAAACACTTAGTTTGTCTTAGGCAATGCTGCTTAATATTATGCCCTTTATAATTGATAGAACCGTTTTGTACACTTTTATTTTGTATGTACATCTATATCTACATATTTATATCTATATAGTACCTATATCTACATAGATATACATATTTATCTACCGTACTTTTCAATATTTTAAGCACTTTTTAAAATCTAAAGACTTATTCTTTTATGTTTGATTTTAAGGGAATTAATTTAAGATGGGCTAAAGATTTGGAGACATTTTCCTAGTAGAGAACTTATAAGAATGCTGGATAAATTTTTTAAAATAATAATTTAAATGCATGGCTTGATTCAATGGAAAGTAAGAAAAGTCCTTGGAGGCTAGGAACAAAGATAAGTTAAGGATGCTAAAAATGGAGCCAGCATTGAAACCAGTCTGCCCTGAGACATCAGTTGATCTCTGCAGGCATGGGAGCTCGGACTACATCTGTAGGAAGACGAGAGGCAATGTCTGAGGACAAAACAATGAGAGTTTGGTTGCAGACTGGTGAAGGAACACCAAAAGGGTGTTCAGAGAGTGACCTGTAACTGTTTCTCCCAGGGAGAGAACGTAGAGATACTTGCCTATATTGATCCTGGCCTTAGGTAAAGAGTTAAAAAGAAAGTGTCCTTTTAGAATTGATTCTCACAAGCCCATCCTCCTAAGGCTTTAGGGCCGGAGTTTATACTATTACACTACTGTGGGGGGGAAAAAGAGATAAAAACTCAGGCTGACTTATAGTTTAAAGGGATTCCAGGCTGAGAGGGTCTGTTTTTCCTGGAAGAGACAAATGCGAATACATTTTGGAGCAACAAAATTTAAATCCAGACCATAATATTTCCCATAAATAAAGTTCCAGGAAATATGAGCTTATAATAATCACAAGCATATAACAAAACAAACCACTATGCATGAGAGTCTGCATTAAAAAACAATAAATAGGCCAGGCGTGGTGGCTCACACCTATAATCCCAGCACTTTGGGAGGCCAAGGCAGGCGGATCACGAGAGGTCAGGAGTTCCAGACCAGCCTGGTCAATATGGTGAAACCCTGTCTGTACTAAAAAAAAAATACAAAAATTAGCCAGGCATGGTGGCGGCCACTGTAGTCCCAGCTACTCAGGAGGCTGAGGCAGGAGAGTCGCTTGAACCCAGGAGGCATAGGTTGCAGTGAGCCGAGATCTCACCATGGCACTCTAGCATGGGCAACAGAGTGAGACTCCGTCTCAAAAAAAAAAAAAATAAATAATAATAATAATAAACAAAAACTATACAAAGAGACCCACAGAAAGTATAGATTTTGGAATTAGCAGAAACAAAAGATTAATACATTAAAAATAATAAAAGACTCTCAAGGTATGATGAAGAAATAAAAGAAAAATAATCAGACACTTTTGAAAAAGAACAAAGTAGAACTTCTAAAAATGAAAACTGCAAAAATTGAGACTAGAAAATAACAGTTGTGTTAAACATCAGATTAGACACAGCAGAAGATAAAATTATTGAACTGAAATCTCAGTCTTAATAAATTACCAAGAGTGATGGGTGAACGAGAGGTTAAGAGACATAGAGGAAAGAGTGGAAGGCTTAATATAGATCTAATCAGAGGTCTACGAGAGAGGAGAGGAAAATGAAGAATAAACAATATTCCAAGAGATAATGACTATGACAATAAGACACACCAATCTTTAAATTTAGAAAGTCTAAACATATCCCAGAAAGATACATAAAAAGAAATCTAACCCTATGTACTGTAAACCCTAATAAAAAACAAAGAATAATATATAAAATACATAAAGAACACTCACAAATTGATCAGAAAAATACAAATTACAAATAGAAAAGTGGCAAAAGAAATAAGTTTTTTATGGAATAGAAAGAGGATTAGCTAATAAACATATAAAAATATACTTAACATTATCAGAAACCAGGAAAATACAAATAAAAGCAACAATGAGATCATTTAACACTCACCAGATTGGAAACATTCTGAACATCGTTTTATTTTGTTTAATTTTTTTTGGTTTGTTTGTTAAGACAGAGTCTTGCTCTGTCACCCAGGCTGGAGTGCAGTGGTGCGATCTGGGCTTACTGCAGCCTCTGCCTCGCAGGTTCAAGTGATTCTCCTGCCTCAGCCTCCCGAGTAGCTGGGACTACAGGCACACACCACCATGCCTGGCTAATTTTTGTATTTTTTTAGTAGAGTCGGGGTTTCACCATGTTGGCCAGGCTGCTCTTGAACTCCTGACCTCAAGTGATCTACCTGCCTTGACCTCCCAAAGTTCTGGGATTACAGGTGTGAGCCACTGTGCCTGGTCTTTTTTTAAATTTATTTTTATTTTTTTGAGACAGGATCTCACTCTGTCCCCCAGGCTGGAGCACAGTGGCATGATCATGCTCACTGCAGCCTCGGCTAATTATTTTTAATTTTTTGTAAAGACCAGGGTCTCCCAAAGTTGCCCAGGATGACCTCAAACTCCTGGGCTCAAGCAGTCCTCCTGCCTTGGCCTCCAAAAGTGTTGAGATTACAGACATGAACCACTGTGCCTGCCTCCAAATATTTTCTAATGTAAAATGCTGGCAGGTGTGTATATGTCTTAGACTGCTTGGGTTGCCATAACAAAATATTTGTATGGCTGCAAGGCTTAAACAGCAGAATTTTTTTTCCTCACAGTTCTGAAGGCTGGAAATCCAAGATCGAGGTGCCAGCATGGACAGTTGCTGGTAAGGCCCCTCTTTCCGGCTTGCAGACAACCACCTTCTTGCCGTGTCCTCACATGGCTCTCTTCTCATAAGGGCACTAACCCCACAGTGAGGTCCCCATCCTCATAAACTCATTTAAACCTAATTACCCCGCAAAGGCTCCATCTCCAAATACCATTGCATTGGGGGCTAGGGCTTCAACATTTGAATTTGGGGTGGTGGGCACACAATTCAGTCCACAGCCATGTGGTAGTGGGAACTATCATGCAATGCTGGTGGAAGTATAAATTGGCATAATCACTTTGGAAAGCTATTTGGCTCATGTGCTGATTATTCTCTACCGTCAGATTCATTCTCTGCCCTGCTTTTTCCTGCTCTAGGCTCTGGAAGGCTGATGCTGAGGACTGCATCAGCTGGACTGCTTTGCTTCTGGTTGGTCTTGGCTAATGGAAAGCAATGGCAGGAGACCAGAGGGCAGAAGAGAGTTTGAAGTATGTTTTTCTTCATCTGGCCATGTCTGTCTTTCTTCACTTACATCTTTTGCTAATGGCCCCTTTCTTCAAAGGTCCAGCTGTCACTGAGTTTCAGCAACAATCTCTGTTTTCTTTGGAATTACCGCCACTAGACCTGAATTACCATCTTCAGGCCTAGCAGTGGTAATTCCTTCCCATATTTTCCCATTAGGTTTATCAACATCTCTTGTAGTTCTTTAACCCTGCCTTTGCCTCTGTTTCCTATCAAGAACCTGCCTGATTGTCCTAGTAAAGGTGAGATATTATGACCCGGCAATTCTACTCCTAGAAAGCCTTGCAGATGTGTACAGGAGTCCTACAGAAATATGTCCATGGCAGCACGATCCATGTTCACGAAAAAAGGGAACTACTTGAATGTACATCCATAATAGGAAGTGACAAGTCATTATCATAAAATAACATAATGGAACACTGGAAAGTGGTAAAAGAATGGGTGAGTCAGCAACAGCTACCCAGAGTGACAAGGATATATTTCATAAAACGTCAAGTGAAAAAAAGTATAAGTGAAAAAAAACATACATAGCATGATTCTAAAACTAAACATCATACTGTTAAGGATTATACACAAAGGTAAGAAACACGTAAGAAAGAGCAAAGGCAGGATAGAGGTTACCTCTGGTTTGAGAGGAAGAAGGCTGAGATCCAGGACATCACAGAGATATCTTCAAGCATCCTGGTAATGCTCTGTGTTTGGCTGGTGGTAGGAACATGGCTGCTGTATTGTTCTTAACTGAACATATACATAATGTATGTTCTTTTTTGGTGTGTGATTTTTTTCTCGAAATGTAAATTAAAATTTAGTAGCTGAAGAATACTCAAAAAGGGGTGGCATTTTAAGTAAAATGGTATATGGTAGGCTAAATAATAACCCATCAAAGATATCCAGGTCCTAATTCTCCAAAACCTGTCACTGTGTTGCCTTAGATAACAAAAGAGACTTGGCTGATGGCCTGGTTTGCTGTGTCCCCACCCAAATCTCATCTTGAATTCTCATGTGTTGTGGGAGGCACCTGGCAGGAGGTAATTAAATCATGGGGACAAGTCTTTCCTGTGCCGTTCTCATGACAGTGAATAAGTCTCATGAAATATAACAGTATTATAAGGTGAAGTTTCCCTGCACAAGCTCACTTTTTGCCTGCTGCCATCCATGTAAGATGTGACTTGCTCCTCTTTGCCTTCCACCATGATTGTGAGGCCTCCCTAGCCATATGGAACTGTAAGTCTGTTAAACCTCTTTTTGTTCCTAGTCTCGGATCTGTCTTTATCAGCAACAGACTAATACAGCTAATTTGATTAAGTTAAAGATTTTGCAACGGGGAGATTATCCTGGATTATCTGGGTGGGTAATCACAGGGGTCCTTATAAATGGGAAGCAGGGGATTAAAGGCAGAAGGAGATGGGATGGTGGGTGCAGAGGCTGAAGTGCTAAGTGTTGAAGAGGGTAGAAGAGGCCATGAGCTAAGGAATGTAGGCAGCCTTTAGCTGGAAAAGCTAAGGAAACAAATTCTCCTCTGGAACCTCCACAAAGAATGCAGCACTACTGATACTTTGAATTTAACCCTCATTTCAGGTTTCTGACTTCCAGAACAGTAAGATAATACATTTGTATTATTGAAACCATTAAGTGTTTGGAAATTTATTACAGCAGCAGTAGAAAACTAAGACATGGTGGTTTGATGACTTGGCTTCAGGAAATTTTGTGTTTTAATGGATCTTAGGGAACAATAAAAAAGAAATGATTTTAAGTGGAGGTCTGTCACTAGTCTGAACCATCAGAAAACAGGGAAAGAAATGTGTACTTGGGTTGAAAATTAAAATCTCTGTTTAGGATGTTGCATTTACAAAGTATAACTGATTCCTCGAACTCATTTGCAGACCAAAGTCTTTCTATCTTGTGCATTCAGAATACATAGCTTGAATTTTAGGACTGTGCCAATGTGACATACATTTAGGTTAACAATCCCAGAGTTAGAACCTAGAATTTACTGCCTAATGACAATGTGTGATTTTTTTTTTCTGAAAATCAAAATGTACTAAATTGTTGACCAGAACTTCAGGCTTAGGTACTTTGGTGCTTGAAAGAGCTGCCCGAAGTAACTGTAGCAAGGGCTAATTGGGAAAGCTTAGCTGACAATTATGGTTTTGCACCTGATTTTTAAAAGTATATACCTATGAGACAGAATATGACAAAAACGCAAAAGTGAATAAAAGGGAAAGAGTTGAAAATACAAGGACTTGCATTTCAGTCTCTGACCCAGGATACTGTCACCCAATAGTTTTAGTTAAGTGTCCCCTTATTTAACCCCTTATGGGTATTATGTCTTTTCTATAAGATATAAGAGAATGGACCACACTAGGACACCTGTCTGAAAAATTCTATACATTAATGCAGAAACATATGTTACACTGTTTTTCCCAGCTGCTGCTCAGGGGGAAGTCACAATATGTAAGCCAGACTGCTGGCTTCACACATCCTCCATTAAGATTCTCAGTGGTGAAGGTTGGTGAGTAAAAAGAAATATCTTTCCCAATAAATACAATTCCATAATTTGATATCGTGAGAAAAATACCATGTAACTCTATTTGCTCATAGTATTTTCTAAACATTTATTATTTGTATAGGTTTTGAACTGGGAATACTTTATATGAACACCTGAGTGTTAAGATAATTGAGGTTATCTCAAGATACAAATAATTTGTACTCTCAACTGTAGGTTATTATAAGCACGAAAAGTGTGGTTGAAAATGAAATGCTGATTTTGATTTTTTTTTTCTAGAGACGGGGTCTTGCTCTGTGGCCCAGGCTACAATGCAGTGGCACGATCATGGCTCACTGCAGCCTGATGCTCCTGGGCTCAAGCGATTCTCCTGCCTCATCCTCCAGAGTTGCTGGGACTACAGGTGGGCACAACTTGGCCCAGGTAATTTTTTTAATTAAAAAAAAATTTTTTTTTTTTTTTTTTTTTGAAGAGACGTTGTCTCACTGTGCTGCCCAGGCTAGTCTCAAACACCCGGGCTCAAGTAATCCTCCCACCTCAGTCTTCCAAAGTGCTGGGATGACAGGTGTGAGCCACCACACTTGGCTTAAACGCTAATTTTGAAAATCAGTATTTCAAATACCAGAATTCAAATTGTTCAAGTTGAATCTGTTTCTGAATTATTTTTGCATCTTCACAGGGTGTCAAATACAATGTCTGAACTGTTGTCATAAGCATTCAGTACTTCCCGGGTACAAGTAGTCACTATGCCCACAGTTACTTGTTTTAATTCTGAGTTCTTTTTAATACTCAGCAGTAGCTGGCATATGGGAGTTGCCAAGATGTTTCTTTAGGAAGCCCCGGGAAAACAAGAGTGGAAATATAAATGGGAGAAGAGCAGGATATTTCTTACGGCTCCACTTCTTCACATGCAACTGTTCCATATTAAGCCACAATAGGTTAGAAAGGGATTGTTACTTAGACCATCGAATGAGTATGTGTGAGATTACTGCAAGAACAGATCTTATGTGCCAAAATAACAAGTATGTGTTAAAATATTAGTGCAGATAAAATTTGAGCTAATTCCTAGCTCATTTTATCTAAGACTAGGCACAATTCTCAAATACCGAAGAGCTTGTAATGTGAAGTCGCATATTCTAGCTAAAACCTGTTAGGGTTCTAGCAAGTATATGCTATATATAAACCTGCTAGGTTCTAGCACGTGATATGCACAATCATTGATACAATCCTCTGCAGCAAAATAACATTCTCTATCACCTTAAAAATATGATCCAGGCTGTGGAGTCTACCAATCCTTGTATGAGTATCGTAATATTCACATGAACATAATATTAATGTGTAAAAGTAAGGCAGTTTCAAGAAGAGAGAAAAATAAAATGGAAGATGAAGGTGCTATTATTTTCTTTATGATATTTAAAAATGTTCTTAAGATGAGAACACGTGGACACATGTGAGGGAACAACACACACTGGGGCCTGTCAGAGGGTGGAGGGTGAGGAGGAAGAACATCAGGAAGAATAACTAATGGATGCTGGGCTTAATACGTAGGCGATGGGTTGATCTGTGCAACCAACCACCATGGCACACATTTACCCATGTAACAAACCTGCACGTCCTGCACATGGACCCCTGAACTTAAAATAAAAGTTGAAGAAAAGAAAAACATAATGAGAAACCACTATACACCTACCAGATTGTCTAAAATAAAGAGTACAATAATGAATGCTAAAATAAATAATAATAATAAAAAAGATCTTTGAGGGACTCCTGAAGAGAAAAGCTGTGGCTGCATCATAACAGACCACCTTCTTGCTGCCCTATTTAATGTGGTCTTAACATTTATGAAATTATAAAATTGAACCATAAAAAGGTAATTTTCCAGAAAGTCAATTTATGAGCATGATTTTTCTATTATGCAATAACAAAAATGTGCATGCCACGTATTAACATTGATCACACATAATTTCCTTGACCAATGGCAAATTTGCCAGATGATCTAGAACATAGTTAGATCTAGTTCTTATGCTATTATTGTGTGGCTGACTGCCTGGGTCAGGAACAGAAGTGGGGAATTTGGGAATATGTAGGTGTCCACAGGAGAGGGGCATGGCCTGCTTTTATATTAGTGATGTGTGTTTGTTGAGAAATTGCTGTAGAATATATTCCAGCTCTTCCCAGCTTGCCTTTGCTCTACTGGACTCCAGGCACCTCATTATAAGTTTCATTTAACATGCAGATGTGTGAGTCTTGTAGTCTGTGCACAGTTATAATATGGTTGAACAAGACTGTAAGGGATCACCTAACCTTCATGTGAATAATTAATTCATAAAGATTAGCATTAAAACATCTTCAATTCAAAAAATAAAGAGACCACTCAGCAATCTTTTTCTTGGGGGCAATCTCTACTTGTCTTTTTCATTGTCCTGTTGTCCAGGTAAGAGTTTCTTTGTGTCTAGCAGCAATTCCTCTATGGTTCATTTTAGAATAATAATTTATTTCCTTATTTGAATGACTATCATCAGAATCCCTGGCCAGAATGATCCTCAAAAACTCTAGATACTCAAAAACAGCCTTTGAGTCACCCTGGAGCCACTTCTTAAAAGTGCTTGGCCTCACCTTGCCTGACTTCTTTTTCATCCCTTTAGCTAGTCTGCTCTCTCTTCTTTGAATGCGGTTGGGTTCTGCAGTTTTTTCAGTGTGCTGTCCAAAACAGGATACTTTCTTCCCTTTGACTAATGGGGAGGAGAGAAGAAGAATTATGTTTCAGCCTTGCCTACTTTACTCCTATTGATTTGTGCTGGTATCATATTGACTTTTATCACAATAGCACTGAATTGCTGATTCATATTCGGCTGTGGCCAACCACAGCCAAACATAAAGAGAACATAAAATAGTTCTCTTTCTATTTTATTTGTTCATGCTTGCTGTTCCCCATCATGTATTCATGGTGCCTCGTAATTTTTTCAGAGTATATTACTCTGTACTTACCTTATTAAATACTTTTTAGCTGTTCCTAATAATCAAGTGTTAATGTCTTCTTACAGCAAAATACAGGCATGTTTTATAAAGCACTATTATCTCTTTGAGTCTTTAGCATACTGATTTGAACACATAGCTGATTTTGCATAGCTCTTCTCCAAAGCTACATATTATCTGATTATATGTATAAGTAAACTATAACTATTCATTTCATAGCATGTTATGTACATGTAGAGATTGCATAGTAGATGCTGAGTAAATATTTATTGATAGTTAATGACCACAGGCTGTTGTACATAGAAACCATTCCAAGTTCGTGCAGGAAACACTGATTTTTTAAAAAGCATGCTTTGGCCTGTCTTTCCTGTTTACATTTAAACAATAAGGATGAAAAACTACAAGCCAGAGGGCTTCTGTTGTTCTCAGTGAATAACTGAGATGGTGTTTTGGTGGCATGCTCACAAGGTTTGTGGAAGTTAACTTCACACCAGGAACTCTGTATTGAAATAGATTGTTTAAGAATAATTCTTCTCTTTGAGAAGGGTGAGGGATTAATCTGCAGAAATGTTCATGCTAGAGCTGTGCATGTGTTGAAATTTGTCAGGGAGAAGATAAATGGGCCCTCCTTGAAAAGTAAATCGCACCATGGCTAATCCCTTGGGAAAGCTGGAGAATTGTTATGGTAGCAAAAGCAACCTCGAAAAAGGAGGCACCATCACTGTTTACTTAGAAAGGAGAAAGATGGGGAGAAAACTTGATGGTAAAAGGAAATGAAGGGGTACATAACTTTGAAAATATGTTTATTCAAATATATATATGAAATGTAAGTATGACTGCACTGGGATTTTTATTTTTGGGAAATCATTTATGTGCTTTAAATTAAGAGTTGCACTTAGTACTGATAGGAAAAATATGTAACAATAGTTTGTCTGGGCACTGACCAATCAGAAGAGACATCAGGAGAGGTGCCTGAGCTGAGTCTCGAAGATGCCCCGCCCAGTGCCAGGTGTTAACCCTTTAGTGCTGACACAAAAGGAGTAGTTGAAGGGCTGCTTAAAAAACTCAGAGCAGTGTCTATCCCTAATAGGTACGGGAGATATTAATATTTTAACAACTAGTATGGCTATTCTGGAGTGTACCATCTAAATATCAGCTCTTATCCTAATATCCTAATATAAAAGTATTTAGTAATTTTACTGAAAAAATAACAGAAATTTTTTCACAGAGATGATATATACTAAAGGAGAAGTCATAAAATGTCCATGAAATTCTGAATATCTTTAGTGTTGCCAGATTTAGCAAACCAAAACAAATAAAACAAAAAAGCTAAAAAGACCAAAAAAGCAAAATGCCCAGTTAAATTTGGAAATCAGATAAACAATGAATAGCTGTGATTTTTAAAAAAAGTATTAATATGTCCCAAGAAATATTTGGGATATACTTATGCTAAAATATTATTCATTATTTATATGATATTCAGGTTTAATTGGGAATTTTCTACTTTATCTGGCAACCCCAAATAGGATATATTTAGCAGGAAGTGTGTCAATATTCTCCTCAAAGTGCTAAATGAAAGAGAAGAGAAAGGTATGTTCAGGGAGCCCAGCACATTGAGATCACCTGAGAACACTTGACAGGAGGCCACTCTGGAATTCCAATGCTGTGGCAAGAAATGTTACCTGCAGAATTACAGAACCCTGGCATAGAAAGGTTGCATATAATGAGATGGTTTTGAAATTATACTAAGAGGACATAAGGTGCCACTAGCATTTAAAAGAGTTGCATTTTCCAACTAGGAAATGCCAATCTAGTAATTATCAAATAGCATCTATCAAGTGCCTGTCTACATGGGCCATTGTGTAAGGTGTTTTACAAAGTGAGAAAAGAGACGTGGCAGATAGCCCTTGTCAGCCTGTAGTCTAGACATCTGCACTGAAATGGAATCATGAAGGGGATGACCGAAAAAAATGTTGATTAAAGATCCATAACCTCTTTCATTTACCCTAAACAGAGAAAACTTAGCTTGATTTATAGGATAGGGTTTTGTAAATCATTTTAAAATGCAGTTTTATTACATCCAAATGTTGATATGTACAATTATTTAGTAGGCTCCGAAATATATGCCATAGAACAGAATTTCTCAACCCAAGCACTATTGACATGTTGTACTGAATAATTCTCCCTTGTGCAGAAGTCTAGCCTGTGTATTGCAGTATCGTAGCAGCATTCCTGGTCTCTTCCTGCCGCGTGCCAGTTGCACACTCTCTGCTAGTCATGCTAATCAAAACTGCCTTCGGACATTGCCAAATGTACCCTGGGGGCAGGGGGCAAAATTGCCCAGAGTTGAGAACTACTCATTTAAGCAACTGCTGGAGAGAGATTCCTGGCAATGTAGGTGGGGGAAAGGTTTCTTCAGACTCACAAATGTGCGCATGATTCAGCTAGTTTCAAATATCTGCTATGTTCAGAAAGCCTTCATATTTAATCACCACCTGGTCCCATCCCAGAGATTCTGATTTAATTCATCTGAAATAGGGCGTAGGCAACTGGACATTTAAAAAGGCTCCAAGTAATTCACTCTTTAGAGTGGTGGTTCTCAAACCTTAGGAAGCATCAGAATCACCTGGATGGCTTGTAAACACAGACCTCTGTTCTTAATTCCTGGAGTGGGGCCTGAGAATTTGCATTTCTCGTAAGTGCCCAGCTGCTGCTTATGTTGCTGGTCTTTGGAACACACTTTGAGAACCACTAGTTTAGAGACACACTCCTGACCTTTCTCTGCCCCTTCATTTCCATTTTTCCAAGAAAGGAGATATGGCTGACAGGGACACATGGAATTGATGAACTATAGATGCATACCTGTATGGTTTCATCCCTGCCAAGCACCCATTTTTGAATTTTCCCTTCTACAGGCTGAGCACATTCAGCTGTTATCTGCAGTGCAGTAAAGCCATCTGCCCCTATGCTAGTACTTGGTAACCGGCCTGGCCAAATTCTAGACTGCAATACAGGAATCCAGCAGTGCTCACACATCTTAGCACTGTTCCTCAGTGATGGATCAGTAATGAAGCTGACAGTTTGAAAAGGGATTCTCCATCTGCCAGTCTCCTTTTTTGTCTTAATTCGTTCTGACCTTGGATGGGAAATGGGAATAACTGATTGGAGCCCTCTTCCTACCAATCATATTTTAGTTCAGTGACTTGGGCTTCTGTTTTCTATAGAATCGGAGAGGAAAGGTGAGGACAAGGGGGCACGCATACAACCCTTTCTCTGATGTCTACACATAACTCTTGATAAAACATAAAATTGTTGGAAACAAAATAACAGTACATAAAATGTGGGGAAGCAAAAATCTTGGACTTTTATCTCATGGCAATATAAAGTTTTTAGATGTTCCTTAAGATAGAAAGTAAAAACAAAGAAGACCTTTAAGAATTTCCTGGAATAATCCACTAGTATTAAGGCTAACTTTTTTTTATCTTACCCTCCGCTGAACCACATCTATGAAATTCACTTTCTTAGTTAAGGGAGCTGGAATTCTGGCTCACACTTGTGTCCATAACTCACTGTCTTGGTACTGTGCCTCATATTTTTGTTTCTCCACTATACTTTGCCTTGTGATATTATAATTCCAATTAATCGGGTTAAAAGTTGGCCTAGAAGAGGGTCATGGGAGCCCACTGATATTTGTTCATAGAACACTGCAGCAGTCTTTAAGGGAATTGCCTGCTAAAGTGCTATAGATATTAGAGTGACACATAAATATTCATATATTCATTGATGATGGATTGCATGAATAGAATAATGGACAAAGGTGGTTAGGAGAGCTAGTCTATTAGAAAAATTTAAAATACAACCCTTCTGTCCTACAAGTAGAACATGAAAATTGCTATGCTAAGGGTATTTCTCATTCTCTACCTTGTCATTCTATGCAAATTCTAGAAGACCCAAGGGGATACCAACTCTTCCTCTCCACAAGGGCCACCAATTCTGTTTAAATTCTCTTCCTCCAGGAAAGATCCCTTAAGTGACTCCTAAGGTACAAACAGCAGAGTTTGAAAAATGGTAGAGTATATGTAAAGCATTCTGTGATTGAATCGTAGCTCCCAGAAAATGAACTCTCTGAGCTGTGCTTTCCTCTAGTCTGAGTGATGTATACATTTATTTATAAATACAGAATAATCATGGCCAGTGATAGCAAATTGTCTAACTCCTGGATTTTTATTTATATGAGTATTTCCTTCTTTTGCCTGTATTTAATCATTCCACTTAAGTGTTTCTAGAAGTTTCCCTGGACTTCCAAATGGCTAAATAAACCTATCTTAGTATCAGAAAGAAACTCAAGAAGTGATTTAGCCCAAATTCTACTTCTAGGCAAGATCCCCCCTTCAGTTTTCAACAAAAAAGGGTCTGTTCTCCCAAGTTCTTCCAGATCTCGTATCCCCTTACAAGCTAACTCTTGTTAGTGAGATGCAGCACTGAATCACTCTTGCTGTCAGGTCTCTTTCTTCTGGCTAGTTTGTGGTGTTTAAACCCATTTCCTCCACCTCATGGTGCTCAACTGCTCGGCTGCTCCCATACAGACACCTTCCACTTTTTGCGCCTCACTGGCAAAGCCACCTGTTGTTTGTTTCCTGGAGTATGCAATCTGCCATTTTTCACAGTTGATTGTGTTAGTCTGGGTTCTCTAGAGAAACAGAAGCAATGGGAGATACATACATACATACATACACACACAAACACACACCCCAGTTGAGAGAGAGAGAGACTGATTTACTGTAAAGAATTGGCTTCGCAGGGCACAGTGACTTGGCACTTTGGGAGGCCGAGGAGGGCGGATCGCTTGAGCTCAGGTGCTCGAGACCAGCCTGGGCAACGTGGCAAAACCCTATCTTTTCAAAAAATACAAAAATCAGCCAGGCATGATGGAGTGTACCTGTAGTCTTAGCTACTCAGGAGGCTGAAGTGGGAGGATCACTTGAGTCTGGGAGGTCGAAGCTGCACTGAGCCATGATCACGCCACTGCACTCCAGCCTGGGCAGCAGCGTGAGACCCTGTCTCCATAACCAAACAAACAAAAAAGAATTGGCATGTGTGAGAGGCTGAGAAGTCCCAAGATCTGCAGTCAGCAAGCTGGAGACCCATGAGAGCCCATAATATAATTCCAGTCCAAGTCCAAAGGCCTAAGAAGCAGGAGATACAATGATATAAGTTTCAGTCAAGTCTGAGTCTGAAGGCAGGAGATCAGTGTCCCAGCTGGAAGACAGGCAGAGAGAAAGAATTCTTTCATACTCAGCCTCTTATTCTATTCAGGCCTCTAAGGGACTGAATGAGGCCCACCCACACTGGGGAGGGCAATCTGCTTTACTTAGTTTACCAGTTCACATGTAAATTGCATCGTGAAACACCTTTACAGACTCACCCAGAAATAATGTTTCACCAAATATGTGGGCATCCCATAGTCTAGTCAAGTTGACACATTAAAATTAACTATCACCATGACACATTTTAATCCTTAAATCAGCACGCTCTTCTGTAAACCTTTCTAATAGCTCCATGATCCTTGTAAGATGTTAAAACTAACACTGGCCACAGCATGTAATGACAGCTGGACCTGGCTCAGAAGCAGGAAGGATTGCTTTCCAACCTTGAAAAGGTAGCAAGATCCCTGTTAATACAACCTGCCAGTAGAGTGTGATGAAGTCATGAACATGGAGAGAAAAACAGTCCTTGCTCCTTGTTCCAGCCTACCATAGAAATTGTCCATTAGTCTTCTTTCAAGTCTCTACAAACGTGAGTATTTCCCTTTAAATCTAGAGGGCCCCAAGAGACCTGTATGTTTCAGAACTGGACCTAGGATGTGATTTGGGTGCTATTGATCATAACAGCAATGATACCACAGCTGCTCTTTATTAAATGCCTACTTAATGTTAGGCATTTTACAGCACTATCTCAGGGCCTCTGTCATCCTGCATAGTTGATATTTAATATGCCACTCTCATAGATGAGAAAAGGGACTCAGACAGGTAAGTAACTTACCTTGGGCAAGTGATGGTTCTGGGGTTCACATCCAGTTCACCTTCGAAGTCTGTTTTATTTTTCCTGCTTGCATGGTCCCAGACTTGGCCAAGTAGGGGCAAATTCACTAAGTGATCTAGGCTTAGCTGGTACTGTCAAAAGACTCTGGATTACATGGGTTATGATGACGGGTCATATTAGATTTTGGGGAGCTGCTCCAAACTCCAGCCTAGGATCCTAACTGAAGGTTTGGTTTCCAGGGCCAAAAATGTCAAATTGATCTTGGCATCATCTGCACCATCTGACAAAGTGTCTTACACATAATAGGCAATCAAAAGATATTACCTGATTGGTTGATTGATTCACTGAGAGGCTGGTGCAGGCCTGTTGTAATGATACTAATTTAACTCCTCTGATTCTACTAAGAATCAGAAACGTCTCCTGATGTTTCATCATCTCTGGGAATTTGCATGATATTGGGGATACTTAGATTTTAGTTCTGACACTGCTAACCTTAGGCTAGTTACTTAACTCTAAACCTTGATTCCCTCCATTTTAAAGAAATGGCTGGAACTGGATGTGTCTCTTTCACCACAAACACTCTCCCTGTTAGATGACATAGTGAGGCTCTAAAAATTGATTTAGAGTTTGTAAGTTAAATGGTGACCATGGTGAAGAAGACAGAGCCAGCATCTCCAGCCACCCACTCCTGGGAGGAGCTTATGTCATTTTAAAATTGAGTTAAGACAGGCTGGGCACAGTGACTCACACCTGTAATCCCAGCACTTTGGGAGGCTAAGGCAGGAGGATCAATTGAGCTCAGGAGTTTGAGACTAGCATGGCCAACATGAGACCCATCTGTACCAAAAACACAAAAAATTAACTGGGCGTGGTGGCACACATCTGTGGTCCCAGCTACTCAGGAGGCTAAGGTGGGAGGATCACTTGAGCTCAGGAGGTGGAGGTTGCAGTGAGCCAAGATTGTGCGACCGCACTCTAGCCTGGGTGACAGAGCCAGACATTGTCTAATAAAATAAAATAAAATAAAATAAAATAAATAAAATTGGTTTAAGACTGGTCATAGACCATCGACATGCTGGCAGCTGAGGATTTAAAGAGGAAGTCGTTAGGCCTGAGCTGGAGGCAAATGTGACAGCAGATCAACTCAGGACTGTGCTCCATCGGGCAGACGAGAAGGGGATTGTTTCTGCTTTAAAGAATCCAGTTGCTATCACCACAGATTCCTGCCGTGGAGATTCCACGAGGCCTCTGTTAACTGCTATGGCAGCTTCTTCAAGAAGGGTCTTGACACAGCTCTTCAAGTCCCATCTGGGTCCGTTTTCATGCAGTAGGCAGCGTGCCCGCTGGGCGGGAGCACAGGCAAACAGACCTGTGTTTGCCCTCTGCCTCCAACGCTCTCTAGCACTGAGATCTAGTTCTTTATTGGAATAATGAGAACAATAATAATAATAGTTTCTTCCACCTAGAGTTATTTTGAGAATAAAATGAGATGATAAATTGTATGTAGATGATAAATCATATGCTTGGCTTAACAGCAAGCCTATAATAATGGGTAGCTATTATTATTCAGTGCTGTGGGATATTCACTACTGGTGCCGCTACCAGAAACAGAGATTGCACTGAGTGAGGACTCATGACGTGGATTCTTCCTTGTCCCTCCAGCCGTTCAGTACATTGACCTATTTGAAAATCGATGCTGAATTCATGAAGTGGGAGGCATCCTATGAGATTAGAGTTTAGGATCTCAACATTGGAATTATTTTTTTTCCCGTTCTCAATGCAGTCAGTAAAGTTTTATAACATACCTACTTTATGCAAACTACTATACTGGGCATAAAGAATCAAAGAGGAAGATACAGACTATGCCCTTAAAGAGGTTATGGATTATTTAGATAGTGAATTACTTCTTAAATGAGCACTTGATTCCAGATGTGGTGGGTTAAATTGTGTCCCTCCCTAAAAAAATACATTCTAGCCTCAGAATGTGACTTTATTTGGAAATAGAATCTTTGCAAATTTAACCAGATGATGATGATGTTATTAGGGTGGTACCTAATCCAACATGACTGGTGTCCTGATTAAAGGGGGGAAATTTGAACAGACACACAGGAAGAACGCCATGTAAAGACGAAGGATTGGAGTGATGCATGTAACAAGCCACGGAAAACCAAAGATTGCCAGCAAACCACCAGAAACCAGGAAGAGGCAAGTGGCAGGGTTTAGATGGAGAATGGCCCTGCCAACACCTTGATTTCAGACTTCCAGTCTCTAAACTGGGAGGCAATAACATTCTGTTTTTTAGGCCACCTGGTGTGTGGTACTTTGTTATGGCAGCCCTAGGAATTTAATACACTAGGCTGAGGGATAGATATGACTAGTGAAAATAAAAATATATGTGTGCATTGATTATGATATACACAAAGGGAGAGAGAGAGAGACACCCACAGTGGAACATTACTGAGATCTGATGAATGAGGAGAGAAAAGAACTTATACATGATGTGACATATAAGCTTGGTGTTCTAGTGGCCTTTGCATTATACCTAAGAAGAATGTTGATTTATTGTTTCACCTCTGTTTGAGGGTCCCCAGAATGCTCTGGCCAAGAATAGTTTGGTAATGTGCACAATGAAAATTAGAAGTGACACCTGAGCCACTTAAAAACATTCAAAGCATGAATACATTTTTTATTGTTTTACACACATTTAAGATTTTCAAGTTGTCTGATACTCTCTGTTTAGTAAACTCTGAAGTTGATCTAAGTTTGGTTGGAATACTTGTATATTTATATTTTCTGGATTTACATGCCAGGTTACAAAAGGAGACCCACACGAAATCCCTGAACTCCTGTGCCCACCCAGAGATTAACATGGAGAGGTCAGGGGCTGTTTTCTCTCCATAGGCTTCAGTGGCCTGGATGTCTGAGTTTTCAGAGACAGGATAAGTCCACATATTATTTTTAAACAAATTTCTTACAACTCAAAAGCTTTCATATCTTACTTTCTTGGTAAGAGTCAAGTTTATTATCCACGTCCATACAAACACAGCTGGCTACACAAACTGATCTAGGACAAAAAGTCAGAAACATGGGGCCATAGGATTCTGGGTAAATGTGCTTTCTAACAAAAACTATCATATTTACAGAAAAGCAGACAAAGTGATGAGAGTCTTCTGCCTTTAGAATTAGCTGACTTTAAAAATTAATTTAACTCTGACATGTGACAAGAATTTTATACATCATTGCAAAATTAAAAAGGCACTTTGGAGTGGAAGTACTGATTACAGCATATTTTTGATAGAGATAATGGACTTTATTTAAAACACATTCTACCATTTTCTCCTGTGTTTTTCTTTGAGTCCACAGAGGAAAGTTACTACACAAATTCAGGTTATTTTTATTGACGGTTATGTTATGGTGAAGCTAGATGAATAGAGTTTAAAGTTAAGTTTTGTTGGGTATTTCCAGGCCACTTGGCACATCAAACAGGTAAGCACTTTTTCTCAAAGAAAAGTGTGTTGTATTGATCTTGCTTTGCTCTAGTATTGACAATTATATGAAATTTTAAGCATCTCCTTAGAATTCCCAGCTTTTTGAGGGCCAATTTCTATTCAGGTTTTTATGGCTAATCTCTTATGACATCTGTCATTCCAAGTATTTAAACTCTCATATGTTTCTTTGGTGTGCATTTTTTCATTTGTTTAAGCTCGTTTCTTAGGTCAGTGAGGGTGTGTGTTCTTTCTTTTATATCACAGGGCTTTGTCCACAGGGTAGACTCAGCTCATGTTACTATGATGGAAATAAAACCTGGAAACTTCATACTGTGGCTCTCTCTGCCAAAGGGAAAGGGTCTTTCCTTTCTTTGTCTGACACTGGTACAAAAATCCTTGATCTTCATTCTCATGAGATCTATAAAAGGCTTACTTTCTATTTTACCCTCTCTTCTGTCCTAAGAAATATATGTTTCTCACCATTTTTATTTCTTGCCTTATCATAGAAGTAGAGAAGTGCTTGACTCTGTGGAGTCCCATCCAGCCTGCCACGCTAATGAGGTCATTTTCCCTTATTAGCATGTGGGCAGGGAACTAAGGAGGGGAGGATAGAAAGGAGGACTAAAAGAAGAAGTTGGACGTGTATTCTTTTCAGTATTTTGAATGTTCAAGTACTGTTTTCCAAGGAAATCGACTATGAGACAGACAGAATGGGATCCTAGTCTCGGCTATGCCATTTCCTCACTGGTAACCCTGAGTTAGTTGCTTAATATTTTGGAGCTTTAGCGTCCTCATATGTAAAATGGGAATAATAGAACACTTTGCTTACCTTGTTGGGTGTGCTAATACAAATGCAAGGTAGAATTAATTTTAGACCAGTACAGCTATCACGAACCAGGCTTCAAGAAGTTCAACATATTTTTTTTTTTTTTGTAAGTTCATTTCATTCTGCTTTGTTTACTCCTTCAAACTTCTGCCCGAGGTCAGCATCACTGACCTTCCTTGAGGCTTCCTGAAGTGTGGAAGGGTCTGTTCCTCCCAGGAGAAGAAAGACAGTGCACGATTAAACAGATACCTACTTTAACAGCAAGTCTGTACTCATGAAATGATTTGGTAGAATATATGAAAATATTTAAATTAATTGTATTATGAAGTTTCACCAAATGTAGAAAATATTTCCTGGCGGGGAGGGGTGGGTGGTACCTCTGCAGTCTCCTGAGGAAGTCTATGCTGTGGAGTGTCCTCTGAGGAGAGGGCACATATGTAGCAACTATTAGGTTGAGCCATATGAAATCATACCATTTGCCACTTTTCACTCCCGAAATGACAGTTCTACATGGTTCAATCTCATACATCTTCTAATGCTACCACAGTCTTCTATGGGTTACAGAGTCATAGCATGGCCCCAGAGCTCTGCAGTCATAATGAGAGTAAAATTCTGCTGAAAACTTGTAGCTGTTACCAAAAAAATTTTTTCTTTCTCATTTTGCAAATCTGCCATATGTCTTTCTTTAATTTAAAAACAAAGAACATGAAGCGTAGCTGCCACATGTCTGGCAGAAATCTGTTTATGCCTGGAATCAGTAAATATCAAGATGCCTCTTTACACTGACTGGCAAAAGCTGCAAAAGTAAAATATGTAAACAAAAAAGAACTCCATGGCTAGGCGAGTGCATACTCCAAAGAGTATTAATTTGCATAATAAAGAGTTCAATATTCAGGAGATTATAAAATAGCAATTACTGCGGAGTTGCTATATTAAGGCTTCTAACAAATAAAGACATTTAAAATGCAATAGTTTGCCTTTACAAAGAACTTCTCCTAACATCTGTATTTTGAAACAAAATGTTATTTATTTTTTAAAGGGGTTTTAAATACTTTGCACATTTCTTTAGGAAAGAAGCAGAAATATCATAGCCAAAAAAATAATAGTGGTAAATAATCTATGGTTAAAGAAAGAAAACCAGCCATTATTATTATTACTATTATTTTTTCCAGTTAAAAAATGTTGCTGCAGAGGGGAGTGCCTTTCACCATCTGACAAGAGATTGGGAGACCAGTGGAGAGGTGTAGAATCAGACTGTGTCAGTAGCGGGTGGTACACTCAGGCATGGGTAGCCACAGAAGTCATTGCATGTGAATAAACCATCGTCTACTTATGCTAATGGTAAAGTAGATTTTCAGAAACACCATCTGTGGCTTTTAAAATGAATCAAGTGTTTCAGGTATTGTATATGCAAGTGCAGTTTCTACTTTCTTGACATACTGTAAGCATTTAGCATTGGAAAAGAAATAGAGCTTTTGACGGTAGTGTATTTTTGCAATGAATGTCGTAATTTAAATGCTCTTACATGGAACTTCTTGATTTCTCAGTAGAATTGGACTTAGAAATTTATATGTATATATTGCATTAACCACTTAACTAAATGTGCATCGATACTATAAGCCTTTAAAAAAAATCTTTGTTTCCTGCTGTAACGAAAATGCTGTGACATGAAGAGAAGATTCTATGTATACCTGTTTATCTCAGAAAACCTATTAAAATTAAGCCCTTGGAAATGGAATAGTTGTTAGGCTAGTGGTTTCCCCAACAAGGATGGGAACTGGAAGGATGAGAAACAAGAAGACCAAGAAAACTAACAGTGGAAGACCCAGAAAACCAACAATCAATGAGCACCTTGTGGGCACTGGAAACTGTGCTGGAAAGTGGGGCATTCAATAACACAGTGCTGGGATTACATTACACCAAAAAGTTGTAGACATCACAATAGCTCCAGGGTTTAAAATTCCCAGGGTACCATCCAAAGGGACAATTTATCTATTGGTGTATGGAAGAAGCCTACTCTGATTAAGACTCCATAATTATCAACCCCATCTTTTAAGGAGAGGCAATCCCAATAAAATTTTATTTTTTATATTTAGTAATCTCTAACAATATTTTTGAAGTATTTATATTGTTTTGTTAAATTGACTATTGCTAATACTTTCAATAAAAACTATCCAGATGGCTCTAATGCTTAGAGCCTCATAATGGGAGGCCATTTTTTAAGTTAAAAATTTCAGTGTATATTTTTGTTGTTGTTGTTGCAGAGACGTATGATAACATAATCAATGAAAGACTTTCAAATATTAAACACTTATTACAGTAAGATAAAATTGTGTGCAAAAAGAGGAGTGAAAACACAATTTCAACAGAAAGAAAGAGTCATGCAAAATTGGCAACTGTTTAAAAGAATTAGTTGAACCTATTTTTCAGTGATCCATTGGTAGATGTGAAATCACTGTGGCATTTATATTCCATTGAATTTATTGAAAAGAGTGATAAAGTTGTATTTTAAAATGTCAATATTACATTCTTTACAACTCTTCTCACTTATGATTAATTTAAGATGTCAGCTTGAAATGTATGAGAGGGTACCTAGTTTTTCAAGTTCATGGTCATTTTTGTTCCTCCTCCTTTTATGAGTAGCCTCAGAGAAGATGCCTCTTGAAGGCTAAGATTTCAAAGAAGTTTAAACTTCAGGTTATCTTCTTTTGACTATTCAAAAAAAAAAAAACTTTGATTTTTAGTACATTGCAAGGTAGATGAAGATATACATGATGTCTTCACCCATTTCCACCACCGACCCCTATGCTTGTTCTGCATTTGCTTATTGTACTTCAAGTCAAAGATAGTGTCTAGCTCCATAAAGGCATTTTCCAAGGATTTGATAACAATTTTTGAAAATTAGGCTGAAATATTCATCTGTCTATAGCCTGAAAAACCTTTTTTTTCCTTATGAAAACTTACCTGCTTGGAAGCTCAGCTCATGGCATTAAATCTTTCTTTTAGATGTTTATGAATGAAATTCCAGGCTTGTGGTACATTGTGTCCTACTGCTGCCGTGTGTCCTGGCTTCCTCTTGGTGACTGGGTGTCTCCTTTTTTTTTTTTTTAACTAGGCTGGGCTTTTCCTCCATTGTCACATGGGGAAAAATAATTCAGGGACATCATTGCTGTTGTTACAGTTTCCTTATCCTTCCAGGTGTCTCTTAAGGTCTTAGCGACTGTCAGTAGAATCATCTTGAAGTGATCATGTTTTCTCCATATTACAAGATAACTAATACTTGGCCTTTATGTCCCTTACAACTCTTTTTTTTTGTATCTTAAAAAAAAATAGAGACAGTGTCTCACTGTGTTGGGCAGGCTGGTCTCAAACTCCTGAGCTCAAATGATCCTCCTGCCTCAGCTTCCCAAAGTGCTAGGAAGGGCATGCTAGGTGGGGCAGGAGCCACCACGGCTGACCCCCTCTCAAGTCTTGATATTTCCAAATCTTCATGCTATATCCCATTTGCCAACATTTCCCACTTTGTCCCTTAAAATTACCATAATTATTAGATCAATAAAAATTAAATAAAAATGTAAAGCTGTCAACTCCATAAATGTTGTTAGGTCTGATCTAACCTGGTCAGAATTACAATTCTGCTTTATTCCCAAGAGAAGTATAGGATGCCCTCACAAAAAAGTCTTTTGAGCTCCTTGAATCATCATATAATCAAGCATCAGATTCTTACCCTGTGAAATAAACTTCATTAATTATGTTAGCAAGTTTAGCACATCTCCTGCCTTGTTTAGAAACTCCTGGGTTCTGAATATGAGGATGATGTGATAGCATAATGCCGAAGAACGTGAAACATGAAGAAGGCAATGAGATATCAAACACAAGTTTTCAATAAGCCCTGCTAAGAAGCTATGCTTCCCTTGCTTTCCACCACAAAGTAATGTCTGAGTAGGTTTGGTGTAGATGCAACCAGAATTTAGAATAGTGGCTGATGTTCCACTGGAATGCACTGGTAGCCTGTACTAGATATTAAAATAATGAAATAATTTTGCACCCATTGGTGAGCAACCACTAGCCCAGCACCAAGTGCACTCACCACCACCTCTTTGCCTGAGCTGCCTCAGCTTCTCCCTGAACCCCTAACTAAAACAAGCCTAGATCTGGGAATTAACAAAGTGATCCCAGGCAGGGCTGTAGGCCTCATGGATCCTGCTCTAGCATCTCAACCAGCATCTGTTCTGATCCGTCAGTACCTAGACCATCTAGTTGCCCAATATTTTAAATATATCCCTGGTTAAGAGTATCGTTTTAGACTCTCAAACTTAATTTTTGGCCCTTTGCCTTGTCCTTTCTTTGCAGAACTGTTGGGCCCAATTTTTCACAGTTTGAGAATAGGAATAAACCCAGGGTTGATAGCATCTATTTGATTTATGCACATTTTAGTGCATTTGTTACTTGTTTCTTGGTTCTGTGTTTTGTGATGGTGGTGTCACTGTTTCCCTACACCATAATTTCCTGGTGCACTTCAGTGCTCCTTCATCACACAAGAAACTGTAAGGGTCAGTGATCTTCGGCGCCACCACTTCCATTTCCTCATTACAAAAATTGACCTTCTTTCTGTTGTTTGAAAGGGCTCAGGCCACTGTCATTCAGATTTCAGGACTGTTGAACAGTAATAACAGTATAGGAGGAACAGGCAACCAGCGCAGCAGCTGGGCATTGTGCTCTCTTCCTGGAATCCATTTTGGATCTCTTAGTGTAGCCAGCAGGCGCTGCTTGCAGCCTTTCCCCAGCGTTATATTTTATAGTAATTCCCTACTTGTCATTAAATCATTTAGCTGTATTAAAGCATTGTACTCTACTCTGTGAATATTAGCCAAGGTTCTTGTGCTTTCTAGGCAATTTCGTGTTTATAACTCACGTCACTCAACTCAGTATGTACAACTAGCATCATGGAAAAATAAACCAGTCAGTAATTCCTGTTAAACTACCCACAGCCTTCCCATCATCTATGAATTGGGTGAGTGTGTGTGCACGTGTGTGTGGGAGGACAAGTGTGAAACCAGCTCAAACGTGAAAAATAAAAGTACTAGGAAAAATAAAAATCAGACCTCTCATCTTTTCCTACAGGGTGGTTCCCCTATTTGTTCTTTTATTTCACATCTACGGTAATCCCACCAAGTACTGTACTGTTTTCTGAGTGCCTGGTTGTTCTTTGAAGAGGAATTTTATACATTGAAGGAGGATGTTGGAATACAAAATTATCATGATTAACTTAAAAATAATAACCTCCATGTATTAAGCAAAAATTTCTTTTTTAGATAAGTTAGTTTAATTTTAAGTTAATACATGTGCAGGACGTGCAGGTTTGTTCGACAGGTAAACGTGTGCCATGGTGGTTTGCTGCACCTATCAACCCATCACCTAGGTATTAAGCCCCACATGCCTTAGCTTTTTATACTGATGCTCTTCCTCCCCCTGCCCCCCTGTCAGGCCCCAGTGTGTGTTGTTCTCCTCCATGTTTTCATGTGTTCTCATTTTTCAGCTCCCACTTATAAGTGAGAACATGCAGTGTTTAGTTTTCTGTTCCTGTGTTAGTGTGCTGAGGATAATGGTTTTCAGTTCCATCCATGTCCCTGCAAAGGACATGATCTCATTCCTTTTTATGGCTGCATAGTATTCCACAGTGTATATGTACCACATTTTCTTTATCCAGTCTATCATTGATAGGCATTTGGTTGATTCCATATCTTTACCATTGTGAATAGTGCTGCAGTAAACATATGCATACATGTATCTTTATAGTAGAATGATTTATATTCCTTTGGCCATCTACCCAGTAATGGATTGCTGGGTCAAATGGTATTTCTGGTTTTAGGTCTTTGAGGAGTCACCACACTGTCTTCCTCAATGGTTGAACTAATTTACATTCCCACCAACAGTGTGAAAGTGTTCCTATTTCTCCACAGCTTCACCAGCGTCTGTTGTTTCTTGACTTTTTAAAAATCGCCATTGTGACTGGCATGAGATGGTATCTCATTGTGGCTTTGATTTGCATTTCTCTAATGATCAGTGATATTGAGCTTTTTTTCATGTTTGTTGGCTGCATAAATGTCTTCTTTTGAGAATTATCTGTTCATATCCCTCACCCATTTTTTTGATGGGGTTGTTTGTTTTTTTTCTTGTAAATTTGTTTAAGCTCCTTGTAGATTCTGGATATTAGCCCTTTGTCAGATGGACAGATTGCAAAAATTTTCTCCCATTCTGTAGGTTGCCTGTTCACTCTGATGATAGTTTCTTTTGCTGTGCAGAAGCTCTTTAGTTTAATAAGATCCCATTTGTCAATTTTGGCTTTTGTTGCAATTGCTTTTGGTGTTTTAGTCATGAAGTCTTTTTACCCATGCCTATGTCCTGAATGGTATTGCCTGGGTTTTCTTCTAGGGTTTTTATGGTTTTAGGTCTTAGGTTTAAGTCTTTAATCCATCTTGAGTTAATTTTTGTATAAGTTGTAAGGAAGGGATCCAGTTTCAGTTTTCTGCATATGGCTAGCCAGTTTTCCCAACACCATTTATTAAATAGGGAATCCTTTCCCCATTTCTTGTTTTTGTCAGGTTTGTCAAAGATCAGATGGTTGTAGATGTCTGGTGTTATTTCTGAGGCCTCTGTGCTGTTCCATTGGTCTATATATCTGTTTTGGTACCAGTACCATGCTGTTTTGGTTACTGTAGCCTTGTAGTGTAGTTTGAAGTTAGGTAGCATGATGCCTCCAGCTTTGTTCTTTTGTTTAGGATTGTCTTGGCTATACAGGCTCTTTTTTTGGTTCCATATGAAATTTAAAGTTGTTTTTTCTAATTCTGTGAAGAAAGTCAATGGTAGCTTGATGGGGATAGTATTGATTCTATAAATTACTTTGGGCAGTATGGCCATATTCATGATATTGATTCTTTCTATCCATGATCATGGAATGTTTTTCCATTTGTTTGTGTCCTCTCTTATTTCCTTGAGCAGTGGTTTGTAGTTCTCCTTGAAGAGGTCCTTCACATCCTTTGTAAGCTATATTCCTAGGTATTTTATTTTCATTGTAGCAATTGTGAATGGGAGTTTACTCATGATTTGGCTCTCTGTTTCTCTATTATTGTTGTATAGGAATGCTTCTCATTTTTGCACATTGATTTTGTATCCTGAGATTTTGCTGAAGTTGCTTATCAGCTTAAGGAGATTTTGGGCTGAGATGATGGGGTTTTCTAAATATACAATCATGTCTTCTGCAAACAGAGACAATTTGATTTCCTCTCTTACTATTTGAATACCCTTTCTTTCTTTCTCTTGCCTGATTGCCCTGGCCAGAACTTCCAATACTGTGTTGAGTAGGAGTGGTGAGACAGGGTATCCTTGTCTTGTGCCGGTTTTCAAGGGAATGCTTCCAGCTTTTGCCCATTCAGTATGATAATGGCTGTGTGTTTATCATAAATAGCTCTTATTATTTTGAGATATGTTCCATCAATACCTAGTTGATTGAGAGTTTTTAGCATGAAGGGGTGTTGAATGTTATTGAAGGCCTTTTCGCATCTATTGAGATAATTATGTGGTTTTTGTTGTTGGTTCTGTTTATGTGATGGATTACGTTTATTGATTTGCATATGTTGAACTACCCTTGCATCCTGGGGATGAAGCTGACTTGATCGTGGTGGATAAGCTTTTTGATGTGCTGCTGGATTTGGTTTGCCAGTATTTTATTAAGGATTTTCACATTGATGTTCATCAGGGATATTGGCCTGAAATTCTCTTTTTATGATGTGTCTCTGCCTGGTTTTGATATCAGGATGATGCTGGCCTCATAAAATGAGTTAGGGAGAAGTCTCCCTTTTTATATTGTTTGGAATAGTTTTAGAAGGAATGGCACCAGCTCCTCTTTGTACCTCTGGTAGAATTCAGCTGTGAATCTGTCTGGTCCTGGGCTTTTTTTGGTTGGTAGGCTATTAATTACTGCCTCAGTTTCAGAACTTGTTATCGGTTTATTAAGGTACTCAACTTCTTCCAGGTTAGTCTTGGGAGGTTGTATGAGTCCAGGAATTTATCCATTTCTTCTAGATTTTCTAGTTTTTTTGCATAGAGGTGTTTATAGTATTCTCTGATGGTAGTTTGTATTTCTGTGGGATCAGTGGTGATAGCCACTTTATCATTTTTTATTGTGTCTGTTTGGTTCTTATCTCTTTTCGTCTGTATTAGTCTGACTTGCGGTCTATTTTATTAATCTTTTCCAGAAAAAACCCAGCTCCTGGATTCATTGATTTTTTTGAAGGGTTTTTTGTGTCTCTGTCTCCTTCAGTTCTGCCCTGATCTTAGTTATTTCTTGTCTTCTGCTAGCTTTTGAATTTATTTGCTTTTGCTTCTCTAGTTCTTTTAATTGTGATGTTAGGGTATTGATTTTAGATCTTTCCTGCTTTCTCCCATGGGCATTTAGTGCTATAAATTTTCCTCTAAACACTGCTGTAACTGTGTCCCAGAGATTCTGGTACATTGTCTCTTTGCTCTCATTGGTTTCAAACAACTTCTTAATTTCTGCCTTAATTTCATTATTTACCCAAGAGTCATTCAGCAGCAAGTTGTTCAATTTCCACGTAGTTGTGCGGTTTTGAGTGAGTTTCTTAATTCTGAGTTCTAATTTGATTACACTGTGGTCTGAGAGACTGTTTGTTATGATTTCAGTTCTTTTGCATATGCTGAGGAGTGTTTTACTTCCAATCATGTGACCAATTTTAGATTAAATGCCATGTGGCACCAAGAAGAATGTATATTTTTTTGATTTGGGGTAGAGAGCTCTTGTAGATATCTATCAGGTCCACTTGGTCCAGAGCTGAGTTCAAGTCCTGAATATCCTTTTTAATTTTCTGTCTGTTTGATCTGTCTACTATTGACAGTGTGGTGTTAAAGTCTCCCACTATTATTGTGTGGGAGTCTAAGTCTCTTTTTAGGTCTCTAAGAGCTTGCTTTATGTACCTGGGTGCTCCTGTATTGGGTGTATATATATTTAGGATAGTTAGCTCTTCTTGTTGAATTGATCCCTTTACCATCATGCAATGGCCCTCTTTGTCTTTTTTTTATCTTTGTTGGTTTAAAGTCTGTTTTATCAGAAACTAGGATTGCAACCCCTGCTTTTTTTGACTTTCCATTTGCTTGGTAAATATTCCTCCATCCCTTTATTTTGAGCCCGTGTGTGTCTTTGCACGTGAGATGGGTCTCCTGAATACAGCACACCGATGGGTCTTGACTTTTTATCCAATTTGCCAGTCTGTGCCTTTTAATTGGGTCATTTAGCCCACTTACATTTAAGGTTAATACTGTTATGTGTAAATTTGATCCTGTCATTATGATGTTAGCTGGTTATTTTTGCCCATTAGTTGATGCAGTTTCTTCATAGTGTTGATGATCTTTATAATTTGGTATGTTTTTGCAGTGGCTGGTACCAGCTTTTCCTTTCCATATTTAGTGCTTTCTTCAGGAGCTCTTGTAAGGCAGGCCTGGGGGTAAAAGGATCTCTCAGCATTTGCTTGTCTATAAATGATTTTATTTCTCCTTCGCTTATGAAGCTTAGTTTGGCTGGATATGAAATTCTGGGTGGAAAATTCTTTTCTTTAAGAATGTTGCTTATTGGCCCACTCTCTCTTGCAGCTTGTAGGGTTTCTGCCAAGAGATACACTGTTAGTCTAATGGGCTTCCCTTTGTGCGTAACACAAGCTTTCTCTCTGGCTGCCCTTAATATTTTTTCCTTCATTTCAATCTTGGTGAATCTGACAATTATGTGCCTTGGGGTTGCTCTTCCTGAGGAGTATCTTTGTGGTGTTCTCTATATTTCCTGAATTTGAATGTTGGCCTGACTTGCTAGGTTTTCAAAAGAAGACATTTATGCAGCCAACAAACATGAAAAAAAGCTCATCATTACTGGTCATTAGAGAAATGCAAATCAAAACCACAATGAGATACCATCTCATGCCAGTTAGAATGGCAATGATTAAAAAGTCAGGAAACAACAGATGCTGGAGAGGATGTGGAGAAATAGGAACACTTTTGTGGTGTTGATGGGAGTGTAAATTAGCTCAACCATTGTGGAAGACAGTGTGGTGATACTTCAAGGATCTAGAACCAGAAATAGCATTTGACCCAGCAACCTCATTACTGGGTATATACCCAAAGGATTATAAATCATTCTACTATAAAGACACAAGCACATGTATGTTTATTGCAGCACTGTTCACAATAGCAAAGACTTGGAACCAACCTAAATGCCCATCAATGATAGACTAGATAAAGAAAATGTGGCAGATGTATACCTTGGAATACTATGCAGCCATAAAAAAGGATGAGATCATGTCCTTTGCAGGGACATGGATGATGCTGGAAACCATCATTCTCAGCAAACTAACACAGGAACAGCAAACCAAACACTGCATGTTCTCACTCATAAGTGGGAGTTGAACAATGAGAACACATGGACACAGGGAAGGGAATATCACACACTGGGGTCTGTTTTGGGTGGGGGGCTAGGGAGCGATAGCATTAGGAGAAATACCTAATGTAGATGACAGATTGGTGGGTTCAGCAAACCACCATGGCACGTGTATACCTATGTAACGAACCTGCACATTCTGTACATGTATCCCAGAACTTAAAAATATTAAAAAAAAAAAAACTGCTTGTGTTAAAGTGCATGAGAGCTCAGCTTAGGCAATTCTGAGCACCATTAGCATCTCTTATTTGAAATGGGGCTTTAGAATAACAAAAATATAATAATTTTGCTGAATAAAAAAGTTAATTATGCAACCTGAGGAGAGAAATAAGGAGCAAGCAGGTATAACACAGGCCCAGGAGGAGACAGGCACATGTGCAAATTCAACACAAGCCTCTAGGTGATTAAGGAAGAAAAAAAGTGGTCACGCATTTCATATTTCTAGGAGAGCAGTTTCTTTTATTAAGAGAATTCAGTACTTCTTTATATTCAGATTTTGTACTTGGCCTAACTCTAGCCAAAGATTTAGAAATAGCTTATTCTGTGGTCAGAATCGTGTAAGTTTTCACAAACTGATGTGTGCAGTTGGTGGCATTTCCTGAGGAAGGCTTTTTAACTGAAGATAAGTGAGGCAGGTCAACCTCCACATTTTAGTCATAGATGTCATAATTACCAGTGGCAGCAAACAAAGCTGCATTGAGCTCTGGCTATGCCAATCAGAAGCTGATGGAAGCAGAAAAAGGAATTCCCTGTAGATCTTGCTCCTATAATGCCATTCCTTATAAGAGAAGAGAATTCTCTTAGGGAAGGGGGTCTCACTGATTTTTAGGAGAGGTGTTGTTTTGACTCAATCTGAACATTTTGAATGCTTGGTCTTCTGGATTAGAGGTATCCACCACAATTTGTTTATAATAAAAATGTGTAAATTAATTTGAATTCATTTTAGATAAAATTTTCTGCCATGGTTTTGGCCCTAAAACTTGTTACTAGGTGTTAACCAATTACACCACTTTCTAAAAAAAAATTATGAAGATCAAAGTTGTTGTAAATTTATATTTTTCATTGTGTCCTAAATGACTTGTAGAAGGAGCAGTGAAATGGAATTGCCTGAACAAAGGTGGAAATATTGAGGTTCCAAAAATGAAGAAAAGAACTGCATTAAAGTCAAGGTATTTTATGAGTGGAAAAACAGATTTATTTATTTCTTTCCTGCTGGGCATTCCCAAAAATTTGAAGCAATAGAAAGAAATACCTCAGGTTATATTATCAATTATCTTGACATAGCAACTTTCATCTAGAGCTTAAAATACAATATAAAGAATATAATTTTACTTTCTAATTCCATTAGATGGAAAGAGTACCCCACCCCAAAGCCACAGAAAAGAGAAAGCTGTCTTATTTTTGATGTGCCACTATAAAAAGAAAAATCCATTGGCCCACCTTGTTTTATGACTGCTAACATCTTCCTTGCCCAAGGAGGACGCTGTTTACAGGAGAGAAGTTAGTCAATTTGCTTTCCTACTTACATAATCACAGAAATACCTGGTTCTTCATTTTTGCTAGTTCTGTCCAAAGTGTAATTATTGCTGTAAAACAATGATTCTCAAGGCTTTGTTAATCTGTAAATTAATTTGACAGGACAAAATGCCTTATGCCACCCCATTCTTAATTACCAACATTAAAATAGGATGAGGGGAAAAATAATACCATCTCTGATGACTCTTACTCATAAATGAGATGATTCCTATTTTTTTGCCCATCATTATGCCAAAATTAATAGTACAATGACTATTATAAAAGACTGCCTAGAGCCAAATCAGACTATAAGCACCACTGTTCCAAAATAAATATTGCACATTTGTAGGTTCAACCTCCAGGTCACTGGCGCTCTGCATAACTTTTGTAAGAAAGCAATGCCACTTTATTATTTTTTTTTATTTGAGACAGATTCTCGCTCTGTTGCCAGGTTGAAGTGCAGTGACGCGATCTTGGCTCACTGCAACCTCTGCCTCCTGGGTTCAAGCTATTCTCCTGCCTCAGCCTCCCAAGTAGCAGGGACTACAGGCACCTGCCACCATGCTCAGCTAGTTTTTGTATTTTTAGTAGAGACGGGGTTTCACCATGTTGGCCAGGATGGTCTTGATGTTTTGACCTCATGATCCATCTGCCTGGGCCTCCTAAAGTGCTGGGATTACAGGTGTGAGCCACCTCGCCCCGTGGCAATGCCACTTTAAATAGATAAAAGCATTCCCTCCTCCTCCCCCACCCCCAGACAAACAAACAAAAACCAAATGGATTGATCCAAGCATAAATACAATTAGAGGATCTTTGGGGAAAAAATGAAACAGTGATACTTAAATAGAGGATGGAAAATGAGCAAATGAAGAGACTATTCATAAGTGATTTTTTGGGTATGTCTGCCTCGAGTTATCTCATTTAATTATCCCACCAAACTTAAGTTTCAAACAAGAAACCAAGGGTTAGTGCTATTAAGAACATTGCCCAACAAAGTGGTACTTAAGCCCAGTTTTGTCTCAACATAATTGCTGTCTTCCTTTCACTCTTGTGTAGTATCTCTAGGATAAAGAGGCTGGAAATAGTCAGAAAATACAAGATTATCACAAAAAAAGATATTTTTAAAATGATGATGAGAAATGAAAATAAAACAGAAAAAAACCCTTCTTTTCTCACCTTTTTGGAGAAAAATGGGCAAGAATCCCAAGAGTTTATCCTTATAGAGACGATGAACAATCTATCCAATAATTTTCAAATTTGTTAATTTGCTTTCTTCATCATGCAAAAACAGACAAAACCAAACATTTCTAGCCTATCTAATGGTGTGCTGGAGAAAATACGTAAAATCGGTTCTTATCTTAGCCTAATTGAGGTCATCATGCACAGGCAGGAGTCATGATAAGAAGGACTTTGAGGAATATTGAAATCAGATAGCCACACACTTTGGGAATGCCCACACTGCCCAGCCACAGTGGAGGCTCAGGTGAAAGGCTCAGTGACCTGGCAGGTACCCCACCTTAGCATAGCTTCATCCGGTAACTTGGTCAACATCCGCTGTCTCTGTACCTCATTTTTTTTCAACTTTATTCCTCCTCGCTGATTTGTTAGTCACAGAAATGTTGCACAAATTTATGAGATGTCTGTAAGTGCTTTGAGCTTCTTAGAAGAAATAAGTAAATTTAAAAAGTGGCATCTTATGACAGAACTCCACTTTGGGAAAATGTGAGCAAGAAGAATGAATGTGTAAAGATGATAACTATGAGGTCTTGGGAAGTCCCTACCTTGCTTTTACATTTGAATAATAGAGACATTTCACTATTCAAGAGAATACAGCAAAACATATCTGGGGTTTGGATTCAAAGTGTCATGAAAAATGCAAATAAGAAATCTGTTACACAGACAGGTCAAAAACAACCAACGGTTTTTCTGTTGTGAAACCACCATTTAGAATATGTCTGTTTTAATGTTTTGTCCTGAAGGAACTGAGTATTTTGGGGACACATTGCATGATTCAAAAAGTGGAAAAGGTCTTCTAGGAATTACTTCTATTAGAGGAGAAATGAGTTCAAGGTCAATGGCCTCTCAACATATTACTGGGAGCTAAGAACGATTAGAGCTGACATTTACTGCAGGCCTACACATTGTTCCAGGTATTTTGTTAAACATTTTAAATACAATATCTAATTCAATCCTCATAACAGCCCTACAAGTTAGATTCTGTTATTATCTCCATTTTGGAAAGGAAGAATTGAGGCGTGGGTAGCTCACTAATTTGTCAAAGCCATAAAGTAGCTAGTGAAGGCGGTGGTCCTATTTAATCTGAGATCCGCCTACATCTGGCACTCCTGCTCTTAAACACTATGCTACAATTTTCATTCTTCAGGTAGCTTAATAGTAAATGGGAAAGACTGGGCTTTGCATGTCTTTTGCTTCACCTGCCTCCCTTTCTTTCATCTTTCCTCAGAAATATTTCTCTAGGGTGAAGGGGAATAATAATACTGCCTCTGTTGGGTCATTTTCATGAATGAAGTGATTTTATATTTTGTCAATCATTAATCAATGGTACATCATTTGTCAATAGTACAATGACTGTTATACAAAACCTCCTAGAGCTGAGCCAGACTTAAAGCACCACTGTTCCAAAATAAATTTTTTCCATTATAGATTGAATTTCCACTGAATCAAGTCACTCTCATAGGCCACTGGGAAAATGTCCAGTTGATATCTGGGCAAGTCTGAGCTACTGGGCAATTTAGTGATACTGCTTTCTACTCTAAGATTTGAGAGGAGAAATATGGACATCACGTAGTTTTACTGCTGATAAAACTGGATTGGGGAATTTGGCTTGGACTAAGGCAAAATACGCTTCCTAATACTCTCCTTTCATCACCACCAAAAACAAACTGACCAAGAAATCAATAAACAAACAAAGGCACTGGGAAATGTAGGGCTTTGGTGCACAAAATTCAAATGTCCATTCTTTCAGAATATACTGTCTTTATTTTTATACGCTGCCCTCCTTTTCATCCTGTCCTAAAGGAGAGACTGGTTACTGGATTGAGACTATTGAAAAGAGGCTCAGTTGCATGCAGGTGGTCTACACTCTTTTTGCCTCCTTTATTTAGGGCTTGCCAGCTTGTAGATTGGCCCCATTCTCTCGTTTTTTGCTTGGTAAACCTACTGAGGCAGGTGAGTCCAACCCTTGTTCTCCAATCTCACTTTAATGCTAATATAGCTGATATTTTTTATCCATGACTGTTTTGTCTATCTCCCAAATGACTCACAACTTGAAGAAACCAACAGAGTGAGTACTTGGCTCTCCCTTCAAAAACTCCAATAGCCTCTAGAATACACCAAGTCTGTGTTCCATTGGATGGAAGAGAAGTCAGAGCTATCAGTAGTGGGAATGTTTCACAGAGTTGGCCTCATATCAGACCATATCAACTAATAAAATATTAGCTTTATTTTTTATTTTATTAGTTTATACTAATATTTTATTAGTTTATACCAATAAATATATAATATTTTGACCAGTCAAAACTAATATTTACTCCACACGTTGGTTCCCTCTTGAAAATACTCTCTCCTGATATCCCAGGAGAATTATAGATAAGGCCCAGCACCTCAGCCCGATGGCTTTCAATCTCCAAAGACAAACAGATTGATTTTGTTAAGCACTAATTTCCAAGCGCCTCACAAAATCTGTTTCACTATATCTTTTACTTCTCCAACCCTTTATCTTTTCTTTCGTCATTACTTGCATGTGTATTTTGAGTGTGGTAACCAGATAGATTTAGGAAAAAAATCTTGGTCTGGAAGCTGTGACAGGCCACACTGTAATACAGCTGGCAGCATGGCGTTCCCAATTCACCACAAAGAACATATGAACTCTTTGTACCTGACACTTTACACAATATGCTCCCTGGCTTTAAGAAAACATTATTTCATGTTCTTACTCTAATCAGTCTTGTCTGCCAGCCTCGAGAACTGAGAGGTTCATTGTTATATGCAGCTGTCATTTGTTCCATCTCCAGGCTGTCTCTGCCTTCAATATCTTTGTGGTATTTAGTGAAAGTAATTTTCAGTTGGAAATCTTCTGCCCTTTCAGTAAGTGCAAGTATAGTACTTCATCAATGGCCAAAGAATTCTGAGCTATCTGGGATGTGTCAGGACAGTTGATAAAACCTCACGGAGCAACCTATGATAGTACATCCCATCATAAATTTTTTAAAAAACGGCAGAAAGGGCCTTTGTCAGTGTTTATCTGAAGCGCTTTTATTCTTTGCCCTTGATTTCCTCTTCAGAAAATTGATGCACCCTTAAATTGAAGCAAGAGGCTTGACAGGTGATGGTTAGTGTGATAACTGCTCAGATTTCATCAGCCAGTGTTTTTCTGGTGGTGCAATTGTCGGAACTTTCAGCTAGATTACCTGTCATCCACTACATCAGATAAAAGAGGCAGGGTTGAAAGATGCAGTTTTGCCACCGTACCTTATAGCAAATGAAAAGTGCAGGTATGGTAACAGTAGCGAGGAAGAAGTACAATTATTTTCTAATCAGGCTATTTCTTCAAGAAAGTTGGTGCCCAAATTGGCAACCACTGGGCAAAACTATTGCTAAATTTGCATTGTTTAATTTATGAGGAATAAATGAAAAGAACAGTCACACAGTAGTGCTGTGAGCTCCCCTTCCAAATCCATTTTATTTGTTCCACATATTGAAACAGTAGCAGTTTATTTTTAGACACAAAAAAAGTGTTCCTATTTTGGATACATCTCAATATGCTGATGTTGAGCCTGTATTTTGATCTGCTATTAAACTGTTTGAAACCATGAAGGGAGGCGTTATTCTAGAGAAAGTTTTACAGACAAACTTTTCGGTTAAAAAATTGAAAATAGCACATTTTGGAAGAATTGTACTATGTAAGAATAATTTTGTAACTTTTTTATTTTAAAAGTAACATGGGGTGATAAATCAGGTAAGAAAAACTCTAACAATCAAAATGTGTTTTTTTATTTTGGTTTGGTTTGGTTTTTGTAGAGACAGGGTCTTGCTATGTTGCCCAGGCTAGTCTCAAACTCCTAAGCTCAAGTGATCCTCCTGCCTTGGCCTTCCAAAGTTTTGGGATTACAGGTATGAGCCGCCACACTCAGCCTAAAAATGTGTTTTTGTTTGTGAGGTTATACTGTGCACTATTCCCTAAACTTCAGATTTTAAAAAATGATCAAATTTCATCATGTTCAGTCTGTCACCTCCTCAGAATAGAAAAAGGTATTTGAATGTAGCTGTCACATGACAATTGGAAATTGGTTTCCTCTGAAAAGGAAAGAGTACCTTTCTTCTTGATAGGATAGAACAGAGTTATACACTTTGTTACCACATTAGATAAAGCCCTTTAGAATTTTCACTAGAAAATACTTATTTTCAGAGTTTTCTACAATTACCCAGGATCATTTATTTTCCAGGGTGAAATATAGCATTCAAATCTGGCTGTCATACAAGGAACAATTGTTCTTTATTCAGGCAAAATAATGATTTTCTCACAGCACAGTCACACACATATTTAGAGCTTCTCATTTTAATTAAATATACATACTCATCAGGGTAAATCTCAACAGCAAATGTTTATCACCGCCTCCTCTTCAGGTGAGTTCGGTATGTGATGGGTCTTTATTAATTATCAATCTAATATGAGCATTTGATGTTTAGTTACTAAGCCGTTTCTAAAATTTTCCCCTTTCCTTTGTCTTTTTCATTTGGAGATAGTTTGCTATACTAGAAAGAAGACTAAACTAGGGAGGCAGCACAAACATAATGGTCAAGGATTTGGGTGATACTGAGAGAAGAGTCTAAAATCATTTTCATCAAATTGGACACATTGTTTACCCCAAGGAGAGTGCTTTGGGAAAGGAGAGAGGCAGATTATTAACTTTTTCATTATACACTTCTGCACTATTAGACTTGAATTACTTTTGTAACTAAAAGCAATATAATCATAAAATTAAAAAGTTTAAAAATATGTATAATCTTAGGAATTGATATCCTAGGTTTAAATCTTGGCTCTTCTACTCGCTCTCTGTGCCATTTGGGGCTAGTAATTTTTCTTCTTTGAGCTTCGGTTTTCTCATCTGCAAAATGGGCATAATAATAATACCCAGGTTATGAAATTGTTGTGAGGATTAAGTTACATAAAACATTTGAAATACTCTGGACATAGAAAGTACCCAATAAATACTACCTTTTTGGAATAAGGAGACCTGTATATGTGTCACAAACTAGATACAAGATGCATTCCTTTGGTAAAAAATTTGATCTTTTATGAGCCAAGTTTCTTCTCCCCATAAAATGGGTAAATTAGAAGTGACGGCATCTGAGGCTCATTCTATTTCAAACATTTCGTATTCCATATAAAATGTAGTTGGAGAGGTGCATGTGTGTTGGTTTCATGGAAAGAGACTTAGGTTGTGATCTTGGTCTACCATGTATCTATTTCTTCACTTAGCAAAGATCCCTACCTTCATGTTTTCAAAGTGTGAAGCCTTTAACTATTTAAGAAACCTAAAGTGCACCCTCCACACTATGAAATCTTGCCTGACTTCTCCAGCATATAAGAAAACCCTTCTCCTTCAAATTGAAGCATTTCTAATTCTGCCTTTGGCCTTGTGAGGTCATCTGGGTCAACCTATCTTTACAGCTCATATAATTACATTGATGGAGAGTGGACTATGTTTTGAGCTAGAGCATTCCATGATCTATTAGCAAAATGTATTAGAGAGATTTTTCTTACATTGAGTTGAAATCCAGCTTTCAGTAACTTTTACCCACTTGTCCTAGATTGTATAACAGCATCCAAATCTAGCTGTCATACAGATTGCTGTCCCCTAAGCTGTACAGAACCCATCCTTTTTTTCTTCCATGAGATGGCCTGCCAAACATTTCAAATTTGCTTCATGTCCTCTTTATGCTTATTGTTTCCCAGGTTCCATTGAGACTGAAATAAGTAATACGTGGCTCTTCAACATTCCTCCAAAGACACAACTACAGACATTTGGTCTTTCTTCTTTACACACCTTGAGGTAGTCTTAAAATATATCATCCACAATCACAGCTCTACTCCAGAGAGTCTATGACAAGTGTCAAATACATTGAGACTCTTATATCTCACTCCCTGAGCACCATATTTCCATCTAGGAGTATGTGTGTTAAGTTTATTTGATTTTGCTAGCATTCTCTGGATCTCCCAGCATATAGATCTTATTTAAAAAAAAGAAGAAAAGAAGATACTTTGGCCTAACTTGGTTTTAGTAAGCTTATTCTGGCTCTTGTTAATCATCATTGTGTGTGTGTGTATCTGTTGTGGGGGGATGGGGGCCAACCATCTCTTTAACAATTCCGTTTAAAATATTTTATTGCTGGAGCGTTTGGACATTAATAGGTAAAAATAAATAAACCTTGACCTAATAGATCATGGACTTAAATGTAAAATGCAAAGCAATAAAACTCTTAGGAAAAAAAAATAGGACAATATCTTTGAGACCTAGGTCTAGGCTAAGAGTACTCAGACTTGACCCCAGAAGTGTAGTCCATAAGAGGAGAAAATGCCAAATTGGACCTTATCAAGATTAAAGACTTTTGCTCTGTGAAACTCCCTATGAGGAAAATGAAAAGACAAGCCACAGACTGAGAGAAAATATTTGCCACACATTTGACAAAGGGCTTGTGTCTAAAATATATAAAGAACTCTCTAAACTCAACAGTAGAAAAAGAAACAAGGCAATTAGAAAATGGGCAAAAGACATAAAGTGGCATTTCACTGAAGAGGATATAGAGATGAAAAATAAGCAAATTGAAAGATGTCCAAAATATTTAGCTATTAAGGAAATGCAAAGTAAAATCACAATGAAATGTTCCCATAGCACTATGAGAATAACTAAAATAAAATATAGTGACAACCCCAAAAGCTGGCAAGAATGTGGGGAACCAGATCACTCATACATTGCTAGTGGAAATGTAAAATGATAGTTACTTTAGAAAAAGAGTATGGCAGTTTTGTAAAAATACAAAAAACAAAAAAAACTAAAGAAGTGCTTATCATATGATCCAGCAATTGCACTTTGGTGCATTTATCCCAGAAAAAGGAAAACTTACGTTCACATGAAAACCTATACATGAATATTTATAGCAGTTTTATTTATTATAGCTAAAATCTAGAAGCAACCTAAATATCCTTCAAAGGATGAATAGTTAAACAATGTGTGGTATATAAACACCATGAAATACTACTCGGTAATGAAAAGGAATGAACTATTGATGCAGCTTCCCTTGTCACTGGGTTTGGACCAATGGGATAAAAACATCCATGTTTTCAAAGGCCTTTTGGTCATCCTGCTGGCTGGAATGTGAATGTTATGGATGGAGCGCCAGCCGACCTCTTGGACCACATAGTACAGGCCATGTGTAGAGAATGGTAGAGCTACAAATAGGAGAAACCTGGTACCCTGATGATTGTGGAAATATCATACCAGCCCTGGACTAGTTACCTCTGAATCTCTTTTATTGGAAAGTGAAAGAAGCAATAAGTGAAAGTCATCTTTATTTGGAGTTTTCTGTCACATGCAGGTGAATCCAAACCTAGAAAATGCAAGATGCACATCCAAGCAGTGGAAGGAAAGGCAGTGCGACTGGGGAATAGTGGCAATGAGAGAGAGAGAGTTGTATAGAATGAAGTCAAAGAGATGGCTGAACCAGGGTAGAGAGTAGGATTTTATTCAACATGTAAGGGAAAGCTGTCTTAGTCTGTTCAGTCTGCTATAACAAAACTCCATAAACTGGGTAGCTTGTAAACAACAGAAATTTACTTCTCACAGTTTTGCAGGCTGAGTAGTACGAGATCAAATACTAATGGATTGAGCAAGAGCCTATTTCTTGGTTCACAGAAGACATCTTCTGGCTGAGTCCTCACATGGCAGAAGGGGCGAATAAGCTCCTGAGATCTATTTTAAAAGGTCAATAATCCCATTCACTTAACCTCCCAGGAGGCCCTACCTACTAATACTATCACCTTGAAAGCTAGGATTTTAACATGAATTTTGTGGCAACACAAACATTCAGACTATAACAAAAGCTACTGGGACATTTTGAGTGGGAGAGTACACGGTCTGATTTACATTTTAAGGGTTTGCTTTGTTTGCTGCAATGTGGCAAGAGTGAACAATGGACCCTAGTTCTAAGGCTGTTGAAGTATTCTAGGCAAGATATAGTGAAGTGGATAGAGTTCGCAATTTTTACAGGCAGTGTTGGCAGGACTGCTTCAGGGTTAGATTAGAGTGATATAGTACAAGAAGAACCAAAATAACTCCTGGATTTGGGACTTGGCAAGCAAATGGATAATGATGGGCAAAAATTCTGTTTTCTCTGGGTTAAGTTTGAATGAGGTCTTTTGGCCTCCGTGTAGAGAGGTCAAGTTGGCTGTCAGATATATAAGGCTGGAGCTCAGGGAGAGGTCAGCCTGAACCTAGAGACTAGGAGCCATGGGACATAACACTGGACGAACCCGCTATGGGACCATATACAAAGAGAAGGAAAAAGGGCCCAGAGCACAACCTTGAGGCACAGAAGCAAAATGGCGAGTCCCTTAGAGGTAAGGGTGTAAGAGGATCAGAGAAAACTTCCCGCAGAAAGGTCTATCAGAGACATGAAAAGTGGGTGTGACTGTGCAGGCAAATGGGGATGGGGTGTTAATAAAAGTGTTCCAGGCAGAGAGAACAGCACAGGCGAGGGCTCGAAAGCATTCAAGGAACTGAAAGAAGTTCATTCATGATGAGGAAGACATTAGGGGTGAGAAGTGTGGGAGTTTTGGTCAAGGTGGTGGCTGCTGAAGTCAGAGAAAAAGATGGAGAGATGAGCAGGAGTCAGCTTTTGGAGAGGATAGTAAAGAAGTTGAATGACATCCTGAGGGTACACGGGAGGCATTAAATGTTTAAGCAATGGTGTGACTTAATCCTAAGAAACTAAGGTAATGGACATGGGCTCTGGAGCCTGACTGCATGGGTTGAAATTTGAGATCCATCACTTTCTGGTGGTGGAAACTTGAGAAGTTACAAAGATGCTTGGTGCCTTAGTTTCCTTATTTTATAGGATTGTTGTGGAGTTTAAATGGATGTAAAGCGCTTGGAACAGGCCCAGTAAAGTTATCTACTGTTTTCAGATTTGAGTAGTTAGACGGAAAAGTGAGGCAGCTGTCATGAAAAAATTAAGATCTCAATACAAGTAAATAAACACATGGGCAATTATAAAGATTAGTATTCTTGTGACAACAGTTTGAACCTCCAATTTTTGTTTTCTTCATTATTTAAGAAATGAATACATTAAAAAATTATCAATCTAAAGCTAGTATTGTTACAAACTTTGCTTTGTAGCTCTTTGTTTTGTTTTCTACATAATTTAGGAGACTAATGCATTCAAAAGAATTATTAGTTTGTGTTTTGGGGTACGCAATGTATAAAGACATAATTTTATGTCAGTAACCCAAAGGGGTGGTGACAGAGCTGTAAAAAAGCAGAGTTTTTATATGTTATTGAAGTTAAGCTGCACAAATTCAAATTAGAGTGTTATAACATTAGGATGTTAAATGTAATTCCCATGGCAACCATAAAGAAAAAATAGTTTATGGTATACACGAAGGGAAATGAGAAAAGGAATCTAAACATTTCACTATAAAAAGCCAACTAAACACAAAAGACAGTAATGCAGCAAATGAGGGACCAAGAAAAAAATAAAGGCTATATGGCATGTAGAAAACATATAACAAAATGACAGAAGTAAGTCCTTCCTTACCAGTAATTACTTTAAATGTGAACAGATGAAACTCTCCAATCAAAAGACAAAGATTGGCAGAATGTAAAAACACACAATCTAACAATAAACTCTCTATAAGAGACACACTTTAGGTCCAAAGAAACAAATCGATTGAAAGTGAATGTACGGAAGAAGATATTCCATCAAATAATAGCCAAAAGAGAACAGATGTGGCTATATTAATATAAGACATAATAAATTTTAAGTCAAATAAAGGTTACAAGAGACAAAGAAAAATATTATACATTAATGAGAGGAGATACAGCAAGAAGATATAACAATTATAAACATTTATGCTTCTAATGACAGACTATCAAAATATGTCAAGTAAAAACTAACATAATTGAAGGAAAAAATGGGCAATTGTACAATAATAATTGGAGACTTCAATATGTCCTTTCAATAATAGATAGAACAATCAGATAGAAGATCAGTAAGAAAATAGAGGACTTGGCCAGACACGGTAGCTCACACCCGTAATCCCAGCACTTTGGGAGGCTGAGGCTGGTGGATCACAAGGTCAGGAGTTCAAGACCAGCCTGGCCAAGATGGTGAAACCCCCGTCTCTACTAAAAGTACAAAAATTATAGCACGCCTGTAACCCCAGCTTCTCGGGAGGCTGAGGTAGGAGAATCGCTTGAACCTGGGGGGCAGAGGTTGCAGTGAACCGAGATCGTGCCACTGCACTCCAGCCTGGGTGACAGAGTGAGATTCCATCTCAAAAAAAAAAAAAAAAAGAAGAAAGAAAATAGAGGACTTAATGAAATGAACCAACTAGATTTAACAGACACAAATGGAACACTGTCTCCAACAACAGCATACACATTCGCCTCAAATGCACATGGGACATTTTTCAGGATAGACCATGTGCTAGGTAACAAATAAAGTCTTAATGGATTTTAAAAGATAGAGATCAGCAAAATATCTTCTCCAGCCACAATGAGATGAAGTTAGAAATCAGTAAGAGAAATAAAACTAGAGAATTCACAAATTTGTGGAAATTAAACAACACGTTCAAACAACCATTGGGTAAAAGAAGAACTCAGAAGGAAATTAGAAAATACTTAGAGATAAATGAAAATGAAAACATAACATATTAACATTTATGGGACCCAACAAAAGCAATGCTAAGGGGGAAACTTATAGCTGTAAGCACTTACATTAAAA
This sequence comes from Homo sapiens, assembly GCF_000001405.40. Lineage (NCBI taxonomy): Eukaryota > Metazoa > Chordata > Mammalia > Primates > Hominidae > Homo > Homo sapiens. The sequence goes on from NC_000007.14 coordinate 20,941,075, forward strand.
ACACACGCAAAAGATTTCAAATGAACAACCTAACTTTACAACTTAAGGAACTAGGAAAAGAACAACAAACTAAACACAAAGCTAGCAGAAAGCAGGATATAATAAAGATTAGAACAGAAATAAATGAAACAGACAATAGAAACACAATAGAGAAAATCAGTGAAACCAAAAGTTGTTTTTTGGAAAAAATTAACACAATTTACAAACCTTTTACTAGATGGATTAAAAAAAGTTAGAAGACACAAGCTATTAAAATCAGAAGTGAAAATGCGGACTTTACTAACAATTCTAGGGAAATAAAAAGGATTATAAGACAGTATTATAAATAATTGCACACCGACAAATTAGATAACCTACATGAGATGGTACATTACTAGAAACACAAAGCCTACCAAGTTTAAATAGGAAGAGATAGAAAATCTGAATAGACCTATAACTGGTAAGATGATTGAATCAGTAATAAAAAATCTCCCAAAAAAGAAAAGCCTTGTACCCGATGGTTTAATGAGGGAATTCTACCAAACATTTGAATAACTAATATCAATCCTTCTCAAACTTTTCCAAAAAAATGGAAGAGGGGACACTTTCTAACTAATTCTATGAGGTCTGCATTACTCTGATACCAAAGACAGACAAGAACACTATAAGAAAAAAGAACTACAGACCAATATCCCTTAGGAAAATTGATGTAAAAAGCCTCAACAATATACTGGCAAGCCAAATTTAGCAGCATGTTAAAAGGATTATGCACCATGACCTAGTAGAATTTATCCCAGAAATGCAAGGATGGTTCATGAAAACCAAGCAATGTGATACACCACATTGATTAAATGAAGAAACAAAATCACATGATCTTTTTAATTGATGCAGAAAAAGCATTTGACAAAAATCAACAACCTTTTATGATAAAAATGCTCAACAAACTAGGAATAGAAATAAACTACCTTCGCCGGGCGCGGTGGCTCACTCCTGTAATCCCAGCACTTTGGGAGGCCAAGGCAGGTGGAACACGAGGCCAGGAGATGGAGACCATCCTGACTAACACAGTGAAACCCCATCTCTATTAAAAATACAAAAAATTAGCCAGGCGTGGTGGCGGGCACCTGTAGTCCCAGCTACTCAGGAGGCTGAGGCAGGAGAATGGCATGAACCCGGGAGGCGGAGCTTGCAGTGAGCCGAGTTGGTGCCACTGCACTCCAGCCTGGGCGACAGCCAGATTCCGTCTCAAAAAAAAAAGAAAAAAGAAATAAACTATCTCAAAATGATAAAAGCTATGTGTAAAAAACCCACAGCAAACATTATACTCAATGGTGAAAGACTGAAAGCTTTTCCTCTAAAATTAGGACCAAGACAACAATGCCCACATTCATCACTCTATGCAACACAGTGCTGGAAGTTCTAGCCGGAACAATTAGGCAAGAAAAAGAAATAAAAGACATCCAAAATGGAAAGGAAATGCAAATCATAACTGCAATGAGATACCATCTCACACCCATTAAGATGGCTACTAGAAGAAAAAACATGTGTTGGAAAAGATGTGGAGAAACTGTAATCTGTGTGCATCATAGCTCAGAATGTAAAATGGTACAGCTGTTGCAGAAGACAGGATGACAGTTTTTCAAAAAATTAAAAATAGAGTTACCGTATGATAAAGCAATTGCACTTCTGTGTATATACTCAAAAGAATTGAAAGCAGTATATTTGTGCAGCCATGTTCATAACAGCATTACTTACCATAGCTAAAACATGGAAGCAACCAAAATGTCCATCAATGGATGAATGAATAAGAAAAATGTGATATATATACACACCATGGAATATTATTTAGCCTTAAAAAGGAAGGAAATTCTGCAATATGTTACAGCACGGATAAACTTTTAGGAATTATGCTAGTGAAATAAGCCGATCACAAGAAGACAAATACTGTATGATTTCACTTACATGAGATAAGTTTATACTCAAATTCATAGAGACAGAGAGTAGAAAGGTGGTTTCCAGGGGCTTGGGGGAGGAAGGAATGGGGAGTTATTATTTAATGGGTGTAGAGCTTAAATTTTACAAGACGAAACAGTTATGGAGATGGATGGTGTTGATGGTTGCACAACATTATGAATGTGTTTAGCATCCTTGGACTGGACACTTGAAAATGATTAACTTTGTTCAGTTTTCTGTTATGTGAATTTTATCACAATTTTTTTAATGGGGGTAAAAGTGAAGCAGCTGTTACAATATCTAAATGAGAGAGAATAATGGTCTAAATGGAAATGGTAAGAGTAGGTACTAGCAAAAGTGAATGGTTCAGGGTGCAGTGGCTCATACCTATAATCCCAATACTTAGGGAGGCACAGGCAAGAGGATAGCTTGAGCCCAGGAGTTCAAGGCCAGCCTGGGCAACATAGCAAGACCCTGTTTTCCACAAAAAGGAAAAAAGTGAATGGTTTCCAGAGATGTTTAGAAATGAATATTGGTAGCCCTTTGTGTTTGGATAAGCATGGATTAGAAAGAGAAGTTGAAGGCCGGGTGTGGTGGCTCATGCCTGTAATCCCAGCACTTTGGGATGCCGAGGTGGGTGGATCACCTGAGGTCGGGAGTTTAAGATCAGCCTGACCAACATGGAGAAACCCCATCGCTACTAAAAAAAAATACAAAATTAGCCGAGCGTGGTGGCACATGCCTGTAATCCCAGCTACTAGGGAGGCTGAGGCAGGAGAATCGCTTGAACCTGGGAGGCGGAGGTTGTGGTGAGCTGAGATCACGCTATTGCATTCCAGCCTGGGCAACAAGAGCGAAACTCCGTATCAAAAAAAAAAAAAAGAGAGAGAGAGAAGTTGAGGCTGACACCCAGATTTATGGCTGGGGCAACTGGCAAGAGTAACATAGTTTCTGAGAAAGAAACTAGAGGAGGAGGTTTAGAGGATAAGTTCAGTTTTGGAGGTGAAGTGCCTTTAAATCATCAGAGTGGAAGTATCTGAAGGTAGATCTACAGGTCTGGAGTCTACAGGAGACAGCTTTGGGGTAGAGTTTTACTTGTGAACCATTTGGATAGGGACTTCATATTATGGGTGGAAAATGAATTCACAACAGTGGACAAGGCTGTCCAAGAAAAGTGAGAGAAGAAAAGTAGCCCAAACCCACTTGATCTCAGGCCAAGTTCTTCCATGCTAGATGTTGGTGTGCTGGCAGTTTGCAGAACACAGGGTAAATCTAGTGTTGCTTCTTGCAAGATCAGCTTTACTTGATGGAAGAACTTAAAATATTTTTGGTTCTATCATTCAACAAGTATTTACTGGGTACCTAATTTGTACCAGGCAACTCTTTCCTTCGTAAGTTTACACTCAGGTAGCGATAAACAAAATAATTTGGTATATTATACAGTATATTAAAAGGTGAAATGTGCCTTGAGGAAAGATAAAGCAAGGAAAATGGATGAGGGATACCAGATCAGGGCATAAGGGGGGGCTGTAATTTTAAATGAGAGCAGGAAAGTGCTCTTTGTAGCTTGAAGGGGTAAGGGAGTAACAGAGCTATTGGCAGAAAGGATGTTCTAGGCAGAAGGAACAACAAATGCAAATGTTCTAAAACAGCGGTGTGTCCAGAGTGTTGGAGGAACAGCCAGGAGGCCAGTGCGGGTGGGAAAAACAGTTTTTTGTTTTGTTTTGTTTTGTTTTCGTTTTTTGGTTTTTTTTTTGAGATGGAGTCTGGCTCTGTTGCCCAGGCTGGAGTGCAGTGGCGCCATCTCGGCTCACTGCAAGCTCCGCCTCCCAGGTTCATGCCATTCTCCCGCCCCAGCCTCCCGAGCAGCTGGGACTACAGGCGCCCGCCACCACGCCCGGCTAATTTTTTGCATTTTTAGTAGAGACGGAGTTTCACCGTGTTAGCCAAGATGGTCTCGATCTCCTGACCTCGTGATCCACCCGCCTCGGCCTCCCAAGGTTCTGGGATTATAGGCGTGAGCCACCGAGCCCGGCCGAAAAACAGTATTTAGGAGGAAGAATATCAAAAGAGGTCAGACTAGTGATAAGAAGCCCGTCCATGCACGGCCACACTGACTATTACAAGAATACTTACAGTCTGTAAAAATTGGGTGCCATTGTAAGGCAGAGGGTGGTGGAGGGGTGGGGATTAACCAGAGAAGAAACATGATCTGACATCCTTTATAACAAGATTAATCTAGCTGTATATGTACACTAGAAAGACTGGCAATGAATATAAGAGAAATGGAAATTCTTAAATGCTACTCTTCAGTTCATGGGACACTGTCATCTTTGGTCCAACTAGTGCTACTTTTTATTCTCTACTTATTTATACCCCTATTCATTTTCACATTCCCCTCTTCTCAGTAAGCACCTCTTCTAATATCCCTGAATATCTATCTCTTTCCTTCCTTCCCTCCTTTCCTCCCTCCCTCCTTCCTTCCTTTTCTGCCTTCCTTCCACAAGCCTTTATTGTATAACTACTGAGAGCCAGAAATTGGTGTTTGGTGTCTGAGCTCCAAAGACATAGTAGTTCCAAAGGAGCCAATAGTTCAGTGGGGTGACAGGCGAATTATAACACTATAATGCACACCATGCTAAAATAGAAATTTGTATGAAGTGCTACAGGAATGCAACAGAAGGAGTCTTTAATTGCCAACAGGAATAAACCACTGATGAGGGTATGGTTCACAGTGGAGATGATGTATTATTACTTTAAAAATTATCTAATGATCTTTTATTATTACATTGTTACGTCATTAACTTCACTGGACAACAAAGATAGATTGTTCAATTGCCAATTTTATGAGCATGAAACTATTCTTTAAAAAATACTGTAACATTGCAGTCTAGTTTCCAAGATGGTGAATTGGAAGCAGAGCTAGCCTGCCTCTCCCACTTGGAAAGACAAAATAGTGTGTAGAGATTCACACTGTTAACTTTTTTTCCAAGAAGCAATGCAGGAGCTTAACAAGAAATCTGAAAGAAATCACAGACCCTTTGAAAGAAGTGGCAGATTGCCACTTAAAGTAAAATAAATAAATAAATAAATAAAGTTTAAAATATATGAAAAATGCTCATCACTAATCATGTGAGAAATGCAAATTAAAACTATGATGAGACACCAGAAAAAAATACTACTAGACCTAAGAAATGAGATAGACAGCAACAACACAATAATAGTAGGGGACTTCAACACCCCACTGACAGCACTAGACTGATCATCTAGAAAGAAAGTCAACAAAAACAAAAAAAATGATCTTGAACTACACTGTAGAACAAATGGACCTAACAGATATTTGCAGAACATTCCACCCAAGAACTGCAGAATATACATTCTTCTCATCAACACATTGAACGTGCTCCAAGACAGACCATATGATAGGCCATAAAACTAGTCTCAATAAATTTTTAAAAATCAAAATTATATCAAGTATTTTCTCAGACCACAGTGAAATAAAACTAAAAATCAACTTCAAAAGGAATCCCTAAAACTATACAAATACATGGAAATAAAATAATCTGCTCCTGAATGATTTTTGGGTTAACAATTAAATCAAGATGGAAATATAAAAATCTTTGGAATGAATAATAGTGAAAGAAATTATCAAAACCTCTGTGATAAAGCAAAAGCAATGCTAAGAGGAAAGTTTATAGCACTTATGCCTCCATCAAAAAGTCTGAAAGATTGTAAATTGACAACCGAAAGTCACACTTCAAAGTACTAGAGAAATAAAAAGAAACTATACCTAAAGCTAGCAGAAGAAAATAAATAACAGATCAGAGCAGAACTAGATGAATTTGAAACAAAAAAGTTACAAAAGATCAATAAAACAAAAAGTTGGTTGTTTGAAAAGATAAGCGAAAATTTTTGCCCATTAGCTAGATTAACCAAGACAAAAAGAAAGGTGATTTAAGCAAGCTCAATTAGAAATGAAACTAGAGACATTACAACTGACACCACAGAAATACAAAAGATCATTTGAGATTACTACGATTATCTCTATGCACACAGACTAGAAAATCTAGAGGAAATGGATACATTCCTGGAAACATAAAACCTTCCTAGATTAACTCAGGAAGAAATAGAAACCCTGAACAGACCAATAGCAAGCAGTAAGATTGAATCTGTAATTTAAAAAATTGCCATCAAGGAAAAAAATCCCAAGGCCAGATGGACTCACAGCTGCATTCTACCAGACATTCAAAGAAGATTTGATACTAATCCTACTGAAACTATTCCAAAAGATTGAGACAGAGGGAATCCTCCCTAATTCACTCTATGAAGCCAGTATCACCCTGATACCAAAACCAGGAAAGGACATAGTAAAAAAAGAACACTACAGATCAATATCCCTGATGAACATAGATGTAAAAATCCTCAACAAAATACTAGCTAACCAAGTCCAACAGCATATCAAAAAGTTAATAAATATGATCAAGTTGGTTTCATTCTAGGAATGCAGGGATGGTTTATTATATGCAAGACAATAAATGTGATACATGACGTATGCAGAATTAAAAACAAAAACCATATGATCACCTCAAAAGATGCAGAAAAAGCATTTGATAAGCATCTAACATCCCTTTGTGATGAAAGCCCTCAACAAATTAGGCATAAAAGGGACTTATGTCAATAATAAAAGCCATATATGACAAACCCACAGCCAACATAGCACTGAACGGGGAAAATTAAAAGCTGTCCCCCTGAAAACTAGAACAAGACAACGATGCCAACTTTCACCACTTCTATTCAACATAGTGTTGGAAGTCCTAGCCAGAGCAATCAGGCAAGAGGAGAAAATAAAGGGCATCCGAATTGAAGAAGAGGAAGTCAAACTATCACTCTTCATTGATGACATGATTGTATATCTAGAAACCCTAAAGGCTCCTCCAAAAGACTCCTAGATTTGAAAAACAAATTAAGTAAAGTCTCAGGTTACAAAACCAATGTACACAAATCAGTAGCAGTGCTAGACACTAACAATGACCAAGCTGAGAATCAAATCAAGAATTCATTGCCTTTTACAACAGATGCAACAAAACAAAACAAAAAACCTAGGAATGTACCTAACCAAGGAGGTAGAAGATCTCTACAAGTATGACCACAAAACACTGATGAAAGAAATCATAGATGACACAAGCAAATCAAAAATCAAAATACATCCCATGCTCATGGATTAGAAGAATCAATATCATGAAAATTACCATAGTGCTCCAAAACAATCTACAGAGTCAATGCAATTCCTATCAAAATACCAACATAAATTTTCACAGAATTAAAAAAATTCCTAAAATTCATATGGAACCAAAAAAGAGCCTGAAGAGCCAAAGCAATCTTAAGCAAAAAGAACAAATCTGAAGACATCACATTGCCAGACTTCAAATTATAAAGGCTCTAGTTACTGAAACAGTATTATACTGGTATAAAAGTAGACATGGACCAATGGAACAGAATATAGAAACCAGAAATAAAGCCAAATACTTACAACCAAAGACTTACAATCTTTTTGACAAAGCATAAAAAAATCATATATTGAGGACACCCTATCTAATAAATGGTGCTGGGAAAACTGGATAGCCACATGTAGAAGAATAAAACTGGATCCCTATCTTTCAACTTACACAAAAATCAACTCAGGATGGATCAAAGACTTAAATCTAAGGCCTGAAATCATAAAAATTCTAGAAGATAACCTAGGAAAAACTTTTCTAGACATTGGCCTGGCCAAAGAATTCATGACTAAAACCCCAAAAGCAAATGTTACTAAAACAAACAAATAAATGGAACCTGATTAAATTAAAAAGTTTCTATACTGTGAAAGAAATAATCATCAAAATAAACAGACAACCCACAGAATGGGAGAAAATATTTGTAAACTCTACATCCAAGAAAGGACTAATATTCAGAATCTACAAGAAACTCAAATAAATCAGCAAGAAAAAAATTCAACAATCCCATCAAAAAGTGGGCAAGCGACATTAACACACAGTTTTCCAAAGAAGATACACAAATTGGCCAACAAACATGAAAAAATGCTCAACATCACTAATCATCCCTATCTTTCACCTTATACAAAATTCAAGGAAATGCAAATTAAAACCGTCTTACTCCTGCAAGAAAGACCATTACTAAAAAGTCAAAAAACAGTAGGTGTTGGCATGGTGGGATGAAAAGGGAAAACTTATACATTGTTGGTGGGAATATAAGTTGTTAGTACAAACCACATGGAAAACAGTATGGAGATTTCTTAAAGAACTAAAAGTAGATCTATCATTTGATTCAGGAATCCCACTACTGGGTATCTATCCAAAGTAAAAGAAGTCATTATATCAAAAGGACACCTGCATGCCTTTGTTTATTGCAGAACAATTCACAATTGCAAAGATATGGAACCAACCTAATTGCCCATCAACCAATGAGTGGATAAAGAAAATGTGGTATGCATACGCTATGGAATACTACCCAGCCATAAAAAAGAAGAAAATAATCTCTTTTGCAGCAACTTGGATGGAGCTGGAGGCTATTGTTCCTTTTCTCTTTTTCCTTTTTTTTTTTTTTTTTTTGAAATGGCGTTTCACTCTTTATGCCCAGGCTAGAGTGCAGTGGTGCAACCAGGTTCAAGTGATTCTCCTGCCTCAGCCTCCCAAGTTGCTGGGATTACAGGCGCATGCCACGACGCCTGGCTAATTTTGTAGTTTTTAGTAGAGACGGTGTTTCACCATGTTGGCCAGGCTGGTCTCGAACTCCTGACCTCAGGCATTGGTCTCCCAAAGTGCTGGGATAATAGGCATGAGCCACTGCACCCAGCCTGGAGGCTATTGTTCTATGTTCTATGCAAAGTAGCTCAGGGATGAAAAACCAAATACTATATATTCTCATATAAGTGGGAGCTAAGCTATGGGTACATAAAGGCATACAGAATGATATAATGGACTTTGGAGACTCAGAAGGTGGGAGGGTGAGAGGGGAGTGAGGGATAAAAACTAAATATTGAGTACAATGTGCACTAGTCACGTGAAAGGTGCACCAAAATCTCAAACTTCACCACTATAAAATTCATCCGTATAACCAAAAACCACATGTACCCCTAAAGCTATTGAAATAAATAAATAAATAATAAAAATCCCTCCAAAATAGTATTACATTGACTTGAGAATAGCTCCATAAAAGTGCATACTTTAAGAAAAAATACTACGTATTTTAAAAATAATACATTCACGTAGTGAAGATTTTGATAATACAAAAGGAACACAGCAAAAGTATGTCTCCTTTCCATTCCCATCTTCCAGTTCCTCTTCCCAGAGATAACACTCTCATCACTTTCGCGTTTCCATCTATACATAATATCCTCTCCCCAACCTTTAAATTATAATTAGCACATTATTCTGTACCTCATTTCTTTGGAAGTGTTACAGTTTATGTGGGTCTTAACAGACAAATCAAGATTTGCTAGATGAGACAGTCTAGGCAGGGCAAGGAGCATGTGCAAAGGTGTAGAGGGAACAGGAATGCTCCCGTATCAAAGACGGGGTAGTTCTGAGTGGCTGGAGCATGGGTGATTAGAGAAAAGGCAGGAAAGTTCTGTCTAGTTACCTCCAAAGTGAATGTATAGACTAATGAAGCAGAAAGTCTGCAGACCCACACCATGTAAGAAATTGGTCATTTGCTAAAGGTGAGACTTCAAATTAGTGTCAGGGAAAAGATGGATTATTCAATAAGTAATGTTAGGGCAATGTTAAGGCTCTCTGAAAAGAAGTTTAATCCTTTCTCCATATCACACCTCAAAAAGTTCAAAGATTTCAAAAAGAAGCCATAACAATAGAGAGTACAACATGGGAGAATCCCTTTATAACTTTGGAGTAAAAAGGCTTTTTAAATTATGACTGAAGTCCAAAGATTATAATAGGAAATTAAGGTAAATGTATAGAAAAATAACTTTTAAAACATCTAAGTTGAAACAAAATCAACACAAAAATTCAGCGAAAAACAAAAAACTAGGAAAATTATTTCATGTCAACCAAATAGCTAATTGCTCTAATGTGTAAAGAAGTTCTACAACATAGTTTAAAACTATAATAAAAAAGAATTTGAATAGAGTTTATAAAAATAAATGGCTCTTAAACATATGAAAAAGTACATAACCTCACTCAATATAAAAGTAAATTAAAACCACATAAAGATACCATAATTTAAAAAAGTATGTAATCAAAATTCCAGATTTTCCCAAACAGAAACTTACCAGCATTTTGTTTTCAAGATGGTGGGAGGCCAGGTGCTGTGGCTCCCACCTGCAGTCCCAGCTTTTTGGGAGGCTGAGGTGGAAGGATGCTTGAGCCGGTGAGTTCAAGTCCAGCCTGGGCAACATGGTGAGACTCATCTCTACAAAAAAATAGAAATAAATTAGCCAGGCGTGGTGGTGCACATCTGTAATCCCAGCTACTCTGGAGGTTGAGGTGGGAGGATTGCTTAAGCCCAGGAGGTGGAGGCTTCAGTGAGGTCATTCATGCCGCTTCAGTCCAGCCTGGGCTACAAAGCTGGACCTTGTCTCAAAAAAGAAAAAAAAAAAAAGACTAGGAAATAGGTAATTTAATATATTGCTGATAGTAGTGTAAATTAATGCATCTATGGAAGAAAGTTTAACATTATCTTTCAAAATGACTAATGCATATATTCTTTGACCAAGCAATCCCACTTATGGAGGTTTTTCCTACAGATAAACTTGCACACATGTAAAGTCATATATGTTCAAGGTCATTGACTGTAGCATTATTTTTTATAGGAAAAGATTGGTATCAACCCAAATGTCCACCAACAGTGGACTGGTTAAATTAATAATGGTATATCTATGTGATGGAATAACATGTAAGAGAATTTTAAAAAATGGAATGAACTCTCCATGTATCAACATGGCTAAAGTTCTGAGGTACGTGTAGTGAAAAAAAGCAATGTACTGAACAGTGTGCATAATGTGCTACCTCTTCAAGGGAGAAAATATAAGTGCATATTCTGTATTGCACAAGGAAACTCTGGAATTATACAAAGAAACTAATAAAAATTGTACTGTGAAAGGCTGTGGAAACTGACAAATGGGAACAGTAGTAGAAGCAAGTGCTCTCACCATACCTGTTTTAATGTTTGATGTTTGAATTATGAAGATGTATTAATCATCTAATAATTTTTTAAAAGCATCTGCCTCTATCTTTGCACTACTTCAATGATTAGCCATTTATTAATTGCAAGCAGTGGGGTTTTGCACTGGCTTATTTTTTCTTTTGCCTGTGGCTTTTGTTTGTAAGATTTCATCCACGAGTAAAATCACTAAGCAAGCCTTGCCCATAGCGTTCAGCATGTGTTGAAATACAGGGGAGAACTGACAATCACAGGGAGAATGGTATTTTTGATGTATTCTCTACTCTGTGGTCAAAGAGGTGGCCGGATACCTGCCAGGAGTGGAAGGAAGGTCCAGAACATTGAAATAATTCAGTTCTCATTCAAGGTCAGAATGCATTTGCTTTGGCCGGGCGTGGTGGCTCACGCCTGTAATCCTGCACTTTGGGAGGCCGAGGTGGGCGGATCACGAGGTTAGGAGATCGAGACCATCCTGGCTAACACGGTGAAACCCGTGAAACCCCGTCTCTACTAAAAATAAAAAAAATTAGCCAGGCGAGGTGGCCGGCACCTGTAGTCCCAGCTACTGAGGGAGGCTGAGGCAGGAGAATGGCGTGAACCCAGGAGGCGGAGCTTGCAGTGAGCCGAGATCACGCCACTGCACTCCAGCCTGGGCGACAGAGCGACACTCTGTCTCAAAGAAAAAAAAAAAAAAGAAACAAAGAATGCATTTGCTTTAAAGATGGAGCTAAGTATTCCTGGAACAAACACCGGGAAATAACCATGGGAAGAGGATTAAAACGGAAAAAGAAGTGACTTGAAGGAAATGAGATGGGAGAATGAGATGCCAAAATTAGCACCTACATGCAAAGGGGCAGGTAGACAGGATCCAGGGTTGTACAAGGAAACTACTCAGCTGAAGGATAACCAGGAAGGGAAGGGAGGAGACTCATTATCAGGGAAATGTGAATAACAAGAGGCTGTTCAAACTGATGTAACTAAGGGTCATGACTAAGAAATATCCCAAAGATCCTCTAGAGTAGAACTACAACATTAGAGTTGCATATTGAGATCTGTTTGACATTCAAGGAAGCCAAACCTAAAGTTGTGAAGAGAACAATCTAGGGTCACACAGAAACCGTGTCTGAGACTTCTAGCCTAGCATTTTTTTTTCTTTCTCTCTTGTTTATTTTCATGCAGCATCTCTTGTTAATGCTCAATTTGATTTAGTTTCAAGACTCTCATTTTAACATGAATAATCACTGTTGACTGTTGCCAGAAAACAGAAGAGTGGGAAAGAAAGAGAGATAGAGAGAAAAAGGTATATAGAGAGATGTTAAATCTTGTAAATGAAAGTACATTGATAACAGCAACTAGCAGACCTACATATGAACCAAACAAGCAAAAAATGTCATTCCTGCTGTAAGTGGGCCCAGCCAAGCTGTTCTGAGCAGTGAAGGTCAAAAGTTCCATGACCACAGCTCTGCATCTCTCTCAATACAAGGCTTTTTGTTAAATGGTGGCAAAGCATTTTTAAAAATCATCCTTTCTTACCATCTATAAACCATAAAAAAAGAAATTTTTCCCTTTAGGGCCTTTAGCCATATTATGCTTTCTTGCAGATATCTCATAAAAAACTCCCCCAGAATAGCCCTCAGTATGTTCTTTTTAAGGCACAGTTCTTCCCTTAAATTGTTATTTAATCAGTAAATATTCTTATTCTTCACATAAGTTTTTCTCTGTGGTGGGCTAGGAAGTGCTTGAATTTTTACTCTAGAAAATTGTTTTCTCACAGTTCCTGGACCCACATCACATAAATGTTCATATAAAAAAATTCACAACTTTTAAATGTGATTTAGCAATAAAATTGAGTCTCTGTTAACACTGACCAATTCCAAAGAGTTGTAACACAGATCATTCTGCTTATTTTTGCCTTAAGTCTCAAGGGGGGGGCGGGGGGAAAGCAAAAAAGGAGGCTACTCTCCTTAGGAAGAAAGGGAATCCTAATTTCCTATTCAAAGAAATATTTAACATTCCATGTTTTTTAACTTCCAAATACCTCCAGTAATCAAGGGTGCTTTACAGGTGAATAATCAGGGCTTTAAGGCAGAATTATACTCTTCCTGGCCTGGAAGAAGATGAAGCTCTAAGGTAACACAGAGACTCAAAAGAAAAAACAGAAAACAACTCTCTACCCTTTTGGAAATGTAAACAATCAGGTAAATAATAACTAAAGCTCTAATTTTTTACTCATATTCTGATTTAAAATTTAGTCCTTCCCAAGTTTGTACTGTCTCTCGATTTTGTTTTGTTTTCACAGGCTTACCAAAAAAATTGATTCTGATCACTGTAGACCGACCCTCCATAAACCCTCTTTCTATGGGAAACTGTAATAAGGATTGTGGACTTTCACTGTCTCTGATGATATAAAATTACCTTTTTAAAAATTACCAGAAGAAAACATACAACTAAGACCTTCTCCCTGTTAATCTGTTAGGGTTCATCTTTTCTGCTTCCTAAGCTTGATGGTAGCTCTCTAAATTAAGTGATAACATAGATATGGTGTGTGAACTGTGCACTTACAGAATCTTAGAAATGTTTCATACTTCCAAGGATTTTGGTTTTTTAAAAATTTTAAATATGAGACAGTCTGTGCCAGGAGCTATTGGGAAAACAGCTCTTTCTGTGTTTGGCCTGTTCCTCTCTGCCCACAACATTCCTCCACACCCCTCGCACTTTACATCCTCACATTCCCATGCTGTGTGTCTATGACAAGCCTCTGAGAGTCTGGGAATCACGGTGTTTATGGGTAAAGCAAGAAGGCCAGGGAAGGAGTGACAAGAAATAGATCAGGATTTTCAGAGATCTACTTGCCAGAGCCAGGTGTGGTAGTGCACAGCTGTTATCCCAGTTACGTGGCAGGCCAAAGCAGGAGGGTCCCTTTACTCCAGGAATTTGAGGTAGCAGTGTGCTGTGATCATGCCTGTGAATAGCCACTACACTCCAGCTTGGGCAACATAACAAGACCCTTGTCTCTTAAAAAAAGTCTATTTGCTAACATGCCACTAATTCTGCAAGATTTATAATAATAGCTACCAATTATTATGAGCCTACGATAAGCCAAACATTCACAAGACATTTAATCCTCAGAATAACCCTGTGAAGTTGGTACTCCTTTTCCATTTTACACATGTAGGAAATGGGGTTCTTATTGCCTAGGGAAACTCTCCAAACAAAAATAAACAAAAAGCAAGCTAGTTGGAATCAGAGTTAGGATTTGAGCCTGTGTTTACCAGAGTCCAAACTCCTGCTCTTTCTGCTATTAGCCTACTCATGATCTAAAGCCTAACTAAGGCTTCTTGGATTCTAAAGGGATTTTTATGGTCCTGTGGTTCTATTTCAGGTTAACATGGAAATCTCTTCCTTGAGTGCTTCAAAAAAGGTTAAATTTTATGAGATACACTTTAGTGATGAATATACTTTATCTTATCCTATTAAAATAATTAATATTAGGAATAGAAGGTTGAATAGAAACCAGAGTATTACATTAGCTGGAATATCACACTTCTCAATAATTATGTATAAATGAAAGTTCACTCTTCCATTCATTATCACTCATCCACCTACTTATCCATCCATCCACGTGTCCATCCATGTATCCATCCATCCATCCATCCATCCATCCATCCATCCATCCATCGACTTAACAAATTGAGAACTACTATGGGCTAGTTGCTATTCTAGGCCCATAGAAAGGAGGTAAAAAGAGGCCGGGCACAGTGGCTCATGCCTGTAATCCCAGCACTTTGGGAGGCTGAGGCGGGTGGATCACTTGAGGTCAGGAGTTTGAGACCAGCCTGGTCAACATGGTGAAACCCTGTCTCTATTAAAAATACAAAAATTAGCTGGGTGTGGTGGCACACACCTGTAATCACAGGTACTTGGGAAGCAGAGGCAGGAGAATCGCTTAAAACTGGGAGGCAGAGGTTGCAGTGAGCCGACATTGCTCCACTGCACTCTAGCCTGGGTGACAGAGCAAGACTCTGTCTAAAAAAAAATAAAAAATAAAAATAAAATAAAAAATAATAAAAAAAAGAAATGGAGGTAAAAAGTCAGAGCTTTCTTTTGCTCTCAAAGATTATATTCTAGATCAGCACTGTTCAACAGAACTTTCTGTGAGACAAAAGTGTTTTATATCTGTGCTATTGAGAAAAACTGAGGAATGGAATTTGCAATTGTATTTAATTTTTGTTTTAATTAATTTAAACTTAAGTAACAGCATGTCATTACTGTCCTGGACATCACAGTTCTAGAAGGTTTAAGGAGGTGAGAAGACAGAAAATAAATTAAATTTTTAGTTTTAATTTTATGGATATATAATATTTTACATATTTTTGGGGTACATGTGAGGATTTTCTTCATGCATAGACTGTGTAATGATCAAGTCAGGCTATTTGGAGTATCTATCACCTCGAGTATCTATCATTTCTATGGGCTGATAACATTTTAAGTCCTCTCTTCTAGTTTGAAATATACAAATATTGTTGCTAACTATGGTCACTATTCTTCTATGAAGCATTAGAACTTATTTCTTCTCTAACTGTAAGTTTGTATGCTGAATCTTGAGTGAAAATAAGGAGTCAGACATGCCAAGAGCAAAGGAAGAACACTGTAGGCCTAGAGAAGTATGTCAAAAGCCCTAAGAAGAGAAAGACTTTGGTGTGTTCACGTTTCAGAGAGTGGATCAGTGTTGGTTAGATTGCAGTGAGCAGGGAGGTAATGGGCATACAATGCTGCTGGAAGGTAGGAGAGGCCAGATAATGTGGAGTTGTTTAGCTTGTAGCAAAGGGTATGGATTTAATTCTAATTGAAATCTCAATCTATAGATAACCTTTTAAGAATTGCATTGTCCTATAAAATATTGGTATCCAAAGTTGAATTACTTAATGATGAAGTGGGTGATAATATGGAGCTTTACTCTTTTTAAAAGCTTTATCTACAGTTTAGTTCAGAACATGCCTATATTAAAGAACTACTGATGGTTATGAAATTGTCTTGAAGATTCAAAGATAAGTATTTTCGAGATATGGGCATTGAAGATGGCAAACAACCTACTGACATAGGATATCCAAAGAGGGAGTGAGCGAATCAAGACATTTCATTTTAAGTCTTCTGGTGAAAATAATTTTTACTATCTCTCAGGACTGATTTGCTTTGGAATACAGATGGGAAAACTCTTTTCTAGATGTGGCATGGTTTGTCATCCTCTGAAAATATGACTCTTTATACAATTGGTCTATAGCCAGTTTTTAGTGGAAAAGTCGTGACATCAGAATGCTCATGAGCCATAGCAGAGAGTCCCAGACTTCCTTATTAATTCTGAAAATGGTTCTTTAAGTGAGACTGGGTTTAAAATATGTTAGTGTCTTTGAATTTACCAGAAGATCTGAGCTACTGGTGCAAATCAATTCAACATAGTACCTCTCAGGGGTCACAAATCACTTGGGCCAGCTCGTGAAAAGGAGGGTCATGGTAACCTAGTCTCCAGAGAAACTACATTACCTACCATTTTTCTTGCCAGAAAAAGCATAATTTATACTTTTAACATTATTAGTTGAAAAATAATGCAAACAAATTATGTAGCATAAAATTGTGGGAAAAAAATTGATAGTTACCAGAATAAGCAAATTGCTAAATTATGTAGACGATCTAGATTACAAAGCCCTACAACCTGCTTTACTGTAGAATTTGAAGTCATCAGCTTATAATATTGAACATCTACTTCAAACACAGAGTTTTAAGACTTACAAATTTCTATTTTTAAACGATGTAAACTTTTCAATATTCGTAGGGTAGTAATTATTGTTTTGTGTTACTATTTTAAAAATACAAGCAACAAAAATGCAAGACTAAACTGTCAAAAAATACCAAAGTTTCAAGTTCGTATTTAGCAAAAGTCTTTTCTTATAATAGAGGGTCATTTTGTACATGAAGTGCAAGGGAGAATGAAAAGACACAGAAAGAGAGAAAGGCAGAGAGAGAGAGAGAGAGAAATCCTTTTTCATCCTTACCAAATTAGCTTGTGTTTATAAAGATGTCAAACCTTCATTTTACCCAATAAAACATTTTTGGTGTGGAAATGATGTTCCCCTCGTGAATTTGCATAAAAGTAAAATGATTTTTAAAATCCAGCTTTGTAAACCAATGTGGAACTATGATTGTTTTAAACCTTTAAACCAAAAGCAAGGCATGGTTTTTGTCTTAAATTTAGAATAAATTGAAAGCATACATTGATGTTCTTTGTTTCAAATACATTTTGGAACCCAGCAGACCACATTCAACCTAGTTAAATTATCTGAATGGATTTGGGGAAAAGAGAAAGGAGCCTGTTCATTTTAATATACCTTCAGAAATATTTTACTTCTTGATGATGACAGCAGCTCTTGCTGACAACTATTAATACATTATAAACACCCCATCAGAGTTATATAAAAACATGTCAGTTTTAAAGAGAACATCTTTGACAGCAAATTTTCTGATTGTGAAACAGCTGTGCCTTCAGTACAATGCATTAAGTAGTTTATTCCTTTTAGATAGTTAAATTGTGCATGAAATGTTGCTGGCGCAAGGGCTCCAAATCTGGCCTGATTAGCGAACATCTGTTACATTGGAAAAATTCATGTCTACCCTAATTAGCTGTCAGGCTGATGTACATCAGGCCTGATGGTGAGGGATCCTGCGCTGTTTAAGTCAAACAGGTTCCTCTCCTCTCCTGTCACCTGCCCTTTCAAATCTCTTCCTTTCATGGGCTGCTGTAATTAGAGATAGTTGGACACACAATGGAGCAGGCTACGGTCAGTTACAGTCCCATCTGTGCAATATTTTTATTCCCACCAAACTTGGGAACCGATATATGAAGTAGTTCAACAGCAGCAAGGCTGTTAGATCTGTTAGGTCTATGACATTTGTTAATCTTGGCTCAAGATCGTTCTCTGAAAGTCTTAGGATCCTGGAGTCATCATCTTGTGGTGACTGAAGGGTAATCTACAGCTTCTGAGGAATTGATCTTTGTTTCATTTGTTTTAAATAGGGATAGCGCTCAGGTGATTTTGAAATGTCGCAGTGTGCTGTAGAATGGCATGTTACTGTAAGATCAGGTATTCAAAAGAAAAAGAAGCTCAGTGTTCTGCAGTGTCCAGACAACTGACTATAGACAGCTACAGGAGGCAACTGACACCAAAAGATCTGATTTTATTGGGTTTATTAGTCCAGTGTACACAAGGTTTTCCAATGTAAATAAAAACTTTCATTGACCTGTGGATGGGTACATATCATAACTTCCTGTTTGAACTGTTTACCTTTTTAGCAAACTGGAATGTGCGGTTTGATGCTTGAGCTGGTTAAATCTTCATTTGTTCAGTAACAGCCTTTCCTGAAAGAGCTAGAGGGCCTGGGGCCAAATTCAGACTCAACCTGAAAGATTAAGAATATATAAAATTACAACATTAGGTTTTATTAGAGTGTGATTTGACCAAGGAAGAATGAAAAACCAGCCTTTTTCTAACTTTGTATCATCCTTTCAAGATAATTCAAGTACAGGATTGTTATTCCCAAGCATACATGAGGTATAATTACAATGTACGCAAAATTTAGTAATTGAGGACATGCTTTATGAAATGCTTGATGCATGAAGTTATAAACAGGGAAACTCATTTACCCAGAGCATGCAGGATTTTTAGGTGAACTCAAGCACGATCTCGTTTAGAATTCTGAATGCTCTTGTTACAGCACTCCAACCAAACTGGACTTGAGCTGTCTAACCTAGGCGAGGTTCTTTCCTCCCTCCTTCTGTTTCTTCCTTCCTTCTTATGCTTTTCCTTTCACCTCGAAGTACTTCCCCTGTCTATCCAAAGCTTACCGAATTAAACATTTAAGTATGATCTCAAACATCAAATATTCCATACCACTATCAACTTGGTTTAAAGGAAAGGGCAAAGTTTATCAAAACCATTGCGTTCTGTACTATGGTTTCACATGCATTATCTACCTCTTCTACCAACCATGGTGTTTTCATTTCTTTTATGGCACTTGTCTTTTATAAACTTTTATTTAAATATTTGTTTGCTATAGGGTACCCCTTATCTTTTATACTAGACTGTAAGCTCTTTGAAGAGAGCGACAATGATTATATATATATATATATATATATATATCCCCCATAAAGCATAGTCCATAATAGGTGCTCAAAAAGGTTTGTTGAGTAAATAGAATTCGACTCAGATCAGAGCTATTGAAACATAGTGATACGCCTCCAGGGGAATGTGACCATTTTGACTAAGCTCTAGTGAATTACAGGGCCCCATGGCCATCTCCAGCTGCCCGGAGACAGCCACCACAGGCTAGTTAGGGGCCACTAGAGGCTGGTTTAGAGATGTAAGGTATCTTGCAGGTATGAGGTGTTCTTGGGAATGTTCACCAGCATTCCACTAAAGTAAAGAATGGCCTAACTCCTCTCCACAGAGCCAGCAAGCGTTCCTGAAGCATTCAGAATTGTCTAATTTCACCAAATGAATGATCCCTGAGGGATACCATGGATCCTGCTGGTCTAGGATTGGCTCCAGCTTTTTCTGGATCTGCATTTGCTGTGCAACCCTGCTCGGGGGCTGAGAGATGCTCTGGAGCTGTCTAGGCTGTGAGTCTGACTTCCTCCCCACTTCCCTCTCTGCTTTTCTACGACATCCTCTATGGTCTTCTACACTGGTTTCTAGGTTTATCAAGAATGAAGAATGTAGAAAATTCTTCCTTCTTAATTTTCTGCTTAATTTTGTGGAATTGCTTACAGAAACTAAGCAATTTACATTGTTTTAAACACATGCAAAACCTTCAAATTTTGTTCATTCTAGCTTGAAAAGTACTTTGTAATAATTGACCAAGAGACGATGAATTGCAATGTGATTTCATCCTGGCTTGAAAAATACCTTTTGAGGGATTTTTTTCTTTTTGATGATAATATTAAAAGTTTCCTGAATTTTATGGCACATTTTCAAATGTTTTAATACAGATCTCCTCATTTGAATAGAGTAGCTATTTTTCATTTTTATCCATAGAAAACAACACAAACATAGATCATCTTGGATGCTTACCAGGTTAGATTTTCTGATCATCATCATCATTCACAATAAAAACAACTACAGTCATAATAACCAATGATTTTTATTTAAACATCTAGTATATGCTACTTCTAATGCAATATTTTTACTGCTCATAAACATTTCTGTAAGATTTTATTATCTCCATTTTACAGATGACAAAATTTGGACTCAGATTACGTGATTTGCCTTTGGCTACACAGCTAATAAGTATGAGAGCCAAAATTCAACCCATATTTTACCCCAAAGTGGTTGCACAACTGCCATTCGAGAAACTTTTTTTATATTTTTAAGTGCTTATGATTTTTAAATAAATATCATTATTTCATTGTCTTCTTAAAATACTTTGAGGGCTAAAAAACTTCTATTTGGCTAAGTGGCATTGCTCCCGAAGGGGTGCTATGATTTTTATGCATTTTGCCTGCTTGATGGTAGCAAGTGCAGTTGAGTAGTTTTACAAGAATTTACATCATCTTTTACTCATGTTATTATATTTGATGGGGCAAGTCTAATTAATGTAAATACGTAGTTCAACCCAAACTAGTAAAGACTCTGAATCCTCCTCTCTGGGAAACTTTATCTTTAAAATCCAAGTCTCTGAGGTGTGAATTCCATTAAATTCTAATTTATCTGTGAGGAATTAGGACTACAATAGTGACTTTGAAATACTTTTGATGATTCTAACACTATATGCTTTATGGTTAATACAGTTGCTGTGTGTGATTTTGACTAACTTAATAAATAAATTTGAAAGGCTTTTTCTGCAGTTAATAAAGAGTGATACAACAAAAATATTTACTATGCACTATGCCAGCAACTAAATTAACCAGTAATAATTGTTTTCGGTGGTACCAATCAAAGGCTGAGAAAAGAAAATCCCTCAGGTCATTATATTTATCAAAATTAACTATGGTTTCTGCCCATCCTCTTGTGTATCACTCCTTTAAACATCCTGAGTCACACACACACATACTTAAACACACACACATGCACACACGGGGGTGTGGGGAGCTAATTCTCAATGTTTGTTTCTCTGGAAGCGATCTTGCAAACTTTTGAGTGTTTTGTACTGGTGAGATAGCAAATCTCTTATTGCTATTCCTAGCCTATAATTTACTCTCAAGACCGCTGATGCCATCCTTCCATGGAAGCATCCCTGTCATATTGTGGATGGCAACAAAAGGTCACTCCCTTCATGTAGCGACTTGTTCTTGGAGTCTGTCAGAGAACAGTTAGAAAATGCATGCATTTCTTCAGAAAATGGTTGCACACAGGCCACCTAAATCCAGAGAGAGAATTATTACATCCTTCTGTAAGCTTCACATTACAGAAAATGTAAACCCTTCTAAAAGGACTATGCCGCTCCCACAGAGGCTAACCCCTCTACTTTCAGCCAAGTAATGGACTTGTTTCTGAAGAGCCAACATGGCCAACATTGGGCCATAGTCCCCTGGACAATGCCCTCATTGCTTAGGGATAACCCTCATTGAGTGATTTAGATAATACTCTCTGAGACGCCAGCGGTAGGGAAATGCTTGCTGATGTTCTTCAAGATGATCATGAGAAGAGGCAGCCGATAAAACTCTTTCCCGGAGTTGATACTGTTGTTTGGTACAAAGTAGCAGTGAGAAAAGTATGTGAGGGAAGTACCCCTTGACAGAATGAAGCACCATATTAGCAATGATTTGAGAGGGCATCTCAAGAAGAATCCCAGAGTCATGTGTCACCACAATACTTTGGGTCCCATTGTTACAGACAAATCTGAATGCTACACGTCAACTCTGAATTCCCTTTTGAGAAATTATTTTCTGTAGACCAGAAGGAATCAAAGATGAGCCCTGGGATACAGTAAAAGCTGTTACAAAACGGAGTTGCTATTTTCACAAGAGGCCTTTTCACTAATAAAAATCTTCATAATAAAACTGTTTCCTCTTTACTATGAGTATCTCCCATACATGCATGTCTGATGCTCTTTCTTTGCTGGTATGGAAATCATGGTCTCTGAACTCAAGCAAGACAAGGACATTCACAAGGATAAATATCCAACCTTGTTCTTAAGCCAAAATGATGTCAATTCCCTCAAAACAGGAAGACCGGCCCTCACAGATACAGGCCTAAAATAACTCTCTCAGTCAGCCAATATAGAGATGAAAATTAAACTTAGATTTTCTGACACTCTATTCTTGTTCTCTCACCACGAGATCCTCCCAGTTCACTGAGAAATCATTAGGTTTACACTATAAGCCAATTCTCCTCAAGGCCTGACAAATTTATAGCTTCTTCAAACATGGGAACCAAAGCAGAAGTTATCAATTATTTTCAGGGTGTCTAACTTTTAGCTGGGAATACATTGATATAGACATGTGATGGCATCTGTAATTCCAACCAGTCCTCAGGAGAATATCCACAGATGCCTTTTTGGAGCCTTCTCTAAGATAATGAAATAGGCTCTGGTCAGAGACACTGTACCTCACACTGTATAACAGCTTTCGACATAAATCTGGAGCATGATTTGCATTTGAAAGCACCAGATCAATATTTGAGGAGGGATTATTTTTTATCAACTTGGCTCTAATTCTCTGAAATATACAGTTATTTTTTAAATGTCAAGACCAACTACACCCACACTGGCATGAAATAGCTTTGTCAAAAAAGTTGAAAAAAATTAAACGTAAATTTTGTGTTGACATAATCCAGGTTAAGTCTAAAAAAGAAAAATACTTACTTTTGTAAAATGAGAGGCTATTTTATCACTCAGAGAATGTCACATCAATTGTAAAGCCATCAGGCCCAAGGTTTGGTGGTGATTGCTTCATATTTACTGTTAGTCCAGCAACGGGGATGGTACTTTTACAGTCTTTGGACAGACTAGTGAGTGTGACATTTAAAGTGTTGATTTTTGCAGCACTTATGTTAATTGTTGTAATTTTCCTGATGAACCACCATTCTGGTTTCCTGATGCAGCCAAGATAGTTTTACATTTTCTATGCAGGGCCTCTTTGCCATTTGGTCTGTGTAGTGTCAGCTTCGAGTGCTACTGAAAGCAGACAAAATTGCAAGCAAATTGCATCAGATTGCCAACATTGTGAAAAGGTAAATTGCTTGCAAATCTATTTAAACCACTGCCCTATTTTCATCAGCTTCAGTACTTGGTATTCATGATTGCTTAATTGGCGACCTTTCCTATTGTGTAGTGCTTTATGGTGTAATGGAAAGCGATCTTTACCAAACCAATTACCCTTTTTTTCTCAGCACTACATTATTGCTGTGATTGCAACTGCCAGTCCTTTGTAAATGAACTTTCTGATTTCAATGATGTTTTTAAAATGTAAGATAGAAAAAAGTGGCATTCATATTGTGCGATGTTCTATTTTGAAGCCTCTTTGTAGTCACCATTGTCTGGGAAAATGGACTGAAGGGTTACACAGTACCTACAAATATCCATGTAACTATTATTAATATTATTATAATGTCCTCCTTTGTACTGCAGCTCAATTAGGAAAGGATAGGAGAAATATTTTGTCACCCTGTCAAGTGCACAGGAAGTGCATTTGAGGCTTCTTTTTTGACACATACATTATCTCTAGTAATAAGATTCGTTTTAAGGAGTGGTGATGAAGATACAAAATCAATTTAAATAAAATTCACATTGCTAGTTTTATGGTCACTCAACATTTAAAGGGGAGCTTTAAATGACTCAAATATTCAGACTTAGAATAAAAGCTTAATTTTAAAAGAGATAGTTGTGAGCATACTAAGAAATAGTGAATTTTTAAGATCTTAGGTTCTGAATATACATGCCAAGACACAGCAAAACATGACTATTCTATAGTTCAAAGCTAAAAATACGTAAATACAGATATGTAGCCTGAATTGGAACAGAACTAAGACAGCTTTTAAAAACATTCTCTTAATAAGATTCTATAAAATCAGCATCCACATGAATTCTCATAAAAATGGGGCATAGAACTCCATTGAATCCTGCTTACGTATTTTTGTGTGATTTAGAAAATTATATCATTACTTATAAGTATATGTACAGAAAGGGAGCGACAAGTAATTTAGTCATTCTCTAATACTGTTAAGTGGAGATGGATGCATCTTTCCACCCCCTACAGTTAGAAACTCTATTGTATGTGGGATATTTTGCAAAGATTTCTTTTACTCTCTTCTCTCATTTAATTAGGAAAAAAATGGAGTTCAGAAAAGGCTTGCCAATGATGATCAGGTGATTGTTGATTTTAGTACCTTTGATGTAATGTAATGATTTATTTATAGCACAGCAACTTATTCTTTGAAAGCAAACAAATGTGTTTATTATCTGCTGTTTGTAAAAGTGTTCATAACAAACAATTTCACGGTGATATTGAGGTCTAATACAGTTATTACTTTGTATCGGCAATATATATTCTTTTGGAAAATTAGACACATAATTCAATTGTCTGACTTTTAGTATAGTCAAGTATTTACAGGTGGGAGGATGACGTTTGTTCGGGTGTTTGTTAAAACATGGGATTTTAAAAAAAGTGTCCTGTCAATTTGGAGCAGGACCCAGAAGAACTCTCACCTTGTGGAGGGCCTTTATATTAAATAACTTTTGTAGAAAGACTTTTAAGACAATTTTACTTTTCTTGGGGAATGGAGGGTAAGGGAGATCTGTGATGGGAGAAAACTCGTGGGCTGGCAGGAACCACAGTTATCACTGTCAGTGTTACTGACAGAGGTTGGTGGTGAACTCTCACTCTCATCATTCATCTTTTCATCTTTCTAGATCAGTACTGAGCCCTGTGATGGTAACACAGATAATAACCACAGCATACATAGTCAGGGCTTACAATGTGCCAGGCACTATGCTAAGCCCTTTAACTACTGTGTCTCATTTAAAATCCTTCGAACATTCCTATTAGGACAATAATATTATTCCCATTTTATAGATGAGGCAACTGAGGCTGAGGAGGTTTTGAGGCTGACACAGGGCCATGCAGCTAATATGAAACTGGGCTATGACCCTGTGCAGCCAGGCTCTAGAGCCCTGTGTTCTGCCACCTAAAGAGCTCTGTTTCCCAGTTCCAAATTTCTCATTCTTAGGCTAAGAAAGACAGCCGATTGGCTAACAAACACATAGAATCTAAATATCTGATTTTCAAGACTATTTTAAGTAGTTATTAAGAAAATAGAGAAGTGTGGCCAGAAGTCATTTGATCTTTTTTTTTTTTTTTTTTTTTTTTTTGAGACTGAGTATCCCTCTGTGGCCCAGGCTAGAGTCAGTGGCAGGATCTCTGCTCACTGCAAGCTCCGCCTCCCTGGTTCATGCCATTCTCCTGCCTCAGCCTTCCGAGTAGCTGGGACTACAGGCCCGGCTAATTTTTTTGTATTGTTAGTAGAGACGGGGTCTCACTCTGTTAGCCAGGATCGTCTCGATTTCCTGACCTTGTGATCTGCCCGCCTCGGCCTCCCAAAGTGCTGGGATTACAGGCGTGAGCCACCGCGCCCGGCCAGTCATTTGATCTTTTATGCTTTTCATCTCTTTAGACTTGGTATAGTTTTGGCATTGATATTTATGTTTTATATGCAAAACTCTTAGAAACTCGGATGTTCTAATCAGCTTCTGCATGCACAAGGATGAATTCCTGTATATGTCAACTATCACAAAGAGTCCTGTAGATGGTCCTTCTCTTTCTCCTTTCTTTGGGAAGAGAAACTCTTGAATGCTGTCGGCATGGTAAATATCCAGTCCATCTTATCACCTCTGTTAAATAATGTACTTTGGAGTTTGTTATTTGAGTTTGTTGATGGGTGGGACCTTTTTGTTTTAGTTCAAAGCTCTTTCAAAGTAATGGCCGTAAGAATAGTTGTCAGATTTCTTCCTGTGAAAGAGGTAAAGAGGGCGGGGGCTGGAATGAGAGTGAGAGGGTGGGGGGGGTTGTTCCATTTCAAGGGATCTACAAGTAAATTACAGCATGAATGAAATATTTTTTGAGATTGCACATGAGGCATTTGTTGCACTGATTTAAGTGAAAGCCAAGGTGTTTTGCTTGGTATCCCAATGCTCATATTGCCATGGGCAACCAGTGCAGAGTTGAGCATACTCCTTCATGTTTTCAATGGTAGTTAACTCCATGCTCTTATCTCAGCAAGTCATATGTAAGGTCCAATAACCAAAATGTTAGGAAAACTTAGAAAAAAGCAAGAAGCTGGAGAACCCCTTTTATTCCCATTTACTCAGACTCATATACCAATTTCTGGATTTATCCCAAAGATTAATTCAGGGGTGGGGGATGGTAGGGAGGAATTCTAGCCGAAGAATCACTTACGTAAAAATTCATTACGTAATTTATGACCAGGTGCTGTGGCTCATGCCTGGATCCCCAGCACTTTGGGAGGCTGAGGTGGGAGGATTGCTTGAGCCCAGGAGTTTAAGACCAGCTTGGGCAACATGGTGAGACCCCATCTCCACAAAAATAAAAAAATTAGCCATTCATGGTGGTGTGCACGTATAGTCCCAGCTACTCCAGAGGCTGAGGTAAGAGAATTAACTAAGCCTGGGGAGGTCAAGGCTACAGTGAGCTGTGATCACGCCACTGCACTCCAGGCTAAGCGACGGAGTAAGACCCTGTCTCAAGAAAAAAAAATATCATCACATTTTTATTTAGCAAACTCCCTGCACAGATTTAATATACTGTTTCATTTATGGACAAAAAAACTGTACTTAAAGTTTTCAGACTTCCCACAATTTTAGGAAATTACCTCTGTGTTGTTTCTTCTTTGCTGTAATACCACTACTGCAATTCCTTGTACTCCTGCGGGGTGTGGACCTGTAAGGATCATTTATTCTCTCAAATAATGTCCTCTTCATAATCAGCAGCATCCATTCACCCCAAACAGATGGAAGTTAAGGAACAACAAACAAGATTGACCATACCGGTATTACTGACCCCTTATGGATATTAAACTATTAAAAAAAACTTTTATAATCCAACACACCTTTACCATTGATAATAATGATGGATGCTTACAAAGGAGAAATTCTCTGAGCTTTCTTGGCCTTAATTCCTTCTCTACATGAAAGTAAACTGTGAAACCCTTCCACATACACAAAAATAGCTAATCTCTTATTTCCAATTTATGAATTTTTTTTTTTTACTGTGGTATACCCTCAGAAAGATCATAAAATTTAAGAGCAAATGGAAGTGGTACACTATAGAGGAGTCACAGAATTTGTGGAATTGGATTTAAAATTCTGAGATAGTTAATTAGCTCTGTGTATTTTAGGGAGACTGTAACTACTTGATATACTAGCAATAGTAATAAACAACATCTAACATGTGTTTGGGGTTTACTATGAGCCAACAACTCTGAGATAGATACTATTAACACTTCTGTTTAATAAATGAGGAATACGGGATTTTGAGATTAAGCAAAATTTTCAAGATCAGAAAGTTTGTAAGTGGTAGATCTAAGATTCTGATTCAGATAGCCTGGAAGTCATTACTGAGTTCCAATTTAAAAAGAAGAAAGAGATGCCGGGCGTGGTGGCTCACGCCTGTAATCCCAGCACTTTGGGAGGCCGAGGCGGGTGGATCACCTGAGGTCAGAAGTTCAAAACCAACCTGGTCAACATGGTGAAACCCTGTCTCTACTAAATATACAAAAAAATTAGCCAGGCGTGGTGGTGGGTGCCTGTAATCCCAGCTACTCAGGAGGCTGAGGCAGGAGAATTGCTTGAACCCGGGAGGCAGAGGTTGCAGTGAGCCAAGATCGCGCCATTGCACTCCAGCCTGGGCAACAAGATCGAAACTTTGTTCCAAAAAATTAAAAAATAAAAAAAAGGAGAAGGAGGAAAAGAAATGAAAGGAAACAAAGAAGAAAGAAAGGGAGGGAGGGAGGAAAGGGCAAGAGGAAAAAAAAGAGAGAAGGCATTTCAGAAATTAAGAAAGCCAACGAAGCGCTGTATTATCTTATCATTAAGAAGCTCCCAAATCCCTAAACATGCACAATAGAATTTCGAATTCTCCCTAGGCTTCTGGGTAGTCACTTAGTATTGTACATATCTGGCCTGGGAATTAGTATCATTCTTGTCTTTACAAATTTTTTTTTCAGTTGTTTTTTCACAGTCAATGCAGAATTGCATTAACCTCAAATTGGTGGCAAATATTCTTGTCGATTATATAACAGTGTAGGAGATGGTATCACAATGTAGGGAAACTTCCACCTTCATGATGCCAACAAGAGGCTATTGATGGAGAGCCCTACATAGAAAGGCCTTCTTTCTCCCTCTCAAGGTAGAATTTTCAAGGGCTCATCTTAGGTCAGCTGAACAGCGGACAAAGAAATGGTAAGACTGAGAAGAGAGAACAGTGTTCAAATCCAGAGAGATGAATCCTGCTATGGACTCAGTGTGTCTCCCCAAAATTCATATGTTGAAGCTTAATGGCCAGTGTGATAGTACCAAGAAGTGGTACCTTTAAGAGGTGATTAAGTCTCTGCCCTCATGAGTGGCATTAGTGACCTTATGAAAGGGCTGGAGGGAACTACCTTCCTCCCTGCTGCCCTTCCACCTTCCTCCATGTGAGAACAAAGCATTTGTCACCTCCTGAGGACACAGCAACAAGGCACCACTTCTTAGAAGCAGAGAGATTGGTCCTTGCCAGACACTAAATCTGCCAGTTCCTTAATCTTGGGCCTCTCAGCCTTCAGAACCATGGGGAAATTTCTATTCTATATAAGTTACCCATTCTCAGGTATGTTGTTACACAGCAGCACAAACAAACAAAGACCCCAAGACGAATATAACCCACTACTTCTGCCTAGACCTGCCCGAGTGACCTGGCACCCATTCTATCTAGTGTGTTACTATGTAAAAGGATCTTAAGGGAGAGAAATTTCTGAGAGCCCCACCACTCAGGTTTAGCTATTTGGGAAGGCATTCCTAAACCAAAATGGATAATTACTTTTCTTACTCCAAGGAAATGAATGATAGTTTCTCAGCAAGGAGAACCTTCATTCCTGGAGGCCCAGGTGAAGTGAACCATTCAGTTATTGAATAAAGATTTGCCCAGCACTTTCTGTATGTCAAAACACTGTGGCAACACAGAACTAGCAGTCCCAGCTTCTCCCAGCAAGCCTCACAGTGTGATGGTACACATCGACATAAGCCACAAGAGAGACTTATTTTAGAATGCAGTGCCATTTAGAAGAAGAAATTTTCTTTTAATTAAGTCAATTTGAGAAAAATCAACGTTTAAATGGCAGTGAGGAAAGAAGGAAAAAAATTGCAGATCCAAGAATAGAGTTTTACATTAGACGGAGATTTGCTTAACTTAAAATAGTCCATTTAAGAAGTGTGCCAATACATTTATGACATTACATTTCATATGCTGATATTTATTTCTACTTATTATTTTAATAGATGTAAGGGAGATTTCTTAACAATGGTATCTTTTAAGAATACAGTTGTCATTGGTCCCTAAACTGCATTTTGACATTCAGTGAATGTCAAATTTAATCTAACATTTTAACTGGCCTCTGTTTTAAAGTATTTACAGTTTAGATTGTTTTTGTTTTTTTCAAAAGGATTGAGATTTTCTGACTTATCATGTCCTTCTAAGATAAAGAACTGAATGGTTTCATTATTTTAGAATGAAATAATCTTAGTATATTTAAATGTGAGTTAGACTTCCACAGCGCTTTTTCTAAGTAATATCATATGTAGTCTTCATGAAGTATTGGGTTTTTGAATGCTTACTGAAATTTTTTTAAATATCTATTTAAGGAATATCTTACCAACTTACAGCATTTTAATGAGCAACTCATTATTTGAACAAAGCATTTCTGTAATGAACCCAGTAGCCAGGAGTAATGAACCCTGCAGTCTCTGGAACCCTGAGCACCGCATAACTCATGGGTCTGGCTACCATGAGATTGAGCATGAAATTTCACATCAAAGACCTCCATGCTTGAGGAGCAGAGATGCACGGGGGTGGTATGACCAGGGTGAAAGAGCATGCACAAAGCAGGCTGAGTTCCTCCCAGTGTGTTGGGAGACCAGATGGAGTTTCTGCAGGGGAGGAATATTTGCAGTCACTGCTCACTCTGGAAATAACAAGCTTCTGCAGTCAGAGCTGCAATAATAGAGGAGCGATCACTGAAACACCAGCAGCAAAAGTCCTAGAGCACCTTGTAGTGGTCGGCCTGTACCTTGAGCCTGGGCCAGATTCATAGGCATACAACCTGTACTGTTGCACAGAGTCCTTTGCCTAAAGGGATTCCATGCTTGGTTTAATGTTCTACAGTCATTGTTCTGCAATTTTTAATAAATGTTGAAGAACAGGCCCCTCATTTTCATTATGTAACTGGTCCTAACAAGAGATTTATTTTTAATTATGGCCATTTCATTCTAAAAAAGTCACTGACAACACCCAGGATGCAGAACGGTCTGGAAGTTGTCACAGAGGAGACTCTTGAGGAAACAAGGAATAGTTAAGAGGCAAAAATATAACTTGCAATCAACAGATAACACTTTATGGCTATCTTGATCTGGAAAAACTAGAAAGTATCATCCAGAGAAGGAAGGAGAATTCTATGGTTCTATTATTAGAGTCTTCAACTAATAATAATGGCAAAGGATTCCTACATATCAATGGCATTTAATCATGACCCATGCAAAGAAATACATTTTATTTATGACCATGTATACAAAAATATACACAGACATATGTATTTATACATATATATGTATATGTGTGTGTATATATATATATGTACATTCACACAGTTTCATGAGCTTACCCTTACCTTATGGTATGCATTGTGAGGCTTTCTGTTTTTTTCTCTTTTATTAAAAAAAAGTGCGTGTGTGTGTGTGTGTGTGTGTGTGTGTGTGTCTGTGTCTGTGTGCGTGTCTGTGTCCTATTTGCCTAAAACTCTGTTATGTAGTATAGGATTGCATTAGATAACCCAACTTTTTTTAGCTCTCTGATTACAATTTTCAAGGGCTAAAAATTGCAAGTTATGCCACAGGCGACTTGAGAATGTGCCTGAGCAATTGGATGGGGGGTTCCTATACTCTGCTCATCAGCCTCCACTCCTTATTCAGCTCCCCACTGAAGAGCTGTGGGCCTGCAGTGAACAGACTTTGGAAGTGATTCAGCTCAACAACTGTATCTTAAACTTTGATCCATGGACTACTGGTGAGCAATGAGAGTTAGGAATGAAACAGAAGAGTCTATGTCTAAGAAAGACGTAGAAAATTTAAGAAAAATTTTGTTCACCCTTATCCTCATAGAATGAACTCCACGAGGAGAGGGGCTATGTCTGTCCAATTCCCTGCTTTCTCTATTGTGTGCACAGTACCTAGCACGCAACAGGTGCTTAGGAAATATTGAGTGAATGAATGAATTACTTTTTAAGATGTCAAAGTAAAATGTGGGGGAAATTGAGAGATTTATAAAAATTCTCAAATTGTTAACAGGTATGAATTTTAAGATTCATCCCTCAGCAGGTTGACAGCAGTACCACATATATTTATAGTAAAATTGGACATTGTCATGTCCATTTTATAGATAAGAATACCAGAGCCCTATGAAATTTAATGCTCTTGGAGTTACCTAACAATTTATAGGCAGAAATGTTGATCGAAAACTATTGAATTTCTGACTTGCTTATTGGTAAATTCTAGAAGGAAGCTCCACGAGGACATCCCAATGTTCAATGAATGAATGGGGTGCATCTTAGTGAACGACTTTGTTGAGCCCTTTAAAACATTGGTATTTTGTTGAGCGGTGTAATCGTTAAAAAGAAACTTGTGCTGTGCCAATCACTGGCCTCTGTGGGCTCACCAATTTCATTCCTGAATATGACAGCCTCACTGTTAGTAGCAATTTGTTTTGTAATATTGTGGCGTGATTGAAAGCAAAAAGGAAAGAAACAGGCCAGAGGAATTTTTTTTCCCTTAATGGAATTACTACTCAGAAAAAAATGGTACTTGGTTGGGCAAGTCCTTATCATACCAAGTGAGCTCTTCAAAATGTTATGTCCCATTTGTATCACTAACTGTATTTTTAAGATGACAAGAGATGAATGAAATATAAAGCTTATGGTTACACAGGATACTCATCTTCATGCACAACTTCAGCATTAATGTAACCTTTAAAATGTAACCTTTAAAAAGCATGGTAGTTATCAGCAGCATGACCCATATCAAAATGGAACTGCCTGTCAAGCCTTGCTCATTTGATGCATGAAAGTTCTATATTTTCCCTCATAGGCATACGTTACAGTACCTTTATGTTAGCCCGCACAGCATGCCACTGTGGAATTTCCATAATTGTAGATTCTGCACAGAGGGTATAACCACTAGCATCTATCTGTTTAGGTAGCCCGGAACACCCAGATGTTTTGAAATAGTCACTCCCTTCAAATGAAATGGAACATCCTCACAACTAGTATGCACATGTTTAAACTAAGTTTGAGCATGTGTATTCTTCTCTTTTAATATGATTTAGGATTGTTAAAAACATACTTAGAACCTACTTAAATTTCTCAGGTATAGTTCACTTGACTTAATGCACATGCTGTACAAAAGCTAGTTAACTCCTTTTGAAATGGCAAGCAATATTTTGTATCATAAACCCCAAAATAAAAATTGATTCAGGGCACCGAAAACACATCATAGTAGCAAAACACTCTAAGCACGGAGGGTAAGAGGAAAAGCTGTTTTGCACTACTGGATAAAGTCATTTAACTACATGAAATCACCAATTCTCAGCCATTTTTGGCGGCAGTTTTGTAGAGCTCAATCTTTATTTCTCGGCACCTGTTGCTCATTCTACCTTTATGATCTCCCAAGAAAGCTGGGGCTCCCCTGAGTAGAAAGAAAGCAGGGGTCAAAAAATTCCAAGTAGTTTTCACTTGGCCTTCACAGGAAGGCAAAATACTTAAATAGATATTTAGTGGGCCAGTTTCAGTCCTTTAGTTATTCTTGAAAAAGGTGGAAGAGTCCCCTGAAAAAAATTACCAACCATTTATTCCACCAAATATTTTTACCTACTAGAAAAGGGCCCTAAAATCATAGAGATTATGTGCAAAATTTATCTATGAAAATGTTAGTAGATTATAATATTAAAGATTTAAATATAACATAAAAAACTAATTATATAAGCTTGGTTAAATAGAGCATAGACCTTCCATAATAAAAAACAAAATAAGGAAAGTATTTATCAAGTAAGAAAGCTGTTCATGAAAGAGTATTTATTTAAAAAAAAAAGGATGCAAAATAGCTTCACATTATTGTATCATAAAAAATCAGTATAGATACATGTAAACATAGATACATTTAAATATATATAAACAGAATTCATAACAAGACCTGAATTGTATTCACTGTTGTCAGTGATTATTTCTGAGTGTGAGCTTAAGATTATGAATGCCTTTGGGCTTTTATTTATCTGTACTTTCTATAATAAACATGTATTATTTGTAAGATAAGAAAAAATAAAATAAAATGTTACCAAGAATACTTAATTAGACAGAGTTTATCAGCCCACTCATTTTTTTAAAAAAAGTTCTGACTCCTAAATTAAGATGATTTCTGAGTATTTGCATCAGGAAGCTTGATTAGCACAGAAAAAAATCCCATGGAACGTTATCCACATGAGATATTGATAACTTCTCTTGAAGTTCCAAGAGATTCTGAATCAGTGAGAGAACAAAAGGCAAGGGGTGCAGAGAGCTGGTAAGCAAACCTCTGGAAGGGGACTTACAGCAAATTAATGAATTGAAATAATTTTCTACCTACCCTGTGTCTCTTCAAGTCACTCATTTGGGTTGTTTACCTTATACCAGTGAGTAGCAATTAGGCTGCTAAAGAAGGCAAACAAACTTGATTAGTAAACAGGAAACATTTTGCATGAGAGGAAATTAAGTGGGGTTGGTTATTTGAACTTAATTTAGGAAATACTTCAGACAAATTTTTTTTTCTATTTCTTGTCACAGAGAGAATGCTTTAAATGGCCAATGGCAGAGTAAAATATTAGAGCTTCATTCTGAAGAGATGATATATATGTAGATCAAATTGATAAAAATAATGATTTCATAGGACAAATGGACATGACAGGACAAGTGAATGGAAATAGGATTTTATGGGAAAGTTAGTGAACATACTGAAATATCTCTTAGGATGAAACTAAAAATAGGCTCCAATAAAATTACCTATCACGTGTAATGCAGTGGCTGACGCAAATTGAGAACACATGTAGTTCTCAATATACATTTGTGGGTTGGATTTTTTAAAAGAATGAATGAATTGATATAACTTCGCCTCATC
The DNA here is from genome assembly GCF_000001405.40 of Homo sapiens. Classification (NCBI taxonomy): domain Eukaryota; kingdom Metazoa; phylum Chordata; class Mammalia; order Primates; family Hominidae; genus Homo; species Homo sapiens. The sequence continues at coordinate 20,975,632 of NC_000007.14, forward strand.
ACCTTAGACCATGGACCAGATCTCTGCAATTTATACACAGTAGCCAGTAGCACTGAGTTAAATTAAACTAGATAAGGTTACATGCTACATAGCAAAACTATTAAATTCTGTGACTGGGGAGCCAGTTATATTCACTGTGATATGCCAGTTTAGCTCTTCAATAGTTCTTTCTTCTATGGAGCTTTATATATGTAATTCAGAAGTTTAAAAATGAAACTTATGTATACTCTTTAGCATACATAGATACATAAGGTAAAAGCAAAAAGTCATCAAGTCACTGTAAAGGAGAAACTGTGAAGCATTATTCTAGAATGTTAACCATAAAATATGTAGTTTTCTTTAATAGAACATAAATTGGTTCTAATATTTTTCATGAAGCTAGATTAAAAAAAAAAAAGAGAGTAACTCCTTACAATTTGGATGGGCAAGTAAAAACACCTATGTATTCCTTCTACTAAAGTGAAAAGTTAGAAGTAAAAGAAGTATTATATTTGCTTTTATTTCCTATATATGCACAGATTTTCCAATATCAGTATTTCATGATGAGTATACAACCCATTTGATATCTACACAACCTAAAGCATTGTTGAGGTGGCAATGTCATCTGCAAAAATCAATCCTCATGTATCAGAAGAAACTGAAGCAAGTCCAGTGATTAACATGCCTGAGAGTTACATCAGAACAAAAGTACTGGTTGCCTAGCCATCACTTTGGAATGATAACTTAAAATGCCGATGTTCAATTATTTGAAATTGAGCACTTGCAAAACAAAGACTGATTCTCCAGGCCTCACAAATCTAAAAGTAATAGATACCCATATTGTTGTGCCATCCATTTTATGACGACTAGTTTTTTCCAAATGATGGTAGCTATTGAAATATTAAGTGACATGTTTGACATATGCCCAAGTGTATTATTGGCAAACTTGTGTTAATAAAAAAAGAAAAATAGCTAAGAATTCATAATATAATTAATTGCTATTTTATAAATCAGATGCATTCATTCAATAAATGTTTACTGAATTCATGCCGTGTGCCAGGCACTGTATTAAGTGATAGACAATTATTACAGTAGTCCACAGTTTTGCTTTCTACAGTTTCAGTTACTCATGGTACACTGTAAGATATTTTGAGAGAGAGAAGGAGACAACATTCACGTAAGTTTTATTACAGTATGTTGTTATAATTGTTCTATTTTAAATTTTAAATTATTGTTGTTAATCTCTTTCTGTGCCTAACTTAAGCTTTATCGAAAGTCTAGGTATGTATGTATAGGAAAAAATAGTATATATGGGGTTCAGTACTATCTGAGGTTACAGGTGTCTCTTAAACCAAACGTGAAATTTACTAGTTTAGCTGGTTTTCAAAATAAGAATAAATTTGGAAAGCAAGCCTCTTGATTTTAGCTTAATTTTCCTCAAAAGTATCAAGTGGCTTACATCAGTTTATAGATCACTGTTATTGTATGATACTTATGTGATAGAATTTGATATCCTCAAATTATCTTAGTTATTGCCTGGAAACTAAGTTCAAGTTCACTCACATTCAGGTAGAATAGTTTGTAATATTCTAGAGAACAACAGAAGTAAATAAGTCTGTAAAGGTTAAAAAAAAAGTGAAAAGTGAATTTCTCTTCCAGGCTTTGCTTTCAGGGATCCTTGCTGCCACTAGGTGACTTCTACTGCCTTTTTTTTTTTTAATCTGTAGAAGGGGGTGGGGACAGGAATAGATAATATAATAAAAGTCTACATGCAGTGTGGGAAACACAGCCCTTAGCCTGGGGTGTGAGAGTGGACACTAACAAAGTCTGACACATCTTTCAGAACTCTCCATCAGATGAAAAGTGTAAAATAACAGAGCTGGCTAAGCCAGAATTCTAAATCCAGAAAAGGAAAAGATAAAAACTTAAAAGGACACAAAGACCGTAGCCTCATTTGTTCGCACTAATGTGTTTAGGGTTTCTCCTCTATGTTCCTTGATACCCATAAAGAAGTCAAAGTTCGGTGATCAAATACCACATTCACGTTATTTTCTTTCTTGCTTTTCAGAAGCAATCCATGTTGGTTCTGTTTGTCTTTGTCTTGTCTTCTAGAATATTTCCTCTCTGGAGAGTCTTTGCTCCTACAAGGCAATATGCCAGCTGATTTTTCTCTGGCTCGGATAGTGGGGAAGGCATACAACTGTGTCGTGCTCATTTCGGAGGTTTCTTGTCATCCTATTTGTTTTCTTTGGGTCTCCACTTGACATGACTCAGCAACCTCACCTTTTAGCTCCAGGATATTTTATAACACCTTCATTGTGTATTAACATGGATCCATATATGTAGAGCAATATATAGATCAAGATATTTACATCTACCTGGAAGGACATCAGCTAAGTATCAGAATTTCCATCTTAAGAAAGAAAATTATTTGGAGCAGTCTGAGAGACCTCCCTGAAATCATTGATCAACACATTTGATCATATTATAATATTTACATCTAGATAATTTTTTCATTGTGCTAGTTTTGAAATCCTTCAAATTTGACACAAGAGATCTGGCAAATTAGACACTATTTTAAACACATAATGTGTGAACTAATTAATTCTTACAAGCCTAAAGGATAGATGCTGTTATTATCACCATTTTACATCGGACAACACCCTCGCACAGCAAAGCTAAGTAACTTGTCCAAAGTCAAACCGCTGCTATGAGGGGGAACTAAGAGTTGAATGGAATCATCATGGCTCCACAGAGTGAGTACTCAATCACTTCATTCGCTCTTCCAAAAATCAAGTGTCTGTTATCTTTATCTAGAACAAGTGCAACAAAATTATTGTAGAGAAAAAATGGAGAGTTACAAAAATTTTGAGCAAGAAAAGTTAAGCTGTCCAGATAGAATGAAAACATGTCGGGAACGTATAAATATAGCAAACCCACGGGAAGACGATGGCACGGTGACTCTTGCCTGGGCTAGCACAGCCATGCCCTCACTGCCTCTCTGCATCCAGTTGCTTCATGGACCCATCCAGCATCCACACTTTTGCCGGAGTTAACATGCCAGAAACAGTCTTATTAAGCTCCTGCTAAGCAGGCACATGTGAGCAGGTGCATGTGCACGCGTGTGCGCACGCACACACACACACACACAGGCTCCCTATTGCTTATGTCCTGTGAGATACATGGGTTGACCTTGGCCTCAATTCTAGCTACTCCTCTACCATCTGTTTTTTCACTGGACTCCCTAATTACTTAGCATCTCAGGACTTTGGCACGTGCTCTCACACCTCCATATCCTTCTTTGCTCATGGTCTTCCCACCAACAAGAAAACCTTTCCTCCCCACTCTGCCCAGGACCCCTTGGAAAATTTCTGATTGTCCTTCAAGATCTAAGGCAGGGGTGTTCTAAGTCAGGGGTTTCCAATCTTTTGGCTTCTCTGGGCCACATTGGAAAAGGAAGAATTGTCCTGGGCCACACATAAAATACACGAATACTAATGATAGCTGATGAGCTAAAAAAAAAAAATCACAAAAAGTTTACAAATTTGTGTTGAGCCATATTCAAAGTTGTCCTGGGCTGCATGCAAGTCTGTGGGCTGCGGGTTGGACAAACTTGGTCTAAGTAAAATGTTATGTTCTCTTTGGTACTTTTCTTGAACTACAGCTTTTTCTCCATGGCAATTTTGATCCCTCTCAATTGTGTTTCCGCAGGATTACACACTTTTATTGAAACATTTATTCCAATGTATAATTCTTGACATGTCTCTTACTCCCATGAGATTCAGCCCTAACTGCTTCGTCTGTATTCCCAGGGTCTATCAGAGCCTGGCACCGAGGAGTGTTTCAGTAAATAGTTTAAAATTATATTTGCTGCTATTCCATATGATTTTATGGGTATTTATTATCTCCTGGCAAAATAAAGCATCAGGGTCCATGTGTGGGTGTTTCATAGGGGAAGAAAAAAGCCTCTTTTAAACATCTTGACCCTTAATGAAAGTGTTTTCTTTTACAAGAAGTTAGAGAAGGTCTTTGTCACCTACTTCTTAGCAACATGAATATTTCTAAGATTGATATGTTCTAGCGGGTAGATTTTTTTACAAACAAGATAACTTTGGAAACCAAACTCTAGGAGTTGTGACTTTCTCCCCTATAGGAGAGAATAACTATATTGTTCTCCACAGACGCCTTTAAGTTAGTTTTAATTCATTTGTAATATGGTCAAATGAGTGGGTCAGTGATTCCACAGAGGTCTTCTCCCCAACTGCTCCAAATCACTTTCTTTATTAAGATGGTATCTGATACCTAGGTAGTTTTACTTCCTTCCAGGTAGCCATATAGCACAAAATTATCTTATTATATGCCATTGGTCAACTAAGAGTAAGGAAAATGTATTCCTGGAGCTGTTTCATTATTTTTATCCAGTGTCTATATCTGCTAGAGGTTTAGACATCAAGTGCCGTGGATAGAAGCGGGTCTGTTATCAACCTAGGGGGTGCCTTCCCTGTATCTGAGCTGTTGGCAGATACAGCCCCATTCTAGCGGGATCCACACACAAAATACATTTCCCCCAAGCAACTGTTTTCATGTTTTTCCTCTGTTCCTGTTGAGCAAATGCCGCACAAAATAACCCTCTCCACTGGCATACGGTGAGCCCAGAGCGTCTTGCGGGCTTGGAAGGGGAAGCTCCATAGACTTTCTCTCCAATGTGTCAAGTCAGGGCACACGCAGCCCCAGTTACAAGATAAATGGTGGTGTGGGAACAAGTCAGCTGAGCCAACAACTGCCCGAGCGCCACAGTCAGTGTCTTTTCTGTAATTATTGCATTTAATACAGCTAGTTACTTGCACAAAAGAGCTTCCGGATACAGCAATTTCCACTGGGGGCTGTTTAGGAATGTACAGGCCCATCATTTAGCCCTGATATTGTTGGGTTGTCAGAATTGATCATAGCTCTTGACGGAACACCTCTAGCTTTTTTTTTTATGGAGTGCCTCAGAGTGACATTTCACATTGTTTAAGTAGGAGTGATCTGTTAGTTTATATTTTATCTAAAACTGCAGATCAGATGACCTCCCTCAGGGTCTAAATACATGAATCCTTTTCGCATGTTATAATTAATAGTGGAGCCGGGAGAGAAATTCATAACAAGAGGCCGAAGAAACTGGGCAGAGCAACTTGTCAAAAAGAAGGAAATTCCACTACAGATTAGCTTATTTTTAAGCATGTCAAGCTCTACATACAAACATGATCTATTGCTTCCTTGTAATGTCTGTTTGGGCCCACATGCTCCGGGCAGTGTCAGAGGCTGCTGTAAATTTTGTCTGAGTCAGGGCAATTCTGATTGATCTCTGAGTGTAAAATCGATAAGAAGACACTGTCATTTTCTTAAAGGATGAGCTAGAAAAGGAAAATAAATTAAGACTCCACTGAATGTCTATCTCCGCGCTCATTAATTCAGTGTGGTCTGTACTTTGTTAATGTTATGGCCACAGCTTTAATCTTCCAGGTGCTCTTCCTGTGGCTCCTTGCCAGGGGCCTCTTCTTATATTATGTATATTTCATCTGAAAGTGGGCAGGGGGATAAAAGGGCTGCCCTCCTTTCTCCCTTAGCTCCTGATTAATCCATTTTATTATTTTAGAGAAATACATCACCATGGATACTGATTAACTTTAAAATGGACAGAGTAATCCTCTCTCTCTCTCGTTCTCTCTCTCTGTCTCCTTCTCTCCAGTGTCCCCCCTTCATCAGGAGATGTATTCATTTGTCTTGAATAGTTTGAACAAATAATAATTCCAAGCATTTTGCCTTATATAATAAACTCTGTGAAGATTAATTCTCTCTCTTTCTCCCCTCTCCCGCCTCTCTCTTTTCTACACCCCCTGCCCCATCTCTCTCCTTTTTCATCAGGAGATATACTCATTTGTCTACAATAGTTTGGGCAAATAATAACTACCACACCTTTTGCCTTACGCAATCACTCCATGAAGGTTAACTTTCTTCTCTCTCTGTCACTCTCCCTTTGCGGCTCCCGTACCTCTCCTCCCTCCTTCCCCTCCCTCCCCTTCTTCTCATCCCCATTTCCATCTCCCTCTCCATCATCTCCCTCTATCCTTCTGTTTCTCATCTAAGGCTTTTTTTGCCAGACATTTAAAGAGTTGTATTTTTAGATTTCATCAGCTTTAAAACTTCTTGTACATCAAGAGATTTCCCCAGAATGCTTCCATTTTGTGGTTGTGTGTTGTGTTTTCTCCCATAGGCTCCCAAACGTGTCCTCCAGTTTCAGGTTTTGCATTTTGCTCCTCAGGAGAAGAAGACAAGGAAGGTGGAGTGTTCCTTGCCTTAATGGTATTCTGGGTTAAATGTCAACATTATAACAATCTATGTTTCTATCTGCTGCAGAAACTAAGCAACTAGTTTTGTCTAAAACTGTCTGGCTTCTGTGAGTGGAGGTGGGGAATCAAGTGTTCTTTAGATATTGCTCATTTCAGACACATTCTAAACATTTTTCTCAAAAGTCATAGCTCCAATAATTGTTCATGGAAATCCATCAATCGAAGGTTGGCTCCAGAAGCTTTTTGTTTGTGAAAACTTACAGAGATAATGCAAAATTTTGTTATGTTTTTCAAAACTGCAAAGTCCAAAAAGAAGGGAGAGATGGTTAAAAAAATCTGGATCTATGTGCTTCAAAGGCATTAAATTCATATTCATGAAGGGTGTTTTCTTTCTATAACAAAGCCTAGCACATGCCAATTAATTATTTCTCAGGGAAAGGTCGCTTAAGGGACTAAGTCTGTATCTCCATCTTCCCAACTGAGCATACTAAATGAATAGATTTGCAAATTTAATCTAGAAGCGACATACATTTGGCCTTGAAATTATTTGTCGTATTTATCTTCTTTAGAACATTAATATTTACTTATTATGGAGATCACGAAATAATGAAATAACATTTTGAAATTTATAAATAATATGCAAGTATTTTAGGATGAAATTTGAAAGGAAAATGTGTACTCAGGTAATATGCTTACTATTTATTTCCCCCCATTGCCACCATCAATATAGTGCCACCATAATTCTTTATAAAGGATACTGCTCTCAGAGAGCTGATAGGCATCAACTGGAAGTGATCACTTATATTTTTTTAAATTTTTGTTTCTTAGACCTAAAAATGTAAGATATTTTTCTTGAAGATTGTTTATGAAGTTGGACCGAAATAAGAAGTTTGATGAGACAATTAAATGGTTATTTTGTAACTATGTGGAAATCCACAGTTTGCTCAGGGGCACCCTCACTCAAGTATTCATTCACTCCTGCCTACCGTGTGCCTGGCACTCTGTCTTATGTGCTAGAAAACAAAGGGAATGAATGGGAAACCCTTCTAGCCTATTTCTTCACGTAAACATTAGAGATGACACCTACCCCACAGGGTTACTATGAGGATTACATGAAAAAATGAGATATATAAAACAACTAACATATAGTTGGGTTTTAATAGTAATAGCTTCTCTTCCCTTCATTTATTGACTGGGTGGCCTTAGGCAAATCATTTATGGAAGAACTTCAGTTTTCTCATCTATAAAAATGAGGTAATAATTTTTACCATGGGGAATTGTGAAAATGAGTAATAATGTGTTTTTGTGGCAGCCCATGATACATTTAATCTACTGAAATATTATTATTAATATTATTATTATTATTATTAAGACAGAGTCTCATTCTGTCCCCCAGGCTAGAATGCACTAGTGCAATCTCAGCTCACTGCAACCTCTGCCTCCTGCGTTCAAGCGATTCTCTTGCCTCAGCATCCTGAATAGCTGGGACTATAGGTATGTGCCACAACACCCGGCTAATTTTTTGTGAAGACGGGGTTTTGCCATGTTGGCCAAGCTGGTCTTGAACTCCTGACCTCAGGTGATCTTCTGGGATTACAGGCATGAGCCATTGTGCCCGGCTTTATTATTCCTACTTTTTATTAGGTCCAAAGGGTCTATAGGACATCCAGTTGAAGATTTATGTTAGGGTGTTGAAAATACAAAATTGTGGTAACTCACAAATTTTAGAACTTTAAATACATAAAACAAATATTTGGAATGTATTATATTCACAAACAATTATGAGTAGAGATGAGATGAATTTAGAAATGGCTAAGACATCTTTTGCAAGGCTGTTTTCAGATCATTACTGATATTTCTGCATTCACAGCTTGTAATACACAAATTATGAAAGCTGGACTTTCATAATTGAATAAGGCATTGGTAGAAAGTAGGCCTTTTGGAATTTTGGCATAGGCATTGTGGAGAGAAAGTTACTCGCAATGTAAATGGTGGCCAATGTAAATGGTATGTCTTTCATACCACAGACGTCACAGACTTCCTTTTGGCCAGAAAACTCAAAGCGGTGAGGGGCGTGGAAAGTCTATTAGTTCAAACACAGTACCTGAACTACACTAAATTTTCTCAATGCCATTGACAGACTTAGGAAAGGATTATTTTTCTCAATATGTATCTAAAATTTAAATATACATTTACTTTGACTCAGCAATAATTGTTTTAGAAATTTAGCCAGAGAAGATAATTCCACAAGCATACATAGATGTACAAACAGGGTTATTCAGTGCAGTCTTGCTTAAGGAAAAAATCTAATTGCTTTTTCATAAGTGATTAAAAATAAGTTATGATTTGTAAATACAATTGAATCTTATGCATATATTTAAAATGTTTATCGTGCTTTATAATTCTTGATATCCGGGACATATTGTTGAGATTATATGGAAAAAAGATCACTAAAATGTAAACAACAGTTATCTCCTATGGATGGAGTTTCAGTTGATAACTTCTGTGATTCTCTGCATTGTTTGAATTTTCACAATGATTATTCTTACTTTTTATAATCAGAAAAAAATGTTTATTATTTTTGGAGAAAAAGGTATACCTCTATATTTGTTGGTTGGGTGGATTTAATCTAGGTCAGTGGAAATGTGAAATGATTTTTCTTTGGGATTCTGGGATACATCTCCTAATTGCCCTTTCAGGTTCTAGCCCAGCATGTTAGCTTATTTCTCTCTCTACCTTTTAGCCATCCCAACATTTTCCACTGACAGACAAATCTGAGAAACGTGAGTTTTCTTCGGTTCCTTTGCCTCCTGATCTGGAGATTTCATTTCATGCTCATGCTATTAATTACATGGGTTTAGCGTGATTATTTGTTAGTCAGGCTTGAATTGTCACTCTGATTGACCCTACCTGGGCCCTGATCAAGAAAGGGGAAAGAGGCCGGGCACGGTGGCTCACGCCTGTAATTCCAGCCCTTTGGGAGGCCGAGGGAGGTGGATCACAAGGTCAAGAGATCGAGACCATCCAGGCCAACATGGTGAAACCCCGTCTCTACTAAAATTACAAAAATTAGCTGGGCTTGGTGGCACGCATCTGTAGTCCCAGCTACTCAGGAGGCTGAGGCAGGAGAATCGCTTGAGCGTGGGAGATGGAGGTTGCAGTGAGCCAAGACTGCACCACTGCATTCCAGCCTGGCAACAGAGCAAGACTCCATCTCAAAAAAAAAAAAAAAGAAAAAGAAAAAAGAAAGGGGGAAGAGAGGAAATTCACACATTTTTAGTGAAATAACAGAATCATACTTTTGTAGATTTGGAACTTCTTACTTGGTTGCTTATGTGGGGATTCTGTTCTGCCTTAATCAGCCCAGGCTGCCAAAACAATATACTGTAGACTGGGTGGTTTACCCAACAGGAATTTATGTTTCTGGAGAGTAAAAGTCCGAGATCGAGGTGCCAGTGGAGCCAATGTCTGCTGAGGTATCTCTCCCTGGGTTGCAGGTGTTTACCTTCCTCACTATGTCCTCATACAAGCTTTTTTTTCTGGGATGTGGGTAGAGACAGAGAAAAGAAAGTAAGCAGGCTCTCTGGGGTGTCTTACAATAAGGGCACTAATCCCATTATGTGGGTTCTACCCTCAAGAACTCATTTAAACCTAATTACCTCCCAAACGCCCCATCTTTAAATACCATCACATCGTGTGTTTGGGCTTCAACATATGAATTTGGTGTGGGTAGAGGGGCACAATTCAATCCATAGCAGCTTGTCAAACCTGAAAAAGTAAGACCGAGCCTGCTAGACTGTCAAAGGATCTGCAGGCTTTGAGGAACACTCAAAATGATTACTTTTGTGAACTCCGTAGGGCCATAGGGGGACTGTATGTGGAAATACAGTCCATTCATGTCATTCACAATAAAGTCACTACAAACACTGAATTAGCAAATACCGAACCATTGCTCCTAGGAGAAATATTAGATTAAGTTCCTTTGAGTCTCTGGCCATAGCATTTTCATCAACCCATCAATATGTAACCTTGTTTTATGTGTGTTTCTGTTTAAGGCACCATATTTAATATATAGTATATTAATTGACATTGAACTCACAGCCAGCAGCACTCTAACTCATGCCTGAATGAAGTGCATGTAACACACATGTTTTCTCTGTAAGGCCCATCGCAGCCTTCTTGAGCTTAGAACAGTAGAAATCACTTTAGCACTACACCGGAGGGATCATTTTAAACAATGAAATCACTAACAAAGATAGAAAACACGTGGTGCAACTTTTGAACTCAAGACTTGTTCTTCCTTTTCAAGATTTGTTCTCAAGAATTATTAATGTAGAAAAACTAAACAACTTGTCCTGGGTCCATGTTCCCCAGGCCATGGCTATATTCCCCACCCATTAAAGGGAGAAGCAGATCCCATTTGGGCAATGAACTTAAGGGCCTTGGCACTTCTTGTGTGTAGTTTCATTAAACATTGCAGCAGCAGTACCTAGGGGAGCAGTGTTTTTGCCTCTTTGGACCCAATAATGTGTAAATTCTGTCACAGAGAACCGTGCACTGAGTCTAAACACTCATATTTTGAAAATACATTTTTACGTTCACCAAGTTCTCTATCATTTCTAAATTTTTATAGCATTACTATCTTCTCATATTTGTCTTCTATCTTCTAGGCTACTATTTACATTTACCCCTACCCTGGATTTTAGACAATAAATAAACATTGGAGGCATGTGCTGAAAGTAAGATTTTACCAGGCAAACAAGGAGAAGAGTTTTCATGGTCAATTGTTTTTTGATGTTTGTTTTGTGCTGAATCAAAGAAGCAAGAAAGAGCTTGGTGTGTCCGGGGATCGTAGGTGGTTTGAAGTGACTAGGGCGTGATTCTCAAGTGCTTTTCTTCATAGCACCCCAGAAGTGTGGGTGGCACTCTTTAAGGGATAAAAAGATATAAGGTGACATTAAACAAATCAGCAATAATCATAACCCAACTGGTACTCCTTCATAGAATATTTCCCAGCATATATAAAAGTGCCCACAGTTATCTCACCACACAAGTAGTTACTCTTCAGCAATGTGGTTGTAGTGGAGTAGTATAGTTTACTCCCCTGATGAGGTATACTCATGAGCCTTGTAAATCTCACTTTAGAGTACACTTTGTTTAGCCTCTTACTGGACACCCCATATCCTTTCAGCTGAACATTCCATCTGACAGGCCATGGCAAAAAACAGTGCACATTCTATTGTAACAAAAATTAAGTGTGCACATTTGTCAAAATGGGGTGGCATATCTTGCAGATGCTTGGCAGGATGCCTGTGGGGAATCACTAGGCTCCAGGAGAGGATTGTATGGGGGAATAGAGTAGATGTGGGAGGAAAAGCAACAGCAGCAATAAAGATGACATCCAGGGTGTATTGAGAGGCTAATATTGATAAATCTTCATTTACAGTGTTTCTAATCCTCACAACTACAACAAGCAAACTTGTTGTTATTAGTTTCTTTTTCGGAGGAGGAAAACACGGCTACAAAGGTTAAGTAACTTGTATGCATCTATTCAAGTAATAAGAAACAGAACAGGAATCAAACTCAGATTTATCTAATTCCAGAATCCAGGCTTTTCCCCATGATATCTCTAAAATTAGGTGATACTAGATCAAAAGTATCCTCATATGCTATCACACTGGGATGTTTAAATACTACAATCAAAATTTCCTATAAGTGTGTCCTGTGTGGGATAGTAATTCTTCAGGATGGGAAATGTTGTTACTCTAAATTAAGGGCTCTGGAGCCCAGGTAGGCTTATAAAATGCTGGACTTCACTAGCCATGCACACGCTCAGGGTGCCCATCTCTTGAACAATAGTTTGTATTTATGAAACCACTGTTTGGTGTTGGGGTGTATTCTGGTGCCACGAAATAGAGCTTCTGTAAGTGTGATGCTAAGCTCACCCATTCAGAGATTGGACTCATGACCTTAATCTCATTAGCAACGCCATTCTAGACCCATACTATAGCTTCTTAACCAATCACAGTGATACAGCTATACTTTGAGGATACATAGCAAATTCCTTCAGTTGCATGTTTTGTTCTGCTTTGCTTTTTTAAAAATCTCTTTTTAAACCAATTTATTCTAGGATGTTTAAAATTGCTTAAAGAATTTTACCTATGCATTTGAATGTATAATTAAATATGTGTGTACGTGTACATGTACATAGATAGAATAAGTTCCCAATTTTATTTTTAAATATGTGCATTTATATATGTATATAATCATGTAGAAAAAAAGGTTGGAAGAAATATAACAAGATAAGCATTGATTATATGTCTGGTGGCAATATTACTGGTGGTTTTAATTTTCTTTATACTTCTCCACATTTTCTAAATTTTCAGTAAGACTATATATTATTTTTATAATGAGAAAAAATGTATATTTTCAATGTGTTCCCATTACCTAATTTTAAGATTTGTTATATTTATTTTTGTGTTTCAATATGCCTGGCATATGTCCCTTTTGCATATTTTATTCATGGACTAAAATCCTTGTCTGACTTTCACAACTAAATCAGCTTCTTAATGCTGAGAAGAAAAACTAAAATTTGCATTAAGACTGAGTGAATGAGTAATCGTCATTATGCGTAAGAAGTGTTTGGAGTTGTATTTCTTTGTGTGTCTGGTGTGTGCGTGTGTGTGTGTGTGAGTGTGTGTGTGTGTGAGTGTGTGTGTGTGTGTGTGTGTGTGTTTTGACTACATGATGGGGTTTGAATGAGAAGAAATACAAAACAGAGGTTAGCTCAAGCAAGAGATGGAAGGGAAAACATAGAAAGAAGAGAGTGGGGAATGAAGCTAGAAATGGGTAAAACACAGACAAAAGCTAGGAAAGAGGTGGAGAGTAACAGCCAGTGAATGTAAGGGTTATACATTTCAGAGCATGCTATAGAAATCTCAAATTCCTGGAGGCTAACTGCAGCATATTTCTAATAGAAACTGAGACTATCCTTTCTCTTCCATGTTATTTATATTTTTCTTTGTTGTTAGTCTCCATGATCCTTTTTACATAAAGTTTCAGCCTCTGTGGCTGTTAATATGAACAGAAGGCTGCTGCTTTAGACAATTACAGTCCTATAACATAAGTAAATAAGTTTGAATCATGTTATTTTCAAATAATTATATTTTAAGGATACATTGGTTGACTTTATCCATATGATTCTCACAAATATTAAAAGGAAACAAAATAAGGTAGTCATATTTCTAGAATTGTGGAAATTCACTAGTTTTGGTTTATGCAGATTTGTGTAACCTACATTTTTTTGGTGGTGGTGGTCCTTTTCTCCTTTTGGGGAGACTTGTACACCTAGGGTCTGGAGTTCACGTGAACCTGAAAATTGGACCAAAACCCCTAAGATTACTTAGGCTTTCCTGGCTTTCACTCAAAATTATGAAGCTGCCTTGCTTCTCATCAGCTTGCTCATCATGTGCAGAATTATTTCCCATTGTTTTGTTTACATGCATAAGTGCTTCCCCAATTTTTGTGTATGAAAAGGTAAGTCCTTTAGACTGAGAAATGGTGATTTCTGTTTTCATTAGTTATTAAATACAGGAAAAGTTAAATAGTCATATTTGCAGCATATTTTCCTCTGGGAATTTTGGGGAAAAAAAAAAGTAACTCCATCTTTCGAGAAACAATTTACACTTTGTCCTGGACAAGAGACAAGTCTTCCAAACAAAGGGGAAAAACAGCTACAGTGTTTAATGTTGTTTGGATTCTACATGAAGGCAGAAGTATGATCACCCAGACTTATTTCATGACAAAATTCAGTTCAACAAACACACACTGAGGACTTGGTAATGTGTATGTCACTATGGTCATGCTAGAAATTCAAAAACAAACCCAACATGACCAAGTCCGGCAGGAGCCAAGTGTTGTGGAGAAGACAGATGCAGAGACATGTAAGTTAAGAAAACTAAGTTATCTGAGCTGATTTAGAATATAACACAGATGAAAGGGCAACCGAGTCTTCCATTAGGGGCTTCTCCAGTTATTACCAACCAACCAGACATGTAAAACTATGTGGCTTAATTTTCTTCCATCTCTCTGAACTTCTCGTGGTATGTTTATTCTAAAACTTCAAACAAATTAAGAATCTTTTTAAGTGTCTTTGAGGGTTAATTGTTGAAGTATATTCTCCACACTGGAGACACCCTACAACATCAGTTTCAAACTTTTAAAATTGAATCCCTTTTCCTAAAAAAAAAGTTTTACATGAAAAGTCAAAATACAAAATACAAAACACATAAAGGCAGTGCTAATCCAGCTTCACCTCCCTCTTCTCCTCACGTTTCCATGGCATAGCTCTAGGACCAGGCTCAGTAGGAGGCATTTTGAACCCATAGCCCTAGAAATCACAAAATATTTAATTTATATACTTTACTTTTCTATTCTATGCCAATTTCATAACAATTCTAATTTTTAACATTTTATATTTTGTATGTGTTTCTATAGTTATATGCATATTTGCTACTTTAAATTTATTTTATGTTATTTTGAGCACAAGAGTCCAGACGTTCAGCCAGGCGCAGTGGGTCACGCCTGTAATCCCAGCACTTTGGGAGGCTGAGGTGGGCAGATCACCTGAGGTCAGGAGTTCGAGACCAGCCAGACCAACATGGAGAAACGCCATCTCTTCTAAAAATACAAAATTTGCCAGGCGTGGTGGCACATGCCTGTAATCCCCGCTACTCAGGAGGCTAAGGCAGAAGAATCATTTGAACCCGGGAGGCAGAGGTTGCAGTGAGCCGAGATCACGCCATTGCACTCCAGCCTGGGCAACAAGAGGGAAACTCCATCTCAAATAAAAAAAATAATGCAAAAAAAAAGAGTCCAGAGGTTCAGTATCACTTGTTTTGAACAACAGATCACTTAACATAACTAAAGGAGCCTCTCAAGGCTTTGATTTGGATAGAAAACTTAAAAAATAAATCACATTCCCTAATTACATATTTTAAAGAATTTATGAGAAAAATTACATAGTTGCTATCTTCTTCAAAATGGTGATGTTACTATTATTAAGAAATCAGGTATTCTGAGGCTGTTTATGGTTTGCAGATGACTGTGGTCTTTAATAGATGTCCCTTCCATTGGCTGCTATTTGGAAATATCATGCCCAATATCACTTTTAAAGTTAGCTAGGGATAACTTCATACTTCATTGGAGAAAAGGGTCACTCATATGGGGGAGGTGCCATCTCTACCCCCTCTAAACTCTCCCCTCAAACTCAACCCTTCCACACTGAGTCTGTTCAGACTAAGATTCCATAATTAGAGTTTCATTCTTTGTGACTCTTAATGTTTTATCCCCTATGAAAATATATGGACATCTAAGAGAGAATGCTCATGAGATGGTAATCCACTTTTTATTGGGACTGATTTTTTTTTAGAAACGTTCATAAGATTTTGACCCAATGGTGAATAGAGAGACATCACAAAGGACACTATACCTACTAAGTAGATTTAATATGTCAGAGAAGAGGAAAACAGCAAAGACAACAATACATGGTCCAGGGTCTACTTATACTCTGCAAGGTGTGTTCACATGAAGCTCTTTGTTTGAACTGTATCATTGAAATACCAGCCAGATGGCTTCAGAATATTCTTCTCTAGACTGGGATTTCTCAATTTGGGCACAATTGCTGGACTTTGGGTTGAATAATTCTTTGTTGTGGGGTTGTCCTGTGAATTGCAGGATGTTTATCAGCATTTCTGGCCTTTATCCACTAGATGCCAGTAGCATATGCCCCATGCTCCCAGTTGTCACAACCAAAAATATCTCCAGACTTTGCCAAATGTCTCCTGGGGGGCACTATCACCCCTGATTGAGAAGCACTGGTCTAAGTTAATCTGTGTT
Source organism: Homo sapiens (assembly GCF_000001405.40). Lineage (NCBI taxonomy): Eukaryota > Metazoa > Chordata > Mammalia > Primates > Hominidae > Homo > Homo sapiens. Next base: position 20,991,840 of record NC_000007.14, read on the forward strand.
TTTCTCTTCCTCCCTAGGGGTTGAGGCCTTATCAGCATTTTTTCAAGATCATATTGAGCAGCTGCATATTTACTTTTAAACCATTGTCACCTCATCTCTAGCCTACTCTTGAGTTCTCAATCAGTATGATGACGCTTTTAGTTCCAAAATTTTATAGCTACCCATCACACCTAACCATTGTTGGTAAGCATAATCTTTGCAACATAACATAAGTCAAGAAGAGCGGATTTCTCAGCCAGTTAGGAAATTGAGCACAGACACTATGCTCAGTCCTTTGACCATAGTAATTCATTAGTTTTCAACTGGTCTCCCAGATGATATAGTGACTGTCAAAATCCAGTTTTCCACTTCATCTGACAACTCATAATTTTGTGTTTGTGAGTATTTGTTAACAAAATAACTTAATATGGTATGAATAATTAGTTCGCCTTTGAAGATCAAGGGTTGGTATCTGATTTTAAATAAGTTGTTTCATTTACGGTGTTGAGTTCAGGATAACTATGATACAACGACATCACAACAATTATATTTAGCACGTCTAGATTCTGCTCAGAGGACAGCACAAACCCACAGTTAGCGCTATGCTGATAAAAATACCAAATCATAGTGTTCTAGGTTCTAAACAGGGCCATGCAGGATCTTAATGCAGAGAGACTCAGGCTTCACTTGTCAGCGGAAACCCTAAATTATGGTAGAGAAGCCAACCGAAGGTTGAAGCAGAAGCAATGTTGTAGAGAAAGCATGAGAGCCAAGGTGAGGGCACAGGCAGTTCTGAATCATGAAGTCAGAGCCAGGAAGAACAGAAAGAGGCAAAGGAGTATAACAAAAACAGTTTAAGGCAAATTGTTCTGTCTTAATATAGAGAACAAAGCAAGAATCATACAATCCCTTTTCCATGTACGCTGGCTACACGGTGTACAGCAAAACCTGAAGGCTTACCAGTGCACAGTGCACAGTAGGACAAGATTATACTTTAAATCCTGGACTATTAACTCATGTCCTCTAGATAAAATTCCCAGGCTATCCACAAGATTATAAGTGTATGCTAATATTTGTTTCTAGGTCCCTTATTATATACTAAATCATGGCTCTACAAAAAGCACAAGATGAACTCAAAGTAGATTTAATTATATACTTTGCTACATTTTTGGCACTTTAAGAATACACTTGATAGGATGCCTTCAGCTCTAATTCACCTGGTCATATGAATATTAGAAAGTTTTCAGAATACTCTACTTTTGAAAAGATATACAAATACTTGCAAATTACACATCCAACAAAGGTCTAATATCTAGAATCTATAAGGAATGTAAACAATTAAATTAGCAAAAAAACAAACAATCTATTAAAAAATGGCCAAAAGCTGATCATGAGGTCAGGAGATCAAGACAATCCTGGCTAACATGGTGAAACCTCGTCTCTACTAAAAATACAAAAAATTAGCCAGGCGTGGTGGCACATGCTTGTAGTCCCAGCTACTCAGGAGGCTGAGGCAGGAGAATCCCTTCAACCCAGGAGGCAGAGGTTGCAGTGAGCCGAGATTGCACTACTGCACTTGAGCCTGGGCGACAGAGTGAGACTTGCTAAAAAAAAAAAAAATGGGCAAAAGACATGAACAGACACTTCTCAAAAGAAGACATACAAGCAGCCAGCAAACATATGGAAAAATGCTCAATATCACTAATCATCAGAGAAATGCAAATCAAAACCACAATGAAATGTTATTGAACACCAGTCAGAATAGCTATTATTAAAAAGTCAAAAAAACAACGTATGTTGGCAAAGCTGTGGAAAAGGTAATACTTATGCACTGTTGGTATGCAGAAACAGAAACAGATACGAATGAGGGATCATTCATATACCAAACCTCAGCACACACAATAGATGTTTTTAACAATCCTGCACATGTACCCCCTGAATCTAAAATAAAAGTTGAAAAGGATATACAAACATTAGTCAAAGTTATTGGCAAATACAATATGAGATAATGTGATTCTCATTATCTATTGCATAATAATTTAAAAATAATTTGCCAATTTTGAAATAATAAATTTAAACATTTTAAAGATTGGTGAATACTTTTAATATTTTAAAAATTCAAGGAATATTATTCGTTAATAATATAACATAGTGGTATATAATGTTATCAGTCAACAATGGCACATCATCATTCACACAGGATAGTATTATACCTTTCATGTCTGCTAGCTATGCATAAGGAAAACAAAAATTGGTTGAATCAATTAGAAGAGATAACATGTAAAAATGGTTAGCACAGTGCTTGGAATAAGCAGGTACTCAATGGTAACTCTGGGTGAAAAACTGGGGCAGGGAAGTTGTCTCAAGATATCCAGTGTAATTGAGCCAGGGAAAGAATACAGGATTCCTGTCTTTTGTTTGATATGTTGGACCTAGGAAAGGAGGCTTTACCTGACATAATTTTTCTCTTTGTAGTATTTATCAACATGATGATTATCTATTAGATGATATTAGTTATATCTTAATCATAGTGAAGCCTTGACTTCTATGAGCTTTGATCAATTTACTTCATATCTCTGAGTTTTCTCATCCGTGTAGTGGATTTACTACCATTTGCCTCATAAGACTGTTCTTGGGGTTAAAGGAAAGAATGTATGCCGGGCGCAGTGGCTCACGCCTGTAATCCCAGCACTTTGGGAGGCCAAGGTGGGCAGATCACAAGGTCAGGAGATCGAGACCATCCTGGCTAACACGGTGATACCCCGTCTGTACTAAAAATACAAAAAATTAGCCAGGAGTCTTGGCAGGCGCCTGTAGTCCCAATTACTCGGGAGGCTGAGGCAGGAGAATGGTGTGAACCCGGGAGGCGGAGCTTGCAGTGAGCCAACATTGCGCCACTTCACTCCAGCTTGGGCGACAGAGCCAGACTCCGTCTCAAAAAAAAAAAAAAAAAAAAGTATGTACAATGTCTAAGTATTTTACATTAAGAGAATCTAAATATTTTGAGCAATATTTCAGGCCATTATTAAGGAAGTTTCTTTCAGAAACATGTCTCTATGATATATTCTAACTTGAGAATTTGGTTTATATATTTAGCTTTTCTGATTAGACATTTTTAATGGCTACATCCTTAAAACTATATTAAAAGGATTTTTATTCTATTTTCTATAAGCTTTCTTGTTGTTTGGCAGAGAGCATTATTTTACACTATCTCTTAAAGGATCCAAATGAGAATAGATATGGCTTCTGAAAGTCTTGGGTATTTTTGATCTTCTAAGTCTTCAACCAATTGTCATTTCATTAAGGTGCCCTGCCGAGACGTTCTTTCACATACCATCATTAAGATGAATTGTAGCTCGGCTCTATAATACACGTATTACAAGCTCAGTTCACATGTGTGTTGAAATTGTTACTACAGACAAGGTTCCATGGCCTGGAGAGGAGTGCAGCATCACAGCTGCTGTTTCAGGCAGCTTTGCTGTCAGTTTCAAGTTAGAAAACCACTTTCTTAGTGATAAGAATGCAGCCCAAAACAGGAATTAAAAAATTGTCTCTGTGACAGAAGACAAGTACTAAAGTGAATATCAAAGATTACTTTATAACTTATTTAATGTGGTAAAATATACATAACATAAATATCTAGCACTTTAACCATTTGTAACCATGTGGCCAGTTCAGCGGCATCATCAAATACATTCACCATGTTCTATAACCATCACCACTATTTTTTCTCAAAACTATTTCATCATTCCCAAGATAAACTCTGTCCCTATTAACTGGTAACTTCCCATTTTCACTTACCCCCAGTCCCTGGTAACTTCTATTTTACTTTCTTTTGGCTATTCTAGGTACTCCATATAAGTGGAATCATTCAATAATTGTTCTATGTCTGGCTTATTTCCTTCAACCTAGTATCTTCAGGGTTCATCCATGTTGTAGCATGTATCAAAATATCATTACTATTTATAATTTAATCTAGTGTATTAGTCTGTTCTCATGCTGCTAATAAAGACATACCTGAGACTGGGTTATTTATTTTATTTTATTTTATTTTAATTTTATTTATTTATTTATTTTTTTGAGAGGGAGTCTTGCTCTGTCACTCAGGCTGGAGTGCAGTGGCGTGATCTCGGCTCACCGCAAGCTCCACCTCTTGGGTTCACACCATTCTCCCGCCTCAGCCTCTCGAGTAGCTGGGACTATAGGCGCACACCACCACATTCGGATAATTTTTTTGTATTTTTAGTAGAGACGGGGTTTCACCGTGTTAGCCAGGATGGTCTCAATCTCCGGACCTCTTGATCCACCCGCCTTGGCCTCCCAAAGTGCTGGGATTACAGGCGTGAGCCACAGCGCCTGGCTGAGACTGGGTAATTTATAAAGGAAAAAGGTTTAATGGACTCTCAGTTCCACATGGCTGTAGAGGCTTCACAATCATGGCGGAAGGAAAAGGAGAAGCAAAGGCATGTGGTACGTAGTGGCAAGCAAGAGAGCTTGTGCAGGTGAACTCCCATTTATAAAACCATCAAATCTCTTGAGACTTACTGTCACAAGAACAGCACGGGAAAGACCTACCCCCGTGATTCAATTACCTACCACCACTGGGTCCCTCCCACAAAACGTGGGGATTATTACAATTCAAGGCGAGATTTGGCTTGGGGCACAAGGCCAAACCATATCATCTAGTGAATGTATATCCCACATTTTCTTATTCATTCATCGTTGATGAACACTTGGGTTGTTTCCACCTCCTGGATATTGTAAATAATGCTACTATAAACATTGGTATACAGATATCTGTTGGTGTCTCTGCTTTCAATTCTTTTGCATATATGCCTAGGAGTGGAATTGCTGGGTCATATGGTAGTTCTCTATCTTTGATGTCTGGAGAAACCATCTAATTGTTTTTCACAGTAGCTGCACCATTTTATATTCTCACCAGCAATGCACAAGGGTTCCAATTACTGCATATCCTCACCAGTACTTGTTATTTTCCGTTTTTTTTTTTTTCCTAAAAGTATTATTATAGTCATCGCAGTGGATACGAAGTGGTATTTTATCATGGTTTTGATTTACATTTTCCTAGTGACTAATGATATTGAATATATTTTCATGTGCTTATTAGCCATTTGTATTCCTTCTTTGGAAAATGTCCATCGAAGTTCTTTGCTCACTTTTGAATTGGTTTGCTATTTTTGTTGCTGGTGAGTTGTAGAGGTTCTTTATATATCAGATATTAATCCCAATATGTGATTTGCAAATACATTCTCCCATTCTTTAGGTGATCTTTTTGCTTTTTTGATAGTGTCCTTTGATGTTCAAAAGTTCTTAATTTTAAGTTCAATATATCCATTTTTTCTTTTATTTTCTATGCTTTTGGTGTCATATGGAAGCTTACTGTTCAAACTTTCAAATATAACTTTATCATTTATTTCCAGTAATTATTTTTACAACTTTCCTGTCTTCTGTTATCTGTTGCCATCTGAGTTTACAGGGTGCCATAACTGGAGCTTAATCCCTTTTTACAGCCAACATGATTCTCAGTCACATAAAATTGGTTCAGTCTGTTGACTACTCCTTCAGCAGCTGCATATCACCTCATTCTTTCTACTGTATAACACAAGAGGGGACAAGATAAGGTATTCCATGGTATCCACTATCCAGGCACATAAGTAAGACTGACTTTGTTGTTGCATCATACTCACATTCTAAGCACAACTGTACTTGAGGTACTTGTGTTCAACCTTGCCTTTTATTTCTTTATTTCCAGAGATCAGCTTTATTTAATTCGGGTGCAGCCAACAGAACACAAAACCCCAAAATCAGGCCTAAAAATCACTCTCCCACTGTTGTCTGTAAAGTCATTGTTAAAATAAGGCTGATCTCAAAATATAAAAGTATTCAATACTAGCTAGTCCCCAAATTCTTCTTTTATTTGGTCATATTTTGGATCCAACAGGGTGAATAGTGAGAAACAATGTACATGATGGAAAAAAAGTAATGAAAATGCCAACCTAAGAGGTACATGGGGACTTGAGAGACCAGAGAGGTCAGTGCCAGGCTGAGACACAGAAAAAATGGCCCAATAGTCCTTTATGACCATGGAAGGCCAGGTCCATCAACCAGCTGGTCCTCTTTTTGGGGATCCTTATCAACCTCTGTCTCTAAACAGCTTCTGAATAGTAAATGCCTTGGAGTTTAGGCAGTAGCTTAATCCAAAACAGAGATTATAAAAAGCAAGGCAGCATGTGAACATTAGTAAGTCAACACTTCCATACCCATTGCTTATTTACTGACTGTAAAGACTAGTAAACATCTTCAGGATGTGTCATGGCTATGCTTTTAATCATTTTTTCTAGTAAAAGCAGCCCAGACAAGCAAGACATATGGTTAAAAATACACTAAGTGTGACTATCTCAGCAATTGTGTGGCAGTAAAATGATTGAAAGACCTCCTAAGACCTTCAAGAGGAAACAAAGAAATATGACTCAGCACAGCCATATTAGAGATATGCAGAGTAAGATTTCTGGAAAAAAGTATAGTTAAGACCCAAGAAAAAAAAATTCACTGAAATTGAATGGGCATATAGAGCAAATCATGTATCCTTTTCCATCAGGTTAACAACTGCCTTATAAATCAGCTTCACAGACTTCCTCCACTGTCTCTGGGATGCCTCATGCATGACTCATCTGCTCACCTCCGACAGTACAGGCTTCTGTACCTCAGTCCTATCCTCTAGAGTAGGAGTCAGCAAACTTTTTAAGTCAATAATCACATAGTAAACACTATAGACTTTGAGAACAAAGAGGCAAAATCTAGGATATTATGTAGTGACATACAACCTCTCTATGTGTGACCATCTAAAACCATAGAAACCATTCTTAGCCAGATTTTGTCTGTGAGCCACACTTTTCTCACCCCAGTTTTGGAGGACTGATCAATATATTAGGCTACACATTGTGAAATAGTAGCAATAGTAGGTGATTAGCAATTAGGGTGAATTTTTCCACTTGGGGGTTCTCCATTGACATAGAATGCAAATCACTGGGCTGGGCGCAGTGGCTCATGCCTATAATCCCAGCACTTTGGGAGGCCGAGGTGGGCAGATCATGAGGTCAGGAGATCAAGAACATCCTGGCCAACACGGTGAAACCCCGTCTCTACTAAAAATACAAAAATTAGCTGGGTGTGGTAGTGCATGCCTGTAATCCCAGCTACTTGGGAGGCTGAGGCAGCAGAATTGCTTGAACCTGGGAGGTGGAGGTTGCAGTGAGCCGAGACTGCATCACTGCAATCCAGCCTGGTGACAGAGCGAGACTCTGTCTCCAAAAAAAAAAAAAAGGATTGCAAATCATTGTGTCCTCAGAGGTGCTAGATCATAAGTACATGCCAAAACCATTTAAAGTTTCCTTTCCATCAAGGTGTAGGTGGCATGTAATGGTTTGTAGCTCATTACTGATGTCTAAAGTTACATAATAAAGACTTTTCAAAAATAACGAATAATTTCCTCCAGAGTTTGGGAAGTCTGAAGGTTCCCCTTGCCATCCTGGCCTTATAAGAGTATTAAGAAGCAGAATATGACCCTCTTGTTACTGTGATGTTGCTAGTGACCAACAAGCAGCCCAGACAGGTTATGAGAATGAATGAGATAATGTCTGTGAAGTGCTTTGAGCTTTTCAGAAGAAATTTTCTTTTTAATTAGAAAATAATGCTGTATTATTACAGTTATTATGATTATCACCATTATTAAAGGTAGATCCAGGAGACACAGCCTCTACAATAAGAAAATTTGTAAAGGAACCCAAGTAACTCATAAAATAAGTGGTTCATGCACAAATTATGAGCTTCCATTTTATAATTACAGTGTACTAGGTGGTTTTGCAGGTACTAGTTCATTATTCATCCAGAAGAATTAGTCTTCACATGTGTAACAGCTCCCAAAAGATGCCCAATGTATGCCAAACACAAAAGGAACAGAAGAAAGCTCTGTGTGACCACTGACTTGTAAACTTGAAATTTAATTGCTTATTAAGAATTGTCTTTAAATTTGCACAAAAATAGTAAAATTGTGTCAATGAAGAACTTTTGTTAAGAAAAGAAAAAAATGCAAATGTGAGTTTTACATGTATGAACAAAGGAATAACCAAGTAAACCATATATTCATTTACCCTTCCATTATATTAAACATTGATAATGCTTTTTCTTAAGTACTGTTCATTTCAAAATGTAAGAGTTCATTATTATCCACTCTGGTTCCCAAATGCTCATTTTATTTTGCCTCATCTCTGGTCCCATAGAGGCTAGAATGGTAAAGAATGAAAATGAAGGATAAAGAAGAATCAAAAAGCCAAGAGAAGGGTTTAAGGAGTTGTTGCTTGGGCCCAAATGGCCAATGGGAGCCTAGGAGGGAATGCCCAGCAGCCGGTCTCCTCCCTTCGCCATTGGACTCTTCAAACTCTGCTATTAGCACTTTCTGAATATGGAACTTAAACTGTGGCTTAATCCAGAGATCTGAAGCTGGAAGACAATATGCATCATTGAGAACATCAGAATCTGCTGTCTGCCTGCTCCTTGGGCCACATAGTATGTCTCCAGACCTTCTTTGTGTAGGAAAGGTTAGTTATTTGCCACTTTCACCCTCTGTGGACAGCCAGTCCTAATTTCTTTAACTTGCCCTCTAACCCACCCCAACATGCAGCCTTTCAAATTCCCTTTTTAAGCTGTTCATTCTGAATCTGCAATTGGGTAGCCATGTTCACTTGCACAGAGTCACTAACAGAGGAATAGACATTTTTTAAGCCTGTGGTTGGCAAACATTTTTACAAAGGCAAATTCAGAGAATAAAAATAAATGGACCCCATTTTTCCCATCCAAAATAAACACAGACTTATTAAGTCCTAGAAGAAAAAAAGTTTATATACGTTCTGCAAATTATATTGGTGACCTTATTAAATAAATGAAAGTCAATGAGAAAATTGGCAGAGCCTTTTAGACAATAAAATTTTAAAAAGCCAAGCATGTTTGAAGAGAAATCAGAAATTACATTTTAATCTTTCAACCCTTATATTTGTCAAGTGCCTTAGAGTTCAAAAATGATGTTCACATGTCCCCTTTCATTTGTTATTGGCAACACATCATGTGCGTATTATTATCCTTTCTATTTTCCAGCTAAAGGAACTAAGGTTCAGAGAGGCAAAGCGATCTTTGTAAGATCATATAGCCAATTTGTGGCAAAGCTTTGGACAAAATTTGTTTGTTCCTTTATTAACTTCATACATAGAGTGCTATTTTATGATAAGAGTTTGGTTGCTATAACAAAGGCCCAAACAAGAGAAAAGTCTATTGATCTCTAATTCAATTGTCTGTAAATAGTCTGAGCATAAACAGTCCAAGGCTGTTTTACTATGTGGAGGATCCAGGTTCTATCTGCCTAATTCATCTGCAGCTCATGGCTTCCATCTCATGGGCTAACCCAATGGCCAGAGTTTCCATTTTCACATTTTAATTCTAGCTAGTGAGAAGGGGAGAAGAAAGGGAAGAAGGGCTCTCTGCTTCACTTTAAGAGTATAATCTAGAAGTGGTATACATCTCTTCTGCTCCCATTAGCCAGAACTTGAAAACACCTACTGGCAAGTAGCCTTGTCCTCGGCTAAACCAGGGGATTCTATTGACAAAGCACAAGTCATGAAATGCATACTGGGGGACAATAGCCATCTTTGTCATTTCGAGCACCTATTGTATGTCAAGAAATAGCTAAGGTGTTGGAATAGAGAAAGGAAGAAAATGTGATTACCTTCCCCTCAATTTAAGCCACTATGAGCTTTCCTCCTCTGGTTGGAAAAGTCCCTCTCATCCTCAGGTAGACAGGATGGTTTGAACCAGGCATCCCAAGTGTGCTAGGCTGAACTATAACCACCAAATATGTCCACATCCAAATACCAAGGTTCTGTGAATGTTGCCTTATATGGCAAAAAAGGATTTTGTAGTTTTGATTTAACTAAGGATCTTGAGATAGAAAAATTATTCTGAATTATCTGGGTGGGTCCAATATAATCACAATGGTCCTTTTAAGAGAGAGGCAGGATATCAAAGTGAGTAGTAGAAGGCAGTGTCACCATGGAAATAGAGATTGTCATGATGTGCCACAATTCAAGAAATGCCGGCAGCCTCTAGAAACTGAACTGACCAAGGAATCAATTCTCCCCTGGATATTCTATAAGGAATCAGGCCTGCCAGCATCTTGATTTTAGCCCTATAATACTCATTTTTGACATCTGACTTTCAGAACTGTAAGATAATAAATTTATGTTGTTTTAAGCCACTAAGTATGTGGTAATGTGTAACAGCAGCAATAAACAGAAACAAATCCATCAGGTGAATGATAAGACCAAATGCCACTTCTCAGAAAAGCCGGATGCTAGGACTCAACTTTGTGTATGGTGACATGACCTCTTGCACCACCCAGCTGGAAGACAAATATCGGATTTCTTTATATATCATGTTGAGCCCCTGGGAGCCTTTTTCCTCTTGAACCCTTTGCTTTGAAATTAGATCCTCAGAGGAAGCTTCAAAATGGCGGACTAGAGGGACCTGGCACTCACCTCCTCCACAAAGAAGAACCAAACAGCAAGTAGGTAACCACACCTAGAATAGAGTTTCTGAGAGAGAAGCAAATTCAGCAAGGAAGTGACAGGAAACCTCTGGGACAAAGGAGGAGAAGGAAGCAAAGAAGTCTGCCTGGCTAGGAGGAATTCCCTATTGCAGGGAAAATATGAGAGATATGAGAGATGTCCAGTGGTCCACATTCCTACTGCACACTCCTGCAACCTCAGCCATGGGAAAGCCCCTTGGTCCTCACAGGCCCTGTGACTACTACAGGGAGCTTCCTAAAGTCTATGCAGAGGTATTGTTCCAGAGAGAAAAAGTTTATGCTGGGTTCCACATAAGAACTGAGACCCAAGGAGCTGCAGCATGGTGCAATTTTGAGAGCCCAGCCCCCACCAGATTATATCCTGCCATGGGGCCCAATAGCTCCAGATCCCTGGAGCGCTGCTGACATCCTCCCACATTCACCCAGAAAGCTGCAGTATCATGATGCCAGCTGGACCCAGCACTGTGACTAAATCTCTAGCATTCTAGCCCATGCAGTGTCCTACACCCAAGGGAATAATAGGTGGTACAGCACACCAGGGAGAATGCCACCAAGACAAAGGGAGTAAAGCATGTGCTCACCAGAACCTGAGAGCCACCTGACTAGGCCACTGACACTGACAGGAGCCTGTGCACTTCAATGACAGGACTGTTGACCACATGCATACACCTTTAGAGGGTCTGGGGACTGGCTTATCTGATTGCACTGTCCCAAGGCCTAAGGAAAGGCCCACCCTGTCTGCTGCAGCCAGTGCCTGCTTGCACCACCCAGGAGTCTGAGGACAGGTCTACTCTGCTCACTTCCACCACTGCCAGTGCTTGAGTGTGCTGTCCAAAGGCTTGGGGATTGAACCATTCCATCTGCCACTGCTGGCACCCACACACATTGTAGGGGATCTGGGGATTGATCTGCCCAGCACACTGTTACTGGCACCCACTTATACCATTCAGGGGCCTGAGGACAGGTCTGTCCTACCCACTGCTGCCACTGCTGGTTCATCATCCGGGGACCCAGGGATCAACTCCTCTCTATCTACCATGACTGTGCCCATGCACATCTTCTGGGAGCTTGTGGATGGGTTCAACCTGCCCACCACCACTACCCAAATATGCTGAAAGGGACCTGGGGATAAGCCCACACAGCCTACCACGATTTCCACTAACTTATCAGCTTGTCCCACTGATGGAACTGGGGACTGGCCTACTCAGTCCACTATCACCAAGATGACACCAAAATGTGCCACTCAGGAATCCAAAGAGTGGCTTGTTACTGCTATTGCCACTGCCAAAACGAAATACGCCTTCTGAGGGTGAAAGAAGCCCCCTGCTTACCTCACCCACTGCTATAGCCAGCACCCAAACAAGTTACCTGGAGGCCCAAGGACTGGCCCACCAGGACCTGCCTCTTCTGGTGGCTGCATATGTCACCCTGGGGCCTGAGAACTGGCATATCTGGCCCACCACAGGTGCCTGAGGATCAGCCTGCCTAGTGTTTCCATCCCCAGCAAAGCCTCGCCACAGCCTCCAATAACAACAGCAGCCTAAGCCACTAAGAAACACACAGACACCAATGATGCTGATTAACAGCCAAATAAATCATACAGAGATCACACTACTGTACCTACCCAGAATCAAAGCCAAGCACCCTAACCAACCAACATGATAGTACATCTATGGGAGAAAGTATTTTCCTACTAAAACCAAATCATTAAATTGGAAGAAGTGACTGTTACATCAGATGTGGAGCTATCAATGTAATATCAGCAAAATATAAGAAACATGAAAAAGCAAACATGACACCTCCAAAGAAGCACAATAATTATCTAGTAACTACCTCAATTTAAAGAAAATCTTTGAAATGTCTGAAAAAGCATTCAAAGTGATGACATTAAAGAAATTCAGTGAGATACAAGACAACACAGATAAACAATACAAAGAAATCAGGAAAACAATTCAGTATATTAATAAGTTGAACAAAAAGAGAGATACTTTTTTTTTTTTTAAAAAAAGAAGCAAACGAAAACCACAGAACTGAAAACTTCAATGAATGAAACAAAAAGTACAACTGGGAGCTACAACAATAGACTAGATCAATCAGATGAAAGCATTTCTGAACTTGAAGACAGGTCTTTTGAAATAATATAGTCAAGAAAGAAAGAAAGAAAAAGAGAGAAAGAAAGAAAGAAAGAAAGAAAGAAAGAAAGAAAGAAAGAAGGAAAGGAAGGAAGGAAGGAAGGAGAAAGGAGAAAGAAAGAAGAAAGAGAAAGGAGAAAGAAAGAAAAGAGAAAGAAAGAAAGAAAGAAAAAGGAAAGAAGGAAGGAAGGAAGGAAAGGAAGAAAAGAAGGAAGGAAGGAAGAAAATGAGGAAGAAGAAAGCCTACATGACAAAAGAGAAACCAAAAAGCAACCAAATATTGGAAATTTGAGAATTCCAGAAGGAGAAAAGATAGGCAAGGGCATAGGAAATCTATTTAATGAAACAATAGCTGAAAACTTCCCAAGTCTTGGAAGAGAGATAGAAATTCAGATATAGGAAGCCGAAAGATTCCCAAATAGACTCAACCAAAAAAAGGTCTTCTCCAAGGCACATTATGATCAAACTGTCAAAAGTCAAAGACAAAGTCAGAATTCTAAAAGCAGCAAGAGAAAAACATCAAGTTTTATATAAGGGATTCCCATCAGACTAACAGTGAATTTCTCAGTGGAAATTTTACCAGCCAGGAGAGAATGAGATAATATATTCAAAGTCCTAAAATAAGAAAAAAACTGCCAGCCAAGAATACTATACCTAGAAAAGCTGTCCTTCAAAAATAAAGGAGAAATGAAGTGTTTACCAGACAAGCAAAAACTGAGAGAATTCATCATCATTAGACCAGCCCTACTTGAAATTCTTAAGGGAATCCTACATCTGGATGTGAAAGGACAATATCTGCTATCACAAAAACACAAACGTGTAAAACTCACTGGTACAGTAGATACACAGAAGAGAAAAAGGCAAAAGTTGCCACTGTAAAAACACCCACCAAATTGCAAAGGTAAACAATAAAAGAGAAAGAAAGAAACAAAGATTATACAAAATGATCAAAAAACAATTAAGAAAACAACAGGAGTAGGTCCTTACCTATCAATAACAAACTTGAATGTAAGTGGTTTACATTCCCAAATTGCAAGATACAGACTGGCTGAATGGATCAAAAGAAAGACTCAACTATTTGCTGCCTCCAAGAAACTCACTTCACCTGTAAAGACACATATAGACTAAAAGTGAAGGGCTGAAAAATATATTTTATGCAAATGGAAACCAAAAGCAGGCAGCAGTATATAAGTTATACTTATATAAGTCAAAAAACATAAACAGGGACAAAGAAGGTCATTATATAAGAAAGAAATCAATTCAGCAAGAGGATGTAACAATTCTAAGTTTATATGCATACAATGCCAGACCACCTAGATACGTAAAGCAAATGCTATTACAGCTAAGGAGAGAGATAGACTTCAATACAATAATAGCTGGGTACTTCAACACTCCACTTTTAGCACTGGAAAATCATCTAGACAGAAAATCAACAAAGAAACAATGATTTAATATGCATTACAGACCAAATGGACCTAACAGACATTTACAGAACATTTCATCTAACAGCTGCAGACTATATATTCTTCTCATCAGCCCATGGAACATTCTCCATAATAGACCATATATTAGGCCATAAAACAAATATCAAAATTTATTTAAAAGTTGAAATTATGTTAAATATCTCCTCAGACCACATTGGAATAAAACTAAAAATCAGTAATGACGAACTTTAGAAACTGTACCAGTAAGTACATGGAAATTAAACAACAGGCTCCTGAATGACCACTGGGTCAATGGAGAAATTAAGAAGGAAATTTAAAAATGTCTTAAAACAGATGAAAATGAAAGCACATTATACAAAACCTATGGGATACAGCAAATGTAGGGCTAAAAAGGAAGTTTATAATAATAAGTACCTACCTGGAAAAGTTTCAGATAACAATCTAACAATGCTTCTCAAGGAACTAGAAAAACAAGAACAAACCAAACCCAGAATTAATAGTAGGAAAATAATAATAAAAATTGGAGCAGAGCAGAAATTGACAAAATAGAGACTAAGAAAATTACAATGGATCAGTCAAACAAAAAGTTGGTTTTTTTGAAAAGATGATATTGACAAGCTGCTAGCTAGACTAACCAAGAAAAAGAGAAGACACAAATTAATAAAATCAGAAATGAAAAGGAGATATTACAACTGATATCACAGAAATACAAATGATCATTAGAGACAATTATGAAGAACTATACACTAACAAATTGGAAAATCTAGAGAAAATAGATAAATTCCTGAACACATACAACCTACCAAGATTGAATCAGGAAGAAACAGAAAACCTGAACAGAACAATAATGAGTAGTAAAATTGAATCAGTTATAAAAAGTCTCCCAACAAAGAAAAGTCCAAGACTGGATGGCTTTACTGCTGAATTTTACCAAACTTATAAAGAACTAATACTAATTATTCTCAAACAATTTCAAAAAAATTGAAAAAAAAGGAATTCTTTCTAACCCATTCTATGAGGCCAGCATTTCCTGATACCAAAATTAGAGAAAGAACAACAAAAAAAGAAAACTAAAAGCCAATATACCTAATGAACATAGATGCAAAATCCTCAACAAAATACTAATAAACCAAATGCAACAGCACACCAAAAAGATATTATATCATGATCAAGTGGGATTCATTCAAAAGATGCAAGGATGGTTCAACATACACAAATCAATAAATGTGATAAATCACATCAAAAGAATGAATGACAAAAGCATATGTTATAGTTTGGATATTTGTCCCCTTCTTATCTAATGTTGAAATGTGATTCCCTCCAACACTGGGAATCACATGGTGGAAGGTGATTGGATCATGGGGGTAGATCCTTCGTGAATGGGTTAGTACCACCCTTTAGAACAACCCCTGTGGTTATAAGTGAATTACTCAATTCACTCAAGTTCTGGTTGTTTAAGAGTCTGAGAGCTCTTCCTTCTCTCTCTCTTGCTCACACTCTCACCATGTGACACACTACTTCTTGCTCCACCTTTTGCTGTGAGTAAAAGCTCCCTGAGGCCACAACAAAAGGTAAGCAGATGCTGGTACCATGCTTCCTGTACAGCCTGCAGAATCATGAGCCAATTAAACCTCTTTTCTTTATAAATTACTCAGCCTCAGATTTTTCTTTATAGCAATGCAGAAACAAAATAACACACCACATGATCATCTCCATAGATGAAGAAAAAGCATTTGATAAATTCAACTTCTTTTCATGACAAAAACTCTCAACAAATTAGACATAGAAGAAACATAACTCAATATAATAGAGGCTGTATAAGGCAAACCCACCATTAACATTATACTTAATGAGGAGAAGCTGAAATGCTTTCCTCCAAGAACTGAAACAAAACAAATAAGGGAGGAGACCACCCCTCATATTGTCTTATGTCCAATTTCTGCCTCAAAGAAAAAGTAGGAGTTAAAGAAAAGACAGAAGAGAAATCAGTAGTCAGACAGCCCAGCGCGCATTCCAGGCCTGGTCGTTAAAAATCAACCCCTGACTTAACTGCTTGTGTTATCTATAGATTCCAGACATTGTATGGAAAAGCATCGTGAAAATCCCTGTCCTGTTCTGTTCCGTTCTGATTACTGGTGCATGCAGCCCCCAGTCACGTACCCCCTGCTTGCTCAATCAATCATGACCCTCTCATGTGGACCCCCTTAGAGTTGTAAGCCCTTAAAAGGGACAGGAATTGCTCACTCAGGGAGCTTGGTTTTTGGAGATGTGAGTCCGCTGATGCTCCCAGCTGAATAAAGCCCTTTCCTTCCACAACTTGGTGTCTGAAGGGCTTCTTGTCTGCGGCTTGTCCTGCTGCACAAGGATGACTACTTTTACCACTCTTATTCAACATAGTACTAGAAGTCCAAGCCAGAATAATCAGACAATAGAAAAAACATTAAAGGCATCCCAACTGGAAAAGAGAAAGCCAAATTGTCCTTCTTTGCAGATAACATAATCCTATATATAGAAAAACCTAAAGACTCCACCCAAAAACTCTAAAGCAAATTCAGTAATGTTGATAAGCAAATTCAGTAATTTTGGAGGATATACAATCAACATATAAAAATCAGTAGTGTTTTCACATATTAATAATAAACTAGCTGAAAAAGAAATCAAGAACATAATCCAATTTACAATAGCTGTCACACACAAAAAATACTTAGGAATAAATTTAACCAAGCAGGTAAAAGCCCTATACAGGAAAAACATTGATAAAATACACTGAAGACTGGCCAGGTGCAGTGGCTGATGCCTGTAATCCCAGAACTTTTGAAGGCTAAGGTAGGAGGATTGTTGGAGGCCAGGAGTTTGTGACCAGCCTGGGCAATATAGCAAGATCCCATCTCTACAAAATCCAAAAAAATTAGCCAGGTGTGGTGGTGCATGCCTGTAGTCCCAGCTACTCAGAAGGCTGGGCCCACCTTGGGCCCAACAGGTCGAGGCTACAGTAAACTGTGTTTGTGCCACTGCACTCCAGCCTAGGCAGCAGAGCAAGACTCTGTCTCAAAAAAATTGAAGAGGACACAAACAAATGGAAAAACATCCCATACTCATAGAATGGAAGAATTACTATGATCAAAATGACCATACTACCCAAAGCAATTTATAGATTCAATTCAATTTCTGTCAAAATTCCAATGACATTCTTCACATAAATAGAAAAAATAATTCTAAAATTTGCATGAAAACAAAATACTCTGAATAGCCAAAGCAATACTGAGCAAAGAGATCAAAACTGGAGGCATCACACTACCTAACTTCACAATATATTACAAAGATATAGTAACCAAGACAGCATGGTATTGGCATAAAAACAGGCACAAAGTCCAAAGGAACAGCATAGAAATCCTAGAAATAAATCCATGTATTTACAGGTGACTGATTTTGACAAAGTTGCCAAGAACATACATTGGGAAGGAGCCAGTGTCTTCAATAAACGGTGCTGGGAAAATGGTGCTGGATATCCATATGCAGAAGAATGAAACTAGACCCTTATCTGTCATCATATAAAATAATCAATTCAAAATGGATTAAAGACTTAAACGTAAGAGGTGAAACTATAAAACTTTATTTTATTAGAATAAAACATGGGAGACATTTCAGGACATTAGGCAGAGATTGTATGTCTAAGACTTCAAAAGCACAGGTAACACAAACAAAAATTGACAAATGATACTACATTACACTGAAAACCTGCATGGCAAAGGAAACAATCAACAGAGCAAAGTGACAACCTACAGAATGGGAGAAAATATTTGCAAACTATTCATCTGACAAACGACTAATACCCAAAATGTAAGAGGAACTCAAGCAGCTCGATAGCAATAATAATAATGATCTGATTTTTAAATAAGCAAAATCCCTGAATAGACACCTCTCAAAAGAAGACATACAAATGACCAACAAGTATATGAAAAAATACTCAACATTATTAATCTTCAAGAAAATGCAAATCAAATCTACAATGAAATATCATCTCACCTGAGAATGGCTACAATCAAAAGACAAAAAAGAACAAATGTTGGTGAGGATGTGAAGATTATACACCGTTGGTGGGAATGTAAGTTAGTACAGACATTATGGAAAACAGTATGGAGATTCTCAAAATAACTACAAATAGAACTACAATATGATTGAGCAATCTCACTACTGCATATTTATCCAAAGGAAAAACAAATCAGTATATGAAAGGAATACCTACACCCCATGTTTATTGCAACACTATTCACAATAGCTAAGATATGGAATCAACCAAACTTTCCATCAATGCATAGAGAAAATGTGGTATATACATATACACACTTTGGAATACTACTGAGCTATAAAAAATAATGAAATCCTGTCATTTGCAGCAACATGGATGGAAGTGGAGGTCATTATGTTGAGTGAAGTAAGCCAGCCACAGAAAGACAAATACTGCAAGTTCTCGCTCATGTGTGGGAGCTAAAAAACTTGATCTCATAGAGACAGAGAATAGAATAATAGATACCAGAAGCTGGGAAGGGTTGAGGGGGAGGATGAAGAGAGGTTGGTTCATGGGTAACTCATAGAGTTAGATGGCAGAAATAGCTTCTAGTGTTTAACAGCACAGTAGAGTGACTATAGTTGAAAATAATTTATTGTATATTTCAAAACGGCTAGAAGAGAAGATTTAAAATGTGCCCATCAAGAAGAAATGCTTAACATTTGAGGTGATGGATATCCTAAATATCGTGATTTGATCATTACATATTGTATGCATGTATCAAAATATCATATGTACTCCATAAATATGTACAATTATTATGTATCCAAAGTATTTAAAAAATTTAATATATATATCTAACTAAAAATCTTTGCAAATTAAAAAAAAATAGATCATGAGTCTTACTGAAAAGCCAGGCAAGCCACATGTGGCCTAGAAATCACAGCTTCCTGTCATACTTGGTTTAAGCCTTCTGTGGATGTTCCTTTTTTTGCATTTCAATTGCTTCATACTAAAAAGGGAAGGCTTCCTTGCTTTCAGAGGTGGGTAGCCCTGTGATTTAATTTTTTGGAAAGGTATAACTCAAATATTTTTTTAAAAAGAAAAAAGAAACCACAGAGGAAGATAGTAGATCAGAAAAGTATGACCCACTGTTCCTATTTATCAGTAAGTAGATCTGAATTGCTGTGGTCCTTGGCCACTGTCACAGGTAACATTCCACTGTAGTCCTCCCTCTCACTTGAAGACATGGAAGTATGAGTCAGGAATGGCCACGGGCTCTGTCGGAAGCTAAGGTGAATGAACACAGGTGTGGCTCAAATATTTCTAACATGAATTGCTTTAGGCTGAATGGATTCATGCCCTGACCTTGCACATGACGCACTGGATAAACCCAGCGAGAAGCTGAGAGTTCATTTGTCCTTTTGGAGAGAGGCTAGAGTCAGATGCTTCATCTAGAGATACCAGTCAGCTCTTCTTGGTTGGCAATTCCTAAGGAAAGAGAGATATAAAAGATATATCTGTTGTGTAGCAGATATTTAAGAAGATAGTCAATTCACCTTGTGGTTGGATTTGGTTCAGGTTGAATACATTCTGAAGGCAAATATTAGCATCATGTTTTGCAATGAAAAACAATTTTTTGTAGACATTGATCTCATGTCATCACTGCAATAACTCCATGATCTTAGTATTATCATTCTGATTTACAGATAAAGTACCTGAGACCAGAAAGATTATGTAGCTTGTCTAAGTTTACTCAATTTTGTCAGGTAGAACCCAGACCTGAACTCAAGTCTTCAAACTTCAAAATTTCAAGTCTTTTCACTGAAACGTGAAGCCTCTGTAGTAACATTCAATGTGAGGGCATTGGTAAAAGAGTATTAATATACTGTTGGAGCTGCAGAGATTCAGTGATTAATTTAGCTCTGCATGTACCTGTGGAGGTAAATCTTGGGAGACCTGTGGAGGTCTTTGGATAGGCTGTCTTCAGATATGCCATCAGTGCAAGAGCAATGCCAACTCTGCGTAATTTCTCTAATTGTCTTTCTCCTGCCATTCCAGTGCATCCATTAGCATACATCAGAGACTATAGGACTTCCCCAAGAACCTTTATGACAGTTGTCTATAAACTCAAGGAGTCAAGTAAATTCCCCCAAGTAAATGATACTGTAACCAACAAGTCCAAGGCTTCTTGAAGCTGTGTTGTTCTTTCTTCCCTAATCTTCATACTGCTGCCTGTTTCTCACCATTTAGATCCACAGAGTGGCCTGGCCAGCAGCCCTGACTAAAGGACTCAGTGTAACCCAGGCACTCCTTATGTCATTACCATTTAATTTTTCTTCAGAAGTATTAATATTTTCTGTAACCTTTGCATTTGTTTTCAAGTTTATATATTCTCTCTCTCTTCACTAGAATATAATCTCTCTGAAAGCAGGCTCCTTATCTATATTATTCACTGTTATATCCCCAAAGACTAGAATCCTGCCAGGTACGGGAACAGATTCTCAATAAATTATTTGTTGAGTGAATGTGTGAAGTGACACTTAGACGAATTCCTCCAATTTTGATGCTCCAAGCCCTGCACTGAAAGAGAACATAGACTTTTCTCATGGTGACTCTTCCCAAACATTTCTGGAATCCTCCAGGGGCCGTTACAAATGCTTGTGAATCCATCCTCATAAATTTTGCAACTTGCCAAGGGAATGAAAACCCAAGTGCCCATCTCAAAGCTGGACTTCACCTCTGGTTATTGCTGCGTTGGTTTTGAGCTGGAAATTCAATACTTCTGGCACCATCTTGATTTTCATGGCTTGTGCTAACTCAGTGGTTCCTTTTAAAGTGAGACAGTGGACACAACTTCTTTCTGTGTTACAGTCAGTGAAGGATTCCCCATAACAGATTTGCCAAGGATCCTAAGTGTTACTGACCTTCCATTTCATATAAAAGCTGCCAGAGTAATTGGGTCAAAATGAATTCCAAAATCTAGAATTATCCATAGGCTTTCTTGCTCAAGGTCATCAAGCTGGTATCCCACTTAGGTATGTTGGAAAATAATGATTATTCCCACACCTATGTAAAACCTTACACTTAATACCACAGGTGGTCTAAATATTACTGTAGCATAAAGATGTATGCAGTTCCAGTGATGTTGTTACAAAATTATCACAGATGCTTCCTGGTGCTGCACCTCATGGTCTCTTATTTCAGCTGAGATCCTCTGCTGGACACTTGAGTGTTAGCCCTTAACACAAGGTAGACACTGAAATGTCATTTTTACACCCACTCACTGGTTTTATATGTGGCAACTTTATTTCTTGTTGTATGTTTTTAGCTCTTTTGAGTAAAGAAACCAAATCTTATGGGTTTTTTGTTTTTGTGTTTTTGAGACAGTCTCACTCTATCGCCAGGCTGGAGTGCAGTGGCGCGATCTCGGCTCACTGCAACCTCTGCCTCCTGGATTCAAGCGATTCTCCTGCCTCAGCCTCCTGAGTATCTGGGACTACAGGTGCCTGCCACCACACCCAACTAATTTTTGTACTTTTAGGAGAGACGGGGTTTCACCATATTGGCCAGGATGGTCTTGATCTCTTGACCTCGTGAACTGCCGGCCTCGGCCTCCCAAAGTGCTGGGATCACAGACGTGAGCCACTGTGCCCGGCCCAAATCTTATGTTTTATTCTGTATTTCTAGTGCCCATGTATATAGGAGCTGGATCATTAAAAATGGCATTTGATGATTCATGCACTTGCATATTATGGTTAAGAAACTCTAGCTAGATAAATCTGCAGTTGTATAATCTGCTTCAGTTATATTCATACTTATCATTGAAGGACATTACATCCATGAAATGTTTAGGAAGTGTATTAAGCTAATCAGTTTAATCATGGGCCAGATTAGAAGAGACAAGAAAGTAGCTGAAGATTTATCGCTCATCAGCCTTGGCAAGGCTAAAACCATGCCTGGACATGCTGATTCTCCTTTGCCTTCCTCTCTCTACAAGCTTAACTCTCTTTTATTCTTATTAAAATGTAATTCTCTTTCTTCCAACCATTTCACACCACTACTAACCGCCCCCCCACCCACCCTTTCACATCATCCATGACCAAAGTCTTTCTAGATTTTTGGAGTCACTCAGGATTCTAAGGAACTTGTTCAGAAAGAAACTTTTTCTTTCACATACATGGCTTCTGTTTTCCACACAAGCAGGACTGACACACACTGAGTCAACCTTATGTGTGCTGAGCTGTTCCTTACAACAACGTGTCATGCTCATTGTTATGTTGGATAGTATTTCATTGAACAAATAAACTACAATTCATTTATTTAGTCTAGTCTATTCATTATGTACCACATGCATTTATTCATGGTTTGCTGTGAATAGTCTTATACATGTCTGTTAAACTTATGCATGTAATGTGTTGGGTGTAGAACTAGGAGCTGATTATTGTGTTTTAAGATTGTCAAAAGAAGACTTGCAGACTTGAAGAAGAAAAGTTTATTTGCAAAGTAGTGCAAAGGACTCATTCCAGAAGGCTCAAAAAAAATTAAAAAATGAGCAAACTATTTGAAAAAATCAGCATAATTTCCAAGTTTACATTAATTGATTCATCTATTCATGGTGGGAAAAGAGCAACATTTCTATATGATTATTATGTTTCCAAAGATCATGGCCTATCTTCAGATATCAGCATCACAAAATCAGCAATAAATATATTTTTACAGGGCAGGCAAGGGCTCTAGGAAATGTTCAAGATTTCATTTATTTTGAGGCCCAGAACTACACAGGTGTGCCTGTTATTCTTGCTGTATCTCTGGGTGGAAAATATTTTGTTTTCTCTGTGTCATGTGATACATATTGCTTATTCATTACATTAGCAGGACAAAATGTTAGTTATGCTTTTACAGGAATATACAGGCATACCTTGGAGATACTGAGATTTTGGTTCCAGACCACCATGATAAAGTGAAGGTCACAATAAAGTGAGTCACACAAATTTTTTAGTTTCCCAGTACATGTTGTTTACACTATACTGTTGTCTATTAAGTATGCCATAGCATTCTGTCTAAAAAAAATATATACATAACTTAATTTAAAAATATTTTATTACTAAAAAATTCTAATGATCATCTGAGACTTCAGCAGGTCATAAGCTTTTCACTGATGAAGTGTCTTGCCTAAATGTTGATGGCTGCTGACAGATTAAGTGGTAGTTGCTGAAGGTTGGGGTGGCTAGGGCAATTTTTAAAAATAAGACAACATTAAAGTCTGCCACATCGATGGATTTTTCCTTTTCATGAAATATTTACCTGTAGCATGTAATGGTGTTCAATAGCATTTGACTTACAGTAGGACTTCTTTCAAAATTGAAGTCAATCCTCTCCAACACTGCTACTACTTAATCAACCAAGTTTACATAATAATCTAAATACTTCGTTGTCGTTTCAACAACATTCACAGCATCTTACAGGAGTAGATTCCAGCTCAAGAAACCTCTTCATTTCCTCATTTATAAGAAGCAACTCCTCATTCTTTCAAATTTTATCATGAAATTGAAGCAATTCGGTCACAACTTCAGCCTTCACTTCTCATTCCAGTTCTCTTGCTACTTCCACCACATCTGCAGGGACTTCCTCTGCTGAAGTCTTAAACCCCTCGAATTCATCCATGATGGAATCAACTTCTTCCAAACTCCTTTGAACGTTGATATTCTGACCTCCTTCCATGACTTATGTTCTTAATGGCATCTAGAATGGTGACTCCTTTTCAGGTTTTCAATTTACTTTGCCCAGATCCATCAGAGGAATCACTACGTTATGGCAGCTTACAAAATGGAGTTTTTACATAATTAGCCAAAATTACTCCTTGGCTCATGAGTTGCAGAACATACGCTGTATTCACAGGCATGAAAGCAATATGAATCTCCTTGTACATCTTCATCAGAGCTCTTAGGTGAGAAGGAGCATTGTCAATGAGCAGTAATGTTTTGAAAGGAATCTTTTTCTCTGAGCAGTAGGTCTCAACAGTGTGCTTAAAATATTATGTAAACCATGCTGCAAACCGATGTGCTGTCATCCAGGCTTTGTTGTTCCATTTATAGAGCACAGACAGAGTAGATTTAGCATAGTTCTTAAGGGCCCCAGGATTTTTGGAATGATAAATGAGCATTGGCTTCAATTTAAAGTCACCAGTCACATTAGCCCCTCACTAAAGAGTCAGCCTGTCCTTTGAAGCTTCGAAGCCACATTCTGACTTCTCTCTAGCTATGAAATCCCAGATGGCATCTTCTTCCAAGAAGGGTGTTTTGTTTACATTAAAAATCTGTTGTTTAGTGTAGCTATCTTCTTCAAATATCTTAGCTGTATCTTCTGGATAACTTGCTGCAGCTTCCACATCAGCACTTGCTGCTTCACCTTGCGCTTTTTTTGTTATGGAGATGGCTTCTTTCTTTAAACCTCATGAACCAACCCATGATAGTTTCAAATTTATTTTCTGCAACTTTCTCACCTCTCTCAGCCTTCGTAGAATTGAAGAGAGTTAGGATCTTGCTCTGGGTTAGCCTTTAGCTTAAAATAATGCTGTGGCTGGTTTGATCTTTTATCCAAATCACTCAAACTTTCTGCATATCAGAATAAGGCTGTTTTGCTTTCTATCATTTGTGTTTTCACTGGAGTGGCACTTTTAGTTTCCTTCAGGAACTTTTTACACATTACATACATGTATCAAAATATCACACTTGCCTTAAAAATATGTACAACTATGATATATCAATTTTTAAAACAATTTTTTAAAGAAAGGAAAAAAATAACCTTTCCTTTGCATTCACAATTTGGCTAATTGGCGCCAGAGGCCTAGCCTTCGGTTTGTCTTGACTTTTGACATGCCTTCCTCGTGAAGCTTAATAATTTCTAGCTTTTGATTTAAAGTGAGAGATGTACAATTCTTTCTTTCACTTGGACACTTAAAGGCCATTGTAGGGTTATTACTGGCTTGGTTTCATTATTGTTATGTCTCAGGAAATAGGGAGGCCCAAGGAGAGGGAGAAAGATGGGAGAATGACTGGTCAGTGGAGCAGTCAGATACACACATAATATTCATCAATTAAGTTTGCAGACTCATAAGAGAATGGTTCGTGATACCCACAAATTATTACAATACTAACATCGAAGATCACTGATCACAGATCACCATAACAAACATAACAATAATGAAAAAGTTTGAAATGTTGTGAGAATTACCAAGATGTGACTCAGAGACATGAAGTGAGCACATGTTGTTGAAAAAAAGGCACCATGTATCTACTCAATACAGGATTGCCACAAGGTTTCAATTTGTAGAAAATGCAGTAACTGAGAATTGAAATAAAACAAAGCACAATAAAATAAGATATGGCTGTATACCTTCAGTTTAGTTGATACTGCCAAATAGTTGATCAGCATTGTTGTATGGATTTACAGTGCCATCAGATGTGTGTAAGTTACTTTCAGTTGCCTTGCATCCTTACTACACTTTTTGTTGCCTGTATTTCAAGTTTAGCCATTCTAGTAAACATGTAGAGGTGTCTTCTTGCAGTTTACATCTGCATTTCTCTGTTTTCTTGTGAGTACTTGGTTATCTTTTGTTTCATGGCACTCAATTTTATCCATTTTCATGTTGGTTTATTTGCTTTTGATTGTCATTTCACAGCACTACTTTATATTCTGGGTAAAAATCCTTTGTCTGATATATGTGGTGCAAATAATTTCTCCCACTCTGTTGCTTGCTTTTTTTCTCCCATAATAGTGTCTTTAGATGAACAGACGTTGTTAATTTTAATGTAATCCAACTTACTCTTTTTTTCTTTTATGGCTGGTGTTTATGAAATCTTTGTCTATTTCAAGGCCATGACATATGCTCCTAAGTTTTCTCCTAAAAGCTTTATTTTTTTACCTTTCACATTTAGATCTACAATCCAACTAGAATTGAATTTTGTGGATTGTGTGAGATAAAAAGTTCAACAGTTATTTGTTTTCAAATGGATATCCAATTGACCTAGCACCATTTATTGAAAAAAATAATTGTTATCCTTTCCCCAATGCACTGCAGTGTCAGCTTTGTCAAACATCAGGTGTCATGATGTGTTTGGGTCTGTTTCTGAATTCTAATTTGTTCCCCATTGGTTTATTTTCTATTCTTGCACTCACACCAGTCTGTTAGTCATTATTAAATATGGTAGTTCAGGTTCTAAAGTTATGTTCTTCAAAATTGCTATTCTTAAACCTTTATATGTTGCATACATTTTCGAATCAGCTTTTTCAAATTACAAACACACAAACACACACACATACTGCTGGGATAGTGATTAGGACTACAGTGAAACTATAGATCCATCAGAGGAGAACTGACATCTTTATACGATTCAGTCTTCCAATTCATCAACATGGCATATACTTCCGTTTATGTAGATATTCTTTAATTTATCACAATAATATTTTGCAGTATTTACTGTAGAATATCCTTAGTATGTTTTGCTAGCAAGTACTCTATATATTTTATTCTTTTGTAGATGATATTTTTAGTATTTTATCTTTTATGCTTTTGGTTGATTTATAGGAATACAATTGATTTTTGTATAGTGCCCTTCTACTAGTGGCCTTGCCAAATTTCTTGTTTGATTCCAATAGGTTGTATGTAGATCTTTTGGACTTTATACAGATGATAATGTCAAATTCAGTTAATAACAGATTTATTTCTGCCTTTCTGTGGACAGGACAATTAAAAATAACCACCAATTAAAAATTGAATCTAATTCTCTTCTTCCTGCCTTTCTTCCCTTGATCTTTCTTCCCTTGATCTACTAGTGGCCTTTATACTTGACTGACCAATAGAACATGGCAAAGGTGAAATCAGGCCAGTTTTGGGGATAGGCATTACTAGAACTGGCAGCTTTTACCTTGCCCTGTTGGGTCCCTGAACTGCTACATAAAAAATAAAGTATTCATACCCTATCTCCTACTAATTCCACTTTTGTATGACTCAAACATAAAAAATAAAAATAGAAAATGCAGACAAAACATTATGCACAAAATTGTTATTGACTATGGTGCAAAACTATATGTAACCTAATTGACTAATAATAAATGGTTACATAATTTTAAATGAAATAAAATGAAATGAAACTACTCTGAGACTTTCATTCTGTAAGGAATCCCAAGCCATGGGACATGGCCAGCTTAAGACATGCTGGTCAACAGTCCCAGCTGAGCCCAAACATTTCAGCTATCCTTGCCAAGGTACCAGGCATGTGAGTGGGGCCATCTTGTATCCTCCAAACCTGCCCATCTTCTAGCTGAGTACTATTGAGTGGCTTCGGTTGATGCCATGTGGAATAGAAGAATAAACCAGCCAAGGCCTGTCTAAATTTCTGACCCACAAACATTGTGATATATAAAAAAAATGCTGTTGTCTTAAGTTATTAGGTTTGGGCATAATTTTCTATAAAGCAATATATTTAGTTTCATGAAATGTGGACTAGAAGTGGTGACAGTAGCCGGACTTATATTTTTACATACATATATATATATATATAATTTGAAATTTTTGTGCATGTGTGCAAGTGCATGTGTGTGTAATAGGATTTTGAATCTTGTTTATTTCTTCTTGAACAGCATTTTAGGATAGTACATATAAATATACATAATTATTGATTATGACTATAATTAAGTAGGGATGATAATAAAAGTCCATAGGGGTTTTGTGAAAAAATAAATTATTACTTAAGTTTTTTAGACTTACAACAATATTTTGAAATATAATTAATACTCAATAAATTAGTAATTACTATTTTCATTACTGAAATTTATTTTTTCCAAGTGTTTGCTGCTTCAAATAATCAGCAATGAATATCACCGTACTATAGTTTTATGTGTTCATGCTGTAGTTTCTGCAATATTCCACAGTCCTGTGGTTGAATGTGCATATTTATAATTTTTATAAATAATGACAAATTTGGCTGGGAGTGGTGGGTCACACCTGTAATACCAGCACTTTGGGAGGCAGAGGCAGGCAGATCACCTGAGGTCAGGAGTTCAAGACCAGCCTGGCTAACATGGTGAAACCCTATTTCCACTAAAAATACAAAAAATTAGCCGGGCGTGGTGGCATGCGCCTATAATCCTAGCTACTTCGGAGGTTGAGGCAAGAGAATCTCTTGAACCTGGGAGGCAGAGGTTGCCGTGAGCCGAGATTGTGCCATTGCACTCCAGCTTGGGCAACAAGAGGGAAACTCCATCTCAAAAAAAAAAAAGACAAATTTACATTTTTCTCCTATAAAGCTCTAAAACTCACCTCTTTCATGAGTCATTCATAGCAAACATTTATTTAACTCTGATTACAGTAACAAACTCACAAATTTCCTTGGGACTTATATGCAATTCTGATTAATTTATGTTTAATACAACTGATTTGTCATTCTTATTAATAATAGCCTGAAGTACTTATATGTGCCAGGCATCAAAAAAAGGTTAAATCATTTTCCCAATATCATATAATACATAAATGTTGAACAAGAATCAAAGGTGGTTTCATTTTAATCCAAAGCCTGTGCTCTCGACTGTGATGCTATGATTCTTCTCAGAGCAAATCTGCCTTCTAATTTAATTCTTGCAAGAAGCAAAGATTAAAGAGTTAATTAATCTGCCCAAAGCCACACGAAAAAAGGCCACTTAATTTATATTCTAAAGTTTCATTGTAAACTTCTTGTCAGATTTCTTTTTCTACTTCTCAAACCGCAGACATGGAAAAAAACCAATTAATGCTGACTCTCTAACCCACAGGCTAATATATCTGACCACACTGGCTCTGCAAGACCATGGCTGAAGACTGCTTAAATGTTGTCCCTGAGTCAATATCTTAACATTTATTGCATCTTTTATTTTCTTAACAAAAATGAAGGCATTTGTGACTGTGTTGGTAAGTTATTTACAGTGAAAATATACTATATACTACTATAAATAAATCTACTCATTAAATAGAAATGCATGTCACATAACTGCACTGATAGCTGCTGTTTCCTTACATAATTGAGGGTGTGCCTTCCCCTAATCATGACCGAGGCTCCCTTTATAGTCCTTCACGTTCACCTTGGCTGATAGATTGAAATAAAGCTGCGACCCTTGCATCGAGAGTCTGATCATAGTTTTTCTTTATGGGTTTCTTCATTTTACATCCAGGTTATCATCTCCTGTTGGATGTATTGGTCTTCAATAATCTGCTTAGTCAGAAGTCTGAAGTAACTTAATTTATAACAACAACAAAAATCTTCCACTATCTTTCTCCCTGAATCAATAGGGTTTTCCCATTCTTATGACATAAACCTAGCCACCGTCACCAAATACTATATAACATTTTGAGCTATAGCATTTGCCTCTAAATAGTCTTTTTTTAATCAGATCAGATGGCATTATGCATCTCACGTGGTGCTGAAAAATAACATTCCCTGGCTTTACATAGTGTTGGCTATTGCATTATAAATTCCCACAATATAGGAGGATGGTGACAGAAGTATCAAGTCCCACCCATTCTTTGCTATCTAGAGAATACTTTATGTTTCTTGCTTATTTATAATGGAATTTTTAATCATTGTGTCACTCAAATGTGGCAAGTATTGATTTGGTATCTAAAATACTTCATTATTCTGGAATGCTTTTCCAGTGGATTCTGCTTCAAGAGAATCCACAAAGTTGCTACATTTTATCTTAAGAAGGAATAGAATAGAAATTTAATAGAAGTGTTGATTGACACAGATGTGTTTCTTTTTCTTTACAGTTTTCCATCAAAAATTGGGAATCATGCCCTTTCATACAACACAGTTGTGGTAAGTAGAAGTAAAAGTGTTTGCTCATCATTAAGAATTGATCCATCACTTTTTAAGAGAAAATGAGTGGTTACATTTACATTAAAGAGCCAAGCTTTTAATTTTTGAATAATGACTCAATTCAAACTTCTTTGATTTGCATATTGGAGAC
This sequence comes from Homo sapiens, assembly GCF_000001405.40. Taxonomy (NCBI): domain Eukaryota; kingdom Metazoa; phylum Chordata; class Mammalia; order Primates; family Hominidae; genus Homo; species Homo sapiens. The sequence continues at coordinate 21,022,059 of NC_000007.14, forward strand.
ACAATTTGTTGAAGTGAAAGAACACTGGAACAGAAACAAGAATACCTGAGATGGAGACTCACCTCTTACCATCAATCTAGTGTTGACTTTGGGTAAACTACTTAATCTCTTTAGCATCTGCATCCTCACTTGTAAAATGAGAGGTTTAAATTACAGTTTCCTTCCAGCTGTAAGAATCCGTAACATTATTTATTATACAGAAGGAATTTTCATTAAACATCTTAGAATTTATATTTCTATCTTTTAAACATTTTATTATTTTATAACACCAGAAATTAAGAAATGTTACGCCTGATATCCCACTAACAGTGTCCTTTGCTGGACTGGCAAGTACAACATGGCTATATGCTGTACTAAATATGCTATGTGCTATTGCTAAAGCTATAGCAGTTCTACTATGGTGCCTTTTAAAATTCTGCCCTAGACTAATACATTATATCTTCTAATTAAACCTTAACAATGAGCATACAATCGAGAATCATTAAACATTTACTCAACAAATACAAGTTTAGCTATTTATTGAATAAAGTATACCTATGAAGTCAATTTAACCTAGATTTTAGTCAAGTATGAATCTACCTATCTATCATCTCTCTCTTTCTCTGTATCTATCATGTCTGGGTACATATTTATTCAAGTTATTTTTAAATTTTATTTTTAATTATTATGGGTACATAATAGTTGTACATATTTATGGGGTATGTGTGATGTTTTGATACAGGCATACAAAATGTAATGATCAAATCAGGGTGATTGTGGTATCCATCACCTCAAACATTTATAATTTATTTGTGTTAGGAGCATTCCAATTCCACTAGTTCATTTCCCTAAGATGTATGATAAGTTACTGTTAGCTATAGTCACCCTATTGTGCTGTCAAATACTAGATTTTATTCATTCTAATTGTATTTTTGTACTCATTAACCATCTCCACCTTACGCCCCATATTTTTATATCCATTAATCATTCAAATTTTGTTGTATTGTTTTTCAGTGAAAATTGTAGAGGATATTGGTATTTGATTTACCTACAACCTGGGACAAAATTGACCCCACTGTTTTTTTTCTTCCTAGGTCCATCTTTTCTTCTGGGGTAGTAGAAAGATCAAGATCATCAGAGAACGTAGGGTGCAATATCAGCTCTCCAGTACCAAACACGGTTCATTAACCTCTCGGAACCTCAGGTGTCTTGGGGCATAGTTCATGTCTCCTGGCCCATCTCACAGGATTATCAGGAGGACGAATGAGATAAGTGAGTGCATTTTGTAAATTGTGAAGTGCTAAATAAATGCAAGGTAATGCAATATTAATTGTGAAGTCTTCACTCAAGCTATTAGTTCATTAACATACACTCGGCAAATGGCTTTGAGTACCTGGTATGTGGCACAGGCACTGTTTTAAGCATTGGGAATCAGCAGTCAAAAAAGCAGATAAGACTGTCTTGGGGCAGTGGGAAAAAGACATTAAAAAGGTAAAAAAAGATTTCAAATAATCATCATTGACAAGAAAATTAAAATAAGATGTTTCGACAGTTGAGGGACAACTATAAATGGTCATCTCTGTGAGGAGTGATTTTCAAGCTAAGACTTGGATGAAAAGATGGTGTGAGTCAAATCACTCAGGGAAGAGCACTCCCTTGGAAGGGAAGAATAAGTACAAGGACCCTAAGGCAGGAACCAGTTTCATGTTTTAAGAACACAAATAATCTCTGTGGCTGATGTATTGAGTAAGGGTAAAGGTAAAGTGAGATAAGTTAAATGAAATAGAATTTGCATTCCCCAGAAAATGACAGAATATTCTAGAATTTTGGTATACTGTAGACTAAAGATGTTTTTCACGTGAAATGGTGCAGCTGCTCTGTCTTAAAAAGATTTAGAGTAAACCTTGGGGGCCAACAGCTCTATACAGGTTAATAAAAACTTCATGACACCTACATGCTATTTCCTGAAGACTTGTTTTGGGGAAGTTGGACTTCAAAGGAGAAATCATAACCAACGTGTTTTCATCATTAGGTGAAAGCCAGTTTCCTTTGTGAGAGTACTATAGAACAAGCTTCAAATTTTCTGCCCATCAGGTTTGTCAGACAGTATTTCTGTTCAGGAGGAGGTAAACTACCCAGTGTCTAAAGCTATTCCCATTATGCCTACATGCGCCCATGGCAATTTTTTTTCTTCAGCAATAGGTGTCACTAAGAGGTAGCTGGGGAATACTAAGACCGACTTGCTTCAAAAGGATCTCAAATCATTCAGTCTATCAACCACAAGGGCACCCTATTCCCTCCTTCCCCACCTCCTGCCCAGCCCTGACTTCAGCCTGTTTTCAAGAAAGGCAATATAGCAGCAGCCGTTTTTTGTTTTGTTTTGCTGTATTTGCCTCAGACTCCCTGCCCGAGCCTAGGAGAAGCAGTGTCCCAAACCCTGCCATAACCAATACACAGGCGCTTTTCACTTAACTTTAAGTCAAATTCTAATTATTCAGCGATGTGAAAACAAGCATCAAAGGGAGAGGCAGTGTGGAAGAGCAGCAAAAGCACTGGATTGGCAGTCAAGGAGACAGAGTTCAGCTTTAGATGTGCCTGCTTCTGGAGCCTCAGTTCCCTTGTGTACAATCACGATGAAAATATTTCCCTGCTGTTCTGACAGGGTTCTAAAGGGAATTAAGTAGCTGTTATCTGCAGAAAGCGCTTTGTGAACCTAGGCTGCTATATAAAAATGGAGTGGGGAGAAATGGAGTAGTTCTGAATTGGCGAGTTTGTTTTCATTGACTGCCAGGTATAGGAAGGGCACTGAAGAAGCAAGACAGGGGCTGAGAGTCTGAAAAATATACCCTTTGCCATGAAGACACTAGAATTTATGCTAGGGAGCAGAGATCATGTATTAAGGGGCTACTGTACAGCACAGCTCTGGAAGGCATCGTTTGCACTGTAGTCTACGCATACATTTGAAAGGGTTAAGTAAGAATGTAAGTACATTCAATTAAAGGATAGGCAGTAAGTGATGGAGGAGCTCAGTGCCTGGAGACCTTGAAGAAAGAAGAAAACAAGGGATGAGATTTCAGCTACTAGGTAGAAAAGGAAACCTTCTGATGGGAACAAGAATAGAGACAAACGATCTCCAGTAAATTTAAGAACATGAGAATAATTGGGTGTCCTTTCAGTAGGGGTACGAGAAAGTGGTGTGACTTTTTTGTTCTTTTCTAAACTTTTTTTTTTTTAACATGGGAATAGTTTGGGGACTTTAAAAAATAATACTATGGCACCTGCCTATTCTTTCTCAATTCAAATGAAACTTAGCATCTGTTCTAAAAGCACTAGGAAAAGCCCAAGAGGAGAGCGAAGTGCCCGACAGCTAGAACCTTTGTGTTCTTATCTTTTTGCAGTATAATTTTTATTGACCCATGATCTGTTAACTTCTTTCCTCATTCGATGTAAAAAGATGATGACATAAATGTCTTTCAGAGACTTTATATATTTTCAAATGCAGAAAAGGCCCTGTGGTTGCTGTCAAGCTAAGGGATTCAATATCCCTGAGAACATCCATTCCAATAACACTGGCCACTCAGAATGTGTTTGTGCCTGTGAGAGCACACATATGTGCATGCATGTAAATTCTGTGTCTAAAATACTACAGTCCATGACAATGGTCTTACTCTTCAATAAAATTCAGACATTTAGGGCTTCACAAGGTCCAGTATTTCTTAATATTATAAGACAAAAAAAGTTGAATTAAAGAATTTAGTTCACGGTTTAATTAAATTTGTAATTTCAAAATTACATTTGCATCTGAGTGTTAACTGTATTTGAGTAAATAAATGAGCAAAAAAGACTTAAGCATTTCTGTGAAATTGGGTCAATCATGACAAATTTTTACTGTGGTTCATTTTTTGTCCCTCTTTTACTATATAGCCTTTGATTTTTTAAAATGGTCCCATGTTTTATTGTTGACATTTTATTTCAATATCTGATTTGAAAACAGCAGACAGATCCCCTGTGAATTTTAAAGAGATATCTGCTTTCTTTCATCACAGCTGCTCAGCCTTGGTGGATTGGCTGGGATTTTTTTTTTTTTTTTTTTTTTTGGATTATTATTGTATTACTTGTGAGAGGAGAAGGAGACAATGCGAACCAATATTCTGATGATAAAGATTTGGCAATCGAGTCATGTCATCATGTCTCTTTTCTCTTTCTCATTGGAGTTTTTGCAAAAGCAGAAACAGTGACTTTTTTCAACACCTGCATCTTTAACAACCAGAGCAGTGTAATTACCTTTCTTGAATATTCTATAGAATTGTCAAACAGCAATTTTCTTTCACAAGGGTGGCTTTTAAATAATGTCGTTTACATACAGAGTTTAACATCTCTTAAAGTAAAAATCTAATTATAAGAAACTAAAATTTACTGCATGTTTATAATTTGATCTTTATAAAATTGTTAATCAGGGTACCTTAACATATATTATGAAGCAGAAAAAGTACATGTAGTCAGATTAAACTAAATATTTTGGAGTTTCTTGAATATATGTTAATTTCTATCACTATTACTGGTATTAACACTATTTGGTATTTTATTGCATTGCTCTTGAATTCAACAATTTGTGGAGAGAGGTGGCTCACAATGACATGTTTTCTCAAGATCATCTGATGTCATCGTTTCCTCTTTGTTAATGAAAACTATCAATATTTAAAAAGAACTGTCATTGTAGTTTATGTATAGACAATAAATGGCATAGTCAAGCCAGCTGAGATAATTCTTCCAACGGACACATTAGATAATAATGCCAATACTAAATAATATTAGAATTTAGGTAACGTACTGCCATTTGATAAAGTGGCTCATGCCCAGATTGTATACACACTTATCATCTTTGGCATCTGATTTTATAATTTTTGAAGTGCAGATGGGATTGTCAACCACTGGAAGGAGTGATACTTCAATATTTTACTACAAGGTGAATGTTAAAGTGAAAATTTTAACATATCCCCACATTATTTCATTCTGGTACAAGCTCTAAATTAATGTTATGAAATGTTATGAGCATACCTATAAACCTATCGCTTACAAAAAATTAAAGAGTATCTTTTATAATCTTCAAATTGTCACTCTGGCAATTCCTCTATTGCCCCACACTATTCTCAGAATGTCGACTCGGCTACATTTTCCTCCTGTGCTTCTGTTCAGAATTTCTGTTCTCTATGCCAATTTATGCCCAAGGAGTCTGTAAATCTTTTGTATCTTTTTCTAAGCATGTTCTCCATGGAAAAGATAATCAGCCTGAAGTCTAATGTACAACCTTCTTAGGCGCTTTCTCAAAAGCACACTCTATCATTCTTTTAAAAAAATTACAAATTAAAAAAAGAATTTTAATGGAGTCTTACATGGCATTGTTTTGAATTTCCATCAACTGTCTAGATAACCAGTATTTCTTTATATAGCTCCATTCTATAGACATATTACTGTCATGTAAAATAATTTTTAGACTGTTTATATCTTGGTCATATACAATATGATTTTTGTGCCTGAAATCTTAAGTATGCCAGCAGGAAGAATCACCAAGTCTGAAATGCTAGAAATGTATTCTTTATGCTATGATACTCAGTTTAAATCTTGACATTTCCTGTTTGGAAAATAACATTTGCAAAAGAAAGTGATACTCAAAATATTCCACCTATTCATAAATGATCTCAATAGCCATATTTTATTACATAAAACTTGTTACAATTCTTATTTCCCTCCTGTATTTCTAGGCCCTCCATAAAATACACGTGTGATGGTAGGTATGTGTGTATCTGGGTTGCGTGTACTTCACATGCAAATGCCAGAAACAAAAAAAGTAGCACATTCATTCAACTTCTATGTGAACATAATGTTACCAAAGTGAAAAGGCAATTCTCTCCCTCTTTTTTTTTTTAACTTTGCTTTCTCTAGCATCCGCTTTAGATTTTATAGGGTTTCTCTCATACTATCTTAACTGGATTAAAGAGTAAGAACAAGTTTTCTCCATTACAAAATTCTCATTTAATCCTTATCCACACTTAATTTATCAAATTAAATCAGACAAGATTGATGCCAGGGCTTTTTAAGCCGGACATCGTGTGTAAAATCGGCAGACAAGGGTTTGTAAAGGGTGCCCACCGTGACTTGTCATAGCCTCTTGCCTCAGCTGCCCTCGCCTCGATCCAGGCGGGGTCAGGATGCTTCTTGGTGTTCCACTGTGGGCTCGGCGGGGAAACAGCAGCTACACAGCCTCCAGCAGAGTTACTTATTACACCCTCGCCTCCTTCACCTGCCCCGGCCATTCAAAATAACATCACACCATAAAATATTCATGAACCGCGCCATGCTGCAGCCAGGGCTCGCTACTGCAGGTGGCTGTTACATCAGTAATTGCTCAATACTTCCCTCCACAGCGTAAAATTGTTTTCATTATGTGTCATGAACACAGAGCCAAGCAAAGCCCTCTTGAGTGGTTTCCCAAGGGCTGGAGGGAGGTGGTACTTAACTTAAACAGGCGCTTTTTGGCTTAGATTTAAAAATAAATAGATAAAAAATAAAGGGAGAAGCCAGTGAAAGCTCATCATTAACTCTCCTTCTAAGTGCACAAAAAGCAGAAGCTCATGCAAAACTCTCATAAAGATTATCCTAAATGTCTCAGTTACTAGGAAGAGCTTTAGGGGTTTTAGCGGGTCTTACGATACTTCAAGCTGCAGAGAAGAGAATAACTTTCCACCTGACTGAAGTTCCCATGGAGTGCAGAGCTCTGGGATAAGCAGGTTTCAGCAATAAACTCCTGCATTGTGAGGCAATAATGCCCAGCCAGGTCCCCGCATTTTGATTCAAGGGTGTCTTTTTCTTTCCCCCCTGTGGAGGACTAATCACAGCTCCACTTTGTTTAATTGCAGCAAAGAGAGAAATGTGTTTAAGAAGTCATTCTGGACCCCTTTAAATGAATGCTGGGGTTCTTCAAGGACAACAAACAGGATGCATAATAAATAAGCTTTAATTTTCAGATCAAAATAGGCAAAGTTAAAGATTTTTAGTGACTGATCTGGGAGAGATGCTGCTGTCAAGAGACCAGAAACTGCGGGGGAAAGGGCGGGGAAAGCAACAAGTGGATTACAGTCTTGGTTTTTATACAGCACAAGCTGTTTTTGCATGGTGGGAGGATCCTTACAGGAATAAAATCTTTACGGAATTGGGAGCTAGTCGATTTCCCTTAGCATTTTGATTCTGATTTAGAAAGAAGAAAGAAAGGAAGGAAGGGAAAGAGAAAGAGAAAGAAAAAATGTCCTTCTTGTAAACAATGTTAAACCTCGGTAATTGACAGATTCGCCTCCCCTCATTTTCAAGCTCAGGCCTAGTTGGGTGCAATATGTGCGGTGAGATGGCCTCAGGGTCATGAACTCCCGGGGTTGGGAGGAAAAGCATTTATCCATCACATGCTTTCTTTCTGAGTTTGACAAAACTAAGCCCCAGACCAAATGATTGGGAAGCACCCCTTTTGATCTATTTAAAATCTGTTTATTTCTTACCTCTCTGGCCTAAGCATCTTCTTAAAGGAAAGTTAACTATTTCCCTCTTGTAAGATGAGTATTTGCTGATCCTTATCACTTTCTTTAGAAAATATTTACCATGGATGTTACGGCAAAATTTTCCAATACTGTAGCTATCTGGAACGGTATTTTCAAACTTGAAAATGTATAATACAAATCCCCTATTTCAAAACCATGATCTACAAATGTCTACAGTTTGTCTTTTTTTTTTTTTTCCTGAAAGGAGATTTTTTTAATCAACCCCTCTATGGAGAAAGTATTACAAAAAATTTTAAAAATTTATGGCACAGTTCTGATAGTATTTTTTTCAGTAACATACTATCCATTGATAACAAATCGACCATAGATAACTGTTAGTCCCATAAATTGAAGAAGGCAATGGGCATAAAACCACTCATGAGCATCTGCTGCAGGGGGTTTTCCTCTGGGTTAAATGGAAGATGTGAGGTTATTTAATGTCCTGCAAAAACTATGTAGAATGAGCGTGTGTGTGTGTGTGTGTGTGTGTGTGTGTGTATGTGTGTCTGCCATATACATATGTATCCTGAATGATGGATTTCCTTTGCATCTGGTAACTATAGACTTTTTTTCCTCTGAATACAGCAAATGACTGTTTCAAAATGAAAATCACTATGTGTTTGAATGTTGTATTATGCCTAGTCCCTTTTTGAGTGAAAGGCGGCTTTAAAAAGTAAGGTATATCATTGCCAAAAAGGGGCTAAATAGTATTGTCAGCATTTTGAGAAGGAATAGGTCCTTTTTCGCCTTCCGTCTCAAACTCTTTTCTGGACAGCTGTTAGTGACTTAGCGAACTTTTCATATGGATATGTATGTTAATGGCAGGCAATGAACTGGAGATGGAGAGGCCCAAACACAGGCCCAACTCTTCAGTGCACATCAAAAGCCTTTACAAAAGGAGCAGTAAAAGAGGCAGCGATGGCGGAGCCTTCACTTTTGTACCCTGAATTAGTTCTGCAAGCAATGAAACTGATCTTTTCTCCTTGCCAGAAAAGTCTGCTGATTTTTGTGAGTGCTCATTAGCACAAGAGGCATTTGTGAAGATAATTGACTGACGCTGATACTGCTGGCTGTCACAACAGTGCCAGCCAGCAGTGTATGTGCATTTTAATAGTTGTATTTTTTTTCTTTCTTAGACTTCATGGTTTCTAAAAGATACCAGTCTTCCAAAGGTTTACACTCTTCTTTGAAGCAGAAGGTTTTAAAATCTTTTCTTTGAAAACTGACAGCCAACCTTACTTTTTAAAATATCATATTTCTATGGGGTACCTGGTATGGATGCATAATGTAAAAGGTATCTATTCAATGCATGCAACTGGACAGAAATTATGCAGTTGTAGATCCAGATTATTCTGATATCACATGGACATTCAGGAAATAGTGGGTACCATCCAGTTCCTGGAATACAAGCTATCATCCTGGAGAAATAACAAATAAGGCAATATTCCACTTTGTCATCAGCAACTACAATAATTTCATACATTTTCAAACATTTTTTAGTTTTCTTTTTTGTAGACATATTCATAAAATTAGAAAATTAGGGGGGAAAGGGAAGTATTTTTGGAAATTCTAACTTAGTCATGCTTTGACATGAGGTGGATCTTTTATATGATGGTACCACCCAGAATGGGACTCTGAAGTATCAAAGCATAGATGTCAGAGGACAATTGAGTCTCTGTGCTCACACTGTCAAGGAATTCTGCAGGGAACACGATGTGAACGTTCCTTTTCACTCGAGTTTTTGCTGCCAATTCACAACATATCGTAGAAACCTGTGTTACTTGGTTGACATATGCCTTCTCTCTTTTCTAAAGGAACTTCTAAAACATTTACTTTAATTAATTATACATTTATCAGTTCTTTGTGTGGAAGAGCATATCTGGGAATTTATGTGTCATTGCAGCAAAATACAGACTTCGTAAGTGTCTTGTCCCAAATGAATGGTATATAATAGCAATATGTTAAATCTTCTGTAATCTATATGTGTATTAAGCTGTTTAAGGACTCTGTACATTGAATATGCTCAGAATAGTATTTTTCTAAAGCACTTCAGAAGCCTGCCTAGTTATAACATGTGACAGAGAGTATTTTCTTTGAGAGAAAAATAAGTTATTTTCTCAAGTTAAGGATGACAGAATAAGTTGAGTGAGGGTGAGAGTTACTTCTGTGCTATGACTACTTTTGAATGAAAATAAGTTGTCTACTTTACCCTCTGATATATATATATATATATATATATATATATATATATATATATATATATTCCTGGCAGCTCAGCTCACTGATAAACTAGGCTGGTCTGAAAGGGCTCCAGGGGAGGGCAAAAAGGTTGGCTATTTCACTGAGCATGCTTTGAATCTGCTGCTTGATGTGCTTTTTATAAATAGGCTCTTGATTTCTCAAAATGTAGCCATTGTGTCAACATTTTCTGAAAAACCAGCCATTGAATCCTTGATGTTTCACCTTGGTGGGGTTGTATATGTTTACAGCACAGACAAGTACAAGTTAAAGTATTTTAGAAAAAGAATTGAAATTCTCTTGCCATTCTTTTTCACCACTTGGCTTTCCTTGCATGATATTCTGATAAGAGGGAAGCCAGCTAGCCATCCTTCAAAGGATGAAGTGGGGGATGTATGTATGAAGGGGTGTGTCTGGGGGGCGGCGCTTCTCCCCTTCTGTGCTAACCACTGCAAAGAGGATGTTAGAATGATGCATCAACATTTTCTTTACCCAACTATCATATAAAATCACATTTGTGAAAAAGTAGCTTAGTGAATAGTAATCCACACGTGATGAAGAGGATGACATGTGAAAAGCACTGAGTTCGAAAACAGTTAGGAAATAGGAAAAACAGACAGAAAATAGGAAAAGATACCCACATCCTAGGTTATTAGGCTTCTCCCTGCAGCCATACGTGAACTCATGTGGGGAAATGTAGTGGTCTCTTTTAATGAACAAGGATGGTCATCAATTCTCTCTTGAAGGTCCAATGTTGGAACAAGAAGTAATAGAATTGCAACAACTTAGAGACTTATCGAGCAATTCATTCCTCAAATATTTCCTACAATGTTATGGGCATTATTTGAGGCACTGGGATAAAATAAGTCTCTTTCTTCACAAAATTACATTCAAAAGGGGACATGAAAGTAGAAACAGATATTCCTAACTATGTGTCAGGTAGCAATGAATGTTATTGAGAAAAGTCGTAACAAAGGCTAAGTAGGTTGATAGTACTGGGGCTGCTATTTGATAGTGGTGCATGAGAGTCTCTCTAAAGAAAAGACACTTGAGTAGAGACTGAAAGAAGCGGGGAAGTAAACCACGTGAATATCTGAAGAGAGAACATTCCAGGACAAGTGGAGAAGCACAAGGACAAGTGGAGAAGTGCAAGAACGAATGTCCAGAGGAGTATGCTTGAAGAACTCCAGAAGTAGTAGGGTGGGCATAAGACTTTCCAAGTGATGCTAAACAGAGCTGTCTCCAGCATAATTCAGTGCATGCTGGGGTGGCATTATCTTCCTACTTTTAAACCCACGCAATGTAAGTGGCCCAGTCTTTGGTGGAAAGCATGCTCATACAAATGTATTTTAGACCAACAAGATCCAGTGTCTGTAATCAAATCACATATGCTGGAGGAATATGATGAAGCCTTGTAATCTTTTAATATTGAACATACAACTTGTAATCTTTTAATATTGAATATACACCTTTCGCTGATGATTTTCTACATGAGTTTGTGTTTATCATCTATTTCAATTGGTTTTTATTCATTTAATAGATAAAATGTGTTTGTTCTAGAATATCTTCATATATTTTTGAAGAAAGAAGAGGCTGACCAATTAAGAGGAGTGAAATTTGGAGGAAATTACTAACCTGATAATTAGAACACTGATAAAAGAAAAATGGGAGTCTCTAAGAACAAATGAGTAAACAATGTAATTGAAAATGATTTTAAGCAGTGAGTATATTCTGGGGAAGATTAGCTTGACAAATTCATCTAATTCAAATCATAAGAAAAATACAAAAAGAGACCTTACTACGTAATGCAGGATTTGCAAACCCACAGCCTAGGGCAGTAGGGCAGCAACAGTGATGGAAAAATCCACAGCTTGTCTTAAAGCTGCAACCTCTCATAATTCAGTGAGGGCCAGAGGACCCAGTGATCCAGGGCCTTCAGATTTTTCAAGAGGAGCCAGAATTATGTGAACTCATTCTATTTTTGACTGTTGGCAATTAATTTAGAAACACACATATAGGCCAGGCACAGGGGCTCACGCCTATAATCCCAGCACTTTGGGAGGCTGAGGTAGGTGTCTCACTTGAGATTAGGAGTTCGAAACCAGTGTGGCCAACCTGGTGAAACCCTGCCTCTACTAAAAATACAAGAAAAAATTAGCGGGCATGGTGGCTGGCACCTGTAATCCCAGCTCCTCTGAAGACTGAGGCAGGAGAATCACTTGAATCCATGAAGTGGAGGTTGCAGTGAGCCCAGATTGCACCACTGCACTCCAGCCTTGGTGACAGAGTGAGACCCTGTCTCAAAAACAAACAAAAAACATGTAAAGCATACCTATGGGCTGAATTCTGCCTGCTGCCATACAGTTTGCAACTTCTGATTTAAAGAAGACTTAAAGATTAAATTCTTTTCAATAAAATTCTATAATGAAAATGAAAGTCCTCATTTTTTCATTTTTTAACATTATTTTTATAGACAAATATTTTTATATGGAATATTATTGTACTAGTTAATTGTAATATAGTGTTTCCATGTTTCACGATGTGCTATTTGCCTGTTTAAACACTTTTGTGATTAAAAGCACAAATTTGGGTGCACCCATTTTGGTGCACAATTTTGGCGCATCCATCACCCAAGAAGTATACACTGCACCCTATTTGTGGTCTTTTATCCCTTGCCTCCCTCACACCCTCCCCTAATGTCCCCAAAGTCCGTTGTATCATTCTTATGCCTTTGCGTCCTCATAACTTAGCTCCCACATATCAGTGAGAACATACGATGTTTGGTTTTCCATTCCTGAGTTACTACACTTAGAGTAATAGTCTCCAATCTCACCCAGGTAGCTGTGAATGTTGTTAACTCATTTCTTTTTATGGTTGAGTAGTATTCCATGTATATATATATATACACACCACAGTTTCTTCACTCATTAGTTGATTGATGGGGATTTGGGTTGGTTCCATGATTTTTTTTTTTTTTTTTGAGATGGACTCTTGCTCTGTCACCTAGGCTGGAGTAAAGTGGCACGATCTCAGCTCACTGCAGCCTCCATCTCCTGGGTTCAAGGGATTCTACAACCTCAGCCTCCTGAGTAGCTGGGATTACAGGCACCCACCATCATGCCCAGCTAATTTTTGTAGAGACGGGATTTCACCATGTTGGCCAGGCTGGTCTCCAACTCCTGACCTCAGGTGATTCGCATGCCTCGGCCTCTCAAAGTGCTGAGATTACAGATGTGGGCCACTGCACCTGGCTGGTTCCACAATTTTGCAATTGCGAATCGTGCTGCTATAGACATGTGTGTGCAAGTGTCTTTTTTGTATAATGACTTCTTTTCCTCTGGGTAGATACCCAGTAGTGGGATTGCTGGATCAAATGGTGGGTCTACTTTTAGCTCTTTAAGAAATCTCCACACTGTTTTCCATAGTGGCTGTACTAGTTTACATTGCCGCCAGCAGTGTAAAAGTGTTCCCTGATCACCACATCCATGCAAACATCCACTGTTTTTTGCTTCTTTGCTTATGGCCATTCTTACAGGAGTAAGGTTAGGTATCGCATTGTGGTTGTGATTTGCACTTCTGTGATCATTAGTGATGTTGAGCATTTTTTCATGTTTGTTGTCCATTTGTCTATCTTCTTTTGAGAATTATCTATTCATCTCCTTAACCCACTTTTTGATGGGATTGTTTGCATTTTTCTTGCTGATTTGTTTGAGCTCATTGTTGATTCTGGATATTAGTCTTTTGTCAGATGTATAGATTTTGAAGACTTTTTCCTACTCTGTGGGTTGTCTGTTTACTCTGCTGACTGTTCATTTTGCTGTGCAAAAAGCTCTTTAGTTTAATTAAGTCCCAGCTACTTATCCTTGTTTTTATTGCATTTGCTTTTGGGTTCTTGGTCATGAAATCGTTGCCTAAGCCAACGTCTAGGAGGGTTTTTCCAATGTTATCTTCTAGAACGTTTATACCTTCAGGTCTTAGATTTAAGTCCTTAATCCATCTTGAGTTGATTTTTGTATAAGGTGAGAGATGAGGATCCAGTTTCATTCCCCTACAGGTGGCTAGTCAGTTATCGCAACACTATTTGTTGAAAAGGGTGTCTTTTCCCCACTTTATGTTTCTGTTGCTTTGTCGAAGATCAGCTGGCTGTAAGTATGTGAGTTTATTTCTGTGTTCTCTATTCTGTTCCATTGGTCTATGTGCCTATTTTTATACCAGTACCATGCTGTTTTCGTGACTATGGACTTAGAGTATAGCTTGAAATCAGGTAGTGCGATGCCTCCAGATTTGTTCTTTTTGCTTAGTCTTGCTTTGCAGGCTCTTTTTTGGTTCCATATGAATTTTAGAATTTTTTTTTTCTAATTCTGTGAAGAATAATGGTGGTATTTTGATGGTGATTTAGTTGAATTTGTAGATTGCTTTTGGCAGTGTGGTCATTTTCACAATATTGATTCTACCTATCCATGAGCATGGGATATGTTTCCATTTGTTTGTGTCATGTATGATTTCTTTCAGCAGTGTTTTGTAGTTTTCCTTGTAGAAGTCTTTCTCCTCTTTGGTAAGGTATATTCGTAAGTGTTTTTTTTGTTTTTGTTTTTTTTGGCAGCTATTGTAAAAGGGGTTGAGTTCTTGATTTGATTCTCTGCTTGGTCGCTGTTGGCGCATAGGAGAGCTACTGATTTGTGTACATTAATCTTCTATTTGGAAACTTTGCTGAATTCTTTGTTCAGTTCTCAGAGCTTTCTGGAGAAGTCTTTGGGGTTTTTGAGGTAAAGGATCATATCATCAGCAGTGACAGTTTGACTTCTTCTTTACCAATTTGGATGCCCTTTATTTCTTTCTCTTGTCTGATTGCTCTGGCTAGGACTTCCAGTACTATGTTGAAGAGGAGTGGTGAGAGTGGGCATCCTTGTCTTTTTCCATTCTCAGAGGGAATGCTTTCAACTTTTCCCCATTCAGTATTATGTTGGCTGTGCTTTTGTCATAGATGGCTTTTATTATGTTGAAGTATGTCCCTTGTCCACCGATTTTACTGAGAGTTTTAATCATAAAGCAATGCTGGATTTTATCAAATGCTTTTTCTGCATCTATTGAGATGATCAAGTGATTTTTTGTTTTTAATTCTGTTTACGTGGTACATCACATTTATTGACATGTGTGTATTAAACCATTCCTGCATCCCTGGTATGAAACCCACTTGATCATGGTGGATTATCTTTTTGATATGTTGTTGGATTTGGTTAGCTAGCATTTTGTTAAGGATTTTAGCATCTATGTTCATCAGGGATATGAGTCTATAGTTTTCTTTTTTGGTTATGTCCTTTCCTGGTTTTGGTATTATGGTGATGCTGGCTTCATAGAATGAATTAGGGAGGGTTCCGTCTTTCTCTATCTTGTGGAGTAGTGTCAATAGGATTGGTACCAATTCTTCTTTGAATGACTGGTAGAATTCTGCTGTGAATCCAGCTGGTCCTGGACTTTTTTTTGTTGGTAATTTTAAAATTACCATTTCAATCTTGCTGTTATCTAATTCTTCTGGGTATCTAATTCTTCCTGATTTAAGCTAGGAGGGTTGTATTTTTCAGGTATTTATTCATCTTTTCTTGGTTTTCAAGTTTATGTGCACAAAGGTATTCATAGTAGCCTTGAATGATCTTTTGTATTTCTGTGGTGTCAGTTGTAACATCTCCCATTTTGTTTCTTACTGAATTTAATAGGATTTTCTCTCTTCTTTTCTAGATGAATCTTGCTAATGGTCTATCAATTTTATTTTTTTCAAAGAACCAGCTTTTTGTTTCATTTATCTCTTTTTTTTGTTGTTGTCATTGTTTCAATTTCATTTAGTTCTGCTCTGATCTTGGTTATTTTCTTTCTTCTGCTGGGTTTGGGTTTGGTTGATTCTTGCTTCTCTAGTTCCTTGAGGTGTTACCTTAGAATGTGTTTGTGCTCTTTCAGTCTTTTTGATGTAGGAATTTAGGGCTATGAACTTTCCTCTTAGCACCGCCTTAGCTGTATCCCAGAGGATTTGATTGATTGTGTCATTATTATCATTTAGTTGGAAGAATTTTTTAATTTCCATTTTTTATTTCATTTTTGACCCAATGATCATTTAGGAGCAGGTTATCTAATTTCCACGTATTTGCTTGGTTTTGAAGGTTCCTTTTGGAGTTGATTTCCAGTTTTATTCCACTGAAGGAGTCCTTGATATAATTTCAGTTTTCTTAAATGTATTGAGATTTGTTTTGTGGCCTATCATATGGTCTATCTTGGAGAAAGTTCCATGCACTGTTGAATAGAATGTGTATTCTCTGGTTGCTGGATGGAATGTTCTGTATACATCTGTTAAGTCCATTTGTTCCAAGGTGTAGTTTAAACCCATTGTTTCTTTGTTGACTTTCTGTCTTGATGACCTGTCTACTGTTGTCAGTGGAGCATTGAAGTCCCCCACTACTATTGTGTTGCTGTCTGTCTCATTTCTTAGGTCTATTAGTAATTGTTTTATAAATTTGGAAGCTCCAGTGTTAAGTGCATATATGTTTAGGACTGTGATATTTTCCTGTTGCACAAGACCTTTTACCCTTATGTAATGTCCCTCTTTGTCTTTTTTAACTGCTGTTGCTTTACAGTTTGTTTTGTCTGATATAAGAATAGCTACTCCTGCTTGTTTTTGGTGTCCATTTGCATGAAATGCCTTTTTCCACCCCTTTACTTAAGTTTATGTGAGTCCCTATGTGTTAGGTGAGTCTCTTGAAGGCAGCAGTTAGTTGCTTGGTGAATTCTTATCCATTCTGCAGTTCTGTATCTTTTAAGTGGAGCATTTAGGCCATTTACATTCAATGTTAGTATTCAGAGGTGAGGTACCATTCCATTCCATTCATCACGTTATTTGTTTTTTGTTTTTGCTTTTTAAATTGTATTTTTATTTTATAGGTCCTGTGAGATTTATGCTTTAAAGGAGTTCTGTTTTGATGTGTTTCCAGGATTTGTTTCAAGATTTAGAGCTCCTTTTAGCAGTTCTTGTAGTGGTGGCTTAGTGGTGGCGAATTCTCTCAGCATTTGTTTGTCTGAATTTTTCCTTTATATATGATGTATCTTTCCTTCATATATGATGTTTAGTTTTGTCGAATACACAATTCTTAGCTGATAATTGTTTTTTTTGATGAGGCTGAAGACAGGGTCCCAATCCCTTCTAGCTTGTAGGGTTTCTGCTGAGAAATTTGCTGTTAATCGGATAGGTTTCCCTTTATAGGTTACCTGGTGCTTTTGTCTCACAGCTCATAAGATTCTTTCCTTCATCTTAACTTTAGATAACCTGGTGACAATGTGCCTAGGCAGTTATCTTTTTGCAATGAATTTCCCAGGTGTTGTTTGTGTTTCTTGTATTTGGAAGTCTAGGTCTCCAGCAAGGCTGGAGAAGTTTTCCTCAATTATTCCCCCAAATATGTTTTCCAAATGTTTAAATTTGTCTTCTTCCTCAGAACACTGATTATTCTTAGGTTTGGTCATTTAACATAATCCCAGAGTTCTTGGAGGCTTTGTTCATATTTTCTTTTTTTTTTTTTTTTTTTTTTTTTTGGTCTTTGTTGTATTGGGTTAATTTGTAGACCTTGTCTTTGGTGATTGACTGATTGATCGAGGCAAATAAAATTTCTGAAGCAATGCCTTATTATCTCTACAATATTTAGGATTAAAAGAGTGTAGCTTTATGTAGAGGAGAGAAATGGATTGGAGCAAATCCCTTACATGTAGCAATCATTGTTCTTACAGCTCTTAGATAAGGGAGAAAGGAGGTTTGTAGCTAGAAGTACATCACCACTATGCAAGGACTTTGCCATTTACTAAGCAGTAGACACGCTCAGAACATTCAGTGATTTCTCTACTCTAAAGTCTTCCAAGCACCCAATAGTCTTTCTACAAAAGATAAGAGAGTCTGGGGACATAGTTCATATTCAAAGAGCTGGGATAATTTGGAGAAATCCTAAGGATAATTTTTTAAGGTTATGTTTGGCTTGATTTACATTCTTTTGACTGTGAGAACCTCTACTGATATAAACAGGGAGGGCTGAGGTAGAGTAGGAAAACTCTTGCTATAGTTTTATGACTGAATTTCTTAGGACTGAAATGGGGAGGAGTTTAACTTTATCAGCCACTTTTAATGAATCAGAAGACAGCCACTATTTCAAAAAACAAATTTTGCCTTTGATCGACTTCACACTTCAATAAAGGAAAGTGATTGTTTCTTTACTTTTAAAGAAGACATATGGGGAGGAGAGAATTAGACTTTTTTTGCAATGACTTAACTGAACACCCACCACCTTCAGACAGCATTATGACATTTCTGCTCAATGCTATAGTTACTTCTATAACACAGCAATTCTTACATTTTAGGAAACTTCTTGAATGCAGGCTGTGTGGGATTTATCTTTGTGTCTCCCAAACAACCTGGCACTGTGTCTTCTTCCTTACTGGAGAAATTCAATAAATAATTGTTGAATGGATGACTGAATGAATAAGCCAATGAATGGAATTAACACTACATTGTTGTTCTCATCTATTCCATCAATGTATATGCCATAACATTCATTTTTTCTCTAAGATGATTTCCTTCTTGGGAGGTGCAAGAATCTAAGAAGTGGCTAAGAAACAGGTACAGTGCTTGAAGATATGAGCGTTTCTGTTGTCGTTGTTATTGTAGTTGTTTTGGCTTAACAAATACACTGCACCTTAATGAGATGAGTGCCAGGATATTTACCTCTAATGTTTTGGAAAGCAAATGTACCTGATACTGCACTCACCATTTATGTAAATGTATGCATGCAAATTTAGAAAAGTATAACTTCATTAAATTAAATCTATTTTATCACAATCAAATGATTGAGGTAATAAAGGGGCAAAGAAAGATAATCCTGAATTTTAATGGCTGAAACCTGTGAGTAGAGCATTATCTTGCTGCTGCTGTTATAAGGACCAGTAATTGCCATAGTCTAGACACAGGAACAGATGCAAAGTAGAGCTTTATTATATCAGACATTTGCCCTACTACAGTCTAATTACCCAGAAAATACATTTCTACATGAATTATTCTTAATTTGATTCCAAATAGGCCAACTGTTGTATTTTACGGAACTTTATCAAATGACAAGATGGAGCACTAAATTTAAGAATAGTTTCTCTTTAATGCCAGTGCCGTTGAAAAAGCCAGTGGAATCCTCAAAGATTGAAAATAGATACACTTTTCAAATAAGTTCAATATTTGCTTGGCAATGTCATTAGAATTATGGTCATGATTATTACCTGCCTGCCTTTCTAAGTTGGCAAATTTACCACCTCAAGTCTGCTCTGTCTGCGTGGGTCTTCTTTAAAAGTAAAGAAACAATCACTTTCCTTTATTGAAGTGTGAAGCTTATTGAAGACAAAGTTTGTTTTTTGAAATAGTGGCTGTCTTTTGATTCATTAAAAGTGGTTGATAAGTTAAACCCCTTCCCATTTCAGTCCCAAAGATTTTTTTAAACTTTCGTAAGCATTAAATGTGAGTGGTTTTCTGAAGGAAATGTGACCTGTATAACCAGTTCTCTTTCCCTGATTTTTTAAGGTCCATTAGAAGTGAGTAATTCTGTGCATCTGTAACTTTATGCCAGTATTTTTAAGAATTTCAATTCATTTTTTCCCCTGCCGGCAGTGAATTTTAAAAGTCTTAAACATGCCCAAACATCTCAGGGGGGTTAAAGAAAATTATAATAGTAACTAGTTTCTCCCCCCTCCCTAAAAAAAAATAGAGCACACTACTGAAATTATTTAAATTGACTGAGGCTTTTAAGCAAGTAAACACATTTTAACTAGGTTTTTTCGCAATCCCTCCATTCATGCCAACTATAGAAATTAGCCTTCACTCTTCCTTCACTTACACATGGATACACACACTTGCATGGACACAAGAAAAATTTCTTTTCTCCTGTCAGCATTCCTCCCCAACAATGGTTAGATTAGTGGCATGAAGGCAGCCGCAGAGAAAGGACATTCAGGCCAGAAGGCTCCCCACAGGCACAGCTGGTAGGGGTTAATGGCGGCTGAACCTCCCAGCCAGGGCCTTTTCTCTATTGTGTGTTCCACTCCTGGGAAGGAGGGACACTTGTGACAGCCTCTGGGGTGCAGCGGATCAGAGGTAGAGCAACTGGGTCACAGAGGACTGTTCCAGGGGAAGGCGAGTTTAGGAAAAACGCACTCTGAAATCCAAATGGTGGTGTTTCTAACTGTGCACAACTGCTGTGGGAAAATGCAAAGCGTTTAGCAATATGGCTTATAAGTTTCTAATTCACATCTTCATATAGGAGCCTTACAGGAACAATTGGGCAGGGACTTTGAATCATTCCTATTGGAAAGTGATTGAAATCTGAGTGAAAACTACACGTTTGGCTAATGTATGTTATTAAAGTTTGTGTGCTAATGTCTAGGCGGTCTATTTTCCACATGGCATAAAGACTAGAGTGCAGACACAATGGTCAGAGGGGGAGAAGCTGGGGGCATCTTGATAAATAGGAGGTTGAAATTTAAGTAGAAATTGATTATTATGCATACATGTCCAGATAAAGTAGGTGTGCTTTAACACGCACCATCGAATGAAGAGAGGCATGGAAGTGGACCCGGATTTCTGAATTACCTTTCGATGTAAAAACAAGACAAAGCAACAACAACAGTAACGCTGAAACTGTTCTAGATATCTGATCTGTTAAATAGATTTTTATACTTAACTGGATAAATAGGGTTTCGTGGGCAGAACATGTCTTTTACAGAGAGTCCAGGTTTCTTGAAGAAAGATAGCTTTGTAACTTCGAGGGGTACTTATCTGTTAGTATCACAGAGGTGGGTTTTGTTACGAGACATGATTCTTTGGCTCAGAGCGGGTGAACTGAGGGTCCTCCATAAATATTTGTTAAATAAATAAAGACCCCACAGCCACAAAAATTGGTTCTGCTTTTCATTTTTAGCTTAAAAGGTCTACTTGTTTAGAAATGAGAATAAGGCCCAAGGAGGATGCTTTTTATACCGGTGAAGTGAATTTGTTTCTTTTCAAAATAGCTACACATCTCTACCAAAGGGTGCTAAAACAATTCACTTCCAAATTAACATTGGCCTAATTTATTTTCAATAAACCCAACCTTAAGAGCTGTCTAATTGGAGACCCGGTTTTGGCCACATTGAGGCACTGAATACTAGAGGCATCTTTATTCTAAAGCTTTTGGCTTCGTTTATCTAATTTGAAATTTTAATGTCAGTTGACTAAAATTTGCCCTCTGCTTGAGTTTGTTTTGACTTACTACTCTGGGAAAAGGAAGTAGGGGGAGTGAGAACAAATTAGGGCCCTTGGATTTTACCTGCAGCATAAACATTTAATACTTCCTCCCTTAAGTCACAATGGTTTTTTTGGGGAAACAACACAGCCCAATGAGCTCATTAAAGTTGTTCTCTTTAGGTTGTAGCAAGGGAGGGAAAGCAAATGAGTCAAAGCCCAGGGTGTTACAACAGCACTTTGAGGCCAATTGAAGAGGGCTGGGCTTTGCTGCACCTTGATGTGTCTTCTTGGAAGGGACTGATATTCTGAGTACACAGACCCTTCTAGGGACTCCTGGCCATGAGCAATCAAGGATGACCATCTTATTATCAAGTACCATGATGAATGCCTGGAACCTGCGAGGGGATTTATACTCACGACCTCATTTGGCATAGTTGGAGTTCGATTGGCAGACTAGAGTGACATAACTATTGTAATATGCCAAAATAGGCTTCTGTGGGCTGTGCTAGTACAGGTCAGTGCTAGTTACAAAATTCACAGGTGTAGAA
The DNA here is from genome assembly GCF_000001405.40 of Homo sapiens. Lineage (NCBI taxonomy): Eukaryota > Metazoa > Chordata > Mammalia > Primates > Hominidae > Homo > Homo sapiens. The sequence goes on from NC_000007.14 coordinate 21,043,697, forward strand.
CACCAAGCATTATTTTATTCACAAATATTCATTTTATTCTTGCCATTTCATTATCAGCTCTGAAGATTATTCTGACGTGATTTTTTAAATATATAGAAGTGAAAACACAGAAGCTTTCCTAGTTCCACAGTAAGTCAGAGCGAAGACCAGAGGGCATTCCTGAACACACCCATGCTCCACTAGAAAAAAACTCCTCTAGAAAACACTTCATTTTCTTTTCTTTCGTCTTTCTTTATTTGGGGGTAAGAGGTGTGGCAGACAAAAATGATCAGAGGGGCCGGGCGCGGTGGCTCACGCCTGTAATCCCAGCACTTTGGGAGGCCGAGGCGGGTGGATCATGAGGTCAGGAGATCGAGACCATCCTGGCTAACAAGGTGAAACCCCGTCTCTACTAAAAATACAAAAAAATTAGCCGGGCGCGGTGGCGGGCACCTGTAGTCCCAGCTACTCGGGAGGCTGAGGCAGGAGAATGGCGTGAACCCGGGAAGCGGAGCTTGCAGTGAGCCGAGATTGCGCCACTGCAGTCCACAGTCCGGCCTGGGCGACAGAGCGAGACTCCGTCTCAAAAAAAAAAAAAAAAAATGATCAGAGGACGGGACGTTTTTATTGTCACTCTAATGACTACCACATGAGGAACCTGAAGGGTTAAATTCCATTTTTTCTCTAAAAGTTCTGTATTTGTGTGCATGTGTCTATACTGTTAGATTTCTTTTTCATTTGCAAGAGGAAAAACAAGTCACACCTGGTTAGAGACTTTTCATTCCTGCCAAGTTTCAGCTCACATTGCATTTTTATGGCTGTGTTATTATAAATTCCCCCAAATAAAGCTAATATAACCTCCTCCTCGTGGAGCTCGCAGGTGCTGGCGTAATAAGATACATTTGCATTCCTCGCTTGTTTGAATAAAAGAGAAGGTGAGATAGGGGAGTTTGTTGACCTCATAGCCCTGGTATGTGTATTAGGTGTACAAAGATACAAAGAAATATTAAATTAAGAACTCAGAAAGAATTGACTCAAATGACAGCCTCACACATTATGGAGCTTTTACATTTAATAAACTCCTGATCTCCCTGGGAGCAATTGATTTGAAGCAATTGATTCAAATAGTTTGTTTTCACAATTTTAAAAATGTAGGTAATTCCATTTTCAAAAACAAATTTAACAGAAGATGCTGTTTACACAATCACTGTGCTGTTCTTAAACCGCTCACTCCAAGATCGTGTGATACAACTACACAGGACATGCTGGGGAAAGGGTTAAGCTTTTCTGACTTTCAGATACAATGAAATTATGACAGGAAGAAAATTGTGCCATTTTAGCATGAAAATGCTTGTACAAATACTGTCGTTCCTTCCTTCTTACTTTCTTTATAATGCCTCAGCGATAGCTAAGATGACAGACATTTGACAGGTATCTGTAAGCACACGGCCCAGGCAGCTCATTAAAGTTTTTCTTTCTATGCATCAGCTTTCACAAAGGCAAAAACCCATTAGCATTGACTATTTTGCAGATTAGAAGAATTAAGGGCTTCAAACGTTGGCTTATACCAAGCAATGTCATTTGTGAAGTGATGTTTGCTTTATTATTTCCCTTTCTCTCCCTCTGAAACCAGACTGACATGACTTTAGCTCAACGTAGGGCGTAATGTGCAAACCAAAGGACTGGCTCATCGATGAAAAGAAACACATTCCCTTTTAGACATGACTGGAATGGCAAAAAGGGGAGACTTTACATGTACTATTTAGGCTCATTAGAGGACTGATTATGATAGTTCTCTGGTGTAATCTTTAATCGACTTTGACACTAGATTTGCCCCGTTACAAATCCTGTCATGCAAATTAAGTCATTTGTGTTGTTTGATATGGAAAGATCTGCTATGAAATGAAAGATTAGCTCGCAGATGAGGCACAAGAGACGGCTGCCCTTGTGCTCTGTGCAACTGATTACAGGGATGACAGCGTCCATTTCCACACTGCTGTTAACATTTAGGAAAGGAGATTAAATTAACGTAGCTTTAGGTCTTCTTGCCTGAAGATATTCAAAATAGGTGTTCATGTTTTCAGAGATATTATTCTTGGACCATACCGAACAGGTGCTTCGAAGGCAGGGCTCTCATGTCCAGTTGTTTTAACCTGTTTTCCATCGAGTGGGCTTCTATTATGTCGATTCATGGGTGAAATTCTTTTTCTATACAGGTGATTGGTGTTCACTGACTAATGGGCATCTTGACAAACCAGGTGGGAGCTCCAGTTGTCCCAGCAAACTATAATTTCATTTGAGCCCTCTACCCCATTTCACCTTCTATTTTAAATATTAGATGGCCATACTCTCAGGTTTTTGGCGTAATTGATGGTTTTAAAAATATGTAGCCATTTGCAAGCCTCAAGGAGAGTTTTCTAAAAAAAAGATTCACATGAAATCTGATAAATAAAAGGATACTACAAATATTCATGCTATGTGACTTTGGAAACTGGAATCTTGTCATTTCTATAATGTGGTTTACCTTTGCTAGACATTTCTGGCCCTGAAAATGCAAGTAATTATTAGCAGAAGATAAGCAGAAAAGACTAGATTTAATTAAAACTGCTTTATCCACAAGTACATCTATCTTAGAATAGTTTGGGGTATTTTCCTCTTTACAGAGCTCTTCCGATTTATAACAAGGAGTTCACCATTTGTTGCTTTACTGCGTTAAAAAAATTGTATTATTTTTATTGTTGTATTGTTACTTCTTGTTTTTTCCCCCAAATATTTTCATTCTGTAGTTGGCTGATTACAAGGATGGAGAACCTATAGATCCCGAGGGCCAACTGTACTGTAGGTTAAATCAAATATTTGGGAATAGGAAAGTAGCTATATAAATGAAAAGTTTTTAAAAATCATTTCTTAAAACATTAGTAATATGTAGTATGTTGCTTCACTGGTTTTTAAAGAGAAGTCATATCGCTTCTCGGCCTTTTGGCTAAGATCAAGTGTAAAACGAAGTCATATGTTTACAACAGAAATTAAAAATTACTAGGCATAATTTTGCTTCACTATCATAATCAGTCCTCTGATGACCCCAAATAGTGCATGTAAATTCTTCCCTTTTTGCCATTCCAGTCATGTCTCAAACAATGGTGACACAATCAAGAGGCTCACACCAAATATAACCCAGTTGTCCTTCCCTTTGGTTATTTCTTATTTATAATCTATGGCTGGCATCCATACTAAATATGATTATAGACTTGCCATTTAATGAAAGGTCAAATGCAATCCAGCCGTCGACTGGCTGGAAAGCCTGTAGGTGCTCTGCATCTCAGCACCAGATAAATATTCTGTGTAATGCGGGGGCTGTCATAGAGGGTGCCTTTGATTGAATACTAATGTAAATAGTCATTTAAAATCCCTTTTAAATGATCATAACACAAGTTAGAGTGGCCTCCAGCAGCTTCATCCGTGTGTCTTCTTTTGGCACATTTTTAATTGGCATGCTTTGTCTTTTGAATGAGTCACACACCTCTGTTTTGATTAACTTTGATCAAATTTGGGGATTTCATATCCCTTGTAGCTAGGTAGAGAATTAGCCATTTAGATATCAGTAAAAGGAATTTTAATGAGTGAAATAACATGTAGATTTTCCTTGGCAATCCCCAGGAGAAAATTAATCCATAATAGAGTTTAACTAAAGATTTGAGAAAGTTTTCACAACTTCCCATGCCGACCTCACCAAGGTATAGCAAAATGTCCATAAAACTTTCATTCCATCTGATACTCATGAAACACATAGGCATATTTTTAATAATGTGATTTTGAATAAAATTATGAAAGAATGGATGGGTTAAAAATAGATAAAGGAAGAAAAATAAAAATATGAGTCTTTCATAATAAAAGAGGCTGAAAAATCTGTAAGGTAAGAGTGGATTAAACACTGTTGCTTTATTACTATTACACTGACATTTATGTGACTGAGAGTTCCTGCAGTTTGTGCAGTGTTTCGTAAGACATAATCCTTGCTATTAATGTGGTACTTTAAATTTAATTTTATAGCACAGCAAGCTAAATTGTTGCCATTTCTCAGCCATTACCTTTGCTTGGGGACCTAGACAAGCACATGTATTGTTCCAGACCACTGATGGACCAGTTAATGTATCAAAGGGCATACTGGTATTAGTACTTCCAGACCATTTTCAGGGATTCTCAAACTTAAGCCCCAATCAGAAGCACCTGGAGGGCATGTTAAACCACAGATTGCGGGGGCCCAACTGCAGACTTTCTTACTCAGCTGTGATAGGTGAAAGTTTGCACTTCTAACTAGTTGGTTGGTGTTGTGATACTGGTCCAGGAACCACACTTTGAGGACTACCGAGCTAGGGCATAGAGTTTCTTGAGGGGTGTGAGGCTTTCACGTGGGAGAATTCCTAAGTACTAGGAAGAGAAGGGAATTAAGTTGCCACTAACTTCCTTTAATGTTGTCTTCTCTTTTCTCTTTTAATGTAGACAATATCCAACTTTAGTTTTCAGAATATATTTTTAAATGTTAAATAGAAATGCAAATTATTTTTCCATGAAGAAGAATATAATATCTAGGACATAATAAATCCTTAATAAGTATTTGTTAACTGTGTTTAGTTCTCAGGCTAAAGAAAATATCACCTAATGCTTCTGATATACAGAATTGTGTGCTGCAAATGGTTGAAAAGATTTTAGTTTCAACACCTAATTCCCATCATTCTGTGGCAAAATATATCTTGAGTTCTGATGGGCGCCAGAACAACATCTGAAGATTGAATGAAACTTCTAAAGGTGAGGTGAGCAAAGAGAATAAAGTTGAGGGTGGCTTGTGGAGAAAAGCAGAAATCCCTGGACTTCAATTTCCAATTACAATCATTTCAGCAACATTTAAAAAGCTTTTATTATGTGCCAGGTCTTGAGTTAGGGATTGAAGGAATAGTGAGATGAGCTTCCCACCTTCAGGGGACTATATAATCTTATTTATTTTCTGGACCTGCTTAAACTAAGCAAGAACTAGCCCTGGATAAAAACTAGAGCCACATGGGTCCTAGGCCTCTGCCATTAAGTCCTGGGATAATCTTGGGCCAATCATCAAACCTTTTTGAGCCTTGTTTACTCCTCTGCAATGACTATTTATCACATAGTTTTTTTCATGCTTTAAACTATGACCTATCAAATGATGTTATTAATACTTAATTTTCATAGAGAGGAATGTAGACATTATCCCCATTTCACAGTTGTAATCATTTTTCTAAAACAGTGATAACAAGGCCCGTCCTGTACTTCACAGAAGACTTCTGAGGGTCAAAGAGAAGATTTATAGGTAAGGGCTTTACAAACTATCAAATACTATGCAAATGTGAGGAATCATTGTTCACTACACACAAACACGCTTGCAGGAAGATTCTTCTCTATGCCTGTTACCTTCAGACATTCCTGTGAAAGAAAACTAAAAGCATTTTTCTCTATGGGGTGAAAGCTGCAGGACCCCCTCATCTTTTCCCTAGGTTACTGTGTATGGACACTTTTTAAATCAAGTGCCCCTAAGAAACGATGGCCTGAATTCTGTGCTTGGGCCTGAGCTTCTGGCCTGGTTACACAGTGGCCAAGCAGAGTGTTCCTGTTGCAGGTACCACCATCCACTCTTGTGTAGACACACAGCTGAACACAGCAGCAGGTGGTGAGGGCCCTCAGCTTCCAGCAGGACCTAATGAGGCATCATTGCGAGGAGAAAAAACTCGAGTTTGGCATGCCTCAACTGGAATCTTGAGTTAGCCACATGCATTTGTGTGGGTTTGGAAATATGACTCTTAACTTCTTTGAACCTCAGTTTCCTCACTGGTAAGATGAGGTAAAAATTGTATATCTAAGTTTAGTGGAGGCTAAATGGGTTATTGAACATGAAGTGCTTACTAATAATGATAAATGTACGTACCCGACATGGAACAAGTGCTTTATAAAAGTTGACTGCTATTGTTATGATGATGGGTACACTAGAGACTTGTGAGAACACACTCATTTAGTCTATAAATGTCCCTAAATTTTTAAGTTTAAAATTGGGAAGTGCCCAGGAGTTATTTCTGGATAGAGAGGAGCTCTGCATTTCAGTAGTAGAACTCCAGCCATGCTGCACCTGCCATCTTGTCCCTATTGCTACTTACGGCTTAACCTTAAATTCCTCTCGTCCATCCCTTTCCTTGCCGTTATCTCTGATATAGTTCATTCCCATTGTGCAGTTCATGGCGGCGGTCTTCTGGAAGCTCAGCTTAACTGGAGCACCTCCACATGGCTTCTCCATGTGGCTTGGGCTTTTCACAGAGTGGCAGCTGGACTTTGGGAGAGCTACAAGGCTTCTTATGACCTGGCTTCTAAAGCTCCAGAACAGCACATTTATTGTGATCTGCTCAGATTCAAGGAGAGAGGAGTTATACCCCACTTCTCACTGGAAAGATTGTCAAAGAATTTGTGGCAAATATTTAATTTGCCACAGGGATTGTGAAAATGAAAAGTTGGCAATGCCTGAAAGTACCTTGCTCAGTAAATGTAGGGGAAGACAGACATAAAGGGCTCAGTCTAAGATCACTAAAAGATATTAAGACCAATTATCAGGGAAAAGAAGGCCTCTCATATCACTTCCCTTAGCTTGGCACCTACCTCGTGTGTTGTAAGTGCTGCTTATTTGCCTCTATCCACCCCTGTTTTCCCCAGGAGCATGGACTGGAACTGAATTGTTCCCTTTGGATCCCCGGTACCCAACTCGGATTCTGGCATATAATAGTAATTCCAAAATTATTTGAACAATTGCATGGATGAGTCATTTTCATAAATAGGTAAGGCAGGAGAAAAAGTTGATTTGAAAGAAGAGATAACCTTTGACATTAGACATATTAAAGTTTGAGAGGCCAGGGATATCTGGAAATTGCCAGCCATTGAGAATATAAAACCGAGTTGGGAAAGGTGCAAGTAATAACACAGATTTGCAAATCGCCTGTACAAAGTTGATCATTGTCAGGCCGTGTGAGTTCTCCAAAGGAGAAATGTAGAAGAGGAAGACAGGCTTAGCTAAGAGTTTTTATTCCAAGAATAGGAAGAAGAATAGGCAGGCATTGGATATGAATGGTGAATTCCCACCTGCGAAGATGAGGAGGGCATCCTGAGCAAGTCATAATCCTTATGAGAAGCCAATGTTTATCATCTTTGATCTTGGGATCTTGTTCATGGATTTCTCTCCCCAAACATTTATATGCTTTGATCTAGAAGTACTGGAAATATTCCCAAGGGAATTAAGCAACTCAGAAGTTATATATGCCAATAATTTCCTTACAGAATGACCTACAACAAAAGTTACATTCTCCAGAGAAGTAAAGAAAGATAGAGAGGGCAAGTGAATATGCAGCACAGGAAGATAAAAAATCAAAACGTTTTAACTAGTAATTTTATCACATTTAGTGTGAAACATATTTCTTACTACAATGTTTTATTGAAAACATTGCTAAATGTCATTTTGTTAATACAGAAGTTTAACTTTGCAAAACCATGTCTTTGATTTCACCCATCACTGTATGTCCAATTTACCCGGATTTCAATATTTCTTTTTTTTTTTTTTGAGGCAGAGTCTTGCTGTGTCACCCAGGCTAGAGTGCAGTGGCAGGATCTCAACTCACTGCAAGCTCCACCTCCCAGGTTCACACCATTCTCCTGCCTCAGCCTCCCAAGTAGCTGGGACTACAGGCACCCATCACCGCACCCGGCTAATTTTTTGTATTTTTAGTAGAGATGGGGTTTCACTGTGTTAGCCAGGATGGTCTCGATCTCCTGACCTGGTGATCCGCCCATCTCGGCCTCCCAAAGTGCCGGGATTACAGGCATGAGCTACTGCACCCAGCCTGGATTTCAATATTTCAAGATAAAAAATTCCAGTTCAGTGAGTAGGAATCCTCAAACCTTTGTTCCTGCTTTCCCACGTGACCTTGGGTGGGTCACTTAGTTCTGATGGGCCTTAAGTCTCTTATTTGTAAAATGATGAGAGATGTTAGGAATTTCTTAAGTCCTTTCCAGCTCTAAAATTCTTTAATTTTATGGTTTTGAAGTCAACAGTTTGGAGCCTCCTGTCTTGTATTTATGTAGTCAAGAAAAGAGAGATTGCCCCAGTAGTCAGTCACGTGAACTGGATTCAGGTTATTTCCTTTGTGGTAATTGCAAATGAAGCTTTGTTAGTAATAAACATTAGGTGTTTTGTTTTTTGTTTTTTGTTTTTGTTGTTGTTGTTGTTTTCAGCACCAGCTGATTAAAGCCACTTTTTTGATTCTTCGGGTTACTTCCCCTTCAGATACTGACCACACCTAGGCAGCTCAAGACTTTCTTCTGGCTCTGAGTCTTACCATACAGTAACCAAAGTGTTATGCTCAAAAAGGACTTTAACACCAATGATTCATCATTTCAAACCTCCAGGAAAGATGATATTACAATGTTAAAAACAATGTATGAAGGCACTAGCAAATATATAGAGCAATGAATAAATTCAAAAATAACAGAGCATGAAATATTATCAACGATTTATTTCTCAGCCACGTAAAACTTCCTAGAATATGTTAGAGTATGTGACCATTTAAGTACCATCAGAATGTTACAAAAGTTATCCTGCAAAAAACAGATCAGTATCTTTAAAGTTAACTGTTTACTACCCAAGTAACCTTGGAAGTCTTAGAAGGGTATGGCTTCGAGCCACGTTGGAAACAAATATACTCAGCTATTTATCTACAAAGGCAAAATGCATATGTTTGGGAAATGAACATATCCCAGGGTATTAGAATAGAATAGACAAACAAAAGTTGCGTGACTTAAATTTGCCCTGGACTTTAATAAAAAATCTAAGGGGAAAAATTTGATATATTGTTTTTATTTCATTTTAGAATAATTCTATAATAATGATGATGATGGTTTGACAAGTACATGTTACAAAACATTTATGAAGTCTAGCATAGAGTTCCTGGAACATAGCAGTAAATTTTTGTTGTTATATTGGCAAAGTTCAAACTGTGAAGGTAATTTAGTCTACATGGCATTCAATAAACTGCACATTGGCACAGTTAGGGCTAGCTCGACCTTAGAATATATTGTTTTTTTGGGGGGAAACATTTGGAAAAGATGTATGTAATTTATAAAGTTTAATTGAATTAAAATAGCATAATTTAGTCAAAATTCAGCTTAATAAATGAAAGTAACCTAAATTAGCACATTATTGATAGTAAGTTTTTAAACCTACAAAGAATTGATTAGTGAACACTGTAAATATTAAATACAAGTAAGTCACAAATGTAAAATATTGTCAGCTAAACATTAAATAGTTCTCATTATGTGCAGTGTGTATGCTAAATTCTCTATTAACTGACATTATCTCAATCAGTTCCGATAACAATCCTTTGAAGTAGTAACTATTACCCCATTTTCAGATGAGAAAACTGAGTCCTAGAGACTTGCCTCTAACCGCACAACTGAAGTCATCCATCATTTGAACTCCGTATCTGTCTGGTTCCAAGGCTCGAAATCTTAACCACTTGTGCCCCTCAGTGAGCATGAAATAAACACTAATAAACGGAAATCATGGAAACAGGGATTCATAATAGCCATTTTTACTTGCTCAAGGGAATAGTATTATAAGATGTAATTGAATCATCTTTCATAAAGAAATGAGTAAATCTAAATAAAATCATGCACATAGTATGCCTCATTTTCTACACGAAATCAGCTTTCATGGTTAGTGAGTAAAGAAGAATCATTGTGGTAAAAAGTTGTACCTGGTAACAACTTCCAGATGCAACAGAGCTTATAAACTCTAGTTTATAGAAATGCAGGGCATTACGAGTCCATATTTCCCATGTTTTGTTACCTAGTACTGGTAGTTATAAGTAGGTAAAGTTAAAAGTTACATTTAGTGAAAAATGCAGCTAGCGATCCAGTAGCTGCTGTGCCTTTCAGACAAATGCATTTTTCTAAAGAACGTGAGGTTTTGGAGGTGGCTTCATCTTCTCATATTAGCACGTTCTGTTGTCATCTTATTTTATTATTTATTTTGTTGTTGTTGCAATGCATCAGAAATTGCTACAGTCTTATATGCAGTTACTTTGTGCTCATAAATTATATTCCTTCTTGCTCCCTTTCATTCCTGGGATTCTGGCTTCCTCCTCCCAGCAAGGGGCAGTGGGGGTTTATACATAAGCATCTTGCGTTAAAGTCGTTTCAAAGCTCTCCTGTAAATGTATGCCTCTCAGCCGGGCGCAGTGGCTCACGCCTGTAATCCCACCACCTTGGAAGGCCAAGCGGGTGGATCACGAGGTCAAGAGATCGAGACCATCCTGGCCAACATGGTAAAACCCCATCTCTACTAAAAATACAAAAATTAGCCAGGCGTGGTGGCACGTGCCTGTAGTCCCAGCTACTCAGGAGGCTGAGGCAGGAGAATCTCTTGACCCCACAAGGCGGAGGAAGAGTTTGCAGTGAGCCAAGATGGTGCCATTGCACTCCAGCCTGGCGACAGAGACTCTGTCTCAAAAAAAAAAAACACCAAAAAACAAAAAAACAAAACAAAACAAAAGCCTCTCCTACAAGGGATACTAAAAAAAGTATGGGAAAAAGGGGGCGGGTGAAGTGCCGTCCCATTAGAAGCATCCAAGAAGATAATGCAGAATTCTAAAATTATGAAAAGGGCACCAACTTTTTTGGTTCACAAAGAAAATAACATGAAAAGAAGAAGAACCAGAATCATTATATGCCCTCTTTAAAAAAATATGACTTGCACTGTCTTTGTCTCTTCTTTCCAGGGTAGCCTTCTGCCTTGTGACTTAGCGATTATTTGTTGAGAAATACAGGAGGCTTTTCATATGGGGTGACTCATTAATAATGAGAGCCAGTCCTGCTTCTGTCAGTCTCCTTAGCATTGCTAACCAGGCTGCTGTGGCCCTGGCTCTGCTGCCACGTAATTCACAGGCCCACACATTGACCACCTCCACCCTGCTGGAAGCATGTCACCTATTGTCACCCCCTCACTAGCAATTCTTTATGGATTCCTCCCTAGGACTGAGCTGAAAGTTTTTCAATTAAGCCTGATTAATTTCTGGAGACTCCCCTCTAATTTGGAAACTTCAGTTCTGTAGATACAGTGCGTTAAGTCTCCAAGGAAACCATGACAATTTGTGACTCTGGAGCTCAAGAACTAATTCTTACCTGCTTTAGTAACACTGACAGTGTCATGACAGCTTCAGGAGGCTGCCGTTTCCACAGTGAGAGATTCTGTAAATCGATTATTAATGAAGCACTGCCATATTTTATGTGACTGTACTTTTGAGGGAGCATGTTTATATTTAATTATTGAAATTTGAGCTATGCAATGGCACAGCAGCACAAAAGTCAGCTATTATCTCCCCAAAACGGTTCAAAAATCAATCTTCATTCCAAAACCCATAATAAAAAAATAAAAAAATAGCAATTTATTAAAAAATGAAAGACGTCCTATGTCAGAAAAGCTATCATTAGTTGTGCTAAAACTAATATGTACACAGTTTTTAAAGAGAGATGTGCATAATTATGCAAAAGAATTTTAAGCACTTAGTGAATGGTGGGCCCACTGAATTGTCACTATCATTGGTAGTTTGACATTTGCCCTGCTTCTGCCTGTCACACTAACCAAGGAGGCAGCTGTTATTAGAGATGTGTATGAATAGTATTTAATAAAAATAAATAAATAAGTGAATAGCTACTTGTGTTACCATGTTCCCACCCTCTCTGGAGTGTGATCAACTTGTCCTATTGAAGTTTTGACCTCTTCTAGAGTCAAGAATTTTGCCTGTACAGCTGCTTCTGAAACTGTGATCACGGAGGGGCAATACATAGAAAGTAAGAGTGGGATGACAAGAAAACCTTCCCAGTTGGCAAGTAGTGGCCTTAGAATTCTTATCTTAAAGAGACTGGGGTAGCAATCTGAATATGAAGTGGCATTCATGTAGCATTTTACATAGAGGTGCAAAATGGATGGGCACTGCTCAAGTTCATGGAAGTCTAAATCTTCCCAATCTACTCACCCTGCTGTCACTGGCTCTTCAGTGCTTGGTTCCTATGCTTTAGGAGAATGGTGGGGCCACTGAAGTCTTCTGAGTGGTATGTGATGTGATCAGATCTCCCAATCTACTCACCCTGCTGTCACTGGTTCTTCAGTGCTTGGTTCCTATGCTTTAGGAGAATGGTGGGACCACTGAAGTCTTCTGAGTGGTATGTGATGTGATCAGATCTGCATTTTATAAAGATACCTCTGAGACAAAGCAGGAGGAGATATATCACTTTGCCCAAAAAAGAAAGGATAATGGCTCGAACTCAGTTACTGTGGGAGGAAGAGTGGTCAAAGGCCACAACTGTCATTTACTATGAGAGGCATTTTAAATGCCTTATTTTATTTACTCTTCAGAATAACACTGCACGATAGCATAATTGTGCCCATTCTGTAGAGTCTTAGAGATGTAAAGTTAGTGACACAGTAACATAGTTCATGAGTGAGGGGTGATGGGGCTGCAATTTAACTGAGATGTGCTTGAGTGTAAAGCCATGATGTTTCATAGTTAAGAGCTAGCGCTAGGTAAGTAAGCAGTTGTTAGCATGTAATGGGGGTGTAATCAAGGTTGACTAAGGTTTTCTGCTTAGTTTATGGGTAGTTGATAATACTGTTCAGAGACAGAGAGAAACGAAAAAGAACAACAACGGATTTGGAAGGAAAGATAATAAGTCTGTTCAGGAAAGAATCATGTTTAAGTCAGTGCAGAATATGCAGAGGGATGTACCCAACAGAAGGTTGGAAACTCAGGTCTGGAGATTTAGAAACTTAGAAATAACTAGAGGTTCTAAGAAAAGTTGACGCCATGTAAGTTGATAAAATTGCCTGTAGATGTTGGAGAAAATAAGAAGAAAAGAGAACTAGGGGTAGAATCTTGAGAAAACCTAGAAAACATTAGGACCGACTGGGTGATTTATAAGAAGTGTGACTGGCCTGGATTTTCCCCTAGATGAATCAGAATTTCTAAAGTGGGGCCCAGGTATAGGCAAGTTATAAAAACTCCCCAATGATTCTATTGTGAAATACAGCCTGAAACCATGATCTGAGGAGTGGGCAAAGTGAAGGGAGAGTGATGTGAAGTCTGAGGACCACCAGGGGAGAACAGCAGCTTGTCATAAGCTGAAAGAGGTCTGGTAAAATGGGACCCGCAGAAAGGCTGCTTTCAGGAATTGTCTTGGTGGAATCATAAAGAAGGAAGGTAACCACCTGGATAAAAACCAGAACAGAATTAGGGTGTGTGGCTTCTCCTCTCAAGGACTTATGTGGTAAATCAAAGTAGAAATCTAAGAATATTCTTGGTCTGTGGGAGTGGGATGGCTGGGAGAGACTTCATCCTGTTTACTGGCTGTGCAGAGCCATCCGGCTGTACAAAGCTGGAAAGAAAAAGAACATAGAAGGGAGAAGAGACTATTGAGATCCTGCAACAGGTGAGTGTGTGGAAATTGAATCAAGAGCATAAGTTGGTCTTGAAAAGAAAGAGGCACATTCTTCCTTAGTTAGATCAAAATAAGTGAGGATAGATGGAGACCAATAAGAAAATGAAAGGAAGGTGAGTTCAGAGTTCACATCTGATCATCATTATTTTTCAGACGTAGAAGGCTATTGGGTTCCTCTTCCCTAAAAAGGTACACCCAGAGGTATCTCAGCGCAGCTCAGGTTGGTCTGGGTCCTGTGGTGGAGATTTGAGGCACCTCTTGCTTAATGACTGTAGAATGTACAACTGAGGGCAAATCCCAGAAGTTAAGTTTTGAGGGAGTGAGGAACTTAAAGCCAATAAGTCTAGATAGAAACAGGAAACCAAGACATGGCACTGAAACAAACTGAGAAGCCAGGAGACCCAATTAACTAAGTTGTCAAAGCAGGCAGCAGGCAAGGGGCAGCCTAGCTGGAGAAACCCCGGGCAGGTGCCTGCAGCTGCTGCTTGTGTCTTCCCTGCAACTGCCTGCACACTCTGCAGGTGCATTTCAACAGAATACAGAGGTTAAGTCATTTCTGGAGTGTGACTGGAATGATGGCAGAGTGTGACTGTGGACTACCATCTCTCTCTCTCTCTTTTTTTTTTTTTGAGACGGAGTCTCACTCTGTCACCCAGGCTGGAGTGCAGTGGCACGATCTCGGCTCACTGCATCCTCCACCTCCTGGGTTCAAGTGATTCTCCTGCCTCAGCCTCCTGAGTAGCTGGGACTACAGACTCATGCCACCGCACCTGGCTAATTTTTGTACTTTTAGTAGAGACAGAGTTTCACCATGTTGGCCAGGATGTTCTCAATCTCCTGACCTCATGATCCACCTGCCTCAGCTTCCCAAAGTGCTGGGATTACAGGTGTGAGCCACTGCACCCAGCCTCTGCCATCTCTTTCATCAGTCACCAGGGCCCATTGTTTTAGGAGGCATAGAGATGAGCCCAATAATCCCTCCTATCTCATATTCTGCAATGTGACTTCACCATTCCTCCCTTTAAGATGTGGAGTCTATTTCTCCTTCTGAATCTGGGCTATACCTGTGACCTACTTTAACCAATAGAATGAGGTGGAAGTGATGTATGACTTCTGAGCCTGGGAATCTGTTGGGAATCTAGCTGCCATAGAAATAAGCTATGAATAAGGAGAGACCACAGAGGATGAGGGGGAATTGTAGAAGAGAACTGAGGTGCCCCAGCCAACAACCAGGACCAAGACTCCTGATACGTGCATAGGGCCATCTTAGACACTCGAGTATCATTGAGCTGATTCAGACTTCCTCAGACACAGCTTCTATAGAATGGAACATTCTTTTGTGTTTCTTTATATGGGTCTCATCATTTTTAGTGAACATTGGACATTTTAAATACTATAATGTGGCAACTCTGAAAATGAAATTCTCCTTCCTCTCCTGAGTTTGTTGTTGTTGCTGTTTATTATTGTTTTTGCTATTGCTGAAAGTTTGTTGTGTGACTTTCTTGAACTAACCCTGCGAAGTCTGTATATTCTTTGTTATGTGTGGCTGCTGAAGAGTTTGCTCAGTCAGCTTAGTGGTCAGCTGATGACTGGGCAGTGATTTCCCTAAATGCCTGGAACCAGTAAGTCTCCCTTATCTCCTATATTTTATGTGAGTGTTGGGGCATACCTTAAACATTTAGGCAGGCAGTTTACAACTCTACCTTAACCTTCACTTCCTACTTGTGCAGAGCCTCAAGGTCATCCAGAGGTGAGAGTTTAGGCCTTCTAAGGTCTTTCCTGAGCATACACACAGCTCTGGCCACACACCTATTTCTGTATATATGCATGATCTCCAAGATTCCCAGGTTCATGTGAGATCTTTTCAGATCCCCTTTGTTCATCTCATTTCCCAGATGTTTCTTTTAAGTGTTGTGGCTAGCTTGTTATTTGTTTCCTCAGGCAGCTGTGATGCTAAACAATTGCCATGGGTTGTTTTCAACAAATGCCTTGAGGGAAAACTATTTGCGTTGGATGAACTCTGAGTCAGGGCAAATAGAGACAAGCCCTGCAAGTGGAGCTGCCAGACATGTCAAATAATGACAAATCTCTGGGAAAGGGATTTAAAGAAGCTCCAGCTTCATTCTGCCCCCTCCTGTGGCTCCTAGGCTGCTGGTTTTCACTGTGATTGCAGGCCGTTGGTTTTTAAGGCTTCCACAGAACTAGTGATGGGGAATGGAAACAGTGCAAGTTAAAATGCCACAAAGTGCCCAGCTCTTACCAAGATTTCACCTTTTTCTTGAACACATACTCTCCAGACTGAAGTTGTCTTTCGTTAATTTAGAGTTTTGAAAAAGTTTAACAATTTATGCCAGGATTTTCGTTGCTTTTACAAAGAAAAGACTTTTTGGAGGGCCTTATTCCACCTTTCTTGCTAACATCACTTTTTTTGCAGACTTGGGCAATTTGTATCACCTCTCCAAGACACAGAACTCAGGATAAACATTTTGGATTAAATAAGTTAAATATGATAAAGTGCCTACAACATGGAAGAAGATTGACAAGTGGTAATGGTTGTGTGAGTGAGTTGTTGAAGTGGAGTGAAAGCTGATGTTATGTAGTAGAGAGGTCGAAGCATGTGCTTGAATCCCTCTACCCCAACCTTTGCTCTCTTGTGTGGTCTGAAGAAAGAAAAAATGAATTGGCCTAGCCAGGACAGGCCAGACCCACGGTTACTGTGGAGAACCTTAGGACTTGAGATATACCTGAGTCTATAAGGATGCTGAGAGACAGAGAAGTGAGTATGCCTTGAGAAACTGCAGTTTAGAATCCCAAATTAAAGTTAAAACACTGAATTTCAGTCCCAGGGAAAAGATTAGGATATGGGTCCCAAGACCAAGACATGGGATTAGGTAGAAATCAAGTGAGTGTTAGTTCAGATTAGAAATAGGGATGGGGGTTAGTTAGATGGAGAGGACAAGTGTAAAAAAAGGACCCCAGCATGACTCCTAGGCCAGTACAACCTTCCAATATGTGTTGCATTAATGAGGATAAGGAGGCTTTAGGGCTGAAGGTGAGGGAAGAGGACCAAGTGAGGTTTACACAGAAAGGCCACAGCTAAAATAATGCTGGAAAGGAGGTGGAATATTAAGCCATGAGGAAGAGACTCCTTCCTATTCTTTACACATTAATGGACTCTTTCTTCTCCTCTGTGGTAGAGGTGTTTTGGATATTTTTTTCTCCTTGGCAGAATCCCCACCAAAATCCTTTTATCACCTAACTAAAGTCATGCATCAATGAGAGACAGAGTGAGGCAAAGGTAAACCCAGAATTTAAAGATAGCAAACTACCAGCACTGAATCCATTTATAGGCACTTCTCAAACTTCTCAGCGTAGTTAGATAGTGGACTCCTGGCTTCCTCAATTGATATTGTTCAAGGAACGTAACCTAATTTTATTATTAGAGAAAACACAAGGAGGCAAATTACAGGCAAAAAGGAATGTGTTCAAGAATAAATTTTAAAATAGTGATAGTTTGACATTATCTTTGTCATGATTTTGTTTTAAATCGCTTCAAAATTTATTGAGTTCTTTGCATGTGGTAGGCACTCAGTTAGGACCTGGGAGTGAGATAAGGCCAACAAGCACTTAATACATTTGAGTGATGACAGAGAGAATGGAGACAGACAAAAACCAGCTAAATTACAAAGCCCCCCCCCCCAAAAGAAAACAGAAACCTTAAGTGTTAAAAATAAAGATATATAAGTAATGAACTATGGGAACGTGAAGGAAGACACAGTTAAAGAAATCTTCACACAAGAGGTAGATAGAAAGAGATATGAGTAACCCAGTGTTTTAAAGAAAAGGATTTTGATAGGCAAAAGATTTTGTCTCCATTAGAAACTGACTTCTTTAAAATGAGAACTTTTATTTTTGTCTCCTATTTCATGTATTAACATGAACGTATAACATTAACATGTATGTATAAGTTAATCCCCCATATAACAATTACAATCAGAAATGTAATTGTTTGGCCAGGCATGGTGGCTCACACCTGTAATTCCAGCATTTTGGGAGACCGAGGCAGGTGGATCACGAGGTCAAGAGATCGAGACCATCCTGGCCAACATGCCATCTCTAATAAAAATACAAAAATTAGCTGGGCGTGGTGGCTTGCACCTGTAATCCCAGCTACTCGGGAGACTGAGGCAGGAGAATTGCTCGAACCTAGGAGGCGGAGATTGCAGTGGGCAGAAATCATGCCACTGCACTCCAGCCTGGCAACAGAGCGAGACTCCATCTGAAAAAAAAAAAAGGTAATTTTTTAAGAAAAATAAAGCTATTTGAGTTTTTACTTTTCAGTAAGGAGTTCCATCAATCTATGAGCGGATTAGAATTTTAGAGAACTTTCTAACTGAATAGGTATTTTGATTTTATTTACAATAAAATTTTATTACTCATAAAATTTACTGAAATATTTGTAGGACGATGTTCTTTTTCTCTTCTGAAATGATGTACTGAAACATTAGAGTTAGAGAGTGACCTGATTCAAGGTCATGCAATAAGTCAGGACAATGTTGAAACCTTATAACATATTCTGAATTTCTAATATAGTTGAATGATCTATTGGGGCATCATGAGCATAAATAAGTCTTGGTTCACATGATTTGAGTGCTATCTAAAGAGTTCCAATGTTTGCTGCCTGAGAAAGTAAAATATTTTTAAATTATACATTAATTAAACAATGCTTTTATTTAGCAGAGTGATGAAAGTTCTAGCCTGTTCAACAAGGCAAGAAAAAGAAATAAAACACATGCAGATTGGAAAGGAAGAAATCAATCTTTTCCTATTTGCAGATAACATGATAGTCTATATAGAAATTGCAAGCAATCACACAAAACTCCAAGAAGTTCAGCAAGGTCACAGAATACAAGATCAACCTACGAAAATCAATTGAATATCTATATACTAGCAATGAACACATAGAAAGTCAAAGTAAACACACAAAACCATTTACAATGATTTTAAAAAGTGAAATACTTAGGAAAAAAATCTAATTACACATGTACAGGACTGGCATGCTGAAAACTACATAGCACTGATGAAATAAATAAAACAAGCTATAAATAAATAGATATACTGAGCTCATGGGATCAGAAGTCTCTACACATTAAAGATGTCAATTCTAACCTAAATTAATCCATATATTTAATGCAATTACTATCAAAATCCCAGCAAGGCTTTCTGTATATATAGTGTATATTCTAAAATTGATATTGAAAGCCTAGTACACTCACATACGCATGGTCAACTGATTTGTGACAAAGATGCAAAAGCAATTCAGTGGAGGAAAGAGAATCTTATTACTAAATGGTGCTGAATAAACCTAAACCTCATACCTTATACAAAAATTAACTCAATATGTATCATAGATTTGAATGTAGAATGTAAAACTATAGAAGTTTTAGAAGAAAATATGCAAAGAAATCTCCAGAACCTAGAGCTAAGCAAAGAGTTCTTAGGTATAATATAAAAATCAGGCTCCATAAAATGAAAATAAAAATAATAAATTGGACTTTATAAAAATTATAACTTTTTGTTTTATAAAAGGTTCTGTTAAGAGTATGACAAAGCAAGCTACCCATGGGGAAAATATTTGCCAACCACATAATGACAGGATTCATATCTAGAATATATAAAGAACTCTCCAAACTCTACAGTGAAAAAACAACCATCAAATTAGAAAATGTGCTAAAGATATGAATGAACATTTCACAAAAGAAGATATACATATGGCAATATGTATATCAACATCAACAGCCATCAGGGAAACACAAATTAAGACCAGAAAGTGATACCACCACACACCATTTAAAACAGCTAAAATGAAAATAGTGACAATACCAAATGATGGTGAGGATGCAAAGAAACTCCATTACTCATACTTTGCTGGTGGGGACATAAACTGCTACAGCCAGTCTGGAAAAGAGTTTGGCAGTTTTTAAAAAATCTAAACATATACTCACTATACAACCAAACAATGACACTCCTGGGCATTTATCCCAGAGAAATGTAAACTTCTGTCCACACAAAAATATGTACATGAATGTTCATAGCAGCTTTATTTGCAACTGCCAAAAACGGGAAACAATCCACTGTTCTTCAGTGGGTGAATAGTTAGGCAATCTATGATACATCCATATCATGGAACACTACTTCACAACAAAAATAAACAAACAATTGGCACATGCAACTACTTAGAAGGATCTCAATGGAATTATACCGGGTGAAAGAAACCAGCCTTGAAAGGTTACCTACCTTATTATTCCATTTATACAACAATTTCAAAATGACGTTAAAGAGATGTAGAACAGATTTGTGGTTGCCAGTGGTTGGGGATGAGATGGGGGACTTAGGAAGAAGGGTGAGGAGAGGAATGGGTATGATTCTAAAGGGGTAACAAGAAGGATCTTTGTGATTATAGAACAGTTCCTTGATTGTGATGATGACTACCTGACCCTATGCAGATGCTGAAATTGCATGAAATTATACACATACCATACACACTCAAATGAGTGCATGTAAACCTGGTAAAATTTGAATACTGTCTATTGATTTTACCAACATCAATTTCCTGGTTGTGATATTATACCAGTTATGCGAGATGTTATATAAGATGATACCTTGAGGGTAAACTGGGTGGAAAATAGATGAGACCTCTCTGCAATGGTTTTTGCAACTTTCTGTTTACCTATAATTATTTCAAAATATAAAGTTAAAAATAATAACTTTATTTTAAAAACAACTTTATTGTTAAAAATAATAACTTCGTAAATGTGCTTTTTTTTTGGCTTAATGTTTAGTGTTGTGGGGGTGGGGATGAAAGTATAAGAAAGGTATGACGCCAACATTGCTTTGCTTTTGCTTTTGCTATATGCAAAGTTTAAACTTTGTCATGAATTATTCAATTGGCAAAAAGGCTAAAATTAAGATCTCAGTCTGGTTGTTTGAGACTTATGGGAAGATTTTGTTTTTCAACTTCTGATGAACTTTAAATATTTAAATTTAAAAAAAAGGTTTTCCATGTATTCTACTTGCAAAAGTGTTTATTTCAAAATAAGGTGTTAAAATATATGGAAGTAAATATTTTTTAGAGTTATTATTTGATGATTTGGAGTGCCAAGTGTGTGGGTGTTTGCTGTAGTATCCTTTACACATCTCAATATTAATGTTTCAAAACTCAACAGCCATTGCAACCAAAAGGCCCTGGACCAGAAGCTTGACTCCCAAACCAGAAGGTTTGGGAGTCCATCCAAAGAGATTCTGGTATGAGGTCCTCTAAATCTGGAATTTAAAAAGTGTCCTGGGTGGATTTGGATAAGCAGCTAAGTTTGGAAACTCCTGGACTAGAGGATGCTGAAGTCCCTCTTCTACACATAAAATAACAAGGGGCACTAGAATCAATTTGTAAGACTTGATTTTGACTCCCACAGATTTTCTCAGGAAGAAATTTTCTATTCTTCTGGGATGGAGTGTGTGCGACCCATCCACTCTTATTTTGTTGTCCTCTCCTGGTCATGTGCGACTTGCCATGACTTATCTTATTTTCCCTTGGTGCACTTACTACTTCCTAGTAATGTGCTGTAATCCTTCCTACAATGTGCTGTAATCCTTATCTGTGTTTCTGTGCTTATTTTCATCATTAAGGAGTGGACTTCTGAGTGAGTCTTTGGAATTCATTAGTTAATGTTTTGATGATTAAACACTTGCATTTCATGACCCAATTCACATCTCTTATTAGGAAGAAAATATATTCTAATTCAAGAGTCTTCACTAATTCTTCAGATTACTCTAGCAGGCAATGATTTTGAATTCTTTCAGATATTGATTGTGTAATTCTAAAGGACTCTTGAGTTGGAGGTACTGGTTGTTTGATTTGGAGCATGGTTGTTTGGATAATGACTTCAGAGGCAGTGGAGAGAGGCCATGACCTGGTCTACTCTTTATTGGAAGATGAGTCAGAGGCTTGTCTTCAGCAATTACAGAAGCCCATAGTGCTTACCTTTTATACTTCATAACCAAGTCTTCCTTCCTCTTTTACTTTATAAGCCCAATATTTGTCCCATTTTGGCTTTCAACTGCCTACCAGTTAATCTTGGTAAGGTCTCAACCTTATCAAGGTAATATCTGCCTATGTTGAATGCATAACTCCGTCCAGGGATGTCTGCATGATAACAGGAGGCTGTCGTGGACTGCTTCCAGGATAGGGAGAGAGAAAGTAACTGCCTTGATTACCACTCCGTCCTTTCCCATTTTTTGCTCTCTTCCTGGGAGGTCAGGGATGTTTGAGCCATGGTAACCCGTAGGAAGTGGTCTCTAACATTCTTACATTTATTCCTTTGATAAAAATGAATACATTTACAGGAGGTATTTTTTCAGAAATGTTGAGAATGACTGAACCCATAGCATGGAATAAGAATTATATTCATTTTCTATACTGTTAACAAAACTGCAATTTTATTCAACAAACTACAAAAGCAATTCATTAGAATGTCCTATAATAGGGTGAGGAATTTAATAGAAACTCCTTAACAGTATGGGTTAGAGAATAGATTTCATTCAAATTCATTCCAGAATCCTCTTTTATCCCATTTTGCAAATCATGCTCGTCATCTTCTGTGCATCCAATACCATTCTTGTTCCATTACAGTCGATTGGAATGTCATTTTCTGATATCTGCTCCCTAACCCGAACCTTAAAAATAAGTCACAAGTGTGTACCAAGTACTTCTCATGGATGGTCTCATGTAACCCTTAAACAACACAGATGCAGTTTTTTATACATATAATTTATACTTGTCTACATTTTATAGATGTTGAGGTACAGAACATTAAGTAATTTACTCAAAGTAACAGAGCTAGAAGAGAAGGCAAGCACTTCATCAGAGTTTTGAATACAAGGGGTGAAAGCTGTGATAGAGGTACAAATGCTTTGTAATATCATCATAAGAATGTTCTAACCCTCCACTCTGTAACCTGAGATGTTCAATCATTTTATTAATCAATATAATTTGTAGTGATAAACATCCGGAAGAAGCAATGGCAGCTATATTCATTTCTT
This sequence comes from Homo sapiens, assembly GCF_000001405.40. NCBI lineage: Eukaryota > Metazoa > Chordata > Mammalia > Primates > Hominidae > Homo > Homo sapiens. The sequence goes on from NC_000007.14 coordinate 21,066,326, forward strand.
ATTGCTGCTATAAAAAATCACTGTAAACTTAGTGACTTACCTCAACACAAATTTATTATCTTACAGTTCTGGAGGTCAGAAGTCCAAGCTGAGTTTCACTGGCCCAAATTCAAGGTACGAGCAGGGCCCGTTCCCTTCAGAGGCTCTGGGATAGAATCCATTTCCTTGCCTTTTCCAGCTTCTAGAAGTCTCCTGCATTTCTTGGCTCACGCTCCTGCCTCCATCTTCAAAGCCAATAGCATGGCATCAAATTTCTGTCTCTGTTCTCTTTCCTTGTCACATCTCCTTCTCTGACTCTCCTGTTGCTCTCTTTTCTTTATAAGGGTCCTTGTTATTATATTGGACCCACCCAGATAATCCAGGATATTATCCCTGTCTCCAAATTGTTAAATCAAATCTACAAAGTCCCTTTTGTCATATAAACTAACATATTCACAGATTCTAGGAATTAGAATGTGAGGATCTTATGGGGCGGGGGGCATTATTTTCCCTACCACAATATCATTGAAAAAACAAAAAACCTAGTTTTTTTATTTTGAGACAGGGTCTCGCTCTGTTGCCCAGGCTGGAATACAGTGGCACAATCTGGGCTCACTGCAACCTCCGCCTCCTGGGTTTAAGCGATTCTCCTGCCTCAGCCTCCCGAGTAGCTGGGACTCCAGGCTCATGCCACCACGCCTGGCTAATTTTTGTATTTTTAATAGAGACGGGGTTTCTCCATGTTGGCCAGGATGGTCTTGATCTCCTGACCTCGTGATCCACCTGCCTTGGCCTCCCAAAGTGCTGGGATTACAGGCATGAGCCACCGCGACCAGCCAAAAAACCTAGCTTTAATGTTACAAGATCTGGTTTCAAAACCTTCCTCTAACACTTATTATGGTATTACCTTGGGTGAGCTATTTAATATGACATCCCCATTTTATCCATCTAAGTGTGTGCTTGTGATCAAAGTGAGACTACTCTGGTGCACCAGGAACTTCTCCCTTACTGGCCAATGTCATATCCCTCCGGGTGCCACCTCATCAACCATTCTCGTGTAAACAGACAGAATTTACCTTTTGCACTCATAATCTCATGATTGTGTATTTCACTTTCCTCCATTTCCTTGGATATTTGCTTGTTTTGACTTGTTTGGCATGTGCAGCCGTGGTAGTGCTAAGATATTCAATGTTCCTACCTGCTATTCTTTCCTTATGTTTCATTCAGTTCCAAACATCAGGATCCAAAGCTGCAAGCTTGTTAAGTGATTACACTCATTTTCTTCATTTACCATGGCGCCAGATTTCTAGCTTCTTTATAAAAACTAGCTCAGTCACGTGGCAGGTTCAACTAGAGATTCCAGATGCAGTCATTTTCTCCACCATAAATTATCTCAGCCTTACTCAGAGTTTGACCCATAAAGTTGGCAGAAAATTATTATTTTTTTTTAACCTGCCCCATTATTGTGGCTTGGACAGTAAAAAGATTGGAAAAGAAGCCCAGTGATTTTTATTCTTAATAGACAGGCAGATAACATAGTTTTCTTCCTACACTAAATATTTGCACAGCATGAAAGAAATTTTTCCATCCACTTTTTCTATATCTGTTCTACTTCAGAGTACCAGGCCAGATTTCCAAATGGGACAACAGGTGGAACTCTCATTTTGCTCATGTTCAGGTACTAATTTTAACATCCAATTCTCCTTGTAATTATTGAATTTTTATATATTAAGAAAAAACTGACACTAAGTGTATGTGTTTAAAGGAAAATGGCTGACTCATAAATAGAATGATAATTTGATATTTATGAAGTGCCAGCTTTACCTATTAATGAGAATTCTGCAATTATCACTAAACTGTTTTGTGAAATTTTAGAAAATGACAAAAAAGGGTTACTAAATTTTACAATTAAAAGTCAAGAATGGAAAAATCATTTTGTGTAAATAATTATTTAGATACATATTCCTTTGCATTGATAGAAGTACTGGTATTATGGTCTTTTCACTCTCAAACCAAATACCCCGTTCAAATATCAAACTACCAAGCAATGAATATTTATGATGAAGACTACTGCATATAGTAGACACTCAATTATTTGTGGAATGAGTGAAGTTGTGTAATCAGTTGAAAGATACTTTGAAAGGGAAACAGAGAGACTGGATAAATATTAGCTGGTTTTACATTATCTACGTTAGGGAAATATGAGACTATATAAAGGAAATGACATTAATGACTTCCCATTTGTTCTGCTTCTTACTGCTGCCTAATAAAATGTGTGAAAACATAGTGGCTAAAAACAACAATAAGTATTTATTTTGCTCACGAATCTGCAATTTGGGTAAGAAGAGCTCCTTTTTGCTCAACATGGTATAAAGTGGATGGCTCTGCTAGTGGCTAAAAGACCTACGTTCCAGAGGGCTGCCTTACAAGGCCAGCAAGTTTGTGCTGGCTCTTGGCCCCCACGTGGGCCTCACCCTACAGACTGCCTATGGGCCCTTTGGTCTTCCTCACAATATGGAAGCTGGGTTTGAACACACACAAAGTAGAAGTTGCTAATTTCTTAAAGCCTGAGCCCGGAAACTCACATAGTGTCGCTTCTTCTGTATTCTAATATTAGGAAGTCACAGAGCTCAGATTCCAAGGGAAAAGACATTCACCTTTAAAAGGAAGGAATTTCACAGAATTTGCAAACATGTTTGAAAACAACCACACGTTGCATTAAAACAAAACTCCAAGCTTCTTTCCTCAGCCTCAAGGTCGTAGGGGTTGGTAAACCTTTTCTGTAAAAGCCATACTGTAAATGTTTTAGGCTTGATGGGCGAAAGGACAATCTCTGTTGCAACTACTCAGCTCTGCTTTATTAGTGAGAAAACAACAGTAGATGATACATGAAAAAATGAGCATGTCTATGTTCCAGTAAAATTGTATTTACCAAAGCATATTTCAGGCCAGATTTACCTCACAGTGCCAACCTCTGCTGTGCATGACATGCTTCCTCTTACTTCTCTATTCTCTCCTCTGCTTACTACACTCCAATCATACAGCTTCCTTTGAGTCCCCTAAAAGAAAAAAGTTTGTTTTCTCTTGCAGCCTGTGCACACCCTATTCCCAGTAGCACTTGCTTTAGCCTAAATGTTACTTTCTGAGCGAATTCTTAAATGTCTTATAGATCTCCCCTTGCTATTCTCTATGACAATGTTTTATTGCCTTACTAGCACCTTACATCTTATAATTAACATATGTTGTTTGGTTTCTTTAGCATTCCACCAATATTTGAGTGTCTACTGTCATCTAGAAGCAGTCTAGATAGTAGGATGAAGGTGGCGATCATGGCTTACAAGACTCCTGTGTACATGGGACAAGCATTCTTTTGGGAAAAATAGGCAATAAACAAGGAAGCAAATAAACAAGAAAATATCTGCCTTTTCTTTTTTCCCTCTGTCACCCAGGCTGGAGTGCAGTGACACGATCATGGCTCGCTGCAGCCTTGACCTCCTGGGCTCAAGCTATCCTCCCATGTCAGCCTTCTGATTAGCTGGGACTATAGGCATGCACCATCACACTCAGGTAAGTTTTTATTATTATTATTATTATTATTATTATTATTATTATTTGTAGAGACAGGGTCTCCCTGTGTTGCCCAGGCCGGTCTTGAACTCCTGAGCTGAAGCGATCCTCCCGCCTCGGCTTCCCAAAATGCTGAGATTACACACATAAACTGTTGTGCCCTGTTGGAAATATTTGATACTGCTTAGTGCTAACAAGAAAATTACACGGGACTGTGTGAGACAGGTCAGGGAAGGCCTCAGTGGAGAAATGCCATTTGCTAAACAAAAAAAAAAAACACATCAAGAAAATGTCCTGTGCTCCAAACTGTGGGCTAGGTGGAATTGTTGCAAAGGGCTTCTAGCCAATAAGCTTTATCCTACGTAAATAATACTCATGCTTATGTTCTATTTATTTTAAAAATTTATGTAGATGCTACTGTGGTTGATAAAATACAAGTTCATTTACAAAGTGTTATTGAATTGATAACAGCTTGTTGTTTTACTTTAATAACTAGGGACATAAAGGCATCACTAATATTATTATTATTTGGAAGACTCTGACATACTTTGGGCATTGTAAAGGTATTTTCAAGCTCACAAATATGGGAGCCCTAATGTAAATGTTCATAAATTCTTTATCACTAAAATATACCTGGATGTTTTTTCAGAACTGAGATGGGAAAAAATGATGTGAAAGAAGCAAGTAATATTTTTTAGAGTAAATGGTTATTCAAGTTGGATGAAGCATGGTGGGAAATTTTCTTAGGTCTTGAGACAAGAGCCCTGGCTCTGAACAAGTCACACCCCCAATTTCTATGTATTTTTTGAATAACATATTATTTTCCTGCTTTGAGCCATGGATACTGGAAAAAGGCAGCTGTACGATGTTTTAGTGAACATAATACACTGTCACTATAAAAAGTGTTTGCTGTTATAAAACATTGTTTCTCACTTCATTGCACATAATCATAACCCATTAGGCATCTCTGTCTTTGACCTTCAATAAATATCTGAGGACACAAAGAAAGCTACACATGATATAATGGATTTCTCCACTTTCAATTTGTTGAAGAAAAAACTTCTCTTAAGTTCTCTGATTCTCATTTCCATTTCTTTCTTTCTAGTGTGGTTACCCTTTTCAAGTACACACTATTTTTATGTCTGTATCCTAATTCTGTCAGGTTCAATGTAAATGATTACACAAGAGTGGTATTTAACACATGATTTCTTAGCAGCTGGCCAAATCACCAGCATTTTATGGGACTTTTCCTTTTCTTTGGGCATGACACTAGGAAGATCATTCCACAAATGTTTCGACTCGCTTTAAAATAAAAGCCAACTTACTCTCATTCCAAAACTCAGGACCTTTTACTTTTGAACTGACTCTTTTTTCCTTTTTCTGCAAATAATTGTGTTCTCTTTAATATCACAGCTTTTGTTAACATATCTCTTACAGGCTTGATCAGTAGTTTTCAATCAGGGAAAATGTTGCCCTGCAGAAGGCATCTGGTTATCACAGCTGGGGAGGTGGAGAGGATGCTGGTATCTACAAGGCGGAAGCCGGGGATGCTGCTAAGCATCCTGTAACGCTCAGGACAGCCCCCCACAGCAAACAGTTATCCAGCCCCAAATGTCAATAGTGCCAAGATTGAGAAACCAGAGCTAGATTAAGGTATTGCCTCCATGTTTTTAACCACATGGATGCTGGCAATAGTTTATAAGCTATAGAAGCTCAGTGATTAAAATCAGTCCTTAGATTTCCACACAGTGAGGAGCAAATAAGATCAAAGCAAACCAGTAGAGATTGGCTCCCTCACCCTTCTACCACATGGAGGTCAGATACCTGTCCTTGAGCTTGTGAGAAGAAGCCTAAATATCAGGTTTCGGATGCTTAACACCCTGTGTCACTAGTGGGGTCACAATAAGGTGACTGAGCCTCTCATCACTTCCTCCAGTAGATGATTAATTATGAAGAAAGGTCTCTGCATGAACTCAAAATTTCAGCTGTCTGCCAAAGCGAGTTGTCTGTGTTCAGGAAACATCTCTTTCAATTCAAGCCACCAAAAACTGATTATGCTTAACCTACATATGCTCTTTGCAGAGCCAGCCTTCCCAGGCAGATAAAAGCCATGAAATTTCATAAGCATTGTAGAGTGCTAAAAATTTGGATGGCAAATGCACAAATACTGCCATCAATATCCTCAGGCTTAGAGCTGCTATTAACATCAGGCGTACATACTATGACTTTATTTCCTACACTACATAGATAGTGCTTAAATGTATGGATTTATTATCACATTTGGCATATTTTATTTACAGCATAAGAAAGGTGAAACATTCTGCAGCATTGCATGTTAAGATTAGGATTTATTGTCCAGGAATCCTTGAACAATTTTATCAAATGCCCATTTCTAAGTGGTGTTTTTCTGCAATAAATCATACAGCAAGAATCTATCAGTGGACACTAGGAAGAGATAAATGAGTGTAGAGGAAAGAGGGTCATCACAGATTTTTTTCTGTATCATGACCTGTCATTGGCAGAAATCCATTTATTATGGTTCACAGATGATTTTTTTACTTACTCACTGTGTTTTCTGTTTGGGGTGTTAGCTAAGATAAAATGAAAACTGGGCCAAATGTAAGCTATCAAAATCCATGAAGGCAGACATAACTTAAAGATCATGAGATACCAAAAGTATCCATTTTTTTCTCCTTTCATGTAGCTGTAAATTTTTTTGAAATATCTTTTTAAAATGTAAATATTTTAATTTTTAAAGTAACCGTTTCACTCAAGTAGGTTAGAATACAAGTAATAGAAAATTCTGTTGCAGACTAGAACTTTGCCCCAGAATGTTGTTTTAGCAGAAAAGCAGAAACGGTATCTAATAGCTGTCAAGTAGTTGTCAAGCACCCCCTTAGTGAGTTTTCTGTTCTTCTCTTACATCCTTTCTCATTTAATCTGTAATCAGGACCCTATAATTTGGAACAAGACCAGGTACATGAAGAAATGAATGCTAAATGCCAGGCTAAATGCAAGAATAATTTTTAGGAAGTTGTTACTACTATTATAATTGAATTTACAATTTACATTTGATTGAAAGAATTCATTAAAATGTAGCATTTCAAGTTTCTTCTTTATTATATTTATTTTTATACTACCTTTCGCTCTACAAGTTGTCTAGGCAAAGAAAATACTTGTAAAATGAGTTTCTGGCTTCTTAAAATGACACACTAGTGAGTATACATTGAGTGAATGCTGTATTTCCACAAACATTTTCAAAACAGGGTTTTTTTTGAAGAGGAGGGTTGCAGGGGAATGGGGTGGTGCCCATCTCTGCACACTCTGGGATAGGGATCCATCAGCTTGTGATAATACATCATGACACCCTAGAGAGTCACTCTCCCTCCACAGCCCTTCACAGTAGAGCCCCAAATGGACTCTTGCTTTAAACATAATATGGATGAGCAATAGAGAAAATACAGATGGACAATTGCTTTTCTAGTGTGTGACCCACAGCAGGTCCCAGCTCCTTTATTTCAAGAAATCCAGAGCAATTAATGTTCCTAACTTACCTCCTCCTTCCTGGGCAGGGGAGGACACCCCTCCATCTAGGAGCATGTAAGCCTGAACAACAACCCTTAATCCACAGAAAGGAGCCAATAGTAAAACTGAAGTGAATGATCCCTTCCTCTAATTTATCAAATACAGTCAGCCTGTCTACAATACTTGATTGGGAGAAATTGCATCAGTGTTTTTGGTCATGGGTAAAGCATCAGGGACTAGAAGAGGCAAGTAAGGTAATTGCCTGGGGTGCAAAATTTAAGGGGAAATGAGGAAGGTGCCCCAAAACTCAGTGATCAGAATAAATAATATTTTAATGATATTTTTAAAACTTAAAATTACTGCAAAAACTTCATGATGAGGAAAATATCAACATTTTAAATAAAAACAAGATTGATATTACTGATTTTGTTGTTCTAGAGTGGCTCAGCATGGAACTGCCCAGTATACACTGAAATAAGTGGAAGAGAAAGTTAAAGGGAGCCTGTCGCTATCTTTGTAACTTCGGTGGTTCTATTTGGGTACGCTGAACACCTTCTGGAAGCAGAAATCTATCATGTGTTGTCAATGCTGTGAAAATTGTGCTTGGGAGCAACACATTGGAGCTGATGGTGGTAGTTGACTCACAGGGTGTAGTCCTGGTCTGCCACTCACAGTTGTGTGACCTTGGGCAAGTCATTTGACTTTTCTCATGTCACTTTCCTTTCTCAAGTCAACATCCTTAAAAGGATGTTGGAGAAAAATAAACATTTTAAGATATTTCTGGAACCTGCCCATATCAACAAGGGACTTGGATGGATTAAAATGGATGATTTGGGTGTTGAATTGAGTATTTATTCAAGGTTAACCTGAATTATTAATTATTTTGTTGATTCTCCAAATAACATTTCATTAGGTCACCTTTTGCCTCCTTAATCTGAGTACGAGAGAGGCCCTGACTTCAACTCCAAGGGCTGGTGGTAAATTCTATTTCATTCCCTGCCAAGATTATATCTGCTTTGAGGATTCATAAAAGACTTGAGAGTTTATTAATCCTCTGCTTTTAATTAACGTTTTGTTTGTTTTAGTTTTTTGTTTGTTTTTGAGACAGGGTCTTGCTTTTTTACCCAGGCTGGAGTGCAATGGCTCAATCACAGCTCACTGTTACCTCAAATTCCTGATCTCAAGGGATCCTCCTGCCTCAGCCTCCTAAGTGACTGGAACTACAGGTGCATACCATTATCCCAGCTTATTTGGGCTCTTAAAATGTGTGATCTTACATGACTCACTCCTTTCCAGCTAAACAGTCCATTCCTGTGGGGATCCAGATAGAACTAAAACTGGACAATGGGATCAGAGACATAGGTCATTGCTAGTCAATTTTGGAGTGAAGGCCATTAGAAAGAAGATTTATGAAGAAAGTTGTTTTGCATCACACAATCATCTCAGAGTTTTCTAATTGGCTATGTTAATCAGATTTTACCCTGATATTAGTAACTTGAAATTTCATTTAAATCCTTTGCCCAATAATTATTCCATCTTTTCCTTTATAGAATCTTGAACACTCATTTTTGTTTGAATGTTAGCCAATATCTTGAAAGTACTGTGCCCAGTTTTTTTTGTAATAATGGAGTATTTCATAAAGGAGTAATTATAAATCATAAATGACAGAAAGCAGAAATATTTTATTCTTTTTTATTTGAGCTAGGAAAATTTGAACTATCAGACCAAATAATCCCACTTAAGGCCTCTGTTGTACTGAAATCGTAAAGAAAGTCTGATTGCATGGTATGTGTGAGAGAGAGAGAGATCACACATGGACGTATAGAAATCTGAACTTAACTTTTCTCTTGCTTCTCCAGTGACAACTGGTCCCCATCTACCTGCTCTGTAAACCTTATTATCAGCAAAGAAGTATACAAAGCCTTCACTCTCCTCTGAAAAGCAAGTTAAGGTTACCCGGGGGCTGATAGTACATGTGGTGTTTGATTGTAAGCCCAATGGGGAGAATTTAAATACTTAACCATTTAAGATATCTTAGATCAATTGTTATAAGGGGAGTGACTGATGGAAACAGAGGAGAAGACTGACTGGACTCTTAACCCATTGCAGGGTGTAAATTAAAGGCTGTCTTTGGACATTTTAACTTAGTCCAGACATTGTACACAATTATTGTCTCAACAGGATAGAAGAATAAAAGGAGCTTGCTTCCTTTGCCACAGGTTTTTTCCTACCTTCCCTGACATCTCTGAGGGTGGGGAGGCGGGAGGCAGAGAAAAACAGAGAGACAGAGAGAGAGAGAGAGAGACAGAGACAGAGACAGAGAGACAGACAGAGAGAGAGAGAGAGAGAGGAAGAGAGAGATGCATGTTACTTTATTAGTTTGGAGAATTAACCTGAAAAGGAATGTGAGTCACATGTTTGTTTAAAGCACCCCTATGTTAATTGATCAGAAATCTTCAGCTGGCAATAAAACATTACGAATTTAGAGGCAGAAAAATAAAGTTCCCTTTGTTACCAGAAAAATAAAGTTGTATCTGGGAAGGTGACAATAACAAAAACAAACAAAAAAAAGCTTTTCGGAAATGATGGTTTGATCATTCTCACCTAAGAGTTGTTGTTAAGATAAACAAAATTACAAGCCAAAGAGATGTTGACATTATCTTGTTATATTTTCAGCTTTTTGGGCTGCCTTCTTGGGCTGATGTTTAAAGGATTAGACTGAAGCTTAGCTTCTGTGTGTTTTTGAAACTTCCCACAGATCAGCCTCTGAGAAAAAATGCACTGGTGTATCATGTTTCTAACACTTAAAGATCTAATTGGGATATTGTTCTGTACATGCTGTTAGACACTGTAGTGACAAGAAGAGTCCTAGCCCACATTGGCCAGGAGCCAATACATACCTTCTCCGAACAAAGTGCAGGATAATTAAAGAGCAACTACCGAGAGAGCACCGCAGAGCCTGCACAAAAATAGCCATCAATAAAGTGCTGGAGAGCTAGCTCCTTGGGAACGTTGAGCGCTCCTTCCTACATTCACTTTGCTTTTCAAATACAGTTCCTCAGAGCTATTTTTTTCCTCACTTTTTGAGTATTTTATAAGTAGTTCTAAATTTTTTAAAAAATTAAATATCTCCATCTATTATCTATGCAAAATTACCTGAAGAGCACCGTTAGGAGATTCAAAGTATATTTCATAAAATTTAAGGGAACCAAGGCATTTAGAAGCTTCATTTCAATTACAATTCGGTAACTAAGAACTAAATAAAATACACAGGGTATTTTTACATCAGTCACAATTCCTATTCAAACAACCTATTTAAATGTGCACAGGCCTTTCAGGCAGAGCCACTCAAATGCCCTTGCATAGCAGGTTCTGCAAGTAAATCAGGAAGGCGTTAGGATTGTATAAAACCGCAACATGACCCCCGTAGGCTCGATTACCTTTCCAGCATAACCATTTAAAAAATTGTTTTTCCATTCTTTTTTTAAAAAACAAAACAAAGCAAAACAATTTTGTACAAATCATGAAGCATTGAGAACCTCTGAGTAGCTGGTTCTTACAGTGACCCTAAAGGATTTACACCAGAACTTCCCAACACCACTAAAGGGAACAATGCATATAAATCCCTTCCGCAGTGATGGGGAAATGGGATCCTTAGAAAGCTCCTTCTCTATTCAATGAAATCTGCCAATTTTTTACTCTTAAAATACGATTCCATCCACAGGGCAACTTCAAAATGGTTTCTCCACATTTCTTTAGATCCTGTGTAAATCAAGTGCTGTTCGGCAGATACCGTGTATAAATCATCCATATTTTAGCCCCTCTCTTTTTATAGAATGCATTTGCAAGATCAATTTTTGATTCTGCAGAGCTCCCTTTACCAGCTTAAACTAAAGATGGCTTGCTTTTTTATGTTGGTTTGCCTTTTTCTAAGTAACCCTCAGAAAACACAATGATAGTCTAAGCTCAGCGCACAATTGTCTGGCAAGGTCAAATGGAGAGTTATAACAGACAGGCGTCTATTTATTTATACATGTTGCTGTGTGCTGAGGAGTTAGCCTCAACACATTCAAGTTTTTAAATCATAGAACTTGCTTTCAAGTCAACTTCCTCAGGACAGCTGAAGGATTCAAGTCAATAGATAGTCTGATTTTTTTTTAATTAAATCTCTATAGGGTCATTTAATGATATTGTTAGGATGCTTGATGCAGCCCCCAGGTAGAAGACTGTCTGCAAAGCATAAAGAATGAGCTGCTCTCCTTCTGCCACAGCCTCTGCTGATTTACAACCACTTTGTGTTTGATGTTGGACAGGATAATTTCATCAGTCTCCAACCCTTGTGATCACGTCCCAAAATGACTCGTCAGGTGAAGCCCCGGCAGAAGATTGCTTGTCACCTGTAGGAAGTAGCTGTCTGCTCTGAGTACTCTTTCCTCATAAATGTAATCATCTGTTAGTTATTCATTGAGCTATACTTCATGGGCTCGATGGAGTGGTGAGGGCAAGGGACCAACTCTTCACTGGGAAAATGCTTAGAAACAACGTTGATGCTTGTTTTGTTTTTCTTTCTTCTCTTTCTCATCTTTTTCTCACACAGGAAGAAGAAATATGCATCTGGGTTCATTTTTGAAGGTTACTATGGAAAACATCCATTTAAGTACATTTAAGAATTTTTTTTAATTAAAAAAATTTCACATTTGAGGAAATGGACTTAAAGATGGTGGGTAATTTGCCAAAAGTCACATAGCTCGTCAGGTTTGCCTTCTTCTTTCATGAGGACTGTTGATGTTTTATTGAAACCCAATCAGTCTTTATGGTGTTCCTATGTGTTAAGCCTGAGCTCCAGGAATTCTCACTAATTTGTGAGGAAATGTTTACACCAATGGCTGGCTGAACTTTGTTGTTATGACTCATTTCCCATTGGTGAAGATACAATTTATTTATCCTGTTGGAATTGGATGTGTCTATCTTATGCATATCCCAGATTTGTTTCTGAGAGGCACACAACACATTTGATTTCACAGTTTCACAGCTAGAGAGGAATTTGCCTCAGAATAAATTGTATCTTGAATCTCACCAAAATCTGATTTAGATAATATTTAGATAAGACTTTGTACTTTAGATTTTTGAGTTGATGCTGGAACAGGCGAAGACTTTTGGGGCTGTTTGGATAGAAGGAATGTATTTTGCATGTGAGAAGTACATAAATTTGGGGATATCAGGGGTGGAATGCTATAGACTGAATGTTTGTGTCCTCCCAAAATTCATATGTTGAAATCCTAGCCCCCAGTCTGAGGATACTAGGAGGTAGGGCCTCTGGGAGGTACATCATGAGAATAGAGCCCTCATGAATAGTATTAATATTCTTATAAAAGAGACTCCAGAAAATTTCATGATCCCTTCTGCCATGTGAGGACTCAATGAGGTGACTTCTATCTATGAACTTGGAATCAGGCACTCACCAGACACTGAATCTGCTGGCACCTTGACCTTGGACTTTCCAGCCTCCAGAACTTTGGGAAATAAATTTCTGTTATTTATAAGCCACCCAGTCTTTGCTATTCTTTTGTAGCAGCCTAACTAGTCTAAGACAAAGCATTAAGAAAATAAAACTTATTATAGGTTTTGTTTCGCTTTTTAAATAATTTTTAATTGTAAATAAATATATGTAAATAATAATGGCTACAAAGCATTTAAGGTATGCTGGGTACATATCTTAAGCATTTTATGTATATTATCCACTTAGCCTTCATTTATTCTCATGAGGTAAGTTCTAGTATCTTTATTTTACAGGCAAAGAAATAAACTTAGAGATGGTAATTTGCCAAATGTCAAATAGTTCATCATATCTGCATGATTTTCTTTATTTCTAACTAATTAGCAACAAATCATTATTTCAATCAGGTGACACAGTTGCCTCTCTTACACTTTTAAGCTTAATCTAGAATGAAATAATTTACACTATGTATTTAGGCATCATGGTTAATCTAATACAATTCTCAGCCAGCTACTTCATTCATTCATTCATTCATTAATCTAACATCTATTAAGCATTTTCTGTGTGTCAGGCACTAGGGATACAGAGGTGAACAAATTAAATACAGCCCTTGCCCTTGGTAGAGTGGAGGACTCACCTGAGTGTGCAAGTCATAATGTAAATTATGCAAATGATTGTTTGATCACTGCCTATGAGGGCCTCAAAGAAGAAATCAAGGGGCAATGAGCGTGTTTAGTTAGCGTGGCTGAAGCAAATCTCCAGAGGATGGGTCTCCTAAGTTGGGCCATAGAGGATGTCTATCTCTCCAAATGACACAGGGCCTCTCAGGGACCCAGCATGCAGCAGATATATTCACCCAACAGATTCATTGTCCCAAATCACTGCACAGATTCTCTTCTCCCTATCTTAGAATGATTTGGCAGAGAGGCTTCTGGGACCTCAACAGTGTAGTTGCCTTGGTATCTTAGTAAGGGAGAAGAGCAGAACTGGAGAGGGACAGTGAGCTTAGGGTTGTGCTCAGCAATCCCAACCTGGATGTTGAGGGTGGGTGGACATGAACTCAAGCTTTACTTGGATCAGTCAGTCTTTTTATCTTAGGGGTGGTAAATGGGACACAGGTACAGGAGATTCAGAGCAGTGGCCATGCTTGAAGTTAGGATTCTTAGTAGGTTTGAAGCAAGATATTAAATAGTCTGGTAGGTCCCCATAAGTTCTCATCCAGTTGATTCAGGGTCCTGAGAAGCATTCTAGGTCGAGGCACAGTCCCAGGAGCAGATCTGCAGAGTATTCAAGATATAGTCGGAATCTTATTAGTTGTCTTGAGGTGGATTAGATCAGGGCCTGGGAAGGGGCTAAGCCTGCAGTTTAGAAGCTGCAGTGAGAAGACCTAAGCATGTCAGGTTCCAGAGCTATTATCTATTCCCTTGCTTAAAATAAACTGTGCCAATACATGTAGGTTGATCCTTCTGCCCTGATGGGCTTGACCAGAACATTCTTTCCATCCCTAGTTTTGTATTAATAATTGAATTCCCAGAGCACAAATTTGCTTTCCAGATATCACCAAATACGTCTTCATCAGGGACCCCAGTACTGCAGGCCCTTTGTTGTCACTTTGCCCAAACTCATCTACAAAAAAGTAAAAGGCATCTGCTCCTCATCATTGAGGTATCTTGATATTCTCTGGAGGAAGAAAAGACTTTTCTGCATAAAGCAATGTAAGGCAAGGTATCAGTAGGTTTTCTGCTGCTATAATAGAATACCAGTTTTATTTGGCTCATGGTGCTGGAGGCTTGGGAAGTCCAAGAGCCTGGCATCAGCATCCGACAGGGCCATCCCACGGAGGAAGGGAAAGCAGGCACATGAGACAGGGAAAACGGGCCTGAATTCCCAAGATATCTAACCCATTCTCTCCACAGTGGCATTAGCCCACTTATGAGGGCAGAGCCCTCAATACCTAATCACCTCTTGAAAGTCCCACCTCTTCATTGTCATAATGGCAATTAAATTTCAACATGAATTTTGGAGGGAACATTCAAACTGTAGCAGGTAATAAATGCAGTTAATAACTGTAATGAAGTAAAAGTGACATGTAACTTATTAGCCAGGGTTCTCCAGAATCAACAGGGCGTGTGTATGTGCATGCCTGTGTGTGTGTGTGTGTGTGTGTGTGTCTGTGTGTGTGTGAGAGAGAGAGAGAGAGAGGTTTATATTAAGAAATTTGCTCATTTGCTCACAGAATTGTAGGGGCTTGCAAGTCCTATAGGTAACCTATAGTTTACTCCAGTTCATGTAACTCATACTTCCCAAATTCCCATTTCCTTTTTTTTTTCCTTGTTAAAACATGTCCTTTTTTTTTTTTTTTTTTTTTTTTTTTTTTTTGCAAGAAAGGATCTTTCTCCCAGGCAGGAGACTTAACAAATAGCAAAGCAATGACATTTAGACATAGTAGGTTTTCAATAATTTTTGTTAATATATAATAAATGCACATATTTTGGAATACATGTGATAATTTGATACATTCACATAAAGCATAAAGATCAAATCATGATAATAGGGATATCCATTATCTTAAATATTTATCTCAATAATATTTAATTTAAAAATGAATGAATGGATGAATGAAACAAAAGATCCACCTTCTCTTAAGTATAATATAGAGCAGGAATTGGAAGGCTGATGTTCTGTTCTGTAATATACAGACTGAATAAATAGAAAGTCCCTCTGTTATGGAAGTCTCACGAATGTGAGAATAAATTTATCTTTCTGCCAGCTAGGATAGGGCTATTATCCAGATTATGCCTTCCTGGCAGAGCCTATTCAACATCTACATAGAGTCATTGGTGTTCAAAAGAAAAGGGATTGACCCTTTAAAAAGTACACCATAAAAAATAGACTGGTTGGCTATGGAGCTGCCTGCAAAAGGCTACAATTATAGTGCTGGATAAATAATACCTTATACTATAGGGGTGGGGGTGAGGGTAAGGGCAGACAATGGGGAGAGCACAAACCATGGAAGAAGCAAGAAAAAAGTCTTGTTTTATAAACCAGGATAGCAAAATGGAAGGTGAAGACAAGAAGGGACATGGCACTCCTTCCCAAAAGGTCAATTTACTAAAAAAAAAAATGTATATAGAATTGGTAGAGCTATAGGAAAATCTTTTTATATTAAAACAATTATACCTATATTATCATAGAATATAATATTTATATAAATTGTTGAGCAAAATATTAGTTTTCTAGAAAATTGTGACTGTGATGAATGTTGTTTCAAGGTACTAAAAAGCTACTGGTTGAGTGCTGCGTGAAGTGGTATCTCATCCAAGCCCCATAAGGAATTTATGAGGTTGAAATTCTTATTGTCTGTTTGAGAATGAGGCAGCCAAGGCACAGGACAGTTCATTGACTTGCCCCTGCTTAGGTAGCTGGTAAGTGGAGGGCCCAGCCCAGACTTCCTAATCCAAAGCCCAGGCTCTTAACAACCACCTTATCCTAGTCCTCATTCCCAGACCGCGGTTGCCCCATTCTAATCTTCCACCATCAAGGGTGCTCTACTAGAAGAGATGGAAGAGAATCTAAATTTGATCGCCTCACCAGAATCTTAATGACTCCACTAATTGGAGCTGATTAGTCAGGAAATGTTAGGAGTCAGACACAAGTAAGCCACTGGGGAAAGAGATGGCTTTGTTTGGTTTTCCTTTCTAAGCTTGTAGAAGAAAACCTAAAAACATGTAAAAAGGAACTGACAATTTCAAGATTGATGTGCTTTTTCTTGTTAAGGCTAAATATCAAAAACTTTAAAAATAACTAAAAAGCAAACAGCAATAACCTTTTAAGTGCTGTGATTCTGAAATATGAGTAGAAACCAGGGTTTGTTTGCTTGTTTGTTTGTTTTCCTAAGTAAGGGAGTTATGATATAATTGCAAAATATAATGTAAGAGTAATGAGAAAAAGAACCTTTTTGACTTGCCCACTCCTGCACCTCCAAGACCTGGAGCAATGGTAGGTATATAGTAGTTGTTCAATAAATATGTGTTAAATGAATGAATGGTGATAAAATTAGGAATTAAATCATTGAAATGGTGCACTCTGGCCTGTGCATGATGTTTTGTTTCTTCTGAATATTACTAGTGTGGTATTTGTTGTTCAAGAAATGGACAGTTATTTAAGTCATTTACTTAAAAGTTGTTATTTTACTTTTAAGAGACAGGGTCTTGCTTTGTTGCCAGGCTCTGGAGTGCAGTGGCATGATCATAGCTCACTGCAGCCTTGAACTCCTGGGCTCGAGCAATCCTTCCATGTAGCTGAGACTATGGCACGTGTGACTGTGCCTACCTTAAAAGTATACTTTTAAATACTTGGCCTTACTTGATGGCTGTTACCTGATAATGACCTTACAAACCTATGGGCAAGAAAGAGCCTTAGGTGATTGACTTTAGCAAATTTAACCTATTTCAGTGAAAGAGCCACACTATACAGAACAAAAGTCCCAAATTTAACACATCTTCTCCAGTGTGGCATATTATTTAAAAGGTAAAAATTATATCCTCTTAATTTGCATTTATTCAAATATTAATAAAGTTGAACATGTTACCATATGTGCACTAGCTTTGTTTTTTCTTTTGTTCTTCTTAAATTTTCCTAGATTACCTGTCAGGGGCTTGGTGTTCTTCTTATCAACGTGTATGAGCTCTTTAATATTTTTTGTGCAATGTTTTTTGTATATATACTTCCCCAATCTACTGCTTGCCTTTAGAGCAATGTCTTTTAAAACAGAAAATTCTCAAAATGACAATATCAAATCTACAAGAGAGGCAAAGAGTACCATAAGGAATATGTAGAATATTAGCAATTCCAAGATAAAATTTTCTTAACAATTTTTTTTACTTACCTAAATTCCCAAAGTCATTTGCTGTAATAATTCGTCAGTCACAACTGGAGAATAAATCACAACCGTGATACATTCTGCTGTAATGAAAATGGTAGTGACTGCTTATTACAAAAGAAGGTGTGTTTTAGAACAAATGTAGTCATTGGCATACATCTAAATATTTTGGAATTTCTCTAATATTCATGTCATTAGAACAAAGGAAGCTCAGTTTACTTGTATAAAATGGTAACCTGCTCTTAAATGGAATTGGGTTGCTAATATGCTTAAGGAATCTGTAAAGTGATTTGGGGAGCAAGGCAGCCCATTAGCATGCCACCCCTCGTAGACCAAATGCCTTTCATTTAAACTGAGGCAGTGACCCCTCCCAAGAGAGCAATGGCACTTTCTCCAATTCATTAATCTCATAGGATTTGGTGGGCAGCTTCCAATTTACAACCATGTCCTTCCCAAACAATGAGTGCAAACTTTATAGAAACTTAACCTTGTGGATTTTATTTCCCTGGTCTTAACTGCAGCAGCACTGAGGTGAAGAACAGCAGGATAAAAGAAAATCCTGTGTCCAGCTCAGTGTATCAACGTCAGGAACGAGGACAGCAAAGGTACAACTGGGAAAGGCAACACGCCTGTACGTCAGACCAAGGACTTCATTCACCCACTTCATGTGGTGAGGTCATTCTGTCGCAACAGGCAGGTGACTTTTCAGTCTCTGACTGATGAGACTATGGAATGAGTCTCTGAATGATTATGGAAAGAGTGATGTATGTTTCACATTTAAGGCCAACTCCTAGATCACACCTCCACATCAACAGCTGGTTGTTAAGCGCCTTGTATATACAAGGTGCTGCGTCATCAAAGTGTAAAGAAAGACTAACTGGAGTCATGGCATGGAATTACCTCAGGATGTTGCAGACTATAAAACTTACTGGAATTTTTTTTCCATATGGACCCAAATATGCCTTTGTGTGATTTGATGTTTTTCACTTTCTAGTATGAGAACACAAAGTAAATTACTTTCAATTACTGTGTTCTGAAGCATTAAAAATTGGTACTTCTGTCACCAAAGACAGCAATAAAACTGGGGGAGAATGGCACAGGGATAAATAATTTCCACTTATTTATGTTCATTAGAAATTGCCAAGTAGATTCATTTACTCAAAAAGTATCCCCAAGTTGGGAGGTGTCATGTTCCACTAAGAGGAAATGTTTCTTATGACCAAATTAAAACACACAACTCTGGGAAAAAAGGTTTATTTTAAATGTTGTGATAACTGAGTCCCAGCCATAATGCTCCAAGTGGGCACCAGTAATGAGGGTTTCCTTTAATAAGGTTGTTTTTCTTTAACAAAACCGTATTAAATGAAATAGAAAGAAAAAGTAATGTTTGTGTCAATGAAACAGGCTTTTATGGCATCACAGCCAATGAAGATGAGCACAGACAAAGTAGAGGGGCTGGCATCAGGAAGCATCTAAGTGCAGCCCTAGAAGGCAGAGCTTTGGCACAAGCCACATTGAGTACTCCAGAATTGTCTTCTGTACTTGTGGCAAAGGTAACCTACCTGTTCCCGCTCCTTTTGGAAAGCTTGTGGCTCCTTTGAAGCATGGCAAGTGTCCCAGCCTTCCCTGGATGAAGACAGGTTGGTCCACTGGGAAATGGCTGCTGCTGATAATGCAGGTATGAACCTCTGCAAGACAGAGGAAAGACAGTCTTTGCAAAATAGACCAAATGTTAAGAGTTCATGGGAAAACACTTAAAATAAAACCATGATCCCGTTCTAAACGATTATAACTTACATGCAGAGAAGAAAGTAACTTGGACATCCTTCCATCTACCACAAAAGGAGATGTAGGGCCTTCTTTACTCTTTAATAAAGCACCATTGTTTTTTCATGATTTTGCTTTATAGGGCTTAAATTAAAGGGAAACTACACTATGGAGAGGCAACTCTTTTCTTCTAAAGCTTTTATAGCACCTATATTGGCAAACTCCCTTGTGGTCACCTCATGTGGCAACAACTGGGGTCACTTGATGATACTGACTTGGTAATTAGTCTGCCTGGAGGGTCCAAAAAGGCTTCAGTCACCAGTTTGGTGTCTTGGCTGGAAGGCAGCATTCAGCTGGGCCACTGGATCTCTCCAAATAGTTTCAGGAACTGCTCACGTGGCCTCACCAGCAGGGTGTACAGACTTCTTACATGATGGCTCAGGGCTCTGGTAGCAAGTATACTCTTTTCATTTTGAACATGTGAGTCAAAGCTGACATAATTCCTTTAACAACTTTAGGGAATACTTGTACATCAAATTATATTCCATTCCACAAAGCCTTTCAAAGTAAGTCTTTCTCTATCTAGGGCTTCCTGAGAGGCTGCTGTGAGACAATGGCTTTCAGACAGGGGTCCCCAACCCCCGGGCCATGGACCAGTACCAGTCCATGGTCTGTTAGGAACCTGACCACACAGCAGGTGGTGAGCAGGCAAGCGAGCATTACCACCTGAGCTCTACCTCCTGTCAGATCAGCACTAGATTCTCATAGGAGCACTAACCCAACTGTGAACTGCACATGTGAGGGATCTAGGTTGCACACTCCTTAGGAGTATCTAACTAATGCCTGGTGATCTGAGGTGGAACAGTTTCATCCTCTCATCCCAAAACCATCTCCCTCTGGCATGCCCCATCCATGGAAAAATTGTCTTCCATGAAATCGGTCTGGTGCCAAAAAGGTTGGGGACAACTGCTCTACAATTTTTAGAAGCCTCTTTAATCAAAAAAGGCTTAAAGGCACATCCTTAAGATCTTTAGAAGGTCTTTTGTCTAGAGAAAAGTGTCTAGAAATCTTATCTTTCTAAGGTCTTTACAAAGTTTCATAATCTCATGCTTGACTTCAACTTTACCCTGAAACAACATTTTACTGCCCTAGATTCAATCCTTGCCTTAAGGCCATTTCTTACTTTGAGAATCTTTTGCTGCCTCAAGAAACTATCTTGGGCTTACTACATTTCCTCTAACTTCTGCTAGTTCCTTTGATAGTTCATTTTTACCTTCTCATATTTTATTATAGGGGGTGAAAAGAAGCCAGTTGGAACTTTCTATATCTTGCTTGGAAATCTGCCCAACCAGGTGCATAAACACATTAGGCATTAGGCATTCTTTCTATTTTTCATGTGACCACAGGTGGCAGGTAGCCAAACCTTCCACCACTGCATAACAGAAATTCAGCCTCTAACACTATTTTCCTCACTGTCTTTCCAGCCTTCACTAATGGTTTTCTTGAGGCCTCTACAGCTTTTAGTAACAGCTTCCTCAATTCTCTCCAGGTTCTGACTGCCACCCAGTTCTAAAACCAGTGCTCCACATTTCAGAATTTTGTTACAGAAACACCTAACTTCTAGGTAATAATTGTGAAAATAGATTAGATAGAGATGAGAATGGAGATCAAGACCTGTTATATTTTATGTAACAATAAGAGTGTTGAAATAAACCCAAGGTACATATCATAAGCCATGGAATACTATGTATTTTATAACTAATAGTTATGTAGTATTTCTAAGTGTAGGGTGCTATTCTAAGTACTTTTCATATAGAAACTAAATTAGTTCTTATTACAATAGTTGGTGCTATTGGTCTTTCCAATTTACAAATAAAGAGCTGCGGGAGACATAGTTTACGTAACCTGTGTAAAGTCACAGTGGTGGTAAATAGCAGAGCTGGATTCAGAGCCATGCTGTCTGGTTCCAGACTTCATTCTCTTAACCACTACCCTATAGTGATTCATGAAATGGCTGTATTGATTGATCATTCCACAACATGAAAAGACATTAACAGTATGTTAAGTGAATAGTGGAAATTACAAGATACTACTTCTGTAGTTTGGCATGATATGCACTAAAGTGTTAAAAGTGCTTTGCATTAGTCCACTCTCACACGGCTATGAAGAACAGCCCAAGACTGGGTAATTTATAACGGAAAAAGGTTTCATTGACTCAACAGTTCCACATTGCTAGGGAGGCCTCAAGAAACTTACCATCATGGTGGAAAGGAAAGCAACACATCTTTCTTCATAAGGCAGCAGAAGAGAAAAGTGCAGAGCAAACAGGGAAGAGCCTCTTATAAAACCATCAGATCTTATGAGAACTCACCTACTATCATGAGAACAGCATGGGGGAACCGCCCCCATTATCCAAACACCTCCCATGAGGTCCCTCCCCCAGCACATGGGATTACCATTCAAGATGAGATTTGGGGAAGAACACAGAGCCAGACCATATCATACTTATTTCCAAGTGTTGGGGTAATGGATGATTTCTACTTTTTCTATTTTGTATTGTTGACTACTTTTTAAATAATGAGCATGTGATACTTTTATAATCAGATTAAACAATAAGGCTATTTTCATTTTGGAAAAAAATTAAAAATTGGTTTTTGTAGTAACCTGGGGTAAAAGGATGAGGGTCTGTGATGAGACAGTGGCTGTGGAGAGAGAGAGAGAGAGAGAGAGAGAGAGAAAGAAGGGGACACATAGGAAAAATATTAAGGAGATAGATTATGTAGGAGTTGATTTCCTGGATTAGCAGAGGAAGGGTTGGAGGGGCAGAACATATCTGGGTAAGCAAATAAGTAGAGAGGACTTCATATTTGGGAGCTTGAGCAATAAAGCAATGCTGATATTATTTGTAACCTGGATTCTATTCCATCTCATCTTGTCTTCTTAGAGACATTTGATATCTATGATTCCACTATAATTGCCCTTGTTAAAGACACCAATGGCCTCCCAACCACTGGTTCCAATGCAGTTTTAGTCCATAGTTTGTCATCTCAATAAAAGCAATTGACACTGCTTGTCATTCTCTGTTTCTGCAAAGTTGCTTTTCCTTGGATCTCTTCCTAACACTCCGACAACTTCTACTCCTTGTTTTCTCACCTTATCCCTTAATTGTGCTGTCATAGGAGCTAATCTATCAGAGACACACATCCTGGTCAAGCAATCCATTCACTTGTCTTCTTCCCTCAAACATTTGAGTGATCCTCAAATGTTTATTTCTTGCTCCAATGTTTGTGTCCAACAGCCCACTAGAAAGTCCCACTGGAAGTTCCACTGGCTTCCAAAATTCTTAACTTTCAGTGTGAAGATGGGAAAATTTTTTTAATTAAAAAATTATTTCCTATTCCTTAAGTCAGCAAAATGGCATGATCATTCATTTAGACATTAGGTATTGAAACCTGGGAATTACCCTAGACTTCTTCTTGTTCATCACTTAGCCCATCATCCCATTCAATTATTAAATCCTATGGATTTCATCTCCTGGCTACATCATTTTCATAGATTCTTGCCTCTCTGTCTCAACGGCCACCACATTTCTTCATTCTTTACATGGATTATTGCAATATTCTCACTCAGCCCTGCTCTCTTCTAATCCTCTTTGTGAATGCATCCTGATGCACAAATTCGAACACAGGTCTCCACCACCTCTCAAGGTGAAAAACAATGCCTTTTTCCTCTCTGCATTACTAGCACTTAGCACAGTGCCCAGCATGTGGTTGGGACATCATGAAAGTGAAGAATAAATGAATAGGAGCTGAGATCATTTTTGTAATAAGAATTGGAAGTCAGATGCTCCGGTATTTGAATTTTAGTTACAGCCAATGTTGTGTAAGTGACACTGCACATTTCATGCCTCTGCTGCCACCAAATAGCAAACCAGCTAAATAAGTAAATGATTAACAGCAAAATCTTTATTTCATAATTGTGTAATTATTAAAGCAATGGTACTACTATAAGGATCAAATCCACCATATCTGTAGGATACTGTAAATATGTATTCAGTATGATCATTTTAACTTACATGTGGTAAGTATATTTTTAAAATATTATTTTCTATTGCTTTAAAAAAAACAGTAGTTTTTATAATTAAAAAACTGCAAATTTCAGTATGGAAAAACGTTTTTTTTTTGAAAATCGAAAGCAAATTTCAATTTCAAAACAACCAGTGCATGGGAATCAACCTGCCATTTCAGAAGCTGTGGTAAACGGACATTCTGGGGCTGAAACAGGCAAGGCCACAGCTGCTGACCTCTAAGGCGGGATTGCTACTCTGACTGCACCTGCTGAACTATGCCTGAAAAAGACAGACTTGCATCTTAACCTCCTTTTTCTTTGCCTGGGCTGTTGTAGTTACAACATATTTTCAGTGCATCTATATTTTAAATGTGTACCCTTGGATCTTATTATGCCCTATTCTTCTCTTGGTTATGATTGCATTATCTATTTAATCTTACTGCATTGTGTGGATTTCTATATCTCACCTCAAAGTCTTTTAGAATTGAATCTGAATACAAATAAATAAATCAACAAAATAAAAATAATTCCAGACATATATTTATTATGACATTTAGAAACAAAAGATGAGCTAGACAACTGTATTCTTATTTATTTTCTTTCTTTTGTAATTACTGCAGTTAGAAACAATCATCTCCAAGTGGGCGAAGGATATGAACAGACATGTCTCAAAAGAAGACATTTATGCAGCCAAAAGACACATGAAAAAATGCTCATCATCACTGGCCATCAGAGAAATGCAAATCAAAACCACAATGAGATACCATCTCACACCAGTTAGAATGGTGATCATTAAAAAGTCAGGAAACAACAGGTGCTGGAGAGGATGTGGAGAAATAGGAACACTTTTACACTGTTGGTGGGACTGTAAACTAGTTCAACCATTGTGGAAGACAGTGTGGCGATTCCTCAGGGATCTAGAACGAGAAATACCATTTGACCCAGCCATCCCGTTACTGGGTATATACCCAAAGGATTATAAATCATGCTGCTATAAAGACACATGCACACGTATATTTATTGCAGCACTATTCACAATAGCAAAGACTTGGAACCAACCCAAATGTCCGTCAATGATAGACTGGATTAAGAAAATGTGGCACATATACACCATGGAATACTATGCAGCCATAAAAAATGATGAGTTCATGTCCTTTGTAGGGACATGGTTGAAGGTGGAAACCATTATTGTCAGCAAATTATCGCAAGGACAAAAAACCAAGCACTGCATGTTCTCACTCATAGGTGGGAATTGAACAATGAGAACACATGGACACAGGAAGGGGAACATCACACACTGGGGCCTGTTGTGGGGTTGGGGGAGGGGGAAGGGATAGCATTAGGAGAAATACCTAATGCTAGATGACAAGTTAGTGGGTGCAGCACACCAACATGGCACATGTATACATATGCAACTAACCTGCACGTTGTGCACATGTACCCTAGAACTTAAAGTATAAAAAAAAAAAGAAACGATCATCTCCAAATCAAAATAAGGAGCATAACCCAGTGAGTGCTACCCCAGGAAATGTAGTATTTAGCTTTTAGTTATTGGGCATGCACTCTGACTATCCAGTTTGGGCTAGGATGGATTTGGAGTTTGATTCCCAAGTTTTTAAGTGGTGGCCAGAGGGGAAACATGTCCAAAAGCAAAGGAAAAAAGTGGGGGAAAAAATCATGCTGTTGATTTATGTACCTGATGTCAAAGGAAGAGTAGAGAAGTGCCAGGCACTCAGAAAAGGGGGTTGAACGCCTGGATTCCAGCTGTGCTTCTGCCATCAGAGGCTGGGTGTCCTCAGTGGTCATATAGCCCACAATAAAGCAGCTCTTTCACCTTCCATAGGCCCCACCCTCCAAACGTGAAGCCTGGCTTCAGAGACCCCTCTGGAGTTCTCTGTGCATCCAGCATGCATTTCTTTCTTTGCATTTACCATGTGGGTCACAATGATATTTTTATGAGCCTCCTCCTTACAAGTAAGCTTCTCCTGAGTTGTGGGTGTTTTTAACTTAGCCCTTGATTGCCAAAGCCCAAGGTAGTATGAACCCCAAATTTCTTTCCCAACTATATTCTTTGATTATTGCACACAAGACACCTAAAATAAGCAACCCTTATAGAATTTTGTTAATGTTAGAAGCCATGTGACTTCTTGAGTGCTGAGATATCTAATAGGTTCTTAAGTTGATCTGAGAGGGAGCACCTGGGAGAGAAAAAGAGTGGACACAGGGTTTTAGCCTCCCAGTGTAGACCAGTACTGCCCATATGTCTTTGTATTATGCCCTCGAAAAAATAATAATAATGGTAGGAAAAAATAGCCAAGGAGGCTAGCATTTTGAAGGGAACATGGGAAAGCCTGGAGAAAAAGGATCAGAAGCAACTGGAGAGAAGAGTGGGTGTAAGAGAAGAGAATTGTGGTCAAGGACACAGCTCTGAAAATGGACAGAGGCTTTTGATCTACACTTTTACTCAGATGGCAAATTCTGAAAACATCTGAGGCTTTTTGCATTTTTGTCACTAATACTTTATCGGGGCTGCTTCAAAATGAGTTTTAACAGAAGCACTTTAAAAAAGATTGAGACAAAAATGTAATAATTGCACACTCAGGCTTGTAATTTCAGAAATTCACAATGTTAAGGGCTCCAAACACACTACTTCAAATTTGGATTCCCTTTCACTCTTCACGAAGGATCAGTCTAGTCAGATTGAAACAGATCACTATTTTCAAGTCACATCAGCAAATAGCTGGAGTCCATTGTCAGAGTGAAAAAACTGTATTTTTTCCATAATTCAAAAATAATTGAAAGAATGTAGCTCACCAATTTTGAGATAATGAATTTTTTTTAGATAATGGTTAAGTTCAGTCCAATCTTAGAAAATTCCAGCCCCAAAGTTTTTTTTTTTTTTTTTTTTTGGAGAAAATAAAGAGAAAGGAATCAATGAGCAACAATGGCGTGTTAGAGCAAAAACCATCGTTTTTAGCTGTTATCTGTCACAGTCCCTAAAGGAATACAGAATACATTTTTTTAAAGATATCTTTGTTGACAAAAGTCAAGAGAAAAAATGTGCTCTCCTGAGTCAAAAGGAGTCACCAACAAATTGTGATACATTTAATTGCTCAGGGTTGATGAGATGTGGATGAGAAAGAGGGAAGGAGAGACGAGGAGATATATTCCTCTTGAAGCACTGAGGGTAGTTTATCTTCATATATTTTGCAGGTATTTTATACCAGCCTAAAGCATAGTGCAGGCCCTTCCTTACCTTGTCTTCTCCAGAAGAAAAGAAGAAAAAGAGAATGCAAAAAAAAAAAAAAAAGAAAAATCATCGTCTTGATGGTAAATAGAGGAGGCACTTGTGCAGCCCTGGCCCCTGTCATTGTCTTCATTGTAAGCTGTGTCAGAGCCATCACATCAGGTTGCCACCACAAGATGCATGCAAATAGAGAGAGCAAAGCAGACAGCGTGCGCAGCCACCACCTGCACATTTCAGATTGTTGGCAGGTACGTTGCAGCGGACTAAAACAGAATAATTACTGGAGATAGAGTTGGCAAGTATAGTGTATGGGAGAGGCATTCAATTGCACATGAGTATGATAGGTGAACTATAAAAAAAATGGTGTGGGGTGGGGGAAATTCCCCGTTAAACACCAGACAGCTGGCAATTCTGATCTTCCATTTTGTTTTCTATGAAATAAGAAAGGCTGACCTATGAAGTCAGATGATAGCAGATTTGGGACCATTGATTTAAGCAGGGGACAAAGAGAGAAAAATCTAGGTCTGGAGAGGAAGAGGACCACCTTGAAAGCTGAACGGAAAAAGCTGTCACGGGCCAGGGACATACTGGGAAAGATGTGAGAACAACACAGTACATGAATACATTCAGGGTAGACTATTTCTTTGTAAACACTGGGATGTTTATTTTACCTATCATAAAACTGGGCCAGTCATTGTTCTAAGCATTTCACATTTATTAACTCATTTAGGTCTCTGAGTGACCTTATCATTGCTCTTCTTAACATCACCATTTTATACATATAGATGAGAAGCCAAGTCATGGAGAGTTAAGTGACTTGCCCAAGATCATTTAGCTGTTGTGGCAGGATAGGGAATTCAGCCCAGGCCACCTACCCCGCAAGTACACACTCTTAACCATAACATTGGGCTGTCTCCTAATGAGAATGTACAGGTTGGGCTGGGTGTGGTGGCTCACGCCTGTAATCCCAGCACTTTGGGAGGCTGAGGTTGGCGGATCACCTGAGGTTGGGAGTTCAAGACCACCCTGACCAACAAGGAGAAACCCCATCTCTACTAAAATTCAAAATTAGCCAGGTGTGGTGGCACATGCCTGTAATCCCGGCTACTCGGGAGGCTGAGGCAGGAGAATCACTTGCACCCGGGAGGCGGAGGTTGTGGTGAGCAGGAGATTGCACCATTGCACTCCAGCCTGGGCAACAAGAGCAAAACTCCGTCTCAAAAAAAATAGTAATAATAAAAACAGAGAATGTATAGGCATGTTAAATGGGATGTTGTCAGAAATTTACATAGAACAGCAACCAAAAAGTGATCATTTTATGAAAGTTATCTAAACTATTCAAAGTGAATAGCATTATGTTCCCAAATGTTAGTTATTTGCATAAGAGCTATTTTTTCTATGTAAATCTCTGATAACATCCTATTTATCAAAGTTTTATCAATTGAATGCCTAAAACATATTATGACTCATTCTTTAAAAAGCTGAAGTATGTATATATGTATGTTACACACTTTCCCCAAATTGCAGTTGCATGTTGGGCTGGGATGATCGGCCTCAAGGTCACAGACCATGGGGCCATTAGCATCTACCTAGTTTTTATCATTTGAGCCACTCCTAACAGTGGCACCTTAATTTCACCCAGCCAGAGTCCATGCTCCCCTATCTTCCTAGCAATACCACCCTTCCCCCATTTCCCCAGATATCTACTCCAAATTAGTGCACGATTTTCCCTTGGCAATCCTTATTAAGCTAGTAGTAAACATGTGACTTGTTACCCTCATTAGATTAAAGAAAATAAGTTATGTCCTATTATATCCCAAGGTTCCTTTCCCATTTTTCTTTCTTTCTCTCTCTTTCACTCTCCTTCTCTCTCTCACTGCATGAGGTCATAGAAACATCCAGCCCTGGCAGTCCTCTTGCATCACCTACAAGGTAAATCAGCTTAGTACAAAGCCTGACAACTGCAGAAGGGGAGATGAAAAGAACTAGGTCCTTGGTAGTTATCATTGGGCAGCTGATTGTACTGTGCCTGGAACCTACTTGACCTTTGAACTTCCTGTCTTTTGAGAAAATTTCCATATTGTTTTTCTGTTACTTGAGGCCAAAAGCATCCTAACTGTTACAAGCCTAAGACCTGCACTCTTAAATAGAACACTTCCCTGCATGCTCCATTTAGGCCCTGAGCAGCTTTAACACCAATATCCAAATACTTCTGGATCTAGAGTTTTTAGCTGTGAGACCCTTTGAATCTAGAAGACTCTTGGAGGCTGTCCAAAGTCATGGGCAAATAAGCTCTGAGACTCTCTTAATGTACTCTGTACTCTGACAGTAGCAATATCTTGGAAAGGAGTAGGGTAAGAGTAGACCCGGTGAGGATCAATGGATAGCAGAAATTTGTCAGAGGAAAGAGTCTTCATTTTCTTACTGGAGTTGCTATTTTCCCCCTTACAGCATTGGTGTAGTGGGTAGGAAAAAAGGGCACATTTTTCAGTAAGAACGCTAATATCAAACATTGTCTTCACCACTCATTAGCTGGGTGACCTTAAGCAAATTACTTAGCCTCAATAAACCTATTTTCCCACCTGCAAAAATAGGAGTAATAAACTTGTTGTCTCTATTCTTGTGAGGATTATAGATAATAGATTCTCAATGACATGTACTAAGTCCCCAAATGGTAACGATTATTATGATCTTTGATTCTGCATCACTAGTTTCCAACACTCTCATTTATTCAACAAACAACTATTGAGCACCTACATTGCCAAGTATTGTCATAGGCACCAGTGCTTAATAACACATTTATTGCACATCAGTATATATTATAAGGAAAATATTTATGCATTAGGTCTAGAAATTAGGTAGATACTAATCAGACAGATGTGAACAAGTGTATATATACCTCTATTTTTTGAAATCTTTCTCTTAGGATGCATTTTCCTCCTTTTTCAGTCCTATTATAACTTACTCAAACAAGAAGGTACAGAAGCTAGGACTTTCTTTTAGGAAAATCACATTCTTGTCTCCTTCTAATCCAAACTTTGTAGTCTACTTTGTTAGGGAAAAGATACGGCAAAGTTTGAAGATGAATATGAAGAACTCTATGTGGGAAGAATGAGAACAAGTCCAGCCCCTTCTCCTTTGTAAGACTATGAGTTGAGATGTTCATCCTGATGCATCATCTTAAAGTTAATTCTTATTCCAGAGGTGAGGAGCCAACCTCCCTGCATGCCAGGAGGAGCCACCCCAGCTGTCCTTCATGATGTTTTTATCTCTGGACACTTCTCAGCAATTCTGGACAGCTAGCATAAGAAAGCTGGCATATTCCTTTTCAAATGTGGTAGGACCAGAAATGGCCACCCAACAAGAGAAGAACTTCTGAAGAATTCATGAATTCACAGGTATGGATTAGGTTTTCTGCCCATATGGAGATTTATCCTTCAACTTTCCAGAAAATGTTACGATTAATTGAGGAGAGAGTGTTTTATCTATGCTTGAGTTGAGGCTTTAAAGGCAGAGCTATTTTCCTGAGGCCATTCTGTTGCTGGAGGCAATAATCATTAAAGAAATTTCCCAAGGGAATGGAGAATCTTTGAGTTTCAGGAACTCAGAGTATAGAGGCTCCTCCCTACTTGGTGATTTTTTTTCCCCCTCCATTGCCAGCTCTGGAATTCTCAATGTTATTTTGTTAAGGGAGTTTGCAGTTTCCATTCATACTAATTCATGTGGATTAGCTCACTGAATTTTTCTCATTTCCCTCCAACTGAACGAGTCTCCTTTGGAGACTCTGCTGGAAATTGGTATTATCAAGAAAAGTGGTAACACAAGTGAAATCACTTTCATTTCGCTGTGTCCCCAACAGGGACAAGTAACATGTAAACTTTGCCAACACCTGCTTGATGGGTTAAATAACTGGCCAAGTATGTTCAGTCAATTACTGGCATTGTGAAAAACAGTTCACTTTGACCTTCTGAGGACTGTAACTATTACTCCTCTATTTGACTTCTATATTTGTATGGTTCGTTTGTTTTTCATAACAATGGAGCAACTGGTTGCTTTAAAAAAATTAATCAAGATAAAAAAATTAAACACCACAGTCTTGACAAAGCCTCTTTTTTGCTCTACGCTTTGGAGATTAGAAAAGGGTATAACTTATGGTCTCTAAATTCCAATTGCGTCAGAAGCAAGACATAAGTCAGGTAAGACTGAATAGAAATGAGAAGGCAGGAGAGGATGGCTTGTTACATGACTGTTGTGGAATGCATGCCTAAGACATCTGCTGGCTAGAGTGATCAAGGCAGGAGTTGTAAGAAGACCTTGAAGAATGCGTAGGATATAAAGAATGACAAATGAGAGAAGGAGAAGTCTGGCAGGAAAGAACAGTGTCCAGGAAGGCACCATAGTGAATGTCCAGCTTTTCTGGACCACAGAAAGGCTGAGCTTCTATACCAGAGCCAGTCAGTTTAGCTTTGAGTATGAAATTCAGGTATTTCCAATTGTGTCTTGCAAGCACTGGAGAGACATTGAAGACTGCACAGGTAAATGTTACGAAGAATGTGGAATTTTGACTATTAATCTAGCAGGTGTGGGAGGGAGGGATTAGAAAAGAGAAGAGAGGTGTCAAGTGCAGTGGCTCACACCTGAAATCCCAGCACTTTGGGAGGCTGAGGCAGGCAGATCACTTGAGCTCAGGAGTTCGAGACCCACCTGGCCAACATGGTGAAATCTTGTCTCTACTAAAAATACAAAAATTACCTGGGGATGGTGGTGGACCCCTGTAATCCCAGCTACTCAGGAGGCTGAGGCAGGTGACTCACTTGAACCTGGGAGGTGAAGGCTGCAATGAGCTGAGATCGCACCACTGCACTCCATCCTGGGTGACAGAGCAAGACTGAAAGAAAGAGTAAAAAATTAAGAGAGAAACAAAGAATGAGCAAGACAGGAAGTGATTGCAGAGGCCATTGCATCCTAAATCAGGATGCAGTTAGTGGGGATAGCCGGAAGGGAGTAGCAGGATGATGATGAACAATTATTTTCCCTGTGAAAACTCATTGACGGTTTCATATTTCTTCACTGCATTTCACGGAGAAAAAATTACAATACTGTCTTCAGGAAGTTCAAAATGCAGATCATTATACAGTTCTGATTTTTTCAGACCTGAAGAGTAATATTAAAAGCTTAGCAGTTATATATTCAGTATAGTCCAGAATCCATTCTCTTCATTGCGTGTAATATGGATAAGTAAAATATGCTTCCTGTGAATGATTTGTTAGTAAGTATATCAATAATGTATAAAGAAAACATATCTAAAATTTAATCAGAGTTTCTGATTATAAACTATATGAATCAGTAAGATAACATACTTGGAGTGGAATCTTCAAGTCAATGTTCAGATACTAGCCTTTAAATTAAATTTTAGTCATCAAATCAGGTCATAAAATGTCATAGCCTAATTCTCACCTCATGACTGAGAGGGTAACTAAAGACAGATAAATGATTTCTCACCTCTCATGCTTGCCTCTCCCTTCGCCCGAATCTTGATTATGGCAAAAGCCATATTGCGAGCTACTTGGTGGCTGAGCAAGTCTTTCTTAACCTTTTATTTATTCTCATACATATAAATCAGAATGGGGCAAAAGGCAACATTACTAACTGCCAACTTTGTCTAACACGTATAGTCCCTTCCCTGCTCCATGCTCTGGTTAGGATCGCAAAACTCAAAGAAATATGAGAAGAACCAATAATCCTGACAGATACAGGGACAGAGAATGAGGACCAGCTGCTTTTCTTCCGTCACACCCCCTCAACATACCTCCCAATGGGCTGAGCTTTCTCCATCTACAGGAAAAATTATTTCAATCCTTTAAAAAAAAGTTTAGCTAGGTTCTCATTTTCAACTCTTAGGGCTCAAAACTACTTTGTAGCTAAGGCAATTTTTAAACTCTTAGCTTCTTTAAAGCAGATACCATGTTTTATTTATTTTAAATGCCATTTTCTTTGCTCCATCCTTTTAATACCTATCTTAGACACTGGAAAACAGCAGACACTTGGTTGATATTTATTGAGTAGAGTTTTTGAATCATATTTTTTTAAAGATATAGATTGAAAACACATAAACCAAAAGAATCAGGAGTCAAGATAATTTTAATAAATTATACATTTAGCTTTCAGGTGTAGTACATAGCCACTGTAGTATCCCTTTGAAGAGAGCACTGGGCCATGTGGGTTTTAGACACCGGCTGATGCTGAAATATCTTGTCCATTGCAACCTGACAAAATGCAACAGAAGGTGATTCCTTATTGAATGGCCTTCAGATGGTTAATTTTGTTTCCTGATGGCAGATACCGAAGCTACAGAAAAGCTGTTCTTGTTGTTCAAAGGGCCTTTTCAATTTTTAATTTGACAAGGAGAGTTACATGGTCGACGATACATGCAGACCAGCAGTTATCTCTCATCATCAACTTCTCTGGTACTTTTCAACCCATCTTGGCTGAAAGCAGCTCTATTGTAGGTACTTTTTCTGGCTCTAGCCTACATGTTGTGTGGTTCAATGACAAGATCCCTGATAAACTGGAACAGAGAATGAGGAAATGGGCTTTTAAATGATCAACTGATCGTTCACTTCTCTAGGTTTAGTTTCTGCCTGACAGACTTATTAAAGAAAGGAGTCACACAAAGAAAACTCAGAATATGTTCCCCAGGTCCTGGTCAAATGAGAATCACAGAGCCAGAGGGCACCTTAGAGGTCATCTCTTCTGACTTTGCCATTTTAGGGCAAAAGGAAACTGACACTCAGAGAATTAGATGACTCACCCAAGGTCATGCAGCTCATGTTAGAGCCAGGACAGCTTGTACAGTCTGCTTTCTTGCTGACATTTTTTGCTGACTGATGTTAGGGAAATCAAGAAGATGCCCTAGTTTTTCCAAAACTTTCCCAAGAATAACATTGTGTGAGGGATTATTCTGTGTTCTTGGTTTCCATAGCTAAATCACCATTTTAAATGGGTGAGGTACTGGGAGGAACACTGGATGTGAATTTGGAATTGGTGGGTTTTGTATAAAACCATTGCTATAATTTATTGAGCACCTATCATTTGCTAGACATTGTACATACATTATTTTTATCTTCACAATGAATCTGGAAGGAGCCCTATTTTGTAGAAAAAAGGCTGAGGCTTAGGGACTTGAAATATCTTTTCCTGTGTCATGCAGGTTTTCAAATCCAGTGTTTGATTGATTCCCACAATCCTACTCTTTCCCCTGGACCACACTACACCTATTAATAATGTGCCCTTAGGCAAGTTACTTAATGTCTCAAAACCACAGTACAGTTTCCTCAACTGTAAAATGAATACATTAATATTCTTCCTAGCATTGGTGTATGATGAAATGAGAACTAATGTATGCATATGGAGTACCTGGTTTTGGACTTGACACAAAGATATTCAACATAAGCTAGTTCCATTCTACACCTATATCCCTCTCCTATTTGAATTTTTCAGCAGGATTTACATTTGGAACTATATTGACTTGTGTGGAAGAGAGAAATTTGAAACACTTGCAAGGTGTAAGAAAAGGACAGAAATGGATTAAATATTTTAGATGATAATCCCAAACTGTCAGAATAACCTGACAGCAAAATTTAGATGGTAGAGAACATGCTCCAAGCCTGTTTCTTCAGAGTGAAATAATTGAATCAACCACAGTCAAAGAAAGGACTAACTCTAATTCAGAATCCTAAGTTTGAAATGCAGGTAGGGTTTCCAGAAAAATGTGTTCAATATTGAAGTAAAGTATTACCTTCATTGGACAGTGGATTTTTTTTCTAAGTCTGCTTTATTGATCCTACCCTGTATGTTCCATACAAAATGAAAAGAGGCAGGCATATCCATTTAATAACTGCAAGTAGGCATCAGAAATTATTTGACCATTTCTTGAAGCAATGTACATTCTTTTGTACTACACTTCTGAAATCATAGTCTAAAATTTACAAAAATCCAATTTGCATGCAATCTTTCAGAAATACTTCTATTGTATTTAGCCAAGAACACTTTTTATAGTTGATAGCAATCAAAGAGGTATATATTAAGAGGATAACAATGTAATGAAAACACAAATAAAAAGAATATCATGCTTGACTCAGGCCCCCAAAGAGAGAGTGGAGGACTGATAAGGAAAATCACACTGGAACAAAACAAGATCAGTAAGTGTTTAGACTTGGTAATTGACCATAGGAAAAATCATCACACAAATTCTTGAATGAAAAACTGTGTGTTTATGACTGAAATATGAGCAGACAACTTCTTTTAAACATTTTATCACACAAGACTTGAAAGAAAGATGACTTCTAAGCAGAAAGTTGTGTCGTCTAGAATGTAAGTTGCAAGATGGGGCGGCTCATCTGTGTTTATCATTTATTGCTTTTTCTGTTACGTTAGCATAGTGTTTTGCCTAGAGGGAGTACTTAAATAATTATTAAATTAGTGAAAATAAGGAATAAGGTCTAATCTGTGGTAGAAGAAAAGTTCACCAGAGAGCTGCTGAATAAAGATTTGGCCCAAAATGTGCATGGTATAAGATAAAGAATTCTCAAGGCTTTGGGATTTTACCCCTTGCCCTAGTGTGCCCTGGACGTGAGACATGGAGTTAAAGGAGATTATTTTGGAACTTTAAGATTTAATGGCTGCCCTGCTGGGGTTTCAAACTTGCATGGGGCCTGTAGCCCCTTTCTTTTGGCTGATGTCTCCCTTTTAGAACAGGAGTGTTTACCCAATGCCTGTACCCCCCTTGTATTTAAAAAGTAACTAACTTGTTTTTTATTTTACAGGCTCATAGGTGGAAGGGACTATTAGCCTTGTCTCAGATAAGACTTGGGACTTTGGACTTTTGAGTATGCTGGAAGGAGTTAAGACTTTGGAGAACTATTGGGAAGAGATTATTATATTTTGCAATGTGAGAGGGACATGAGATTTGGAGGAGCCAGGAGTGGAATGATATGGTTTGGATCTGTGTCCCCACCAAATCTAACGTCAAAATGTAATCTCTCGTGTTGGAGTGGGCCTGATGGGAGGTGATTGGATCATGGGAGTGCAGTTCTCATGAATGGTTTAGTACCATCCCCCCTTGGTACTGTACTGTGATAGAGTTCTCATGAGATCTGGTCATTTAAAAGTGTATAGCACCTCCCCCTTCTCTCTCTTCCTCCTACTCTGGCCATGTGTCTCACTCCCCTTTTGCCTTCCACCATGATTGGAAGCTTTTTGAGGCCTCCCCAGAAGCAGAAGGAGCTATGCTTCCTGTAGAGCCTCCAGAACTGTGAGTGAATTAAACCTCTTTTCTTTATAAATTACCCAGTCTCAGATATTTCTTTATAGCAGTGTGGGAACCGACTAATACACAGAGGGTTCTGTATTAGTGTCATTGTGCTGGTTTTTCTGTGGGTAATGCAAGACAGAGAAATCTGCCTAAACGCATTTTATGCTACAGTATTGTCTTCCTAATGCCTAGCATCCTTTTCCACTGGGCATTAGTTCAGAGTCTGCCTACCATTCTTTACCATGGAAGAAGGTAAATTACAGTTACAACATGTATTTTAAAATAAATTTTCTATAAAATATCCCAAGTCCCTGTCTACAAGTTACCAATTATGGAGTGAATCTTGGACAAGTCACTTTAACAGCAGAAATTGAAGGTGCTCTGGAAAAGTAAGTGATGTTCCGATTTTGGTATAAACAATACTTCTCTGATTTAAAGGAGTTTCAGAATACTCTATGAAATTGATCAGCATACATTCTGCAATTTAAAATACATTGTTATTATTGTGGTGCGGTAATTGGGTAGAGTGGCTTTTCTACCACAGGATTTGCCTTTATGAAAGTCCTTTCCATTCAGGATGTGGGGCTGTTCCACCTCCTAAGAACATAGACACTCCTGGGATTCAGTCTAGTCTTCACAGGTCCCAAGATTAGATTTTAATGCAAAATCTGAGACTTTTAAGATGAATTTTTTGTTCCTTGTGTGTCCCCACCCCATTCTTCCTTGTTGCAGCTGACTCCCATCTTTACTGTATAGAAACTTTCTCCATTTTCTGGGCACTTTGTATTACATCTCCAGAATGCTATAATCTTACCTGGCCTGACAGTAGAATTCTGATCCTGTTCCAAACCTGCATCCACCAAATGCTGGATGAACTCTCTCTAATGACAGCTGGCTTCCAGTCCCACTTGGCAATCAACGGGGAAGGTGGAGGCTTTCTTCCTATTTGCAGGCTAAATAATGGCTGTAGAGAAGAGAAGCTGCAGACCCAGACTCAGAGAAGACTATATGCTCAGCATCCTCTTAGAGAATTGTCTGGGACTAGGCATAAGAAAGAGGAAGGAAGACATTTCTTTTCTTTAAGTTATAAAAATGGAATAAACTAGTACACCAGAGGAGGTAATTTACCCAAATCATTCTGGTGGCACAAACAAGTAAGTTATTGACACACACATGACTGCAGAATTGGCCCGGTGCTTTACAATCACTCCTTGGCTAATCCTTCTCAGAACTGTTAAAAGCAGGCAGGCAGGAGGATGCCTTCCAGGAAACCATGGAAATGTTTGCTTCCACGTCTCAATGTTTTGAAAGTGTTGGTCTTGTTTCCTCAGCTAGAATATAAACTCTTTGAAAAAAGGAACCACATCTGGGTGTAGTTGACAGAATTTTAAAGTGGCCTTGTAATCTCTGATTCCTTTTGTTATGCTAGCATAATCTGTTCCCTTCTGAGTAAGGGCTGGACTTCAGACTTGTTTCCGGCTAGTAGAATATGGTAAAGGTGATCAAATGAAAGGAGGAAATTATTCTTCTAGCCTTAAACAAGCAGATAGTCATGTTAGAAACTGCCCATGAAGAGGGTCACACGGCAGGGAACTGCATTTATTTGCTGAGAGCAGTCCCCAGCCAACAGCCAGCAAAAACTGTGAAGACTCAGTCCTCCAATCACAAGGAGGTGAATTCTCCCAACCATGAGAGGAATCTTTGAAATAGATCTTCCCCTAGGCAAACCTTCAAATCAGAACACACCTTTGCCAATGCCTTGATTGCAGCCTGGTGAGACCTTGTACAGAGAACACATTTAAGCTGTGTCCAGACTCCTGACCCACAAAAACTGTGAGATAACAAATATGTATTGTGTTCAGGCATGGAATTGTGGTAATTCATTTTGCAGCAATAGTAGTAAGAAATTACAGAAACTACACTACACATTTTAGCAGAATTCGGGCCACTTACATAATTTTAATCTCATGGCCTTTCATTAGTTTTACAAAGGCAGTTTCAACACCCAAATAAAGAGTTGGGCAGTTTTAGGGAGGGACTATTATTATCTTTGCTTTAAGGTTAAACTATAAACTAAATTCCTCCCATGGTTAGCTTGGCCAACGCCCAGGAATAAGCAAGGACAGTCACCCTGGGAAACTAGAAGAAAGATTGAGTCAGCCATGCTAGATTTCTCTTACCGTCATAATCTTTGCAAAGGTGGTTTCAAGAGGCTGGCCCAGTCAAAGTGCCTGCCAAACACACGTGGTGATGCCAGCTTCAACTTGGTACAGCCACCACCATGCCTCACCTGGAGACCCCCTGAGGCACACACAACCAGACCCCGACCCTCCCCATGCTCACAACCAGGTCCTTGGGGTGGGCTGTACAGAGTAGTAGAAGTTTCTGGGAAACTAGAAGGTGGTTGGGAGAAGCCAGGGCACCCGAGTGTGTCCAAGAACCCATCCATGGAAAGTTGGGAGTGACAGGAAGTGGGACCATGCAGAGTCCATGCTCCATTGTACTATTAGACTTCACTGCCAAAACACAAAATCAAAGATAAAGAGAATTTTAAGACAATAGGCCCAGAGCATTAGATCTTAAGTGTGGGCCTTTCTAAGCACAGGACCCTGTGTGACTGCACTGATCACAAGCTCTTGGAGCCACCTGGCTTGAGGGGAGTACCAATTAGGAGGGTGTGGAGGGGGTATGTTCTATATACTGATTTTACTCTGCTCTCTATTCAGTCCCTCCAAGTCCAATACTCTCATTTACTTTCTCTGCACTCCTCTATCCCATGAATTTGTATATGCACTTGGGAATGGGCATAGAATTGTGGGGGAGCTTCTTCCAACTTGTGCTTAGAGTCTTCTTTGTGGTGCATCAGACACTTTCTATCTCCTTTGCTGTGGTAAGACCCCCCTCGCCTGAAAAAGTGGATTCTTCCTGGTCTAGCTAAAATGGGAGTAAAGTCCCAGGGTAAGAAGAAAAAACTTGCAATGAAAAGTGTAACTGCTTGGTATATAAAAATTATTTCCACCTGCAGGATTCCTATTACTTTATCATAAAAATCAGTGTGTGTGTGTGTGTGTGTTTGTGTGTGTGTATGTGCACGCGTGCCCATGTACACGCACCCACACAGGAATGTATAATGTACCTGTTCATGTATGGAAATGAGTTTTGCTGAAGAGTCCAAGAAATATATGAGAAGCACACATTTAAATGTATACTTTACTGTCACACAAAATAGCCTTTATTGGTAGTTACTACTATTGGGGAAGTTTTTGGATGAGCTCAGTGAGCCATATTTTGCTCTTTCTAATTGGCGATTGTAGTAGTCCATTCTCACACTGCTAATAAAGACATACCCAAGACTGGGTAATTTATATAAAGAAAAGAGGTTTAATTGATTCAGTTCTGCTGGGCTGGGGAGGCCTCAGGAAACTTACAATCATGGTGGGAGGGGAAGCAAATACATCCTTAGTCACATGGCGGCAGGAAGGAGAAGCGCTGAGCAAAGGGGGGAAAGCCCCTTATAAAGCCATCAGATCTTGTGAGAACTCACTCACTATCACAAGAACAGCATAAGGATAACCACCCCCATGATTCACTTTCCTCCCACTGGGTCCCTCCCATGACACATGGGGATTATGAGAACTACAATTCAAGATAAGATTTAGGTGGGGACACAGCTAAACCATACCAGACATAATAATGTATTTTTTTTTTAAACAAATACCTCCTCTTAACGGGACTGAATCTTGGGTCTCTACCCACTACTTGACTTAAATCAAAGATGTCTGATATATAATCCAATAATATGATTTTCAAAAGGACATTAGGGAAGACAGTCCACAGAGTAATCCTGTTAATATTTCTGCTATTGAGACATCTTTTTCCTATATTTAGAATACCCAGAAAGAATGGAATCTAAATATTTAAATGTCTCACAGAAAAAAAAAAATCTGACAACTGGAAAATGTCTTAAAAGCCTATAAAGTCTGGTGCTAGATAATCAGAATCAGCTAATAGGATTCATTTTTATTAAAGCATTTCAAATGATCAAGTCACTGACGCGTTTTAACACTATAATGACATAATACCCTTTCCCCAACTCTTTGAAGAGGCAAAATGTTCACAGATTGAGCAAGTTCAACTGTACACAATGTTTTCATAAGCACAGAAATATTACTCCATAAGAAATACTTCTGGTATGAATGATGAGATTTTGAGAAAGCATCATTTAGGTATAAAATGATCTAGTTGCCTGTGGTTATAAATTACTTCAGGCCCAGTCATCTTTCCCTTCCTCCCCCGGGTTCTCTTTCTCCTTGATGACAAAGGGAGTTCTGAGCATGGAAGAAATGAACCAAATGATGAGGTGAACAAGAACCTGACCCCGCCTAAATTATTTTCTCTCCCTGCAACCCTCCCCACCCTTTTGTCGTGTGTAATAACGAGGGTGTGGCAGGAGGTAATCAACAGAGGGGCACAGACACTTGAAGAGAAGACAGAACAACATTTCCTGCCAGGAAGTAATCCCAACTTTCAGCTTTAATTCCAGCCTCAACACTCATCCTCATAAGAATGAAAAAAGAAGTAAACAGTGATGCTTTACTCTCTATGCGAGAACTAACTTGTCCAAGCACCCAATGCAGTGGCCCTGTAGATAAAGGATGCTGGGGCAATGTAATCATTTTTATCAAAAGGAGGTATCTGACTTCTGTGCCCCATAGAGGGCTATAGAATACAGTAACCTCATGCGGAACTGGGTGGCTTGAAGAGACTCATTTGCATGGGAAATGCCAGAAGAACTATTGTCTAGTGTCTATGCTTTGCTGGTCTAGCATGCCCATATTATAAATTCAGAAAAGGCTCTGTAGCCCAGGCTGGAGAGCAGTGGAGCAATCATAGCTCTCAGCAGCCTTAACCTCCTGGGCAATCCTCCCATCTCAGCCTCCTGAGTAGCTGAATTAGAGGTGTACCACCACACCTGGCCAATTTTTCATATTTTTTTTTATAGAGACAGGATCTCACTATGTTGCCCAGGCTGGTCTGGAACTCCTGTGATCAAGTGATCCTTCTGCCCCGGACTCCCAAAGTGTTGGAATTATAGGCTTGAGCCTCAGGGCCCATTGAAACTTTTTTTAGTTCATGGAGGAATGACTCAGCACACTCCCATGGGCAGGCAGTATGGCAGAAGTTCAGAACATTCATTCTAAAATAAGACACAACCTGGTTTCAAATCCTGCCACTACCTCATACAAGCTGTAGGATATTGAGCAAACGACTTAACTCCTCAAAAATCAGTTTACTCATTCGTAAAATGCGTCTACTGAGAACACCTTCCTTATAAGGTGTAGTAAGGGTTAAAATTGAGAGTTTATGTAAAGTCTTAACTCAGTGCCTGGCACACGGGAAGGACACAAGACAAGTTGGCTCAGTGTCATGACCACCAGTGATTTCTTATATAATTCATACGTTGTCCACCTTTTTTGTTTTGAGACAGAGTCTCGCTCTGTTGCCCAGGCTGGAGTGCAGTGGCACGATCTCTGCTCACTTCAAACTCTGCCTCCTGGGTTCACGCCTCCCGAGTAGCTGGGACTACAGGTGCCTGCCACCACACCTGGCTAATTTTTTTTGTATTTTTAGTAGAGACGGGGTTTCACCGTGTTAGCCAGGATGGTCTTGATCTCCTCATCTCATGACCCACCCGCCTCAGCCTCCCAAAGTGCTGGGATTACAGGCGTGAGCCACCATGCCCAGCCTGTCCACCTTTTTTTTTTTTATTTTTTATTTTTTTGCATGCCCATAAACCCAGTGAGACAGGGTCCTGGTCTTTTTTAATGTTTTATAAATTGTCCTATGTATCTCTGGTGATTTATAAATAACAAAAACAATACCAGTGCATGTCTAATCACTTGCAAGTGGACATCTTAAAGTTTTCATGGCATTGGAATCATTACAAGCTAATTGGGATCTCGATGATATCTAAATGCTCTCTAGCAGATCCTTCCAGCTGCTGCGCATGCTCTTTTGATTTTTCCCCTTTTCATCTTTTCCACATTATTCTACCTCTAGGAGCAGGAGTCAGCAGCTGGAATTACCACAGGACCTGACTGTTGGTTGTAGGACCCAGATGGCAGAAGCCTGAAAATGTTTCTGGCAAATACCTCCACAAGCCGGAGTGTGTGTGTGTGTGTGTGCTAGCATGCATGCTCCTCCTTTTTATTGGCACTTTAGTTAAATGCCCAGCAGCCGCTTCCTGGCTGGATTCCATTCAAACTACAGTTGGCGCCTGTAAAAACGGCTTTGGCTCCAGTATCTTATATGTGACTGTCTATCATGAAGAATTTTCCCACTGCTGATGATTTCTATTTTTATGAATACTTGAAAATACATGTCTCACATAAGAGTTTTGACCTCCTTTTATCTTTCCAGTGGAAATTCTTTCATAAAGAAGTGTCATCTCTTTTATACAATTACGCTTTGTGAGGGGCTATTTATAGCTCTGTGAAAATTAGAGAACGTAGTACTCCTTTTGACTTTGAGAAAAATTGTTAAGCATCAAATTGCATGTCAAGGGAAAAATGATCTCATGAAAAAATCAACAGGCCTCACTATTTTCCACAGTCCCTCATAGCTCCCACTCCCCAAATACATGGAGGATGAGTAGTCATTACCCTTCAATAAAATAAAACTACCATAAAAAATAAAACTATGCTTTATCTTGCTTGATGCAATAGCTATGCTGCTGGAACGGGGACATTTTAAAAGCACTACAAAGATGAGAGAGTTGTTTTCCAAACAGAAACCACTGGAGAATGCTTTCTGAAAGAAATGATTCTGGAGCTGACTATCCAGAACCTGATATGCATCCTTATTAACTAGGATTTTCTCATACTGCCATTCCTTAAAGTTGGGATCACCTGTTAAAAGGCTAGATGTATTACATGACTTCAAAGCTCTCAGGTCATGCATGAGCACTCTTTCTAGACATTTACTCTCTCTCTCTCTCTCTCTTTCTCTCAGCCATGATTTCTGTGATTTTCAGAAACAGTAAGATTTTCATCCTACTGGGAAATTGAAAATATACTAAACCAAATAAATCACTAAATGTCTCCATTTAAATGTCAAGAGCATACTCCACAATATACCAGATGTGAAAAGAAAGAAAGACTAGTTCAAGGTGTTGGAACCCTGAACAACTAAGAAATGTTTCTTTTAAAATGTAGTCAAAGCAATAAGTAAGGATTATAGGACTTACTCATACAGTCAGTCCTCTGTATCCATGAACTCTGCACCCATGGATTCAACCAATCAAGGATCAAAAATATTCAGAGAAAACCATTGCATCTATACTGAACATGTTTAGGCATTTTTTCCTTATCATTATTTCCTAAACAATACAGTATAATGATTGTTTACATAGTATTTACATTGTATTAGGTATTATAAGTAGCCTAGAGATTATTTAAAGTATATGGGAGGATGTTCATAGGTTATATAAAAATGCTATCCCATTTTATATCAGAGACTTCAGCATCTGTGAATTTTAATATCCAAGAGAGGTCCTGGAACCAGTCCTCCTCAGATTCCAAGGTACGACTGTATATTTCTTCATTAATTAGTGTTTAGAAAATTTACTTCTGGGAAAACAAAAGATATCAATACTTTTTCTAGTGTGAATTTTCAGAAGTTTTGCACAAGAAGTTAAATAAGTCTCCCCAGGAGACCTGGAGGACCCAGTGTCCAAAGAAGGTGGAGATCAGGTGCTGGAATGATTCATTCTGTGAAACATCATCCTGTGAATTTGTTTAGCACTAATCCTCGATTCTGGAAGCTCAATCTGTCTGATAAATCCCAATTCAAATACATGAATGCTTATAGTGACTTTATTTGTAATCTCCAAATACTGCAAACATTTCAAATATCTTTTGGTGTATAAATGGTTAAACCGTGGTTCATCCATACAAGGGATAATACTCATCAGTTGAAAGGAATGAAGTACTGATACCCAAAACAACAAGGATGTATCGCAAATGCATGTCAAAGCAAAACACTAAATTCTATACGATTTCATTTAGATGGCATTCTGGAAAAAGCAAAACTCTAAAGAAAAGAGACCAGTTGTTGTCAGGGGTTTGGGGCCCAGGGGTCTGGCTACAAGTGGCATGGAAGAACTTTTTGGGCTGATAGACCTGTTCTTGATGGTAGTGTGGGTTACATAATTGTATGCATTTGTATAATCTTGCAGAACTATACACTTTTTTTAAAAAGTGAATTTTGCTTATGTAAATTATACCTGAATAAAAAATATATTAAGAACCTATTCCATTAAAAAAACAAAAATGATAAATAAGTTAATGCTAAGTTTGACAGATGTATTTAGGCTAATGATAAGTTTGACAAATTTATTTATAAATATCCTTTATAAATACTTTCAGTATATTAAAAAAAGAAGAAGAAGAAAAAGAAGAAGAAGAAGAAGAAGGAGGAGGAGGAGGAGGAGGAGAAGGAGAAGGAGAAGGAGAAGAAGAAGAAGAAAACAGGTAGTTTAAAAAAAATAATACTGAGTGCCTGGCTCTTTTTGTGGCAGAGTTTCTCATTCTGATGTTACTGCTGGTAACAACTCCAGGCCCGCCACA
The DNA here is from genome assembly GCF_000001405.40 of Homo sapiens. Classification (NCBI taxonomy): domain Eukaryota; kingdom Metazoa; phylum Chordata; class Mammalia; order Primates; family Hominidae; genus Homo; species Homo sapiens. The sequence continues at coordinate 21,110,798 of NC_000007.14, forward strand.
CATCATTGGAGATTTAACCCCCAAGACATTTCTTATATTCTAAGTAGTCACAGTGGCAGAGTTCTTCAGAAGCCCAAGAATATCTAGGCACAGTCTCAAAGATGAGGAAGGGTTCCAGACCACTGCTAGGATGCCCAATATTTTACGTTCAAGAGGGTAAATCTGATCACTCAGGTTCGGGAACCACTGGTTCAAATCAATTACTTTAATACCAATCCTAAAATACGAGATGCCCAGGAATATGCAAAAAAAAAAAAATCTTTTTCTAGGTAAGATCCACTTAAAATAAACCTTAAGGGAAACTCTGTATAAGAAAGACACAAGATAACATACTGCCTTTGGATTATGTTGAAAATAGGAGACCGTGTCACCCAATCATTGATGGTGTCTATTCAGGCCATGGTGGGATATAGGCATATATATGTATGCGGGTATGATGTGTGTGCATGAAGAGCAAAGCCATCTCTTCATTCCTGAGAGCTGCCTCCTTCAGCCACAGCCCTATCTTTTTATACACAGCTATGGATAACCCACCCTCATAATGTGATGGGCTAAATCAATTTTCCTGACTTTCCTAAGTGTTTTGGGAACCACACTGTGATCTGAACTCCCAATGTAGGCCCTTACCTCTGGAAGACCATGTGCACATATCTTGTCACCTTGTTTGGCATATCTGGGCATCCTCCTGCCAAGTACACATACACACATTCAAGTATGAGAGAGCAGTTGGTTACAAAATTTCTGCAAATCGATGAAGTCAGGACTCCTCCTCATTGTGTATATAACTCAGCTTCAGAAATCCAGTCTGAAGAGGTCACTGGGATTCCCCTTTCATGAAATCTATATTTCTAATATACCTGGCTATACAGGCCCCAACTTTTTTTATAAAACCTCCCAAGTCAATATAAGAACAACAACAAAAAATATGTATCCTTTGGAAGATCTTGAAAGTGCTTCAATAAGCAGATGAGAATAATTTGTAATTAGCTTGGTAATTTGGGGGCATGCATGTAAAGTGGATGCCACTAAAGTGATTTTTAATGTACTTGAAAAACAGTTTGCCTTTTCCCTGGAGGAGGCTGAATAGTTTTCTCTTTAGTCCTGTTGACACTATTAATTTGCTTTGCAACCTCTTCTGCCCCCTCCCCTTTCTCTTCCATCTCTATTGCAAACAGAAGCGAGGAAAGCAAGGCTTGGAGAGCTCTTGTAGAGAGACCCATTTGCTCTGGCTCAAGCAATAGCAAGGCCAATCAGCCTGAAATCTGAATTTTTCAGACACATAATAGACCCTTGGCTTATCAAAGCCTCTTATCTGATTGGAAAAAATCAAACGTAAACTTCAGGGCTCATGGAATTAAAAGACAAATGAGATGTCATAATTATCAAAGTGGCTAATTTAGAAAATTAAGCTGTTCACATAGGTGACATAATTGCTTGTCACAATCACTCTTTTTCTCATTAGCTTCTTCCACTCAGCACCTACATGCTGTGGAACAATCTCCGGCCTTGCTTAACAGTATGGGTGTTCTTTTGTGGTTTAGCATCAGGTAATTCTCTCAACTCCTATAAGAAATGCATAGATTTATTCTGGGGTTTATTCAGAGAACAGTTCCAGAAAATCCTGTTCCTTCACAGTTTGATATTTATTTTAAATTTGAGACCAAACTTTCTTTCAAAATAATTAGTTAATTCTCAAGAGGGTTTATAGAGTTGATATAGCATACTAATGTTTCTTGGAAAACATTAAGTGGTTCGGTATATGTAATATTTAAAAACCTCAGAGGCTATATAGAATTTGTTTTTAATTATCTTCCCAAATTCTGCATAGAAGGAAAAGAAATATATTTTCAAGATAGTTTGTTTTATTTGCCTAATGTTTTATTATTTGATTTCTATAATCCAGACAAATATAAATAAATTCACTCTAAGAGAGTTATTTGTAAGAGTGAACACGATACTGTTTATATGTTAGCAAGTTCAGAAATTATTAAGGATAAGGTCTAAGAAAGGAAACCAAAAGGAAGGTCTAAACCATACCATTGTAAATGAGCAAGATTAAATAGTTTGGATGAAAATCACGAATATGAGATTGACTAAAGCCTACTATCTTGAAGAGCTGTAGAATGTGGCTGACCTGACCTATAGAGGGACTCTCTTGATGTTACTCATTTGAAAAGATAGTTCATCCTGAATGCATACAATGAAGCTGTCATCTGTGTTCTGAAATATTATGTAACGATAGTGTTTTGATTTCATTTACGTTGATTTAGCAAAGTAATTGCATTACAACAGCTATTATGGTCACATACTAAAAGACAAAAGCTCAGAAAGAAAAAAAAAAGAAAATCCAATCAAATCCCTAAATATATGGGGTTACTATAAACACTGCCTCTATTCATTACTGAATCTGAAGTGGTAAAGTTAAGGACCTATAGAAATAGAATTATATAGACAGTTTATCCCCCACAGCAATAGATACAAGCTCAATTACATCAATGTTATGCTTAATTCCCTTGATACTCACAGTTGCAATCTTTGATTAAAAAAAAAAAAGCACACTGAATGCTCTAACCAGACAAGAGTGAAGACTACGAAAGAAAAGAGTGTGGACCAGTTGTCTAAGCTTTCTTTGTCCGTTACACCTGCAGTCTCTGATAATACAGCAGAGCCCTTGAGTTGAGTGTATAATGGTTTTTTAATAAGAAAGACAGTGTGCTGGGTTATAGCAGAGGAGATATTAGAGTAGAATTTTTAGAAACAAAGGAAGGGACCAAAAAGCCTGAGAGAAGCTAGTCTTTTGCAGGTAAGTTGGTAGTGGGCTTCAGTGAAGCATGATCAATGTGTGGCAACATCTTCGAGATATCTCGATGGAGAACGGAGAACTAAGGGAACACCTGCCAATTATAGATGGAAACTACGCTTGGCTATTTTCAACAATTTGGCCATTCATTTGACTCATCATTTGAACTATCCATGGAATTCAGTGGTGTTTTAGTGCAATGGTTTCAAGTTGTGCTCTGTTGAGTCTTAGGCATTTGAATCAGGAAGGCAAAATAGACAATGCCCTGTCTTTCAACTCCTCCTGCTTCAACCAGCACAACTGTGCTCTCATCTTTTTATACAGTTGGATTCCATTTAAGGGTGCATTTGAAGATAAAGCTTCACAGCTAAAAAACTGCTTCTTCAGTGAGTAGGCTAGTGTGTGGCTAGAAGATCATATGCTTGCACTAATAACATAACAATGATATTGGATAGGAAGTAACATATTATCTATGTTTTCACCCAAGGCAAATCTGTTGTCAACTCAGAAAGTTACTCCCAACATTCATTTGACAAATATTTATTGAGTTCTCCACTGCTCATTACCCTCCCCTCGGGTCAGCCATAGGTCACTCTAAGACAAGACATCATCTGGTCACTAGAACTGCTCATTTAAACAATCTGCTGTAGCTGTGGTTAGGCTGTCTTTCCAATCACCCAACCAGAAACCAACTTGTGACCTTATTTGGGCTGAATTGTTAGCAAGTCCCTGCCTTATTAGTACCTGTGATGAACTGAATGATATCTTAACAGAAATGGAAGAAACCTAGAGAATATCTGTTTTCTGCTGATAATTTCAGGTGGCAGCAATGAAGAAAAGAATACAGGATGTCTCAATATTTTCACATTTACAGAATGGATCTTGTACATGATACTAGTAAGAGTAGGAAATGTGTGCTGATTCTGTGTCTCTTATGCATCATTACTTAAACAAGTGACTTTCTCAAGTTAAACAAAGAAGTGACAAAAGGGATCTAAACATAAGTCTGTCTGAAACCAAAGCCTACCCACAACACCAGTAACACTTCAAGTGTGGTCTACAGACCCTTTGCCATTCTACAAGGAGATGAGTCCAGGAATTAGGAGGCAGTGTTGTAGATAATTTTGGATGCCTTGACAAAGTAATTTTATACCTGTTAAATGTAATAGTAAAAACTCCAGGCTTATAAATTGAATGTCTTTGCTTTTCATTTCATATTTTAGCAATATGTTTGTAGTATATTTCATTAAAGTATTGATCCATGACAAATTGGGGGAAAAATGCTGAGGCAAAAGCTGGTCTACTCCACAGATCATTTGAGGAGCATCACACTGCACCAAATGGTTCCTAAATTTTGAGCTCTCAAGATAAAATGGATGCAGTACAGAAAGGGTAGCACCACTCTTAGCCTGCAGCTTCTTATCTTTCAATATAAAGGATAATATGAATTCCCAATGACACGACTCAGTTCTGCCATTGAATTATTTCATGTCCAAGCATAAGAACTTTCCCACAGCCTTTTGCCCACTGGCTGACTGAAACAGCATAGAGTGTTTCTGTTCTTGTCTCCAAGCTGTAAGCTCTTCTTCAGCTTCATCACCTTTACCTGGATGCAGGTTTAATCAGTTTCCTTCTTGGACTGAGCTGAATTAAAGGGACACTTTCTAACAGCCAGTTCAGGGGCACCCACTGAAGAAAGATCAAATTTATTTATGATGCCCTTTGGCTAAGTGCTTGCTTTCCTTGACAAAACATCACTTGAGTCTTTAAAGGTTTATCTTTAGGTGTTCTATGGCTGGCCTGAAGCCATGTTCTCTTAAACGGTGATCAAAGGCACAGACAATACAAAATCAATCAATAGAAAGTGTGTTCTATTTAAACATATTGCCTGTTTAGCTTTTTCATTTTTAAAGGGCCAGGGCCGTGTATTGGAGACAGTTACACACAATTCTACTGTACTGTAATTATGTGTATCTTAAGTTGTCCTTATTTTCCCTCTTTACATTCAGAAAGAACTGTCACAATTCAAATATATTTGCTTATTTATTTAAATAACATGCACTAGGAGTTTAAGTAGCATATATATAGTAAGACATATTATTAAGAAGGTAGCTACATCATAATTGTAGCCAAAAATTAGAAACCATAATTTATAAGGCTTTTGTTTAGTACGGGTGCTCACCTTAAAGGCAGGTCTCTTGGTAACTAGAAATATTCCTGTTTTATTATGAAACTCTTATAATAAATTGAGACAAAACTGTTAAATTGTGTTTTGAATCTCATTTTAAGGGGGTGCCACTGTAAAGTTTAAAACAATCACAACAAGTCACTGTTTTCAAAGCTGTACTGCTAAAATACATTTAGTTGCTATCAGAAGTCAGACTGTTGTGACCAGAAATAAACTTACATTTTAAAACGATCAATTACTTCTGCAGAATTAAATCTATCCTAAGTAGCATTTTCTTAGCTGTTGCTTGTTCTGGGTGTACATTTTGTTCTGCCAAGTCGGCAGCCCCTGCGTTATTTTCAAAATAAAGTGCTCAAGCCCCTGACAGAGACTGTCTTGTTATCTCTTTACTGTAAATACGGGTCTTTTGCCAACAGTGAATACACAAACCAAGGAGAGTTGTTTGTGATATAATTTTAACCTACTGATCAATATTGGGCCTTCCTTATCAGAAGCTTTTGAAAAAATCAGGGATGTTCTCTTATATTCTTTGAGGCAAATTGCACATCACTAGATCAAAGGGCCAAAGTACAGACTACTGGTTATCAGATAAAAAGATAATTTACTATTAGATCCATTTTTGAGATTTTAAAATTAGAGAAAATATTTCTTTTTAATTATTATTTTGCTTTAAGTTATGGATACATATGCAGAACACGAAGGTTTGTAACATAGTTATATGTGTGCCATGGTGGTTTGCTGCACCTATTGACCCTAGAGGAGACATTTCTGAAGTGCCAGTAAAAACAAGATTATAAAGAGAGAATTCACTCAAAAATAAATAAAATCTTCAGCAATTATTTGGCAATCTATTTAAAACTTGCTTTCAAACTGAGATAATAAGATTGTATTTGATGAGTCTATGTGGAAATAATGCCATGGTCCAAAGCTATTTTATAAAGTGGAAGCTTAAGAATAAATTACCTGGAAATATCCAAGCTAGGGAAACTTACCTGTTTAAGCATCTGATATGGAACTGGTGTTGATGAGAAATAAAACGTAGCAAACTCAACAAAATGTGACCAGGTTTTCAGTTGGATTTACTCATAGTCTTCATAGATAAAGAGGTATTTTATTTATTTTTCTTTTCCTTTTAGAGACAGGGTCTTGCTCTGTCTCCCAGGCTAGAGTGCAGTGGCTCTATCACAGCTCACTGCAGGCTCCACCTCTCCGGCTCAAGCCACACTTCTGCCTCATCCTTCTGAGTAGCTAGGACTACAAGCACATATCACCATGCCCAGCTAACTTTCTGATATTTTTTGTAGAGATGGGATTTTGCTTTGTTGCCCAAGCTGGTCTCTAACTCCTGGTCTTAAGCGATCTTCCCACTTTGGCCCCCGAAAGTGCTGGGATTACAGATCTGAACTACCACGCCCAGCCAAGAAAAGTCTTTAATTCAGAACTAGTGTTAGTTAAGTAAATGCAAGTTGGCAGGGCAGTTGATTAAGTTCACACTTATGTGATAATATATACCTAACACCTCTCTTAAGCCCTCTTAAGTTGTCCTTCTCCCCTAAAGACAAAAAGGACTGTGGTCAAAATCTCTAGTCTCTTTTGCATAGGTAGTTCTTTGAACTCTATGCTCAAGTCATGGGGATAAATAATTCCTTCTAGGGTAATAATGCCTCTTGAAGTATAGCGGCAGTGCTAGATGCTCTAATATAAGAATAGCTACCCCTGCTTGCTTTTGGTGTCCATTTGCGTGAAATGCCTTTTCCCATTCCTTTAACTTTATGTAAGTCCTTATGTGTCAGGTGAGTCTCTTACAGGCAGCAGATGGTTGGTGAATTCTTATCCATTCTGCAGTTCCGTCTTTTAAGTGGAGAATTTAGGTCATTTACATTCAATATTAGTATTGAAATGTGAGGTACCATGCATTCATTGTGCTCTTTGTGGCCTGTGTACTTTGGTTCTTTTGTTTTTTGTTTTTGCTTTTTGACTCAAAATTTTGTTTTATAGGTCCTGTGTGATTTATGCTTTAAAGAAGTTCTGTTTTGATGTGTTTCCAGGATTTGTTTCAAGATTTAGAGCTCCTATTAGCAGTTCTTGTAGTGAGGGCTTGGTAATGACAAATTCTCTCAGCATTTGTTTGTCTGAAGAAGACTGTATCTTTCCTTCACATTGTTGGCTGATAATTGTTTTGTTTGACAAGGCTGAAGATAGAGCCCCAATCCCTTCTAGCTTGGAGGGTTTCTGCGAGAATCTGCTGTTAATCTGATAGGTTTTCCTTTATAGGTTACCTGGTGCTTCTGTCTCACAGCTCTTAAGATTCTTTCCTCCGTCTTAACTTTGGATAACCTGATGACAATGTGCCTAAGCGACAATCTATTTGCAATTAATTTCCCAGGTGTTCTTTGTGCTTCTTGTATTTGGATGTCTAACTCTCTAGCAAGGCTGGGAAAGTTTTCCTCGATTATTCCCCCAAATATGTTTTCCAAGCTTTTAGAATTATCTTTTTCCTCAGGAACACCGATTATTCTTAGGTTTGGTCATTTAACATAATCCCAGACTTCTCAGAGGCTCTGTTCATATTTTCTAATTCTTTTTTCCTTGTCTTTGTTGGATTGGGTTAATTCAAAGACCTTGTCTTTGAGCTCTGAATTTTTTTCGTCTACTTGTTCCATTCTGTTGCTTAGACTTTCCAGGGCATTTCACATTTCTAAAAGTGTGTCCAAAGTTTCCTGAATTTTTAACTGTTTTTTCTTTAAGCTCTCTATTTCCTTGAATATTTCTCCCTTCACTTCACCTAACCACGGTGATGCCTCAACCCAGGGGTCATTGTATTTCACTAGATCTACTTTTCACTAGATCTATTTGGCCTTTGGACTTCAGCTGGGAAAGAACAACTTCCCAGAAAGAGTCTATGTCCCTGAATGAAATTAACCCCTTTCTAAATAAGCTTTGGTTATTTTCTCCCATTAAAAATGTACCTCTTCTCTCCTTTATGGCAATGGACAAATGCTTGAGTTTGATCTGTAAAAGCCAAGACATATATTTAAATTGTTGTTGGCCTAGCAGAAAATCTCTGTTAAGAGTTTAAAATCGTTTACTTCCTTCTCACTCTCTGAAGCGTATATTATATAAGCCAGATGACTTGCTGAAAAATCTTCAAAGATGCAATGTGTGCATTAGTGTTATTAAAAATGGAATTTAAAGGATTCATTACCTGGCCAAAAATATGTATTAAGCACAAACTATGTCATGAAAAAATGAGACATTTTCATATCTCTTTAATAATTTTTTGATTTAAGAGGAATATGCAGTCTGTACTATTTATTATTATATCATATACTGAGGTATATATGTACATTTATTAAGTACTTAGCAAGTGTTTATTAAGTACTTACTGTGTGCAGAACTTGCTCTAAGTGTGGAAATGCAAAGGCCTACAAGATGGTCTCTGTCATTCCCTGATGAGGCCTGGAACCCTGGAATCCCTCTCAAAACATCATAAATAGACGGGGTTTTTAAACTTTTCTCTGCCATGACCCTTTTGACAGTTCGGTGCTGCCTATGGACTCCTTCTCAGAATGTTTTGAAATCTGTAAAGTCAAATACATAGGATGACAAATACGAATAAAGTCAAATACATAGAAAATCAATATTAAAAATTTATAATTGAAATACAGAAAATAAATGTCTTTTTCCCAATCCGTTTTATCAACACGAGATCTAATGAGATTCTTACCAATGATATCACAGGTACTACAAATTCTCCTGTGATTTGTTGCCTATATTTATAATTGAAGAAAAGGCTAAGTTTCATTAGAGGGTAGTGGAAATAAAGGTATAAAGGTGTAACTCTTTCCCCATCCATGTTTAAGAACTCTCAGGTTTCCAATTTTAGTTAAGTATTCCTGGTCTAAGTTAATGTTAAAGAACAGTTTCAAAAAAAGAAGATCTTAAAATGTTAGCCTTAAATGATGATACAATTCTATTTTTCCTAATTATTAATTGTAATTTTGATGAATCACCCACAAGTATACCATATTCTCCTCTGAAAGAAAAACAAAAGGAACCTTTAAAGGAAAGAAATCTTATCAGTAAAAGGGACAATCTGCTGTTGTCTGTTTATTCATTTGTATCCTGCCTTGCTCCAGGAAGGATTTAAGGCGGCTTGTTCCTATCTAAGTTCCTAGAACTTGGTTAATTAAATCTTCTGAAAATGTAAATTAAAATGCAGTAATGTTATTTGACAAATGGGACCAAATTATTATCATCTTTTAAATAATTATGTGATTGGGAATGTCTACATCATATTTATCTAATCTGCAATTAAATCATTTATATATGCAATTAAATCATTTATATCTGCAATACATAAATTCGCATCATCAATAACAGGAAATGTGGCCAATGGCCAAGTGTGTTGCAAGAACAAAATGGCCTGTGTCAGAAGGAAGGGTCACCAATGATGTTCTAATTGAAACACTGACAAATTAAACAAGGGCATAACTCATGCTTTCAGCTGTCAAGTGACACGAAGATCCTCACACTGAACTGGCAATATTTTGCTTACCCTTTTCTACATATTCTGTTTGTAGAATATTTGCCTCATGGCAACATCATTGTTAATCTCTGAAGTAATGGCTTTCTAGATAATTTCTAATCTCTTTTGGGGGTGGGGTGTCTACTTTATTGTATAAACCTCAATTAGCATTGCTACCATAAATTTCCAGGTTCAGTTTCACACCAATTCAAAAAATATTTATTAAGCACCTAATATGTGCAAAGTACCAGGCTTAGGCATGCATAGCAGTAAGACTGTTAGTCTACAGATGGTAAGGTCTGTAAGGCAAGTCTCTATATTATCTAAAGAAACTCAGAACTGACCCTGAACTCTCTACCTTAAAAAGCAGCATTAAGGCTCTATCCATCTCCATCTCCCTTTAGGTTCTACAAAAACTCAGAAGACCTACCCGAAACAACAGAAACCTCCGGACCATTAAGTGACCACCCATATCCTAGTCAGTGCAGTCTTTAAATTCTGGCAGCAATCTGTTTCCATGTTTTATTGTGAGATACAGAAATCTTTGCAGAGGATGGAAGCACCAGTTGGATGCCTGTGTGCGTCTCGTCTTCTTCTGAAGTGTGCGCACACAGTCATTTCCCCGGGAGAACTTGCCACCTCCCTGGGGTGATGATGCCAAGGAGTGTATTTGTGGGGGCTGAGGGCTGTCTATAATGTTCCTGCAACCTATGGGCCTTCTCCCCATTCTTAGCCTGAAAAAACATCTCTCTCTTTTCGCCCCTTTTGCAGTTGAAGAGATACCTTCCTCTCTCTTCTTGCCCTCCAAGACAAATAAGTAGCGTTACCGATGAACTTGGACTCGTGCAGAAGGACAGAACTGCTGTTGACTCTAAGCGGCTTTAGTTTTCTCTGTACACAAAAATAACCCCTGCCCCAGATAGGTCTCTTTTCTACCAGCCAGAAAAAAAGAAAACAAAACATGCTTGAAGGTTGGGGGGATATAAAAATATATAGTCAGAACAAATACAAATCAGTGTCTTAACAAATTAGTTTGTCCTCATAGAAGATGTGACTTCCACTCTTAAGGAACCAGCAAACTAGACTTTAAAATCCAGACATTTTTGCATGGCCCCTGGTGCTTATTAAATTCTTAATTAAATAAGTAGGTGTTTCATAAATGCTCTTCGAGCATTATAACAATAACAAGTTAATAAACAAAAGTCTACAGAACTATAATTTTATTACTACGGTTAATAACATTGGACATTTAAGCCTGTGTAAGTAAATGAAAATGCTTAATTTATGTACATCACACTGCAATTTAATGTAATTGTTTTTCTACTTTTTGAATTAGGGGCACACACAAAAAGTCACTATATTTAATACCAGCAAAAGCAAAGAAACTTGATGTTTAGCCTATTCAGCCTTCCGGAAAATAAGTCGCTTATTTCCAGGGACTTGTTTGAAATATTAATGAGCATTTGTAGATCCTGATTCTTCCCTTTATAGTCCCCTATAAAGGGAAAACCAGTTTGAATATTGTTTCCTAAGTGTTTACTATGGTTAGTTACTGTCCTAAGTGATTTACATAATGGTTTTATTTCATCCTTGCTGCGATTCCCACTTCACAGATGTAGAAACTGAGGGTGAGAGAGGTCAGATAACTTGCCCAGCATCAGTGGTAAATGGGGTTACAGAATATTGACATGGGAAGGGCTTGGCCAAGGCAATTTTGTTGAAAGAGGTGTGCAAGCCAGGAGAGTCACCCTAAAGCTACATTTGCAGTCAGGGGCATGTTTCTGCTGAAAGATAGAGACTTATGAGGGTGGCAAAGCCTGAGGGAGATTTTAGAGCTATAGCCACCACCCCTGTCCAAGTTGGTACCACCATGGTCCACAGTCAGAGTTCAAGTCCAAGGCTTCTGGAACACATGCATTTAAGCACTGAGTTGTGCTGAGAGTCATGGTCCATCACAGATCACAGGTCTGGTCTCTCATTTCACAACCTCAGTTCTGTACCAGAGTATTAACAATCCTCTTCACTGCTCCAGGCCTTGTGCTAGACTAGGGACACAGAAATGGAGAAGCTGGCCTGTGAGATGGACCTAGAGTGAGGCCCTCTGGGAGCCCCAAAATCCCTGGATGGGATTCAACCAAATCTTGCCTTGTCCGGAATTCTGGGCCATGCTGAACTGTGTTATAACATAAGCCATTTTAAACAGTTTATATCTCCTTGTTGAGATAGCACTGTATGGTGGTTAATAGAAATCCTGGAGCCAGATTGCCTGGTTCCAATTTCAGCGCATTACTGACTAGTTGTATAACCATGGGCAATGGACTCGACTGCCTGGTGCTTCCATTTCCTCATCTGCAAACCAAAGACCACAGTACTACCCACCTCACAGTGGTTTATATGGATTAAGCAACAACAGAAACAAAACCTAACTTAATGTTATGTGTTTATTAAATAACTTGGGGGATAAAAAACAAAAAAACCCAAGTGCTAGATTTACCTACGAAAGATGAGAGTAGAGTCCAGCACAAGGAATACACATCTCAAAGTTTTGCTTATTTACCAATCACCACATTGCAAACTCTTAAGTCAGATACAGCAATGTGAAAACTTTTCCTTGCTTTAGTGTAGCAGCAGCAAGTTTCTTCATATAACATCTGTTTTTATTCATTTGAATACTAGTTTTCATAGTTAATATAACTGCTAAGAGTTACATTAACACTCTGCTGTGAAAAATATATTATTCAAACGATCTAAGTGACTTGAACAGTTACATATGTAAACTCATTTTTACAAATAGAAAATAACATCCTCCTCATCAACCTATGCTGAAAATGTTGGCACAAACTTAGGAGGCCACCTGAGCCAAAACACAGATGAGAGAATATCTCTGGGGAAGAAAGACGTTACATAGATTTCTGCAAGTCTAGTCCAATGTGGAACAGCAATTTGCCAGCAGTCACAGGAATCCAAAAGTGAAACCGGAACTGGAGCTAAGGCAATGCAATAGTTGCTACATCCATTCATTCATTTATTTATTCATGCTATGTTGAACACCTAGAGCTACCTTCCACAGCCATCTTCACTTTTGGCTCAACATCCTAAATTTGTTTTAAAAGTGCAGGTCAACTTTCTCACTGTCTTGCTAACTACATCCAATCCCAAGAGCTTTCCCATTTTTTTTAAAGCAGGAATTAGAGTATTGCAATAAAAAAAATCTTATCAGTGTTGCTATGTTTATGTATATTTAGATGTTTTAAATTTTAGAAGTAACTCCTAAGAGAATGGAGCACATTTAAAGCAGCAATTTTGGCAGCTTATGGGAAATACCTTATCTATTCTAACACAATGAAGTGGAGGAGCAGGTCAGAATTGGGGAGGAGGAGTACAACCTCTTAGGGAAACCAAGGCATTCACAGAATAATAGCCCAAAGCCACTGGAAGAACTTACAGATTATGAGTGAAAAACCATGACCAACGTAGAACAGTAAAGGTCAACATAAATATATTGTCAGTTTCAAGTATTAGACAATGATTAGTCAGAGGTGAAGAGTTGAGTAATGGAAAAACCAACCAGGAGGTGTGAAGTATGGTGGGAACAAGGAGAGAGGCTATGGAACATTTTCTATAAAAGCTCAGAATTGAACTATGGTCAGAAAGAGATGGCAGGAAGAGAAAAATCATCCTTATATAGTTTTGGTCAATGAAGTATCATATGATTTGCAATACTCAAAACCAGTCAACATTAGGTCTTATCCTAAGAAAAGACTGTCCAGGGAACAAAAATGAACACTAAATACCAAGCTTCCTTTGTATTATAATGACATGACAATGGACAGGATCAGAATTCATGGGCACATATTGTTTCAGGTAGAAGGCATTATAAGAATGTCCCAAAAGAGGTATTGGCCCAGAATCTAGGACAGAATCAAAAAAACTAAGGAAGGAGGCCAGAGGGGAGAGTTGTATAAATATGGTCATCTAAGTATGTATATTTGAGAACTTTTGAGTTGTTTCCCTCTATGATGTTGTTTAGGCAAGTGGAAGGTAACTAATCCATAGTTGTAGGTCCTGAAAATTGAGACCGTCATAATTCCTTGCCCCTAGATTAAGCGATGCTAGGACCAGATATAAAATACTAAGCTTATCTTGAAAGATAAGATTGTGATCTAACCAAAACAACGAGCTAATCAAAACTTTCTTCAAGACCCTCTCCTAGCTATGTCCATCAATACAAAGCTCTTGTGTCATAAACTGTTCCCACACCCAGTCAGTTCCCACATTAGGCAAGATCCACCTGGAAATCTTTCAGCTCAGATGCTAAAATCCTGTAAATAGCCCTCCTTTACCTTTGCTTGATTTTAAAAAATCAGAGTTGGGTTGCAGCAAGCTTGGTGTTACTGGGTGTTTTCCTGACATTGGAGTGTCAGTGTGGGTTAGAGGGTCAGACTGAACCATGGGGCTGACACTGCCGTCAGCGTTGCCATCAATGGGACGGAAATGGGATAGATGAAAGCAAAGACAAAATGGTTTTGCACTTACTCATGAACTTAAAGACAATAACTCAATTTTCTAATTAGTATTCAGAATTGTTAGATATTAGTCACAATTAATATCTGAGGATAGAACATTTGATCATGAACATTTTGGCTTTATATCAAAATGGCTGCATCAGGATATCATGTGTCCTGCTGGAACAGACAGAGGTTTCCGTGTGTCTGCATGTTGTTCAACTATTTTTCTTGCAATGGTCTTGTAGAGTTTTCAAAACATAATCATGTTCTGATAGCGGAGCTCATGATGCAGCACACAATAAAGTTTAAACCTTCTATGAGGAACCCTACGAGCTTCCTACCAATGGAACTGTGAATCAAGCTCCAATTAAGAAACAAGAGTCTCTAGTCACCTTCAAAAATAGGTCTCTAACAAGTTAGATGTTTTGGCCAAATCCTTATTTTGATTTGTCAGAGTCATTTTTCTTTGAGTTTCTCAATATTTACTTTAGTTCCCTTGATGCAACATGCAGCATCCTATGCCTTAGAAAAAACAACCTTATAGGATTACTTTCCTCTTAAGAGGTTAAAAAGAAAAGTTAACTTCCCAAGTTAAAAAGAAGAAACGGTTCAGACAGGGAAGAAAGAAGGCGCTTTTTCAGAGTGAAATTGGGAAACCATGCAGAGGCCAGCAGGAGGCGAAGCGTCAGGCAGTCAAGCAGGTGGCCCAGCCTGCAGGTAAGCTGCATGCCTTGCCATGCTAATTGATGGCAATTACTCCTGTTGTTTCCATAGTTTTAGGAATAGCTGATCTTAAAGTGGTGGGAACCTACATTTATATTAAGATAATTCAACGAGAAACCTGGAATTGAAACTTTGGCCAAGCGATAACTATACTCTACTACCTTCTAGGGCTCTCTCTGGAGAGCCAAGAATGTGTTAAAGGCACAAACTTGAAGGCATAGGTGTTCCATTGTTCATGAAGAAAAGACTTACATACTATTTTCATAGAAATGCATCAAAATGCATGGTAATAAGAAGCTTTTATTATAAATAAAACGTTACCTATAGAGCCAGCAACTTACATATTCCTTGAGGCAAAAGATAACCTCTGTTCTGATGCCTAGCATAATACATGGCCATGGCAGCTATTCAATAAAATTCCTGTTGAATAAAACAGTTTGTTTTTGCAACTTGGACTCCTTCCTAGTAGACTAATACAACCTTAGGGGGAAAAATTACTGTAAAAGAATTCCCTGTGACTCAACGGAGGTATACCTATCAGGCACCGATTACCTGAAATGTTTTCAACCGGCTTGTTAAAATATAATCGACAGCAACAAAAACATTCCAATTAAGGAATATTAAAACCCTGGGCACATGAACTGGTAATGTCTAGCATGAGATGAGGGTGTGTAAGGAGTTTATGGAACTGTCAGTTAATCAGGGTGAGACTTCACCTGTCATTTAACTTTAGGCAAGAGTTCTGTGAGAGGTAGGCCTTCGTTACAGACAAGATTGTGAATAGTAGACAAGAAAAAGGACAGGAAATGCCACTTGGCTGGAGGCCACTGAACAAGAAAATTCTCCTGTGATGGGCTCAGGATGGTGAAGGGAAGACGGATCCATGTTCTGTCCAAACAGGTACATGGGAATATTTGAGTGATCAGTTCAATAAATTGAATATGACATTCCCATAATTGTGACCACAGTCATCCTTTTAAGGTTCTAACTATGTGGGACAACGTTAGGCTTATTAGAAAAAATTTTAAAATCCTGGACAGAGGAACCAGAAAAGAAAGAGAAGAGAGTGAGATTACAAATGTAAACATTAAAGGAAAGCAAAATGCTAAGAATTGCAGGTGTTTAAAGCTGGAAGAGGTTCTAAAGGTCACCTAGGATGGAGTCCTCTTATTGCAGACTGGCCAGCAAGCAAGCAACAGAGAGAACTGACTTGTCCAAAGTCATTCTGCTTTGTGACCTGCTTTTGAGAGCTGAGCCAGGGGCGACACAGACCAAAGGATGCTAGAAGAAGTAGCCAAAAGTAGGGTATTTGGATGGAAAAGAGCCATGTGTGTTGAACTCAGTGAGATTTTTAATTTGGGAAACAATTTTTTAGAATAACTCTTTATCCTCCTCCTTGTTTAAAATGTGAGTGCTTTTCCCATTGTGTAGCATTGATTTTGGCATGGCTAACAATGGCCTATTTTACATGATAAACTCCTAGAGATTAGAAGTCTGTCTAGCCCTGTTTGTCATAGCCTAGTAGCACATGACTCCTATACAGACCCATACTAAAAAAAGCCTGTGTTTTGACAACAAAGGCACTCAATGAAGAAGCTAAAATGAGCATGCTTACAGATATTTGGGAACATTTTGGTTGGTGATTTTACTTTAAGGCATTTCTATGGATGAGTTATGAAGAGATATTAATATCTCCTGAGCACACAGGACACAATGCCCAGCATCAGAGCTCCACTTTACAAATCATTTTACCATTAGCCTGAGCAGCTCTAACACATCAACAACCAGTGCGAGTGCATTTGCTTTATTTTAAGGTAGAATATTTATTTTGGATAATGGATTATTAAATAGATATGTATCATTTATCTCTGCAAGTCATTTTATTGAGAATGATTTATAGCACATCAACAGCCATTGCAAATGCATTTGCTCGCTTTTGAGGGCTGCTCATTTTATTATGAATGGCTTACTGAGCAGGGAGAAGCCAATTGCAGAGAGCCTGCTTTCTTGGGGCTGTTATATTTTACAAGGGTTGCCTTATAAATATTTTGTAAATTACTTATAAACCTCTTTTTGGCAAAATATTCTGAAGCCCAATTAATGTTTCAATTCTAGGTGGTCATTCTGGGAAAGAGGATATCTCTGAAAGGGATGCTGAAATTTGGACTTCTTTGTATTATATGGTAGCAGTGTACCATGATAGAATTATGTCAAGGAAACTTTGATTTCTCATCTGAAATGTCAATATAAATTAGACTATTTATCTATTAGAATTTCAATGACATTAGAGAAGTTTCCCAGTTGAGAATGTGAAGAAAAAAACACCTCTAGCTAATCTCTACCTTCTGTTGTTGCTGCCGGAAGAAGTCAAAGTGTTTTGCATTCAAGCAGATGAGGGTTCATTGTGCATGAAAAATACAGAAATAGTGCTGAAATAAAAACTTGATGATAATTATTTGGATAGGCTTAAAAAAACTTGCCTATTAAGTTTATCTTTAATACTCTAACTTACGTCTAGATGAAAAATACGGATACTTGGCTACAGTATAGTACCGTCAGATTTTTAATTTCAGAAAGGGTAAACATTGCCAAGTTTTGAAGGTCTGCATCAAGGATACTGACATAATTTCCAAAGTCACGGGTAATACTGCAGCACCTCCCCTTAACATAAAACCCAGGGGGTTGACACGAGCACATCTCTCCCTAATCTATCCTGTGCATATAACAATGTTGCCTCAGAGCCTTCCTGAATATTTGCCACTGCACAGGCAGAAGTGGGTTTTGCAAATGAGGTGGGGGTGATGTATTTTATTGCTGATACTGTTTCACCTGTATTTAGTTCCACTGACATGGCAAACCCCACGGCCAATTGTCCTTATTATAGCCCCTGTGTATTTCTCCCCAGCACACTTGCACAGGGGGAAGATGTGAGCATGGAGCGTACTTAACTGCCAAGCTGAATGGCTCTGTAATGTAGCTTCAGTGTGGCATAAATTAAGCTGTCATTTTTTTGGCAGCAAGTGCAGAGAGGCGATTTTCCTGTACTGTAACATTTGAAACAACAATTTTCTGGCTCCAGTACTGACTGACAGTTCTGTGTGATACATTCTCAACGTGTGTGCTTCAGGGCTGCAGCTGGAAACTGCCTTCAGGGCAAGGTATTGTCTCTATTAGCAAATCCTGGCTGTGGTTGCCCTAATGCAAACATTTTCTGACTCCTGCTGCTGCCAGTCAGCCCAGGGAGGCTGCCATTGGGGCAGCAAAAATGGCACTGGGGATCCATCAGCCTAAGCAATGGTTTTAAGCATGTTTCAAATATGCAAAATCGTCTTTTATCATGAAAATCAGATTGTATATTCTTGTGCGCTGGCTCTGTGCAAAACCTTTTGTAAACAGGAAGATTTCCCCAAGCTGGGCTGAGGTTTCATGGGTAGGAAACACTGCTGGATGCTCTGAGGGGCCTCTGAGTATGGACTGGAAGTGCTGCTATCACTTTGTGTCCCGTGCTGCCGGTAAGCTATGGTGGAGAAGTAGAATGTTGGTAAAAGTAATAAGAGGTGTTGGCAGGAGGGTCTCCAGAGGGAGCGCAGCAAACTGCTCTTTCTTTAAATGTCCTCTATCCCTGCCTTCCTCTTCCCTACCCTCACAGGTGACTACAAAGCAATAGCGGCACCACTTGCCAACTATCTTGAATACACATAAAAGGCAGAAAAGGTTACCTTGAAAGCTGTCAAAATAATACAACTGCAATCACATCAGTCAGGATGCAGCAGGGAGAAATAAGTTATGCTAAGCTTGCACTTGCAACTGAAGTTGTTGCTGGCATCCTGGAATGGTGTTGCTCCTCAGATCAGAGCCAAGGCTTTCACCAGTATACAGTTAGGGAAAACTGCACCTAAACTGACTCCAGAGTGGCTTGTGATCATGTTTCAAGAGCTCTTCAAGGAAGAACCAATGTCTTCCCTGAGTTGGAATAATCAAGCTATTTGCTGAGTAACTTGTTCACAGCCAGTAGGTTCTTTCTTGCATAGAACCTAAGTCTTTCTCCGTGTTAGTTTCCTTTTATTCTGTTTAGTGTTGTCATTGGGTCGCATAGACAAAATGTCATAAACCATCCTCATAAAATGCCATTTAAAGGCAGCCCGTCCTCAGATTCAAATACCTTGATTTCTACAGTTTTTCACATTGATTTTGTGAAGCATTCACTTATTTGTCCAAACAGTAAACACACAATGCTTTCCAAAGGGTCAAGGACTGCCCTAGGGAAACCAAGGTAAGTTACAGATTAAAATCCAACCCCTCCATTCATGACCATAGGCATACCTTCCTCACCAGCCTCATTTCCCACCACTTTCCAGGCTCATACCTGTGATGTCAACCACACCTACTTTGCCAGTGTATTAGTCCATTCTCATGCTGCTATAAAGAAATACCCCAGACTGGGTAATTTGTAAAGGAAAGAGGTTTAATTGACTCACAGTTTCACAGGGCTGGGGAGGCCTCAGGAAACTTACAATCATGGTGGAAGGGGAAACAGGCACGTCTTACATGGTGGCAGGTGAGAAGTGAAGTGCAAGCAGGGGAAATGACAGACACTTATAAAACCATCAGATCTCATGAGAACTCACTCATTTCATGAGAACAGCAGGGGGGAAACCGCCCCCAGGATCCAATCACCTCCCACCTGGTCCCTTGACACGTAGGGATTACAGGGATTACAGTTTGAGATATGATTCAGGTGGGGACACAAGCCAAACGTTACCAACCAGCAAGAGTCAGCCATAATTTCTCTTACTTTCCTGTCATGGCTCCAGTGGCTTTATTTATGGGAAAGAACCACTCATCCCCTTTTCTTTCTAATTAACTCCCAACTCAGACAGGTAGCCTTCTCTAACCAACTCCTGAAGCCTAATTGGGGTTAGGCATTTCTGTTGCCTGTATTTTGAGGATTTTATATATGTATCTCTTTCCAATTTTAATATTTTTTAAATCGGCCAATTTCTAAAGCTACACATTAGATTTTTTAAGATGGGGACTGGATTTTCCTTTGTAATCCTGCCACAATGCCTGCTATTTAATAGGTATTTAATACACTTAAGTAAATAGATGAATACATTTATGGTTTTTATCCTCGAGATACATCCACAAATCATAAATCCTCAAGAGAAAAAAATTCTCTGATAATGGTTCATTTGTTCTTGTGGGGGTAGGGGGTGAGAATTACCATATAGGTCATTCATCTTATATTTCTTTTATAATGGCCTAACAAAATCCATTTTTTACCATTGCTTCAAGTTCCCACATTGCTAGTTCACGTTCAGCCCATGGTCAACCAGCTTCTAAATGTTTTCATGCTGTGCATAATATCTGGCCATTCTCTAGAGTGTATTTCCACAATTCACTGAGCTATGATCATCCATATTGACTTTTCATTCAGTTTATTCTAAGCCACATTATGAGCTTGTCAAAACTCTTTAAATGTTTTCTCTGCCCATGAGAGCACAAGACAAGGAGAATATATGTAAAAGGAGCAGGAGAAAAAAATGGTAAAATACTCCTCAGGCTCTGAAGTCAGGTTCTGGCAACCCTAGAGTTCTTAGAACCTGGGTGCTGGGGGATGGAGGAAACAGGCATGCAGAGACCTGGTTTCTGGTCTTGAGTTCAACATTTATTAGCTGTGTGACTTTTAGTAAGTCACATAACCATTTCTGAGCCCAATGATACTTATACTACATATAGGATTTTTGTGTGATGATGTATATTTTAAAAGGTCTGAAAGTTAGGACTGATTAAATGAGAGTATTTTTGTTATACTTGACATTTCAACAACCATACTGATTTACAATCAATAGGGAAATAATCTCTGCTCACTGCCCACCTTTTTCTGGATCTCCTCCTTCTCCTCACAATTATCTCCCTAAAACTTGTGAATTACATACCTACTCTAGTAAAATCACTAAACCAAGGCCTACAGTAACCTGTTAACTAACCAACCAAAGAGTGTGGGAAAACCCACTCTATTTAGCCTCAAAGGCTTACAAAACACTCCTACAATAAAAGATAAACTGAACACAAGTATCTATACGATAAGTGGCGAGTGAGCATTCCCAGTACTTGCTATTAGAGGTGTAATGATCTAGGACAGCTTCAGGCAAAGATTATTCCCACCTGGAACTTGAAGTTTTAGTAGAATTCTAATCAGTGGAGATAACAAAAAAGGATATTCCACAGGGGAAGAGATGGCAGGTGCAAAGTTCAGAGGTAAAATTTGTAGACCCATGTTCATAGCAGCATAATTCACGATAGCCAAAATACACAACCAAACAGTATTCATTGAAAGATGAATGGATAAACAAAATGTGGTATATACATAGAATGGAATATTTTTCAGCCTGAAAAATGAGGGACGTTCTGACAAATGCTACAATATAGATGAACCTTGAGGACATTATGCTTAGGGAAATAATTTGTCATGAAAGGATTTAATGTACAATTTTACTTAGGTAAAATAAATCTAGAGTAGTCAAATTCATAAAAACAGAAAGTAGAATGGTGGTTGCCAGGGCAACCAATCTACTGGGGAAATGGGGATTTTTTGTTTAATGGGCATAGAGTTTCAGTTTTGCAAGAATTAAAAGGTAGTTGTGATGGTTGCATAAGAAATGGTGGTGCTGGTTGCACAACCATGTGAATATAATTAATGCCACTGAACTATACATTTAAAAATAGTTAAGAAGGTAAGTTTTATGTTATGCGTGTTTTACCATAGTTCTTTTTCAAAGGTCGGAGGTAGAAAAGGGTGATTTAGAGAAAAATAAATAGATGGATTTGGCTAAA
The DNA here is from genome assembly GCF_000001405.40 of Homo sapiens. Lineage (NCBI taxonomy): Eukaryota > Metazoa > Chordata > Mammalia > Primates > Hominidae > Homo > Homo sapiens. The sequence goes on from NC_000007.14 coordinate 21,132,382, forward strand.
GCCTAAGTTTCTGAATCCTAGAAAGATTCAGATTGGATCACAGAAAGTCTTCAGAGAACACTGAAAATTGCTAATGAAGAATTACTGAAGGCTTCTGAGTGGGAGAAGGACATTGTTGGAACTGTGCTTTGGGAAGCTGAGACTGGCAGTGGTATGCAGGTTGGCTTAGGAAGCCCAAAGGTGAAGGCAGGATCCCAATGTGATGACCTGTCATTACTTAAGGAGTGACATTGTGAAGGCGTAAAAGAGGATGGTGGAAGAGGGCATGAAAAGGATGGGGCTTGGTGGAAAACTAAGATTACCTGGGGACTGACTAATTGAAGGTAGGGAATGGAGTAACGGGTATTAGAGGTTGTATTAGATTGTTCTCATGCTGCTAATAAAGACATATCCAGGACTGGGTAATTTATAAAGGAAAGAGGTTTAATTCACTTCATAGCTCCACATGGCTGGGGAGGCCTCACCATCATGGCAGGAAGTGAAGGTCTTACATGGCAGCAGGCAAGAGACAGCTTGTACAGGGGAACTCCCATTTTAATAAACCCATCAGATCTTGTGAGACTTACTTACCACCACAAGAACAGTATGAGGGAAACCGCCCCCATGATTCAATTCCCTCCACCTGGCACCTGGCTCTGCCCATGACATGTGGGGATTATTACAATTCAAGGTGAGATTTGGGTAAGGACACAAACAAATTATATCAGAGGTGGTTCCAAAATTGTGTCTGAGAGACTTGAAAACTAACTGTATTATCAAAAATGGCAACATTAATAGCTTGTTTTATTTGGTTTCAAGGTGCTGAATTGATTTCAAGACATGTTGAATTTGAGAAGATCATGAACTACATAAAAGAAAATACCCATCAGGCGATTGGTGTCCAACAAACGATCAGGACTTGAGATAAATGCCCAAGAGTCATCTCCTAAGGAGTAGAAAGTAGGCTATAAACATAAGAGGAGAAGGGAAGGAACAGTACGGAAAGCCCCCACTAGGCCAGGTACCCAGTGAGAAATTTCTGAGGCCTCCAGAGCACAACCCTGTGGCATAGGTGGGAATATCGATGCCAATCATAAACCCCAGAAAAACCACAATCTTGAATGTCATAATACCTAATATTAAAATCCTGAAAGATCAAAACCCCTAAAGTCTAAAATCCCTAACATTTGAAATCCCAAAAGATTGAAATCCTAAAAGCCAAATTCTGGGGAAGGGATTAGTGCATTTCCAGGTGTAGCAGGACAGCTGCATCACGTTAGGAGAAACTACTACGTTTTATTGTTTTTATTTGTATTTGGCAGAAAATTCAGATGAGTGGATCGGCCACTCCCTTGGGTAACAATAAAAACTTCAGTGTATTTATTTTTTATTTTTATGTAGATACCGGGTCTCACCATGTTGCCCAGGCTGGAGTGCAGTGTCTAGACACAGATGCAGTCATAGCTCACTGCAGCTTCAAACTCCTGGGCTCAAGCAATCCTCCCACCTCAGCCTCCCAAGTAGCTGGGACTATAGACATGCACCACCAAGCCAGGCCAAACTTTCAGTTTAAAAATGTGTCATTTTTCTGCATTGGCACTCTTTCCAGCTGACAATGGATGGATAAAAGCCACATTTGCCTAAAGAAGCCAGCAAAGTTACTGTTTCAGAAATAATTCTGTGCATTGTAGGATGAAAAGACACTTAAGCAACAGTGTTGCTGTTCGATTACCAGTATTGTTTCCACCAAATTTGTGGTCTGTATACCAGTGCATGTGTAATAAATTTCTGAGTATCCAAAGCAACATAGAAGCATGGCACAGAAGATGAGAAACTTTAACAGGGAATGCTCAAATTGGTGCGTATTGAATCATGGAAGAATTTCAAAAAGAGTAGTGTCACATAGAAAATGAATATGAACGTATTCTCCAAGGAGAGCCATGCCCCACCCCTCCCCCCAACAAAAAAATCAGCTATTCATTGCAATGCAATACTTTAAAATACAGTTGATCCTTGAACAACATGGATTTGAACTACATAGGTCCACTTATACATGGATTTATTTCAATAAATATATTGGAAAAGATTTTGGAGATTTACAACAATTTGAGAAATTTCACAGACAAACTCCACAGCCTGGGAATATCCAAAAATTAAGAAAAAGTTAGCTATGTCATGAATGCATAAGAAATACATGTAGATACTAGCCTATTATATTATTTTCTGCCATAAAATATACTTATATCTACTACAAAAAGTTAAAATGTATCTAAACTTATGTACACAAACACTTATAGATGATACATGTGCCATTCAGTCAAGTAAACAAATGTAAAGTTGCAGTATTAAATCATAACTGCACAAAATCAACTGTAGTACACACTGTACTACTGTAATAAGTTTGTAGCCATCTCCTGTTGCTATTACAGTGAGGTCAAGTGTTGCAAGTATCCACTTAAAATGCCATGTGACACTAATCATCTCTGCATGAGCAATTGTCTTTCCAGTAAATTGCACGTCACAGTGAAAAGTGATTTCTCGAGATTCTCCTATATTTTTCTGATGTTTAGTGCATTACCATAAACCCTGACTAACACCATGGGACCCATGTGAAATGTTACTGGTGATGTTGGAAGTGCTCCCAAGAAGCAGAGAAAAGTCATGACATTACAAGAAAAAATTGGATTTCTTGATATGTACTGTAGATTGAGGTCTACTGCTGTGGTTGCCCACCATTTCAAGATAAATGAATCCAGTGAAAAACCATTATAGAAAAAGGACAAAAGAATGTGAAGCCATTGCTGCAGCTATGCCAGCAGGCATGATAACTTGGCAGTTGTTTTGAAATACCTTTTTAACTCGTATCAAAAATGCAGCTTTTATGTGGGTGCAGGATTGCTACAAGAAAGGCATACTGCTAGGTTCTAATATGATTCAAGGAAAAACAAGTCATTATATGCCAACTTAAAGCAAAAGGAAGGTGAAGGATCTGAAGGTAGAGAAGTTAATGCCAGCAAAGGATGGTTTGATAATTTTAGAAAGAGATTTGACTTTAAAAGTGTCAAGATAACAGGAGAAGCAGCTTCTACCAACCAAGAGTTAGCAGATGAGTTCCCAGACACCTTTTAAGAAAATCATTGAGGGGAACGAATATCTGCCTGAACAGGTTTTTGTTGCAGACAAAAGTGCTCTATTCTGGGGGAAAAAAATGTCACAAAGGACCTGTATGAGTAAGGAAGAGAAGTGAGCACCAGGAATGAAGGCGGGCAGGAAGAGGCAAACCCTACTGTTTTGTGCAAATGCAGTCAGGTTTATGACTGGAACTGCCCTTATCTATAAAGCTGCTAACCTCTAAGCTTTGAAGAACAAAGATAAATACCAGCTGCCAGTCTTTTGGTTGTACAACAAGAAGACCTCAACAATGAGAACCTTTTTCTAGAATGATTACATCAATGCTTTGTCCCTGATGTCAGGAAGTACTTTGCCAGTAATGAACTTTTAAAGTTATTTTGATATTGGACAATTTCCTTGGCTACCCACAACCCCATGGATTCAACACTAAAGGTGTCAAAGCGCTCTACTATTCCCCAAAGTCAATGTCTCTAATTCAGCCTCAGATCAGGGAGTCATAAGGACCTTTATGCCTCATTACACACAGTACTCTATGGAAAGGATTGCCAACACTGCGAAAGAGAACCCCAATAGAGGGACCATCATGAAAGCCTGGAAGGAGTACACCACTGAAGATGCCATCATTGTTAGAGAAAAGGTTGTGAAAGCCATCAGCTCAAAACAACAAATTCCTGCTGGAGAAAACTGTGTCCAGATGTTGTGCATGACTTCACAGGATTTAAAAAAGAGCCAATCAAGGAAATCATTAATGAGATTGCGAATATGGCAAACACAAAGAAGGTGCAGGGTGAAGGATTTCAAGATATGGATCTTAGAGAAATTCTGAACCATTCCCAAGCAATGAAGAAGAGGATGTAGGCAAAGCAGTGCCAGAAAACAAATTGATATTAGACAATCTGGAAGAAGGGCTCTAATTATCCAAGACTCCTTTTGACTTCTTTTATGACACAGGCCTTTCTATGATACGGGTGCTGAAGCTAAAGTAAATGGTGGTGTATTAAGTCTGTTTTCAAACTGCTGTAAAGAATACTACCTGAGGCCGGGTGCGGTGGCTTACACCTGTAATCCCAGCACTTTGGGAGGCTGAGGCGAGCAGATCACGAGGTCAGGAGATCAAGACCATCTTCGCTAATATGGTGAAATCCCGTCTCTACTAAAAATACGAAAAATTAGCCAGGTGTGGTGGCACATGCCTATAGTCCCAACTACTTGGGAGGCTGAGGCAGAAGAATCACTTGAACCCAAGGAGGCGGAGGTTGCAGTGAGCCAAAATCGGGCCACAGCACTCCAGCCTTGGGGACAGAGCAAGACTCCAAATAAAAAAAAAAAAAAAAAAAAAAGAATACTACCTGAGACTGGGCAATTATAAGGGAAAGAGGTTTAATTGACTCACAGTTCCACAGGCTTAACAGGAAGCATGCTAGGGAGGCCTCAGGAAACTTACAATCATGGTGGAAGGAGAAGCAGGCACCTTCTTCCCAAGGCGGCAGGAAAGAGAATGAACACAAGTGCAGGAAAAACTGCCACTTTTAAAATCATCAGGTCTCATGAGACTCACTCACTATCATGAGAACAGCATGGGGGAAACTGCCTCTGTGATCCAGTCATTTCCCACCAGGTCTCCCCCTCAATACACCAGGATTACAATTCAAGATGAGATTTGGGTGGGGACACAAAGTCTAACTATATCAGGTGGAAAAAGGATTGGTAAGATGTAAAAATATTTTTAGAGAAACAAAAAGTCAGGCAAAAATTAAGGTGTATTTTCGTAAAATTATACCAATTGTGTCTGCCTCTCCTGACTCTCCTTCCACTTCCTTCACTCTTTCACCTCTGCCACCCCTGAGAGAGCAAGACCAGCCCTTCCTCTTTCTCCTCCTCCTGAGCATACTCAACATGAAGACAAGGCAGATGAAGAGTTTATGATGATTCACTTCCTAGAATAAATATATTTTCTCTTCCTTATGATTTTCTTAACAATATTTTCTTTTCTCTAGCTTATATTTATTGTGGAATACTATATATATATATATCACATATAACAAACAAAATATGTGTTGACTATTTACATTATCAGCGAGGCCTCTGGTCAACAGCGGGCTATTTGCTAAGTTTTAGGAGAGTCAGAAGTTAGATGCAGATTTTCAGCTGTGCAGGGAATTGGCATCTGTAACCCTCGTGTTGTTCAAGGGCCAAATGTATAGCTAATAATTGTAAAAGTTGACATCATCTCTTATGGACCTGTCTCTAATCTATCTCTGTAATATATTTTCATATGTCAAATTTTCTTTTTAGTTGCTGGAGGGTTTTGTTTCCTTTTTGTTGTTGTTGTTTCTTACAATTTTACAATTTTAAATTGTCAGCATTATTTTTTACAATTTGCTATGCTATGTTGCTACGTATCTCATCTTTGCTTTATTTCCAATACTGGAGATATACATTGTGTAAAGACTTTTCGAGTTATAACTTGTGTTATACATTTTTGCAAATTTCACTCCAGGAAAGCACACTATCACAATGTTGACTTTGTGTGTAAGCATTGTTCATGTATGTAAAAACATTACAACTTCCTCAATAAATGAAGGAATATGTGGTGTTGACCCATTATAGTTTTAGATGGATCTCATCAAAAGACTTAGATTGTCTGTCACAGTATTTCAGATGATCGCAGTCAAGAAGCCGACGGCACACAATTACCAACCATAGTGATAAGCATCGATACATTTTGCTTTTTTATTTATTTATTATGAATAGGGTTTGCCTGCTAGTAACTGTTATACTTGTGCAACTGTCATTACTATACCTGCTTATACTTACAAAAATATGTATGTTATTATTGCCTTTTTATTATGTAAAGTGGCCTATGAAGGGTTCTTTCATGTTTTTATGTTTCAAGTAAATCCCTTTTTAAAAGAGTAAATAAATGTCTTTAAAACGTTTTTAAATTATTTTTTCCAGAGTTACATTTTTGGGATTTTGATCGCTCAGGATTTCAACATTCAGGATTATGGCATTCAGGATTGTATCTTTCAGGATTATGGCCCAAACCCAGTGATAATCTCACTTACAGGAATGGAAATTGAGGCATAGAAAGGCTAACTTGCTTGCCCAATTCCACAGGCAAATAAGAAGAGGCAGGACCAGAAAGAGCGTGCATGATGAACTGAACCCAGAGCCCATGCTCCTCCCAGACTATTCCATGCCAACTGTTTGGGAAGACACATATCCTGGTTCCAGCTCTGCAGATTATGTGCTGTGTGGCCCTCAGGAAACATCTTGTCTGAAACTCAATTTATTCTGCAAAAATACACATTGTAAGTTATTAAATGCAATTATTAAGTTCTTTTCTAATGCTAAGATTCAAAGTCTGTAAATTTGGATTGAAGATGCCGGAATGAATAATCTATCTGAAAGACCATCAAGAAAGAGAAACAGAGATAAGAAAAGGGTATAAATAACAAAAGGTTGAGGTAAAGAAGGTCTACCATTAGAACAAGTGAAGAGAGAGAGCCAAGAAGGCAGAGAGAGTGAGCAATGAGAGATGAAGAAAGAGGGTCAAGGTAGTGTTCCTTTATAAAGGTCATGAAAGAAACACTTTCACAAGAGGCAGACAATAGGGTCAAGAAAGATAAAGTTTGATATTAGACCATCAGGTTCAGCCATGGTGGGTGCAGAAAGGGTGGACCCTGAATAACGTAGGGACACAGATCAGATTGCAAGATTTTGGGAAGAAAGTGATTAATGAGAAAATGAAAATGAATATAGCATTGCTTGTTTGAAGTTTGAGTGTGATTCATATTTCATTTATTTTTATGGTTAAGTTATTGGAAAACTTTTAAAAGCATTTTTAGAATTAAGAGGTAAGAAAAGCTTTTCACCTGGGGGTTGAAACCTGGACTTCAGATCTGCTTTTGTAAGTAGCTGTGTGCATGGTCAAGAAACAGCCCAACTAAATTTCCATTCCTCAATCAGAAAAGTTCCCGACTTCTTAACATGAAAGTTGTACCCCAGGTTTGCAGATTTAGTTTCCAACAGTCCTGCAAGGTAGGTTTTATTGTCAGTCCCTTTTTATAGATGATGGGACAAAGACAGAGAGGATTACCTAAACTTACTTGAGGACACATAGTTAGAAGGTGTTAAAGATGGGCAGTTTAAGCCGGGATCCCAGTGAGTAGCAAGCAGATGAAAAGTCACTCAATATTTTAATTTACTTGTGCCATATTGTTCTAAGTAAAATAAATTCTCACTACTTCTTAAGCTTTGTGAAATACAGAAACCAGCTTGACTTCCATTTTTATCTTCAGAAATGCCCAAGGTGCTGTGAATCCCATACTGGGAGTTCTTGAAATCCTTATTCTGAAAAGTGTGGTCTACAGACTGGCAACATCAGCATTACCTGGGAGCTTGTCAGAAATACAGGGGTTCAGGTCCCATCCCAGACCTACTGAATCAGAATTTGCATTTTTTAGCTAGATTCTCTGAGTAGCACAAATTTCAATTCATTCTCTCTCTCTCTCTCTCTCTCTCTCCCGCTCTCTCTCCCTCTTTCTCTTCCAGTTCTGGTGTTCTATCCTGACTCTATCAATTTGCTCTCTTCCTTTCCTCAGCATATTGACTTGTCCAGCAGAGCTTGTTTTGCAGAATTCATCCAGGAATATTTATTTGGCACCCAATATCCTATGTTCTCTTATCAAATGAAGAAGTTATTTTCCTTAAATATAACCTTTATTGGTTTTCACAGTTCTCTAGTTCCAGACTTGACCAAATGCTATCTGTTATGCCCATAATGTGACACACAGGTCTTTAATGGCATAAGGCTAGGCTTTGCTGTTTCTTGAGTCCTGAAAGATGTGCATGGAGATCATTTCTCTACCACTTATCTTCAGATATTTTGATACTTTTGCATACCTTTATTGCCTGCTAACTGAATTACTACAAGTCCTTTCTAACTGGTCCACTGCCAACTTCTATTAGCAGATTTTCCTGTATTGAAATTGCTGCTGCCTATCAGGCAGCACCATCTATTCCAACGTTCGTTCAAAATCACCCTCTTCTAAAGGTATTGGCTTTCATTTCCGACTAGTATTGATTTTGGACCAATGGGCGACACCCTATACTGCTTAGAGTTCCTGTCTTCCCACTTTGCTGTTCGAAGATAGGACTCCACGTCGTGGAACTCCAAGTCAAAGAATCACATCCAGTGGAATCTGGGAGGCCTTCTTTCTTCCTACTTGCTTTTAAAGCAAACTCAAAAGACATGGCTGTTTGGTGACTGTTCTGTTACTCACAGGTTTCCTGGCTGCATTGGGGTGGTTGATGAACTAGCCCCACAGGTTTATTATATCCACACTGAGTAGTGTCATTATAAGGAAGTGCCTGTCACAATTTCCATTACACTCTCCTGTTTTAAGGGACCTAACATACAGCCATAAAATTTACTTTTGACTGAAACTTGGCATGTCTCAATCCAGTGCCTACTCACTACTTTTCATAAACAGCATAAAATTATATTATGCTCCCCAAATGCTAGTTCACTCACAATATTTTTATGTACAGAAGAACAAAGATGCTACTTCTCTATCTCAGAATGTTCATTCATTGTTTTTCTAAATTGAAAATATGAATATGATAAACTTGAATGAAACTGTGCTATAGGGCACAAGAAATTTCATAACGTCTGATTGATTTATAAACCTCATGCTACATCTTCAAGAATTAGCAGTGATGATTACATTAAATGCTATGATATATATGCTCATGTAATTTTATGTAAATAGCCTAAAGAAGAATTATAAAACTATAAAACAACACATTTTGAGGCAGTTATATCCAGCAACCCACCATATTTATAGCTTTTTCTTAGTTTTGCTTCAGTAGCGTAGGAGTAAAAAGAGAGGTAGAGAAAGAACATGAACATGCCACTTTTATGGCTGAATTTCCAGATGGGTAAATATATTATAAGAAAACCTGGATGTGGAAACAAAAGCCACCAAGAACCCTATTTATAATGAGAAATACTCCACCAAATAAACGACTGTGGTAGATTGAATAATGACCTCCAGTGATGGTCATGTCTTAATCCCTGGAACCTATAATGTTACCTACTTACATAGCTAAAGAGACTTTGCAGAGGTGATTCAATTGATTTTGCATGGGGAGATTATCCTGGATTATCTGACGCACGCAGTGTAATCACAGGAGTCCTTATCAGAGTGAGGCAGGAAAGCCAGAGCCAGGGTAGGGGATGAGACAATGGAAGCCACAGGTCAGAATGATGTACAGCCATGAATTAAGAAATCATCAGCTTCTAGAAGGTGGAAAAATCCAGGAAACATTCTCCCTAGAACCTCCAAAGGTAGGCACCCTGCTGACACCTTGATTTTAGGGTTTCTGACCTCCAAAACTTAAGAGAATACATTTGTGTTGCTTTACACCACCAAGTTGGTGGCAATCTGTTACAGCAGCAATAGGAAAGGTATACAAATACTTTTGGAAATTAAAAATACCAGGAAGAAGAACACAGATGAGTCCATTACTTTTGAATGTTAGGATTTGTTAATGTATTTCAGAGATATAAAAGGAAACGCTTTGGGAAATCTATTTCTTAAAAACCTTTGAACTGCTTTTATTTATCAATGATTACTCTTTTACTTATTACTTTTTCTTTACTAGTAAGCTTATTTTAATTGCTCTGGTTCAAGAATTGGGTTACATAGTTCTATTACGTACCTGAGGTGATCACCCAAAAGTAGCGGCTGCTTGTTTGTACTTCGTGACGCATGGCTGACGGGATGACTCACGGCTAAGTGCAGCCTCCTTCATTGGTAGGAAGGACACGGAAAACATTTAGCTCTCAAAGGCCTTTTAAGTTGCTTCTGGTAACGCATGTATGGCTAAGCACATTTATTCAACTCTATATTCTTCTACCAGATGTATATTAGACTTAGAAGCACAACCCATGTAACTATCTCTTTCAGCTAAGAGAAAATCCCCAGTCCTCTGCTCACCTGTGTAAGGGTAAGAGAGAAATGAAGGGATGCACCAGCTCCTGACAAAACCCCAGAGCATAGGTTGTCCTGGATATAAGAATTTGTCATGTTCACTTTCTTTATCAAATAATTTTAACAAAAAATGAAGTAGGTGTTCAGCTACATTGTGACCAGATCATAAAATTGATGAGTCTCCAAATTACCTTAACTCCACAGTGAGGAGTAGGGGAGGGGATGCTCCAAACCAGTACAGGAGGTACCAACACCACTTCCTCAACTTTGCATTTTGCCCTGGAAATAATTCTATTCCAGTAAATTATATTCCCATGCAGCCTAAACCCTTGCACCCCACATGCAGCTGGGAAGCATATGTGCCAGGACCAATGCTCTTTTAAAGGGTGCCGGAGGCTCTGGAGGAATGAAACAATTATCCTGGAGGCTTATTCCTGCAGCCTGCATCCTGAGCCATGTACAGTAATAGAGATCCAGATAGCAGACTGCGTGCCGGTAAATAAATAACCACTCAAGAATGCCACCCTGTCTCACAAATAAAAAACACCATGCACTCTAAAAGTAGGAGATCTACCACTTTTATGGCTTTAAATTCTGTAAGTGTTTTAAAATTCTATAAGTGATCAAATGGGACTGAACAATTCCTTCATACCATGATGGAGCCATTAGATTATTTTTACCTGGTTTTATACTAAATGGATACCTAGGTTGCTGAAAAGGAGTTGAAAATTGACTTGAATGCATGTGGAGGTCCTGTATTTGAAAACGTTTGGCACAATTTGGGAATGATGTACGGCTTTTATCCCTTTTGGCCTTGTAATAGTCTTACTTATGCATGTATCTAATCTCTACTCCTGGACTGTAGGCACCTAGAATCTAGGTATGACTAGTTACCTAGTCACTACACAATAAGCTTTTCTTGGAAAAGAGAGAAAGGGAGGAGAGGAAGGACAGAAGTAAGCTAGCCCTTTTCATTTGCCTCATGTATTTTCACAGATTAAAGAGGAAATATACTTCACATTTGGCTACAGGGTCCAGTACTCTTGGCTTTTCTATTGCTGGCTTCATAAGTCACTGGGGTGTTGGCACAAGAAGCACCAGATAAGGATAAAGAAAGAGAAGAAGGAAGCCTGGGCTGTAGTGGTGAGTCTGCAGTTTCGTGATCATCCTGATGGATGCGTTGTAGCACCCCCACCCCCAAAACACACACACACATACATGGTCTCAGAAGAATCTCCCCATGAAGGACTGCCCTGGATGGAGGAAGCTGGTTGGAAACATGAGACTAGTTAGCCTGTTTGCATATTGTCATTGCCTTCTGTGTAGCTTCTCCTACAAGCAGCTGTTACTTAGTGTAATTAACCTGAAAGCCCAAATTTCAAGCTTGTTACCTCCAGCGGGTAACCGTAGGACTTCAACCCTTGGACTTTCCGGGTGTCTGTTCCCCACTCAAAAATCTCTAGAGCTGAATTACATGTGTTTGTGAATCAGATTGAGCCAATGCTCCTCTGAGCCAAGGTTCCCCCTCCTAGGGAATTTGATCCCTTCCAGAGGGCAGTCCACTTGGGTTGACTGCCTTCAGCTCCTCCATGGTCACAGTTTGATGCTCCGAGGTGACCACTGTCCTGGGCAAAGTAGTTTATGCTGGTTCCAGGGACGTTTCCTCATCACTCTGGGTAACCTGAGGCTGGCAAGTGGATTTGCCAAGGCAGAAGATCAGAGATTGAGGTTTGGCAAAAGGGGCAAGCTGGTTTCACAACTTTTATCGCCAGCTACATCCTCATCATCTTTCAGTGAATTTTATCACCGGGGGTCTGGATTCCATGTGGCCAAAGGTAGTGGCTCCTGTACTCGTTTGGAGCATCCCCTCCCCTACTCGTCACTGTGGAGCTGGGATGTTGAGGGGAAAATTCAAATCAAGTTTCACTTGAGGTGGTAAGTCATGGTGGTGCCTGTGGAGTTGCTCCCATGCTCTCCCCTTTTCCTTTTGCTGGATCACAATCCTGGATTGTTCAGTCTCTCCTTCAGGAATTTTTTCCAGAGTTAGCTGAGCCACTTAGGAGGGAGGGTAGCACTTGTTTCAGTTCCATTTGCGTCCCTCACCCATCCCAGAGAGCCCTAAGCCTGATTCTTAGCAATACTACCTTCGACTCAGACACTACTCTCTGAAGCAACAAAAACAAAATCACAGCAGGCCTGCTTCGCTGAGTCTAAGCATGTTGCCTTTGAGGGCTGGGACATGCTTCCTCTAAGTACAGTGGCCTCCAGTCATGCTGGACCATGCCCTGAGGGGCAGTGACTGGTCCCTCTAACAACTGAAAGACTGGTAGGGATTTTGAGCCTCTTTCAGATGTCTTGAAGTACTCTTTGAGGACACTGAAGTGGCCTCCTTCTCCTCTAGGAAGCTGGAAGCCAGATTCAAAGCAGGATACTGAAGCTAGACCAAATAGGGCTTACTCAAGGCTGGCATAATCTGCACTGTGTCTTGTCACAGGGCCCTTTCTGAAACAGGGTTTCTAATCATGATACAGGGGGAGACTTGCTCCCCTCCTTGCTACTAAGTCCTAGGACACCACCTGCAAGGCTGGCCATACTTCTGAACACCTGCCTAATCCCTGTCCATTCTCATAGCAGTCTTCCTGCTAGACCTACTCAGCCACCAGCTGTCCACCACCTTCTCCTTGACTCTGTGTGGCCTGTGTCAGCCAATGTTACAATTCTTCCCTCTTTTTCAGTTTGCTGAATATTATTCCTTACTGCCTCACTCCATGGGGGGCATACTTGGGGTCAGGGGCTAAAAACAACTGTAATTGTGGCAAAGATTCTGGCCACACCTACCGCCTGCCACCTAGTCTTTCTCCAGCAAAAAGTCACTCTTAAAAATCTCTAAGCAATGCGGGGTAATTAAACATCACTTTCTAGGGTCCATACTATTTTTTTGTTTCTTCCTAGGGACAGAAGGGAAATGGACATTTTCTGCAAGTTCTAGAAGACTAACTTTATTTTCTTCTCTCCTGAACATCTGACGAGCATTCTCTATGCCTAAGGAGGAGTTTTAACAAACAAATCAATTGGCTCCAATCCCTGGGGCAGTAGTTAATTTCTGGTGCAGAAGTGCACAATCCAGGATTCAAATAACCCCAGAGGAACCCCACAGAATGCAGCTCAAACAACCCATAGGCCTCACAGAGGCTGGTTTAAGTGTGTTCTATTGTCATTGAATCACAGATTTAACTAGATCTTTAGCCCACATCTGGGTTATTTTAAAACGTTGATCCAACCCACGCTCTGAGTTTCCTCTTCCCTCCTGCAATGTTTTTTGGACATTCCAAGGAGAATCTTCCATCTTGCTCTATGACCACCCCATGTGGCCCAGCTGTGGCCCCAGCAGTCACTAGTCTGAGCTGTGGCCATTGGTGCTACAGCTGGGCCACAGGTGGGTCATAGAGCACTACTGCCATTACCACTGCTATGAGAAGCCCAGCTTGGACGCCCTCCTACTTCGTGAGTTTACGACAGTGTGCTGCCGTTTTGGCCACTGCTGTTATTATTTCCCAAATGTTGAGTGCTGAAGGCAACCTGGCCTCAGTGGCACTCTAAGAAGGGGACTCACTCTTTCCCTTTGTATGATATGCTCTGCTAGGTGGGGCCCACAGCAGGAAGGCTCAGTCCCCTGAAGTGTTAGGGAGTGTGAGTGCGCTTCCTTCCTTTTTCTATAGCCTGTAATAGTAATAACTCCAGGGAGGTTGCTGGCAAGATGGCCGAATAGGAACAGCTCCCGTCTGCAGCTCCCAGGGAAATCAATGGAGAAGGCAGGTGATTTCTGCATTTCCAACTGAGGTACCCAGTTCATCTCGCTGGGACTGGTTGGACAGTGGGTGCAGCCCACGGAGGGGGGGGAGCTGAAGCAGGGTGGGGCGTCGCCTCATCAGAAAAGCGCAAGGGGTCGGGGAATTTTCTCCCCTACCCAAGGGAAGCCGTGAGGGTCTGAGCCTGAGGAACTCTGTCACAGATACTGCACTTGTCCCCCGGTCTTCGCAACTCGCAGACCAGGAGAGTCCCTCCGGTGCCTACCCTACCAGGACCCTGAGTTTCAAGCACAAAACTGCGTGGCCATTTGGGCAGACACTGAACTAGCTGCAGGAGTTCTTTGTTGCCATACCCCAGTGGCGCCTGGAACGCCAGCAAGAAAGGACCATTCACTCCCCTGGAAAGGGGTGCTGAAGCCAGGGAGCCAAGTGGTCTGTCTCGGCGGGTCCCACCCCTGTGGAGCCTAGCAAACTAAGATCCACTAGCTTGAAATTCTCGCTGCCAGCACAGCAGCAGCCTGAGATCGACCTGGGAGGGTTTGAGCTTGGTGGGGGGAGGGGCTTCCGCCATTGCTGAGGCTTGAGTAGGCAGTTTTACCCTCCCAGTGTAAACAAAGCCTCTGGGAAGTTCGAACTGAGTGGAGCCCACTGCAGGTCAGCAAGGCTGCTGTGGCCAGACTACAGGATTTCTCTTCTCTGGGCAGGGCATCTCTGAAAAAATGGCAGCAGCCCCAGTCAGGGACTTATAGATAAAACTCCCGTCTCCCTGGGACAGAGCACCTGGGGAAAGGGGTGACTGTGGGCGCGGCTTCAGCAGACTTAAACATCCCTGCCTAACAGCTCTGAAGAAAGCAGCAGACCTCCCAGCACAGAGTTCGAGCTCTGCTAAGGGTCAGACTGCCTCCTCCCGTGTATCCTGACTGGGAGACAGCTCCCAGTAGGGGCTGACAGACACCTCAGACAGGAGAGCCCTGGCTGGCATCTGGTGGGTGGCCCTCTGGGATGAAGCCTCTAGTGGAAAGCTCAGGAAGCAATTTTTGCTGTTCTGCAGCCTCCGCTGGTGATACCCAGGCAAACAGGGTTGGGAGTGGACCTCCAGCAAACTCCAACAGACCAGCAGCAGAGGGGCCTGATTATCAGAAGGAAAATTAACAAACAGAAACGAATAGCATGTCCACTCAAAGACCCCATCTGAAGGTCACCAATGTCAAAGACCAAAGGTAGATAAATCCACAAAGATGGGGAGAAACCAGTGCAAAAAGGCTGAAAATTCCAAAAACCAGAATGCCTCTTCTCCTCCAAAGGCTCACAACTCCTTGCCAGCAAGGGAACAAAACTGGACAGAGAATGAGTCTGACGAATTGACAGAAGTACGCTTCAGAAGGTGGGTAATAACAAACTCCTCCGAGCTAAAGGAGCATGTTCTAACCCAGTGCAAGGAAGCTAAGAACCTTGAAAAAAGGTTAAAAGAATTGCTAACTAGAATAACCAGTGTAGACAAGAACATAAATGACCTGATGGAGCTGAAAAACACAGCACGAGATCTTCATGCAGCATACACAAGTTTCAATAGCTGAGTCGATTAAGCGGAAGAAAGGATATCAGTGATTGAAGATCAACTTAATGAAATAAAGAGAGAAGACAAGATTAGAGAAAAAAGAATAAAAAGGAATGAACAAAGCCTCCAAGAAATATGGGACTATGTGAAAAGACCAAATCTATGTTTGATTGGTGTACCTGAAAGTGACGGGGAGAATGAAACGAAGCTGGAAAACACTCTTCAGGATATTATCCAGGAGAACTTCCGCAACCTAGCAAGACAGGCCAACATTCAAATTCAGGAAAATACAGAGAACACCACAAAGATACTCCTCAAGAAGAGCAACCCCAAGACACATAATAGTCCGATTCTCCAAGGTTGAAATGAAGGAAAAAAATGTTAAGCGCAGCCAGAGAGAAAGGTGGGGTTACCCACAAAGGGAAGCCCATCAGACTGACAGCGGATCTCTCTGCAGAAACCCTATAAGCCAGAAGAGAGTGGGGGCTGATATTCAACATTCTTATAGTAATAACTCCAAAGTAATAATACTAATAATTACATTTGTTGAGTGCTTACCACACACAGTTCTAAGTATGTTACCTGGGTTTACTCATTTCATCTTTACAGACATACTCTGCAATACTCTGCCATAGCTTCTTTTTTTGAGATGGAGTCTCGCTCTGTCGCCCAGGCTGGAGTGTAGTGGTGCAATCTCAGCTCCTTGCGACCTCCATCTTCCCGGTTCAAGCGATTCTCCTGTGTCAACCTCCTGAGTAGCTGGGATTACAGGCATCCATTATCACGCCCAGCTAATTTTTGTATTTCTAGTAGAGACGAGTTTTCACCATGTTGGCCAGACTGGTCTCAAACTCCTGACCTCAGGTGATCCACCCGCCTCAGCTTCTCAAAGTGCTGAGATTACAGGCATGAGCCACTGTACCCAGTCTGAAGTAGCTTCTATTACTAACACTCCCATTTTATAGATGAGGAAACTGAAGCATAGACCACTGAAGAATAAAGCTTACAGAGCTAGTGAGGAGGAAAGCTGGGCTTGGAACCTAGGCAGCCTGGCTGTAAAATGTGTGTCTCTAATGCCACACTATTCTGCCTTACATGTGTATGTGCTGAATGGTTGGATCATGGAAAGTTTCAGTGAAAACCATCATGCTGTCTTCCAGAACCACGTTCTCCTCTGAGGAGGATGAATGAAGGTTGGGTTTCAGTCATCATGCCTGCCCTTTTTTTCTTTGTATTGTTTCTTAAGCATCTCAGAGTCCTCTCATGGAATTTGGTTTCTATTTCCCCTCCCAATCTCCACCTCACTCCATATCATAAGACATGTCTGCATTCTGGAATATTAAACGTGGACATGGCTCAAAGACTTTTCAGAGAAGGCCCTTGTTCTCTTGATAAATTAATGGACATGTATAGGTAGGGGGAGTAAGCTGTTGTCTGCCTCCCCCAGCCAGGTGTATCTGAATTTCCACTCCAGCCAACCAGGACCTTTCTTGTAAAAATATAGAATATTTCATCATTCTTCCCCAAGAGCAGAAGGCAAGCTTTAAAGCCAAATTTCTGATAAGGCTTTGTCGGAGTGATTATTTTTTGTCTCCTATGAGCAGGTTTTATTGAGGAAGGAAGTGAAAGACGTTAAGCGATATCCAGAACATTTAGAAGTTGGCCAGAGCAACCCATTTTTCCCACTTTTGCACTGTTCTCATCAAACAGAGTAGAAAGATCAAGTAACTATAAAGGACTTGGCATCACCATGGTCCAATGCAGCTGTTCACACAGAACTGGTCTAAAAACGAAATGGCTCTTCCATTGTTTGCTTATTACTCACTTCGGATAGAGAATACAAGAGCAAATGACATTCTCCTTGGCTGAAAGTGATTTTACTTCCATGCAGCTTCCCTGCAGAGCCTCTTCCCACCTCCATAGCCTTCTCCACTGCTGTCTCGACTTGCTTTCACCCTTATACCATTTTGCATTCAAGCACATTAAATGCAGCCCATGTTATAAAGCCATTATTTATTCCCACATCGAAACACTGCAGGTCACCCAACACATGTTAAAGAGAGAAAACCCATCAACAAATAGGCTCTGTCCATTCAGCTCAATTGACATTTCCATTGTCTTTCACTGAGGTCTCCGCATAACAGTGTACACAAGGGAGGATGTGGCAAGATCATCCATTGGCTGCTGCCTGGCTTCTCTTCTGTAACTGAGCACCATTGGGCCAATGCTGAGGGGTTTTCTGGGCGTGTTTCCCTCCTTTGTCAATGTTAATGCAATGCCAAATGATAAAGATGCCCTTTGGCATTCAACACTCTTAGCCTTTGATAATAAACACTTTCTGCATCTCAAATTGCTGCTATACATGAACAGGTTTTAGTCAATCCCTGAAGCGAACATGTACCTTCTCATTACAGGGCAGCAGTAGTGAGAAAGCAATTCACTAAGCCATAGGGCTGGCAATCACCCATATTTTCTGCTATGAGTAAATAACTTCAATTGATTTAATCATAAAAGAATAACAGGAAAACTACATTGATTTCCAAATCCCTAATGTGAACATCAGACTCTATTGACTAGGCTGCGTCCAAGGAGGTTGTAGCCATTTGTATGAACTCAAGAAACATCAATACTTGATTATTACTCGAACAAAAAAAATGACAATTTGGACCTATTTCAAAATGGATTGAAGTAATATTATGCAGGATGATTGGGCAATCTAGAGTGATATAAGTGATAATACGCTGCAGTGCTCATTAGGTTAAAAAGAACAAAATCCATAAATTCTGGTGAACAGTTTTCTTGTTAATTGTAATAAGTCATTCACTTTCTATAGTAACAGTAATAACACACTAGACCTCTGTTTCTATTAAAGTAACCAAATGGGCTTGTCGAAAATTCATCTATTGCTCATGTAAATTTAGCTGCTAAGATCTTTGCACATAGAAAATCTCTCCATAAGTGGAAAAACTGCAGATTTTGTTTCAAACCACCCTTAAAAGAGCATTGGTTTCCCTGACAGTAACTGGTCAATTGAGGTGTAAAAACAACGTCAAAAATATTTAAGGAATATTTAATACAAAAAATGCAAAAGAATATAAATGTGCTTTTTATTTTAATACAGGAAAAAGAATGTTGGACAGAAGAGTTAAGTAGGTGAACATATGTATTAAGTAGATATCACCTAAACCAGGACACTTTTGAGAGTGAGGAGAGGCACTATTAATAAGAGGCTGGGACAACAGGTATATGCCAGGACTATTCCAGGCAAATTGAGACACAAGATGACTGTGGAGTTGGGGAGACTGACTATAAACTCTGTTTCTAAGTGACTTTGAAACTCCAAGCAACTCATCCACTAGTTTTGGTTTCTTACTTGCCTGCAAAATGAGATCATCTATAATCTCACAGATCTCTTCCAGTTTTAAAGATCTGGCTCTCACAGCAAATAGAATGGTGGTAGAAAGGGACTGGGGAAGAAGGTAATGAGGAATTATTGTTTAATAGGTACAGAATTTCAGTTTTGCAAGATGAAAGGAGTTCCAGAGATGGATGGTGGTGATCATTGCACAGCAATGTGAACGTACTTGATGTTACCGAACTTAAAATATACTTACTACTACTGTACTTAAAAATGGTTAAGATGATATATTTTATGTCACGTCTTTTACCACACTAAAAAAAAAAATCTGACTCTAAACCAAATGATATGAGTGATTTTAATGTCATCCTTCTTTTACTAGTTACATTTTACTGCAAATGTTTCTAAACTGTTATCTCATGGCAATAGTTTCTTTTACTCTTTTTATTAAAGAGTAAAAGAAATTACTAAGCTTTACTGAAGCAAACAATGATTATTTTAATATAAATTCTTGTCGATTACAGAAAAGATAACATGTAGGCTCTCTCCCATTCCAAAGACCCAAAATCCCTGATAATGTTCAAATATGTAAAATATTGGTGAGCCCCATATTAAGCACTTACAACATGCTGAGAATTCTAAGCAACTCAGTGGTCATAACTAAACTGGTATTGCATTTTGTGTGTGCCTAGCACACAACTAGGTCTACTGAGACGTGGAAGTAATATAAAAAAGAATTATCTGTCCTCAAGTAGCTTACATTGTTGTTACAGAAATGAAATTAACACATAAAATAATTACTGAGTCATACTCCAGAGGAGATAATTGACTCCAAAGTTGAAAGAACATGCTGGGAATTTAGAAAAGGCTGAAATCAAAGAGGATTGGATTATTCAGAAGTGATTGTGAAGTTTGTAATTAGAATGTGGACTAGGCTTTGAAAACTATATGAAGTTTGGCCAGATGGGAAGGGATCAGTAAGATCTTCCAAGCATGAGAATCAATATGAAGATGAATACGCAGAAAGGGGAATTGTGTCACTGGCCCAGAGACATGTGCTAGCATCTCATGGGAATATGCTTTGGTTAGGTGAAATCAGATAGAAGAGCATTACAAAATAAAATAATAGTTTAGGCATTAGGTGGAAGGAAATATAATGAACTGCTGTGTTTAAGTATCAGAAGCTTGTAACATGTGGCAGGAAAGATTATTTTAGGTGCATGTGGACACAGCATTAGGGAACATTGAATCATTTTATGAGAAAGTTATTCCCCTTTCAGTTCTTTTAATTGTACTAGTAAAACTTTGCCACATCTGCATCACTTGTTAATTTCCCTTTGTAGGAAAAGAGAAAACAAACCTCAGGAACAACACCTTTGGCTGGCAAACTATCCACATAATAAATTAATAACATAGTGTTTCCATTGTATCGACTTTAAATTAATTACCTTCTAATTCCATTAAGTGATAATGGTTTTCTCTTCATGACTGTGATATAGCATTTACTTTAAAAATACATTTTTTTTTTAGAGCTGAACAATGACCAATTCATGAAGTGATATAAACAGTAGGAAGATCTGAGAAAAGTCTTGAAGGTGGCCTGTGATAGAAAGAGCACAGGTCCTCAAAATGAAAGCCTGGCTCTGATTCCCACTTCTGTAGCTTATTAACATTGACCTGGAGTAAAACACTTACTCTCACTGAGCCTCAGTTTCCTTGTCTGTCAAATGAGGGGTTGGGTGAGATGATCACCAGGGTCTCCTTCTACTCACAATTGCGTGATTAAAGGGCTATTCAGTGGACAGTGACAAGATGAAAGCAGCATTTAAAGAAGATTCGTCTGGCAGTGGCAGGAAGGTGAGATTGGAGAGGAGAAAGTTGGGGTCACGGAGGCCACATAGGTGGCCGTTTCCATAATCCAGGAATGAGCCGAAAAGGGCCATGGCTAGGATGATGATGCTGAGACTTTGAGAGGTGAAGAGACATGGAAGACATTTCAAAGGAAGAGTTGACAGCATTTCATAACTAAATAGTGAAAAAACATAAAAATGATTTGGGGATAACAAACTTGGTGAAGTGAAAAGGGAAACTGTTTAACAAAATCCTGTGTTGGAAAGAAGAGCTTGTCTGGTTTTAAAAATCATGAGTTTGGGCTGATTGCAAGATACTGGTATTGAAATCCCCTAGGACAGCTGAAATATAGGACTGCCACCTAGATAAAAAGAATGATGTGGAAATATAGATTTAAGGGTCTTCTGCACTGAAATAATGAATAATTTGCTTGAGCGAGCTCAAAACAAGAATAGCAGAAAGTCCAAAAATTGAATTTCAGAATATGACGCCTATTGTTAAAAAGGCCAGGAGAAGCAAGAAAGACCAAACAAAGAAACAAAAATGGAATTTTCAGAGTATGAAAAACACCAGAAAGCAGAATGCTCAGAGTATGAGAGAAGCCAGAATGGTGTGGGGTTCTGCAAACCAAGAAATAAACCAGTTTTCAAAATATGAGTTGCATTGAAGTACAGAAAGTCATGCAAGGAATAGGGGCTCTGGGGCCACAGCAAAAGCTTGACTAATGTCATTAATGCCCTTTGTTTGAGCAGAAAGCATCAGAGTGGTAACAGTTGATTAAGACTAAGAAGAGATTAAGAAGCCCGTTAGAAGGGAAAACTCAAATTACAAAAATCATAGTGTCATTTTGCATCCATAAATACACACAACTATAATTTGTCAATACAAAATCTTAAAACTTTACGTAAAAAATTTTAAGTCGAGGTAAAAACACAGAAATTTGGTAGGAAGAAGGAAGAGAAAAATAAGATACTGGCAAGAGAAAAGCTGCAGATTCATGGAAAGTTTATTTTTAAAATATATGGAAGGTGGGCATGGTGGCTCACAGCTTCATGTGGCTTAAGTGGGAAGATCACTTGAGTTCAGGAGTTTGAGAGTATAGACGTCGATGACCATGCCTGCAAATAGCCACTGCACTCCAGCCTGGACAACATAGCAAAACTCCATATGTATATGTATATATGGGAGACTATAATTTTGATAACAGAGGAGGATCTAAGGCTCTTGGGAAGAGATTCATGGAAGGTTCTAGAAAGTAAAGTGAGATAAATTGTGGACTCCACATTGTGAGGTCCAAATTATGAATATGGCCCAACCCTTGAATCACCCAAGGAGGCCCATAATTAACTTCAAAGAAAGAGGCCTCATGTTTATTTCCTTTTCCCCAGCACATCTTCAACCCAGTTTAGGTGCAAAAAATCACTAAAAAAGAAATTAGTGTTGAAGGTCTGAATTTTGGGGGGCAGACTTTTATTGTAGATTCAGTCCTTCAAGACCTTCCAATCTCAATTGGCCTCTGGGGTTGAGATGGATGTACCCTTTTCCTACAGAAAATCTGGAACATCCTGACTTCCTTGTTCTAGCAACTTAAGTGTGAAGCTGGGGCACTCACATTATTAAGCCATGATACACTTACCACCCTGGAGAGGATGAGCAAATGCTGTTTGAGTATTTCACACATGCTCAGTTGTTACAGCAATTGCCTTTTATTGTAGGTGTGGTCGTTTCCAGAAGGCTACAAAACACTGTGAGCCAGGATCTCAGCTTATGTCAGGAAATAAATCAGGCTGCTGTGGGACAGGAGTTGTCACCAGCTATACAAGAATCTAAAAATACAGGGGCCAGATTGTCAACCCATGCAACTCTAGGGGAATTCCCTGTACCAAAGCTGTATATAATTCATTTACCTGAACAAGAAATCCCAGTAGACGCTGTGCCCAGATGCTCTGATGCCTATAGGAAGGTTTCTAGATTTGACACCTATTATCCCTGAAAACAACGAAAGAATGGGAGACTGAATCGAGTTTCCTAATATTAATTAAAGTTGTAATTCTGAACATATTGTCTAAATTCAGTGTTAAGCAATATATCATATTAAGAACACAGATTCTTTGCATCGTGAAATTCTGACTCCTCCACTTATTCGTGGCAGGTTATTTAACTCTCTTGTGCCCTAGTTCTTTCATCTGGAAGGTGGGAAACCTCATTGGTTTGCTGGGAGGATTCAGCGAGTTGATATATTTAAAGGCTTACAACAGTGTTGACATATAGCAAGCTCTATGTACCCTGGTTAGCTCCTTATGATCTGATAGGTGGATATATACCCACAGTGAATTTGGAATTGGGTCATAAACAAAAATTAATGTTTCCTGGAGATTGGTCTTAATGTTACCTCAGAATCCACTTTACTGACTTTTCCTTCTTTTGTTCATGTTATTCACTCCCTCCTCCAGTCCTCTCCATCAAGTATAGGAATAATTGAAGCTACATAGAACTTTTTAAAACTTTTATGCATTTTTGTGCATGTGGGAAATCAAAGATAAGAGTGAAATAGTGTCTCCAAATTTCTGACAGATACTAATCTCTGGAATATAAGAACAAGAAATCAGAACTCCCAGTAATTCTTGAGAATTCTCCAATGCATGTTATTCTAAAATAGTCCAACATTGATCATATTCTTTACTCATTATCACAGATATCTTTAAAAGGTTATTTGGTAAATAAGAAATGTTAAGTTTGTAAGTAATATTGTTTGTAACTATCAAAGTACAAAAACTTTGATAGTTTGTGTACTTTGGTACAAGAACTGTAGTGTATACAGAATATTCAAACACTGGCAAAAACTGTGATCATTATTAGGTGGGATGCGCAAAACATAACATTCAGACCTCCTGGCAAGGTTAACGGCACTACACAGAACCACACATCAAAACTGCCAATTTAAGATCTTAGTTCACTTTCAAACTTGTAATTTCTTGGATTTCTTATTTCATAAGATTTGAATAAAGTATGCTATTCCTATAAATTTATACTTAGCAGCAGACAGGGCCACCATCACAGGCATGTAACAGCTAGAAGCAAGACTGATGGTTAGATCATGTTGATTCTTTTCATTGATACCATGTCCCAGTTTCTAAAGTATCCACCTTAACCTTCTACTTTCTCTATCAGTGTTTTCTTTTCTAGTTTTTGACTCAAAGCCAGATTCCTTCAACCCAATTACATATGTTGATTGTTATGCTGTAATGCTTAAAGGAGGAGTTATGATACTTTTATTCATTTTCCCAATTTCTCAATTGATTTTTCTCAAGATTCAACATTTAGAAAAACAAATTTCCCAATAAAATCCAGAAAGGAATTCCCAAGTGGAAATTCAAGAATGGACTTGACTGGAAGGACAAAACAACAAACCGTTCATAGAGGAAGGGTGTCCACAGAGGGCGACTTACCAGAAAGCTAATTAAAGCTGAAGCTGTGGGCCCCTGACTTGCTCCAACCCTTTCTGAGGACCTGGGAAGGGACCCTACAATATGTGCACATGGTCAAAATGTTTTGTACCAAAAATATGTACAACTATTATATATCAATACAAAATTTTAAAAAATCGTACTACTTCAAAAGTAAAAATTTGTTTTGGTATTCTTTCATTAAAGATGGCTCTCTAATTATACGACTTTCAACTCCACAATATCTGAATCCATTCCTGGATGCCATGGGGAGGCAGCTATAACACCAATACCAAAAAGATTAGCTTTGTTACATGGAGCCTGGTGAAATAGGATAATATAGTCCATGCTCCATAAACTCAGTTGCATACAAAAACAAGGAAGTGTAGAGTGTGAGGCAGCAGGGAGAGGTGGGGCCTGTGGTGACTGTCACAGGACATTCCCTTCTGAGGGGATCTGCCACCTACTCCACTCTAGCTAATTGATACCATATGACAATGAGGCCCCAGTTAAGTCAGATCATCCAATTATTCAAGAGGATCTAGAAATCTTAATTTGTACATGAATCTCCCAGTTTCTGAATCTTAGCAACTAATTAAACATGTTTTAGATACTGTACTGGCCAAACAAAACGTGTCAGTGAAACATGGTGTTCTACAAATTGGCTGCTGGCTCACAATCGTTAAATACCTGATCTCTTTGAGATCTCATAGCCCCAAGAGTAAGTCCATTCGCTCCAAATAGCTAGCCTGAGGCCCATCCTTCTCCACTCCAGAGCCCATCCTGAGGCTTTGCCCTCCCATAGGGGCATCTTCCATTTCCTGTCTATAACCCATCAAAACCTGATTCCATCAGTGGTCCCTCATTTCCCCAAAATGATAGAAGAGATGCTACCTAACTAAAAAAGTGGGTTACAAATGAGAGTGCTTTTTAGAATGATTCACATCTTAAAAGAGAACGCTTATAGGCTGGGCACAGTGGCTTATGCCTGTAGTCCCAGCACTTTGGGAGGCCAAGGTGGGCAGGTCACTTGGAGCCAGGAGTTAGAGAGAGACCAGCCTGGCCAACATGGTGAAACCCCACCTCTACCAAAAATATAAAAAGTAGCCGGGCGTGATGGTGTGCGCCTGTAGTTCCAGCTACTTGGGTGGCTGAGGCAGGAGAATCGCTTGAACCCAGGAGGCAGAGGTAGCAGTGAGCCGAGATCACACCACTGCACCCCAGCCTGGGCAACAGACTGAGACTTCTTGTCAAAAAAAAAAATAATAATAATAACATTTTTTTAAAAAAAGAGAAAGCTTGTGAACCCCAAGCCACTTTCAAGTTGCCTGAGGGAATAAAATAAAACGTACTGCACAGCTTTCCAGGAGACATTTAGGAGTCAAGAATCTTCTTGGATCTCCTAAATTTCATCAGCATCTAATACACGCTAAGGAGCAGGGATAGCTCCGCCTCATTCATTCATTATTTTATTCATTAAGAAAATGGGGTTTAGTTTATACTATGTGCTAGGCACAGAGATGGGTCACAGGGGCAAAGGACACACAGGCCTAGTAAGAGCCATGTCTTCAAGGTTAGCACAAACGTGTTAAAGAAAACAGACAAGCAATTGGGCCGTTATATTGCACTGCCTCAGAGTCTAAGACTGACACTCTTCAGAGGGGACTATAGACCAATGTCCCGTCCTTTCTAGTTCCCCCTCCTTCCTTTCTGCCACCCTGTAGGTCTTCACTCACTCCAGGCCCTGCCTCCCTCTATTCTTAACTCTCAGGTGTGATAGAGCTTCCTAACCCCATGACTGGCCTCTCTGCACAACCTGGTTTCTACCAGGACAGTGAATTTAGCAACTGGGTACCACTGGCCCACTCTTGTCTCTAAATGCCTTTGGTTTTCTCACCTGCAAACTGTGACTTATGCTGTTCCTCCAACCAGTAATGTCATTGGCTTGTTCCTTTGCCATCGCTCTTGTGCTGTTCTGCTTTCCTGTTAAGTTAGTTGATTCTATTTCTACTTTTGTTATCAATCCACAAGGTCCAGAGTCATGTCTTTTTAATCTGCGCATTCCCCAGAGTGTTTGTGGGTTTGTGGTTTTGGTGCTCAATAAATGTTGATGTAAGTGTAATATCCCACCTTTCAATCTGTTTGTAGAAATCCTAACTATCATTTGAGGACTAAGTAAAGTGCTGTCTTTGTCGGGCAGCCTTCTCTGATCACCTCAGCCTCAGAGAATGGTCTCTTCTTGTTTGGAATATCTAGAGTTTTGGGTTTTAACTGCTGTCACTGCCCTCCTCACACAGGGCTTTGTACTGTAAGCACTGTGTACACGTGTCTCAGTTCTACTAGAATAATTTTTCTGAGGGTAGGTGGAGTTTCTTCAGATCTTGCCATGTCCCATAGTAAATAGCATGTGGCATTGCCCGTAGTTGGATTTCAACGTGTGTGAACTGAATTAGTGTGACTGAACAAATGAATGAACTGAGTAAATGAATAGGGCAGGTTTTGAGGAGGTAGTCAGACCCTAACTGATTCTGCCCAACTACCCCCTTCATTTATGCTTAGATTTCAGAGTTTGATACATAGTTTACATGGGTGTTTTTATGTCTCATAGGCACCTATAAAAATAATGATTGTCATTCATTTAATTTCCCAAGTAATCAAGAACCACAAGTCCTTTTGTGTCAAATCCTTATTGAAGAATGTCTTTATGATAACAGGTAGAAGAAGTTCATTATGATGTCCAGATCATTATACAGTCTATAAAATATTAACTCTTAAATAGCTATGAAGGTGCTTAAGACTCTTCACTTTTACTGAGTTGAAACCAGGTAGCTGTACTTTTTACATTACGTCTGTAACATTTTTCTCTCTCTTCTCTTACATGTTGCTATTACTACTTCCAGTAGCCTTCTCCCTTCGTCTCTCATCAATTTAGCTTATTTAATCAACAATTGTTTGTTGACCATCTATTATGTGTCTTTAAATCTGCTATGGACCTGAAAAGCAGACATCTCAGTTTGTTCGAGTAGCATTGAAAAAATAAATTTGAGTGCAGAATCATGTATTAGTAAAACAACCACACTTCAGTGCATGGATTTTGGAAACTCTATTTTGGATTCAGAGTGAGGAAGTAGATATCTCACTCTCAGCTATATTCCAGAGAACAAAGACAGTTGAATAATTAACTAGGGGATGAGTACCATATGACTGGACTGATAGTCTCTAAAACAGATTTGATAGCCAAGGAGATGAAAGGATTGACTGCATTCCTCAGAGAAACCAAGTTGCATCCTGACTTCTCTCCTCTTGATTTTGCCATTAAAACATGTTATCTCCTCATAATAAATCACTGGAGAGGTTGTTAGAATAGTGGAGGAAAACAAGGGAGAGTGGTATTGAGGAAAGAATAAGAAAACCATGAAACCATACTTTGCAAAGACTAATAATATGATATAGTCGAGAAATTAACAGGGTTGTTTTTTGGTTTTCTTCCTTTCTGGCAAGAAAAAAAAAAGAGTGGCCAGTTACACAATATTTCTCATGAATATTTTCATAGCCACAGAATAGACAATGTAATACTGTCAACAGTAATGGATTACAGATCTATCTAAAATATAACAATAGCTCACAAATCAGTGTTTAGGGCAATAAACAGCTGCATCATTAATTTCTACCTCAGATTCATGAGTGATTACACTTTGTATCTCTAAAAGTCCATAGACTAACTATTGGAAATGAAAATAATGTGCCATTGATTTGGGCAGCCTTTTAGAATACAGGAATAATGATCTGAGGGATTTTTAATTATCTAAACTCCACCAAGAGCCCTTGAGAGCTTTTCAAAAAAAAGAACATGAGCCAATATGTAAAAGGTGCCTGAGAAAATGTGATGTGCTTTGGACGAATTTAGATTCTATAGCAAAGAGGCTAACATAATGCAGAGAATTGAGTCCGTTGTGCCTCAGAGGAGACTGGGCAGAGAAACTTTCAAGAAAGACAGATGAATACCCCGTACAGGAATTTTTATACTGGAGTAAATAGTATGCAGCCATCTTGGTGGTTACAATTTTACTATCTGCATATGCCTGAGGACTGTTGCAAGTCATAAACACATGCCAAATGACATCAGAGACAAGTGTGGGCATTGGCTGCCTTTTCACCTTGTATCCATCTGTGTGTTAAATAGCTGATGAGATGGGCTTTTTTTTCCGCCTTGCACCTATAAGCCAAAGTCATTGTCCTGTCAGTGTATAATGCTTTTATATTTTGGAGTGCTAGCCACGGAATTTTTCCGCTGCATAATGGATTGGCAGCTGCATCCATAGTCCGACTTAATGTGTACAGGAGGGGAGAAAGAAAGGAAATTGGGTCCAAGACAAAGGAAAGTGAAGACGACGTTTTCTATTTGGAATGCTGGGCCTGAGCCCCTCTCAGTGAAGAGCTTCTTAGGCTGTCCTGGACAAGCTATTTGGTTTCTCCTCCAATGATTTCAGAGCCCCAAGGCTCATCAAAATGGCAAATATTTTTCAATGAGTCTGTCACCCCTCAAATTTCTGAAAAGCTGAGCCCTGGAGAAAACTGATATGATGCACACCTACCCTTAGCTCCACTTGCAGTGTTTCCTAAGCCCACTTTTGTCTGGTTTCTAATCTATCAGGTAATAATGTTAATCTGATATTTCTGAAGTGCTTCATGGTGTTTGTCTATGAAAGGGGCTGTGGAAAACCAGAATGATGGATTGGCCGTGGATTTGACAGGAATTCAAATCTGAAAAACAAGCCTACTTATCTGAAGGTGCCAAATAACCATCATATGTTTCCCTAAAATGAGAGCAATACATAAAATTCTTGTAAGATGGGGACACTAATTTCCATGTTTGCTACACCATTTTAGCAGTCCCATAAACCTGTAGTAGCTTTAACAGAAATATGGCTGGATGAGGCATATTTTATTCTTCAGTATGCAAGCCTAATGAATAGAAACTTTAACACGGTCTTAAATAGTCCCTGCATCCAAACTTGGTTAAGTATTTTTAAAACACATACAGTTTATGCTCTACCTTTAATATTTGGGAGGGATAATCTAGTATTTGGTTATGTTTTATAGGATCAGGACTAGTGTGAGAAGACAAACTGCAAATCTTAGAATGAAGGCTTCTGCCCAAAGTATGGCCCAACCTTATGGATTTAAAAGAAAGTCACCGAAATCAGCATAGCTCCTTATTTTGCCAAACATGATAATTTTACAGAAGCAGCCTCTTATTCTCTCTCCCCCATCCATCAACTTCCGATGATGGTCCCCACCCTGAGTCTTTGGTAAATCCATCCTGTGAGTACTCCATGGGGCCTACGTTAAAGGTGAGAATTTTAAGTTCTTTTTCCTCTCACAAATGAAACTGGTGAATTGAGCTAAACAGTGTCCTATATTAAGCTAAATTCTACGTAAGCAAAGCTTAAGCATATATGCTTACGTATATAGAAGAAAAGTATATTTTATCCTACTGAATTTTTAAAATAAGCTGTTCCTAATATGAAACTAATATACCACAGACCAAAAAAAAAAATAGAATATTCAAATAAACAAAAGGACAAAATGGAAAGATAATCACATTTAACCTTTGGTGTCCATCTTTTGAGATTTATACTTACATAACACAGCCGTTCCTCAGTATCCTCTGGGGCTGGTTCCAGGGCCCCCACAGATTTTGTGGGTTCTCTATTCTGTTCCATTTTTCAAATATTTTTGGTCTGTAGTTAGTTGTATCTGCGGACACAGAAACCACAAATATGGAGGCTGACTGTATATAATCATAGATAGCTGATTTTTACATATCAGGCTTGAGTATAATGAAATGTACTTAAATATAATTAAAATACATATTTTTAGGTAGTGGTAGTGTTTGCACAACAGTGTGAGTGTACTCAATGCCACTGAACTGTACGCTTAAAAATGGCT
Source organism: Homo sapiens (assembly GCF_000001405.40). Lineage (NCBI taxonomy): Eukaryota > Metazoa > Chordata > Mammalia > Primates > Hominidae > Homo > Homo sapiens. The sequence continues at coordinate 21,162,468 of NC_000007.14, forward strand.
AAAATAATAAGTTTCATGTCTGCTTTATCACTATTTTAAAAACACACATTTTTAAAATAAAATGAGATGCTAAAGAACATGCTCCTTTGTTATTCCATTCTTATTTTAACCTGATATATTACAAGTACTGTATCTCTCCATGTCAGCCAATACAATTCAAGAATATCATCTTTAATGGCTATAAAATATTCTGCTTTGTGGGTATGTACTTTAGATTATTTAAATCAGGGATTCTCACTCTGGCTGCATATTATAGTCACTTGGACAGTTTATAAAATACAGATGATCAGGTCTTACCTCATAAAAGTCTTGTTCAATTGGTCTAGGGAGGGACTTGGGCATCAGCATTTTTTTAAAACTTCCCAAGTGATTCTAATAGTCAATCAATGATGGCAAACACTGACTTTTTATCTTTTCTTATTAAGAAAAGATACGTAAGAAAAGATAATTAAAGAAAAGATTATTTTAATTATCTTTTTAATTATTTAATTATTTTAATTATCTTTTCTTAGGTAAGCCATTTTCTGTTTTTTACAATTACATATAACTCTGAAAAGATTAAGTTTAAAAGGATTTTGTAGCATATACCCATAGTTACTTATCTTTTACTGAGTATGATGACCATATACTTTATCTTACAAACTGGGACACTTCTGAAAGTGAAAGGAGATATGATTGTTCATTATTCCAAGACAAGATCTGTGCAAACCAGGCTTATCTGTGGCAAATTGGGTCATAGATGATTCCACTAGTCAAAACATATAAACTATTAATACATTTGGTAGTTTTTACCTAAGGTCATCCAAAATCAGCATACCAATTACATCCATAGTTTTTGAAAGAACCTGTACTCTGAAATCTACAATATTAAAAAGTACATTTCTTTTTAAAAAGTATTTATTGAACAACTACTATATGCCAGCTTGTGCTAGATATGAGGAATAATTGTGAGGAGGAAGCAACATATAGTTTCCATTTCATAAATTTACCAGGAATTGTAGACATTATAAAACCGCATGATGCCATAGATATTATCATTTTATTCAACCTTGATAAATTTATTAGGCAAAAATTGTACTTTCTTGTTTTCCTTTGTATTCATGTGGTCACTCATAAAATTGAACATATTATTATCTGTATTTCTCCCTTCATGCATTATCCATTCATATCTTTTCCCATTTTGCTATCATATGTTTATAGCTTTTTTCCGTTTATTATTTGATTTTGAAACTTATGGTAGGTTGTGATAGAAGATTAAAACTATTTCTGACTTTGATACTATAATTCATCTTTAATTCATAATTAATAATTTGGTATAAAAAGAGGTAAGGAACTTGTATTAATGATTTCAAGTAATTAAACAATTATTCATTAGCATTTTTTGAAAAAAAAATTATTATTTGTTTTCCCTGACTAATTTGAAATGCCTTCTTTGGCATGCAATAGAATCTCATATATATGCAGATCTGTTTCAGGGATTTCTATTGCATTCCTTTGTGCTTTCTCTCTGTTCTTATAATATTATCTCACCAATTCAATTATTTTGTGTCATACTATGGTTTGATCATCTGTGCAAGTCTTCCTACCAGATTCTTCTTTTTAAATACATTATTGGTTACTTTTGCCTTTTCAATTTTTTTTTTTCAGGTAAATTTTAGAGGCAGGTTGTTGAGTTCTCACAAAAATCCTATTGGAATTTAATTGTTATTTTATAAGATAGATAGATAGATTAGTTTAAGGAGAATTAACAACTTTACAAGATTGATGTTCATCCAGGAACTGGATATGTCTGTCCACTTATTCAAATATTCTTCTATATGCTTTATTTTTCAGATTTTTCAGGTCTTTTCCCACAGGTCCTGCATATTTCTTGTTAGGTTTATTTCTAAATATTTCTTTGTTTGCTTTGCTTTGCATTTATGGGTATGTATATGTATGTGTGTGTGTAAAGGAAATTTTTTAAGCCCATTTATATTGTCTAAATGGTAGTTTCATCCTACTGATTTTTTTCCAACTCTATCTGATAGATACTACCATGCTATATAAGACAACAACATATACCAACAACTTGCATAAATAAATCCCTCTAATTTGAGTTACTTTGCTCTATTTTAATTTAAAATATTACATAGTAATGGTCTGGCTTACTTCAGGCTCAATCCATAGTAATTTGCACCATCCATTCTTTAATTCACCAGATATCATTGAGACCCTTCTATGGCCTCATGCTGAGCCAGGTATAGAGGTATGATGGTAACGAGTGGGACAAGAGTTATGAACGAGGTATGCACAGGGGATCTAATTTAGCTACAGTCCCAGTTAGGCAAAGTTCCCCTGAGAACAATGATACGTAAGCTGAGGCTTGAAGGGTGCACAGGATTTAACCAGGCAAAGAGGAGGAGAAAGAATATTTAGAACACAGACAACAGCAGGGAAGGACTCTGAGCCTGGGCAGAGTAGGCAGGAGAGTGGCTCTGAGTGGGGCTTGCGTGTTGGCAGGGACCAATGCCACAGGGCATTTGGGACATGCTAAGGCTTTTGTATTTTATCTTGGGAGCAGTGAAAAGCAATGAAGGGTTGTGTGAGTCCGTTTTCATGCTGATAAAGACATACCTGAGACTGGGCAATTTATAAAAGAAAGAGGTTTAATGGACTTACAGTTCCACATGGCTGTGGAAGCCTCACAATCATGGTGAAAGGCAAGGAGGAGCAAGTCATGTTTTACATGGATGACAGCAGGCAAAGAGAGAGCTTGTGTAGGAAAATTCCGTTTCATTCACTACTAGGAGAACAGCACAGGAACAATCCCCCCGCATAATTCAATCACCTCCCACCAGGTTCCTCCCATGACACGTGGGAATTATGGGAGTTACGATTCAAGACGAGATTGGGGTGGGGACACATCCAAGCCATATCAAGTGTCTAAATAAGGAAGTGACATAAACATGTCTCCATTTTTGAAAGATAATCTGGATACAGTGTGGTGAATGAACTCTAGAAAAGCAAGAGAATTTGTGCGGTGAATAATAACCAGGTTTTTGGAGCAGTCTACCTAAACTAACCAGGTCTACCTGAAAGATGACATTATTAGACCAGGGAGGCTATAAGTGAAAACCAAGTTATGGAATAAGGAGGCATCTAGAAGACAAGAAAAACAGGATTTGCACATTGATTTAATGTGGAATATGAGGGTAAGAGAGAAGTCAAGAAAGACTTGCAGGGTTTGAGGCTTGAGCCTCAAGTTGCTCAGAAATGCCATCCATGAACTAGGAAATACTAGAGGGCAGATTTGGGGAATAAGGGGAAATTCTAAGTTCCCATTTTGGAAGTTTGGAGGTTAGGGTGCCTATGAGACATGTAAGTAAACACATAAAGTAAACCATTGTTATATGGAGACGGGACTTATGAGAGAGGTTTGAGTGGAAAATATAAGTTTAGGAATCACTAACACATAGATGGTGGTTGGGATAGTACAGCTGAATAAAATTGTCTAAGAGTGAAAATAAGCATTAAAAGGCCTAGATCCTAAGAAAGTCTGAAACAGTCAGGCTCAAGTTGGGTTAAACAAGAAAGAAATAGATGAAATAATGATTTTAAAATATTTAATGGTATTTGAGAACAAGAAAAGGGAAGGAGGTGAAGGCTTATATAATTTAATTTGGTGCTCCGTACCCACTATAAAAATCTTAACCATCTTATTACATTCTGATGTGTTCTACTGAAGAGAGCAATTTCTTTGCAATTTCCCAACATCCTGCTTTAATATCCCTTGGTGGGACACAATTTCCCAGCCTAAAATGGTGACAGACCCCCTTGCTGAATTAGATGTAAAAGTTCCCCTGTAGAGCTGAGTTAATGCTCAGAGGCCCTTGAAACGAAGTGGCCCTTCTTCATTTGAAACAGGCTTTGATCTCTCAGACTTGTGTCCTCCCAGGGAAGGGTGGGGATAGATAGGCTTCTACAGAGTCACCACCATTGGCAGAATTTAGGAACACACCTGTATCAGCCACCTGGTGCCAGACAGGCATTTCATTTTAAAGCAACAAGGCACATCATTGAAGTTTAGGGATTAATGTCATTAGCTGGAAATTCTTGTTTAGTGCAATTTGTTAGACTGATACAAGATAATGATGCTTTGGGATAGTTTGCAAAAGGATTGGTGGGAAGTAAAATGAGGTTAAACTCAAACTAATAGAGGAAAACAAAATCAAGTGATGAGATTGTGAATAACTAGGAGACACTTCAGTTTGGAGCCAGCAAGTTTCATAAACACGCCATTAGGTAATTTACTTGATACTAGATGTACCAAGAAAAGATGGTGTTTTAGTGGCAGAATTCCAGCCATCGCAGAGTGGGTTTGAATTCTGGCCTGACCACTTGCTAGACGAATGATCTTGGACAAATTGCTTAGAAAATCTGAATTTGGTCAAGTTTTGACTTCTTCAGCTGGCAAGGAGAGCCAGATCACCTCACTGGCAGGGAGTCTGTGATGATCAGTTAAATCTCAAGTGCCTACTAAATCCCCTCCATTTCCTCCCCCACATGAAGGCTTAGCTGACCCTGCAATTTTGGCTTTAGACCTAGCGGATGCTCTATGATCCTTCTTTCTCATATAGTACACCTTCACAATTTCCAAAATCACAATCCTAGACACATGACAGTTTCTATGGGTGAAAAAAAAAATGTGGCATTGCAGATATAATTTTAAACCCCAGAGCAAAGCTAGATAGTTCAGTCTGAATAAAAGGTTAATGGCAAGCTCTGAGAGTCCCCTGGCTGACAGGAGATGCACAGGCAGTTCCAGTAGTTCGCTCTCTTACAAAGATGCCACCGCTCCACCTTCATTAGAATAGATCATTTTCATTTCATTTCTGATAGTGGTAATATCTGTCTGAGCATTCAACATTCTTGTTCAGCCCACCACTGTTTATTAGTTAAGACAGAGAATCAAGTTGCTATAACAGAGATCCAAAATGCAGGTACATAAACTGTACAGAAGTTGATTTCTATCTTATAAAACTGTTTTAAAGATTAGTCTTCCAGAACTGGTATGGAAGTTCCACAATTTTGGACACAGACTTTCTTTATGTCACTCTCACATCCTTGGAGTGTTGCCCTTATCTGCACAGTACCACATGGTATTAGGCCGTCATGATGTGTATGTTGAACTTGACCTCATTTGCAATACACTGCAACTGCCAAATACCAGGGGACCTTCGTCTCTTCCCTAGGCTCTTTCTTGTGACTTCCTCCAACACATGCGTTTTTATCTTGTTTTCCAAACAGTTCGAATTCTTTAATTTTTAATCTTTTTTATTATTTTAAAAACTTTTCTGGGTACATGGCAAGTGTATAGATTTCTGTGGTGCATGAGATGTTTTGATACAGGCATGCAATGTGAAATAAGCACATCATGGAGAATAGGGTATCCATCTCCTCTAGCAAACAGTTTTGAGCTCTTTCATGTCTTTGGGTCTTTGCTTCAAATAAACATGGTTTCTTTTCCAGCCAGGTAAACTCCTACTTATCAGTAAACCTTTGTTCAAAATCATCTCCTCTGTGAAGTCACCATGAACTCCCTCCTAGTAGGTTACTCATCCTTCTATGCTCCTGTAGCATGCTCTGTACTAAAAAACTTTTAGTCTTTAATGTACCATGTGCTAATTCATTTACCCATAATATCCACATGTGCTGTGTTTTGGTTGCACACATCCATGTGCACATGTGTGTGGGGGTGTACATGCATGCAACATGTGTGTGGGCCCTACGTGTGCACGTGTGTGTGGGTGCACACACCCACACACATTCCTATCAAAGAGGGGGCTTCTGGACCTCATTCTGATCACCTATTCACTCTTACATGCCCCCTAGTGCTTTCCATGTAGCGGCACTCAGCAATGGTGGGGGAATTTATGGAACAAACAAACGAAAACCATTCCGTAGAAAAAAACTCATTTTATACCTCTGGCCCTCAATTTCCCTTCTTATTTATAGTTCTTCCATAAAACCTGGAGAGTAATTTAAGTGTTCTCTAAAATCTTATGATTCTGTGAAATAGTGGGCCAAGATTGTGATTTCAATGGAAGAAAGACTGGCAAGTCCTAGGTACAAAGTCTGCTCAAGAAGCAGGAGTGAAGGCCATGGCTTCCAAAGAGCACCTTTGTTAGGCGATCACCTTTTCTACAGATCGAACCAAATCCTCTGTTCCTTTTTGTAAATGCTGTCTCCAAACACTAGCACTTCTGTTTCATTACAGAGAAGCAAAGTAAAGGAAACTAAATTATTAGTTTACAATCTAATTTGAAGACAAGAATATTATCACAAACACATACATAAAATGAGAAAATAAAAGAAAAAACTCTCACCAAATAACATGTGATGCAACTTTTAAATTTCCTCAACATGAGATGTCCCCAAAGGGGTGTCCTGGAATACTTTTGTTGTCAGGAAATGATTTGCGCACTCAAGTTGTAAGAATTTAAAAAAATCTACTTGAGATATTTTTCTAGAAAAGACTAACCGAACAAGGGCTTGACCATCAACGAAATAGTTTTTACATGGGAAAAAAGCGCTTAAGATAACCCAGGAAACTTTCTTGACTGTATTCACTATCTTTAGAATGGAACATTTACCAAAGTTTTCTCAATGAAGAAGCCGTGTCATTACCTAAGCACAATTTATAACGATCTATCACCTGGGGAGGAAAAATGGCGACTAGGTAAGAACGGGAGGGGGTTGGAGGTAAGCCTTAGGGGAAGTATCGTGAGGGCCTTTCTTTATTTTCCATTTCTCCTTTCGTTGTTGGCGAATATCAATGAAGTGTGAGCAGCATCAACCGCAGGAGTACCAACTGGGAATCACCCTGACCGAGCCTTGCTTCCTTTGAGCACCGGGAGATCAAGGAATTCATTTGTTGTTTACTCATTTGAGATTCACCCCCTACACACCATCTACACAAGTTGTAAAAAAAAAAAAAGAGACAGAGAGAGAGAAGGCAGCAGCAGCGCCCACTCACAGCAGGGAACTCCGAGGTTTTACCTGTCTTTAATTTATGCAGCATTTTCCAATTGTGCCATCCCGGCAGGTGTGACCGCTTTTTTGCGGAGCCTCAGTGCTATTTTACCTGCTTGAGTCTGTCAAAAACCCATTTGTATGCGCCCGGCTAATGTGCTAGAAATAAAAGCCCCAACCTGTCAAGTAAACTCTCTGCACCTGTACGAAGCAGTTAAATTGTTCCATCTGCCATTAGCCCGGGAGATCAAAGGCCCTTCCTGGGAGGGGTGCCCGAGGACCAAAGCAAAGGATGGAGCTCCCTGTCTTGGAGTTTAAGAAGACGGGGACGACGAGGAGACAGTAGAGAGAGGGGTTAACAACCCGGAGAAAAGAATCCCGGAGCCCCGGCCTGGCTCGGCTACCTGAAGGCGCTTTTGTTTGACTCAGGCGCGCCAGGAGCACATTCTTTCACATTAGGAACCGCAGGGGAAGACATTCATTCACTCCTTTTTTTTGGTGACGTAGCTGGGGCATTCATGTGTTTTTAACCTTGAATAATTTTTGCCTCTAAGCTCCAAACAAGTTTTATCCTGTCCACAGGTCAGTTTTGTTACAGAGGCCAATTAGCAGTGCTACCTTCGCCTGCGGCAAAAAGCCAAGTAATGACCGGGCAAGCCCTGCGGAGGGGTGATGAATAACTCCGGAGAGCTGTAATTTGAAAGGGGGGCCTTTGAAGCATTTACCTTACATGGGACGCCATTGTCCCTGCAGGGTGTTTGATCTTAAAATAATTTACTTAATGATCTCACCATGGGAGCAATTGGCAGAGCAAGATTAGGCTGTAAGGCCTAATGGACATGGGAAAAGTTAAAATTGCTCAGAGAAAGGTATGTACAGCGCAGAGATTCGTCGGTGTTGTGTCTTCATTACTAACGGGGTGAAAAGCCCGGCTGACTGCCATCGCTCTGCAAAGCTCATCAGAGAAAACCAGCAGATGCGGGCCTCTCCTGGGATGTGGGCTGAGCGCGTTCCCCCTTTCCTGCATCTCTGCATTTGTGGGAATTAGTGATCTTATTCTGTTTTTTCAATCTATGTTTTGTTTTTTGGTTTTTTTTGCAACTGTGGAGCGGCTGTCCTGGGAGTACACACAGGAGCAGAGGAGCATCCCCAGGGCAGGTTTCTGAGCAGGAATTAGAGGCGAATAAAAATGTGAAAGTAAGCCATGTTTTGTCCCCTTTAAGTTGGCAAACATGACATCAAGTAGACACAGCAATTATTTGACATTGTTATCCCGGGCCTAAATATGGTTTTTTCCTTTAGAAAATAAAAATTTAAATGTAAGCCCCTGTTTAACGTATTTATAACTCATATCTACTTGTGTTTTCTTACCTACACATCAATTATGCTTATATGATAATTGCAAGAACTATCTCAGTGTTGCATCTAGAAGTGTAACATTTCAGGTTTAAATATCTTTGTAATTTTGCTCTTTCAGCTGTTCAGCATTTGCTTACTGCCACAGCCTCTTGTTGCAAAAATTATTTTTCCCAATTTATAGAATTGGAATAGACATCTTAAGTGAATATCCAACAGGAAAAAAAGCAACCTAAGGTCTGTATTGCTGTGTATGTATTTGATGCTACAACTAAGAAAGTGTGAAGTGATAGAACATGAATAATTAATAAGTTAGCAAATTTCTTCTCTAATGCAAAGTCCACCTAAGTGAATCTCAGCAGCCTACCCATGTAGCCCAATATCTTGATATGTGTTCTTCCCTGGAGGAAAAAATACAACCCAGAAAATGTATCTAAATATGTCATCAGGAAAGTTTCAATACATGTTACTTGTGTAAAATAGAAATACTTTGAGCTCAGTAGAGAAGTCTGATTTCCCAAGATCTACAACTTTTGCCTGTGTCTGGTAGGACAGTGGAATGAAATATTTTTCATTCACTGCAAATCAAGTAGTTGTGAGCATAAGTACTAATATGCATGTGTGAATTGGAGGTAGCACAAGTGTTCTCCATAAGTTTGAGGCTTTTTTGAAATTTAGCCTATGGAGTCCATTGCTGGCTTATCTATTGAGATTTACCTGAGAATCTCTACCTACCAAAATACAGTAGACTTCTCTTAAACTTGTCTTTTTGTCTCTTATCTACAGTGGGAAATTAACAACTTATGCTTTAAACATTTCTGCTTTGACACAAGGAATTAACTGAGGCTATATATGCTTTGTTCATATATTCTACTTGTTAAAGTACTTGCTTTATGTCTTAACCTTTTTCAACTGGCAAAAATGAGATGCCATTTGTAAAATGAGATATCAAGCACACGTGGTTAATGTGGAGATTAAGGTGACATCATGTATGTGGAACACACAGGACTGACACAGAACAGATACTAACTAAAAGTTCTCTCCTACCCTATGCTCTGGAAACAACTTTCAATCGCCATAGCCCTCCATGATTAGCTTTTTTTTCTCCATTTACACTTGTGATCCAGTAATTGTTACAAGGGAAGCTGTTTTCAGTGGGTAAAATTGAATGAGAAGATTGTTACAAACATCTAAACTTTCTGGGAGAAATTAGGTAAGTCCAGGCCATCCCAAGGCTGTGAGCACTAATCTAAGGATCCCAGTTTCCTGATTACTGGGTGGCTGGTGAGAATTCCTTTCCTCCATCTTCCCTTTTTTTCTCTTTTCATTTTTCCCGATGCTACCATTTTTAAAAATAATCTTCATGTGATTTCAGTTGTTTGTTGTCATAAGTGATATGATTTGATATCAAGGTAAGATAATTTAGAAGCCAAGAAGGGAATTATCCTCATCAAAAGACAAATTAATGCTGATGAGAGAACAATAAAAAAGGATAACTGGCAAGAAAAGAAATTGTGAGTTTTAATGTGAAAGTCAGCATTTTGCGTAATAGCAGGAATTACGCCTTAGGGAAGCCTCTTTTTCTCTCTGCCTCTTCTTTCTGCTTTGCTCAGTTCTCCCTCTTTCTGATATCTCTCCCTGTCTTCCCCCTGTCTTTCCAGCTCACCCTCTCTCCTCCTTTATCTGTGTATCTCTCCATTTCCCTCTCCTCCTTCCTGTCACCCTGCCCATATTTCCATTTGCCTCCCTCCCTCCCCTGTCTCTCGCTCCTCTTCTGAGTGTGTCCCCATCTCTGTCTCTCCCAGTGTGTGTGTTTTTCCATGTCTGCTGGCTCTTTGTCTCTATTTCTCTCTGAAAATCCAGGATGTAAATTACAAGATCAAAGCTGAGTATGTGGATAATTGCCTTTTTGGGGGGATCATCAATCTGTAATAATTTGCTTTTCCAAGTAAAAGCTGTGAATTGGCAGGTTCACTCGCAGCATCTCCCAATCTGCTAGGGACCTTAGATGTCAAGGAGCACTTGACCATCACACCCAGCAAATGCTGAGCCATCTCGGGCACTTGCACATAGCAAGGAGGCCATTGCTCTGCAGAGTTTTAGCATTCATGCTGAAGGATGAGTCAGAAGGAGAGGGGTGAAAAAGAACAAGGTCGAGGTCAAGGCACTCGCCCTCCTCCTCCCGCCCAGCTCTCCTCCCGCCTTGCACTGATTGCTGTACTATGTGTCAGAGGTATTCCCACTGGCCTAGAACCATCATCTCATCCAGAAGACACATAAATTCCACCCAGGTAGTTCTAAAATCACCCAGCTGATCATTCAATTTATATACAGTATCAAGTGTTCATTTCATAGCTGCTATTTCAGTCCTACTGACCCTACAGGTCCTTGACATGTGCTTTGCCGGAGCCCTCCAGAGATGTAAGAGTAACTTTTTAGCACTTGCAGAAAAAGCAATTGAAGTTCATTTCTCACAGATTACCAGGCCCCATCAGAAATGAAGGTGTCATAAAGCAGGCATCGGACAATTTTCAAATGTCCATCGCTGTCAGTGGAAAGAGCCTGCCATGGTGACCAGTGGATCAGACCAGGCACATTGGATTTGTTGCTGTTTCTCAGTACACTGTGCTCCCTTGCATGAGGGTCTGTAGAAGCACATGGATGTCACTGGAAGATTAAGACATCTGGCTGTATCTCTATTACATTTTCATTTTATTTTTTCATTTTTCATCTTAGATTTCTCCCTTTATTTTTGCATAATCCAGGCGTGGCTGTGCTGACTTCAGAGAGGAATTGTTGGTGGCTTAGCAACAGCTGCACACACAGCTTCCAGAGGGAATGGAGGTGAGCAGCATCTGTTCTGTCTTTGCTAAGAGCTTTGCTCTCTTGGTCTATGTTGAAGTCTAGGAGAGAAGACCTGCTAGGTAAAATGGAACAACTGCATTGCTTAGGGCACTGCTTTCAGATCACCTCAGACCATGGGCCCTTCTGAGCTGTGCCCATTTCTCTTTTCCTGTCCCTCAAAAGATATCCCCTAGATCCTGTCTTCTAATTCCCCACCTCTGCTCCGTGCTTTATCCCTCCTACTTAATTCCCCTCCCCACACCTACTCTATCTGAGTCAAGTTCATATGAGTTTCTGCTTGAGAACTTGAAAGATGCTCAAGTTCAGTTCTAAGATGGGTAGCATGATAATTGTTGAAGTGCTATGACCAATCTTTAGAAATGCTTTACCCAAGATGGTAGGAACTTCTGGGGCAGTCATTTTGCCCAGAAGTCTAGGACAAGGATCTCCACGGACTCAAAGATTGCTATAGATTTGAGGAAACAAAAATGAGCTTTCTCGTGATGTGTTTTTATTTCCAGCGCTTTTTAAATGTTAGAAATAAAAAGCCCAATTCTTACAAAAAAATTAGCCGGGCGCGGTGGCGGGCGCCTCTAGTCCCAGCTACTTGGGAGGCTGAGGCGGGAGAATGGCATGAACCCGGGAGGCGGAGCTTGCAGTGAGCTGAGATCGCGCCATTGCACTCCAGCCTGGGCGACAGAGCGAGACTCCGTCTCAAAAAAAAAAAAAAAAAAAAAAAGCCCAATTCTTAAAGATCACTGGAAAATTTGGGTTTTTAAAGATATATTTTCTTTTATTATTTTTTGGACAAGATCTTGCTCTATCACCCAGGCTGGAGTCCAGTAGCACGATTATAGCTCAATACAGCCTCAAACTGCTGGGCTCAAGTGATTCTCCCACCTCAGCCTCCCAAATAGCTGAGACTATAGGCACACGCAGCTACACTGGCTAATTTTTTTTTTATTTTTTGAAGAGTGAGAGTATTGCTATGTTGTCCAAGATGGCCTCAAATGCCTGACCTCAAGGGATCCTCTTGCCTCAGCCTCCCAAAGTCCTGGGATTTCAAGTATAAACCATCGCGCCCAGCCTAATTGCTTTTTTTTTTTTTTTTTCTTAAACAAAATGACTGCCAAGGACAACTTCAAAATTTCCATCTTCCAAAATTCTTATCCGGACCCTTCCAATCACATTCACATTATCTTTGAGTTGTCTTAACATTTTTCTTTCAGCTGTCATTTCTCTCACACTTCTCAAGGACAAACATCAGTAGCAATTTAACTTTAAAATCGTGATGGGGGGAGTGGCTTTTTATTTGTCCAAAGTAGATGTTTTTTAGTAGATATTTTTTGTAGGTGTAGTGTGGAAAGTGGACTACTTATAAGACTTTCAGAAAAGTATATAACAATGAGATTCCTGCTGTTAGCGCAATAATTCCTAACAAATCAGATTTTGGTGTTACAGGAAGAAGGGAACTAATATTAATATTTGATTGCCTCCAGAGCAACGAGTGTGTGGAAGATCGGGGATTTGAAAGCCTGTTTCTTCTGATGGACACTAGGTGGTAGTTGTAATGCTTTCACCCTCCCCAGTGTAAAACATTCATTAACAGTAGTAATGATAATAATTCTTACTGTAGGGCACTGCTCAGAGCACCCACCTCTCTCAAGACCCACACTCAGTCCTCTGGCTGCTGATGGTTCTCAGCCAAAATCCTCTCTAGGAATTTTTGTCCTCTGCTTAAGGGATGACTTCTCTCAACGTTAGCCGCCTCCTTGGGAGCAACCTACCTCCAAAATTTGGTTGATTGGGGAGTAAAAAACTGCTCTACACTCAACTTGGAGATGGATTTTTTTATAATGACAAGGGAGTGTGGATTCTGTTTCTTTCTCTCTCATTCATCCACCCAGGGGCATGTGGGAGGGCGAGGGAGGGTGACAAGTATCTAGAGAGATGAAGGCAGGATGAGGAGGGGAAATAGTGTGGCGGAAGGCAGGATCCCAGTTCCAGTTTGAATTTTGGCTGGAGGTGACATTGGTTGCTTGGGAAGCTGATGGAGAAGGGGTTAGCTTGGCCCTACCCATGAAGGGTAGGGGCTTAGGGTTAGCTCCTCAACATCATGCCCCTTTCTGTCCCCAGACACATGTGCCCTCTTTCACCTCCCAACAAGAGGCTCAAGCCCCTTGCCTCAGTGTGGAGCTCCTGAAGGGAAGGGCATTCAGCTCCAGAGCTCCCTGTGGGGCTGGCTGAGGTTTGTCTTGTTCCTTATGTTGCAGTTCAACTCCTCCCTCTCAGCAATCCTGTCTTTGTTATGTCTCTAGAGGTATTGATCCCCAGAGACTTCCCAATAAACTTTCTGCGTATAAACTTCCATGTCAAAGTCTTTCCCACAACCTGCCTGGAGACACTTACATTCATAAAATATGTCAGTTTAAAAATGTCACTATGTGTTACTGCTTATAGTGCATGTAACAAACTGAGGTTCAGGAAAGTATAGTGGCCTTTTCAGGGTCACACATCAAGGAAGTGCTGGACCTAAGACAGAATCGAAGCTCTCTGCCTCCTGGTCCAAGGCTCTTATAAGTGCAACAAATGGAAATTATAAAGGTGTCTCTACAGAACTATTCCTAAAAATGTTTCCTGGAGATGATTCCTCTTTGTGGTTTCACTGTCACCATTTATTTTTTTCCTCGGGTGTTTACTTTTTCCCCTCCTCAAAACTTTCTTTCTCCAGTCCCAGCCCCTCCCCTTTTGCAGTGCTTTCATTATGACAGTGAGGGAAGAAACAAATACACAGGCTCCCAGAGACATCAATACTTCGGCACTGGAGACCTGCTTGCCCTCAGTTTTGTTTCTGTCTAGAACAGCCCACAAGGATGTGGTGACAGAGAGATGCTTCCCTGACTACCTATCTTAGACACCTACTTCTTATGCTCACATCTGTTTTTCTTTTCTTATTTTATTTTATTTTATTTTATTATTATTATACTTTAAGCTTTAGGGTACATGTGCACAACGTGCAGGTTTGCTACATATGTATACATGTGCCATGTTGGTGTGCTGTACCCATTAACTCATCATTTAGCGTTAGGTATATCTCCTAATGCTATCCCTCCCCCCTCCCCCCACCCCACAACAGTCCCCAGTGTGTGATGTTCCCCTTCCTGTGTCCATGTGTTTTCATTGTTCAATTCCCACCTATGAGTGAGAACATGCGGTGTTTGGTTTTTTGTCCTTGCGATAGTTTGCTGAGAATGATGGTTTCCAGTTTCATCCATGTCCCTATAAAGGACATGAACTCATCATTTTTTATGGCTACATAGTATTCCATGCTGTACATGTGCCACATTTTCTTAATCCACTCTATCATTGTTGGACATTTAGCTTGGTTCCAAGTCTTTGCTATTGTGAATAGAGCCACAATAAACATACGTGTGCATGTGTCTTTATAGCAGCATGATTTATAATCCTTTGGGTATATACCCAGTAATGGGATGGCTGGGTCAAATGGTATTTCTAGTTCTAGATCCCTGAGGAATCGCCACACTGACTTCCACAATGGTTGAACTAGTTTACAGTTCCACCAACAGTGTAAAAGTGTTCCTATTTCTCCACATCCTCTCCAGGACCTGTTGTTTCCTGACTTTTTAATGATCACCATTCTAAAACTGGTGTGAGATGGTATCTCATTGTGGTTTTGATTTGCATTTCTCTGATGGCCAGTGATGATGAGCATTTTTTCATGTGTTTTTGGCTGCATAAATGTCTTCTTTTGAGAAGTGTCTGTTCATGTCCTTTGCCCACTTTTTGATGGGGTTGTTTGTTTTTTTCTTGTAAATTTGAGTTCATTGTAGATTCTGGATATTAGCCCTTTGTCAGATGAGTAGGTTGCAAAAATTTTCTCCCATTCTGCAGGTTGCCTGTTCACTCTGATGGTAGTTTCTTTTGCTGTGCAGAAACTGTTTAGTTTAATTAGATCTGATTTATCAATTTTGGCTTTTGTTGCCATTGCTTTTGGTGTTTTAGACATGAAGTCCTTGCCCATGCCTGTGTCCTGAATGGTATTGCCTAGGTTTTCTTCTAGGGTTTTTATGGTTTTAGGTCTAACATTTAAGTCTGTAATCCATCTTGAATTAATTTTTGTATAAGGTATAAGGAAGGGATCCAGTTTCAGCTTTCTACATATGGCTAGCCAGTTTTCCCAGCACCATTTATAAAATAGGGAGTCCTTTCCCCATTGCTTGTTTTTGTCAGGTTTGTCAAAGATCAGATAGTTGTAGATATGTGGCATTATTTCTGAGGGCTCTGTTCTGTTCCATTGGTCTATATCTCTGTTTTGGTACCAGTACCATGCTGTTTTGGTTACTGTAGCCTTGTAGTATAGTTTGAAGTCAGGTAGCATGATGCCTCCAGCTTTGTTCTTTTGGCTTAGGATTGACTTGGTGATGCAGGCTCTTTTTTGGTTCCATATGAACTTTAAAGTAGTTTTTTTCCAATTCTGTGAAGAAAGTCATTGGTAGCTTGATGGGGATGGCATTGAATCCATAAATTACCTTGGGTAGTATGGCCATTTTCACCATATTAATTCTTCCTGCCCATGAGCATGGAATGTTCTTCCATTTGTTTGTATCCTCTTTTATTTCGTTGAGCAGTGGTTTGCAGTTCTCCTTGAAGAGGTCCTTCACATCCCTTGTAAGTTGGATTCCTAGGTATTTTATTCTCTTTGAAGCAATTGTGAATGGGAGTTCACTCATGATTTGGCTCTCTGTTTGTCTGTTATTCGTGTATAAGAATGCTTGTGATATTTGTACATTGATTTTGTATCCTGAGACTTTGCTGAAGCTGCTTATCAGCTTGAGGCGATTTTGGGCTGAGACGATGGGGTTTTCTAGATATACAATCATGTCATCTGCAAACAGGGACAATTTGACTTCGTCTTTTCCTAATTGAATACCCTTTATTTCCTTCTCCTGCCTGATTGCCCTGGCCAGAACTTCCAACACTATGTTGAACAGGAGAGGTGAGAGAGGGCATCCCTGTCTTGTGCCCATTTTCAAAGGGAATGCTTCCAGTTTTTGCCCATTCAGTATGATATTGGCTGTGGGTTTGTCATAGATAGCTCTTATTATTTTGATATACGTCCCATCAATACCTAATTTATTGAGAGTTTTTAGCATGAAGGGTTGTTGAATTTTGTCAAAGGCCTTTTCTGCATCTATTGAGATAATCATGTGGTTTTTGTCTTTGGTTCTGTTTATATGCTGGATTACGTTTATTGATTTGTGTATGTTGAACCAGCCTTGCATTCCCAGGGATGAAGCCCACTTGATCATGGTGGATAAGCTTTTTGATGTGCTGCTGGATTTGGTTTGCCAGTATTTTATTGAGGATTTTTGCATCAATGTTCATCAAGGATATTCATCTAAAATTCTGTTTTTTGGTTGTGTCTCTGGCAGGCTTTGGTATCAGGATGATGCTGGCCTCATAAAATGAGTTAGGGAGGATTCCCTCTTTTTCTATTGATTGGAATTGTTTCAGAAGGTTTGGTACCAGCTCCTATTTGTACCTCTGGTAGAATTCGGCTGTGAATCCATCTGGTCCTGGACTTTTTTTGGTTGGTAAGCTATTGATTATTGCCTCAATTTCAGAGCCTGTTATTGGTCTATTCAGAGATTCAACTTCTTCTTGGTTTAGTCTCGGGAGGATGTATGTGTCGAGGAATTTATCCATTTCTTCTAGATTTTCTAGTTTATTTGCGTAGAGGTGTTTATAGTATTCTCTGATGGTAGTTTATATTTCTGTGGGATCGGTGGTGATATCCCCTTTATCATTTTTTATTGCGTCTATTTGATTCTTCTCTCTTTGCTTCTTTATTAGCCTTGCTAGCGGCCTATCAATTTTGTTGATCTTTTCAAAAACCCAGCTCCTGGATTCATTAATTTTTTGAAGGGTTTTTTGTGTCTCTATTTCCTTCAGTTCTGCTCTGATCTTAGTTATTTCTTGCCTTCTGCTAGCTTTTGAATGTGTTTGCTCTTGCTTTTCTAGTTCTTTTAATTGTGATGTTAGGGTGTCCATTTTAGATCTTTCCTGCTTTCTCTTGTGGGCATTTAGTGCTATAAATTTCCCTCTACACGCTGCTTTGAATGTGTCCCAGAGATTCTGGTATGTTGTGTCTTTGTTCTCCTTGGTTTCAAAGAACATCTTTATTTCTGCCTTCATTTCGTTATTTACCCAGTAGTCATTCAGGAGCAGGTTGTTCAGTTTCCATGTAGTTGAGCGGTTTTCAGTGAGTTTCTGAATCCTGAGTTCTAGTTTGATTGCACTGTGGTCTGAGAGACAGTTTGTTATAATTTCTGTTCTTTTACATTTGCTGAGGAGTGCTTTACTTCCACCTATGTGGTCAATTTTGGAGTAGGTGTGGTGTGGTGCTGAAAAGAATGTGTATTCTGTTGATTTGGGGTGGAGAGTTCTGTAGATGTCTATTAGGTCCGCTTGGTGCAGAGCCGAGTTCAATTCCTGGGTACCCTTGTTAACTTTCTGTCTTGTTGATCTGTCTAATGTTGACAGTGGGGTGTTAAAGTCTCCCATTATTATTGTGTGGGAGTCTAAGTCTCTTTGTAGGTCACTAAGGACTTGCTTTGTGAATCTGGGTGCTCCTGTATTGGGTGCATATATATTTAGGATAGTTAGCTCTTCTTGTTGAATGGATCCCTTTACCATTATGTAATGGCCTTCTTTGTCTCTTTTGATCTTTGTTGGTTTAAAGTCTGTTTTATTGGAGACTAGGATTGCAACCCCTGCCTTTTTTTGTTTTCCATTTGCTTGGTAGATCTTCCTCCATCCCTTTATTTTGAGCCTATGTGTGTCTCTGCACATGAGATGGGTTTCCTGAATACAGCACACTGATGGGTCTTGACTCTTCAACCAATTTGCCAGTCTGTGTCTTTTAATTGGAGCATTTAGCCCATTTACATTTAAAGTTAATATTGTTATGTGTGAATTTGATCCTGTCATTATGATGTTAGCTGGTTATTTTGCTCGTTAGTTGATGCAGTTTCTTCCTAGCATCGATGGTCTTTACAATTTGGCATGTTTTTGCAGTGGCTGGTACCGGTTGTTCCTTTCCATGTTTAGTGCTTCCTTCTGGAGCTCTTTTAGGGCAGGCCTGGTGGTGACAAAATCTCTCAGCATTTGCTTGTCTGTAAAGTATTTTATTTCTCCTTCACTTATGAAGCTTAGTTTGGCTGGATATGAAATTCTGGGTTGAAAATTCTTTTCTTTAAGAATGTTGAATATTGGTCCCCACTCTCTTCTGGCTTGTAGAGATTCTGCCAAGAGATCAGCTGTTAGTCTGATGGCTTCCCTTTATGGGTAACCTGACCTTTCTCTCTGGCTGCCCTTAACATTTTTTCCTTCATTTCAACTTTGGTGAATCTGACAATTATGTGTCTTGGAGTTGCTCTTCTCGAGGAGTATCTTTGTGGTGTTCTCTGCATTTCCCGAATTTGAATCTTTGGCCTGCCTTGCTAGATTGGGGAAGTTCTTCTGGATATTATCCTGCAGAGTGTTTTCCAACTTGGTTTCATTCTCCCCGTCACTTTCAGGTACACCAATCAGATGGAGATTTGGTCTTTTCACATAGTCCCATATTTCTTGGAGGATTTGTTCATTTCTTTTTATTCTTTTTTCTCTAAACTTCTCTTCTCGCTTCATTTCATTCATTTCGTCTTCCATCACTGATACCTTTTCTTCCAGTTGATCGCATCAGCTACTGAGGCTTCTGCATTCATCACATAGCTCTTGTGCCGTGGTTTTCAGCTCCATCAGCTCCTTTAAGGACTTCTCTGCATTGGTTATTCTAGTTATCCATTCGTCTAATTTTTTTTCAAAGCTTTTAACTTTTTTGCCATTGGTTCGAATTTCTTCCTGTAGCTCGGAGTAGTTTGATCATCTGAAGCCTTCTTCTCTCAACTCGTCAAAGTCATTCTCCGTCCCGCTTTGTTTTGTTGCTGTTGAGGAACTGCGTTCCTTTGGAGGAGGAGAGGTGCTCTGATTTTAGAGTTTCCAGTTTTTCTGCTCTGTTTTTTTCCCATCTTTGTGGTTTTATCTACCTTTGGTCTTTGATGATGGTGACATACAGATGGGTTTTTGGTGTGGATGTCCTTTCTGTTTGTTAGTTTTCCTTCTAACAGACAGGACCCTCAGCTGCAGGTCTGTTGGAGTTTGCTAGAGGTCCACTCCAGACCCTGTTTGCCTGGGTTTCAGCAGCGCTGGCTGCAGAAGAGCGGATATTGGTGAATCGCAAATGCTGCTGCCTGATGGTTCCTCTGGAAGTTTTGTCTCAGAGGAGTACCCAGCCATGTGAGGTGTCAGTCCACCCCTACTGGGGGGTGCCTCCCAGTTAGGCTACTTGGGGGTCAGGGACCCACTTGAGGAGGCAGTCTGCCCGTTCTCAGATCTCAAGCTGCATGCTGGGAGAACCACTACTGTCTTCAAAGCTCAGTTGGAAATGCAGAAATCACCCGTCTTCTGTGTCGCTCACGCTGGGAGCTGTAGACCGGAGCTGTTCCTATTTGGCCATCTTGACTCCTCTCAACCACATCTGTTTTTCAAAGCAGAATTTCATCAGAGCTGATGTTCCAATCTTCTTATTGGCAGAAGGCAAGGTTTTCCTCAATCAAATAACCCTATAAGCATAGAGGCTGTTGGAACATTTCAACAGTTTCAATCAACTGTTGGAAACATCTTGGGCCCATCTACCTAATTCACAATACCCTCTAGTATCCTCTTGGACCCTGAGTTCCTGGGTTTAGAAAGCTGAAAATGTTCTTCACTCTCCTCAGTGAAAATCCTATGGGGATCTATCCATTGTCTGATGTTCCAGAGCTTCCAAGGCCCTGGGGGATTTCCACCTTACCCTGTAAATCCTCTCTGACTGACTGGTAAGCAGCTCATACCAATTAGCTTTCTTTTACAGTCCCAGGACAGGTGTTTGGAGGAACCCAAGCTTCTTAGGTACTGTGTTTTGGTTCTGACCCTTGATTTTGCTTTTTTCTGGTGCCTTTAAAAAAAAAAACACAATATTTTGAGACACAGTTAAGTCTGTTCTGACTCATTCATTTTGGGATGATTTCACTCAATGTACCACCTCCTGCAAAATCTGTGTCCCCAGGATGTGCACTCAGACTGAAGAAGTGGGAAGAGCAGGTCAACTTAGTGGCCCTATGGCCCCTGTATCCCTCACTTTTGTCACTAAATACTGGCACTCACACGCTAGTCCTTTGTTTACTCCTGGGCCCCTGTGTAGCATTATGATCTTGTAAAAAGTTGTACTCTGACTGAGTGTACAGCATATATGAGTGTTTTAGTTAAATCTCATGTATCCTGAGCATGACTTTTTTTTTTTTCATTCAACGTATGTTTATCCAGGTAAAACAAATGTTAGGAACAAAGTTAAGTAACTGGCACAGACTGTTGTTGTACAATACATGGAAACTACAGTATCCCGTACACTAATGAAAGGGAGGCAGAACAGACTTTGGAGAACCTGTGACAACTGCAATATTTGGTAGTAGAGGGACATATATCTGCCAGAGAAGAGTCTATTATCTCTCCTTCTCACTATAAATAGACTTAGAGAAGTTAACAAAGGCAAGTTGACTTTATTTTATTTTTGAGATGGGGTCTCACTCTGTTGCCCAGGCTGGAATGCAGTGGTACAGTCACAGCTCACTGTCGCTTCAACCTCCCCAGGCTCAGGTGATCCTCCCACCTCAGACTCCCAAGTAGCTGGAACTACTTGGTTCCACGCCTGGCTACATGCCACCATGCCTGGCTGATTTTTATTGTTATTATTATTATTTGTAGAGATGGAGTTTCACCATGTTGCCTGGTCTCAAACTCCGGATCACTCCGTCTCAAACTCCGGATCGCTCCTCCTCAAGCGATCTGCCCACCTCGGCCTCCCTAAATGCTGGGATTATAGGTGTGAGCCACAGTGGCCAGCTAAACTTGATTTTAAATTAACTTTAAAAAAGGGGCTAAGGGGCTTAGGGGCTGGGCATGGTGGCTCATGCCTGAAATCCCAGCACTTTGGGAGGCCAAGACTGGCAGATCATGAGGTCAAGAGTTCGAGACCAGCCTGGCCAATATGGTGAAACCCCATCTCTACTAAGAATACAAAAATAAGCCAAGCATGGTGGCAGGTGCCTGTAATCCCAGCTATGTGGGAGGCTGAGGCAAGAGAATTGCTTAAACCCGGGAGGCAGAGGTTGCAGTGAGCTGAGACTGCACCACTGCACTCCAGCCTGGGTGACACAGCAAGACTCCGTCTTGGGGCGGGGGGAAGGGGATGGTGCTCAGGCTTTTCATTTACTTCATGAATTGCTCATTTGTTTTCTTTTTGTTTGTTTTTCAAAAAATTTACATGGTATTGTTGGCTGGGAACGGTGGGTCATGCCTATAATCCTAGAACTTTGGGAGGCCAAGGCAGGCGGATTGCCTGAGCTCAGGAGTTTGAGACCAGCCTGACCAACACGGTGAAACCCTGTCTCTACTAAAATACAAAAAATTTGGCCAGTGTGGCAACGTGCACCTGTAGTCCCAGCTACTGGGGTGGCTGAGGCAGGAGAATTGCTTGAACCCGGGAGGCGGAGGTTGCAGTGAGCTGAGATTGTGCCACTGCACTCCAGCCTGGGCGACAGAGCGAGACTCCATCTCCAAAACAAAAAAGAAAAAGAAATGTTTTTTATGCATCACAACAACCCCAAAGAATCTAGGTAGCCTCCTCTCAGATTATCTCCCACCCTGAGAGGTAGGGGTTAAAAGTATAAACTGAGGAGCCACGTTTTCTAGGTTCTGATCTCCCCTCTGCCAATCACCGGCTGTGTAACCTCGGGCAAGTTACTTAACCACTCTGCTCCTCAGTCTCTTCATCTGCAGAATGGAGGTCTTAGTAATAGGCTTATTGTTAAAATTAAACAAGGGAGTTAATACTGAAGTCCTTACAATAGAACTTGGAAGGCCTATTAAATGTACTTATGTGTTGGATATTATTTTCTTACTATTTTTATTATCTCTCCTCAGTTACAGACAGGAGATTTTTTTAAACAATTGTCCTCTTGTTGCCTGACTGTGTTTGTGGCAGCGAGTGAAAAGAGATCTTTTTTTTTTAACATTTAAATATCATGTATGTCACAAGCAAACCTTTCTGTATATTAAGGACAGAAATCAGAAGGTAAGTGTTTTTAAACTTGGAATGAGGTTTTTTTTGTTTTTTTTTTTTTGGTTTTTATGTTAACAATTTCCAATGTACTTAGGAGTTTTAACATGGCTAATATTAGTTGGAACTGAGTGTCTGAGGAGGTTAGTGTTCTGCATAAACCCTGCTTTTAAAAAGCTCACACGAAGGGTCAAAGACCAGGAAATGCTCTCACTATAATTCTCATTTTCAGCTGAATTGGACATGGCAACAAGAATGCAGGCCTGAATCACATTATGTTCCAAGAACCTTTAACTTTGCATCATAATGACCTGCGGCCTAACAGAAGCAAATTGCAAGTGGTTTCAAAAGGATAAACTCTAATTTATATTAAGCTAGTATTATAACTTAAGCAGCTCGTTTTGAAAGCAAAACTAAAAACCTCATCATTCATGTGATGGCCCCTAAATGCATCCTTTTTCATTTTACCTGTAAAATGCTCTGTGTTTGCTGACAGGTTAAATGTATACTATACACAGAGAGCCAACATTTCTCTTTGTAACACTGCAGCAATCTTACTTTTAGCAGCATTCGTATTATTTTAAGCTGTCCCCATTTTCTTCTAAACACCATAATTAGAAGCTGAAAAGCTTACAGCAACCAAACCCAATAAGGTCTCATTATGAACAAAATATTCTACCGTGGCTCAACAAGTGACCCAATGTATTCCAACAAGATGAAGCCTTCAGCCTTCCTGCCCAATTACGGCATCAGGTATGTACGTTTTCCCTTTCAGTATTATTTAGCAACCCATTCAAGTTTGAGTTTCTCGGTCATAATTCTTTTCTCACTGGTCTCTTTCATTCTGTGCAGCTTTCATTTTCCTAGAGAGAAGAGTGGAAAAGAAAACCCGTCTGCTGGAAAGGGTTCAGAGTCTCTCTGATGGGTGGAGTGGTGTTTTGTAAATGAGTTGAATGAGAGAATCAGTGAGAAGAAAGCTAGAATAATTACACAGATTGACTAAAGAAAAAAGGGGAGGGGATGATTTTAGGACCAAAGAAATTCTTTTCCCCATCAGATCACTGACTTTTCCATTTGGATGCTTAGTGTCTTTTTCCCTTTGACTCATCTTCTTGAACTCTGTGCAAATGCAAAGTCCTAAGAGAGACAGGATGTTAGGGTGGTGCAAAAGTAATTGCGGTTTTTGCAATTACTTTTAATGCCAAAACCGCAGTTACTTTTGCACCAACCTAATACATCAAGTATTATCAATCATTTACACCTGAGTATAAATGAACACTTTTACCCCTTTCTCATAGCAAAAGAAAGCAGAGGGCTAGAGGAGAAAATTTAAAAAAAAAATTAGAAAATCTCTTCTGTTTTCGTGTTTTACCTGGGATTGTTGTGAATGTTAGTCCCTTGCTTCACCGTATTGTCATGTCTTTTTATGTTGACTTTAAACTTGGAAGTACTAGGTAAGGGAGAAATGAAATGTGTTTTGATATCCTATAGCTTTTTCAGAAAATACTTTCCCAAAACCAAGTAGACACAAAGCTGCCTGGTTATGAAGTATTCTCATTTAAATCAAGCATGTGAAATGGGGAAATAAATCTTGGACTTTTTTCTTTATTTTATATTCTGCTAGTGAAACACTGAACTCTGAAAAATGGGCATGTCACGATTGCTTTTAATAAATCTACTTACCTGTCATATGTTTTCAAGGTTTCCTTACTGTTGCTAATTATCAAGCTGTATTTCTCTTATTTCTCTAAGCTTTAGGACACAATGAAGCATATCAATCAGCATGAATCTCAGAGAAGCTGCTTATCTCTTAGATACCATCTCAACTGTTATTAGACGCTGGGTCTCCCAAGCCATGACAGTCCCACTTCGCAACATTCCTTTTCCTTTCCTCACTTTTAGACTGAGTCTAGATTCAGATTATCTTTTTCTTTTTCTCATCTTTGCCACCCAGTCTCCCAACACACACACACACACACACACACACACACCCCAAGTGCAGGCTGAACTTGCTTATGAAACTTGGGGATTGGTACTCATCAAATCAAAGAGAAAGTGACTTTCAGAGCTATTTTCCCTCCTATGGCCGCGTGGTTCAAAATTACAATTGAGAAGTGTCCCCCGTGTCAAGTAAGTCAGGAAGTGGGAAAAATGACCCATTGATTTTAAAACCTCTGGACAGAGCCTGGAATCTACCTCCGTAGCAGACTCCCCAAGTGCTCTGTAAGTGCTTTAAACCAAAGAGTCTCTGACCTGGGGACCCTATTCTCTAAAGAAAGGAGCACTTATCCTGAAATAATCTAATTATTTAATCCTACATTCTCTCCCCAAAGACAGGCATGATATCCTTCCAACCTGGCATAGGGTCAGGGAAAGAATGCCTCTGCTGTTCTGTCTTTCCATGCCCACTTCTTCTGCACAGAGTTCCTGAGGCAGAGATCAGCGTAAGGACCTCGGGGGCTTCAGGGCGCCAGACAGCCTAGCTGACCCCGCGGGCACTGTCCTCCACTGGCTCACCGGGACAGATGGAAGGAGAGCCTTCATCCTTTGTAGGTAGACAGTAATGCTTAAGCTGATGCTACAAGGCTGTGCCCAAGACCTAACAGAGCAGTGAAGATGTAGCTTAAAGAACACAGTTTTGTCCGACCATAGGAAGGGACTGGCTAGTGGCTGAATAGACTGGATGTGGTCCCTCAAAATACGTACGTTAAAACCCAATCCCCAGTGGGATAGTATTTGGAGAGGGGCCTTCGGGAGAGGGTTGGCTCTTGAAAGATATTAGTACCCTTATAAAAGAAAAACCAGAGCTCCCTTGCCCCTTCTACCATGTAGGGCTACAGCAAGAAGACAGCTGTGAATCAGGAAGCAGGCCCTCACCTCACACCAAATCCGCCAGGGTCTTGATCTTGGACTTCCCACCTTCAGAACTGGAGAAATCTTGTTGTTTATAAGACACTTAGTTTACAGTGTTCTCTTATAGCAGCACAATTTGATGAAGACGTTGGCCAAAAGGACATGAGGCTTGGCAATCTCCTGGCTGGGGTGACCCAGGGAGCTGGACTGAGCTTGAGACCTGGGAACAACTGCAGAAACTACGGTGGTATCACAGGTCAAAGTCTAAGAGGATTTCTGATAGTTTAATTACCAACTCCATCTCCCTTCGTCTTTCCACCTCTCTTACAAACCACATCCAGTTGTTCACCAAGCCCAGTCGATATTCCTCCAAGATCTCTCAAATCTATCCTGTTTCCACCCACCCATCACACTGCTATTGTTTTAAGATCATCATTTATTGCTTCTTCTAACTTGGCCTTTCTGTCACAAGTCCTAACACAAATCAGATCATGATACTCCTCTGCATTTGTGTTTCCATGATAAAATCCACCTTTCAACATCATTTGAATTTCAGTACAGCCTACCTTTTTAGTCTCAGGCTCACCAACCTCACATCTGCAGGCCTTCCTCAACTAGTTTCTAGAGCATGTTCTGTTAGGCTGCCTTGTCTTTGCACCTGCTGATCCTTTCTCTGGAAAACATTTCCCTCTCTGCCCACAGCCCCCAGTCACTTCTCTTTCCTGGATTGTGAGTGAGTAAGTGAATGAATGATCAAGTGAGAGACAGTAAACAGCTGTGTCAAGAAAAACTAGTTGGTTTTACCCCTAGAACAAGATTGCATAAATAATAGATTTGCCTAGAAATAGAGAAACACTGATAATATTTACCTGTGAATATGTACTCCAGATTTACCTCATTGCTGTTGTACTAAAAAGGTGAAAGGATAAGAATGAAGAAAACAAGGAGAGTAAAGCAGGAGCTAAAAACAGGCTCAGACTCTAAGAAAATGTTCTCCCTAATTTTCGTGCATTCTCTGTGGTGTTAAAGAAAAAAAGTGTTAATCAGTGAATTCAGATGAAAGGCCCAGATTTTTATTCCTACAGGCACATGAACCAATAGGCAATTACAGGACTCAAGGTGTGTACAGATTTTAAATATCTTTTCAAACTATTGAGCATACCCTGGTCCCCTCCTTTCTGTTCTTCCTAGGGCTTCGAGCCAAGAGATCTACTGGACTTTTTTCCAGTCCCAACATCATGTGATTCTGAAATCTACTCTAATTCAAAAGTTCAAAGTGCCTTTAAAATATTTTAATGCTGGGTTCAGCTGCCAAGGCCACCTGCCTCCAGGAGTTGCTATTTTGAGAAGATTTCGTTGGTTCTAAACCATCTCAGCCATTTGTTCCCTCCATTCCACTGAGGCTGCTCCTATTGAGGTTTCAAAGCCCGCACTCTGCCAAAATCAGTGGCCTATTGTAAGTCTTTGTCTTATTTGGCCCACCAATAGCTTTTGACAGATGACATTTCCCTCCTTCTTGAAACCCTTTCTTAGCCTCCTTCTTGGTTTCCTCTTCTTGGTTCCTCCTCATCTTCCCAACTCTTAACATTGGAGTGCCCTAGGCTCTGACTTATAATTTCTCCTCTTCATACTCCCTAAGTGCATCCTCCACTTTCATGGTATAAAGAATCTTTTTATTCCGATGACTCGCAAATTTATGTCTCAATTCCCAGTAAATATGCATGAGCCAGTTCACCTGGATTCACAAGAGCAGATTGTACTCATTTCTTCTCAACTCTGTATTCAGTGACAGTGACTTCACAATTCAGCTATGGGAAAGTAATTACACCAAAGAAACTGGCAAATGCTACATACTGGGCCTCTTTCCCTCCCACTCCCAGAGAGCCAGTTGTTAAGCACTTACCAACACCACTTTTCCTGATCTCTCCCACTGAATTCCAGATTTGTATATCCAAGTGCCTACTTGACAGCATCCTTTGGAGATATAACTTCACATGTCCAAAACTGAACTCGTGACCCCACCCTAGTCACACTCCCCAGCTTTTTCCTCTCAGAAAATGGCAATTCCATCTTTCTGGCTGCTCAGTTCAAAAATATAGGAGGTATCTTTGACTACTCTCTTCCTCTCATACCACATATTCAACCCATTAGCAAGTTCTGTTAGTTTTACCTTCAAAATACATTCAAGACCCTCACAGCACTTGCAAAAAGGACTCCTCAGGATGCATGGATTTAGATGCATGTTACATGGCCTCTGCAGAAATCTAGAGGTGGGGGAGGGAAAGAGAAGCTGTGTCCCCTGAGAGATGTCACTAATCTAGTCAGAATTGCTTGCTCCTCTCTTCCCCTATGTTGCCTCCCTCCCAGGAGACTGACTTAACACTCAGGGCAGACAACCAGTCTTCTCTGCTTCACTTTATATCAGATTCTACTCATATACCCTCATATGTGCTTATTTCAAAAAGAAATTGACAGCATGGGTCATCTTTGGCCATATCTTTCCCTTCCACATACTTCAGGATCCACTTGGGAGGGTGTATTTGAATTATGTATATTTATCATTACTCGAAGCCCATGCATCATAAGGGAACAAGCCAAAATGGACTTCCTGTGAAGCTAATGAGCCTTCACTTTTCCAGGCTCGCATGAGCACTGTGGATAGCTGGGAGCCCTAGAGTGTTGTATGTGGAAAGGAAAAGCCACCTTTCCCTCGCAGGTCAAGGCCTCGCTTATTAAAGTTGAATTTGCTGTTTATATAATCTGTGAAAAAGTTTCCACATGCTCTATCTAAATATTTTTTTGAAATATTTAGGAGAGATGTTTTAAAGGCACTCAAGCCATCTTCCTGATATCTGATGAAGTGAGTTTAATCCCGAGTTTATCTGGACCTTCCAAGTAGTTTCCACCATATTATTACATGTCTTGCATATATACCTGCTACTTTGATAACTCCCAATCAAAGTAAATTTAAAGCAATAATAAAGCAACCGTTATCTCAGAATATATTAATGGCTCAAATAGAATTCCAGAAACATCAATAACATCTGTTATATCATCTCTTAAAAAAGTTACCACTTCCCCCACCACCCACCTCTACTATTTTGGAAGGTTTGTTCTGTCTCCATCTACCCAGGAAAGGACAAAGCAGGGTCCTTCAAACAGAGTACAGAAAAACCACACTAATAGCCTAAGAGAAGAATGTCCAAAAAAAGATATTCCAGCTTTCCATTTTTTACAATTCTAGTTGGCTAGCCTTTGAATGGTTGAAGTGCAGATGGGTCAACTCCCTTAAATGTCACTCACTATCCTGTCAATTACCAAGGACAAAACAAACAGATGGTTAAAGAATGGAGTAGGGTGGAGGGCAGATGGGGAGGGAAGCAGGACATGCTAGAAATAATTCTTGGTTTAGCAAGTTGTGTGTGCAGAACTCCGCTGGAAAAGTTTACAGAAATTATACTTTCAGAAAGACAGTAAGGTTGGACTACATCTTTAAAATAATTGTTCAAATAAATGGACTAGCACAGAGGAGAGGCCTATATTGACTGTCCGTTTACCCAGAAGGGGGAGAAAAGTACAAAACAAGCTTTTCTTTAACTACAAAGGCAATCTTCTAATAGCAGCACTAACTCGCTCCAAAATACAGGACTCAGAGGTTGATAATCATCTTTCAGTGCAGGTTATTGCATGCAATTTTTCACATTCATTCAACTTTCCTCATATAGCTCTTAGTAAAGTAACTCCCCTAACAATAAAAGCTTTTATGGGGCCCATTACACTGGAGAGTTAACCACTCCCATTTTCTTCTTCATCTTCTTCTTTTTATTGGCTCCTTGGAATATTTATAGCTGCCTTTGTTCTCACTGCAAACGCATACATCTGGCTGTGTGTGGCCATTTTTGTTGTTTTTGTTGTTGTTATTGGACATGAAATGGATAAGTGTGTGTATATATGTTTTGGTGCTTCATGTTTGCACGTGATTCTATTTTCATCATCTTGTCACTGCAGCTTCATTATTTAGCCCTGGAACGTTCACTCATGGACTCTCTCCGTTGTGCACTCCATGACATAAAACTTTCTACGCTACCATGTTACTTCCTGATAAACAGGTTCTCTGGTGGAGGGAGTCATTGAGAGTGACTGTACATCAGAAAAAAAAGCCTGACTCCCCAGGCACAGAATGAACAGATTAAATTCCCTGGAAAAGAGTTTCACAGGAGCAGAGTTACATAAGCAGAGTGAGTAGAGTTTGGCCTGGATCAACAGGAAATCTTGTTTTACATCTCAGCCTACAAACACAGACATAGGATGCATGAGAAGTCCGTTTTTACTGCAACATTAAAGAACTGCAGCTAAGCATTACAGCATTGGCATCAAAATGTCCAGACTCACAAGAAGTAACTTGGCCTTGCCATCACAATCCCTCTTGCTAGTAAGCCCATCCTCTTCTCTGAAAGATGAGAGAATGGTTGACATTTCTGTCTCTGAAGCTAAGCTGCCTGCACAAGTTGTTTAACTTGCTGAGCCTCAGTTTCTGCACTTGTAAAATTAGAATAATAGGCCAGGTGCGGTGGCTCCGGCCTGTAATCCCAGCACTGTGGGAGGCCAGGGCGCGTGGATCACCTGAGGTCAGGAGTTCAAGACCAGCCTGCCCAACATGGTGAAACCCCATCTCTACTAAAAATACAAAAAATTAGCCAGGCATGGTGGCACGTGCTTGTAGTCCCAGCTACTCAGGAGGCTGAGGCAGGAGAATTGCTGGAACCTGGGAGGCGGAGGTTGCAGTGAGCTGAGATTGCACCATTGCACTCCAGCCTGGGTGACAAGAGTGAAACTCCATCTCAGAAGAAAAAAAAAAATTAGAATATGAATAGTATTTATATACAGGGTTGTGGCAGGGATTGAAATAATACATGTAAAGGGCTTAAAACAATGTCTGGCCCATAGCTCAAATAATAAGAGTTCAAAATGTTGGCTGTTATTATTCCTCTGCTAGAATGTAAGCTCCATAAGAGTAAAGATTTGGTTTTGTTCACAGCTGTATCCCCAACACCTAGAATCTAGCAAGTGCCAAGATAAATGCTTGCTGTGCCAAATACTAGCAAGTGCCAAGATAAATATCTAGCAAGATAAATACTTGCTGAAGGAATTCCTCACCAGGTTAACCAAAGAATTTGTTTCTTAAAGGAACCAGAAAGAAGCATGTTTCCATATTAAGCATAAGGAAGCCACGTGTCTCCATGGCTGTCTGGCTCCTGTGAAGCACTCCATCTATGGAGGATTTAGTCGAAACAACTTTGGAGGTGTTTCACCTCCCAATATTGCTCCTAGATCAACAACTCACAAGCCCATCTGAGAAACAACACAGGTCATTCCCTAACTTACAAAAGTCCACTTCTCCTTTCTGCCAGCCTCCACCTCAACACATCTTCTACTTGTTAAATTCTAATTCACTCACAGGGGTCATTTCTCATGGCTGCTTGTCTGCTATGAGGCTCACTGAGGTTTTTGGCATAGAAGGCTATAAGCAGTTAAGATTCCCTTGTTTCCAATGCACTGTAGCCAATCTGAACATAAAACTATTGTGGTTTTGTTGTTGTTGTTGTTGTTGTTTTCTGAAAGAAATTTGTGTATCATAGATGTTGGCTTTGAATGCTGGAGTTTGCAAAGACATTTTTATACCCAGTTGCTCCTTGTTGTATAAATGTAGCAATATGCTAATATGGGTCTGTTTCAGAATCAGGTTCAGCTGAAGCCCTGAAGGGACACAGCAGTAGGTAGCAAGGTGTGTATTATTTTATTAACCAGTAGTTTCATTCCCCTAGTGGTCCGTCCTTAGCTTCATGGTTACTTTAGACAACTTGATGAGCTAACCATAAACTTGCCTTCTTGGGTTCTTCTGTGTAGTGAGCCCGCAAAATGGAGCCCATGGTGGAACCATAAGTGGCTCTGCTGATGATCAAGTGGGACGGAGTGCTGCAGTGTTGACTTAGCCTACCTCAAAGCTTGCTTTAATGCTGACTTAGCCTACCTCAGGGCTTGCTCTGTTACCTGGTACCCTCAGGAACTCCCTCCGACATATGTTGAGCAGGGTCAGACACAGTGGGTCATTTGGGCTCAGCATTATAGAAAAGGCCACTCACCACAAAGGCCAGCTCTGAAGAAAGCAGGCATTATTGCAGAGATCAAGGCCTTACTGGAATGTTTAACCACCCTGGGGAATCTACAAGGTCATGGACTGCTTCAGCCCAGGCCAGGGTATGTACAGGAAAACTTCTTGCTTCCATAGGTGCTGCAGAGGAAGAAGTTGGGTCACTTAAGTGTGTTCCTGGTGGTCAGTGGGGGAAGGGCATGCTTTTCGAGCACAAGCAAAGGGAGTATCAGTAACCTCTGGCTGATGCTATCCTCACGTTCTCAGGGCCTGTGCTGTCAGGTAGTAACTATGGAATGTGTGTGCTGCTGAGTCCCAACTAAGCTTTGGGGACATTGAAAAAAATTCAGGGTTTTTTTGTACTCATATGACATATAGTTGAGAATAGATTTAAAAAAAAAAAAAACTAAAGGACATTCTCTAAACAGAGAAGCACATGTTTTAAAAGCAAGACAAAAAGATTAAGTATGTGGGATCTTTGTGTCAGGAAATCTAAAGTATAAAGGATTGGGACTAGGCAGAAGATAGAGGATTGCAAGCTAGAAGATTTGTGTGACCAGAGCGTCCAAGAACACCCTCATGAAGGCATGAGCAAAGTGGAGTTTCCCCAAATGCCATTAGGGATAGTGTTACAAGTGCCAATAGAAAAAAATCCCTGGGACAGCCCCATCCCTTTTCAGGGTCCATCAAATGACCTGGCACAATGGACATTTGTTCAAGCTGTAATGACAGAGCTAGAGAAGCAAAGGCAATAAAAATGCAACTTACCTCTCTCTTCTATTACAAGAGAGAGAAATAAGATCAAGATAAAATAAGATCAAGCTTCCTGCAAGACTTATAGTGGTTTTTTCTCCACCATGTAAGCCTGAAAGACAAACTTAGACTCACTCCACTGAAATAGCTCCATTTTAACTGAGTCAAAATGAAGAAAGTTTAATAAAACTTTGGTGAAATAGTGAAATGTAAATTCCAAATATTGGGATCTATGTAGTTATGTGGTAATCTAATGCAGACTAACAGGGGTTGGAGTGGTTGTCTGCCATCTCAGATTTGTCCTTAATTAAAAAAAAAAAAAAAGATACCCCTAGCCTAATATGAAGAATAATAGAGTAAACCAACCTTTCCAGAAGCAACTCACCAGCCCATAGATACCATGACATTTTTTAAGTGCAGATAGCGTGTATGAAGTGCTACTGATTCTCCTGCGGGCAGTAGATCACGTGACTTATTGCAGTGTCTACAATACAGATGTCAAATAATCCAATTTTACAGCATTCTTTTCTTTCCTTTTATTGAAAGATGTTTGAGAGGACCGTATGCATGACAAGCATGCCACATGTGTGGGGACAGATTTCAGAGTGATGAAATCCATTCTAACTACAACTTTCTCTTGTCAAACTTGATTCCATCTATGCAAAGGCCATCTTTCCCTTCTTTCTGACAGTTGATTGTACTTGTTATGATCACATCGAATGACTTCTCTCACTTCTGTATTATCTGCCTTTCATCTCACTACAAATGCAATGAGTAACAGAATATTATAAAAATCCTCTTTGCCTTTAGTCTTTTTAAATGAAGTATGGTATTCGAAAATTATATTACTTTTGTATAGAATTAATTTGTTCTCACTAAGCTACAATTTCAAGAATAGGTATCCAATAAAAATAATTTCTAGGAGGTCAAATCTTTAAACAAAGAGACAATATTTATGTCATAGGTTTCTGTAACATAGGAGAGTAAATATTACCTTCAAGTCCAATGGCTTAGTGTCCTAGAGAAACATAAACATTGGTTATGCGGGTCTATTTGAGGTATAGTGATGACACTCTGACAGCAGTGTCTTCATCCATCCATCCATTGACCTATCCAGCTATTCAATAAATACTTACTGAGTGCCTTCCAGTAAGTTGCACTATATAGGATACAGTTTCTATAATTAATTGGAAAAGTTTTACTTGTGACAAATTACATCAATTTATGATTGTGTCAGAATAAATGAATAAATTATAATTGTGTTTCATCCATTCAACATATATATGTGAAACAACTGTCTGTGGTAAAAATTACACAAAGTACTAAGGACACTAAGACTTGATTTAAGTAAATATTCCTTATCTGAGTAAGATAGGCATAACAGCTTTCTGGACTAGATAAAAGCAGTTGTGAGGAAAAATGAGTGATGACACTCAGCCTTCTGCTGAGCTTTCTTGTATTATGAGCAGCTGAGAAGCTAAAAGAAAAACCTTGTTTCCCAGAATCCCTTGTGGCTAGATTTCTGAATGCCAGTCGGATGCATTCACAGGAAGTAAAGTGGAAGCCATCTTCCTGCTGCTTCACCAGTTTTGTGCTGGTAAGAGTCATCATGAAGATACTGGTTTCCTGTAGCAGCTTCTCAGTGGGAGCTGAGAGACAGACGTAGTGTTGGTGGCAAGCAACAGCTTCCTGACCCCAGGGATCAAAGTTCCAGTGAAATTCAGTGGATTTTACACCTTCCTGATTGTGGCGGAGCAGGCCCATGACCACAATGGGCCAATAGAGAGGTGTCATTCCTAGAGGCCCAGTTAAAAGCCCATGTCTCTAACCCTTCCAGTGATTTCAAAAATGGCTAGTTGTCTGTATCCCATTCTTTCTTATCTTTTTATCTTTTATTTTTGATATGGGGTCTCACTATGTGGCCCAGGCCGGTCTCAAACTCTGAGCTTAAGTGAGCTCCTGCCTCAGCCTCCCCAGTAGTAGTTGGGATTACAGGCGCGAGCCATTGCACCCAGTCCATTCTATCTTATTTTATTTATTTTTATTTTTAGTATTTTTTTTGAGATGGAGTCTTGCTCTGTCGCCCAGACTGGAGTGCAGAGGTGTGATCTCGGCTCACTGCAAGCTCCGCCTCCCGGGTTCACGCCATTCTCCTGCCTCAGCCTCCCGAGTAGCTGAGACTATAGGTGCCTGCCACTACGTCCAGCTATTTTTTAAATTATTATTATTTTTTAATTTTTTAGTAGAGACGGGGTCTCACCGTTTTAGCCAGGATGGTCTCGATCTCCTGACCTCGTGATGCTCCCACCTTGGTCCTCCAAAGTGCTGGGATTACAGGCATGAGCCACCACGCCTAGCCCCATTCTATTTTAAATAGCCAGTTTTTGCTCTCTACAACAAAACATTAGCTGACAAATGAAGGCAAAAGAAATATAGACATAAACCCACTGTGATGGAGGTTATGAAGAGACCAGCCAGGCTCATGTGTTAAGCACTTATGAATGTGAGTCCCACGAGAGACTGAAATTAGTGGTGCCTACTTTGCTGGACTGAATGGTTTTCCATGCCCTTCAAGCAATGGAAGAGACTTTGAAAATTTTTACTGGGGTGACAGAGTGATGAGACCCTAAAAGACAGACTCCATTTATCTTTGTATCCTTGATATCTAACAGAGTCCTTGGGATATATTAACCCTCATTAAGGATTAGATGCAAAATTATGAGAGTATTGCTCTAGGATCATGAATCTGGTTTTGATGGCAGAGTAAGGAGGAGCAAGAGGAGGCAGAGAGCCGTGGGTGTTATCTAGGCATAAAGTGAAAGAAGGCAGGAGGAGTATGTGAAATATTTGAAGCAAGACTCAACGCTCACTAATGACCAGGTCAGTCAGGATTCAAGAGAAGCAGGACCAGTGGGAAATGTATATTAAGAGACTGATTGCAAGGAACAATTGTGGGGGTTGGCTAGGCAAGTCTGAAATCCACAGTGCAGGTAGTCAGGAAGAACAGTCGGGACCTCTTGGGCACAGGTGGATGCTGCTGTCCACAGGTGGAATTTTTTCTTCTTCAGGGAAGGCTCTGCTCTTAAGGCCTTCCAGCTGACTGAGTCCGGCCCACCCAAGTTACCTAGGATCATCGCCTCGATTTAAAGTCAACTGATTTTTACTTTTAATCACATCTACAAAAATAGTAATACCTTCACCACAACACTTAAATGAGAGTTTGATTTAAAAACTAGTGGCTGTAGCCCAGCCAAGGTTACACATCACAAAGACCATCTCAGTGACCAAAGGAAAAGAAACCAGGCTGGGTGCGGTGGCTCATGCCTGTAATCCCAGCACTCTGGGAGGCCGAGACAGGTGGATTGCCTGAGGTCGGGAGTTCGAGACCAGGCTGGCCAACATGGTGAAACCCTGTCTCTAATAAAAAAAAAAAATATACAAAAAATCAGCTGGGCATGGTGGCAGGCGCCAGTAATCCTAGCTACTCAGCAGGCTGAGGCAGGAGAATCTCTCAGACTCGGAAGGCAGAGTTGCAGTGAGCCAAGATCATGCCATTGCACTCCAGCCTGGGCAACAAGAACGAAAATCCATCTCAGAAAAAAAAAAAAAAAGGAACCAAGTGAATAGAAAAGGACAAGCAAGGCGTCAGGCTTTGCAGGTCCGTCTACTCCACTTGATGCTCTAACATCCATCCGCCTTTGAAATATTTACAGCTCTCTCAAGTATTCGAGTTGTTCAACTCTGTGAGATTCGCAGAGGTGATTTCCAGCTGAAATTACTACTCAGCAGACTAACCTCTATCTTAAGGTTAAGGCAACCCTACAATGTATTACTCAAACTGGGACAATATTGAGAAAAAAAGCGTGTTCTTTAATTAGGACAGTTCCAGACACATCAGAACATGAGATCCCCTGATTCAGCCCGAGATGCTGTTGGACCATCTTTTAACTCACTTATCAATGTTTTTTTTAACATGTATGGATA
Organism: Homo sapiens; assembly: GCF_000001405.40. NCBI lineage: Eukaryota > Metazoa > Chordata > Mammalia > Primates > Hominidae > Homo > Homo sapiens. The sequence goes on from NC_000007.14 coordinate 21,198,638, forward strand.
CACAATGTACCTCCTGACCACTTTTAATGTCTTAAGGTGGGGGGGGGCGGTGGTGAGGGAAATGCAGTTAAATCCAGAGCTTTATTTGTTAAAATTTACATGGAGTAATTTTATTGACACTGAAGGATATTTTTAAAAAACAAGTGATATTTATCCTTAAATGGGCCAATTTGGTACAAGTGGAAGGATTTTTGTAAAAAAGGATTTAATGTTTTCATAAACATTAAGAGAATAAAAATGGTAAACAATTAATAGCCCTCATACCATCCTTTAAACAGACAGTAGAGTATCATAGTTAGGAGTTTGACATTGGTGTGAGACTGCCTGGGTTCATCTCCCAACTCCTTTGTTATTAATTATGTGAACTTGGACAAGTTTCTTAGTCCCTGTAGGCCTCACTTTTCCCACCTGTAAGATGAGAATACAAATCAAGCCCAACTATAATAGGAGCATTTTGAGGATTCAATAAAACAATGCATGTTGAAAATGCTTGGCACCATTCCCGGCACATGATACATTTTCAATAACCATGAGGCATTATATTGTAATATAGCTATGCAATCTTTGAGCCAAAATTTCAAATAAGATTTTTTCAGGCAACACAATAAAATGCTATCCATGTGTATTTACTTTATGACTATTACTATTTGGTAGTGTTTTACTTCTGTTTAATGTCATGTCCATTCAAATTATATTATCCTGATGGCAACACCATACTGTACATGGAAGTATCTTTCTGTATAACAGACTAAACTCTCCCAGAGCAATGTTAAGCATTATCCACATCTTCAAAACCTTTTTCATAAATGTGGCTTTTATCCATGAAGTATAATTATTGAATATAGCTACACCATTTGCAAGCATGATTGTAAAGCAATAAAAATAACGGTGTTGGAATAATTATGTTTTTGAGATTTCTGCTGAGAGCAAAACCAGCAAAGTCATAGCTCTGCTCAACCTTACTAGAAATGAGGGGGAATAAAATAGCTTTCCCACTATGCTAGGTAGTTTATGAGACTATCTCTAGACAATTCATTAGTTCTAAAGTGACATGAAAATCAATTAATTTTAATGGTGGATAACAGATTATGGTATTTAATAGTTCATCTAATTTCATGAGGCAAAGTGAATTATACAATGCAGTGTAAATCTAATAAGAATTGTGAGGGCTCGTTTGACTATTTGTCAAATGCAAAAATGAATGAGCACATCAGGAATTAGATATAAACTAAAGCATTCTATATGAATTGTGTTTAGTTTTTATGCAGAATTAAGTTATAAGCCTTAAGGAACATAAAACATATGGACTCTATTCCTGTTTAGCTTGCTCTTAAAACTTATTCATTAAGCGCTTACTATCTAAGCTGTGGTATGTCTATTAAGGAAGACAACACAGAGTGAGATATGCATTGTCCTCTCACTGTTCTTTTCTTTCTAAAAATAAGTAGAATAATTTGGAAATATTTGTGTTAAAAAGTTCTTCATGAAGGATTATTTATGAACAATTGAACAGATGGAGGACAAGGTTCTCACATTCCATTCATCTGTGTGGTAAAAATGACCTATTTTCCCTAATAAATAATTTGTATCATTCTTAAGCCCATTTTAACTCCTACAAGAGGCCACTTCATAGGATTTAGCACCCTTGAGACTTTGGGCTAATAATCCTCTCCCTTCCCCAAATAACACAATTTACAGCCCAATTTCTATTCCCCAGTAGAACAAAATGCACAGAGGCAACTTCACTAGAAAGTTTGTTTTTCAAACGCTGTTAAACGATTTCTTTGCAATAGTTTCAGCACTGCAGTAAAGGAATCACCAGGTCACAGATGCCTGGTTTCTATTGATTCTCCTAGTTAATAAAGAGTTAAACAGTGAAGTGTGGTCTTTTATTTTTATTTTATTTTATTTTTTAAAAAGGCATTTTGAAGGTGCTGGAGAGGGAAGGCCTGGTCCTAAGTGGTCATGTGGCTCCCGCCATTCATCTTGGTAGTGACTATCTGTCAAAAGTGGCAAGAGTCCCTGTTAACAGCCCTGACCTGAGCGGTAATGAAGGGAGAGTGCACGGCAAAGTGTCCATTATCAGCAGGTCGGGAGCAGTAAATTGGAGCAGTTTGCTTCAATCTTGCTGCAAGTTGAAATGTAAGATAGGTGGGGATCAGCAAGAGGCAATTTTATCCTATGATCATTTTTGTCAGATCGCATCAGAGTGGCAACTTAGTTCGATGCATGATTTCAATTAACCAAGTCTGGCCGTAATGCTTCCACTGCCGGGGGAAGCTCTTTTCTGAGCCTGGGTTCCTCATTATTTATTATTTAAACCCACTGAAGCACATGCAGGTGAGAGAACCTTCGATGTTAGGAAAAGGGAGAACATACGTAAATGGCAACGGATGCAAACAGACCTCACATCTGCACAACAAGGATCACAGCGTCCGGGGTGGGCCGGGGGCTGGGCGGGGGAGGTATGTGCGGCTAAAGGCTTATCTGCAAATTTCCACACTCATAAATCTGTTTTTAATGACCTTCAACTTTGAATTTTTAATGGATTGACTTGCATGCTGTCTAGTCTTTGACAAAAATATTAGCCTTTTGGGTGGCAGTTTTAGGGAGGATGAGGTCACAAAATTCTGTACTTGTGCTTAGTCAGGTGAAGCTACTCCCAAGCACAAGAAAAATCAGGGTGAAGCTCAAGCCTGAAGCTTTAACTCTTTTTTTTTTTTTTAATTTTCTTTTTTTGTGAGGCAGAGTCTCACTCTCTCACCCAGGCTGGAGTGCAGTGGCACAGTCTTGGATCACTGCAACCACTGCCCCCAGGTTCAAGCGATTCTCATGTGTCAGCCTCCTGTGTAGCTGGGACTGCAGGTGCGCACCACCATGCCCGGCTAATTTTTGTATTTTTAGTACAGATGTGGTTTCACCATGTTGTCCAGGCTAGTCTCGAACTCCTGGACTCAAGTGATCCGCCTGCCTTGGCCTCCCAAAGCGCTGAGATTACAGGCATGAGCCACTGTGCCTGGTCTGAAGCTTTAACTTTTTAATGCTTGAGAAATGTTCACTTGCTGAATACTTGGTTCAATGTGAATGATAAATACACAATAAATACTTGGTTCAATGATTCTATAAAAGTGAATGCTTGGTTGAATGATTCTATAAAATGTGTGCATATGTGCATAGGTAAGGCCATCTCTTCTTCTGAGGAACTTACAATTCAGGAGGAGAAAGAAGACACACATGATAACTATAATAAAAGTAGGGAATGCCATCAGAAAGAAACAAAGTTCTGTAGAAATTTAGAAACAGGCCACTTTTGGATGGGGACATCGGGGCAAACATGAACGACATAAACACAGAAGTTGGGTCTTGATAGATGGTTAGGATAGTTCCAGGTGAAATTAGAAAGTGGCCGTATTCATTTTCTTTGCAGCCTAACAAATTACTACAAAGTTAGCTGTTTACAACAACACCAATGTATTATCTCACAGCTTCTGTGGATCGGAAATTGGGTTTCCTATATCCTTTGCTCAGGATCTCACTAGGCTGAAAGTAAGGAGTCAGCTGGTGCTGCAGTCTCATCTGAGGCTTGAGCTCCTCATCTAAACTCACAGGCTGGCTGCAGAATTCAGTTCTTACAGTTGTAAGACTCCATCCACACTCATTGATGCCAACTGAGAATTGTTCTCAGCTCCTAGAGGCCACTTGCTGTTCCCTGCCATGTAGCTCACTCCACAACATGGCAGCTTGCTCCTTCAAGACCAGCAGGAGTAATCTCTGACTTTAGGAGGGGCCTCGTCCCTTTTTAGCATTTATCTGATTAGGTCAGTCTCACTCAGATGGTCTCCCTTTTGATTAACTCAGTTGACTGTTGGTAATGGGACCACAGGAGTGACATCTCATCATCTTCACAGGTTCTGCTCACACTCAAGGTTAGGAGACTATACCAGAAGGTGGGAACTCTGGGGCCCATCTGAGAATTCTGCCTACCATGATGGCTTTGCACTGTAGAAAGAATAGCTTTGAGAATAAGGAGTTGGAGGAAATACAGGTAAAGCTTGGGAACTGGAAATGTGTCAGTGTTTTCTCAACCAAATGAAAAAAAAAATGGAGGTGGTTGGAAAATACTGGCTTAGAAATGGATTTTAGATCAAGTCCATGGAGCACCTAGAATTTCAGGGCAAAAAGCCATCAGAGGTTTTTAAACGGTGATAAAATCATCATAATTTTTAGGAAAATGATTCTGGTGTACAGGATAGATTGAAAGAGAAGGATGTGTTTAGTCTGTCTCTCCATTCAAGGATGGATTCTTTGAGGACAGCGTCTTTGCTGCTGCCCACTTATGTAGCCCCAAGTGGAACATAGTAGGCACTCATTACATGTTTTTGAGTAAGTGAATAAAGGTGGGCAGAGCAGATAGGAAACTATTGTCATAGTCTGGGTGAGCAATATTAGAGAGGAATTGGAGAGGCAGCAATGCAAATGGAAAGAGGAAATGTATTGAAAAGATATTACAGAAGTGTAAGCAATAGGCTTTACAGATGTGGAATAGGAAGAAAAGAGAAATCAAAGGTAATGTCAAGATTTATAATGTGGGTTCCTGGGAAACTGAAAAGCAATAAAAAGAATAAATTATTATTTAGCCACAAAACCACCAATTATATTGCTAAGCTTTTTACTTTTGAGGCAGATTTTTTAGTGTTTTGTGGACAGACACGAATTGTATTCACTAATAGTATGTATTTTGCAACTGGCCTGTAGTCATTTTATTTAAAAATTAAGCAAAATAATGCCCACGATCTTAATGGCAGATTAACCACATGCGTATATGGCTCCTCTTTTCCCCTAAGCCCTGCCAACATAAGAGAAAATACATTTTTAAAGATATTGACTCACATATATAAAAGAATGAGAGCAAAGACAACAGCATACGAGAGTTTTCAATGTACCTTTGAATAAGTGAAGTCAATGAGTGTGTAGCAACCCATTCAGCAGTGATTACCTACCATAAGGTAGCCAATTCCCTGCAGCTCCTGAAAGGGTCAGACTAAGAAACCCAAGGACCCAGAGAAGATGGGAGTTGGGGGCTAGGTGGGAACCAATGGGTTTAATTGAAAGTCTGTGACATCAGTTGGTGCCCAGGGCACCTCTCCCACCCTACCCAAGTCCTCCCAGCTGCTGCCTCTCAAGCCTCACACCTGTCAGGAGAAAGGAGCTGCATGCTTTTAGAAGATAATTTCATCTCTCTGCAATATCTTTTTAAAATCTTGGTCACCTCATACATTCTCTCTCTCTCTCTCCACACACACACACACACACACACACACACACACACACACACACACGTCCTCAATTAACATCATTTTATTCAACATTGTTTTGTTATAGCATTGATAGATTCCTAGTCTGGGCCACAGTGTGTGTGGAGTTTGCACCTGCTCCCCATGTCTGCATGAGTTTTTTCTGGTTCCTCTGGTTTTCTCCCACATCCCAAAGATGTGCCTGTTGGGTGAACTGGCATGTCTACATGGTTCCCATGTGAGTGCGTGCGGGCGTGTGTGTGAGCGCACCATGCCATGGGATGGCATCCTGTCCAGGGCTGGTTCCTAACTTGCGCCCTGAGCCGGAATAACTGGGTAAATATTTATCTTGTTTTCACTAATCTTTTTTACATGTATATCTCACATTTATTTTATTGTTTAATATTAGAAGCATTTTGGTCTTTATTGAGAAGTTTGGTGATTTTTTTGTGACAACAAATATGCCATAGGAACTTAACTCTTGTTTCTATTAATTAGCCTATGGTAAAATTTGTTTCATTATACATCATTTCACTTAAAGTTGTGGTTTCTAAGAACCTATTGATGACATTATCTGAGGACTACTGTACACACACATATATAAATATATACACACATGCACAAGTGCATATTCACAAGCTTGTATAGGTGTGTGTGTGTGTGTGTGTAGAGAGAGAGAATCATCAGAGATAAAAGAAGCATTTTTTCCCATAAAGCAAGAAGAGAATACTATGAAAACGTAACAAAGAAAAGGAAAATTTATAATTTAAATCTTGATAATTTAAAATATAATAAAAATTTTAATTTCAACTGGGAGATAACATGAAAACAAAACCTTCCTGAAATTCGACCAAATAGAAAAAGAAATGGAAGTTTTATAGGAAACTAGAGGAATAATCCAGGAAATCCATATTTAAGTAAGTTTTGGTTCAGAAAAATAGAACAGAGAAATGCAGGAGAGGAAGTTATCAAAAAAAATACAAGAAAAATTCTCAGAACTGGCAGACAGGTATCTCCAGATTAAAAGGGAACCCTGAATATCCAAGAAAAAAAAATTAAGATCTTTATCTTTACAAAATTTCAGAACATCGGAAATAAGGAAAAGGTTCTAAAAGTTTTCTGGAGAGGAAAACAGGTCACATTTGAAAGATTTAAATTCAGAATGATAGCAGACTTCTAAAGAACAACAAAATCCTGGAAAACAATGGAACAATAGCTTCAAGCTTCCGAATAAAATAATTTTTTAACCTAGCATTTTCTACTCAACCATGGTATCAACCGAGTGCAAAAATAAAGTCTCTACAGAAAGGGAAGAAACCAGAGCACATACTTCTCAATCTTTCTTTCTTAAGAAGCTCCTTGCGGTTGTGCTTTTACAAAACAAGAAGTTAACCAAATGAGAGAGACATAGTATCAGAAAAGGTAGGATAGGATAATGGAGAATGATGAAGAGAAGTTTCATTGTGAACTCTGTGCAGCTGACCCAGACGGCAGGTACTCCAGATTGAGCAGAGGCCAGAGGGCTCCTACAGGGTCTCAGGCAGAAAGTAGAAGGGAAATTGAATTGCTGGGTTTTAATAATGCAAAATATCAATAAACATGCAACAACAGTTCTGGAACATTTGAAGAAAATACAACAGATAACCGAGAAACAAGGCAAAAAAAAAAAAAAAAAAAAAAAAAAAAAAAACAACAACCCAAGGCTATGATTGTTTTTGTGAAAAAGGAATAACCATACAAGAAAGTAGTAGAATAGAGTAGAATGTTAGATAATTCTTACCTAGCTCAACAATCTGAGATATTCCATGGCCTTGAAAAATAGAAACAAAAAATCACTTGTTTACTATGTGCCAGGCACTGTTTTAATCATTTTACATGTATTAATTTATAATTTATGGCTACCCTATAATATAGATATGTAGTTTTTTTATTAAATTTTATAGACTGGAGAGCTGATGCACTGAGTGAAGCATAGTAAATGAGAGTCAAGGGTGAGATCCCAGCAGTTTGGCTCCAGAGCCTACATTCTTTATATTCTGTACATCTTCTATATTTCTATAATCATGGTATGGAAGGGATGATGGATTAAAAGTTGGTAAGTAAATCTGTATTTATTTCTGATCTTAGCATTAAATTATTGTGTGATATGGGGCAAATCACGTCACCCCCTCTGACCACAATTTCTATATTCTCAACCTGAAAAGATCTTGAGCCATTTCTTCTGATTCTCAGGGATTAAAATCTGTGGAACATGCTTACTGCTCTCTTCATTAAGCTATAGTCTGGGATTTGGAAGTTTCCCTAGCTGAAGACACTTTGCCACTAACACATCATTCTGGAAAAATATTTTGATGTCAGAAAAGACTGTCATTTTGGGCCAACTTAGAAAGGAACGCGGTATTGGGAACGCTCAAGACTTTGTGAAAAGCAGTTAGCAGTTCAGTTTTCTTCTGGTGGAGAATGCATACACAATGAAAAAGCAAGGCCAGCATAATTGTGTCTTATTTGATTCTGTCATTCAAAATCAGAGAGTTTGATTTAGGACATGCTGTTCTTGGGAGTTTGTACAATTGCCCCTATTCTGAGCACAAACCCTGCATGATACCTCTTAAAAAAAAACTAATATTTGTGCTACATTTGAGCTTTCTCAGGCTTCTGCTTAAATATTAGGAGTAATTTAAACATCTGATTTAAAATATATATTGTTATGTTCAGAGATAAATAGCTAAGTGTTGTTTGTACATGTATATATTAAAAATAGATATTATGTGTAAATAATTTGGAAAACATTAATAAATGACAACAAAGATTATTTTTTAAATAGAAGATTGATAGCTCTCATCAGGAAAGATTAATGTAGTTAAGCCATTTGGTCATAAAACCTTAGAGTGGAAAATACCTTAAAGTGCTATCCCACCCAGCTTCTTTTTACCAGTGAGTGCCCTCACAAAAGCCTTGTGGATGATCATTTTATCCTTGCTTGAATAATTCCAGAGATTGAGAATTCACTGGATTTTTCGACAGCCCATTTTATTTTTGGACAGCTTTAACTGTTGGTAAGTCTTTCGTCTTATATCAAAATATCCCTTCTCATGATGTGTCTCCACTACTCTTTGCCTGGCCTCTGGAGCAATGCCCAAGAAATCTAATCTTCCTCCACCTGACAGCACTTTGGACAGAGGGAAGTCCCATTTTATGTGACAAAAGCATTCCTAAGACCCTCACATATTCAAAACTCATGGAAAATGAGACTAATTCCGATAAAAATGGTAGTCAGTCTTGTTTACTGGCTAATGTGGTGCTTCCGTGTATCAATAAGGTGAGTACAATTCACTGGCCTACTAGATTTTAACCTATATAATTCTTGATTAATTTTTAACTGTGGAGAGTTGCCTTTAGAGAATCAGGAGAATCATTTCAAACTCACTTAAAGAGGAAAGCCCTGTATATGAAGATAACTGTTAAATCATCACAGCTTCTCTTCCCGAAAAACAAACCACTTAGTGTATAAGAACAGTAACAGGCATCATATTAGTCTACCAAAAAGTCCATGGCACCTCCATTTCTAGAGGTCTGTAAGAACAAGAAAAATAGCTCTTTGGAGAGATTCTTTGATTTGCATATCCAGAAGCTAAGAAGTAGACCAGGTGACCCACTGAGATTACCTAGCATTGATGGCATTCTGACTCCTGCTCTCTGAGCTGAGGTTTCTTAGATGTGACCGCACTTAACTGTTTCCAGTGGTAGATATAAGACACACCTAACAACATACAGATTTAAAATATGTATGGTGGGCTTAGCATGGTGGCTCATGCCTGTAATCCCAGCACTTTGGGAGGCCGAGGCGGGCAGATCACCTGAGGTCAGGAGTTCAAGACCAGCCTGGTCAACATGGTGAAACCCGTCTCTACTAAAAATAAAAAAATTAGCTGGGCATGGTGGCACGCACCTGTAATCCCAGCTACTCAGGAGGCTGAGGCAGGAGAATTGCTTGAACCTGGAAGGCAGAGGTTGCAGTGAGCCGAGATCATGCCACTGCACTCCAGCCCGGGCAATAGAGCAAGACTCTGTCTCAAAAAAAAAAAAAAAAAAAAAAAATTTGTGGTGTAGTGGGAGTGCCATAGCATATTTTGATATCTGTATCTGTGTTCATAATATATAATATCAAATATCCCAAAACTGTTTGTCCTAACCTTTCAGCTTTGCATTGGAGCCAATCATTACTTCTGTTGAAAATACATATTTTAATCTACATATTGTTATAAAATATATCCTCAAAAAACTCATGATGTAAAACCATCAGATCTCTCACTCATTATCATGAGAACAGCATGGAGGAAACCACCCCCATGATCCAGTTACTTCCACCTGGTCCTGCCCTGTACACATGAGGATTATTACAATTCAAGGTGAGATTTGGGTGGGGACACAGAGCAAAGCCCTATCAGTCAACAATTGTTAAACCTGGGTGATGGATACTTTTGTGTTGGCTATATTATACTATGTTTATATATATTTGAAATATCTTACAATAAAAGTTATTTAAAAGAAAAAATAAATGTTTTTTAACATAGGAAATATTTCAAATATATTATTAAGACTCCACTCAAGAAGCAAGTTATAAAACATTATATGCGCATATAATACCATTTTTAAATTTTTAATGTTTGTGTTTGCACATAACTAAAGTTTATAACCATAGGTTTCAATGTTAAACATAGATAATCATAGTTATTGATGAATGGTCCAAAGGTTGTTTTAACTTTTTTCTTATCAGCATTTCTGATTTTTTTATACAGCGAACATGTAGTAGAAATAATCTTTTTTTTTTTTTTTTTTTTTTTTTTTTGAGAGGAGTTTTGCTCTTGTTGCCCAGGCTGGACTGCAATGGCACCATCTCAGCTCACTGCAACCTCCGCACCCCACCCTGGGTTCAAGTGATTCTCCTGCCTCAGCCTCCCAGGTAGCTGGGACTACAGGCATGCACCACCATGCCTGGCTAATTTTGTATTTTTAGTAGAAGCGGGGTTTCTCCATGTTGGTCAGGCTGGTCTCGAACTCCCGACCTCAGGTGATCCACCCGCCTCAGCCTCCCAAAGTGCTGAGATTACAGGTGTGAGCCACCGCGCCCAGCCCAAAATAATCATTTTTTAATTGACAGGTTTTTGCGTCAATATTTATTTTATATCAGTAGTAATGTCTATTGATTTTTAACCCAAAATGAAATTTACATTCCAAAATTTCCTTAGAAACTTTCAGAAAACCCCCATCTTATCCTTCAAATGGTTACAAAATGAATGGTTGTCTACTAAGGAGACAACTTTAAGTTTGTGAACTCCTTGCTGCTTCTGCCACATTCACTTATGGTACTCTAGTTTGGCAGAGCCTGAATTAAGTAGTGCCATATAAATCAAGATTTCTAAGAGGGATCTTCAGTAGAATAGAAGTTTTCAAACTCAAGAGACCTTTGCCACTGACCTTTTCAGTGATCACGGGGACACTCTCTGCATGGGATGAGCCACCATTTTCTCACCTGGAATAAAACCACAAGATTGGCTCCTTATCTACTTCAGGTTGATGTTTAGAAGATGTGTCAAATGTGTGTGTGTCATGAAGTTCAAAATTCTTCAAAAATCAATGGTAAATATTTAAGAAATCTTATATATAATCATCTAAAATAAAAATAAAGTTTTGAGTGTGGTTTGGGATGATGAAAATGTATGAGAAGGAACATTATAAAATGTATGACACTTTTCAAGATGGACTTGGGTTATCTTATTTCTTCATTAATTCATTCTTGTATGCATTCATTTATCCACATATCCATTGTTTCACCAATGTATTCCTCATCTATTTAGCAAATATTTATTGAGATATTACTATGTACCAGGCTTCAGCATGGTGATCAAGAGGGGGCATTAAGGCCAGGGAAATTGGCAGAGCCCGAATTAAGTAGTGCCTTTTAAATCATGTTAGAGACTTTATTCTTATCCTAAGAGCAATGGGCAGTCATTTAAGAGTTTTAAGCAAGGACATTTTATTATCAGAATTAAATTGCTGTATAGAGGATGGATTGGAATCAGATAAGAGTGGATGCAGGAAAAACCAGAGGCATTATAGCAGTCCAGGTGAGAAATGATGATTGTTTGGACTAAAATAGTGACTATTGAGATGGAGAGAAGTGGATAGACTTGAATGCTATTTAGAACTCAGAAATTTATTAAGCAAGTTGGAAAAGTAAGAAGGAATATATAGAGATGGATCCTAGAGTCTTTGGCAGAGCAACTTGGAAGCTGTATGCTTTTTACTAGGATGAGGAGAGATAAGAGGAGTTTGAAGAGAAAACTGTGAGCTGTGTTTTAGACACGATGTGCTTGAGATGCTTGTGAGGCAAGATAAGAGGAGTTTGAAGAGAAAACTGTGAGCTGTGTTTTAGACACGATGTGCTTGAGATGCTTGTGAGGCATCCAAAAAAGAATCAGGTACAAAGTTTGCCACATAGGCCTGCAGCTCAGAAAAAGACTGGACTAGAGGTAAAACTTGGGACATCATGGACATACAGATCCTATGTGAAGACACAAAATTAGATAAGCTCGCCTAATGTGTGAGAGCGAAGAATAAGAACCTATGTGATGTGAATCCAGGACAGAGTCCTGAGTATCTCTAATATTTCAAATTCAGGGAGTGGAGGAAGAGTTCCAAAGAGAAAACCCACCAGGAATCATCAGAGATTTAGACGAAAGCTAGGAAAGGGTTGGGCTTAGTGGCTCATGCCTATAATCCTAGTGTCCCAAGAGAGGAGGATTGAAAATGGTCTGTGAGCTGGGTGCTGTGGCTCACATCTGTAATACCAGCAGTTTGGGAGGCCGACGCAGGTGGATCACTTGAGGTCAGGAGTTCAAGACCAGCCTGGCCAACGTGGTGAAACCCTGTCTCTACTAAAAATACAAAAATTAGCCAGGCATGGTGACCCATGCCTGTAGTCCCAGCTACTAGGGAGGTTGAGGCACGAGAATCGATTGAACCTGGGAGGCAGAGGTTTCAGTGAGCCAAGATGGCACCACTGCACAGCACTCCAGCCTGGGTAAAAGAGCAAGACCCTGTTCCCCACCCCGCCAACCACTCCCAAAAAAAGGAGAAAAAGAAAAGTATAAGATGAGACCTGGAGAAAGCTTTTAAGGTCTGGGTGGGCTTTTATAATTTGGATGAGATGCGAGCATGTGCTGAGGGGAGGCGTCCTTTAGAGAGAGAAAGATTGAAAATGCCTTGCAGGGGAGAGGACGAATGAGACCAGGAAAGTAACCGGTGGTGTGAGGTCCGTGAGAAAAGCGAAGGATGGTGCACAGAGCACATCTGGACTCACTGATCTTTGAAAGGAGGAGGAAGAAAGGAGGGTTTAGGAACAGATAGAGGTAGGGTTACACATGGTGGTGGAAGGTAAGGAAGTTCCCTTTTGGCAACTTCTCTTTTTAAAAAGGAAACTTAACACTGACAGGCCTTTTTTTTTTTTTTTTTTTCACTTTTTTTTTGAAATGGAGTTTCACCCTGTAGCCCAGGCTGGAGTGCAATGGCACAATCTTGGCTCACTGCATCCTCCATCTCCCAGGTTCAAGCAATTCTCCTGCCTCAGCCTCCCAAGTAGCTGGGATTACAGGTCCCCACCACCATAAGCGGCTAATTTGTTTGTATTTTTAGTTGAGATGGAGTTTCACCATGTTGGCGAGGATGGTCTCAAACTCCTGACCTCAGGTGTTCTGCCTTCCTCAGCCTCCCGAAGTGCTGGGATTACAGGCATGAGCCGCTGCCCCCAGCCTGACAGGCTTTTCTATATAGGCAGAGGACATATTGGCTCCTCCAACACATACAAAATCACACATACCCAAGGTCATAAAAAAGAAGACAGAGGAGGAATAACTAGTTTATTTCATGAGGAACCAAAATGACAATAGCAATAGGAATAACTATGGCTGCTTTGGGACTAAATTCCATTCCTTAAAGTTCATGCTAGAAACTCAATTAAAATGAAGGGTTTGCCTAAAATTAGTTGCAAACAAGCCTTTAAAAGTTAGACAAAGAAATGAAGTTGATTGTTTAGTTCCTGTCCTGAGATATGGCTAGAAGAGGATGAGCTGTATAGCTAATGTGGAAAGTAAAACTTTTCAATTGTGTTTCCTTTGCATTCTTTGAAATGATGTATAAATCAGAACCAACTGAATTAAACAGGTGATGCTTAGCATTTGAATACAATGATTAATGGTACCTACACAGCAATTTATGAGAAATTGCTATTGAGCTCAGATATTATCATGACCACTTTTACCAAGCACTATAGTTTAATACATTTGTTAAGATATACCTTTTTTAAAAAATAAAAAACAAATTTACGTTACTTATTTTTCTCTACATTATCAACATTAGTAGACAGACTCTTCTGGCCAAATCTGGTAAGAGACATTATCTCAGTTGCGCCTGTATGATAGAATGTCTTATAATGTCACAGTGTTTTTATAGCATCACAATGGAAGGGAAAAAGGATTAGAAGTGTTTAAAATTAAGAAATTCACACACTATTTATACAGATTCATGACTATTATCTTTGGTTTGCCCAATTCAAAATCCGAAGACTGTATATATGTGTATGTGTCTTGAATTACTAAAAAAAAAGAAAAAAGAAACCTCAATGGAAGTATAGAATTTAAAATAACTAAATATAGCTTTGGCATTGCTGTGTTTCTATACTGATTTTTAAAAATCTGGTACTAGTTTTTCTTTTTGCTTTATGCCCTTTAAAGGACTCAGATTCATAATATACAAAGAAGTTTATTTGATATATAGAGCAGAGCCATAAACCATATTTTATGCATAACAGTGATTAAATGCACAGTTGATATATTTCACTAAGATGGAAACCATGTCGAAAGGCTTACATTTTGATAACTTTCCTTTTGGGGGGCATTTCTAAATTATTTAAGTTGAAGAATAAAATGACTTGTTTGTGAATTTACATGCTCTTTTTAATCATCTTTAGGTAATGCTGATATGGCAAAGACGCTAAATTACAGGCAGCAGTGGGAAGCTACTGAGTAAAAAGCACAGAATCGTTTCATATATGAGCCCATGAGGAATATTCTGTTCAAGGAATGGAGACATAAGAAAATTACCTAACTAACTCATGAACCACACATTAAGAACGTAGTCAGCTGTTGTAAATGTGTATCCGACAACAAACCATTATGTATCTTTGGTTTAATTATATGTGTTTATTACACACCTGTACTGGAGAGTAAAGGCTGCTATTTGCATTACTTGTGGTTTTCTCTATCAAAACAGCATTAGCATTATGAAGCTTATCAAGGTTATGTATAATTTATCTGGCTTGAGTAAGTCCCTTTATTTTGTGCACAATCAAAACATGATTAGGGAGAAAAATTAGGAAATGTTTTAAACATTTTAGCAAATAATTTCTAAATTTAGAAATGTAGTGAATTTTACATTTCTAGACAAATATCATCAAATTACTAAGCCTTTGTAAATCAGCCTATGTTTAGAAAGAGAGTAAAAATGTTAGATGAATTCAACACTTAATTTTTTCCCCAGAGTTTCATCTTAAAGAGTATTAATTGTAACGATGCTGATGGTGTTATTAACAGAGTACTTATGAATATGGAAAAATGTCAGACTTCCAAATAATCTGAGATATGCTATTTTTACAAGTCACACTAAATAAACAATCTAGACAAAATTGTTTTGTATGTTTGAGAGCATTTACTGACTACATGGAAGTATTAAAACATTATGGGGGACAGTACATTTTAAAAGCAAAAATATCTGTGTATCAAACACAACCTCAGAAGATCGTTAAGTGGTTCAATAGAAGAATTTTATGAAGCAATTCATTTATATACATCATCAAAACTTGTTACTTTTACAGATTAGAGTTCCCTAATTATTTTGATATATACTTATTTTTAAAGCATCCAACAGTCATTAGTTACCATCCTTTAATTACATGCTTGTCTATGCTCAACAAGTTCTCTCTTTACTCCTGTCTTCCTTCCTTTAAAAGGGGAAAAGTGAGGTTACAATAAGGAAGACAACACATGTCCTGATGAACATAATCCTATTATTATAATGAAAGTAATACCATTTCAGAGGAATAAACAACAAATGGTAACCAATGCCCAGAGAAAATTCAAATTCTATTTGGGATTACCATAGGATCTAATACCAATCCCACAGATGAAGTTTGATAGTTTATCATGAAGACAAAAGCTTAGGAAAATAAGGGGTTTGAATCCATGAAAAATATAATAATAATAGCAAAAGGAAAGGGACTAAATAATATTATTAATTTATAGTAGACACCAGCGAGGAGCAGCTGGTGGCATGGAAAAAGGTAGTAATTTCAGTAGATGTCTCACAGTATGAAACATGAATTATATTTTCTACAACCACAGAAAAACTACAGGTACAAAACTAGAAATACAAACAAGTTTTTAGAACTGTTAAGTATCTAGTAATTTTTTTCTTAGAACAAAGCATAGGACCAAATATAAAGATAAAACAAAATTTTTTCAGCTCTTGCTTAAAATATCATATTTTAAAGCTTCCGTAACGCATTCATTCACAAAATCAAAGACATTAAAATAAATTGGTCACCTTTTTATATCACATTATAAGTTCCCAAACTAATTTTGCCTCATTTTATTACTATTTAGAGATTATTATTCTATAATAACATATTTTTAAATAACATTTTTCATCTCATTTTATTTAAAAAGAATTATTTTTGATCAACAATTGCAGCAAATTTTTTTCTAAAGAATTGCCTTTACAGTGAAACCATCTGAGATGACTAAAACAATGAGGTAATTTTTTAGAATGTAGATTATCTCCACAATGTCTATTACATATTTTTGCAAGTCAGCAAATTATTTCATTTTCCTCTCCCTAGTATGGAAATTTAATCTAGGTATTTATTTCATTTTCGGTAACCTATTTGAAGAAAGACTAACTACCCTTCAGTATACAGTATTACATTATGCATTCAAAACTGATACTATAAATTATACAATCTAACAAAAAATTATTAATGGTTTATGGGGTTGGGGGAGGACAACCAGGAAACCTCAACTGCCAGCAATAGAATGTAATAGTTCTCCATTTCCCCTTAGTGAAAGGAAAGGAACCCAGAGTGTTTGCGTTTGAACATTGCATCTACCCTTTCACAAAGCAGTTTAAGACAAGGCGCAGAAAGGCCCCCAAATAGACTTCAAGTCTACACCACAGACCACCCTTAAACATCAGTCAACATATACTCTTAAGCTACAGCTGGGTACTTTTATTCATTTTAATATGCAATTCATGACAGTAGAACATAGAGAAACTTGTTATTCTACTGTATTATACTAGTGGTCGAATCTGCCAGCTATTTTCCTTTGCTGTTACTAGCACTTCCCTCCCATTGGAGTATTTTTTCTTTCTTTTTTTTTCTTTTTTAAATTATTTTCCTTTCCTTTCCTTTCCTTTCCTTTCCCTTTCCCTTTCCCTTTCCCTTTCCCTTTCCCTTTCCCTTTCCCTTTCCCTTTCCCTTTCCCTTTCCTAAAGGGATAGGGACTCACTGTGTTGCCCAGGCTGGAGTGCAGTGGCTATTCACAGGTGTCACCCCTCTACTTATCAGCATAGCAGCTTTGACCTGCTTCATTTCCAAACTGGACCAGTTCACCCCTCTTCAGGCAACCTGGTGGTCCCCTGTTCTAGGGAGGTCACCATAATGGTGAACTTAGTGCCGACCCCTGACCAGCATAGTGCACTACAGCCTCTAATTCCTAGGCCCAAGTGATCCTCCCACCTCAGTCTCCCTAGTAGCCAGGAGTGCAGGTGTGACTGCACTCCCAGTAAATGGAGTATTTTATAATTGTTAAAATCACTGGATATAGATTCTAAGCCTTTTTTGACCATTTTTAAATCAATTAGAGAAGGGATCTTGTAAGCTGCAGTGAATCCTTCTGAAAGTCTGCGTTGCAGAGAATGAATGCCTCCAGAAGATGCAGTACACTGGGGAGGACACTGGCTCAGGCGACTCTCAGCCATCCCAGGTCAACAGGGAAGTCCCAGGTGGACACCAGGAACTTGTTGGGTCACCCATTCATACATGCAATTTTTCTTCCCACTTTTCTACAGCAGGAGTCTAGATTCAAACTGCTGATTAGGTGTTTTGTAGAAATAGTACAACAAAGAGAATTAAGTCTATTGCAACAGCCATAGGGTTTAGGCTGGGTGTCAGGATTTCAGATGGAGGCTGGAGAAGCAAAGCTATTAAGTAGCAGATCCACTCAGAGAACATAGACCCTCCCTCCCTTTACTTGCATCATATCCCTTCATAATGACAATTATCATAATACAGCAGTTCATCTAAAAAATGTAAATCTGTGGGCAAATGTAATTCAATGCACAGAATTTTATTTTACAGAAAAATTTAATTTTATAGAAAAAATAATTATATATGGAAAATTAAGTACAGATTAATAACAAATTTTACTGTAATTTATTGGATTTGTGCTCACCATTATACTATATCCCAAAGTCTCAGAAAACCAAACTTTCTCTTAAAGCATCCTACCTAAAGTGAAACTGAACCTTATCATATCCCACTCTGTAAATAAGCTCCATTCCAATTACATTAAAATTACAGAATAACATATTTGTTTTGCTTTGTTGTTTTGTACACAGCAGTATTTCCTATGCTAAAAATGAAAAGCTCATCCACTACAGGATACTCTTATCTGTGTTTTTCTTCCTTAAATCAATACATTAATACATCCTTAATACATGAAGACAACATTCTTAGAACTCATGAATCTGTTATCTGTCCCTTCTATTGCCTAGATTTAATTTGATGTTGGTCTAGGGTCTTTCCACAGTGTGCTAAAAGAAACAATTTGTCTTGTTTTGTTTGTTTCATTCTGGATATTATTCAATATTTCTGGTGTGGATTGGGGAATTGTAGCTAGGATCCATGCAATATAAATGAAAATAAAACTGCTTTGCAATTTTGTTTTTCTATGATGATGCTAGTTATGAATGATATAAATTATTATATATGGGATCATAAGATATGCAGTTTAGCAGGTTGAATTGTGTTTCTAAAAAAGATTCAAGTCCTAATTCACAGTACCTGTGAATGTGGCTTTATTTATAAATAAGGTCTTTACAGATGTAAACAAGTGAAGATGAGGTCATAGTGGATTAGGGCAGGCCCTAAGCCTGATGACTGGTGTCTTTATGAGAAAAATGGAAGGAGATTAGACGCAGAGACATAGAGGACACCACACACAGGAAAGATGGCCATGTGACAATGGAGGCAACGAAGGGAGTGATGCAGCTATAAACCAGGGAACTATAAACCAAGAGGCTATAAACCAAGGATTGCTACCAACCACCAGAAACTCAGAGAAAGACATGGGACCAGTTCTCGCCTCACAGTGTCCAAAAGGAATCCATCCTGAAGACATCTTGCTTTTGGACTTCTGGCCTCCTGAACCATGAAAGAATGAATTTTCTGTTGAAACCCACCCAGTTTGTGGTCATTTATTATGACAGCCCTAGGAAACTAATACATGCAGTATATGTAGATTTGTAAAATAACCACACCTCAAATTGCTTTCTGCATAAGGGCCAATGTTAGCCAGGACTTCCCAAGCCTCTAGAGACATAGGTGAGAAACTTCCACTCTGGAGAATTCTTTTTGATTACCAAAAGTCTAAGTATGTTGACTTACCTTTCCTCATGATATGCTTTTTATTTATCCTCATTGTCATCTAAAGTTACAGCTTGAAAGAAAATAATTATGTTGAAAATGGGAAGCAGGAATTGCTCGTTGTGGAACTTGGGTTTTGCAGAAAAACACTCATCTCATGATGGAGGCTGTGACTTTTCCGTCTCCAGTTGCCTCCAGAATAATTTCCATCGTAAATGAGAATTTTTCTATTAAAAATGAGCATGTCAATCATTCAATAACATAAGTGTATTAGAAATCTTAAAGGTACACACATGGAGGAAGAAAAAAAAAAAACACCTGACAGTATGTATACCAAAATGTTAATCGAATTAAGAGTTCCCAATTTTCTTCTTTTTGGTCGTACAAATTCCCTAACTTTGTTACAGTGTAACTTTGTTACGCTGAATATAAATTGCTTATGTAATATTTTTAAAAAAGAAAAACTAGTAGGGAGTTGCCTAGTACATGGCATGAAATTTGCATTTTTCCTAGGCCAGATGTTTCCCTTACCTTACCATGGTACCAGTAAAAATAAGGCAACAGACCTCCACGGGCTCCTTGCCTTGGAATTTTTTCCCTAGGCATGTGCCTACACACAAACACACATACAAATCCAACAAATAGAGGAATGTTAGCTTTATCAGCAATGAGATGTAAAGGAGACATAAATCATGGATGTATCTGACATTTAACCAATTTAGATTCCTTTCACACAACTTTCAATTTCAAGTGTGTCCTTTGATTTTCCATTTAGAGAAAACAACCCTGTCTGCTGAAGAGAGGATGTCTAACCAGGACTGCCTCGCCATACACCTCCTGAAAGCCCATTTGGTCACAATGGAGTGTGATGTGAATATGCAGTGAACAACCCAAGGAGCCACATGTGGCAGGGCTGAACTTTACCCTACTTTCTAGAAACACTCACGGTTGTAAGGAGTCTGCAGCATTAAAAAAAAATTTAAAAATAGGCCGGGCGCTGTGGCTCACGCCTGTAATCCCAGCACTTTGGGAGGCCGAGGCAGGCAGATCATGAGGTCAGGAGATCGAGATCATCCTCACTAACACAGTGAAACCCCGTCTCTACTAAAACTACAAAAATATTAGCCGGGCATGGTGGCGGGCCACCAGCTACCATAGTCCCAGCTACTCGGGAGGCTGAGGCAGGAGAATGGCGTGAACCTGGGAGGCGGGGCTTGCAGTGAGCCAAGATCGCGCCACTGAACTCCAGCCTGGGGGACAGAGTGAGACTCCATCTCAAAAGAACAAAAAAAAAAAAGAAAAAAAGAAAAAAAAAAAAGAAAAAAATGTCTTGTATTATGGCATTACCAGTTAGTTTTAAAAGCCAATAGTATTTCTAGGTTTCCCATTAATGTTGGGGCAAATGATATAGTTGAAAGGACCTACAAAGTCCTGTATGCCCAGACCTCCTTTGCCAGCCACATCCCCACCATGCTCGCTCCACGCACCAGGCTTCGCTCAGGCCCCCGAATGTGCTATGATCCTTCCTGCCATAAGGCATTTGCATATACTGTCTCCTCTTCCTGGACTCTCTTCCTTTCCATCTCCTTAACTAAATAATTCCAACTTACACTTTAGATTCCAGCTGAGTCTTTGTTTCCTTGAAGTAACCATCCTTTACCCTTCAGGCTATATCAACCACTCACTTCTTATGCTCTCACAATATTCCTCTCCTCCCTAGCACCAAGTCAGGAGGGAATTTTACATTTGTTAGTATAATTGGGTTTTTTTTTGTTAATGCCTATTGCCATATCCAGAATATAAGTTTTATGAGAGCAGAGATAAAGCTGATTTATTTGGATTGCTTTTCCCCACCACTGAATCCCCTTTACTTGGAGAGTGCCTGGCACATAGTAGGCTCTAAATAAATATTTATTGGATAAACATATGGATGAATGAATTAGAAATACAAACTTTAAAAATTCTTCAAATTTCTCGGTTCTGGAGAAACTTCTTCAAGTCCAATAGACATGCAACTATGCACTCACTTAGACCAAGCTGGAAGAACTTGGAAAGCAATAGAGTTCAGTGACCACCCCCAAACCAATGCTTAACCATAGTAACACTAGCTTTTTTTTAGGTGTACTACTGGCTGTTATTGCTCATACTCTTAAGGAATTTTTCCACCATTTTTTTCTTTATATGTGCATGGTAACTTACATTTGTATTATTCAATAGAGTTACAAGTGGGGAGTATATTCATGGTTAGAAGGAGAGTGACCGATCCCTAAGTTTATATGCAATTTTTTCTTTTAATCGTCATTTTACAGCTCCCCACCGCAGCTGCCCCCCACCCTTCCCTTTGATGACCAGGTTTGCCGGCTTCAGGGGGTCCAGGGAACAAAGCGGGGGCCTGGCAGCCCCACTACGCTGCCTGCAGGGGAGAACAAGTCACAACTGCAAATTATCACAACAATTAGCGCCTGTACTTGGGGGATCTGCAAATTGAGGAAGCCCCAGCTTCTCCCTGTACAGGGTTCTAATTGGCAGTGACCTTGCTCTGGAGATGATGATATTCCTTCAGCCTGAGGGAATTGATGTTGATGAAACCGGTGGCATCAATTGGCTCATAATCACCATGCACGTTCATGCTCACCAGCTCCTCGTTGTAGAGAGACCGTGGGGACTCCCAGCCGAGGATGTACACCTGGTCCTTGAAGAGGGACACCTGTACTTTCCTTTCCACTCGCTCCTGGGACTTGGCGATGGAGTGGCGGACAAATTCACACTCAGGGCTGTGCCAGAAACCAGTATACACCAGCTCAGCACATTTCAAGCCCAGGCCTTGTTTGATTTTGCGCACTTCCCAGTCCATGGTGAAGGTCTCGATGTCTAAATGAGCGTGGTAAAGGATGGTGCCTGCTGGGGTCTCGTAGATACCTCGGGACTTCATTCCAATGAAGCAGTTCTCCACGATGTCAATACGGCCCACGCAGTGCTTTCCCGTGACTTCATTCAGGTACATGAAGAGCGCCAAGGAGGTCTGGTGGGTGGTGCCATCCTTGACGTTGGTAACCTTCAAGAAGACCCCTTTTTTGAACTCGATCTCGAGAATGTCAGGGGTGTTGGGGGCTTTGGCCAGTCCTGGGTCTTCGGGTAGAGACCTGGAGGCGCTTGGTTCTTGGGGGTCCTCTAGGATTCCAGCTTCGTAGCTGATGTGCATGAGGTTCTCGTCCATGTTCCACGGGTTCTTGGGAGTGACTGGGATGGGAATCCCGTGTTGCTTTGTGTATTCCGTCAGGTCACTGCAGCCCTTGAAGTGGTTGTAGAATTCGGGCATGCTCCAGGGAGCAATGACCTTTATCTGGGGGGCCAGTGAGTAGCAGGTGAGCTCAAACCAGACCTGAGCCATGACACACATAACTTGGCCCCCTCCCGCTGGGGGATTTCCACTTGTTTGCGGGCGGTGCAGGGCCTGGTGTGAGAGGTGCCCAGGAGGTAGCCGTCCTCATACAGTGAGCTGGACTGGATGGCTGGCCAGATGAACTCCTCCACAAACTCCCTGCTGACACCCTCAGTGAACACCTTTTTGGTCCCAAGCTTTGGTGCCTTCTTCCTTGCTTCCTCGAAGTCTTCCTTCTGGCCAATGTTGGCCAGGTAGGCAGTGACGTCATAGCCTTGTTCCTTCAGCCACACGAGGATACACGAGGTGTCCAGACCGCCACTGTAGGCCAGAACCACTGAGCCTTTGCTGGACATAACGTCTGGGATTAGAGGCACGAGTTCCCGGCGTCTGGAATCTGTCTTCAGGGTGCAGTGAACCACTCGGGCCCGGGCAGAGGCGGCAGGCGACAGAGCAGGGCTATATGCAATTTTTTTTACCTGCCAACTATTCTCTGATACCATGGCCAAGCCTCCCAAGATGGTGGCTTTCCAGGCTCATCTAGTAAACAGGGTTTCTAGGCTCAGTTAGCCATGCCACGTAGTAAAACTTCACAGAAAATATTCCCTTCTGACAGATATAATGAGGCAAAGAAGCTGAAACCAGTTCGAAAATTTAATTCTCTCTTCATCCCTTATCAGTTGCAAAGCCAGGTGTTCCTGAAACCTTTCCCTGTCCTCTGCCAGGAAGTGGGATTTTTCAGCTGTATGGAGAGTCACAGGCATCAAAGCTCATGTAGGACACTGGACCATGTTGCTGAGTCCCAGAGGATTTTGCTCAAGACCTATAGCCAAGTCCCTGCTGTCACCACTAGATAATCTAGGAAACAATTTTCTCATCTCTCTTTTTGTTCCACTCGAGGTAGAAATAAAGGCCATGGTGACAGCCATATACAGCGTTCTTATGCCTCACTTGAAACATGGTTGAATAAGTGTCAGTCTATTCTTTTATATAAATATAAAAGGCAAAATTGTGTGATTTCAAGAAGGGGGGCTTTTATTGGGTGTTTAATGATGCTACACGTTCTCTTTTATTGCAACCAGATAAAACCTTTCATAGCGGAGCCCTTGGGATACTCTTCTTGAGATACTCACAATCTGTTTATTGTATCCACTTCCTCCAGGAGGGAAAATTATTATATGGTAGTGTCAGGGAGTCAGGTTGCATGTGGGATGTCTCTTCAAAGTTCTCCCCTAATATAGAGCCAACCAACTTTACCTTCAGTTGCATTTCTCTTTTGCAGTTTAATGCTCATTGTCAATGCACCCACTCTGTGGCCTTCCACTTTCATTCTCTGAAGATTGCTCACTGTTGATACCTCTGCAGGCCAGCTCTTTGCAGAACTGTGATAAGGAAGACTTTTTTTGCTCAACTTATTTTATTTTAGATTCAGGGAGTACACGTGCAGGTTCGTTATATGGAAATACTGTGTGATGATGAGGTTAAGGCTTGTAGTGAACCCAGCACCCAAATAGTGAACATTGTACTCAATAGATAATTTTCACCCGTTATCCCCTTCCCACCTTTCCCTCTTTTGGAGTCATTAGTGTCTGTTATTTCCATCTTTATGTTCATATGTACCCATTGTTTTGCTCCCACTTTTAAGTGAGAACATGTGGCATTTGATTTTCTGTTTCTGAGTCATTTTATTTAGGATAATTGCTTCCAGCTCCATCCATGTTGCTGCAAAGGACAGGATTTCATTATTTTTATGGCTGCATAGTATTCCATATGTATATGTGCCGCATTTTCTTTATCCAGTCAACTATTGATGAACACTTAGGTTTTGATTCTATGTCTTTGTGAATAGTGCTGCAATAAACATATGAGTGTAGGTGTCTTTTTGATAAAATGATTTCTTTTTCTTTGAGTAGATACCCAGCAGTGAAACTGCTCTGAATATTAGATCTGTTTTTAGTTCTTTGAGAAATCTCCATACTGTTTCCCACAGGAGTTGAACTAATTTATATTCCCACCAACAGTGTATAAGCATTCCCTTCTCTCTGCATCTTCATCATCATCTGTTACTTTCTGACTTTTTAATAATAACCATTTTGAGATGGTATCTCAGTGTGGTTTTGATTTGCATCTCTCTGGTGATAAGTCATGTGGAGCATTTTTTTTAATCTGTCTTTTGGCCAATTCTATGCCTGAGGAAGATATTTGTATACACTCTTCCCTCCCCAGCCACTCTTCACCTTGGAGACTGGACTTCCTCCCTTCCTAACTTGTGACTTCCAAGCAAATGACTTTAAATGTAGATTCTGTGGTTGCATTTTAGGTATCAAGTAGTGTTTATGGGATCTAGGGAATAAGAGGCCCTTCTGATGCCTCTGAACTCTCCCTGTAAAGGAAGTGTCTGACCTTGCCTGCCAATAAAGCTTGGCCCTTTTCACACCTCTTCCTGGTGTCAAGCTTGACAAGAAAATTATGAAAATAGAGAACCTCCCACATACATTTTAGAAATGAATTGGGAAACCCTTAAATCACTGGTCCTCTAAGATACAGGGATTTCTCTCTCTGTGTTTTTAGGTAATAGTCTGTGTTTGGAAGTCTGATCAGGTTGCAATCTGCAAAATCGCAGCCCTTCACATAGCTCCCTCTTCAGTATGCATCCAAAGAGACATGAGTATATTATTTCTTCCAAAGTCAGCTACAATTGAAGCTCACTAAATTGACTCCACATCTTCCTCTCTCGGGCAGTGACAGTGGAATAGCAAGTGTTTTTTTTTTTTTCTAAAATGCTTATTTTTAACCAACCTCTCCTTTGAAGATTTCTCTATCACTGATGCCAAGGACACGGTCTTTTCTTTATAGAGGATGGCAGAACACCTGCAAATCAATGTTTGAGTCCAAGGGCTGCCGTCCGTGCCTCAAACACTTATGTAGTAACTGTGTCCTTTTGTCAGCTATGTCATACAGGATTGAAGGCAGAATTTATTGCAAATGAAAGGGCACTAATATCAGAAGGATGTTCTGCATATGTGCATGTGCAGCTGTGTTGATATGCACACAAATACATATGTGTGTGTGCTTGGGGGGGCTAGGCATGAGCACACCCATGCCTGTGTGAAAAGATGCCCAGAAGATTAACTTCACCCCTTGATGGTCCATGCTTATTATGGCCAAGAAAATCAAGATAATATCTCACATCATATAAAAATATATTTCAGTGGTCTGCTTCCACCAATCCCCCTACTAACCATTCTACAGTAAACCAGATGATGGGTTTCCTTTTATCTGTTCACTCTACTAAGCTTCGCGTGGAGCCCATCTCACTCTGTTTGCCTTTTCTCTAGCAGAATTATCCTGCACTAGGTTGTGTTGAGAATTATGCAATGATATGGATAGAAATGAATGGATAGAAAATTAAAGGAAAGGCACGCAAAAGGAAATGTGGAAATTGGGTAATCAGGCCTGTAATCAAGTTGGTTTTAGTCAGTTCATATGGACATAGCATCTCCTCTGCAGGCTCTGTTTCCCAAAGATTACTTGTGTCACATCCTAAAAGAGTGGTTATTGTTTATTCAGTGAACACTATGTGGCAGGCACTGTGCTAGGACCTATACAGGCATCAGTCCAATTAATCCTCACACCACTCCTCTGAGACATACCTGTTATTATCCCCTTTTTACTGCTGCAAACACTGAGCTTCAGAGAGGTTAAGTAACTTGTCCAAGGTCTAAATCATTAATAGATGATGGGTGGATACAGGATATGAACCTGACAGCATGAACATGAGCCTGTGCACTTAATTAGTACTTCTCTGAGCCTTTTATTTTTAGCTTTGAAATCCCAAACCACTTTATGGGGTTTAATAACATCACAAAGAGGTAATACAGAGCCAACAATGTGAGACCTATATATAGAGGAAGCTCTGAAGACACATGAATTTTTCTACAGTTGTATAGGCAAAACCTGATGCTCTGAAATGTGAACCATTGTTCTCACCCCTTATGTAAACTTCATCCATGGAATCACAAAATCGGGCTTCCAGAGCTTGGTGTTAATCCCTTGTCCCTCCAAGCACCCAAGATCTAATAATTCTATACATATGAATATTGTCCTGCTGTAAATGATCTTCAGAGGTGAGGGATGCCTAGGAACTAAGGTAGTACATTTTAAATTAAATAAAAACTCCCGACCAGGCGCAGTGGCTCACGCCTATAATCCCAGCACTTTGGGAGGCCGAGGCAGGCAGAACAACTGAGGCAAGAGTTTGATACCAGCCTGGCCAACATGGCGAAACCCCGTCTCTACTAAAAATACAAAAATTACCCATATGTGGTGGTGTGCATGTGTCATCACAGCTACTTGGGAGGCTGAGGGAGGAGAATTGCTTGAACCTGGGAGCGAGAGGTTGCAGCGAGCCAAGATCATGCCTCTGCACTCCAGCCTGGGTAACAAAGCAAGACTCCTTCTCAGAAAAAAAACAAAACAAAACAAATAAAACAAAAAAAAAAACTCCTTAATCATGCCCAGTTTTTACCAGAATACAATTTCACCACCCCATGCCCCAAAATTTATTCTGAAGTCTGTAAACATTCAATCTTATCCCCTGTTCTTGTAAGAACAGGGAACATCAAAGAATCACTCACTTAGCTGATGTTGCCACCACATGGTCCATTAAATTCCCCTGACACTTGTTGAACTTAAACAAACAACCCCGAGTAGGAGAAAACAACCATTCAGGATGATATCTGATTGATCAGGCTGTGAAAAACTATTCAGTCAGGACTGCATGACTGACTGGCAGCAGATCTGCTGTGTGAGCCTGAATCCGCAAGTGGAGCCAGTTCACAGAATGATTATAGCTCATATAGACATATGAGCTGCAACCCAAAGAAACAATTAAAAAATCTGTCTGTCTGTAAGTGATACCCAGGCAGGGTCAGAACTGAAAACACAATGTTTGGAGGCCTATGTTTGTTAGAAAATTTCTTCACTTTTTTATATTTTGAGAGATTCTGCTTTGACTATCGGAAACCATTTTCACCTATTCACCTATTTCAATATGGATGTTAAAAAGGGCAATGAGAAAAGCCTCCTTTAGGAATTCAGATTTAGAATATTTGGTCAAAGTTCATCTTGTGTTTCCCAGGCTGGCTTCTTGCTAAATCCTTATTTTATCTCACCCTCCTTCTTTGTTAAAATTCTGCTCTTTGAACCCATCTCTCCAGGTTGAAACCATCTTGGCAAAGTATTATCAGCCGGTGTCTTCGGCTAGATGGACCTTTCAAGCCCTCCTAAGGTAAGAAAATGTTATTTTTCCCTTTTATGTGTTGTGGTTCATTGGATAGTATTTGTCATCTTGTCACATAATAGGAATGACGTTCACAATGTTGAAATACGCCTTTAAGAAGTGATGACAACAGACATGGGAGCAGAGTCCATGCTGTAGCCTTCATCAGCCCCTTCAAGCACTTGCAGCCTTGCTTATATGTTCCCAACCAAGAACGTTCCCTTTAAAGTGCACCATTTCATTCTGATTTGTCACAAGGGTCAGGTTCACACCAGAAAACTCTTTCCTTTGGAAACGCGAAGGGATAATTGGATTGCACCTTTTACCATATTTTGCACTGATACTTGAAAAGGCATGAAAAATTTGCTGAGTATAGTATCCTTTCACACAAACACACACTCAAACACCGTTTTGGTTGGGGAGGGCAGTGGAACAAATGTTTTTCTTGTTTATTATGAGGACAGCTGTAGTGAAATTGTTGTGATAATATACAGCCAAGGATTTCCTGAAGGTACAAATTGAGGGCACTGTTGAGGGAAATAGCTTAGGATCTTCTCTGAGGGAACCACCTCTCCACCATTAGCTCTATGGTGACTCAGGGAAGGTGCCAGTAGGAGAATCTTGTATTCATTCCATCTTCCTAAGCACAATCCCATTGCCACTTCCCCCTGGAGCTGCATAGTGTCCTTTATGATTTGTACCTTCAAGCTTCACAATGAAACTCATTTTATCCTTTCTCCATAATTATCTATCTATCTATCTATCTATCTATCTATCTATCTACCTACCTACCTACCTACCTACCTACCCACCCACCCACCTGTCACCTATCTATCAGATTTTTGACTGCGGGGGAAAGCACACAGGATGATTTTCCTGCTGACTTGTTCCAAGTGGGATTATCTTGACCTCAAATCCCCAGGAGAGACAGTTCTCTCTGTTGAAAAATAGACATTTCCAGGCAGTTTTGGAAAAAGCTTCTTTACAAACGATTTTGGAATCTTTCTGGGGAAAATGTACCCAAGAACACAAAACTGGAAGGTTTATAAACACTTAGAGGCTAATGATCCAACTAGAGGTATTTTATTTTTTTAATTTCTAATTTTTTAGTTACTGTCATTACACTATCCCTATCCCATAGGAGGACCCAAAGTTAAAAGAAAGGAAAAAAAAAAATCAAAGCACTTACAAAAGTTTAGGTGAGGCCATTTTGGCTGTTGTCTAATATGCTTTGGAAAGAATCCTCAACACACAAAAAATAAGAATTTTCACATATACAAAAGATAGGATCTGGATCTCATTGTCATGTTCAAAGTGCTGTAATGAACATCTGGCTCTCCCATCTGATCATTTCTCCAAAGGGCTCTCAATTAATTTAAAGCCAAAAAAAAAACTTTTATAATACTCCTGAAGTTTTAACATAGTTATATTTAATAATCAACTCATTTATTTGTTTTGTATTTAGCTAGCAAGAGTTTTTTTGGTGTACACACCATGAAGCAGCATTGCTCAAAACAATGCATTCTGAATACTCTACTGAGTTGGTATTTTGACTACTGTGGAGTATTTGAGTACACCTGCCTTAATGATTTTCATGCTAAAATTGTTGTGCCCAAAGTCTAGAAGTAGAACTTTGGGACTTTTCCATTTGTCTGTGCATTAAAGTAGATGTAAGCCTGGGCAACATGGCAAAACCCATTCTCTTCAAAGACTGTAAAAATTAGCTGGGCATGGTGGTGCACTCCTGTAGTCTCAGCTACTCAGAAGGCTGAGTTGAGAGAATGGCTTGAGCCCATGATGCAGAGGTTGTAGTGAGCTGAGATCATGCCACTGTACCCTACCCTGGGCAACAGAGTGAGACCCTGCTTCAAAAAAATTAAATTATATTAAAAAGTAGATGTAAGGCCGGGCATGGTGGCTCATGCCTGTAATCCCAGCACTTTGGGCGGTAGAGGCGGGCGAATCACCTGAGGTCGGGAGTTCGAGACCAGCCTGACCAACATGGAGAAAACCCCATCTCTACTAAAAATACGAAATTAGCTGGGTGTGGTGGCACATGCCTGTAATCCCAGCTACTATGGAGGCTGAGGCAGGAGAATCGCTTGAACCCGGGAGGCAGAGGTTGCGGTGAGTGGAGATCGCGCCATTGCACTCCAGCCTGGGCAACAAGAGCGAAACTCCATCTCAAAAAAAAAAAAAAGTAGATGTAAATTATTTTCTAAGAAGCTTCATTCTGCTCATGAGTAATGCCTTGCCTCCTAGGTAATTCTCTGTATAAAGGTAGAATCAATGTATGTGCCTTTTTCTCAGTCATGTAGGTTTTCCTAGGCTATGGTAATTTCACAGCAGAGTGTCAACCTTGCTTCTGGCTTGACTTTCTACTAATGCATAGTTTCAAATTTAATTGGGAATAGAGAACAATCACACTCCAGATAATTGCCAAAGAGAACAATTTCAAAATCACAGCTGCCTAATATTCAGCAAAAATTGAGGAAAGTAAAGTTTTTGGGGGAATCATTCAAAGAAGTAAATGAAACCCATGTAACCCTCCACACATTCTAAATATTTCCAGACTTGAATTGCCTTTGAGGTAAGGCCATTAACCCGTCATTAGCCACATGACATTATACCTCTCCCAGATATTGTTAAGGACTCTAATCATTATGGTGTAGAGAATTCCATTTATCATGAGCTTCAGGGGCAATTTCTTCCTCATCTTAGCACATCTTATCTTGGATGCTCACTAATATGTGTCCACTAACATGAAAGAGGGAGTCTTCAGGGTAGGAATTTTCGATTTTTCTCTTTCTGTCTCTAGTTGAATATTTATGTATTTATTTATTTATTTATTTTGCTGCAGTTCAAGTAATCTAGAAAACCACTTTTGTGGAAAAGAAGGCTAATAAATAAATCTGCCACTTAAGGCAAAGTTGGGATATTTCCCCCAAAGCCTCAGAGGAAGAGCATGACTTACCCTATAATAAGCTGGTAGAAATAAGAGAGTATTTATGTTTGGCTCCGCAAAATGATTAAAAAAGAAAATTTCTTTGAAAAAAGAGCAGGCAATTATAGAAAAAAATCAAGCTGTGATACGTACAGATGCAAATATAGCTAATGTAAGAAAATAATGCAAAAGAAAATGAGATGAAAAATGTACATTTGTTTTGATGTTCAGTATAAACTACTGAAATAATCTGTAAATTCATATGTGTACTGTGGAGGATGCACTTCAGATACTCTCCCAGAAGCAGAGTTAAAAATGCGGAGGTAAAAGAGATGAGAAAAAATATGAAAGACAGATTTGACAGCAGACATAAATAATTTTCCAAAGCCAGAAACCAGAGTAATAATGAATGAAGCAATAGTAAAGGATATAATAGAAGAAGGAAAGTTTCTGGAAGAAAAATCATGACTTGAAATGACTCACCTGGATCCAGGCAAAATTAATTAAAAGGACCTACATTTAAATTAACAGTCATATTTTTCAAAACTTAAATTCAAGAACAAAGGGGGATAATATAATTATAAATCAGAAAGAAACAACAATCAGAGTGTCCCAATTTCACTTTTTCAACACTAATTGAAAAAAAAACTAAAGTGTGAAAGCTACAGAATTCACGACTGCAAAAATGTGAAACCAGCTCAAATGCTCATCAATCAACAAGTGGATAAAGAAAATGTGGTATATATAGGCCGGGCATGGTGGCTCACGCCTGTAATCCCGGCACTTTGAGAGGCCGAGGTGGGTGGATCACCTGAGGTCAGGAGTTCGAGACCAGCCTCAAAATGGAGAAACCCCTTCTCTACTAAAAATACAAAATAAGCTGGGCGTGGTGGTGCATGCCTGTGATCCCAGCTACTCGGGAGGGTGAGACAGGAGAATTGCTTGAACCTGGGAGGCAGAGGTTGCGGTGAGCTGAGATCGTGCCATTGCACTCCAGCCTAGGCAGTAAGAGTGAAACTCCGTCTCAAAAAAAAAAAAAAAAAGAAAAAGAAAAAAGAAAAAGTGGTATATATATACAATGGAATACTACTCAGCCATAAAAAGGAATGAATTAATGGCATTGGCAGTCACCTGGATGAGATTGGAGACTATTATTCTAAGTGAAGTTACTCAGGAATGGAAAACCAAACATCATATGTTCTCATTCTTTTAGTGAGAGCTAAGCTATGAGGATGCAAAGGCATAAGAATAACACAGTGGACTTTGGTGATTCCAAGGGAAAGTGTGGGAAGGGGGTGAGGAAAAAAAGACGACAAATAGGGTGCAGTGTATACTGCTCGGGTGATGGGTGCACCAAAATCTCACAAATCACCACTAAAGAACTTACTCATGTAACCAAACACCACCTGTTCTCCAATAACCTATGGAAATATATTTTTTTTTAAAGGGTGAAAGCTATAGAATGTTTTTAAAAGCTTGAGAAACAACAGTTCCACATAAAATCTGGATATTAACGCCTGTCCCAAGAGTTTCAGTCAGGCAAGGATTTAAAGCATAAATCACTGTGTGTCCTTTCTAAAAAGAGTGGATCTTGGTCATTGTTTTTTGTTTTTATGAGACCCAGCTCGCTCTGTCGCCAGGATGGAGTGCAGTGGCGCGATCCCTGCTCACTGCAACCTCCGCCTCCCGGTGTTTGTTACTACCTCAAGAATTAAAGAAATTTTTTAACTAATTCAATAAATATTTATTGAGTTAAAGAAGTAAAGAAATACAGGTCTCAGAATACGATAAATTTAATATACCCAGACTACTATACAGTTTATTCAAGATTTTCCCACTCCCAATAATTATAAAAGCCACTAATAGAGGAATAATTGTATAAATATCAGAAAACAGAAAACAAAGACAGCACTTTTATCAAGAAGCTTAAACAACTTACCACCTTTCCATATCCCATCACCCTCAGTCTCATGGAAAGACAATTTGGTTAAAGAAACCAAAAACAGCATGTGGTCCTTACAGACAACCATAATATAGAAAGGAATTTTTTCTTTATTTTGTTTTGTTTTGTTTTTAGGTACATAAATTCAAATTTTTAAATATAACTACTGTGGTAGATTGAAGATGCCCACAAATTCTTTGCCATTTCTCTCCCACCAAGAGGTGGAGTCTATTTCCCCAGTCCTTCTCCAACTGGACTCAAGTTATGACTTGTTATGACTTGCTTTTTTTTTTTTTTTTTTTTTTGAGACAGGGTCTCACTTTGTTCCCCAGGCTTGAGTGCAGTGGTGCCATCTTGGCTCACTGTAGCCTTGACCTCCGGGGTCCAAGCGATCCACATGCCTCAGCCCCCCAAGTAGCTGGGACTACAGGCATACACCAGCATACCTGGCTAATTTTTTTTGTATTTTTTGTAGAGAGAGGGTTTCACTGTGTTGGCCAGGCTGGTCTCAAACTCTTGGCCTCAAGTGATCCACCTGCTTCAGCCTCCCAAAGTGCTGGGATTACAGGCGTGAGCCACCACACCTGGCCAATTTATGACTTGCTTTTGACTGAAAAAAGGCAGCAGATGTTGGTCAAAGGATACAAAATTTCAGTTAGATAGTAGGAATAAGTTCAAGAGCTCCATTATACAATATTGTGACTATGGTTAATAACAATATATCCTATTCTTGAACATTGCTAAGAGCAGATATTAGATGTTCTCACCACACACAAAAAAAGTATGTAAGGTAATGCATATCTTTTTTATATATATATATATATTTTAAGTTCTAGGGTACATGTGCGCAATGTGCAAATTTGTTACATACGTATACATGTGCCATGTTGGTGTGCTGCACCCATTAACTCGTCGTTTACATTAGGTATATCTCCTAATGCTATCCCTCCCCTCTCTCCTCACCCCACAACAGTCCCCGGTGTGTGATGTTCCCCTTCCTGTGTCCAAGTGTTCTCATTGTTCAATTCCCACCTATGAGTGAGAACATGAAGTGTTTGGTTTTTTGTCCCTGCGATAGTTTGCTGAGAATGATGGTTTCCAGCTTCATCCATGTCCCTACAAAGGATATGAACTCATCATTTTTTATGGCTGCATAGTATTCCATGGTGTATATGTGCCACATTTTCTTAATCCAGTCTATCATTGATGGACATTTGGGTTGGTTCCAAGTCTTTGCTATTGTGAATAGTGCTGCAATAAACATACGTGTACATGTGTCTTTATAGCAGCATGATTTATAATCCTTTGGGTATATACCCAGTAACGGGATGGCTGGGTCAAATGGTATTTCTAGTTCTAGATCCTTGAGGAATCACCACACTGTCTTCCACAATGGTTGAACCAGTTTACAGTCCCACCAATGGTGTAAAAGTGTTCCTATTTCTCCACATCTTGTCCAGCACCTGTTGTTTCCTGACTTTTTAATGATCACCATTCTCACTGGTGTGGGATGGTATCTCATTGTGGTTTTGATTTGCATTTCTCTAACAGTCAGTAATGATGAGCATTTTTTCATGTGTCTGTTAGCTGCATAAATGTCTTCTTTTGAGAAGTGTCTGTTCATATCCTTCACCCACTTTTTGATGGGGTTGTTTGTTTTTTTCTTGTAAATTTGTTTGAGTTCTTTGTAGATTCTGGATATTAGCCCTTTGTCAGATGAGTAGATTGCAAAAATTTTCTCCCATTCTGTAGGTTGCCTGTTCACTCTGATGGTGGTTTCTTTTGCTGTGCAGAAGCTCTTTAGTTTAATTAGATCCCATTTGTCAATTTTGGCTTTTGTTGCCATTGCTTTTGGTGTTTTAGACATGAAGTCCTTGCCCATGCCTATTGCCTAGGTTTTCTTCTAGGGTTTTTATGGTTTTAGGTCTAACATTTAACTCTTTAATCCATCTTGAATTAATTTTTGTATAAGGTATAAGGAAGGGATCCAGTTTCAGCTTTCTACATATGGCTAGCCAGTTTTCCCATCACCATTTATTAAATAGGGAATCATTTTCCCATTTCTTGTTTTTGTCAGGTTTGTCAAAGATCAGATGGTTGTAGATGTGTGGTATTATTTTGAGGGCTCTGTTCTGTTCCATTGGTCTATATCTCTGTTTTGGTACCAGTACCATGCTGTTTTGGTTACTGTAGCCTTGTAGTATAGTTTGAAGTCAGGTAGCGTGATGCCTCCAGCTTTGTTCTTTCGGCTTAGGATTGTCTTGGCAATGCAGGCTCTTTTTTGGTTCCATATGAATTTTAAAGTAGTTTTTTCCAATTCTGTGAAGAAAGTCATTGGTAGCTTGATGGGGATGGCATTAAATCTATAAATTACCTTGGGCAGTATGGCCATTTTCATAATATTTATTCTTCCTGTCCCTGAGAATGGAATGTTCTTCCATTTGTTTGTGTCCTCTTTTATTTCGCTGAGCAGTGGTTTGTAGTTCCCCTTGAAGAGGTCCTTCACATCCCTTGTAAGTTAGACTCCTAGGTATTTTATTCTCTTTGAAGCAATTGTGAATGGGAGTTCACTCATAATTAGACTCTGTCTGTTATTGGTATATAAGAATGCTTGTGATTTTTGCACATTTATTTTGATCCTGAGACTTTGCTGAAGTTGCTTATCAGCTTAAGGAGATTTTGGGCTGAGAAGATGGGGTTTTCTAAATATGCAATCATGTCATCTGCAAACAGGGACAATTTGACTTCCTCTTTTCCTAATTGAATACCCTTTATTTCTTTCTCCTGCCTGATTGCCCTGGCCAGAACTTCCAACACTATGTTGAATAGGAGTGGTGAGAGAGGGCATCCCTGTCTTGTGCCAGTTTTCAAAGGGAATGCTTCCAGTTTTTGCCCATTCTTTATGATATTGGCTGTGGGTTTGTCATGAATAGCTCTTATTATTTTGAGATACATCCCATCAATACCTAATTTATTGAGATTTTTCAGCATGAAGGGCTGTTGAATTTTGTCAAAGGCCTTTTCTGCATCTATTGAGAAAATCATGTGGTTTTTGTCTTTGGTTCTGTTTATATACCGGATTACATTTATTGATTTGTGTATGTTGAACCAGCCTTGCATCCCAGGAATGAAGCCCACTTGATCATGGTGGATAAGCTTTTTGATGTGCTGCTGGATTCGGTTTGCCATTATTTTGTTGAGGATTTTTGCATCGATGTTCATCAGGGATATTGGTCTAAAATTCTCTTTTTTTGTTGTGTCTCTGCCAGGCTTTGGTATCAGGATGATGCTGGCCTCATAAAATGAGTTAGGGAGGATTCCCTCTTTTTCTATTGATTGGAATAGTTTCAGAAGGAATGGTACCAGCTCCTTCTTGTACCTCTGGTAGAATTTGGCTGTGAATCCATCTGGTCCTGGACTTTTTTGGTTGGTAGGCTATTGATTATTGTCTCAATTTCAGAGCCTGTTATTGGTCTATTCAGGGATTCAAGCTCTTCCTGGTTTAGTCCTGGGAGGGTGTATGTGTCGAGGAATTTATCCATTTCTTGTAGATTTTCTAGTTTATTTGCATAGAGGTGTTTATAGTATTCTCTGATGGTAATTTGTATTTCTGTGGGATCAGTGGTGATATCCTCTTTGTTATTTTTTATTGCGTCTATTTGATACTTCTCTCTTTTCTTCTTTATTAGTCTTGCTAGCAGTCTGTCAATTTTGTTGATCTTTTCAAAAAACCAGGTCTTGGATTCATTGATTTTTTGAAGGGTTTTTTTGTGTCTCTATCTCCTTCATTTCTGCTCTCATCTTAGTTATTCCTTGCCTTCTGCTAGCTTTTGAATGTGTTTGCTCTTGCTTCTCTAGTTCTTTCAATTGTGATGTTAGGGTGTCAATTTTAGATCTTTCCTGCTTTCTCTTGTGGGCATTTAGTGCTATAAATTTCCCTCTACACACTGCTTTAAATGTGTGCCAGAGATTCTGGTATGTTCTGTTTTTGTTCTCATTGGTTTCAAAGAACATCTTTGTTTCTGCCTTCATTTCATTATGTACCCAGTAAGTCATTCAGGAGCAGGTTGTTCAGTTTCCATGTAGTTGAGCAGTTTTGAGTGAGTTTCTTAATCCTGAGTTCTAATTTGATTGCACTGTGGTCTGAGAGACAGTTTGTTGTGATTTCTGTTCTTTTACATTTGCTGAGGAGTGCTTTACTTCCAATTATGTGGCCAATTTTGGAATAAGTGTGATGTGGTGCTGAGAAGAATGTATATTCTGTTGATTTGGGGTGGAGAGTTCTGTAGATGTCTATTAGGTCCGCTTGGTGCAGAGCTGAATTCAATTCCTGGATATCCTTGTTAACTTTCTGTCTTGTTGATCTGTCTAATATTGACAGTGGGGTGTTAAAGTCTCCCGTTATTATTGTGTGGGAGTCTAAGTCTCTTTCTAGGTCTCTAAGGACTTGCTTTATGAATCTGGGTGCTCCTGTATTGGGTGCATATATATTTAGGATAGTTAGTTCTTCTTGTTGAATTGATCCCTTTACCATTATGTAATGGCCTTCTTTGTCTCTTTTGATCTTTGTTGGTTTAAAGTCTATTTTATCAGAGACTAGGATTGCAATCCCTGTGATTTTTTGTTTTCCATTTGCTTGGCAGATCTTCCTCCATCCCTTTATTTTGGGCCTATGTGTGTCTCTGCACGTGAGATGGGTCTCCTGAATACAGCACACTGATGGGTCTTGACTCTTTATGCAATTTGCCAGTCTGTGTCTTTTAATTGGAGAGGTAATGCGTGTCTTAATTAGCTTGATTTAGCTATTCCACAATGTACAGATGGCCCTCTGTATCCACTGGTTCTACATCTGCAGATTCAACCAAGCACTGATCAAAAATATTTGGAAATAATAATAATAAATAACAATACAATAATACAAATAACAGACAATACGGTAAGTATAACTATTTACATAGCATTTACATTGTATCAGGTATTATAAGTAATTTAGAAATGATTTAAAGTATATGGGAGGATGTGCATAAGTTACAAGCAGATACTTTGCCTTTTGTTTGTTTTTACTTTTGAGACAAGAGTCTCTCTCTATTGTCCAAGCTGGAGTGCAGTGGTACCATCATAGCTTACCGCAGCCTCAACCTCCTAGGCTCAAGTAATCCTTGTACTTCAGCCTCCCAAGTAGCTGGGACTAGAGGCACTCGCCACCACACCCAGCTAATATTTGTATTTTTTGTAGAGATGGAGTTTAGCCATGTTGCTCAGGCTAGTCTTGAACTCCTGGGCTCAAGCAATCCACCCACCTCAGCCTCCCAAAGTTCTGGGATTACCTGCTCTAGCCACTGCCACTGTGTCTGGCCTACTGTGTCATTTTATATCATGGACTTAAGCATCCATGGATTTTGATGTCCAAGGGAGGGAGATTCTGGAAGCAATCCCCCTTGAATAATAACTGTATACATATTTCAAAACAACATGCCATATATGATATATACAATTTCTATTTATTCATTAAAAAATAAATTTAAATGCAGCAGTAGCATGTCTGTTCTGGGTCTTGGACTGAAGAAGCACCGTGCTCTAAGGAAGGCCAGGTTATGTTGCTGGAGACAGAGGTCACTTGTAGAGGCCTCAGAAGAGGACATACCACATGGGGAGAGAGGCCATAAGGAAGAGAATTGAGGTGCTCCAGCCAACAGCACATAAGAGAAAAGCTGCCTTGAAACTTCCAGCGCAGCCCAGCTGCCAGCTGTGTGCACCTCTACGAGTGACCCCAGACAACACATGTGAATCAAAGAACTGTACGGCTCAGTTCAGCCAACCCACAGAACCATGAGAAAGAATAAGTCATGTTATTTTAAACCACTAAGTTTTGGAGTGTTATATTTGAAAGCAATAGATAATGAAAACACATACCTTTATTTTTTAATTTTTTTCAAGAGCGAGTCTTGCTCTGTTGCCCAGTCTGAAGTGCAGTGATGTAATCTTGCCTCACTGCAACCTCAGCCTCTCGGGTTCAAGCGATTCTCCTGCCTCAGCCTCCTGAGTAGTTGGGATTACAGACGTGCACCACCACGCCCAGCTAATTTTTGTATTTTTAGTAGAGATGGGGTTTCACCATGTTGACCAGGCTGGTCTCAAACTCCTGACCTCATGTGATCCGCCTGCCTCGGCCTTCCAAAGTGCTGGGATTACACACGTGAGCCGCCATGCCTGGCCTCTTTCTTTTACATTAGATGTCATGCTGTGTTTTATATACTCATAGTTAATCCTCACAACGACTCTTTGAAGTAATCTCGATTTTTCAAGTTTCACAGTAGAGGCAATGTTAAAAGTTTCCATAGACTTGCCCAGAGTCATGCATAGTAGACGGGAGACAGAGGGGATGCTCCAATCCAGGTCTGTCAGATGCCTCCCACTCTGAATCCTCAGGTAAATAGCCTCTTCCTTCTCAATGCCCAACAATATGGGGAATAGAAAAAGTAGATATATTGCTGTATAGCCATATGATAAAATATTATTGTAGTTATTTTTTAAAAGTTCCAAAACAAGAACAGATAACAGAAAAATCTGATAAATTTTATTGCAAAGGACAGGATAAAGATACACATTTCTGGATACGTGTTATATGTATGTAAGGCAATGCAACAAAACTGACAGTCATTATTCCTGGTGGTAGCATTTTATGGTTGATTTTTAAATAATTTTATTTAGAACATCCACATTTTACATAATTTTCATGCATTATTTTTCAACCACAAAAAAATTAAAAAGGCATTATTTTAGTGGTTGCAGAGGCTAAAAGTGAATTAGATTAACAGTAATAATTATTTTATTTGATTGATATACACAATCAGTTTATTTGATTGGTAACACAAGCAGATAAGCAGCTCTTGCATTCTATAAAAATCTAACCAGAAAGATTGAAACTATAAATAATCAATGGACTAAAACATCCCATTCCCCCAGTATTTGAGCATATTTTTGTTCTTCAGAACAACAATGTAACATAAATGTACTAAACATTATTATTTACTTGGAGACTGGAAAGATTTCTATTTACTCTTTAAGGATTCTCAATATATTTTAAAGCAACAGCTCTGAAATTATTTATATATGTAGTATCAGTTATAGTGAACACTTCCCCTCCACAGAGATCTGTAAAGTAAGAAGTGACATATTAATATTTCCAAATGGTTGCCAATTTATCCCTGTTGAAGAAGCAATGAGCTGCCTCACCATCTGAAGTCGAATCTGGGAGCTCAAGAAGCCAGCAAGAA
The DNA here is from genome assembly GCF_000001405.40 of Homo sapiens. Classification (NCBI taxonomy): domain Eukaryota; kingdom Metazoa; phylum Chordata; class Mammalia; order Primates; family Hominidae; genus Homo; species Homo sapiens. The sequence continues at coordinate 21,238,517 of NC_000007.14, forward strand.
AGGGCCTTCCCACATTAACAGTTTCACCGGCATTATCAGCCACATAGAGATAACTTGCGTACATCAGTAGCTATGAGTGCAAAGTTCATCAGCTGCTTCCATACTTCTCTGTGGGTCAAGCCTGAAAAAGTGATTGAGGCTGTAGGTCACATCTCCTGAAGCCAAACCTATTTATGAACACATTTCTAGGTTCTCAGGGGAGAATGAAGTTTAGCAAAGTTACACTCAAGCTAATGAGACCACATATTAGGAAGCGCCTGAAAGAGTCATATTCATAGATGGAAAATAGAATGGTAGTTACCGGAGTGGGGTGAGGGTGTAATGGAGAGTTCTTGTTTAATGAGTACAGAGTTTCTATTTGGGAAGGTGAGAAAGCTCTGGAAATAAATGGTGGTGATGATTGCATACAGTGTGGGTGTACTTAATGCCACTGCACTGTACACTCAAAAGTGGTTAAAATGGAAAGTTTTATGCTATGTATCATGTATTTTGCCACAATAAAAAATATATATACAGACAGAACTTCACATTGCTTTATCCTATCCTACCACAACTACTTTTACTTTTCCACAGTTACCTTTTTAGTATTCATGATACATTTTTCTTCTAATAACTTACTCAGTATTTTTAATTTTTAAAAATCCAGATTTTTAGGAGTGTTTCCAAATAAAAAGCACCACCTAGCAGCAACACCCTCAGACTTTACACATAAGCTCCCTGAGGCCTCGTGAAGTTTCTATGAATTGTGCTTGTCAGATGCAACCTGTGGCATGACAGTCAGTGCCATACAAACAATATTTTCTACAGTGCAAATACTCTTTTTAACATTTCTAGATAATCAGAAAGCAACCTAATTATTACCATATTCTCAATTTATGATAATGGCGGTCCCTCTCTCAATTAAATTACATAGTTAGCATCTAAAGTTGTAGTTACATTTCTGAAGTAAGCAAATTTCAAGGGTGACTGAAAATTATGATTCTTTTTGCGTTTTTCTCATAGTCCATTCTTATTCAGCTAGTTTGCTAGAAATCTCCTCTGTGGATCCTGCTTCTCCCGTAGGTTTCAGCAACACAGTGGCTTGAAGCTGACCTCCTCCTCCAGCCCTCACCTTGATATTTCTCACCTCCTTATCTTTGTAATGTTGTGAACTCCACCTGGAGTTTTGCCTATGCCTTTCCCCAGGCCTGCAACCACCATTAAACACAGTGAACTTGAACTTCCACATAGCACTGAAACTCCCTTCAAGCATCACACCATCCTGGAAATCTTTCTTGATCCTCCCCACTCCACCTCCCCAAGACCCATAAATAGACATGCACTTCAAGCTGAATGAGAGGACTTCCCTCTGGAGTCCTAAGAGTTTTCTCTCTTATTTATTACATGGCATTACATTTATCTGTGTCTTGTGTTCATCTCCCCCCAACCTCCCTCTCACTAACCTGTAAGCTCTTGAAGAACAGAAACTGCCTCATTTACTTCTGTGTCCTCTACAATAAAATCAGGGGTTGGGGACTGATTGACCAAATAAGAAAAATGAGTGAGTGAATGAGTGACTAGCATGAACCCCATGATATTAGTCTGTGCAGATAGTAGTGCAAAAAATGACATGGTCCTTCCCTTAGTACATTAATAAACCACTTGTCAATCATCTAATACAGATCCTTTACATTTCTTGTTGTTCCTTCCGCCAATAGCTAAAAGTCTTGGAATGTTCAGCCACAGTTGTATAATTTGAATCTATTGCTATGACATTTAATTTCACAATCTACTTTGTTAACTCTAAACTGAGTTAGTTTTAATACACAATTTCCAGCTAAATGTTGTTCTAATAACGAAGTTCATCAGAGACATCTTTCAAAGGTACAAAGAGTTAACTATGTAATTTTCTTAATAAGACTGAAAAGGCAGTGCATCATTTTTTCTAACTATGGCATGCTCTGTGACACCATGTAATTTTGGGGTATCTATACTTTGCTTGGAAAAGAAAAAACAATACCTAGTTTCTTTTTAAAACTATTTTTGCTGCCAGGAAAAAAAATCATTTGCTCTGTCACAATTATGGTAATAAATCTTACAGTGAAGACATTTAATGATGGCTACAAAGCTTCCTTTATTTTACCTTACAGAGACAAGCTTTAAACTTACTAAGCAAGTAAAGAATGGGTGCACTTTAGTTTTACAAACGCCTGCTTAAGAAATATGTCATTAAAAAGAAATACTCTCTAGCCCTGAGTTTGCATGGCTTAGGATAAGACTTCTTTATAAAAGTTCGGTTACATTCAGAATTAGATAATTTAGACTTTCTGTTCTTGGGCTACTGAAGTCATGGAAATAAGTTAAATTAACCCAGTTTGTTTCAGATTTATTTGTGACTTGAGATTCCATACTTTTAAAATTTAATTTATTTTGAATAAGAATTCAAATAGATGCTGAGTATAAAATTCAAAAGGTTTCAAGGAGAATGTGATGAAAATTTCCCTCCGCCTTGGTCTCCTGCCCTGCATAACAACTTCCCTGATGTGGCTACCTTTACTAGTTTCTTTTACAACATTTCAGAGGAATTATATGTAAAACAAATACAGACATGATATTTTCGTAATATCTCTTTGAGATCATTCCATACCAGTAAATACTGAATTTGTTTTAATAGCTGCATAGTATACCATCAGATGGATAAAACCAAATTTATAATCATTTATATACTGATAAACAAATGTTATTACAAATGACATTTCAATGGATATTATTGGAACATATGTGTTTCCACATATAAGAAATCATATATGTAGCTTAAATTCATAGAACAGGAATTGCTAGGTCAAAGGGTATGTGCCTATTTATCTTAGATATTACAAACCATTCTCTACAGAGTTTGTACCAATTTATACGACCACCAATGTAAGTGTGCTTGAAACTTCATATTCTCACCACAGTATATTATCAAAATTGATCTTTGCCAAAATGAAAGGTTTAGAAATGTTCTCAGGTATTACAAAGTATGGAGGAGCTCTTATTTTTTTTTTCAAGACCGCCATTTGAAAAGTTTTATTAAATGTGAAAATGTTCTTATTTAGAACATTTGAGCTAAATTTGATGAGTAAGATCATTGAAATGGTTTACTACTCATCAAAAAAAAGAATTTTCAAATTTTATATGTAGAGAATTCATCTACAAGGGATCTGAAGTATAAGCCAGAGAAGACGAAAGGAGAATTTGAGGCCTTTCTCCCTTCCCTTTCTTTTTCAGCCAAATCCTCCTTCCCCTGGGTTGTCTTTACTTACTGCAATCTCATCTTTTCCCAGTTTAATAAGAGACTATTCTATTTAAGTTTTCTTTTTTCTTAGTATGGTTATCCGAAGTGTAGTAAGTGGATAAAACCTAAAGTCTTTGGAATTTACAGCAAGTTCAGCTAATAAGAAATAGGACATTTCTGTTTTTCTTTTAACCAGTTTGCCAGATCATCCTTTATATTAATTCTGCTTTGCAGTTGACTTTTAATTTACGTCTTTCTCTTCTTCCTTAGGAAAGAAACCTATTCCCTGAATCTGAGGAGCTCACTTAAATGCTCACTTTTCTGAAGCACAGCACCAATTCATGTCTTTTATTATATGTTAGTCACTGTCATTGTGGTTAAGTACAATGTAGCACGGATGGAGCATTTTTTAAAGACACACAAAAACACACACACAAACACACATGTCAATGGTTTTTCTTTGATGAATATGGCAAGCTGTTCATTTTTTCACAGCTGTGAAAGAAGGCAGCCAATTGTGATAAGTAAAATGCAGGTATCCATGTCAGCTTCTCACTTGAGAGAGTAAAACTAAGTTAAAGCTAAAACTTCACTGAATTCTTATACCTGGCCATATATTTATATTTGAGCAACAATTTAAAAATAATTTATGTTTCACCATTCTGAAAAGTAAAGTAGAATACTGGGCACAATGAGAGATCCAACTGAGAGGGTATTGCAAAGTGATATTTAAATATTATATTTGGCCATAAACAAACTCTAAATTAAGGTTTACATTTGAACCAAAAACAGAAAGTTATTTAAAAGCAAAAAAAAAAAAAAGTTTCAGTGGGTTTCTAGCATAAGTACCCTTAATTAAAACAAACGCAGTAACAAAATATTTAGGAAAAATTATAAGGAAGTCTATTAATTCCACATAGCCTGAAGTATCAGTCACAATGCTAGAATTTTAGTTTTAGTTTTGATTTTGATCAAAAAATAATGTGTGCTAAGTGCTAAGCATATTCTGATGAAGGTTTCTATTAGGTTAGTTCTATTAGATATACATATGTTCTGAATACAAAAAAAGAGGCAAGGAATTTGGGGGAAACTTAGGCCAGAGGTGAGAGCAAAAGGAAAATTCCAGTTGTAAAGTAAACAAAACTTATAAGACAGACAAACGGCAGGAATGGCAATGCAAAGCACACCAAAGCACTATCCAAAAATGTATTGGCCAGGTTTCTGGAAAGGAAAGTTGAAGAAACTAAAGTGCTGAAAAGGAAAAAGGGCAAAAGGACACGTTGATAATGTGGGTTGAAACATCAGGATCCATAAATAGGGACTGTTCCAAGAAGAAAATAACTTTATTTTCTTTAATAATGCTAACAGTGCATGAAGAAGAGCCTGTACTTTGAAACTCTTTTTAATTGGGGAATAACCTTTCAATGGGGAAACATTGCTCTAAAGCAATGGTTCTTAAAGTATGGTTCCAGTCCAGCATGACTGACATCACTTTAATTTGTCAGAAATGCAAAATATTGGTCCCACTCAGACCTAGAAATCAGACAGGTGGCTGAGACCCATAAATCTGCATTATGAGCCTAAGAAATTCTGATGCAGGCTCTGGGACCCTCTCGCTGTTCCGTAGAGGGGAGCTGTTGTCTCAGAGCTTCAGAAAGCACCCATCAGAATGAGAATGCCTCTGATAAGCACTCTCAGCTTCTTGCAACATCTATCCCTGTGACCCAGTGGCTTAACATTGGCTTTCTATCTGGAGCAGGAGGAAACAGACAGAGGAACCCTTCTCATTCTATAGCATACCTCGAAATAAATCAGCTCATAAATCAGTTTTGTTTTCTCACTGTCCCAGAAATCTGTTCTGCTTTTTATTGATTATTCTAATAGGGATGAAAAGGTTTGCTTTCTCAGTATTTGAAAATGATATTAACTATGTCTATTTTCTCCTGATTATAACAATGTGAAGCAAAGACCACAATGAACACAAATTCCACATGGAAATCTTGAAAGATAAGTATCTTCCGGACAGCAAAGCATTTTGTAAGTTTATGTACCCTGCTGATATGCCACAGACACCATCACGGTTTTTCTATTGCTAAACCAGGTAATTATTGCAATAATAGTTAATATTTATTGAGCATTTGCTGGGCTAAGCATTGTGTTGAGAAAACTCTTATTTAGCCGTCACAACAGGTCTATGAGGTAGGCACTCTTACAATTCTCATTTTGCATAAGGTGAAACTGTAACTTAAGGAGGGTAAGTAACTTGCCTGAATTACCCATTTAATAAGGAAATGGTAGACAGGGTTCCTAGCTACTTCTGATGGCAGATCTCATGTCATTAACCACCACAATCAATACCTGTCTGTGCCTTTTATCTTTATTAGACAGTTTGCCAGGGTTCTGTCTTTACTCTTGTTGGCTTTCACCACCCATCTTGTTCTGGGGTTTTGTTTCCAACCAACACCAACAAAGAAGTGAAACACAATCTAAATAACCTTTTCTCCCCATCCATTCCTCTTCTTACCCAGAAATAAAGTATGTAGAGTGTATAGTTTTAAGGGTTTCACTGCCAACACAGTGGGAGGATTAAATACCTACAACTAACAAACATGGGAAAGGTAGTATCCTTTTTTCTTTAAAAAAAAAAAATCTTATAATTGTGTTTTATCATCCCTGAATTTATTACCAAATTTCAAAATGAGTCTCAGGGAATTTCTCTGGACTTTGTACATTTTGAGAGAAGATAGAGTGAAGTGAGGAAAACAGGGCTGGAGAAATACATAGGTATTTTCATAACATGGCCTATTACGGCATCATCCTTACCAGCCTTATATGTAACATCATCCTCAATGCCTTCCTCCCTCTCACCCTACTCATCCAATTGCACCCTCTAAATAACTCTGTATTTAGTCACTTCTTCCCATTTCCATGGCTATTGTGTTAAGTATCACCTGAGGAGGTTTCTGGATTATAACCTGAAGGCAATAGAGGTATAACAAGGTGTTTTAGGTAGTGAGGTAGCATAATCAGATATGCATTTTATATGCAGAGAACAGATTGGAAGGAAGTAAGACCAGAGACAAGGAGATGAATGAGGTAGAAATGCATCAGATAAGAAGCACAAGAGCACTAAACGGGGCAAACGAAGGACGCTTACATATTGGGTTCCGTTCCTTTAGGAAAAGAAAAGGTTTATTGCTACCAAATTAGGCATTCTTTTAACACTCATTCAATAAATACTTCCTGTGCACTTACCATGTGGGATATATGACACGGGGCTATGGCGATATAGCAGTAAAGAAAACAGAATGCAAAAGCACTTCTAAGTGGTCAATGCTTTTTTGCTAGCGGCCATGACACCCTTACATGAATGAATGCTCTGAGAGACTATTTTACCAAAGGAATGAAGAAAAAAGAGTATTCCTGTGTAGGTCACTGATTTGAGGATGAAGACATAGCACCAAGAAGGTAGAAGTTAATGAAGACGAACTTCCCCTATCTCACAGTCTTAACTAGGTCTTCCCCCAGATAGAAAGGAAGTAATTGGTCATTGGTTACCATTAAATAGAGACATATATTCAAATTTTTTAGGTGTGCTGTCATCCAGCATAGAGTGAGATCAAAAGTGAATAGGATCTAGTTCAGTTCAGTCTGAATTTGGAAAAAAAGAAAAAAAAAGAGTAAAAGACCCTTAGCTCCAGTGAACTGCAAGTAGAAGCCCCAGTGAGAGCTGGTTACCTCCAGGAGGGTCATAAGGTTGTGATGCTTGGGGATGGACAGGCATCAAAATGATAGCCAAGAATGACAGTGGATGAAGAATTGAGAAGGAAAACAACCACAGCGAATGGGGCTATGAGTGCAGCACTGGGCTGACAGGCAACAAACCTAAATTTGATTCTCTCCTCTCCACAATCTGTAGGGTCCTGGACACATGAGGCAACTCCTCTGATCCTCTTTTCTCATCTTTAAAATGGACATAATAATACCTGTCCTACTTACCTCACAGTGAGGATAAAATGAGATACTAATAAAATGCTATACAATATAAAACTCTTACTAGTTTTATATTCATCTCATACTGTAAAAAGTAAGATATACTTTAAATTCGTTTTTGAAGGGGAAAAATACAGATGTATGGATGGAAAGTAAATGAAGAGATAGAAACAAGGAAATTATTATGATCTACTACCATGTAAGCTCCTAAAAACAAGGAGCACATTTTAGTCAGTTTTGTATCCCAGGAATCTGGCATATCATGAATTATTAAATGTTGGTTGAATTAGCATACCAAAAAATGAAGTGTTACTGATTTTCCTAGGGATGACTCCGGAAAAAGTGTCCGTGGCCTTCCATACCTTTCTATGGATGTAAATATGGAGTCATAGAGTCATTGACCAATTACATAGTAGTTTAAACCTGATTTAGAGGAATGAAATACTACCTATTTGACTGATGGGTACACTAAAAGCCCAGACTCCACCGCTATGCAATATATCCATGTAACAACAACTGCACTGCACTTGTGCCCCTAGATCCCTAAAAATAAAAAAATTAAAAAAAAATCCAGCCAAACTTGGTGACGCATCCCTACAGTCCCAGCTACTTGGGAAGCTGAAGTAGGATTGCATGAGGCCAGGAGTTCAAGGCCAGCTTGTACAGTATAGCAAGACCCCATCTCTCTCTCTCTCTCTCTCTCTCTCTCTCTCTCTCTCTGTCTCTTTAACTAAAAAGTAAACTTTAATTTCGAAAATGCAAACTTGGGGAAGACAGAAAGATCACAAACAAGGCTGTCACTTCACACTTGGAAGGTTGCACAGCGGCCAGGCAGAGGCGCTCCTCACTTCCCAGATGGGGTGGGGGCCGGGCAGAGATGCTCCTCACTTCCCAGACAGTGGGGGGGCCGTTTTTTGTTGTTGTTGTTGTTGTTTTCTTTGAGACAGAGTCTCGCTCTGTCACCCAGGCTGGAGTGTAGTGGTGTGATCTCGGCTCACTGCATCCTCCACCTCCTGTGATCAACAGATTCTCGTGCCTTAGCCTCCCGAGTAGCTGGGACTGCAGGCACGCACCACCATCCTCGGCTAATTTTTGTATTTTTAGTAGAGATGGGATTTTGCCATGTTGGCCAGGCTGATCAGCAAGAACCCATCTCTAAAAAGAGATTGAAAAGAAATTTAAAAACTGGTCCAGACTATGCCTCAGGCTTAATTAGTGGATTGCCTTATTTCTTGCTCCTCAAAGTGTACTTTCTGCAACACTATCAGTCTATCCCCATTGCTGGCCTGTGACAATATAAGTACAGAAATTGAGAATAAGCGTTTAGATATTTTTATAGCAATTTGACAGTATAATTTTACATCTATTAAATTTCTTTTAAAAATGGCTTGACTTTTCTGTCTTCTTAATTGTACTATTAATTAACTTTATTGTATTTTTCAAAAGAATTGGTGTATGACAGATTGGGTTGGGGGTGCTGAACAGTCCTTCATCACAGGCCGCTTGAGAAACACCGGCCTGGTTTATTACCCTTAGTACTGTCACTAGTTTCTTCCCTCAAAAATTACCAATGTGATACTTGAGATGTCATACCTGTGCAAGCCCTTAGGCTTTTTATGAGTCCTGCAAATTAAAATTGATTTAAGAGCAGATAAGCAGATCCTGGGTTAGGTAATTACCAGAGTGCTTAATCCAGTGAGAATAAGGACCTGCTGTCTCATGATATCACGGAACAAGGTCCAAAATAGACAAGATTTTACCACAACTCCTCTACCTACTAAGGCATAACCTTGGGTGAGCAACTCTTTGAGATAGTTTTCCTGTTACTAAAATGGGGATAATTATTTCTATATTAAAGAAATTTGAAGTATTCTATATTACAGGAATAAATGGCTCTGCAGAGGTTGCTTAGCATAGAACCTGGCACTTGGAGGGAATTCACTAATTCTGGGTATTACTACAGTTGTTTGTTTTGGCAGATCCTCTGGGGCAGGAGTAAGCCTCAGGAGAAATTTGAGAAAGGGCTAGGATCAATGGACTCTGACGGCAGAAAGTGGCGCAGATCCTGGTAGATTATTTCGTCTCAGATGGTTCTGACCATAACCTGCATCAGTGCTTCCTGGCCTTAACTGCATGCACATCACTTGGGCATCTTATTAAACTGCAGACTTTAGTAGATCCTGGGGCCTGGGATTCTACATTCTAATAATCTTCCAAGTGAGGTGGATACTGCAGGTCCACAGACCATTCTTTCAGCAACAAGGCTATAGAAAAAGTTCTGACTTTAGCAGGTAAGAACCATCTAGAGGGAATGCTAAGTAGATTGCTGGACCCCATCCCCAGAGTTTTCAGTTTAATAGGTCTTGGGTGTGGTCTGAAAATGTGGATTTCCAACAAGTTCTATCAGCATCAGGTGATGCTGTTTGTACTAGCACGGGAACCACACTTGAAGAAGCATTCCCTTAGACTATGAAACAGAAATCTTGGTTTTTTCATTGATTTTAAGCAAATAATCAACTTGTCTCAGTTTCCTTGTCTATAAAATGAGGACAAACTGAACACTCTGTAAGATCCTTTTTAGTTCTAAAATCTATCAATTCTTATTGGCAGTTATTTCAAAATAAACTAATATGCATTGGTAATTATGAAATCCATGTAAATACATTTTTAAACAAATAGTGTTTCCTCTATTCAAAAACGATGAATAATGACACAGCTATACCTAGGAAAGAATACTCACCTGCAACCTTCTTTGCCCTACTGGGGTGTGGTAAGTTTAGCTTGACAGAACCATTTCTCTTTTAATAGAACCATTGTTTTTAGAGCCTGGAAATCTTAAGACTTCTGCCTGTTTTCTTTATGAGAAGCCCGAGAGAGAGAGAGAGAGAGAGAGAGAGAGCTTTCCATTTTTGACTTGTTATATTCCAGGCTGGTCTTAATGTTGTCATTTAGGGACCAGACACTATACTGTGCACTTGATGTTGATTATCTTACTTAGCTCTCACCACAAATTCATGAAGGAATTGTTCATCTCGTTTTTCTACTTAGAAAACTAATGCTTGAAGGTTTTAAGCAAGTTACACAAGTTTCCGCAGGTGGTAGTGATGGAGCTAAAATTAACGCCCAGCCCAAGGATGACAGAGCCAACACTCTTAACCACTGTGCTGTAATCATGTAGAGTAGAAAAAACAATGGGCAGAAGGGGAGGCTGTTTGATACTTTCAGGGTCAACATTTAAACTGCAGATAATCCTGCTTTCCCAGCTCTCTCAATCCCTAATGATGGAAGATAGTGACAGTAAAAAGTTATGTTGAGTCTGAAAGGTGCCAAACCCAAAAGAGAATGTACTCTGTGATTACATATCAATGTGAAGTTCAAGAATATTAAAAACTGATCTAATGTGACAGAAGTTAGTAGAGTGACTCGCTCTGGAGGAGTGAACAGGGGCAGGAGGGACCTTTCCCAGGCAATGAAAATATTGATGTGGGTAGTAGTCAAAAGGGTGTATCCATATGCAAAAACTCATTGAGCTATACATGTAAAATTTGGTCATTTACTCTATATTAATTCTACTGCAATAGAAAGGCATCTGGGAGCAAATATACATATATACATACGTATGCCTATCTTCTCCGATATATATCCAACCATGTATTCATAATTCCTCACTTAGTTTCTAAAGGTTAGTGAGAATTTACCACCCCATTTCACAGACAGATTAAGTAAGGCAGAGAGAGAAATCTATAGCATGTTACTGGTTTTCTAGTTCTCAGTGTTCTTCAGAACTTTATACTAATCGCAGAAACAATAAAAGCTTTTTTGCCTTAGGCCAGACACGTTTGTAAAAAGGCAAAACTCGGTATAAAATGTGTCTCCCCAAACCATAAATTATATTCTTTTCAACAGCGTGTGATTTTATATACCACATTCAGGACAACTCTAAAGGGATCATTGTTTTTTCAGCAAAACTGCTTTATTTGCTAATATTCAGCTCATCCGTACTTTCTTCATCTTGGTCTGTGATAATGTGTCCCCTCATTTCTTTGTAAGATAATGGAAGATAATTCCCTAAGAATCCCATTTGCTATCTCTCTCCATTGGTAAGGTCACTTAATTTAGTGTCTTCATTAAGTACCACTCAAAGTTTAATAATTGTGCTGGCACCAGTGTCCCCTCACTCCTCTCCCAATGTATTTTGTGTCATCTATGCTTGTTACAACTCATCCCCCTTCATCTGCCCATAAACTGCAGTCATGATATTTCATGATATTATGAACACTATGTAATTTACAAATGGCCTCGCATACCTAAAGGACTGTTTAGAAAGAAAGAATAAATTGTTGCAGAGAAAGCTAGAGAAACAAGTGGAATCGCGAAGTTTCATTAGAGACAGCTCAAAGGAAGAGATTTTTACAGTGGTAGTTTCTTATTCTTAGACAAGGAGCAGACACTTGCAGGGGGGAAATAAAACAGGCAGCTATTTTGTGTTCCTAATTAAATTGTTTGCCACCAGTGGCAAAACAGAATCTGCCGCTATTAAACAGGCCACATCAAGGTAATCAACACTGGCTTACTAAATCTATTTCAGTGCAAGAGAGAACTGCAAACCTAAACAAACAAACAAGCAAAAAAATACATTGCATACCTTTGAAGTACTTTTTGTATATGAGAAGCCTGCCTCGAATGTTGAAAAAAGCAAAAGCCTCGAATTCACAGGAAGCAACATTTTTAACCTGCCCCACTGTATCCAGGTGTCAGGGAGATTCTGAATAGTCGGTAATTCTCAAAGCTACAGAACAGGAGTCTGCTTTTTCTCCCACACCTTGATGCACAGTTCCTATTAAATGTAGCTGGAGTTACAAACCATAGGAGAAAAAAATGCATCTGTCTCCTCTGCAACATTAGAATTGTGAACTGAATATTCTCACTGCCTGGGGTTTCATAGAAAACATCTGAATTATCTTTCAATGTACTGGAAAAATAAACATTAACTGCACACTTGTCCTTCTCATTTTCTGCTTTGGGATCATGCAATGCTAGTGTTAGTTAAAATATTTTTTAAATTATAACTCTCAAAGTGTTAGGACTCTTGCAATTGTACCACATCGTTGAACGTTTCCCTGGTAAAGACGTTATTCTTTAAACTGTGGTTTTCTGTTCACATCACAAATGAGAAATAGTGAAGAGATAATGCGAGGTTTAACTAGTATTTAGACATTTCTACTTTAAGACACATTTAGGTGCTTTAAGAGATAAACAGTTCCCCAGCCCACCCCACATGCGCCCCCACCCCTGCCCTGCCTCCCGGCACCCCCATGAAAACTGCAGAGTCAAGTAGTAGGGGGAAAATATAGTTCCCTACAAGGGTTTACTTCCTAATGCTGCTGCCTGATTTTAGTTCCCAGACAAGTGACAAGCCAAAACAAAAAGATAAATAAAAATCAAACACATATACAACAACAAAAACAACCCCTCACATTAACATAGGGGCCTCCTGGTGCTGGAAGCTGAAACTCCTCACAGGATCTTCTATACGCAAAAATCTGGTCTTATTTTTCTTTAACATAAGGAGAGAGTAAGATAGGGCTGAGAAATGTGATCTCTGCTGGCAGAAAAGAGAATAGAATCAGCTACTTTTATGAACACATTTAAAGCCTGTGTCATAACTTCAGAAACCTTGATGTGATTGAAGCTTAGTAAATTTCAGGAGATCTGCTTTAAAATGGTTTTGTACTATTCTTTGAGAAGTCACTTTGTTTTGCCAGCTCTGGATGCTAATAGGGACTGGTATTTTTTCCTGGCTGTGTCAATGACATCACACAAGTTGCACTCCACGATGACAAACATAGAGGAACAAAGTCCACAGAGGCATGGGCAGCAGCGATCAGGGAAAATGCCATCATGCAAAGCTCTCTCTGGTTAGATAGCTTGCATTTTCTGAGTGTTGGTTGCTTACTTGTTCTTAAAGATATACATCTTTCTTTAAGAAATTAAAGAAATGTTAATCTGGAAATCAACATAGGGTCTTTTCTTCATTGTATGAGAAACATCATTGTAAATATCACTTCTCTCTGCATTCATGAAATGCTGATTATTAAGAATATATATCATAATCCACAAAAATCTAGACACTGATCTTTGTTAGCTATTTCACATATAAGATAATATGTTCATAAAGATGTATACAGATAATTTAATGTAGAATTTAATAATCAGCCCAGTTTATGTGCCACTGAAAGACATAGTACTTAGGAAATACAGTATATTTCTGTTTTTCTAAGAAAGTTAGGGAGTATGTTTAATTAATGCTAAAATGCAATAGAATTCCTATGGAAGTACTTATGACATCCCCATGAATACCAAATGAGTTCATTATGATCTGTGTTATTACAATGAATACCACATGAATTAATAATGCTGGAACACTCAAAATGAAGTGTTACCAAGTGTTGTGGTATAACAAATATGGTTAAATATTATGTGATTAAAGTTATTATAAGCTGAGTTTCGATCAAAAGAAAGCAAAATTCCATCTCTATTTCAGGGAGTTAAGAGTGGAATCAAACTGTTGTTTCTACACGTTGTGATTCTTAACTTTCAACAGTCCCTTAAAGCCTTTCTCCAAATACTATAATCATTTAAATTACCTTGGTTAGAAGTGGCAGAGGAGGTGGGTGGGGGTGGATGGAGTGATGAAGGGAGGTTGGCAGGCAGAGAAGTTGTGGAAGGAGCAACTAATATACCTCAGGAATTCACCCAACTTGGAAGTATATATATGATTTTTCCATAGTTTGCGTTTTAAGACATGGAATTTTCAGTTCAGTTATTCTTGTCTACTGACAAGCTTATTAAAATAATTATTTAGTATGTATTTCAGGACAGTGAAGCCATAATGAACAAGAACATTTTCTTCAGCTTTCAAGTTGAAGTCCTACTTTTATGTGTCGGAGATTCCATAACAATTTCTAAAATCAATTATTTTAAATAATACATCCCAACTGTATTTGTGTAAATTATTGCTGCACATTCTGCTGTAGGAAAGCTGGACTCTACATCTGCATTGTATTATTTATGCACTTAGATGTAATACGGTGTAACAATTCATATCTATTGTAGATTTAGTAAGACATGAAGGCAGAAGTGGATTTAATCAGACATGTAATTATTTTTATGCCTTCAACTCAAAAATATGCGTAAATGAATTTATGGTTATTTGGCAATCAGTGGAAATGGTCTTTATAAATGTTGAAACAGCTGCTGGCAAATATATTTGCAAAAGAAGGAAAACGGCACTTATCTTCTAGTCGGGTAAATGATAAAGGAATGACTGTTAGCCGTAATGCAGTATCCTAGCTGTTAAATATTTGCTTCGTCATCCTTAACATTACACAAACATACATTCAACATAAGAAAAACTTGCAGTTCTTTCCTTCTGTGATAATGGAGCACATTTTCTCATAAGAGGATTTTTAGAACACCTCTGTGTCTGAGAATGCTCTTTTCTTCTGAGTCTGAGCAGTTGCTGTCATGCTGTTTCACTTGTACATTCCCATTTATTCTATTATTTGTGGTATCATTCCAGTTCTTGAGATAGAACACTCTCATTTAAAATAATGGGCCATGATAATGCACACACTTCTGTCAAATATGTTGATTCTGGTGTCTATTAGGATTTCTCACTGTTGCTTTTACAACGGCTTTAAGACATTCGGAAAACTTTCCTTCCACAGAGCGTAAATGCAGTCCTCGTACTACCTGGTTATGATTACTTCGTTGTGTTGAAGCATCTAATAAATTACATATCGGTAAATGTAGATCTTGGACAAATACCCCAAGAAAATCTAATTCTCTTGAAGTGCATCTTTTTTCATTCTTTCAAGTTTTCAGTTTAAATTTAGTGCCTTTGACTGGTGAAAAATTAATAGCACTGGTACCTGAAATCTTCTCTATAACCTGTGGTGGAGGAAAAGCTTCCTAGAACCTTTCTAACGTGTCAATTACAACCCAGATAGATTACTATATGAGGAATTATTTCATTTTTCTTGGATCAAATATAAAACAGCTATAATATTTTTAAGTTGTACTGAAGGAAGCATGGTAAAGACACTCCTGCACTCAGGGCTAGGGCAGGCAACATAAACAAAGCTGTCACTCTCTCTACAAGGTGAGCTTGTATTTGAGCATGCATTCGGATTGTATGCATATGGTGATTTCCAACACTAACCGTTTGGGTGATACTCAAATTATAACACACCACTGACTTAAAAGTC
The DNA here is from genome assembly GCF_000001405.40 of Homo sapiens. Taxonomy (NCBI): domain Eukaryota; kingdom Metazoa; phylum Chordata; class Mammalia; order Primates; family Hominidae; genus Homo; species Homo sapiens. Next base: position 21,254,036 of record NC_000007.14, read on the forward strand.
ACTTGCATCCGACTTTTGTAAATCATGGGGTTCTCTTTCATTCAGGTATGTTGTCTCAGTGATCAGTAGCATTTCCAATAAATTATACACTGACCAGTTGGCAGAGCTTCTGCCCGTTATTGGAGCAAAGCCTGCAAACCTCCTCTGTCAGATGCTGCATTCCCAGCCCTCAGCCCCCTAACGTAGCAGAGTTCCTTGGCAAACGACAGAGTGCCCTCTGTTGATGGAAAAAGTAATGCGCAGCGGAGGATACAGAGAGAAGCTTTCCTACTAGAAGTCGCAGAGCTGCCCGTTAGCCGATACACATTTGTGATGTAAAAATCACATTTTAAATTATAAAAATATTGATTTAATGAATATTGAGAGAGTACAGATGATTGCAAATTCAGACACAATTGTTGGAATTATGTATTTAGATAGATACACACATAAACACGCTAGTTATTCAGTTTCTACATACCTGGAAATGCTACGTAAGACGACTCCTTTTTTACTCTGTGCAGTATAGATTCAACCTACACAAGCAAATATTTCGTTTCAAATTTTTCTGCAACCGAATAGAACATTTAGCATGAACAATGATGCTACATGCTCAGGCTCTATACACTTAACTAATGTTAAAAATGAAAAACTGTAAGAATTCCGCTGAACAGAGATTTCTAATTCCTTCAGGTTTAAGGAGGGAAATCAACAGAAAGCAAAACCGCTGAGAAAAGCCTTTAGCTTCAGCGTTGTCTCTGCAGGGTGAGGAAAAATTGATAGCCTGGTTTGCTGTTACTGCTTTCAAACTAAGTTCCAGTGAGCCTTCATAAAACAGTAAATTGTATCACAATTTTAAAGCAGTAATTCACTAAGCACTCACTTCTTCACTTCCATGTTTCTATTTGCTTTCTTTTGAAATGGAAAAAATCAAATCTCACAGAAGTGATATCTTTACATTTTAAGGCCATTTCATATGTTAATTAGTTTAAAAGCAACATGAAAAAATGTTAGCTTGCACAAATACTTGCAGTTAACATTTTTTAAAGTGTGACTTTCTTGACTATTTTGGAGAAATAAACTCTGGTTGCTGTTGCAAGTTGAAAATGTTTCTGCCTGAGAGGTTGCATTTTGGGATCTGCACGGATTTAAATACTCCTCTACCTGCTTCTTCACTTAAATTTGAGTATTTGCAGCCACAGAATTAACCTATTGTAATGACTTGATTGCAATCTTCAATTTTATTGTTATGAAGGAAGAGTTTTCTTTCAAGGTTTATTTGCAAGTGTTAAATGGAATTAAGACAAAAAAAATCTTTATGCCATTTCCAAGAAACTGTTACCTAGAAGAAAAGGAAAGAGGATGTTAAATGGAGTTTTCAGATTTGTTGCTGGTACTGATGAAATTAACCAGATAAATTGTTTGGTACTCATTTTCATTTTCCTTACAGAGGCTCTGAGATTTTTTTTTAAGTAGTTTGCCAATTCTTGACTTCTTCATACCCAATCTTTATTTATATGAAATCACTTTTTTAAGTGTGAATTCACATACTATTCACAAGGTTTGTTGGCATAAGAATGAGATATGTGCTAAGGAAATCATTTAAAATGTGAGCTGGAATTCTCGATTAGTGGTAACAGTCTGACAAAATGGAGCCAGTGATGGCTCGAGTTTGTTAATATACACAGTCCAAATAGCAACATGAAAACTAAGAACTTCAGTTCGTTGGTGTGCTTGAGATTTCAGCTCACTGAAACCTCTGCGTTAGAGAGGAATTGCAAACAGAAGAGAATGAGATCCTGTTGTATGACAGGAATGATACTGCACTGGGGATTTTTAGGATTCCGAAGTATTTTACCAATACTCCCTAAATATGCTTTCCTACTTATTCTCGGCTTAGCCCTTACACTTTGATCTGATATTTTTCAAGCTTTTTCTTTCCTTAAACAGTATAATCATTTTGTTTTTCTTTCTGATCAGGAATATAATGATCTCACTTCTATTGCTTTTTTCAAACAGTAAGATTACATTTAAACAATGACAGGGAACAAAACTTAAGTATGATAAACACTTTTCCCATTGCTATAAACAACTGAAAAATAACAAAATTATCAAAATATTCTCATTTCAAAATTTTTCATTTTGTTTTATTTCAAAAATGCAATGAAGTCTCAAACATTTTCTTTTCCACCATTTTAATTGAAATTGGAAATTAAAATAAATTCTGTTTAAAGGGAAAACTAATTTTTAGTTAGAAATTAAACTCAAAGTATAATTTGCTTATACATTAATAAAGTATATATAACGTAAAGTATATTTAACCTTTTAAAGTTTTCCCCTTCCCTAGATAATTTTGTTATTTAAATGAATTGAATTATAAAATAATCTCATGGCACTGTGTAATATTTTACGATACAATCCAGTTAAAGAGGTGCTAAATATTTTAGAAACAGCCCACCAGAGGGCAGTCAGCTTTTAGTCTAACGTGTTGGAAATAGATAAATTTATTATGATGGCTAAGTTTTAAATAAAATATCTATTTAAATCACATAACTTCTTGCATCTAGGAGGTGAACAAAGTGAAGTTATGACTTGAGATTGAGAAGCCTGAGGCTTCAAACCATTTTGATAAAAAATCACCAAAGGACTAACAATTCTAACAATTGCCCTTCTGTACTCCCTCACACTCAACCTTTTCATTGTGATATTTATGTTTGGTTATAAAGTAAGATTTATTTTGATTTGAGATGTTTTGGTGCATTAATTTTTTTTCTAATCAGTGGAGACTTTGGGACAAGCTCCTGCTAAGAGAGAAAGAGAGAAGAGAGATTTTGTTTTCTTGCTCACCTGTCTGTATATTCCTACTAATTCCAAAATGAGTCTACTGTGGGTTTTAATGGAGCTTAATAATATTATTATACAAATGACACAGAAGAGATTCTGGAACATATGAATGGTGATTGGAGAATACATGGTTTGTTTCCTTGTGTAAACTCTAGGGGTGTTGGGCACTAAGTTGCCTCCAGTCACCTTAATAGTCAGAGATAATAACATCCACTTAGAAGAGGATTAAAAGAACACTGAAATCCTTGCATGTATTATTTTATTTAAAATAAAGAAGAGTCCATCTCTACTAAAGATACAAAAAAAAAAAAAAAAATAGCCGGGCGTGGTGGCGGGCACCTGTAGTCCCAGCTACTCGGGAAGCTGAGGGAGGAAAATGGCATGAACCCGGGAAGTGGAGCTTGCAGTGAGCCAAGATCATGCCACTGCACTCCTGCCTGGGTGACAGAGCAAGACTCCATCTAAAAAATAAATAAATAAATATAAATAAGAGTCATTGAGGTTTGGACAATGTTTTGTCATTGTTGTTATTACTATTATTATTGGCAAAATTCTGGTTGTCAAATTTCTGAGCCCTGAAAACAAAATCCTTCTCCTAAAGTCTGCAAAAGAGGCCATGAGTGAACAGAAATATTTATGAGAGCTGAGGTGCTTTCAGATACTCACTTGCTAGATTTCTTATAATAATCTTGTGAGGTATAAGACCCATGTTAAATAACTTGGTCAAGGTAACAGAAATGAGACTTATACCTTGTCATTTTCCTCTTCTCTCACTTGCCTTGGAATTAAGAAACAAAGAAGCTAAAGATTTTTTTTCCTTGTGTTGTTTATTTATTTTTGTTTTATTGGTTTTGGAACCCAAGTTTCCCTAATTATAAAAATTATTCACGCTTATAAGAAAATAATGATCTTAGCAAAGACATAGAATAAATCTAGATGCCCACCAAGGACAGACTGGATAAAGAAAGTGTGGTACATATACATCATGAAATACTATGCAGCCACAAAAAAGAACAAGATCGTGTCTTTTGTGGGAACATGGATGGAGCTGGAGGCTATTATCCTTGGCAAACTAGTGCAGGAACAGAAAATCAAATACCAGATATTCTCACATATAAGTGGGAGTTCAATGATGAGAACTCATGAACACAAAGAAGGAAACAACAGACACTATTGTTGAGTCTACTCAAGACTCTGTTGTTGGGTCTACTTGAGAATGGAAAGGGGGAGGAAGGAGAGGAGCAGAAAAGATAACTATTGGGTACTGCACTTAATACCTGAGTGATGAAATAACCTGTATAGCAAACCCCCATGACACGACTTTACCTATGTAAAAAACCTTCACATGTACCCCCAAACCTAAAATAAAAGTTAAAAAAGAAAAGAATGATCTTATAAACACAGAGATTAACACTGCTAACATTAAGATATGTATGCTTCCAGATATTTCCTATACACATATACATACTTACAAAAGTGGAATCACACTCTTTCTGCTGTTTCACAGCCTCCTCTATTCACATGGATATAAAAGATATCATGGACATCTTTTCATGTCAGTATGTGTAGATAATAACAGCTCACATCTACTGAGTGCTTACCATGTGCTAGGCACCTTTCTATGCATTTTGCATGAGTTGTTCCATTAATTTCCACAACATCCCTATGAAGTAGGTACTATTATTTCCCCCATTTTTTTAGAAGAGAAAAGAGATTAACTAGTGGCCAACACACAGACCCCACATGTTAATCTCTTGGCTTTTTAAGGGCTATGTTAGATTCTGCTGTATGGACTTACCAACCTTCTTCATTGGTGCGTAGTTCCATGTTTCTGGAAAGAGCAATTTCCAGAAAGAACAACTCCGGTATCCAAACTAGTTGCTTGTGTCCTCTCACATGTAAATATACCTCAAACTATCTCAACTTTGCTGATCCCATTATCTTTTTAGAACTCCCTTCTCCCTCTCCATGTTTTCCTAAAATTTACCCAGATCCACTTTTCAGGACTCCTGAACCTATCTTATCACTGCCACTGAGACACAGCAACTAACTCAGGAGTGACATGCCCAGAATCCAAACCTAAACTGTGCTATGTATCAACCAAGTGACCTTAGGCATGACTTAGTCCACCCAAGCCACATTTTTCTTATCAGTAAAATGAGGATAAAATATCTACCTCACAGAGCTATTTGGTAGTCTCAAATAGCATAGATACGCATGTACCTGGCAAATAGTAAATTCTTAATAAATGTCAGAGAGAAATGCCCCCTTGCTTGAATGAGGACCTCAAGGTCAAAGGGAGAGAAAATAGCAGATCCTACATTGCTATAAAAGACAAACTCCTTTGGGAGGCCAAGGTGGGTGGATCACTTGAGGTCAGGAGTTTAAGACCAGCCTAGCCAACATGGTGAAACCCTGTCTCTACCAAAAATACAACAATTAGCTGGGTGTGGTGGTGGGGGCCTATAATCCTAGCTACTTGGGAGGCTGAGGCAGAAGAATCGCTTGAACCAGGGAAGCAGAGGCTGCAGTGAGCTGAGATTGTGCCACTGCACTCCAGCCTGGGCAACAGAGCGAGAATCAGTCTCAAAAAAAAAAAAAAAAAAAAAAAGACAAACTCAAATTTTAATGCTAGACTTCTGTGTCTAAGAACTTTGAGGATTCCAGGTTATATTATCTTTATCTTGATACACACATATGAAGAAAACCCTAAATGAATCTTTTTCTTGGCTATATTTGAATGGAAATTTTTGGAAAGCAAATTTAAAAGATCAAACAAATATTTATTGGGACAGATTTTTTGCAACCCAATAAAATAAAGCCCTGAGAGAAGGAAGTCTAACAGAGGGCAAAGCAAACTATAATCCCTTGCTGGTCAGTCTTCTTTTTCCTACAAAATGTCTAGGAATACCTATAAATACTAAATTATGAAGATTTGAAAAACATACTCTGGACTCATGCTCCATCACTTGTGCTCAGGGACTGTTTAATTGGAGCCAGTACCAAGATGCTAATTCCAAATTTATTCCTCAAAATGATTTCTGCTCCAAATTTAAGCACCCCTCTTAGTTGGCCCAACTTAGTGAATGTCAGAATTTGAGATGAGAGCTGACTGATGAGACTCCAAGCATGGGATGGTGAGGAAGAGCCAGAGGAATTGGCTAAAACATTAGCACCATGCTTCCAGGCATTCACACTGTGCAAATGCTTCTGCGGTGGGCAGGCCTCCTTATTATCTGCAGGTTCCCAAACCAGGAAGACTGTGAGCCATTCCCCCTCAAAGACCAAAGGCGTGGATGCAAATTTGCCCTTATTGCCCAGAGTGGCAGAAATCACTAGAGCACATGGGCTGAGGCATGGCCACATATACCGATGTGTAAGCCACTTATGTGATGGACAGTTTCCTTTCCTTTTATTTTATTTTATTTTGATACAAGGTCTTACTCTGTCCCCCAGGCTGGAGTGCAGTGGCAAGATCATGGCTCACTGCAGCCTCAACCTCCCTGGGCTCAGGTGATGCTCCTACCTCAGCCTCCCAGATAGCTGAGACTACAGGTGTATGCCATCATGCCTACCTAATTTTTTTTTTTTTTTTTTTGACATGGAGATGAGGTTTCTCTATGTTGCCCAAGCTGGTCTCAAACTCCTAGGCTCAAGCAATCCTCCCACCTTGGCCTCCCAAAATGCTGAGATTACAGGCGTCAGCCATTATGTCTGGCCACCATTTATTTTTGAGAGAGATCCCTGAACCAACACCAAAAATGAAAAATGGCCCCTGTTTGATATTTACCCTTTGGGATTGTCTAGTCGTGATTTAGCCAAGAGGTCTGTCTGTAGCATCTACATCTGCTATCATTCCTGGTCAGGTACATGATCCATGGACCCAACCTTAGGAGTGAAGTTAATTCCGTTGAGTCTAGGTAGTTCTGAGTTTCCACATCATCTCATGCACTTTTCATGAGAACGCCTTTTGCCTGGTATTTAACAGATGAGGCAGCTGAGGTGTAGGTAAAGAGATTTCCCCAAGCTCTCAAAGATGCTCATAAAGTAGCGTAACACACAGAATGAAATAGCTGATCCTCAGACCCAGATCTTCTGATTTTAAGCCCAGGATTTTTTCAGTGATCTGGGAACTGCTTTCCCCATAGATTTTCCAAGTGTTACCAATTACTGCCAGTCCTGGTAGGTCCCTGTGTAATACAAGGAACTTCCATAGTAACAGCCTGCTTGTTTCCTCCACTGGGGATGTTTGAAGCCACTAAAACACACATCAAAACTGACATTTATAACTCCTAGTTTTACAGCCTGTACTTCAGAAAGTGATATGTATCAATCTAGCTACTGACATTTAGGGCTAAAAAAAAAAAACAAACCCTGAGGTAATATGATTGGCCACATTCTGTTTTTTTTTTTTTTTTCCCGATATTGCAACCACTGGACTTAAATAGAAAATGTTCAAAAGACCCCAAATGTCACAGTCAAGAACTGCATCTAATTACTAACCAATTAGGTAACATCGTTGGTCTAACTGGCTCGGAGGGAAAGAAAAATGAAAGCCTCAGGACATAAGCCTACAAGGCATTCCAACTTGGTACTGGGGTTGCAAAGCAGAAGTACTTCCTTTTTTAATCTTTCAGCATTTATACTGTATTCCATCTTTAGAGAGAGAGTTAATTTTTCTGTGCTTAGTTTACTAGTTTGTAGAACTCAGCGACTATCTCTGAATAAGGCATAAGGAAGAAAAGTTTGCCACACAGTACCAATTGGGAAAAGCTAACTTATCATTCAGTAACAGGCACTCCCCAGATCTCAGTGACTTTACATTACAAAGGTTAACTGCTCGCTCACAGAACACATCCATCTCCATTTGACAGGGAACTCTCATTCATGTGGTTCTCACGCTGAGACCTGGCTGACAGCAATATCTGGAATATTCTGGTCACTGTGGCTAAGGGGAAGTAAACTCTGGAGGGGCTCACACCAGCAATACTTTGACCTGGAAGTGACATGTGCTATTATTACCTCCTACATCTCTCTTGTAAGAACAAGTAACATGGCCTTATCCTACCCCACCACAAGAGGGCCAGGCAGTGTGGTCCCACCAGAGCAGAAAGCAGGAAATACTCAATATACCACCCTCATGGCTGGTGGTACTGGGATAAAAATTGCATCTCAGAAAGAAAAAAACAAGTCTCTTTTCAACATATTCTGCTATTCTGATGCTTGCCTTTGACGTTGTCGTTCACGTGAAAACCAAACATTGTAAAATGTGTATGTTAAAGGGAATTTGGAAAATAGAAACACAAATTTTGAGCTATTAATGTTTTGTGAATGTCCATAGTGTAACACCCAAACATCCACACATTCATTCATTCATGAATCTATTCCCCATGCAGATGTTAACTGAGCAATAGACAGATGATGAGGACATGCACAAAGCAGTCCCTTCACTCCTAGAACTGACAGTACCTGGGGGAGATGGCCTGCCATGCACCACTACCACAGTGTGACAGAGGAAGAAGGGGCCAGAAGCACATAGGAGGGGCGCCCAATCCAGTTAGAGCGTCAACAGAGACTGCCGGGAGGATAGTACCCCTAGGCTGAGACATGAGAGAAAGGAAACACATTTTGGTACATTTCCTTTCAGTCTGTTTCCCTCTAAGCCTAGTTTGTTATTTTTACATAATTGTAAGAAAACTGTTTAGCCGAATTTGTATACTGCTGTGCAGAAAACTAGGTCTTTAGAGTTTCACTTTTTAACTCAGAGAAATCCATATGACAACAGTTTCTTACTTCCAATAAAACTTCAGCATATGAACAAAATTTGCAAATGTGGAATTTTATGATGCTGATACAGAAAACATATGTTAACTAAGAATGAGCTTGTATTTTTACTTCTCAGTATTTTATTGCCTTAGCCAGGCTGTCAACCAAATATATAAATTTCAAACATTAAGAGGTACAAATCAACCCACTAAAATATCTGTCAGAGCTTTCTGCATTAATCAACTGTGATGTATTGTAACATACAGGGAAAAAAATTGTGACAGAAATTCAAAACTAATCGAATAAGCATAATATTAAAAAGCATGAATTTGAGTTATTACTTAAGCTTAAATAAAAGAGTGGAGCGAAAACTTCCTGTAGTACCTGCACATTGCAGTTTATTATAAATTTTCTACGTGTTATAGAAAATTAAACTGTGTACTACTTATAAAAGGGTTTTAATTTAATTGGACACATTCAAGTTATATTAAAATATATTTCAAACCTATTTTGGTTGCTTTAAAGAGTAGCTTAAAATTCTACACTCAATGTTGACTAATATTTTAAAATTCTTTAAAATTTTGGCCAAAAAGGGCTAATTTCTTAATAAGTATATCTCTCTTTAGCCAAGAGCCAACATCATGTCTGATGGTGAAACACCAAAGGCGTTTCCATTAAAATTCAAAAAGATAAAGAAAAGATTGTCCCATCATAAATATTAAATAACAGTTTTCAGAATATTCTGGCTAGTTCTCAAAATAAGATTAGAAATAAGAGGAATAAACATTGGAAGGAGGGGAATTATCATTATTTTTCATGAACAAAATTATATACTTAGAAAGCCCATAAAAATCTCTCATAATCATTAAGAATTTCACTAAAAGTGATAGATGAATCTGCACAGTCAACCACTATTTTAAATAAGTATAAAAATGTTAAAAATACAAAAGCTAAGATTAATTATGCTTATAATCATAGCAATGTGTAAAAACACACCTGGAATAAATGCTAAAAAAATGTGCATAAATCATAATAAATAAATTACAAAGTATTTCTCTGAAGATTTAAAAAATTTGTCTCCATAAAAGCCCAAATAATATGAAGATAATTCATCCCAAATTGATTGATGACCAGCTGGGCATGGTGGCTCACGCCTGTAATCCCAGCACCTTGGGAGGCCGAGGCGGGTGGATCACCTGAGGTCTAGAGTTCAAGACCAGCCTGGCCAACATGGTGAAACCCCATCTCTACTAAAAATACAAAAATTAGCCGGGTGTGGTGGCACACGCCTGTAGTCCCAGCTACTCAGGAGGCTGAGGCAGGATAATTGCTTGAACCGGGGAGGCAGAGGTTGCAGTGAGAGGAGATCATGCCAATGCACTCCAGTCTGGGTGACAGAGTGAGACTTTGTCTCAAAAAAAAAAAAAAAATTGATTGATGAGCTTAAAGTTATTCCAGTTGAAGTATTTTCTGTCTCTAACTGGATTAATTGAATTATCTTAGATTTTTCCCATTCTGTTAGCTAAGAAGTTATATTTATTCATCTGCTACTCTAGTATTTTTCCTTAGATTTTAAACAAAACAATGTAAATGTGTTTCTCTATCGATATCAAGACTTATGTCATAACCTACTCTCCCACCCCATTCTACAACTACCAGTAATTCCTATATTTAGCTGAGATCACCTGGAATTTTAGTTGTTTTTGTTTTTTGTTTTTTGTTTTCTGAGACAGGGGTCTCACTCTGTCACCCAAGCTGGAGTACAGAGGCACAAACTCCACAAACTGCAGCCTCAACTTCCTGGGTACAAGCTATCCTCCCTCCTCAGCCTCCCAAACAGCTGGGACTACAGGCACATACCACCATTCCTGGCTAATTTCTGTATTTTGTAGAGATGGAGTTTCACCATGTGTTTCCCAAGCTGGTCTCAAACTCCTGGCCTCAATTGATCTGCCTGCCTCAGCCTCCCAAAGTGCTGGGATTACAAGTATGAGCCACCACACCTGGCCTTAGTTCTATATTACTATTTTTTTCGGAAAGTTTTAAAACCAATTTGCCATAACATCTCAGCCACTTTGTTTAAACTGAAGCATATTTTTACTGGTGTCTTTATATATTTATGTGACTATTCACAGACTTCTCATAGCTCATAGTTCCACCCCTCACTTCCCCACACACACTTCTAAAAGTATTATTCTATCTTTCCAACTGTGTTTCTGATGCCAACTGATACTCGTTTCAGGGAAATGGGCAAGTTGAAAAGTATAGGGGTGTACTTGCCTGCTTGATAATTTATATTAGAAAAGGCAGGGAGTTACTCTAGAAAGAAGCGGGGAAATAAATAAATTCAAACAGTTATGGGCATGGGCATAGGGTGAAAAAAATTATGGAGATCTTAGAATAAAGAAGAGAGATGTCAGGGCAGGTGGCATATATGGGAGACATTAAGAGACAAAAACAGGCTAGAGGATTTGAAAAAGTTTTATAGTGCACACTAATGTAATTCCCCTTTGACATTTTCTCCATAAATTTCATAAAATATTTTAGTTGATTTTAATTTTATCTATTTATTTGTTTGCTTATTTGTTTGCTTTACCATTATATCTTTGAATGTGACTCCTTATTTAAATTGCATTAGAGGGTGCTTCAGCTTTATATGGATTTTATTTATATATCATTCTATAATATACAAATCATACCATTCTATGAATTAAGAAATTCAGACCCAGACAGAAAAATCCAGTTCCTTTGGCACCTGAGTAGTTGTCAAAGACTTCAATGAATCAATCAGTTACTTTTCATTTTATAACAAGTCATCTCAAAACTTAGTGGCTTAAAACTACGAACAGGGCCAGGTGCAGTGGCTCATGCCTGCAATCCTAGTGCTTTGGGAGGCCGAGGCAGGAGGATCACTTGAGCCCAGGAGTTCAAGGCTGCAGTGAGCCATGATTATATCACTGCACTTCAGCCTGGGTGACAGAGTGAGACTCTGTCTCAAACAAACAAAAACTTCAAACAGTTATTATTTGTCATGATTCTGTGGGTTGGCATGGCTGCCCATAATTCACATAATAGCAGAAAGATGCCCAAAAGCCTCTTCTTGAGTTACCTTTGCTATTGTCCCATTGGCCAAAGCAAATTCTCTGGCAAAGCCCAGAATTAGTATGGGAAGTAGAGTCTATTTATTGATAGAAATTGCTGCAAATCACATTTCAAAAGGGTGTGGATAGACAGCGGGGAATGATTTGTGGCCATTGGTGCAATCTCCTATTCTCAGGGAGAGAACACGTTAGTAGTGTAGTTTATCTAATTTACAGGCCTCAATACCTAAAGTGAACTGCTATAAACTAAAAAGCAGTTAACTGGGGAGCTAGAACTACCAGTACTGGGTCTGCACAGAAAAACTTGAGTGGCTTGCCTACAAATAGTGGGACATCCTGGGTCATGGCATTTTTTGTGTGCTAAAACTGGGACAGTCTCAGGAAAACCAGTGTGGTTGATCATCCTACAATGAGTAGCAATAATTGAAAATAGCAACAGTGGAAATTATTTTGGGTCATCTTTGAATGCTTAGGAAATTCCTCCATGTTTATTTGTTTTTTGTTTCCAAAGATCCAGCTTGCTAAAGACAGGTACCCACCCTTACATGTACACAGATGTGTTATCAAATATAAACTTGCTGTAAAGGTATCAGTTGTAGAATATACCGAGAATGTAGTAGTTAGAAGGTAGATGCCAGTATTGCAACCTCCTTCAGATTTTTAGGCAAGTTATTTGGAAGAACTTGTCCATGTATGTAGCTAATTCCAGACCCTCATTTCCTCCCTCCCTGCCAAACCTGGACCTTAAATTTCCAAGTGCCCTTCCACTAGTGCAAAGCATGTATCAGAATCATTGAGAAAGCCTCAACATCAATTCCTGAAACCTTAAGCCAGACCTATTGAATCAGATTTCTAGGAAAGAGCTCCAGAAATATGTATGTCTTAGTCCATTTTCTGCTGCCAAAAGAGAATACCATAGACCAAGTAATTTATAAAGAAAATAAATGTATTTGGCTCACAATTCTGGAAACTGGGATGTCCAAGATCGAGAAGATGCATCTGGTGAAGGTGTTCTTGTGTCAAAACAGAAGGCATTACTTGGTGAGGAAGCCTAGAAAGAGAGAGAGAGGAAAAGAGGAAAAATGGGTTGCAACTTACCCACTCTCCATATAACACCCTTAATCCATTCATAAGGGTGGTGCTCCTATAACCTAATCACCCCTTGAAGTTCTTACCTAAAAGTACTGTTGCACTGAGGATTATTAAGTTTCTTAGAAATGAATTTGGGGGGACACATTCAAACTATAGCAATGGTTGGTTTGTTTGTTTGTTTGAGATGGAGTCTCACTCTGTCACCCAGGCCGGAGTGCAGTGGTGGGATCTCAGATCACTGCAACCTCCGCCTCCCACATTCAAGCAATTCTCCTGTCTCAGCTTCCTGAGTAGCTGGAATTACAGGTGTGCGCCACCACGCCTGGCTATTTTTTTTGTATTTTTAGTAGGGACGGGGATTCACCATATTGGTCAGGCTGGTCTTGAACTCCTGACCTCGTGATCCATCCTCCTCGGCCTCCCAAAGTGTTGGGATTACAGGCGTGAGCCACTGCACTCAGCCACAATGTATTTTTTAGCACCTAGAAATGAATAACAATAAACAATGCCATATGAAAAAGATCACAAGATATGAATAAAGATTTAACAAAAGAGGAATGGTCAACCAACATAGGAAAAGATCATCTCTTGAGCAGTCAGGAACATTCAAATTAACTAAGATTAATTAACTAGAACAAAAGAACATTTTATATCCATGAGACTCAGCAAAGATTTTAAAAAGTAAAACACCCATATATGGCCAGGACTCTGGAAAGCTGTGCTTTCAGAGATTCTCAGGGGAAAGTTTCGTCACTACTGTCATTGCTATAGAAAGAAATATGGCGGCATCTGCTAAAACACACACTTTCCTCTGGACACAGAAATCCCTTTTTTTTTTTTTAACATGGATCCTATAGAAATTAATCACCAGTGGTTCATTTATATATACTAGGATGTTGACAGAAGCACTGTTTACAGTAATGAAAAGCTGGAAACTCGTTAATAGTGAAATGGTTGGAGAAAACTGCAAAATAGACATTCTATTGAGTATTAAGCAGCTACTAAAAGGAATAAATTGGGTCTATATAAATTGGTCTGGAATGCCTATGACGTATTACGTAAGAAAAAAATGTGTAGCCGTTAGACTATTTTGTAAAAAAACAAAACAAAAAGATTCTGCAAAACCCTTCTATAAGTCTTTGTATATTGGTATGTATATAGCCGTTCAGACATAAGAAAATGATGTGAAAGGATAAACACCAGATTGTTAATATCGTTTCTTTTTTTTTGGAGATGGAGTTTGGGGAGTTACCAAATGGAGAAGGTGAGGAATTTTTTTTTTTAATGTGAGGGATTTTTAAAAATGTATCTTTGCTTTATCTCATTGTAGCAATAAACACTTGTTACTTTCATGATTTGTGAAATGAAATATAATAAAAATGTTAGGCTGGATGTGGTGGCTCATGCCTGTAACCCTAGCACTTTGAGAGGTCAAGGTGGGAGGATTACTTAAGCCCAGGAGTTTGAGACCAGCCTGGGCAACATAGTGAGACCCCTGTCTCTACAGAAAAATAGAAAAATTAGCTGGGCATGGTGGCACGTGCCTGTAATCCCAGCTACTTGGGAGGCTGAAGTGGGAGAATCGCTTGAGCCTGGGAGGTTGAGGCTGCAGTAAGCTATGATTGTACCACTGCACTCCAGCCTGGGTGACAGAGCCAGATACAGTCTCAAAAATAAAAATAAAAATGTTGTATTAGTTTCCTAGTGCTTCTGTAATAAATCACCATAAACTTAGTGGCTTAAAGCAACACAAATTTAATATTTTACAATAAAATGAGTAAGCAGGTTAAATAAGTAGATTTTAGCTACTCCTGTATAAAAATGTCACTATGTAAAATGATAGATATGTTAATTTGCTTCACTATAGTAACCATTTTACTATCTATATGTTTCCTGTAACATCATGTAAGACTCAAATATACACAATAAATTTTTTTTTTTTTTTTGAGACGGAGTTTCACCCATGTCGCCCAGGCTAGAGTGCAAAGGCGCAATCTCGGCTCACTGCAACCTCCACCTCCCGGGTTCAAGCAATTCTCCTGCCTCAGACTCCCAAGTAGCTGGGATTACAGGTGTACACCACCATGACCGGCTGATTTTTGGATTTTTAATAGAGACGGGGTTTCACCATGTTGGCCAGGATGGTCTTGAACTTCTGACCTCAAGTAATACACCCTTCTTGGCCTCCCAAAGTGCTGGGATTACAGTAGGGAGCCACTGCACCCAGCAGTTTTTTTTAAAAAAATGAATAGTCAGGATTGTGTTCCTTCTCGAGGCTCTGGGGAGAATCTGTTTCCTTGCCATTTCCAGCTTCTAGAAGCTGTCCATTCTTCAGCTCCAGATCCCACATCACTGGGACCTCTGCTTCCATCTTCTAGTCCTCTGCTCTGACTCTCACACTCCTGCCGTGCTCTTAGAAGGACCCTTGTGATTAGATTACACTGGATCTGTCAGATAATACGGGATAATCTCTCTTCTCAAAATCCTTAACTTAATCACATCTGCAAAGACTCTAAGGTACAATACTCACAGGGATTAGCATGTACTAACTTGAGGGTCTATAATTCGGCCCACCATAGTGTATTTTTTAAAATACCTTATTTATTTTGAAGCTCCTCAGGAAACCTGATATTCGAAAAGGCTTAGGAGCCCCTGTCCTAAGGTATTTCTCTGACTGTAGCTATAGTTTTCCCTGCTCAGAAATTGACAGATGGCAGCAATTTTTCTAGTGGATCCATTAAGGTAAGCCTAGGATTATACCATTCCTTTGTATTCTTATTAATGATGTCACATAGACATAGCCATTGTCATTGTTTGTTTCTGGAAGAGTTCATGTCTTCCCTGTTCCTACATGACTCTAATTATCTTATCAGAGGTGTCCATCGCATTAAGACATGTCCCCTTAGAAAATCTTGTCATGACCCTTTATCATCAGGCCTAACTGTCACAGAACCTCTTATGGCACAGACAAAATAAAGTTTCAGTTGATACTTACGGAGTTTTGGTTTCTCCATTAAGGGGCTCATCTTGCTGTTTCTCTAGAGTGACTGGGCCTATTATTAGGCTTGACCTCATGAGGGAGACCTTACAGAAACCAGACTATATCCGTGGATGGCCCATCTCCAGACAGACAGGAGCTGTTAAAAAGAAATAAACTTCACATTTGGTGCACTATTACTACATAAGAACTACTTTG
This sequence comes from Homo sapiens, assembly GCF_000001405.40. Taxonomy (NCBI): domain Eukaryota; kingdom Metazoa; phylum Chordata; class Mammalia; order Primates; family Hominidae; genus Homo; species Homo sapiens. Next base: position 21,270,014 of record NC_000007.14, read on the forward strand.
GTTCTCCTTCTGACTGATTAGTAATACACCAGAGAAATGTTCCCACAAACAGGCAGTAGCACTCTTGTCTACTTAACTAAGTGCGTGACTGCTTTGCGTGGAGAAATCTGAAGGTAATATATTCTGGTAAAGTGGACTTAAGGTTTTAAGGAGAACAAATACAAGAAATATTGATTCCAGAATTAAATCAATTGTGTTAGAATTCCATTCTCTTGTTTTTTTGATTATCCTTAGCAGGGCTACAGATTCATAAACAACTGTAAGAGTGCTAGCCTCCCAGGTGTCAGCCAAGAATATAAATGTCTATTTTTTGGAAAGTACAACATTCAAAATTGAGAAGGTGAAGTTTCCTTGGTTTGTAATTCAAAACATTTGAACTAAAAAACAATGTAAATCTCTACAAATTAAGAATACATGTCATCGACTGTTATGAAATCAACTTATTATGAGCATATATGTCCAGTGACTTTAAACCTAACTTCATATTCATACCTCTAGGAAATATTTCTTTTTTTTTTCCTTTATTTGAGACAGAGTCTCACTCTGTTGCCCAGGCTGGAGTGCAGTGGTGTGATCTTGGCTCACTGCAACCTCCACCCCCTGGGTTCAAGCAATTTTCCTGTCTCAGCCTCCCGAGTAGCTGGGATTACAGGCGGACGCCACCATGCCCAGCTAATTTTTGTTTTTTTTAAAGGAGACAGGGTTTTACCATGTCAGCCAGGCTGGTCTTGAACTCCTGACCTCAGGTGATCCACCCTTCTCGGCCTCCCAAAATGCTGGGATTACAAGTGTGAGCCACCACGCCCAGCCAGAAATATTTCTTTATTGTATTTCTTAGGTTTTTACTGTTGACAAGTTAACTAATAATTAATGAACATACAAATTAAAACAGTCAGACACATTAGCAAAAAATTTTAAATAAGACAATATCAAGTTATGGCAAAGATGTGGGGAAACTGGAATTATTTTAGATGAACAGGAGGACTATAAATGTACAACCCATTGGAGACCAATTTTGCAGCATGTAGTGAAGCAGAAGACATAGTAGGATCTACAAGGCCACTTCCCATTGTATGCACTAGGGAAAACCTCATGCATGTGCATGAGAAACTGTATACGAAGTTATTCATTGCAATATAGCCAGTGATTGTGAAAAGAAATTTTATAGATAATCTAAATATCCATAAACTTGAAAAATCAATAAATTTATATTTTAATACCATGCAATACTACAGAGTAGTTGAAATGAAGAAGTAGATCTGCCCTTTTAAAATCTTAGCTTGACACAGTGGGGTGACCCTGTAGCCACAGCTACTGGGGATGCTGAGGCAAAAGTATCTCTTGAACTCAGGAGTTCAAGGCAGTAGGACACTATGATCACACATGTGAATAGCAACTGCACTCCAGCCTGAGAAATATAGTGAGATCTCATCTCTAAAGAAAGAAAAAGAAAAAAAGAAGGTGAATATATCTTGAGAACATACTACAGTAGGAAAATAAAAGCAAATTTCAGACTGCTAAAGGAGGATATTATTGTGTTAAATTTATTTATTTTTTATTTTTTATTGTAATTTTTTAATTTTTAATTTTTTTGAGACAGAGTCTCGCTCTGTTGCCCAGGCTGGGATGCAGTGGCATGATCTCAACTCACTACAGCCTCCACCTCCTGGGTTCAAGCAATTCTCCTGCCTCAGCCTCCTGAGTAGCTGGGATTACAGGCCTGCACCACCACACCCATGTAATTTTTGTATTTTTAGTAGAAACAGGGTTTCACCATGTTGGCCAGGCAGGTCTTGAACTCCTGACCTAAGGTGATCCACCTGCCTCGGCCTCCCAAAATGCTGGGATTACAGGCATGAGCCACTGCGCTCAGCCTAAATTTTTATTTTAAAACATAATTCTCTGAATCCATACAATTGTACTAACATCATTAAAACATGATCAAGAAGGACAGGTACCCACTTGAGCTTAGTGTTTTGTTATATTTGGGGATGCAGGGAGAGGTAGAACAACAGAGAAGGGTACAAAGTGTCTTTCAATTGTATCTTTACTGTTCTATTTCTTAGCATTTCTTCACATCTGTTATAGGCTTCCCTATATTTTACATGAAATTAATAAAGAGTATATATTAAATAATTAATATATTAAAGAATAGAGTTTGCATAGCATATACAAAGTGAATATACTGACATTACAGGAAACCAAATATACGACTAGTCTCTGTGTTCTTGGAGAAACAGATAGACCTCTTTGTTGATAGAAAGCTGTGCTGTCAAAAACAAGGTTAAGATGTGAATGATGTACCCATTTTGTTTGGCAAAGTGACACGTCTGTCTTCAAAGAGCTGTCAAGATGGTAAGTTAGTGTGGCCTTTGGAGGGGGAAAATACCCAAGCAAACTAAACTTTTAATATTTTTTGCTTTCATCACAAAAATCAAAGCGTTATGGATAATTTTTTTTCTATTTCTAGAAATAACAAAAAGTAAATGCTGACGTTGATTTTGATAGGTAAATATTAAAATTTACAAAAGGCTATACCTGTGTTACTTAGGCCCATGTTCTTTATACACTGTGTTTCTCTTTTCATTAAGCATTTATGAAAATGGAGAAAAAGTTAGTCAGTCCATCTATTGACTAATAAACATTAGTTGAGCCCTGTGAGGCAGGCCCTAGAAAGGCCCCTAGGATACTAAAATCAATAACGCATCATACTGTTAAAAGCTCTGGGGAAATTCCTTTTTTGGGACTGGGTTCCCAAGTAAATATGATTTTGTAACTAGACTTTTTCTCTCTAGTCTCCACATTGGTTCTCCATGTTGGCAGAAGCCAGTAAGTGATATATTATAAGCCATATAGTACATGCTTTTAATAGTTCTATAACTTGATTTATATTTAAAAGCACAATTGGCCTATTTGAATCTCAACAGTATATTGGCTTTTGGAAATATGATACGAAAAGATTGGAGTTACTTACCTATAAGCAGTCCAGCCTGACTCCCTGCCCCCAGAATGAAACACATCAGAACTGGAGTGCAGAGATGGCAACAAAAGAGAAAGGACTGAGAACGGAACAACTTTTGAGCTTGTAGGCATTTTCATGCTTCCTCCTGTCTATTCTGTGGCACATCACCATTGTAACACTTACCTGTTTGTTCCTCTTCCCTGCTGGAATGTGAACGCAGGGTTTTGGCTAATTTGTCTGGGTGTCCCCAGATACCAGCCCAGAGACTGAAGCAGGATAAGCAAGTAAGAGGTTTAGTTTAATTAAACTGATAGTCACTGGGTTAGGTTGAACTTAGCTGAATTGTTAAGAGTGATCGTTATATGAGTAAAAACTAAAACATATTTGTAAAACTAGGCTGTTGCATGTTAACAGAGAATTTCTCACGAAAAACGAGCAGGTATACTTTTTTTTTTTTCCAGGATCTGTATCACCCAGGCTGGAGTACAGATGCACAATCACAGCTCACTGCAGCCTCAAATTCCTGGGCTCAAGCACTCCTCCCCGCTCAGTCTTACAAGTAGCTAAAACTACAGGTACATACCACCACTAGTGGCTCTTTATTTATTTATTTATTTATTTATTTATTTATTTATTATTTTTTGGTAGAGATGGGGTCTCACTATGTGGCCCAGCCTAGGTATACAAATTGAGAGAAGTAAAACGAAATCTGTGTTTCACCAAATACAGTTACAAAAAGGCACTTCAAGATGAAGCCGTTTTCAATTCAACATCTGCTTGTTTGAGGATCAGGGTGGGCTTTGGCATTCTACCACTTACCTCTCTTTCTCTCCAGATTCTACATCCAAGGGCCCCAAGCACATAAGAAACAATACATAGATGGGGAAAAATGCTGTTTTAAAATTAGTATTCAACAAATGCTTGCTTACATTCAGTGCAGAGCTCTGGAAAAAAACTGTAAGAGATCATGGGATATGAACTGGAAGTTGTAAGTGTTGCCTTATGTCTTCCCCTGAAAGAAAGATGACCAAATTGAAGAATAATTCAGCCTGACCAGATGCAGAGAAGAGCAACAGAGAAATTACACATGGATATTCAACACTGTTTATAAAATGAGCCTGTCCACTAAGGAAAACAGGCCCAGAGAAGATCAGCTCTTTCTCCCTCAAGGAGTTGTTAATAAGGAGGGATGAACAATAAAGGGAGATGCTCCCTCCTCAACGTTATTGACTGAGGTCTGCATGCTAATATATACTAGGTGTTTTAACGGGTATACAAAAGTCTATGCCGTGGTCCCTGTGCTCACAAAGCCTACAGCATCACTAGGTCACAAGTTAGCCATGCACATATACGTTAGAAAGTCATGTGTGTATATTGGGAATGGAGCTGAATTGTCCATTTCACTGTTCTCCCTTCTATATACCCAAGTGAACAATGAGCCGTTTTCAACCTTAATTGGAACACTATAACGAGATCAAAAATTAATCCCATATGACCAGCTCTCAGCCTAGATGTGGCACACTCTTAGGTATCTGTTTACTATTCCCTGATATCTATTCTCTCCTTCCAAAGTTTTTGCTGGACAAGTAGTCACCCAGCTAAAGCCTATACTTCCTACCCTCCCTTGCATCTAGGTGTGGCCATGTGATCAATTTGATGTGAATGACCAATGCAATGTGACCAGAAGTGATGTGTGTTCTATCCACATAATACCCTTAAAGTCTGGGTGTATACTCCTCCTGTCCTTGTTCCTCTTCCCACCGCTGGGTGATGGTGAGTGTTAGAGCAGCCAATTTGGACCCAGAGATAGAAGCCATGTGTTGAGGATGGTAAAACCTCCTTATGAGGCTTGGAGTGCCCACCTCTAAACTTTACAGAGACAAAAAAAATTCTGTCTTGTTTCAAGTGCTGTATTTTTAGCTTCCTTTGTCACTATATCTTAAATATTTTAAATAGCACTAAAGTGGAGAAGAATTCCAATGAGCCAGATTGGTTGTAGGAAGATTAATTAAAAAGATGGGATGATATCTGGGGACTTGAAATGAGAAATATTTGGAAAGACATTGTGAAGAGTGATCGGCCCTCAGCAAGAGGAGTAACGAGAGGGAGAACAGGAAGCCAGAAGTGAACTTGGATTGTCTGCAGAATGTAAAACTTGTAACTTGTCTTTAAAAAGAATATTTTATTTATATTTTAAGCAAGGGACATCTGAATCCTAGATAGAAACTCTCAGCTATTTTTAAATTCCCCAGAGACTTCATTAATCTTTTTCTAGACATCAGTGCTTTAGGAAAACATGGAAAGAAATCTGGAAATGTTCTTCAATTTTTGTCTTTTTAATGATTACATCATTTTAAAATGCATTAAGTATTGTGTTACGTGCCTCTCATTATGCTCAGAAATTTACAGGTACAATTTCATTGAACACCTACAGCTTATAGAGAGATATTATTATTACTTTCCCATTTTACAGATGAGGACACTGAAACTTGAAGAGTTGGGGCAAACAACATTGTTTGCCTCTCACAGCCACATTCATCGCTGCTAACAGAAACCTAATTTATCTCAGAAATGGGACAGCAGCGCACCCAGACTGAGGGGGGAATTATGGGCCCAAGTGAATCCTAACTATGCCATTCCCATTTCCAGTCATTGTCAAAAAGGTAGTACTATTACTCCAATGATTTGTTTCTACCCAAGAACTTTTCTGACAAAAAAGGTGTGAGGTTTTTCCTCATCCCAACAACCAGTTCTCCAACTCTCCAGATATCAGCTGGGCGTTCAACAATTTATTTCAGTTTTGACACTAAATACCTGGAGTTAGTGCAAACCAAACTGCTTAAGAAGTCAGTGCCCCCAGACTGCCCCACTTCAGATGCCAATCACTGGTAATGTGTCTCCATGTTCCCCACTTCAGTCTGACTTAGATACAAATGGGGCATTCTCAGGACTGCCTCCTCAGGTTTATAATTTACTATAACGGCTCACAGAGATCAGGGAAACACTTCACTTACTATTACCAGTTCATTATAAAAGACACAAATGAACAGCCAGATGAGGAGGTTTTAGTGGAAAGTCTGGAAAGGTCCCAAGCGCAGGAGCTTTTTTTTGCCCTGTGAAGTTGGAGTGAGCCACCCTCCCAGCACGTGGGTGCATTCGCCAACTCGGAAACTCTCCAAACCCCTTTGTTTAGGATTTTTATGGAGGTTCCATTAAATAGGCATGATTGATTAAATCATTGGCCATTAGTGATTGGCTTAATCCCCAGCCTCCTCCCCTCCCCAGAGGTTAATCACATGGTTGTTTCCTCTAGCAACCAGTCCCCATCCCAAAGTGACCTAGGGGCTTCCAGCCACCAGTCGCCTCATGAACATAAACTCGGGTATGGTTGAAAGAGGCTTACTATGAATAACAGAAACAGTCCCCTCACCCTGATCACTAGGGAAATGCCAAGAGTTTTAGGAGCTCTATGCCTGGAACTGGGGACAAAGACCAAGTACATATTTCTTATTATATCACAATGTCACAGGTTGGTATGTGACTTAAAAGTGGAAGATTTCAGGAAGATTTTCCTTCTTAAAAGAACAATCCTCAGGAGATGCCACTACTCCCTTTCCTGTTTTGGGGCCTTGCAGTGTGAATCTGAGACATTAGGATCACAGCAGTGCACTTGCAGCCCTGAGAAAAAGGCCTCAAGAATGTAGGGAGGCTGCCTGAGCCCCTTGCCACCACTGAGCCCACTTAACCTGGGGGCTTCCTGTTGCATGAGGAAGATAAACTCTCTTTGTTGCTTTGGGTTGGTTAGTCTGTTATTTCAGCTGCTTTGGGTTGGTTAGTCTGTCCTTTGCAGCCAAACACATCCCGACTGATGAAAGAAATTAGAGACTTGCCCGAGATCCCAAGGCTAGTGCTGTGGTTTGAATGTTTGAGTCCCTCCAATATTCGAGTTGAAACTTAATCCCCAGTGCAATTGCTTTAAAAGGTGAGGACTTTGGGAAGCGATTAGATCATGAGGGCTGCAGTCTCATGAATGGCGTTAGTGCCTTTGTAAAAGGGCTTGAGGAAGTCTGTCAGTCCCTTTCGGCTCTTCTTCCCTACTGCCATGTGAGGACACAAGAGACCATTCTGAAGCCGAAAGCAAGCCCTCTTCAGACATGGAATCTTCTGGCACCTTGATCTTAGACTTCCCAGCCTTCAGAATTGTGAGCAATAAATAAATTCCTATTGTTTATAAATTACTTAATTCTAGGTATTTTGTTATGGCAGCCTGAACAGACTGATACAGCTAGTAAGTGCCTGAGTCAAGTCTTGAACACAGGTGTGTCTGACTTCAGAGCCCACTCATTTATTCAACAAAGTCCACGTTTGTAAGGCAGCTTGCTTTACAGGCAAGAGCTTTTTTGTACAGTTAGGCACACTTAAGTATTAGTCCAGCAATTAACACCTATCGATTAAGCAGTAATTGCCCATCTCCAAGTCTCAGTTCTCTCATCTGGAAAGTGGATATAATATTTACCTTGCTGTTGTGAGGGCTGTTGTGAGGGTTAGAGGTAAAGGTCTCCTGTGCTGCCAATAATGTATCTACTCGTCACATGTGGCTATATAAAATGTGAAATTTAATTAATTACAATTGAATTACATTACAGATTTACTTTCCAGACTTCACTAGGTATATTTTGGGACTTATTAACTACATGTGGCTAGTGGCTACCATATTGGACAGCATAAATATAGAACATTTTCATCTCACAGAAGGTTCTACTAGGTAGCACTGGGAAACACAATGCCTTTAGATTAGTGGCTAGGTATATAGAACTGGAGGCAGAAAGCCCAGGTTTGAATGTTGCACTCACCATTTGCCAGCAGTATGACTTTGGACAAATTGCTTTATCACTTTGTGCCTCCGTTTCTTTATCAATAAATAAAAATCATAAAAATAGTACCTACCTTAAAGGATAATGAGGAGGATTAAATGATAAAGTGCTTAGAAACATATATAGTATGATCTCAATAAATGTTTGTTAGTAACTAGGATTACTATTTGATTGCTCTTTTTAAAACAATTTACCAACACCCGGCATGAGAGTTATGGTACTAAGTCTCTCACGTGTGGTTCTAAAGCATGACAATTTCTGATCCCTGACTTTCAAAAGTTTTCATCCTAATTGGGGGCGCCAGAGCACACCTGTTGAAAATATTTACATGCAGCTAGTTTTTTTGTATATAGACATGACATGTTGTTTAATGTTAACATTTATTCTTGGGAGAAATTATACCTCATATCCATTTGTGTCAAGGGAGATTTCCTGAAGAAATAGGTGGCTGGCAGCCTTAAGAAGTGAGAAGAAGGTACAATCCACTACATTTGAGAACTCAAAATGTTACCATTAGGAAGAGGAATGAAATATTTGTCAAAGCCTTTAGTATGGTCTCAGGAACCAGGAGAGGAGTCTTCCTAAACTCAAAAATTCATGATCCAGAAGTAAACAACTTGGAAGTGAAACACCACAGTACAATATGAAATCATTCATGCCTGTAATCCTAGCACTTTGGGAGGCCCATGAAGAAGAGTCTTCCTAAACTCAAAAATTCATGATCCAGAAGTAAACAACTTGGAAGTGAAACACCACAGTACAATATGAAATCATTCATGCCTGTAATCCTAGCACTTTGGGAGGCCGATGCGGGCAGATCATGAGGTCAGGAGAACAAGACCGTCCTGGCCAACATGGTGAAACCCCATCTCTACTAAAAATACAAAAATTAGCTGGGCCTGGTGGTGGGCGCCTGTAGTCCGGCAGGAGAATTGCTTGAAACTGGGAGGTGGAGGTTGCAGTGAGCCGAGATCACACGACTGCACCCAAGCCTGGGCGACAGAGCAAGACTCCACCTCAAAAAAAAAAAAAAAAAAAGAAAAAAATCATTTAGTCCACATAATGCTCGTTTTGTTTATCCAATGACAGGCAGGAAGTCTACCTATTTCCAATAGCCTAATGCCTTGTCTCTCTCCTGAACTAGGACTAACATTTCTCTACAAAGTAAACTGAGAAAATCCTCATAGTTTTTAGAGCCTTTGCTCAAGATGATCACTGTGCTCAGAATGCTCTCTGATCCATGGTTGCCTGACTGTTTCTCCATATTCAGATTGCTGCTTAAATTCACCTCCTGAAATAGACCTTCACTGATATCACCCAATCACAGCAACTCTAAAGACACGCGCTAACATTCCCTGATTTAACAATCTTCATATTACTTAATACCTTCTGATATTTTTCTTTTATTAGACTTATTCATATATGTGCTTTGCCTTTCATACCCAGTTATAATATATAGTCATGTGCTTCATAATGATGTTTTAGTCAACGATGGACCACATGTCTGATGGTGGTCCAACATGATTACGATGGAGCTGAAAAATTTCTGTAGCCTAGTGACATCATAGCTGTCCTAATGTCACAGCACAATGCATTACTCACTTGTTTGTGGTAATGCTGGTGTAAACAAACCTATTATGTTGCCAATCACATAAAAATCTAGCACATACAGTTATGTACAGTACATAATACCTGATAATGATAATAAATGACTATATTACTGGTTTATATATTTACTATACTATAGTTTTAATCATTATTTTAGAGGGTACTTCTTCTACTTATAAACAAAAAGTTTACTGTAAAACAGCATGCCATGTTACAAGGCCAGCAGCCTCATACATCTCATGTTTACCAAGTCTCTTGATGTTATAATTTTCCCTCTGTACTTTATTTAGTCTCATGTAGTTTTGCTTATCCTAGCTTCTAAGGGTACAAAATCCACTGCTAACATTGCTGGTAAGAAACCACATTGAGTGGCTGGCCTGGACACAAAATTAAAAGTGATTTTAATGGGTAAATTGCATGTTGGTGGGTTATGGTATACAAATGATCCTGTCACCCAGTAGTGAGCATAGTACCCAATAGTAAGTTTTTCAACCGTTGACCCTCTCCCACTCTGCCTCCTTGTAGTTCTTAATGTCTAATTTTCTCATCTTTTTGTACTTATGTACTCAACGTTTAGCTCCCACTTATAAGTGAGAACATGCAGTATTTCGTTTTCTGTTCTTGAGTTTATTCGTTTAGGATAAGGATATTGCATCCATGTTGCTGCAAAAGACACAATTTTATTCTTTTTTTTCTGGCTGCATAATATTCCATGGCATATATGTACTGTATTTTCTTTAGTCTACTGTTGATGGGGGTCTAGGTTGATTCCATGTTTTTGCTATTGTAAATAGTATCACTGCAATCTTAAAGAACAAAAACAAAGACAAAAGCTGTTGAAGGATCTGCTTGCTTAGAGGCATCTGTTGAAGGAACTGTCTTGCTTTGGAGGCAATGTTTCAGGCTTCAAATTGAAGGCAATGAGACCAACAAAAATTTAAGCAAGGCTATATCAGATATGAAGAAACTTGTAATGACCTGGATTGGAGACCAGACACAGAAGCATATCCTTCTCAGCACCATGAAAATTATGGCCAAAGCAAAAAGTTTGTGATGTTGAAAGAAAAGGCTGGACCTGATCACAATGTTGAATTTGCTGCCAGCTCTGGGTGGTTTAAACAATTCAAGAATCATTATTCATTGCATCATGTAAAAATGAGCAGTGAGTCTGCGAGTGCTGATGTGAAGGCAGCTGAAGAATTTTTGGAAACTCTGGATGTGCTGATTGTGGAGGAAAATTACTTGCCAGAGCAAATCGATAGGGATGAAACCTTCCTATTCTGCAAATGGATGCCTGAGAGGACTTTCATCCATAAGGAAGCCAAGTTAACGCCGACTGTCAATTCTTTGAAGGACAGGATAACAGTTTTGCTTCGAGGCAATGTTGCAGGTTTCAAATTGAAATCCTTTGTGATATGGCACAGTGAGAACCCCATGGCCTTCAAACATATCAATAAATGCACACTTCCAGTGTACTACAGGAGAATAAGAAGTCATAGATGACCCAGCTCCTCTTCCAAGATGTCCCCCTGAATGGCTATGCCAGCGAAATGGAGAACTCTTTGGAGAATAACATACCGTTCAAGATATTGCTTATTATTGATAATCCTCCTGCACATCCTTCTTTCATTGGCAATCTTCATTCCAATATTAAAGTGGTGTTTCTTCCTACAAACACCACCTCTTTGATCCAATGAATGCATCAAGAACTTATAGCTGCTTTTAAGGCCTACTCCCTGAGTTGGGTCCTTGCCCAGCCTATGGTGAAACTGAGGAAGACACTGAGAAGACACTGATGCAATTCTGGAAGGATTACATCATCTATAGCTATGTTAAGAGCCTTGCTTGGAATAGGGGTAATGTCACCAATTAGTGTTTGAATGGCATCTGGGAGGAGACACTCAACATTCATCAGTTGCTTCAAAGGATTTGCCAAAGATGAGGATATTGCAAAATCAGTGAGGCTGTGGTTGGAGATGGGTGTGGATGAGGATGATATTGGGGCTTTGCTGCAGGTGGCTTCTGAGGAATTAGCTAATGAGGAGTTGTTGGAACTGGAACAGAAACCCACAGCTGAAGAAGAGGCAAGAGACAAGGAAACTGCAAGAGAAGAAAAAAGAAGAACCCCCAAGAAGATTCACAGTGAAGGGTTTAGCAGAAGCTTTTGCAGGCCTCACCAAGCTTCTTAACAGCTTCTTAAAAAGTTTAAAAACATGGATCCCAACTCCAAAGTGTTTTCATTAATAGAGGGTTGCTCATGGTGCATTATCTGCTTGCAAGCAAATCTGTAATGAAAAAATGAAACAAACCAAGCAAATCATCATGGCCATATTTCTGAAAAGAGTGAAACTTCCTCAAGAAGAGCCTCACACGGGTCCCTCATGAGGTAGTCTAGAAGAAGGCATTGTTATCTTAAGACATGACAGCTCCATGCCTGTTATTGCCTGTGAAGACCTTCAAGTTGGACAAGTTGTGAAGGGGGAAGACAGTGATATTGATGATCCTGACCTTGTGTAAGCCTAGACTAATGTGTTCCATCTTGTTTTTAGCAAAAAACGTTTAGAAAGTAAAATAAATGCATTTTAAAAATAGGAGAAAGCATATAGAATAAGGATATAAAGAAAGAAAATATTTTTGTACAGCTGTACAATGTGCTTGTGTTCTCATCTAAGTGTTATTACAAAAGAATAAAAAAATTTAAAAAATTAAAAAGCTTATAAAGTTAAAATGTTATAGTAAGCTAAAGTTAATTTACTGTTAAAGGAAGAAAAATATTTTATACATTTAGGGTAGCCTAAATGTATAGCGTTAATAAAGTTTACAGTCCTTCACATTTACTCACTACTCACTCACTGACTTACCCAGAGCAACTTATGGTCCTGCAAGCTTCATTCATGCTAAGTGGCCTCTTGTACAGGTGTACCATTTTTATCTTTTATGTCATGTTTTGACCGTATCTTTTCTATGTTTAGATACATAAATGTTTACCATTGTGTTACAGTTGCCTACAGTATTCAGTTCAGTAACATGCCGTACAGGTTGGTAACCTAGGAGCAATAGGCTGTGCCATTTTGCGTAGGTGTGTATTAGACCATATGCTGTAAGCTTGTGTAACTACGCTCTATGATGTTCACACACTGATGAAATCACCTAACAACTGACACATTTCTCAGACTATATCCCTGTTGTTAAGCAGGACATGACTGCAAATCCAAGAGAACAAAGGGGAAGCTTGTATGTTTAGTTTGCTGCTATATCTGCACTTCCTGGAAAAATGCTCGGAACACCATGCATACTCTGGAAATCTTTTTCAAATATATGAAAAAAAAAGCCAGAGTTTCAGTCCAAATATCCAAGGTAGTCAGCAATTGCTTCTTCTTTTCAGTTTTAGATTCTCTATAGGCATAAGATATCTGAAACCCTGAGGGTTTTTTTCGATAATCCATGAAAATCTGAGGTAGCATATGATGTCTTTTCTTTGACCCTACATTCACTCTGGTACTAGAATTCTCAACATTGCAAAATTCAACTCTCTTCAAGCATCTGGATCATCACCTGAATTTGAGTCCCTCACTTTTTATCTTTGCCCACCTAGCATTTCATGTTCCCAAAAAGGAATGGCTTGATTGGCTCAGTCAACTATGAAGCAGAGTTCCCATACTAAGGTCCATGCTCTCCAGCCAAAGTCTACCAGGAACAAACCTAGAGCTGGGCAAGCTGAATTACTTGTTCTTGCAAATGGATAATGCATGCCCATAAGGAACTGTGGGGCATCTCAGAGAGTGTTAGAAAGGACATTTATGGCATTTGAATGGGTGTTAGGTAATTTGAGGGAGGGACCAAGGAAGCAGGGCTTTGCTCTGGATTGGATGCTCTCAGGAAGTGCAGGGTAACTCTATGATTGGGTATCTTAAATCATATCTAGAATAAGGGAAGACTAAAAATGAGGCCAAGTCTGTAATTGACAAGCACCCCTCACTCATATTAGCTGGGAGAGGGGAGGTTTGGTATTTTATGGTTTACACAGTGAACCAGTAATGATGAATACAGTGTTTTCATCTGTGCTTAGATAAGAGTATAAAGTTTTTTTTTGTTTTGTTGCTTGTTTGGTGTCACTTCTTCACACTCAAAGAGTGATCCTATCTGATGTTAGAATTCCGAGAGACCTGAGAACAACACGTCTAGCTGTGAATGCCAGGTCACAGAGACACAGCTGTGAGAGTCAGGCCGGTTCCCCATGTTAGGGACTGCTTTTCTTTTTCTCTCCAGCTGCCTCAGAGATGATTGTCACCCCTACCCCCTTTCCAGCCCACATGTGGTTATGTTTAACTTCTGTCTGATCATAGATCCAGCATGTAGCAAGGCTTCATGCATGCAGCAAGCTTCCATTCCATGAATGCTGCAAAAACCACCATATCTTATGCCAGAAGTATCTCAGCCTCCTTCCTCCCAGTATGGCTATAAGTGTGGTAGGTTCCTGAGGCTTCCTGGACATCTAGTACAGAGGTCCTGACACTAGTAGAGAGAAGACTGCAGTGGTCTGGGGCAAGATGGTAAGGGACTAGACACTGTGGACATGGAGAAGCTGGAGTCAAGAGATATTTGAGAGGTAGAATTCATAAGATTATCAGGGAGAGAAACTGAGGAGTCTGATATTGCTATCTTAGGAGGCCAGGTATTAGTGATGTTATTAACCAAGGTGAAGCTTATAAGTTCACAATAGGTTTTACAGGGAGGTGATCATTTCTGTTTGGGACATGTTCCATTTAAGATGCCTATCGCAGAGATGGCCTATAGGCAGTAGCGTATAGGGGAGGGTTTAGCACTGGGACTCACCAACCTGATGAACGTGGGAGGGTCGCTTAGATAACAAGGGAGAACAAGTAGAATGAGAAAAGAAGCAGCTGCAGAACAAACTCAAATAAGCAACTAGAAACAAAAACAAATATGGGGAAATTATCTAGAATGAAAAGAGACTAATAAGTGTATGCTTTTAAAAATGTCAAAGGCATCAGGGAAGTCAAAAACTGGGAAAACCAATAAGTAGTGGCCATTTCCATGCATTCATTTATTCAACAGATATTTATTGGGCACCAACTATGTACCAGGGGCTGTTCAGGCCCTAGAAATAACATAGTGTGTTGGAGGATGAGGGGCGGGTAGGAGGGAGAAAACAAACAGACATCCCTACCCTCATAGATCTTACATAATTAACTTATTTATTATAAGTACGTTATGTAAGAGATCAGAAGATAATAACTATTTTGAAGACAAGACAAAGAAGGAGATGGTCTGAGGTGGGGGTATGGGAGAAAGCTGAATTTTAGACAGGGTGCTCTCTCAACTGCGAAGTACCATTTAAACAAATGTGAAGTAGTTGAAGTGAATGATGTGGTTATCTGGGGTCAATCCAGATGGCAAGGAAGTTCTCAGTGCTTTCAATAGCTAGACCAACAAGAGAAGTTTAGCCTTGCCTGGTGCCTTGCACATAGTAAATGTTCAATATATATTCAATGAGTTAACTAATGCAGTGAGTATTCATGGAAGTAAGTATACAAATAATTGATTAGTTTGAGAAGCACAATCAATATGTAGGCATAACAGTAGGTTGACCTGGAAAAATTAAAAGTATTTAGGAATACCTTCTTGATAAAATATACATTTACGTGTTGTTACTTAACAATGTAAAAGGTCTCCTTTTGTTTCCTTTTTTTCTGAGAGTGATCATTGGATAGATAAATTTTGCAATAGATATTTGCAAGACTACAATTTGGGCTTTTGTTGGGGAGGCATGGTATTTCGTTGTCCTTTTGCTTCTGTCCACTATTTTATCATAAAAGAAACCTCATATAAACATTACGGTCTTATTCTGATTGACAAACAGCAGTAGGCAACGATTTCTTATGGCTGAGGTATCTAATATAAAACGGATCTGTATACACATGCACATGGACAATTTATATCAAGGCCCTGATAAAAGTTAAATTGTGTCTTGATTTTTGAGAACTGAAATATCTGCTTTTCTGCCAGCACCACAGAGAGCTCATGAATGATGGAAGTGCTTTGGCTTTTAGAGAGGTGCCATTTCTTTGCAATGCTACTTCTTTGGGGAACAAATACGAAAAATAAAATGTGTCACTTTACATGATACAGAGTCTTTTTATTGTCACCTTCCTGGCTTTAAAAGTGAATGGACAAATCATAAAAAGACATATTGTAGATGCAAGTTCTGCTTTAGATTTAGATATTCTAATGGAGTATATAATTCAGTGAGTCTTTTCTGTGTCTCTTATTTCTCCCATTCCTTATCTATGGGCAGAGCGACCTGGTAATAAAATACCAAACTGTGAATACTTTTGGCTGGCAGTCTCTCTCAGCTTATACCTCTTGAAGATGATGATTTTCCTCTCAACTTATTCCACAGGAGTATTGTTAAAATCCATCAGATTGAGCCCTGGGGATTTAATAGAAGTGGTTGTGTACACATATGGCTGTAATGACAATTTGCCAAATTTTCAGAGATCACAATCACAAGGATCAATTATAAACAGTTTGCAGACTTAGACACCAATACTTTAAAAATTAATGGAACCACAATAGGACGACTTCACACTCCCTTGGATGGCAATAATAAAAAAGACAAACAATAACAAGTGCCTGTGAGGATGTGAAGAAATTGGAATCTTCATACATTGCTGTTGAGAATGTAAAATGATGCAGCCACTGTGAAAACAATATGGCAGTTTCTCAAAAAGTTAAACACAGAGTTACCATATGACCCAGCAATTCCACTCCTACATATATACCCAAGAGAACTGAGAACATATGTCCACACAAAACTTGTACATAAATGTTCATGGCAGAATTATTCATAATAGCCAAAAAGTAGAAACAACCCAAATGTCTATCAACTAATGAACGTGTAAATAAAATGTAGTATATCCATACAATGGAATAATATTCAGCCACCGAAAAGAATGAAGTAATTATATATTATTCAACATAGATGAAACATGAAAACATGCTGGTAAAAGAAACTAGACACAAAAGGTCAGATATTTCATGACTCCATTTATACGAAATGTCTAGAATAGGTAAATCCATAGAAAAAAATTGATTAATGGTTGCCTAGGACTGGGAAGTTTGTGGGTAAATAGGGAGTGACTGCTAATTGGTATGAGATGTTCATTTTAGAGGTGATAAAAATGTTCTGGCATTAGATAGTGATGATGGTTGCACAAATATACTTTAAAAATCATCAGATTGTATACTGTAAAAGTATGAATTTTATGGAATGTAAGTTACATCTCAAAGTTGTTATTTTAAAATTTTTAAATCAAATATTTAAAATTCGATTGAATATCACATGACATAAAGGGATTATTGTTAATTCTTGGTATGATAATAATATCGTGGTTATGTTTTTTAAACATGTCTTATGGAGATAATCACTAAATTATTATAAATTTTTAATTAATGGCAAGTTTATATTGCCAAGGGGGTACTCTATTGCTGGACTCCCATCACATGGACATGGTGGCCATGGACTCTAAATCCCAGATTCATGCTTTGATCTTGAGAAAATTTCTTTGATACTGCAAAACTCAGTGTTCTCTTCCAGAAAGCAGAAATTGTTATAAGGATTGAAAACTCTTAGGGCAGTTATGAAAGCCAGTAGCTCATCAACAAATGGTCATTGTTGTTGGGGGTGGGAGGTGAAGGTAGTTCTTAACTTTATTACGTTGATTCCAAGACACATGTTTTTTTTCATTTTAACAATTCTGAAGCTAAGGTGCATCTACTAATCAGTGGCATTTTGTAGTTTTATTAAAATATTCTTGCTTTTTTAAAAAAATGTAGATTTAGAGGACACAAGTGCAGATTTCTTACATGCATACATTGCATAGTGGTAGAAATTTTGCTTTCTTATGGTACATAAAATAAAGGAGCATCTTATATTAAATGAAGATAAGAATAGTTGTTTCATTCTTATGTTCCAAGCAGTGGTTTAGGCACTGAGAATATAGCAGCAAACTGTAAAGACTAAGTTCTTGCCCATGGAGAGTTGACACTTTAGTGGAGTGAGAAGAGAGGGGACATAAATTAATAAATATTTACTGTGTCAAGTAGCTATATGTGTTATAAAAATTATAAAGTAGAATATCTGCATGAAATTAGACCCTTGTCTTACACCATACACAAAAATAAACTCAAAAGCTGGACGTGGTGGGACACACCTATAGTTCCAGCTACTCAAGGGGCTGAGGCAGGAGGATTGCTTAAACCAAGGAGTTTGGGGCTATAGTGCACTATGATTGCACCAGTGAATAGGCACTGCACTCCAGCCTGCACAATATAACAAGACTTTGTGTCTACAAAGAAAAAAAGAACTCAGAATGGATTAAATAACTAAACGTAAGACCTGAAATCCTAATACTCCCAAAAGAGAACATAGAAGAAAAGTTCCTTAATATTGGCCTTGGCAATAGTTTTTTGGCTATTACACCAAAAGCTCAGGTACAAAAGCAAAAGTAAATAAATGAGACTTCATCGAACTAAATTTTCTGCACAGCAAAGGAAACAATCAACAAAACGAAACAGCAATCTATGGACTGAAAAATAGTGTTTGCAAACCATACATTTGATAAAGTGATAGTATCCAAAACTCATGCCGCTTAATAGTAGTAAAACAAATAACTTGATTTAAAAATGGGCAAAGGACATAAATAGACATTTCTCTTCAGAAAACATAAAAATGGTCAACAGGTATATGAAAAGGTGGTCAACATCATCAATCATCAGGAAAATGCAAACTAAAACTACTGTGAGTAATCACCTCACATTTGTTGACATGACTATTGCCAGTCAAGAGATAACAAATGTTGGAGAAGGTGTGAAGGAAAGGGAACCCTTGTACATGGTTGCTAGAAATATAGATTAGTGTGGCCTTTATAGAAAACAGTATGGAGGTTCCTAAAGAAATTAAAACTGTAACTAACTACCATATGACCCAGCAATTCCTCTTCTGAGTATATAACCAAAGGAAGTGAAATCACCACCTCCTAAAGACATCTGCATTCCTATATTCACGGCGGTATTATTCCTAATAGCCAAGAACTGGACACGATCTGACTCCATCAATGAATGTCTAAATTGTTATGTATATGTATACATACATAGTGAAATATTATTCAGCCTTAAAAAAAGAGATCCTGCCATTTGCCAGACATTAATAAACCCGGAGAATGTTATGCTAGGTGAAATAATCCAGACCACAGAAAGAAAAATATTGAAGGCTCTCATTTTTATGTGGAATCTAAAAAAAAAAAAATTCAAATATACAGATATACAGAGATAGAGAATAAAACAGTGGCTGCTAGGGGCAGGGGAGAGTGGGATAGAAATGAGGATATCTAGGTTAGAGGATAAAAAGTAGCTGACATGGTGCATGGTGGCTCACGCCTGTAATTCCAGCACTTTGGGAGGCCAAGCCTGGCGGATCACTTGAGGTCAGGAGTTTGAGATCAGCCTAGCCAACATGGTGAAACCCCATCTCTACTAAAAATACAAACATTAGCCAGGCATGGTGGCACGCGCCTATAACCCCAGCTACTCAGGAGGCTGAGGCAGGAGAATCGCTTGAACCTGGAAGACAGGAGTTGCAGTGAGCCAAGATCGTGCCACTGCACTCCAGCCTGGGCTACAGAGCCAGACTCCATCTCAGGAAAAAAAAAAAAAAAAAAGTAGCAGATATATAGGATGAACAAGTCCAGAAACCTAAATGTACAACATGAGGATTATAGTTTAAAAAATTGTACTGTATTAGGGAGTTCTGCTAAATGAGTAGATTTTAGCTGCTCTTATCCCAATGAAAGGGTAACTATGTGAGATGATGGATATGTTAATTTGCTTCAGTAGAGTAATCCTTTTACTATTTATGTATCTAATAACCTCATGTTTTATACCCTAAATAAATGTAATAAAATTGATTTTTAAAAATAAAAAGTGAAATAAAGGGATTAGAGTGTAATTGGCTATTCTTTTATGTAGGGTATTCAGAGAAGTGTTCTCTGATTAGGTAATATTTGAGCAAAAACTGGAAGATGATTAAACAATCATTACTAAAATACTTTGTAAAACTTTGTAAAAAAGTAAAGAAGCATTTTCTCTCATTATGCTGTAAAACCATCATATTCTTGATTAGCCCCTAGAAAAAAAATAATTGGCTCAGTCTCAGTCATTATGAAGTTTCATGGGCTTGTCTAAGAGACAGACATGGAAACATTAATTGCCATGCAATATAATAGCTACTAATATAGAAAACTCTAATACCTCTCTAGAAACATATAGGAGGCAGACCATAATAGAAGGCCTCACAGAAATATAATTTGAGCTGCAGACTTAAAAATATTTTTAATTAAAAATATTTTTAGAGAAAATGTATATACAGAAAAGTGCACACACACACACAAATCACCTCCATTGCATATTTTTTGTTTTGTTTTTTGCAATATAAAATGAGAAATAAAAGTCTCTCTCTCATTACCACCAGAGTTGGCAAATTTTTTCAGTAAAGGGTGAGATAGCAAATGTTTTAGGCTTTGCAGACCAGACAGCGTCTGTCACAGCTATTCAACTCTGCCAATAAAGTGCAAAAGTGCCAGAGAGAATACATAAACAACTGAGCATCATTATGGTCCAGCAGATGTATAATGACAAAAACAAGGCAGGGCTGGGTGCGGTGGCTCATGCCTGTAATCCCAGCACTTTGGGAGACTGAGGTGGGCAGATCATGAGGTCAGGAGATCGAGATTATCCTGGCCAACATGGTGAAACCCCGTCTCTACCAAAATACAAAAAATTAGCCAGGCGTGGTGGTGCACGCCTGTAGTCCCAGCTACTTGGGAGGCTGAGGCAGGGGAATTGCTTGAACCCAGGAGGCGGAGGTTGCAGTGAGCCAAGACTAGGCCACTACACTCCAGCCTGGGCGACAGAGCAAGACTCCATCTCAAAAAAAAAAAAAAAGAAAAAAGAAAGAGGCATGCAGCTGCATTTGAACACAGTTTGTCAATCCCTGCCATACCCAGAAACTGGGTATAAGGAGGGCAGTGTATAACTCATTTGTCCTATTTTAACTAAAACCTAAAGGATGAGTGAAAGAAGATAGTGGGTCACAGGAGGAACCGTATAATCAAGACAGATCAAAAGACACATGTACTTACACTCAGGAAAAAATTAAAAATTAAAAAATTCATGGAATATTCAGAGAATTGTACATAGTTAATATGGTTAGACCTGAATGGTTTTTTTTTTTTTTTTTTTTTTTTTTTTGATGCAGAGGCAGGAGGATAGCTTGAGCCCAGGAGTCTGAGACCTGCCTGGGCAATATAGCGAGACCCTGTTCTCCACAAAAAGAAAAAAAAGGGTCTCATTCTGTCACCCAGGCTAAAGTGCAGTGGCGTGATCTCGGCTCAATATAGCCTCTGCCTCTGCCTCCTGGGTTCCAGCGATTCTCCTGCTCAGCCTCCCTAGTAGCTGGGATTATAGGCACGTGCCACCACACCTGGGTAATTTTTGTATTTTTAGTGGAGATGGGGTTTCACCATGTTGGCCAGGCTGGTCTTGAACTCCTGACCTCAGGTGATCCACCTGCCTCGGCCTCCCAAAGTGCTGGGATTACAGGCGTGAGCCACCATGCCCGACCAGACCTGATGTTTTATAAGCTAAATCCCACTGTTCCTGTGTAGTAATAAATTAATGACAGTCTTCTTGTATCTTACTGGGGGAATGAGGAAGAAATGACTAGGGACATTTCAATTTCAACTTTTTCCTCCATTGTGCCTTTTGAGTCTAAGTTACCTGTGAGTGAAAGAAGTGTTCATACTTCCAATTAGTCATTTCCTAGTGTTCAGATGTGAACAAAACAAGCGTTATAGCTTTAATATCCTAATTTGCCCCTTGGCTTCAACTATATTTCTAAAGATCTTTGATCCTGACATGGGTTTTTAGCTCTGCTATATCTGTTCCCAAATCTTAACACTCATTAGCTTATCTGAAATCTATTTTATTGCTGTTTTTTTCCACACTCGAGCGAGATGATCTGGAAACTTCTGAGTGATTCCTGTAGCCCTGCATATCTATGCCAACAGTTTATTCCCAGCAAACCCCTAAATTTCTCTCCCGCTACCAGTACGGCAAATTATGTAAACCCAGTCAAGTAATGATGTGCATCACTTACCAAGAAAATCTCTCAATAGGAAAATAAATTCAAGTAGCTGAGCTTTTCAAGGACTTTTTAGAACTGTTCTGATGTCTTTGGGCAAATATGTATATTACCTCTTGAAATAGCTGTGCCTGATATGATGGTGGCAGTTTAGGCATCAGAGGCAGACATGGATTTGAGTTCTAGCTACCTATAACTACAGTAGTTTGCCCTTCTATGCTTCATCTGTAAAATGGAATATTTAATTACTTTACAAAGTTGTGATATCAAAAAACAACTTAAGTGAAAGTTTGGACTGGTATCCAGCAGGTCACAGGGGCATAATGTGTTAAGCTCCTTCATCGTCATTAATTAATATGTCCACCTATTCACAAAGCTTAAATATAGCTATATGTTCCAAAATGTGAAAAAAAAATCTGGGCTGATTGTGGTGGCTTATGCCTGTAATCCCAGCACTTTGGGAGGCTGAGGAGTTTGAGACCAGCCAGGGCAACATAGGGAGACCCACTCTGTCTATATATATACATTTAAAAATCTGTCTTCATCCATAGGTGTAGAATGATTTGATGCTTAAAGTAACTAAAACACTTTGGGATTTAAAAAATTAGAGTATTATTTAAATCATCTTGAAAAAGAAAGATAAGATGAAAAGGGGGCTGATAGAGGAGAAATTAAAATAACATTCCTACCCCAGCTTCCTTTGATTCAGTATTTCATCATAAGCCTTAACATACTCATAATTTTCAGTAGTATAGTATTTATTTCTAGCCCAACTGTCACTGCTCTTGCTTTTTTCTCTTCTTTCATTCTGCCTTTAACTCATGTTACTTTGCTGTATTTTATGTTAATCTGTAAGCGCCCTCAAACCTTTTTTGAAACACAGAGGGGTATAAATAAAATAAAGTAGTGTGTGCCAGACATGGTAACTTCAGAAGGAGAGCCCAAGAAATCATAATTCTTAACAGTGCCTAACACATACTTCCAGCCCATAATCTGTGGCCTGTTGGGCAACAAAACCAACTTTTGCCTTTTCCTAAACTTCTTTAATTGTAAAAATTATAGTTGCTCCCATCTATTAAGTACTTAATACGTGCTCTGTGCTCACTGTTAGTCTAAGACCTCTGATTATTCATTTAATTTTCCCAATAATTCTAGGAAGCAGGTAATAATTATTATCCCCAATGTACAACCAAGGAAATTGAGTGACAAACAAATTAAGTCCGTTTCTCAAGGTCAGGCACCTGCTAAGTGGTGAGCTAGGGTCCCTCTGAAGGCAGCCTGACTCCAAACCTGTTTCTCTCTTAGCCACTATGTAATGCAATTCATAGGGGAATTAAAAAGTCCTCATAAAGGTCTTAGAATATATATATATATATTTTATGAGACACGGTCTTGCTCTGTCGGCCAGGTTGGATTGCAGTGGCATGATCTTGGCTCACTAAAACCTCCGCCTCCTGGGTTCAAGCGAGTGTCCTGCCTCAGCCTCCTGAGTAGCTGGGATTACAGGCACATGCTACCATGCTCCGCTAATTTTTGTATTTTTAGTAGGGATGGAGTTTTGTCATGTTGCTCAGGGTGATCTCAAACTCCTGGCCTCAAGTGATCTGCCCACCTCAGCCTCCCAAATTGCTGGGATTACAAGCCTGAGCTGCTGCACCCAGGTGGTCTTAGCAACACTTTATAATTCTTCCTTGATTTGGTTTTAGCCTCATAGATATTGATAAATCATCTAAAAAACCATTCTCTTACACTCTATTATAAGTTAATTTTCTGCCCTTAAAGTTGTTCTTTTTCTTTAAACATAATAAATAAAAATAAGAAAGTTGTTATTTATCCTTTCTTCAATATATTTCTCAAAAATTTCAATACAGATTTTACATGGCTAGGAAGGAGAAAGAATGAGTGAAAATAGCCTGCTCTTTCAAACAGTCAAATCAATTCAACAAAATATTCACAGAGACATCACCATAGCAGACCAAATGACAGATCCTGGGGCTATGCAGAGTAGGCTTCTTTGGCTTCATGGTGCCTATGTCCAATGGGGAGTCCAAATATTAAACATGAAGTGATGTCTTCATTCATTAGTGCTGCTATAACAAAATACCACAGCCTGGGTAATTTATAAAGAAAAGAAATGTATTTTCTCGCAGTTCTGGAGGCTGGTAAGTCCAAGATCAAAGTACTGGCTGGTGACGGAGGGCCCAGTCTCTCTGCTTCCAGGATGGTACTTCGGTGATGCAACCTCCAGAGGGGAGCAAAGCTATATCATCACATGGCAGTTGGCAGAAGGACAAGCTAACCAAATGCTTTGCAAAGCTTCTTTTATAAGGGCCTTAATCCCATTCAGGAGGGAGGAGTCCTTGTGGCCTAATCTCCTGTTAAAGTTCCCACCTGTTTATCCTATTACATTGTCCTTTAATTCTGAACATCTGAATGTTGGAGGGGACATATTCAAATCCTGGCAAGTGATAATGTTATGAGAGAGAGAATGGTAATAACTCAGGGTTCTCTGAGAGCCAGGGGATGGGTACTGTATCCAGATGAGTAATTTAGGATAGCACTCATTCCCTCAGGCTTCCCACTGAAAAGGTTGCTTTGGTTGAGGTCTTTTGAAAGATGTCATGAGAGACGAAGTGAAGGCTTTCAGAGTATTGCGTTTTAGTCAGCTCAGGATGTCATAACAAAGTGGCTTAACAATATAAATTTATTTCTTGAAGTTCTACAGGCTGTGAAGTTCAAGATGAAGGTGCCAGCATGGTTAGTTTCTGGTGAGGGCTCTCTTCCTGGCATGTAGACAGCTGCCTTCTCACTTGTGTTCTCACCTGCCAGGGAGAAAGAGGAAGAAACAGTGAATTCTCTAGTTTCTCTTCTTATATGGACACTAATACTATAAAATCAGGGTGCTACTTTTATAACCTCATATAACCTTAATTACCTCCATAAAGGCCTTATCTCCAAATATGGTCACATTGGGTGTTGAGACTTCAACATATGAATTTTGAGAGACACAAATATTCAGTCCATAGCATATGAGTAGGGGGAGGGAAGAGTGAAAGAGTTTGAGCATGGAGAGATTTCAGGAAAAAAATATAGAATTGAGACCCTGTTGATTTCAAGGATCTGAACATAATTCCATAATTAAGGTGTTTGGATACTAGAAGGTTAATGAGTTCAGCAAAAGTTTAGGCTTTATCCAAACAGCAACAATGATGAGAAATCATAGAAATGCTTTACCACAGAAGGGACACAATGTCATATAATTCTTGAGGAGCCTTATAATAGTAAGGAGGATAGGACAGGGGCAAGCTGGAAGGCAGACAGTTGAGGAGATTGTAGTTTCAGGCGAGAGGCACTGAGGACAGAAAGGAGTGGGAAGATTAAGGAGAGATGTTTAGGGGGTCAAAACAGCAGGATTTTGAGATGAATTCAACTCTGTGAAAGAGGGGAAGGGAGAGGTGTCAAAGATGGTGTCCAGGCTGCTGGCTGGGTCCTCCCCAGCACTTGGTGCTCCAGGAGAGAGGAAACAGGCATTAGATAGAGAACACAAAAAGAGAATTGTCTGTGTCCCAGGCAGCGCAGTGAGAAAACTCTCCCTACTTGCTAAGAGCCCCAAGCATAGCTGGAGTCTCTAACGGCCAGAGCTTTCTGTCATTTAGCTTGCCTTTTATAGCCACCTTTAAGCCTTAAAGTTTAAAAACTAACGATGCCTCACTGGTGTCCATTTATCAGCTTTCACCAATTTCCCCATAGGCTCATGTTCTGAGTATTTGTATTATCTTCTTTGGTATATTCCTCTAAGTACATGGAGATCCAGGCTATGAGAAACAGACCTCTGTGATCTTGTCAGTGGATATTGATTAGCTGAGCAATCGGGAAGCCAGGAGATCTGAAATTTATTTTCCGAAATATGTCCAGATTAAAAAGTAGTTAAATATAATAATAAGAAGTAATGTTTATTCAGTGTTAGCAGATATCAAGTACTAGGCGTGTATGTGTGTGGGTGTGCGTGTGTGTGTGTATATATATATATATATATATATATATATATATACACACACATAATTTAATCCTGATAGCCACTCTCTAAGCCATATTATCACATCTTACAGATGAAAACATTGAGATTTTGGATTTAAATGATTTGCAAGTGAATCTCACAGCTGAGAAGTCAAATCCAGGCAGACTGACTCATAATGCTCAAATCATAATTTTTATGCCATTTTGTGTCTCCAATTTTGTTTTTATGATAGCTTAACAACTGAGAATTTTAAACATTTTGTCCATTAAACTGCAGCATATGTATTGTGATTTAAAATAGCTTTCTTATTATATTAATAGAGACTTATTGTGAGAAACTTGAAAAATATAAGGAAAATAAAAATCATCCATAATCTTATCACCTGAAGATAACTATTATTACAATTTTGATGTATTTCATGCCAGTATTTTTGGTACTTTTTTATAGTTGAGATCAGTGTTTATAAATTATAATCATGCTTTTTCATTTAAATTATAAACATAATCATTTCTCTGTGCTATTAAGCATGATTTACAAATGTTATTTTCAATGGCTGTAAAATATTTCATTACATGGATATATTATAATTGATGTAACCATTGAAGCATTTTTGAACATTTAGATTTTTTTCCTGTTTTACTACTATAAATAATACATTTGATATTTCAAATTATTTCCTTAAAAAATAATCACTAGAAGTATAATTATTGCTTCAAAAAGGGTAGGCACAAAAAAAAGCAAGGGTAGGCACATTTTGAAGGCTCTTATTGCTTTCCAAAAACAGTGAAACAGTACACTCAGCCGGGAATAAAAATTCCCATCTCACTATAGCCTTACCAGCACCAAGTACTATCACTTTGATATCTTCATTAAAAATTTCATTTAAAGTCCTATTTCCTTGAGTACAGACAACATTTAACATTATTATATGCATTTGAGGTTGTTTTTATCTTTTCTTGAATTTTTTTCTTTTCCTGTTCCTTATCCATTCTCCTTTCATTCAACAAATATCTATTGAGCAACTATTATGTGCTAGGCTTTATCTAAAACTCTGAAAATAGAGTAGTAAAGGAGATAGGCACAATCTCTGCTCTTGTGGTGCTGATAGGAGAAGGCATATAATAAATGAATTAAAAAGTTAAGAAATAATCTGACAGTAGAAGAGTTTTGCAGGCTATTTACTTAAAAAGGGTAATATGGGCCAGACGCGGTGGCTCATGCCTGTAATCCCAGAACTTTGGGAGGCTGAGGTGGACGGATCACCTGAGATCAGGAGTTCAAGACCAGCCTGGCCGACATGGTGAAACCCTGTCTCTACTAAAAAACACAAAAATTAGCTGGGCATGGTGGTGGGCGCCTGTAATCCCAGCTACTCGGGAGGCTGAGGCAGGAGAATCGCTTGAACCCAGGAGGCAGAGGTTGCAGTGAGCCGAGATTGCACCATTGCACTCAAGCCTGGGGGACAAGAGTGAAACTCCATCTCAAAAGAAAAGGGTGGGGGGGGTGGCGGTGGGTAATAGGATGAAGCATAAAGCAGAGTTCTTAAAGTTTTCATTCTCAAGAACACTTCACATTCTTAAAAATTATGGAGAACCCACTGTGGGTTATGTATACATAGCAATATTTACAGTATTAGAAATGAAAACTGAGAAATGTGTAAAACAGAAGAACACTCAAGCACACATTCCATTGTCCATCAGAGAGATGTGATCACCCATCATATAGTCCCTGGAAAACTCTACTCTATACTTGGAAGAGAGTGAGAATGAAAAGGCAAAGAATGACTTGGTATTATTATAAAAACAGTTTTGATGTAACAGACCCCCTGCAAAGATTTTGGGGAATCCCTGGCATCCCCAGACCATATTTTGTGAACCACTGTGGTAGAGAATGACTTGCTACTTTGGACTGGGTGTCTAGAGGAGGTCTCTCTGAGAATATGACATTTAAACCAGGATTCAAACCATGATAAAGAACTGCAGTGTGGGTTGGGCGTGGTGGCTCATGCCTGTAATCCTAACATTTTGGGAGGCCAAGGCAGGTGGATCACCTGAGGTCAGGAGTTCGAGACCAGTCTGACCAACATGGAGAAACCCTGTCTCTACTAAAAATACGAAATTAACTGGGCATGGTGGCACATGCCTGTAATCCCAGCTACTCGGGATGCTGAGGCAGGAGAACCGCTTGAACCCGGGAGGGGAAGGTTGCAGTGAGCCAGTCTGGGCAATAAGTGTGAAACTCCATCGCAAAAAAAAAAAAAAAAAAAAAAAAAGAGCTGTGGTGTGAATGTGTGAATGTCAAAGGGAAGAACATTCTGGTGAAAAGGTATAGCATGGGTGAAAGCCCAAAGGAGGGAATGGGCAGAGTTCGTTGGAGAAACACAAGTAAGACCAGTGTGTTAATCTTAATAACGTGCCTTTCTATAAGATTTTTAAGAGAAATTTTACTATATGCAGTTTTAGACTGAACTTAGACCCCACACCTTCCGAACGATGTACCTCTTATTCGCTAATTAGAGAAAGGAAAGCAATGGAATCACTTTTGTCCCAGTGGGTAAGCAAGGGCTCATGGTGATGAATGTGAAGTTGAATTTGCCCACATTTAAGAACTCAGTACCCAACACCAAGGTTTATAGCAACATTTAGCATTCATTTCACGTAGTTGCCTTTGTTAGCTTTTAAGTCAAGAACAGTTGGCAGGAAAATTCCCCCTTTTTTGTCTTAGTAAAACTTAGATCTCCATCAAGTTTCTCTTTTATGAGGCAGAACAAGGTGTGGACAAACCAGGCTGCTGCTGCACCCTTCCATTCATGAAGCCAGACTTACCTATATGAGTCTCAGCATCACTCCAGAAATTAAAACAAATAGAATGCCATTAGCCCAATGACCTGCCAGCATTTCAGTTTAGGATCTAATGTAAGATTCTCAGTAGAAAACTAAATATTAGGATATAAATGGGACACCAAAATTAAGCACTAGTCTGCTTTAGTGCTTGAGGTCTACTAGGGAGATATGGACCAAAAACACAGACACCCCTGGAGCCATGGAATGTTAAAAAGCACCCCAAATTCCAGCCATTGCTCTTATGACCAAAGAAGCCAAGGGACCAGTCTTACAGTTTTTGCATACATGTATTTTAACTAATTAGCAACATGTTTCCAGGGTTCTTGTTAAGTATAGATTCCTGGAACCAGCCTCTGCTCTACAGAGTTGGAATCTCCAGGGAAGAGCCCTGGGAATCCCTCTTTTAAGTAACTGTTCTACTTCATTCTTATCAAGCAAGTTTGATTACACCGACTTAGTTCTTTTGAACTGTTTGCCAGCAATCCCTACCTGCTATCATAAAACTGGCCAGCCACCAGGGATACCACTGCGGCAGGATTTCCCAGAATTCTTGATAAGAATCACCTATTTAATTAAATACAGACTCCCGGGTCCAATCCTACCAGCTGGATTAGGATTTTCAGGAAAGAAACCTGGACTCTACCTTTTAGTGACACCTTTGTCATTCCTACCACCAGGCAAGTGCTAGAAACCCTGAAACAAATTATACTTGAATCAAATAGTAAACAAAGTCAGTGAAGCTGAATATAAACAATTTTGTAATTCTGAGCTTTCCACATATGGTTCCAATAAATCACATCATCAGACGGAGGCATTCTATGCTTCCATTTACATAAAGCACAAAACAACCAAAGCTAAAGTGTGCTGTTAAAAATTCAGAAAGTGATTAGCCTTGGGGGCTTGGTGATTGGAAAGAGACAGTAGGGGGCTTTTTCGGGAACTGTAAATGTTCCCTTTGTTTATCTAGCATTGGTTTAACAGGTATGTTCTGTTTGCAGAACTTCATCAAATTACATATGTTTATGTGTATATATTTAATGTATAGCATGTGTGTATATATACATAGCTGTATATGTACATATATATACTTATACATCAATAGAAATGTTTTTCAGAAAGATTTAAAGGTGGAGGCATTATAAAGTTTAGTTGAAAAATAAGGAAACACATATATGCCAAGAGTGGCTCCTAAATCAGCATTTTTATCAATATTAAAGATATTCAACCCAAATAAATGTGGATTTAAGATTATGTGTTTTACCCCTGGAAAAATAGAATGCCTGCTCTAAGCCCTGAGGATTCCTGTTTCTGGGAGATAAGGTTTTCCTAAAGTTCAAGTTTGATATCAATCTTTGTATTGTTTTAAGTATAGAAAAAAAATTCACGAATTTGGACGCAGAAGCAAAATCTCTACCTCTGAATTTGGGGCACCAGATGGCCGAACACCATTTATTTATTTTTAGCCTCTTGTGAAAAAATTAGTGCCCAACAACTGAATGAACTACTTTTTTTTTAATTTTCCACAAAAATTTAAATTTATTTTTAAATCGCCGAATTAAAACAATGCAAATACAATTTTGGAATACAAAAAGATATAAAATCTTAAAACTATATAATTATTAAGATTTTTGACTATTTTACATTTTAAAAGACGTATGTTTTTACCTGGCATATTAACTATAATTACTAATTTGTGTCCTGCTTTTTAAACTTAATATATAATATAATTTGCTTATTTAATTATGCTTATGGTTTATTTTGTGCACCCCTCCTTCAACTAGAATATAAGTGTTACAAAGATAGGACAAAGGTTCATGCTTATTTTGTTCCGTGATATCTTTCAAGTGCTTACAACAATACCTGGTACATTTAGGTGCCCAGCAAATATTTTTTGTGGATTAAATGTTGAGCATATTATATATGTATGTATATAGTAAATGTTGAGCATATTATGCATAAAAGGATATATGTGTGTATATAAAAAGATATAAATGTATATATATATACACATACATATATATCTTTTTATATATCTTTTTCTATTGCTATAGTTTTCCAACTTTTCTTTCAAATAAATTTTATTCTTCACTCTTGAGAAGAGTAATCCTGGAAAAAAAATATTCCTACTCAATGTTCTACATTTAACATTTCACAAGACCATCTTATCTTTAATACTTTTTAAGTCAGAAACTGGTTGCAAATTCGAATGCTTCTAAGCTTAGCCAGTTAAATAAGTGATCATCTGGGGTGTGAAAGAGGGTTGCAATAAGGAGTGGTGGGATCTGCAGAAAACTTAGAGTGTACCTCCCACCATATCCAGAAGGGGCAGCAGCCATTCATCTCTAGACAATAATATCTATGCAAGAATTAGAGTGCAGTGCCCACCAGGTCATTTGATTTTTCATGAGAAGACAGAAATGTGAAATTTTACCTGTGTGCTTCTGATCTTCAGTATTGCCAACTAAATCTAATTTTTATAAAACTTTGTGCAAATTTACACACCCGGCCTAACAAAATAAATCCTAGGGTACAATGAGATACCATTTTACATCCATCAGGATGGCTATTATTAAAAAACAAAAAAAAAACCTCCAGAAAATAACAGGTATTAGTGAGGATGTAAAGGAACTGGAACCCTTGTGTTTAGCTGGTGGAAATGTAAAATGACACAGCCTGTGGAAAATTGGATAACAGTTCCTCAAAAAATTACACACAGAATTACCATATGATCCAGCAATTTCACTACTTGGTATACACCCAAGAGAGTTGAAAGTCTCTAAGAGATATTTGTACACCTGTGTTCATTGCAGCATATTTATTTATTTATTGAGACAGGGTCTCATTCTGTCACCCAGGCTGGAGTACAGTGGCACAAGCACAGCTCACTGCAGCCTCGACCTCTCCAGGCTTAAGCGATCCTCCCATCTCAGCCTCCTGAGTAGCTAGGACAACAGGCACACACCAGCATGCCTGGCTAATTTGCTGTTGTTGTTGTTGTTATAGTTGTTATAGCAAAGGGGTTTCGCTGTGTTGCCCAGGCTGGTTTCCAACTCCTAGGCTATAAAGTAATCTGCCTGCCTTGGCATCCCAAAGTGTTGTTTTATAGGCATGAGCCACCGCACCCAGTCAGCTTTATTCACAAGAGCTAAAACATGGAAGCAACCTAACTGTTCATCAACAGATGAATGGGTAAACAAAATGTGGTATATACATACAATGGAATATTATTTAGTCTGAAAAACGAATACAATTCTGACATATACTGCAATATAAATGAATCTTGAAGACATTATGCTACACAAAATAAGCCAATCACAAAAAGACAAATACTGTATGATCCCACTTATATGAGGTACCTACAGTAGTCAAATTCAGAGACAGAAAGTGGAATGGTACTTGCCAGGGGCTAGGGGTGAGAGAATGGAGAGTTACTCTTCAATGGGTACTGAGTTTCAGTTTGGAATAATGAAAAGTTCTGGAGTTGGATGGTGGTGAGGGTTGCACAACAACGTGAATGTACTTAACACCACTGAACTATACACTTAAAAATGGTTAAAATGTCAATTTTATGTTCTGTGTACTTTACAAAAAATAATCATCATCATCCAGTGAACCTACCTCCAGTGTGAAACTCCTCCTCCAGCTGTCTATGCAGATTATGTATCGGAAAACTGGCTTCCCATCACTTGTGCAGTTATTTGTGTACGTGATTGCAATGCTTTTGTCTTTTGTGTTTTGGTTCACTATATGGAGTAGGCTGCCCCGAAAGCAAATGTATCAGTAACAGTAAGACAAACACTAGACCAGGATATTGTAGAAGAAATTGAAATGCTGACTCCATCTGGACTTTTACCATACAACATTTAAAAGCCTTTGAATCCTATTATTTTCTGAGTATATTTGAGAGCATACAGCCTTTTAGAATCATTTGCCTTTCAAATTGCATTTCTGTAACAATCAATGATTGTACTTGAAACCCTAGGGAAGATGTCTAACTTCTCCATTGTTTTCTGTCATCATTAAAATAGACACTAGTACTTGTAAACAAAACTAGCTAGAGTGTGCTTTAAAATCATTGAATTAATATTATTGTGTAAGTAGAAAAATCCAATTACTACTATAGCGAATATCTACTGTCCTTCATATGGCTAAATCATACTTACAACCATTCCATGCTGTAAAATACCCTCAACAGGTACAAACTGAAAAGAAAAGCCCATAAAGAAGGCCAAAATAAAAAATGAATACTTTTTTTTTGAAATTATACGGAAAGCAAAACCATCAACCCAGTTAAACTTTCAGGTTTTTTCCCAGTGCTCCAATTGAAAATTCCAAAGCGAATATTCCCATAAATATATTCTCTATTTGTCACAAAGAGACACGTGGAAATTAGTTTGCTTCAAAACAATAATACTAAAAAAACCACAAATTCTGATTCCAGTTGACTTAAGAAGAAAGACAAAGTAAAAATAAAAAAGTCTGTTAGACTACAACAAACTTGAACAAGTTCCCAAAGGGCAACTGAAATTTCATCTCCTTTTTTTTCTCTCCTGCTGGCTTCCCCTCACTCTGCCCAGAAAGTCCTAATTTTAGCTGTCAGCAAGAAAATGCTATACAGCTTTAGTAAATCAAATGCTTTTTTACTGGAGACAGTCTCTGGGGGGAATGGAGCTAACTGAAAGATTAGATGGAATTTAATTTTTAATCCAGAAATGTATCCTTAACAGGAGTCCTTTAAATAGCAGATGCCATCTTTTATTATTAATGTGGGTGTTAACCCCAAAGCATGTCACCTCCCAGAAGATTTCTGCAATTCCTTTAGCAAAATGACACTAAGGAAAGCCTGCCTCTTTTTTTGTGGCTAACCCACTGGGCATTTGCTGTGTTCAAAGAGATGAGAAAGGTACACATTCCTACATTCTGTAATGGCAGAAGGACCACAGAGAGAAAAGCACAAATAATCTGGCTTTTCTTCCCCTTTAATCTGTGATCAATTTAAATAGGTTACTTCAGTATGTAGATGTAAGCAGAATATTTCTTTTCAAACATATTGGTTCACCTTCCTTGAGTGTATTCAGAGCCTCTAAAACCAAAGAGAAAGATGACCTAAGATTAAAAAGGCAGGCCACATATGGTGGCTCATGCCTGTAATCCCAGCACTTCCAGAGGCCAAGGCAGGCAGATCGCTTGACCTCAGCAGCTGGAGACCAACCTGGGCACCATGACGAAACCCCATCTCTACAAAAACTTTTAAATGTTAGCCAGGCATGGAGGTGCATGCCTGTAGTCCCAGCTACTCAGGAGGCTGAAATGGGAGGGTGGCTTGAGCTTGGGAGGCAGAGGTTGCAGTGAGCAGTGATCATGCCACAGCAAGTAGCATAAATTAGGTTTCTGGTTTATTTAGGTAGGAATTAGAAATACATCTAAAACAGAATAAAGTTTATTAAATAGTTTTAATTAAGGTAGGGAGATTGAACAACTTCATGTTTAGAATCAAAAATGTGTTCCTGAACCAAACTGAACATTTCATTCACTTTGCTTATATGTTCTCAGAATGAAAAAGAAAAAACAGCAAATGAATCTCTCTCTCCACTCCCAACTTTGGAACCATATTTGTTTGAACCATGTGTATTACCATTTTTTAGGTCAAATACAATTGATATTAGCAATTTCATAATGTTCAAGCTTCACATTGCTTTTCCAAATCATGAAATTTTTAAATATCTGAGCTAATATGGCTATGCAAACACCTATAGTATGATATAATGGACATCAGAGACCCAAAATGGGGAGGGGTGGGAGGAGGATGAGGGAAGAAAAACTACTCATTGGGTACAATGTGTACTATTCAGGTGATGGGTGCACTAAAATCCCAGACTTCACCACTATATAGTTTATCCATGCAACCAAAAATCACCCGTATTCCTAAAGCTATTGAATTAAAAAATTAAAAATTTTAATACATATCTGAGTGAAGGTGCCTCCCACACTGTATATAGATAACCAGATGTTCCCTTTGTGTAAAGACCATAATGTCAATTGGAACATATTTAGACTCTGGGTTTTAAGAAGAATCACATGTGCTATTGGAAATATGCATGTGTATGTGAACTTCTAGTTTAAAGAATGTACCATTGTCTTGCTCTGCTAGTACAACAACTAATCACCACAATGTAGGGATAAGTAAAAAGTCAAGTACTGCATCAAACTACAAAATGATCCTCAATGTTTCTTTTCAAATGCCTTTCTAAACATTCTGACTTATCGTTTGGCAGGCTAGAAGCAGCAGCCCTGCCAGGGGTTAGTCTTGCCCTCGCCCACTTGTGTCTCAGTGAATCTTAGAGAATGTCCTTTTGCTCAAAGGATATCAAAGGAAAGGATCAAGCCCTCGGTATTACTGTGAAATGTCATTTGCACACCACTTTATGTGTTAGTAGAATGCAAGAATGTGAAGTTCAACAAATGGAGCCTTCTATGAGGAATGCGATCAATGAGATTCCAGGCCCTCACTTACGCACACATGTTTTCAGTTGCTAGTGATTTATTTTGCTGATCCTTTCAATTTGTCAACCATGTGAGAATAGATTCTCAGTCTTCAGGATTCTAATACCAATCACATGGCTAAAATTAGAACTCCTGAGTTTGTGCTAAGTGCCTTTAATCTGTATGACTCTGGAAAATAAAAGGGATCTGAGAGCATTAGGGAGAGGTACAGAGACCTCCTCACTGATTAGATTGTCTCCATCTAATCATTTATGGTTCCTGCTTCCAGAAATTAGAGTAGCTGATCACTTATTTATCCTTCCTCTAATTCTGCCACTTGGGTGGAGATCCAAGTCACTCTTAATTTGTCTTATTTTAGCAACATATAATCTAGCTAATTTGCTCCTTAAGAATTAAGTTCCAAGTCAAACGTTTCCCTTTAAGCCTAGATCTTGTTATGTCCAAACAGCCAGGAAAGTTTGGGGAGGGAAAGGAAATCTATCAAATAACTGGATGATTCATCTCAGAGAGCACAATATCTAAGCAGGTGGAAACGCTGCATGAATCAGAAGCACTAATCTGTGTGCTAATGGACCATTTATTT
This sequence comes from Homo sapiens, assembly GCF_000001405.40. NCBI lineage: Eukaryota > Metazoa > Chordata > Mammalia > Primates > Hominidae > Homo > Homo sapiens. The sequence goes on from NC_000007.14 coordinate 21,305,629, forward strand.
GCATTTCATTTTCCTTGGGGAAAAAAAAAGTCCCATGTCAATCTTTCTAATTTTGAGTGCAATATGCATATCTATTGATATTTAAAGAAAAGAACTGCACACATACTGGTATTCATATCACTAAGCTGCATAATTGGTTTCTGTTTTGAAATACAAAGGTATCAACTAAATGACTCACACAAGGTATTTCCAAACACTCATTTGATAAAATGATTAACACACTGAAAATATTCAAGGTTTTTAATAAACTGGTGGATTTTTGCTAAACATTAAATGACAAGAGGAGTCCAAAAGTTCAAATTGTATAAAATCCAGAGGTACCTTATTCCAAGAGAATAACCAGGCAGAACTGCCCACATAGCAAATCCTTAGTTGTTGGGGTCCAGCTGTATGAATCAACACCGTACTGGCCCCAGCTGTCATTTGGTGCCACTTATACTGGTGCCACTAACCTAGTGGTCTGATCTGACCTAAATATCAACAGGAAAATTCTGGCTTCCATGGCTCCCTGGGACTTCCAGGACTCAAGCAGCAGTTCCAAGAATCTCCTCATTGGCTGGTTCTCAATTCACATGTGTGATTGGGGAGACTGAGGAAGAAAAATACTGTATCTACAAGTCTTTCCTTTTTTCTGCCATTTCCCAAAATTGAGTTTCCTGCTTTATCCACCCTGATTTGAGAATGCAAGCTGGACAGAAAATGAAAGTCAATAACCAATTACAAAATATCCTGATTCACATAATCACAGGATTCTACTCTATTATTTTCAATGTTGTTTTGACAGTGACACCACCTTTGCAAACATTGTGACAGCAAGAGAAGTCTAGCATGGCTGACTCCATGTTTCTCTAGCCTCACAAGCTGGCTGTCTTCACTCATTCCTGAGCATAGGCTGAACTAACCATGGGAGGAATTTAGTTTAATTTTTAAAGCAAGGATAATAGTCCCTCACTAAAACTGCTCCCCTCCTTGTTTAGAGACCACCTCTGTACAACTAATGAAAGGACAGAGATTAGGATTACAGGAGGAGCCTGAATTCTTCAAAGATATAGGCATTGTTTCTATAATCCCTTACTGCTCAGGAGTCGTGTCTAGAGATCACAACTTTTCTGACTTCCCCAATTGCTCCCATAGTTAGCAGCATCACTATTGCAGAAACTAAGATTGAGCTTTTCAGATTTTTTTTCAGACTGTTGCATTCTGGAAACTGACCCTACCTAGACCTGTGACTTATGACTCAAATGGCCCTGTGGCCCCTCACCCAGATGCTGACTCAACACTCAAGGACCACTTTCCACACCCCCATAATTTCACTCCCAGCCAATCAGTAGCACCTGTTCCCTAGCCCCCATCCACCAAAATTACCCATAAAACTCCTAACACCTGAGTTCAAAGAGCAACTGATTTGAGTAATAACTCCAATCATTCCATTTGGCCAGCACTGCATTATTTAAACTCTTTCTTTACTCCAACACCAGTCTCAGTGAATTGGTTTTGTCTGTGCAGCAAGCAAGACGAATCCCTCAGGTGATAACAAATGCTTCTAAGAGCTGTTGGTACTAGGCTGATACTCAGAAATATAGTCTGACCTTCATGTCAGTGTTTTTGTAAGCCGACAATCATTAAACATCCAGTTCTGGAAAAATAACGAATATATTCACTGCTTACATTGGTTACTTCATATAATCATTCAACCTTATGACATAGGCAGACTTATTATTCCCATTTTAAACATGAGAAAACTGAGGCACAGTGAACTAATTGATCAAGGTCACTGTATTCATTTCCTAGTATTAGTTTTCCTTTTAAGCACCCAGTTCCACAAACTGGGTGCTTAAGACAACAGAAACTTATTGTCTCAAAGTTCTGGGTGCTGGAAATCCAAAATCAAGGTGTCAGTAGTGCCATACTTCTCTGAAACTTGTAGGGGAGTGGTTTCCAACCTTCTTGGCACCAGCAAGTCATTTTGTGGATCCAATTTTTCCATGGACCAGATGGTGGAGGGATGGTTTCAGGATGATTCAAGTTCATTACATTTATTGTACACTTTATTTCTATTATTATTACAGTGTAATATATAATAATTATACAACTCACCATAATGTAGAATCAATGGGATTCCTTAGCTTGCTTTCCTGCAACTAGATGGTCCCATCTGCAGTTGATGGGAAACAGTAACAGATCATCAGGCATTAGATTTTCATAAGGAGTGTGCAACCTAGATTCCTCACATGCATTGTTCACAATGGGGTTCATGCTCTGGTCTGTGGCCTGGGGGTTGGGGACCTCTGCTGTAGGGGAATCCTTCTTTGCCTCTTCCTAGTTCCTGGTAACCCCAGATGTTCCCTGGCTGTATATGCATCACTCCACTCCTCCTTGTTCCAACCTAATGTCTTCTCATGGTTTTCTGCTTATGTGTCTCTGTGTCTTTTCATGATCATCTTCTTGTAAGGATACCAATCATATTGGATTAAAACCCCAACCTACTCCAGTATGGCTTCATCTTACCTAATTATATCTACAACTACCATATCCCCAAATAAGGTCACATTCTAAAAAAATGGGGGTTAGGACTTGAATATATCTTTTTGAGGGGACGCAATTTAACCCATAAATGTCACATAGCTAGAAAGTAGGACAGTAAGGATTAGGATTCATGTAATCTGCTGTCTCAAATTTAAGGATATGAAGAAGATAGCAGACAGGATGTTACATCACAGTACATGCAATATCTAAATTGAAAGACATCTTGAACATCTGACCCCTGCCTTAACCTCCTCTGGAAAACAAACATTCTATTGTTGGGTTAGTACTTTAGTTTACTCCCTTAAGATTCTGATGTATTCCTTTTTATACCTTTCGGAATTCAGAGCTATGGTTAATATGAAATTTCCATAAGACACATGAAAGAGCACTTTTTTTTTTTTTTGGTAGAGATGGGTTTTGCTATGTTGTCCAAGCCAGTCTCGAACTCCTAGCCTTAAGCCATCCTCCTGCCTCAGCCTCCCAAAGTGCTGCTGGGGCTGGCATTAGCTAGGATTATAGGTGTGAGCATCATGCCTGGCCTATTTTCTTTACTAATAACAAGTAAACTTCAGCTAGTGCTTACTATACGCAGACATTTTACTAAATACTTTGAGAGCCTTGGTCCATTAGATCATCACAATAATCTCATGAAGCAGGGATCATTATTGCTTTCATTTTATAGATATAGACACTGAAGTGTAGAGAAATCAGTGGACTTGCTCAATGTCATTAAACTGGCTCTATGCAATCTATCTCCAGAGCACAGGCTGTTAACTCTCCTGATCCTTGCCTCTCTCTTCCGAAAGTTAAAAACATGGTGACAATGTTCCAAGGTTGCACTGTCTGGTCACTGCCATTGAAAAAAAGAAACTCTAATTTGGTCACATAACCACCTTGGCTAAATCCTATTCTTCTAAAAGTCTTAGTCTCACTAGTTATATATGTGATCAAATATAAAAATTATATGTAAAAAATTGTGTAAACTTACTTTCACTTGATCGTTGGTCAATGTTTGATTAACTCAAGTTGAATAGAGCAAAATCCCATTACATAATCGATCCATTTATAAGCTTTGTTAATTAAATTAGCTAAAGATTTTTAACTATATTTAGTCTGAACATTTTCTTTTTTCTTATTTTTTATTTATTTTATTTCATTATTTTTGAGACAGGGTCTGGCTCTGTTACCCAGGCTGGAGTACAATGGCTCAAGCTCAGCTCACTGCAACCTCCGCTTCCCAGGCTCAAGCACTTCTCCTGCTTTAGCCTCTAGAGTAGCTGGGACTACAGGTGCACGCCACTGTGCCCAGCTAATTTTTGCATTTTTGGTAGAGGTGAGGTTTCACCAGAACACTTTCTTTTTAAGTACTGCAAATATCTGATAAGGCAAAGTTACAAACTTAAGCAAATCTTCCTCTTATAAATAAGCTAAATTTACAAATAAAAATTTTAAGTTGTCTCAAACATTTGGGTACTATTTGTATGCTTAATAACATTTTCTTACACCTTTCTGCTGAAAATGCATAAGACTTTTAAAACATTTTCAAATTATAACAACGTCGATCCTTTTGACTTTAATACCTAAGTGTCACACTCTATTCTATTATCTCCATATTAATTTCTTAATCTTCTCTGCTTGGAAAATCATTTCATTAATGAAACAGATTTGTCATGAAATGTGGAGAACATTTCTGGAACTGGAGATGAGGGATCAAGATATGGTTACTCATTATTGAGAGTTTTAAGACTGAGACATGAGACCAAGAGTTATGTTAGTCTAGGATATGCTTATCCGAGTTACATGAATATAATGAACTATTTTTTGTTTTTGGTTTTGGTTTTTTATTTGTTTGTTTGTTTGTTTTTGAGACGGAGTCTCACTCTGTCACCCAAGCTGGAGAGCAGTGGTGCAATCTCAGCTCACTGCAATCTCCACCTCCCAGGTTCAAGCAATTCTTCTGCCTCAGCCTCCTGAGTAGCTGGGACTACAAGTGCACCACCACACTCAGCTAATTTTTGTATTTTTAGTAGAAACAGGGTTTCACCATGTTGGCCAGGCTGCTCTCAGACTCCTGACCTCAAGTGATCTGCCCACCTCAGCCTCAGCAAGTGCTAGGATTACAGGCATGAGGCACCGCACCTGGCCTAATGAACTGTTTTTAAAGGCCCTTGTGTCAACAAGAAACTCCAAGTCCATACCATATAGCTGGAGTATAGTTTGGTAACCTATGCCTCCTGGATTTTTATACCTTAAATAATTAATTCATCTTTCATTCATTCATAATATCTTCTAATTCAGCACCTGATGTTTGTTAGTAAACAATTTCCTTCTGCCTTTATTTGGATTCTGCAAATTTCTTCACTGCTTGATTAGACTATATTCTGATTTTTTTTTTTTTTTTTTTTTTTTTGCCTTGAATAGCTCTTGGCCACAACTCTGTGTTCCTTTTTTTTTTTTAAAAAAAATCATTGACATATAATTAATTTACATGCCATATAACTGACACATTTCACATGGACAACTAAATAGTTTTTAATGTTCATGGATATGTGCAATCATCACCACAGTCAATTTTGAAATATTTTTCTCATTTCAAAGAGAAATGCTGTACCCTTTAACTATCACCGCCACACCCACCTGTCATATCCCAACCTTCCCTCAACCTTAAACAACCTCTAGCCTACTTTCTGTGTCTACAGATTTCTCTATTCTAGACTTTTACATGTTTGGAGTCATATACTATGTGGTCTTTTGAGACTGGCTTGGTTAATATGAATGAAACATGACCAGCTGGGGCAGGCCATGAAAACCAGGAGGTTTGATGCCAGAGAGAATTGAGTGTGATTTAGATTAGGGGACAAAAAGAGCATAGTTTTTCTAGCTATAAATAGTGATTTGGGATAGGGATGGACAGGGGAAAACCCACAGTGTTACTAGACCGAGGTTGCAATCCTAATTGGGGTGAGTGACTGACTAACCAGAACTTAACAGGGAGATCCTGGAAATAAGAGAACCATTGATGAACGGAGAAAAACTCCTCACAGATCCCTAGACCAGTAGGATACTATTCATGCATAGAGAGACTTGTGAAGGGATGGCAAAAAGCACAAGTAAGGGGGTAGTTGTCACTTCAATATAAGATGGAAAGCCTTATGGGCCTTGAGGTGTTTAAGCACAACTCTACCAAATCAGTGGCTGACCACTAAACTAAATTATGTAGACCAGGGATGTCCAATCTTTTGGCTTCCCTGGGCCACATTGGAAGAAGAATTGTCTTCGGCCACACATAAAATACGCTAATATTAACGATAGCTGATGAACTTTAAAAAAAAAAATCACAACATTCCCATAACTTTTTAAGAAAGTTTACAAATTTGCCTTTGGCTGCATTCAAAGCCATCCTGGGCCGCATGTGGCCCATGGGCCACATGTTGGACAAGCATGATGTAGACACAGTGCTAACTTCTAGAAAGCCAGGCAAAAAAAAAAAACAAAAACAGGAATAGAAACACTTAAAAGACATGAGCAAATGAATAATATGGGAGAGGCACATTCTGCTTTTAAGTCTAGGAACTTTATTAAAAATAACTAATATGGCCAGACTCATGACTGTAATCCCAATACTGTGGGAGACTGAAGCAGAAAGATCGCTTGAGGCCAGAAATTTGAAACCAGTCTGGTCAACATAGCAAGACTCTGTCTGTACAAATAGCAACAACAACAACCTTCCCTCAAAAACTCAGGCTAGGTGTGTTGGCTCACGTTTATAATCCCAACACTTAGTGGGGTGGAGGCAGGAGGATTGCCTGAGCCCAGGAGTTTGAGATCAACCTGGGCAACATGGTGAGATCCTGTCTCTAAAAAAAAAAAAAAAAAAAAAAAAAAAAAAAAAATTTGTATTAGTCAGGTGTAGTAATGCATGCCTATAGTCCCAGCTACTGGGGAAGCTGAGGTAGGGGGATTGTTTGAACTCTGGAGGCAGAGGCTGTAGTAAGCTTGTGATTGCACCACTGCACTTCAGTCTGGGTGACAGAGTGAGACCCTGACTCAAAACAAATAAAACAAACAAACAAACTCAGAATAGCTTTGATAATATATTATCTAAAATATCAACTTTTCAACCAAAAATTGCTAGTCATAAAAAGAAACAGGAGGGTGTGACCTATACACAAGGGGGAAAAAACGATCAATAGAAATTAACTGTGAATGAGCCCAGACTCCAAAATTATCAGACAAATACTTCAATGAAGCTATTATAAATATGTTCACAAAATTAAAGAAAAATATGTCGGCAATAAACCAATGAATGAGAAATCTCATTAAGTAGAAACTTTTAAAAATGGAAATTTGAGAGTTGAAAAATACAACAATAAAAATGGAAAATTTACTAGAATGAGTTCAACAGCAGATTTAAGATGGCAGAAGAAAGAATAAGTGAATTTGAAGGTAGATCAATAGGAATTATCCAATTTGAAGAAGTAAGAAAAATAAAGTGTCAGAAATCTTTAGGACAATATCAAGCATTACAATACATATATAATGAAAGTTTAAGAAACAGAAGACAGAAAAAATGTCTAAAAATATATTTGAAGAAACAGTGTCTGAGAACTCCCCAACTTTTTGAAACATATTAACAAACAAATTCTACAAATTCTAAGAGCCCCAAGAAGGATAAACACAAAGTGATCTGAACACAGACATGTCATAGTCAGACTGCTGAAAGACAAAGGGAAAATCTTGAAGGCAACAATAGAAAAACAATGCATCAAATATAGGAAACAATATAAAATTAACAGTTGACATCTGAAATGATGGAAATCAGGAGATAGTTGAATAGGATATTCAAAATACTGAACAACACAGTGTCAATCAAGAATTCTATATCAAGGAAAACTATCTTTCAGAAATGAAGATTAAATAAAGACACCCCCAGATAAACAAAATTTGAGAGAAATCATTGATCTTCCCTATAAGAAATACCAAATGAAGCCTTCAGGCTAAAACAAAATGATACCAAATGGTAACCTGGAAGAGCATCAGAAATGGTGAATAGGTAGATGGATTTTTTAAACTGTATATATGCATATCCTCTTTTCTCTTAATATTTTTTAAAACCATCAGCTTGCATAAAGCAATAACTCTAAGACTATATTGTCCAATTTATGACATGTATACATGTAATATATATGATAATAATAGCACAAAGGTGAGAAAAGTTAATGGAACTACAGTTATCCCTGAGCCTACTTGGGGGATTGATTCCAGGATCTCCTGCATATACCAAAATCCACACATACTCAAGTCCCACATTATATATAAGTGGACCCATGCAGTTCAAACCCATGTTGTTCAAAGATCAAATGTATATTGGAATAAATTTACTATATTTACTGGAAATAAGTCAATATTAACCTAAAATAAATCATGATAAGTTTAAGTCACATATGTCAATACCGAGAACAACCATATATACACATAAATATACACACACAGACCCACAAATAACAAAAAATATAGCTAAAAATTTCATGAAGAAAGTAAAATGGCCTGATACATTTTTTTTTATTTTAAAAAAATAAGTAAGGGGGAACACAGGAACGAAAAGACATGAGACATACAAAAAACACTGGCAAAATTACAGGTATAAATCCAACCACGTTGAATAATTACATTATATTTGAGCTAAATGTTTCAATCAAAAATCAGAGACTGTCAAACTGGATTTAAAAGGAGCTTCAACTATATGTTGTTTACACTTTATTTTTTACAATATTTTTTCTTTTAATTTTTTAAAAATAATTTTACAGAAAAATTGGAATGGATTAAGGCACACTTCAGATGGAAAGACACAAATAGATTGAAATTAAAAGACCATGCAAACAGTAATGGTATAGAAGAAGTGGCTATAATGTCATATAAAGACAGACTTTAAGACAAGGAATATGTCTAAACACAAAGGGAGACATTTCACAATTATAAAAAGTTATTTCCTCAGAAAGATATAAAAAATTATAAATGTGTGCCTAACAACACAGCCCTAAGATACATAAAGCAAAAACTTACAGAATTGAAAGGAGAAATAGAAAATTAAATAATTTTAGTTGGAGATTTCAATATTCATCTCCAGTAATTGAAAGAACAACTAGAAAGAAAATCAGTAAGGGTAAAAAGACTTACTTAACACTACCAAACAAGTTGACCTTACTGGTAAGTATAGAACGTGCCATTTGACAATACAATGCACACTTTCCAAGCATACATGGAACATATGCTAAGCTGTAAAACACATCTCAATTCATTTTAAACACTTGATATCATGCCAAGTACATTCTCTAAACACAATGGAATTCTGAGAAATCACCAGATAATTGAAAAATAAACATTACATTTCTAAATAACTCATAGGTCAAAGAAGAAATCACAAGGAAAATGAGAAAACATCTTCAACTGGATGAAAATAAAAACATAACTGGGTACGGTGGCTCATGCCTGTAATCCCAGTATTTTGGGAGACTGAGGCAGGCAGATTGCTTGAGTCCAGGAGTTCAAGACCAACCTGGGTGATATGGCAGAAACCTGTCTCTACAAAAAAAAAAAAAAAAAACTTGAAACATCAAAATTTATGAGATGCAGCATTGGCCATGGCTAATGGTTGAGATGAATAGTCAGAAACCTGGAGAAAACACAACTGGAGAATTGATAGAAGGCATGATGGACACAATGTAAGAATATTCATGTCACGTATGATTACAGCAGCAAGGAGGGTACCCATTAATTGATTAATCAGGTAGATAAGATGACTCACCTTGTAGATGTCAAGTTCTTTTCCCAGCCAACGTCTTCTTATAAAATGAAATTCATGAACAAAGTGACCAGATTGCCACAATAGAGGTCATGCATGGGCTTAAAATCATTCATTTTGCCTCACCAAGATCAAGCTGGCTACTGTCACTCTTAGGCATGTAAACTTTATCCTGAATAATCAACTCTGAGGCTCTGGTAATGTATTGCATGTCGGAGAACAAATTAGTCACCAGGGGCAGGTTTGATTACATGAGCTCCCTTTTATTATTTAAAAAAACAGCAACTTATCTTAACAGAAATAAATTTTCCTTCAGGATTTGAATTTACCTTCTCTATTCATAATGTTTCAGCCAAATGCTATATACTTCCCAAATGCCTCATTTCCTATCACAGAATCCTACGTGATAATGTGGCTGTTCATGTAGGACAAAGCAGAAATACAAAGAACATCATTGCACACAAATCTCAATGTATATCTCAATATGCATCTATAATCATTTCCTTCATCTGAATTAATAGAAGTGGAATTTTCTTGCCCAATAACTTGATATAATATATATTTAATATACATAGCCAAATTGTTCTCGAGACATTTTTATTACTCAACATTACTACCACAAAATAAAAAACAGCCTCTTTCTCTTCATCTTCACCAACACTAAAAATCATTTCATTTAAAAAAACACGGTTTGCTGATGTAGTAGGAGAAAAATATGACTTAGAGGTGCATTAATTTGTATTTTATTAATTATTATGGCATTAAATAGATTTCTATGTTTATTAGTCATTTACGTTTCTTTTTTTGTAAACTATCTATTGCCCACTCTAGTTGAGGGTGTTTATTTTATTGATTTGGTAGCATGATTCTATGTTCTTTATCTCCCTCAATTAGTTGTTTGTCTTTAAGTTTTGACATGTAAAAGACCAAAGATTCTATGTTGCCAATTCTATTCGTGTTTTCTTTTAGCATTTCTTCCTTTGTGTGTAAATACACAGCCTTCTCCACCCTCAAAGTTATAAAAATACTCAAATACTTTATTTCCCTTCAAGTTTCCTATGGGTTCATCAAAATATTACTTTATGTTTCACCTAAAGTTTAAATATTGTGTTATGCATTACTATTGAGTAAAATACAGTTTATTATTATTTAGACTCAAATAAGAATCTATCTTATTACTCTGAAATAGTTAATACCTATTTTACAAGCTTAAAATAGAACAATTTGTGATGCTTTCTAATGTTGAAATCATAAATAGCTTGTATTTGCCACAACATATTGGGTTACAATATTTTCACTTTGTTCTTTCCTCATCTTTCTTTAAGGATTTGTCATATACCAAATTAACCCCAGGATAGTGTTCCTTCGGTATTTAATCTACTCTTTTTCATTGCAGATTTAGATAAATACAAATAATCCACCAAACTGAGGATTTAATCTACAACTTATGCTTGAAAAGCTTATTCCTAAATTAATTTTGTGGCCGTATTTCCACACTCACTAAAAACAAGCAAAATGAAAATGGTTAGTAAAATGTTCAAATTTCTTCTACCTACAGCTCTATTCCTACAATTTTTAAAGAAATTATCACTTCAGACAATAATTTGAGAGTTATATTCTTCTCTGCAAACAGGGCTGTCCCAATATTTTGTTTTTTCTGGAAGCTTCCAAAAACTCTTCCAAGAAACTTTGATATCTTCTGGAATTTCTAACAGCTTGGAATTCATATTGATTTGATTCTACATCAGGTGTTCTTAAATATCTTTCCTCCTTAAATCAAAGATTGTAAAAAATTGAATTTAAATAAGAATGTACTTTGTCACTTGAGATTATCTCTAAAGTAGCCCCCCACGCCACTTCATTGTCATGCAAATGACTTCCTTTAGAAAGAAACTATATTACATACAGTATATGACTATATATACCCTATATTCAACCATATACTGTTGTGATCATTATGAAACTGCAAGTCTTGTCTTGCCAGATTTAAGAGATAAATATATCTAATTAATACACTGCTATATTTTTTAACTCAGCTTTATAGATTATGAAAAAAACATGCATAAATACTGCCAAGATATATATTTTCTTTTGCAAAAGCTTCCCTTTTACTCTGTTTTCAGAGAAGAAAAATACGTACTTCTTGTTTTGGAAATGGAGATTGTCATGGTCCTTGTTCTCCTTACTGATCACAGACTTTTCTTTCATGTAATACATCTATCATTAGAAAATCATCTTTAAGATCGTTCAAGCCAACAAGAAAGTGTCACAGTATCAGTATCGCCACAGACATAGTGAAAGAATAGAAAATTATCTTAATTTGGTTTCTCTTAATTTAGCCACATTAATTCAGGCTAAAGTCACCTGATTTATGAGAGAAGAGAGCTCACTTTTTATACAAACCTCTTATTTTGTTCCTTTTAATACCCTTTCCAAAACCAATCTTTGAGAGAATATTAATTTTCTAAGTTTTATTAACTGAAAAATTTTCATTCTAAATTTATGATATACATATGACTAATCAAGAACATTACAAGACCACTGCTAAAAAATTATTGGTTATTCCCAAATTTATGACTGTTTGTACAATTTTCAGATATGTTTTGTTTTTTCCAAGAGTTAAAATCGTGACTTTTGATTTTATCGTGATTTTTCAATTAACTGTACACATTGAAATTTGGAGGGTTTTTTTTTTTAATATTTTTCAAATTCAAGTCACAGAAATTTGGAGTTTTCCATTAATGACAATTTCATGATTTGTGCTATAGTGAATGCTTTCTGAGAAATCAGATTAGTTAGTGACATATTTCTATGATCTTTAATTGCATGTCTGACAATGTTTGCAAATAAGACTTTATTGCAGTCTTGGCTTGATAATGTATTTTCCTAGCCTACCTATCTCAGGGGCACATTGAAAGTGTACATTTGGAAATAGTGAAGTTTGAATCAAAGTAATTAACACTTTAAAGATTGGGGATCTTTATTACAATGATAAAAAACCAATAATATAGTTTATTATTCTCCTATTTCAAGTCTTTGACTTGTAATCCTATAGTTTTCTGTACTGATTTATTCCACAGAGTGCTTTGAAAAGGGCAGCATCAGTAATTTTCATTTACAAATTACTGTGTCTTATTGTCAGTATCTTCTAAAATATTATTCTCAGCATATGTGATTCATGAAGACAGGCAGATGGTAAATTTCCCTTTGGCAAAATACATTAAAACTCTCATTCTGCCGTCCTTTTGCAAGTTCTTACTGTTATGAGCTCTTACTGTTAACAAATTGAGTGAGATAATGTCTTTAGGATTACGATACTTTGAAGAGAGAAGATAAATTCTTTTCTCTTGGTTATAGTTCAGTTACATTCACAGCAGCCATATATCACTGAAATGTTAAAGGTCGCATGAATACCAGCTTGTAGCATCTGCTCTCTTCATTTGTTCTACACAGCTACAGTTATGCATTTAGCTGGCAAGTTAAATCACGCCCTTCTCTGTTAGGTCACTAATAGCATTCAGGGAAAGAAAGCTCCTCTGACTATCACCATTAGGAACCATTTCACAGACAATAGAGCCAGAGATTCAAAAAATCTGGGAGTCAAAACTAAATTATGGGAAGGCACGGCTGTCACCACATGAGAAATTTGAAGAAATAAGCAGTTATAAACCTTAACAATCTAAAGAAGCCTGAAAGCCTCATGTTTCTTTTTAGAAATGTATTTGGGAATCAGTGTTTTCCTGTCATTTATCTGATTTTATGTTGGTTAATGACGTAAAAGGTTAAGAATGTACATACACATAAATTGCTATAACTCACTCTGTCTCAGGGCTGAGAAGCTTCCTGGTGACCTCTTAGACTTTATTCAAGCTGCAACAAAACCAAAATGAAGGCTCCATGACTTTCCAACAAAAGAAAACACCAACCCCCAATAATCTTTATGAATATTTGTTTGGTTCTAATTAATTTCCCCAAAGCCATTAACAAATGACTGATTTGCCAATATGAGGTTTAATCTCTACAAATAAATATATTACTGAAAAATAGTTTATAAGGATGCTTGATTTTAAAGTAAGCCTTCCCCCACAACCCTCCACCCCATTTCCCCTCTCTCTGCCTGTATCGCTTCCTGTTTTCCCTCAGATTTCAGCTGCAACAAGAAGCTAGGGCAGGACAAATTGAACATCACTCAAAATTCTATTATGAGCTTTGTACAGAAACCACTACAGTTGATATGACAATGAAAAGCAGTCAGCTGAAACTAAATAATTAATGGAAACAAGTAAATTAGCTAAATTGGCTTTCAGAGAATCAGATGGACTGCTCCCTTTGTGTGCTTATCAATCCTCATAGGATGCAATAAGTGTTCAGGGGCAGAACTGTGTGAAATCTGTGCCAGATAGCAACTTTCAGTTGCAACTATGAGATGGAAACTGTCTCAAGACAACACAATCAGCAAACACCTAGCAGTACTAGACACTGACGAGACTTTGGGGTGTGGATAAAATACGGTGAATCAGACATGCTGAGAATTAGAATCCTATGACCAGAGCACCTGGGGGATAGGTGTGCTACCAAATGTGTAGCTCCAGCCCCTGCTGAGATATTGCTTGTGGTTCTAATCCTTCATTTTGTTTCTCTCCTCTTCTTATGTTTAGCATCACTAGGGCCACCACATATAACTGCACAGGATGTGTACTGCCCTGCTCTAGAGAGCACCATACATGCCAGCATCATAGTCCATGTGAAGTATACTCCTGCACAACTGTACATGGCCATGCTAACTACTGTGGTATGAAAGTTTGTGTCCCCTCCAAAATGCATGTTAAAACTTAATTCAAAATGTGACAGTATTAAGAAGTGGGCCTCTAGGAGGTGATTAGGATGAGATTTGTACCTCATGAAATGGCCGGAAGGAACCAGCTAGGCTTTTTTGCATTTCTGTCCCTTTCATCTCTCCTGCCATGTGAGGATACAGCATTAATCCCTTTTGCCCTTCCACCACGTGAGGATTTAGCAAGAAGGTGCCGTCTATGAAGCAGAGCAAGGCTTCACCAGACACCAAATCTGCTGGCACCTTGATCTTGAACTTCCCAGCCTCCAGAACTGTGAGAAATAAATTTCTATTATTTCTAAACCCAGTTTAATGTCTTTTGTTATAACAATTAACTAAGACAGAAATTGGTACTGAGGAGTGGGGTGTTGCCGTAACAAATACCTAAGAATGTGAACACAGCTTTGGAACTGGTTAATGAGTAGAGGCTGGGTCCTGAAGAACTATTCCAGTGAGGACTAAGAAGAAGAGGACGGCTTTAGGGAAAGTCTGGATCTTCTTTGAGATTACTTAAATGCCTGTGATCAGAACACGGATAGAAAGATTGACATTGAAGGCCATTCTGGGGTCAGGCATGGTGGCTCACACCTATAATCCTAACACTTTGGGAGGCCAAGGCAGGCAGAATCGCTTGAGCTCAGGAGTTAAAGACCACCTAGGGCAACATGGCGAAACCTCATCTCTACTAAAAATAAAAAAATTAGCCAGGTGTGGTGGCATGCCCCTGTAGCCCCAGCTACTCAGGAGACTGAGGTGGAAGAATCACCTGAGCCGGGAAGTTGAGGCTGCGGTGAGCTGCGATCACACCACTGCATTCCAGCCTGGACAATGGGAGTGAGACCCTGTCTCAAAAAAGTTAACAAAAAAAATGAAGGCCATTCTGATGAAGTCTTAGAAATGAGGAACAGAGTATTGGAAACTGGAGGAAAGGCCATCCTTGTTACGAAGTGGCAAAGAACTTGGCTGAATTGTGTCCACATCCTACTGCTTTGTGGAAGACAGAGAGCTTAAGAGCAATGATCTAAGACATTTGACAGAAGAAATCTCTAAGCAAAGTGTTCAGGGTGCTGCATGGCTTCTGTTGGCTGCTTATAGTAAAATGCAAGGAGAGAGAAACAAATTAAAGATGAAATTTATAATCAAAAGGGAAGCAGAACTTAGATTTAGAAAGTTTTCTGTCATGGATAGAATAAAAAAGCTTGTTCAGGAAAGAACACCAAGGGTGTGGCCAAGTGACTGTTTGATAAAGGAGATTAGTATGGATGTAAGGAAGCCAGATGTTATTCATCAAGACAATGGAAGGGTAACCCCAAATGATTTTGGAAGAACTTCAAGGCTGCCATTTCCATCACTGGCCCAGAGTGCCGGGGCCTGGAGGGAAGAATGGTTTCAAAGGAGGGGCCCAGGGTGCCTGAAGAACCTCAAGACTCGCTGTCCAGGGTCACTTCAAGTCTCTGCTCCACACATTCCAGCCCACTTCAAGTCTCTGCTCCACACATTCCAGCCCAGCATACCTCAGGTGCACCAGCTGCGGCTCAAATGGAACCAGGTATAGCTCAGGCCACCACTCTGAAGCCACAGATAGTAAACCGTGGCAGCGTCCATTTGGTGCTAACTCCGCACTTGAATAAAAGATATAGTTGGCACTTTGTGTTTCAAATTTCACACTCTTTCCACTACAGTATGTTGCTGCTTCAAGATGAAGCACCCCAAAATATGAATTAGTTCAACTAACTCTTTTATGAAACCACAAGAAGAATACCAATAAGCTGGCTTTTGACATAGGCTTTTGACCCTCGCATCTTTACTTCTTTGGTCTCTGCGGCTGCTCTGACTTCTATTTTAATCAGCACATGTAGCACTGGCTGTGACATGGACTCTGGGACCTGCCTCTCCCTCAACTATCTGTGAGCTTGTCTAAAGCCACATGTTGAAATGTCATCTTTATAAAATTTGTTCATAAGAAAAAAAAGTAAAAGACCACCAAGACCTCAATAGATAAATGTACAAACAGCATAACTTTCTAAAGAGAAGCTTCAACTAATTAACAAATATATGGAAAACTGTTCAGTGTCGCTAGTAATTACGAAATTCAAATTAAAGATACCATTGCCCATCCACCAACCATATTTCACTTCCAGGGATTTGGTTTATTCACTTCAAGTGAAGTATAATTTAGAATATTAATTTTAGAAAGTTTTTAGCTAATTTTCATCAGGAAATTCTACTAATAATTAAACTGGAATCTCTCCTAAGAAAATAATCCTATATATAAAAATTAAGTGCATGCACACAGATGTTTGTCATGCAATTATTTATATTATCATGAAACTGAAAACAACTCAAAGTTTTGGTAATAGCTAATAGGGGAATAACTTAAACCATTGGATGTTAACTGGAAATAGTTTACACTCATAAAATTATATGAATTGTGTAAAAATTTTAAAAATACTTATAAAACTAAGTGGAAAAAATGCTCATAGAATTCTTAGTTATATCTATATAAAATAAACAATAAAAACCATCTATAGGATAAATATTATAATTAAACACATCACAGAGTTAATTGTAGCTACCTGTACTTTTTGTAGTATCATAATTAATCACACTTTTTAAAAAAAACTAAAATAAGGTTTACTTTTTATTTATCCTATATAGAAAGGATTTATCCTATATAGAAAGGACATACAGGATAAATATTTGATTTAGAAAGGATATAAAGGATAAAATTTGATTTGATTTATCCTATGTAGATTTTTATTTATCTGTTCCTTTTTAATACTAATATTTATACACAATCTTTACCAGCTTTATCAATGAGTTATTAAATGTTCATCCCACATCCTGTTTTTATGTTTGCTTTTCGAATTCATTCAGAAATTAGAAATCTAGACAGCTTTAATCTTATAATGAGCTACTGATGCTAGTATATTTGGGATTTTGTATGTTCAGACTATTTTTGCCTTAAAAGTAATGGCAAAAATTGCAATTATTTTACACCAATATTGACCCCATAATGTACATCCCAACTTATGTATAACTTGCCTTGTGGGTAATGCCATAGAAGTTTGTAACAAACAATATAAAGGCTGGGTGCAGTGATTCATACCTGTAATCCTAGCACTTTGGGAGGCCAGGGCCAGTGGATTGCTTGAGCCCAGGAGTTCAAGACCAGCCTGGGCAACATGGCAACACTCGGTCTATACAAAAAAATACAAAAATTAGCTGGGCATGGTGGCACATGCCTGTAGTAACAGCTACTTGGGAGGCTGAGGCGGGAGGATCGCTTGAGCCCAGGAGGTAGAAGTTACAGTGAGCCATGATCACGCTACTGTACTCCTCCAACCCCACGCACACACACAATATAAAAAAACGCTATTCGAAAGACAATGTATTTTGTAAGAAAAGTTTTTTTAATCATGTAGAAAATTTTGGAACCTGGAGAATGTTTGGATGTTTTGAATTTTTCTTTTCATAAAAGTGCTCCCTTTTAGAGTTGGAAGGTTTCAGTGTACATATTTTATTATTCTATATTGAATTTGTATTTTAGTGATTTCTGCTATTCTAGACATATTTAACCAACAGTTTTCTGAACTACGCCTCCAATAATCCATTCCAAAGTTAAGTGCCAAAATACCATCAAAAACTACGCACTTTATTCTTAAATAGAGAAACACTGCCACTTCATGAAACTTCTCTAAACTGAGATGTGTGTTAAGTTTATTGCCTTGCAAGTTTGGTCATATGATTTCCAATAATATTTGTCAAGGTTATAAACAAAAAACAGATTAGATCCGGCTGACATACTAAGAAATGACAAGTGTAAAGAGCTGGATTCTCTATTGTAAACAACAGAATCCTTTCCCTTTAGTTTAAATAAAGGGATTTATTATGCCATATAGTTGTCCTGTAAGATCACTGGAAGAGCTACAGAAAAAGACTGTAAACTTGGGAATGGTACACAGGGCCACATCCCACAGCAAGCCCACCTAAGGCACTGCTGTGCCTACTGCACGCACGAAACTGCTGAATCAGAATTATTATTATTATTACTTTTTTTTTTTTTTTGAGATGGAGTTTTGCTCTGTCGCCCAGGCTGGAGTGCAGTGGTGCAATCGGCTCACTGCAACCTCTGCCTCCTGGGTTCAAGCGATTCTCCTGCGTTCAAGCGATTCTCCTGCCTCAGCCTCCTGAGTAGCTAGGATTACAGGCATGCACCACCATGCCTAGCTAGTTTTTGTATTTTTAGTAGAGACGAGGTTTCACCATGTTGGTCAGGCTGGTCTCGAACCCCTGACCTCGTGGTCCGCCTGCCTCAGCCTCCCAAAGTGCTGGGATTACAGGCATGAGCCACCACTCCTGGCCTACCTTACTATTTTTAAGTCTCTTCTCTCCCCAGAAGTGTGAAGCAGAGTTCTTGGGCTCCTTGAGCATTTGTTAAGATAGGTTGTATCTAGATGAAGAGCTATTTCTCTGCTTACCATAATATTATCCTTTTTCTTAGCGATCATCCCATTAAGTAGGTATCTTTTATTTACTACCATTTCTCTATATTTTTGTGAATGAGAAAAGAACCTAAGTATCTCAGGTGAGACAACTTGGGAGCAAAACTGTGGTGTTGGTTTTCTTCCTAAGATAGTCAGAGCTTTGTGCAGACTATCCTATGGCTGTTTGAATTTCTGTTAAAGCATCTCTGGTACAGCCATATTCCAAGACTGGTACAATGAGTTGTGTCTCTGTGCCCCTCCCAGGGTCCTCCTAAACATTTGGGGAGACGTTTATACTTCTTGATAGCCTACAAAATTGGAACTCTAATTATTGTTATTTAAGTCTTAAAAGGAAGGGGTGACCTCTGAAGTCTGGAGAACTTGGGGATACTTGGGGTTTCATTTTTTAACTTTTAGGTTCAGGGGTACTTGTGTAGATTTGTCATATAGGTAAATTCATGTCATGGGGATTTGTTGTACAGATGACTTTATCACCCAAGTACTAAGCCTAGTACCCAATAGTTATTTTTTCTGATCCGCTCTCTCCTCCCACCCTCCACCCTCAAGTAGGCCCCATTATCTGTTGTTCCCCTCTTTGTGTCCATGTTTTCTCAGCATTTAGCTCCCACTTAAAAAGTGAGAACACGCGGTATTTGGTTTTCTGTTCCTGCATTAGTTTGCTAAAGATAATAGCCTCCAGTTCCATACATGTTCCCACAAATGACATGATCTTATTCTTTTTTATGGCTGCTTAGTATTCCACGGTGTATATGTACCACATTTCCTTTATCGAATATGTCAATGACAGGCATTTAAGTTGATTCCATGTCTTCGCTGTTGTTAATAGTGCTGCAACAAACATTCACATGCATGTGTTTTTATGGTAGAATATATTCCTCTGGGCATATACTCAGTAATGGGATTGCTGGGTCAAATGGTAGTTCTGTTTTTAGCTCTATAAGGAATTGCCACACTGCTTTCCACAATGGTTGAACTAATTTACACTCCCACCAACATTGTATAAGTGTTCCCTTTTTTCCAAAACTTTGCCAATATGTTATTTTTTGACTATTTAAAAATAGCCATTCTGACTGGTGTGAGATGGTATCTCCTTGTGATTTTGATTTGCATTTCTCTAATGATCGTTATATTGAGTCTTTTTTCATATGTTTTTTACCACATAGAGAACCCTGAAATAAGGCCACACACCTACAACCATCTGATCTTCAACAAAGCTGACAAAAACAAGCAATAGGGAAAAGATTCTCTATTTAATAAATTGTGCTGGGATAACTGGCTAGCCATATGCAGAAAATTGAAACTGGACCTCTTCCTTACACCATATACAAAAATAAACTAAAGATGGATTAAAGATTTAAATGTAAAACCCAAAACTATAAAAACCCTGGAAGACAACCTAGGCAATACAATTCTAGACATAGGAATGGGCAAAGATGTCATGATGAAGACACCAAAAGCAATTGAAACAAAAGTGAAAATCGACAAATGGGATCTAATTAAACTTAAGAGCTTCTGCACAGCAAAAGAAACTATTAACAGAGTAAACAGACAAACTAAAGAATGGGAGAAAATATATGGAAACTCTGCATCTGACAAAGGTCTACTATCCAGCACCTATAAGGGACTTAAAAAAATTTACAAGAAAAAAACAAACCCAAAGTGAGCAAAGGACATGAACAGATACTTTTCAAAAGAAGACATACATGGGATTTCAATTTCTAAAACAATTCAGGAGATATACACTATAATGAACAACAGCTGCTTGTTCAATATTAACATCAACCGAATTAACCTGACTTTAGATGGGTCTTGCACTGTATTCAGTAACAGTGACTTCCAAAACTGACTTTGTTATCTCAGGATGGAATGAAGCACAGAGTTAATATTTTTTCAGCAGTTTCAAAAGTACTTCAGATAGATGATACCCAGATGTTTAGAACAGTAAATTAAAAATGAAATAGTTCCATACAATGCTAGCTTTACAATCTGAAAATTAAAACTCCAAAGCAACAGCAATATTGGAATTTTGTGGTTTAATATGGTTATAGATTGGTATGTTGGGAAATAATAGTTGAATGATGCAGAAGAATTTTTCTATTATAGAAGCACTAACCCTTGACTGTTATAACCTGCCTTCCTGGCCAGAGCATTCAGCCATGAATAACTAGTCCTATTAGTCCATTCAAGGCTGTTTGCTGATAAGGCTCAGGCAATTTCTGTACAAATAGAAAATACAATATCAAGAAATCAAGGGAATTTCAAAAAAGAAGAGTATACCTTATACTCTTACTGTAATAGTAAAAAAGAACCCAACTCCTAAAAGAAAAAATACTCCCTATGAAGTAATACATAATTTTATATCTAAAGCCTATTGATCTAAAAACTAATAATTTTAGTAGGAATCATATAGAACATAGCAAGCAGTAAATTTTCCTGATAAAATCTACATTAAAATTATTATATTAAAATAGGCACTCTTATAAGACCTATAATGTCAGGCTCTAATGTATATACGAGTGTTCGTGGTAATTCTGAGATATCTCTAAATAACATTTTTAAAATGTTCCATCCTGTGCATTCCTTTATGCAATGTCAGAATTTGGTTTGTTAATAAAAAGCAAAAGGTTTTTTCCCATCACAGAAAGAATTTAGAGCACTCGGATAGACAGATTTTTAAAAATTAACCACTTAATAGACTTCCAGTAATGGTGATTGTAGAATCTACCCACCATTTAAAAATTTTTAACAGGATTTAAAAAAAAATGTAAGATGCTGGAAATATCCAAAAGCAGATGGAAGCCACTGAATAGTTAATTCTTAAAAATCTGCAATTGGGAAGGATAATAATTTTCAGTTTGTGGCTTTCTGTCCTGTGGGCACTTGCCAACCCCCAAAGCCATGGTTGTGGAACACAGTAGTAGTGGAAATTATGGTCTTACAAGCTCAAGGTGTCAGAGATCAAAGTTCACGGCTGGAAAAACAAGCGGAATTTTAAAGGAGAGATTCTAGCAGCAAGAGAACTACAAATGAACGAAGACTCAAATTCCGAGTACAGTAGGCCCTCTGTATCTGTGGTCTGTGCATCTGTGGAGTAACAAATAGCAAATCAAAAATATTCAAACAAACTGCATCTGTAATCTGAACATGTACAGATATTTTTCTTGTCATTCTTTCCTAAACAGTGCAACTATTTACATTGCATTTACATTATATTAAGTATTATAAGTAATCTAAAAATAATTTAGATATTTATTTATAAATAATAAATATAAATTTATACTAACTTAAATATAAATAATCTAGAATAATTAAAATAATTATTTAGATAATTCTAGAATAATTTAAATAATAAAGTATTGTGTAAATAGTACTTTATTTAAATACTAGATTAAATATAAGTAATCTATAAATTAATTTAAATAATTTAAATATTGAAAAAGTAGAGCCAGGCACAGTGGCTCACACCTGTAATCACAGCACTTTGGACGGCTAAAGTGGCCAACTGCTTCAGCCCAGATCAGCCTGGGCAATATGGCAAAACCTAGTCTATAAAATGTACAAAAATTAGCTGGGCATGGTGGTGTTACTAGTGGAGGATGTCCAGGTTCTTGGTGTTTTGAACAAAGAATTGGACAAAACACACACACACAGCAAGGAAAGAATGAAGCGACAAAAGCAGAGATTTATTGAAAACGAAAGTACACTCCACAGGGTGGGAGCAGGCACAAGCAGGCAGCTCAAGAGCACTGGTTACAGAATTTTCTGGGGTTTAAACACCCTCTAGAGTTTTCCCATTGGTTACTTGGTGTAAACTCTATGTAAATGAAGTAGTGGTCTGCAATCAATCTGATTGGCGGCAGAAAGTGACCAATCAGAGGCTGAACTGAAGTTATAAAGTTACACCCTATGCAAACATCTAATTGGTTGCAGAAAACAATCAACTGGAGGCTGAAGTGAAGTTACAAGGTTATTCTCCTATGCAAATGAAGACTTGGCCCATGACCAGCCTGATTGGTTGTGGGATGAACCAATCAGATGTACTTTCAATTTCTCATCTGCCACACAGAAAAAGGAGGGAGTTGCAAAGGGAGTAGCCTCTGGTCCTTTAGTTACTTGGGTATGGAAGGTTGGGGTTTTCCTTTTGATTTAGTTCTAGGAAGTCAGCATGAATCAGCCTTAGGTTCCCTACCTCCATACCCTATTCTCCTCCTCAGTGGTGCTCACCTATAGGCCCTGCTACCTGGGAGGCCAAAGCACAAGGATCACTTGAGCCCAGGTCATGGCAGCAGTGAGCCCTGAGTGCACCAGTGCACTCCAGCCTGGGAGACAGAGTGAGAGCCTGTCTCAAAAAATAAATAAATAAAATAAAAACACAGAAAGTTCTGTGGAGGATTATGCAAATTCTATGTCATTTTATATGAGAGACATGAGCATCTATAGATAATGTTGTTCCAAGGGGAGTCCTGGAACCAACTCCCCGTAAGGGACTAGATGACTACATAAACTCTGCCAAAATCCCTGGCTGATAGATTAAATATGCCCCCAAGTGGCCCAGAGGAGGGGAGAAAGCAGAGACCAGAGAGGAATTGGCTCCTGCAAAATGGACACACACAGGGCTTGCTCTGTGGGTTTGCTATTTGTTTTTGTTTGGTTTTTAACTGATGGTATATCTCATGTACAGAAAGCCAACAGCTTACATATTTGAAGTATGTACAGACTTGAAATATCAGAGGACAAAGCATAAGACTAGTGGAAGAACTTAAAATTCCTTGCCTAAAATCAAGAAAGCCCAAGCAAAAGTGCATCCATCTCTACCCAATCCCTGGCCAACTACTGTTAAGGGTTCTTGGGGTGTCACTTTGCCAGCCAGAAACCTCTGTGGCCAGTGATGCCTTTGCCTGAGTTTTGCTCCACCCACTCAGCCTGGCAGACTGGCACTACTGACCTGGATCCCAGACTTGCCAAGGACAAGCCAGGCACAGAGCAGGGAAGGGTGTGTGAATGAGCATGGGGTCCAGCCACTGTGCATAGCTAGGCACACCGGCTGCTGCAGTGGGGCAGGCAGCTCCAGGTGCCAGCATGGGCACTGGCTCCTTGAGAGGCTGCAGCTGGACCATAGCTGGCACCGGAGAACGCAGTGGTGCCTAGAAGCTTGGAGACTTCCAGGAACCACAGGGCCCCAAAGAGGGAGTCACAGCCCTGGCTCTGGGAGCTCCCAGGTCTGGGCTCCCCAGAGGGCCACAGCTCTTTTCTCCTCTTCACTCACAACATGGCAAGCAAGAGGCATATTTCAGGCCTGTTTTCATTACAGCTGTTTTTGCCCTGCCATTTAGCAGGTCCCAAATTCTTGTCCTCCATCCAGGAAGAATGAGGTACGTAGACAAGTGGAGGGTGAGCAAGACAAAGAGGAGCTTTACTGAGCAATAGAATGGCTCAAAATAGACCCTCAGTGGGTAGCTCCTCTCTGCAGCCAGGGTGTCCCAAGGAGTGTTCAACTCTTAGCAGAGAGGGTAGCTTCTCTCTGTTAGGCAGGTCCTCCTAATGAGTGTTCAGCTCTTACAGAGAGGGTAGCTCCTCTCTGCAGCTGGTCATCCCATCATCTCTCCCTCCTCTTCTCAAGTCTGGCTGAGATTGGGCTTTTATGGGCCTCAGAGGGGAGAAAGTGCATGCAGATTGGTCCATGGGTGGCCATGGATGGGCTGAAAAAGACACCACAAGTTCCCTCTCTGTTCTACAGGACTGGCAGCCCAGCCCCCCAGGCTTCAGGCTCTCCTTGGCTTGAAAGTGGAGCTTCACCAGGAACCCCAACCCCTTCCGTCCAGGAGCCTGAGTCTGCCTCCTGCCACCCTTCCTGGTGCCCAGGCTGTTTGCGCCAAGGGGCTCCTGCAGGCCAGCACCGAGCTGCCCTCAGCACATCCCTCAGCCTCGCTCCCATGTTCATTGGTGCCCAAAGTCTGGAGGGTACCAAAGTAGCAGGAGGCTGATGAGTCAGTGCTGCCCTGAGTGTGCACACACCCAGTCAGGGTGGGAAAGCGCAGGGGTTCAGCTTCAAATTTGCTCCCTGATCGGAGCAGGAGCTGACAGGCGAGAGAGGCCAGGCGGCAGGAGTAGACACCTCTGAGCCTGCAGGGGGAAGGGGGGCCTTTCCAGGCCCCCAAGAGTGCAGATATGCCTGGGTCTGCAGCCACACCTTGGGCAGCTGCAGCCGCGGGGCTCCTGCCTGCTCCTGGCTCCCACTGGCTCTACGAAGCAGAGCACTGCCCCAGGCCCAGCGCCACCTCGGAGGACCCCTCTGCCTGCCCCTCTGTGCCCAACTGCACTGCTCCCCCACCGGCGGACAACTCGCCCGGCCCATGGCGGAGGCCCCCAGGGCGGCAGGCAAGGTGCAGGTGGCCCGGCAGCCCTAGCCAACCCCGCACAAACGAACCCAATGTTCCCATGGCCAGCCCTGCGAGTTCTGGCTACGCCTTTGGCCAGGTGCTCATGGGACCCCGGGACACAGCCGGGAGTGAGGCTGAGGCTGTGGTGGAGGCTCCAGGCCTGAGAGGGGGTCCTGCCTGGCCGTGCAAGTGTGGAGGTAGCGCAGTAGCTCCCTCGGAGATGCGGGGTAGAGGGGACCCACCGCCACCTCTGCTGCTCCCACAGTTGCTCCTGCCGCCACTACTTGAGACTCCTCGCTGCCGTCAGCGTAGTGATAGCAGCGGCCACTCCGGATGGCCTCCTGCTGCCATCACTACCAAATTACACAGACACCGGGGTAACTTACATGAAGCCATGCATTAAAAAAGAAGTGATAGGAAACCAAAAGAACAGGGCACAGCAATCACTTGCCGTATTCACAGGGAAGATAGTTTGCAATTTGTGTCTGGGCAAGTTAACTTTTTACTAGAACAAAAAATCAGCAATTTTCAGAAGAATAAAAAAGAATTTAGAGTTGCTACATTTCATAATTTACAATATCCAGTTTTCAACCATGTAAACAAACAGCCCTGTGAGACCTATAATCAAAAAGAAAGAGAGGGAAAAAAAGGCAAAATCAATAAAAAGTGACTTCAAGTTGACCTAGATGTTGAATTGAGCGGTTGGAGACTTCTAAGCTATATATATACATTATTCTTCCAAGAATTAAAGATAAATATGATACCAATGAATAAATAGAAATCTCAACAAACAAGACTGAAATTTTATAGCTGAAAATTATAACAAATTTTTGAAATGTATTGATGGGCTCAGTGGTAGATTAAAAATGAAGGAAGGATGCATATAAAAGCTAATCGAAATTACAAAATTTGGAGAAGACAGAGAAAAGAGATTAAAGAAAAAATAAACAGAGCCTTAGGATCTATGAAACAATAGCAAATGATGCAACATATGAATAACTAGAATTCCATAGAAAGAGAAGGAAAAAAATGAGGAATTAATTTAATAGAAAATGCTAATAGGACAAAGAAGCCTAACAAATCCAAAGCGAATAAATACAAAACCTTCCTAAAATCATCATAATCAAACTGCTGAAAGCCAAAAATAAAGAGAAAATCTTGGAATCAGAGTAAAACAACCCATCCAGTTAGAAAGACAATGATTGATTAATAGCCCTAAATACAACCATATTACTGATTACATTGACTGTGAGTGAATAAACACTCTTACCAAAAGGTAAAGATTAGCAGGCTGAATTTAAAAAAGAAAAATCAACTCTATACTGTCTAAAAGAGATGCACTCTAGTAGGGAGATTATAGTTAACAATAATTTATTGTATATTTCAAAATGACTAGAAGAAAAGAATTATGTTCCCAAAACAAAGAAAGATAAATGTTTGAGGTAATGAATATTCCAATTATCCTGATTTGATCATTATACATTGCATAAATGTAGCAAAATATTACATGTACCCCCAAAATATGTACAACTATTATATATCAGTAAAAACACAAAAAAGAGATGTACTCTAAATTATAAGAAACAAATAGGTTAAAATGATTAAAAAAGATATATCATGTAAGAATAAGCATAAGAAAAGTAGAATAGCCCTATTATTATCAGACCCAAAAGACTTCAATAACAAGTGTTATTAGAGGCAAGAAAGTACACTTTATAATGGCATTATATATCATTTCTATACTTACATACACATATATAAGAAAGATATATCAATGAAAAACATGTACATATGTAATAATAGAGCTTCAAAGTATAAGAAGCAAAGCTTACATAACTAAAGGTAGAAATAGACAAATCCACAGTCATAGCTGATTTTAACACACAATTCCCAGTAACTGACAGAACAAGCAAACCAAAAAATCAAGGAAAATATAGAAGATCTGAATGACATTATCAACTATCTTAATCTAATTGACGTTTAGAGAACATTGTATGTAACAACTGCAGAAAGTCTCTTCTTTACAAATGAACATGGAATGTCCACCGAAATAGACCATATACAGAGCTAATAAAGAAGTTCCAATTTATTTGAAAACACTGAAATTTTACACTGTGTTCTCTAATCATGACATAATTAAACTAGAAATTAACAAAAAACATCAACAAACCTCAAATATATGAAAATTAAATAACTCACTTTGATACAAACCACAGATCAAAGAAATAATTACACTGAAAATTAGAAAATATTTTTCAACTGAATGGTCATGAACATTTGTCAGATGCCGCTAAAGCAATGCTTAGAGGAAAATGCATAGCGCTAAATGCTTATATTAGAAAAGGAGAAAGATCTCAAATCAATGATCTAAGCTCCCACTTTAGGAAGGTAGGCTAAACGGAGGGGTTAAGCAATTAAACCCAAAGTAAATAGAAGGAAGAAAAGAATAAGATTAGGGAAGAAATCAATAAAATAAAAACAACAGATGAACAATGGGGAAAAGTAACATAATCAAAAGCTGATTCTATGAAAAGATTAATAAAATTGATAAACCTGTAGTTACAAGTTAGACTGATCAAGAAAAAGAGCATAAATTTTCAATATCAAGAATAAAAGGCATCCGGGTATGATGGCATGTGCCTATAATTCCAGTTACTCCAGAGACTGAGGTGGAAGGATCTCTTGAGCCCAGGAATTCAAGACCAGTCTGAGACCTCCATCTTTAAAAAAAAAAAAAAAAAAAAAAAGGAGCCGGGCACAGTGGCTCATGCCTGTAATCCCAGTACTTTGGGAGGCTGAGGCAGGTGGATCACCTGAGGTCAGGAGTTCGAGACCAACCTGGCCAACATGGTGAAACCCTGTCTCTACTAAAAATACAAAAATTAGCTGTGCATGGTGGCAGGCCCCTGTAATCCCAGCTACTCAGGAGGCTGAGGCAGGAGAATCACTTGAAGACGGGAGGCGGAGGTTGCAGTGAGCCGAGATCGCACCATTGCACTCCAGCCTGGGGGACAATAGCGAGACTTGGTCTCAAAAAAAAAAAATGAATAAAAATTAAAAAAAAAAGAAAAAGAATAAAAAACAAGACAAAACAGACAAAAGACTAAACAGACACTTCACCAAAGAAGATACATAGATGGCAAATAAACACATAAAAAGATGCTAACCATCATTAGTTGTGAGGGAATTACAAATTAAAACCACGGTGAGATAACTCTACACACATTAGAATGGCTAAAATATGTTTGTTTTACTTCATTAATTTCTGCTCTTTATTATCATTTCTGCATTTGGGGGTTTACTCTGCTGTTCTTTTCCTGACTTTTGAGATGGGTGCTTGGATCATTGAATTTCAGCCTTAATGTATACCTATGTAAGCTAATATATAACCTAGAAAAGTGGAAAACTGATGACCTTTTGCATCCTACTTTTTTAATATACTTAAAGTCCTAGTGCTAATTATGGGAGAACGAGTAATAGACCAAAAAAAATAAAAGCCAGTCTCTTGATTCTTATTTAAGTGCTTCTTCTATTTTATAAACTTGATAACAATGGCCTCATCTTATAAACTTGGCAAGGAAAGCTTCTCATGATTTTGTGATGATGATGATGATGATGATAGCTTTTATTGACTGCCTTCTATGTGATATTGATAGCACTTGTCTATAGCTATTGATAACATGGTTGGCATTCAAATCTAAATCAACCTTAGTCTCTACATTTTTCTGCATATAGCCTGAGTATGTGGTAAACTATACCATCTAGGTTTGTATAAGTACACTCTGTCATGTTTGCATAAGGACAAAATTGCCTAATGCCACATTTCTTTTTTCTTTTCTTTTTCTTTTTTTTTTTTTTTTTTTTTTTTTTTGAGACAGTCTCCCTCTGTCACTCAGGCTGGAGTGCAGTGGCATGATCTCAGTTCACTACAACCTCTGCCTCCAGGTTCAAGTGAATCTCCTTCCCCAGCCTCCTGAGTAGCTGGGATTACAGGCACCTGCCACCACCCTCAGCTAATTTTTGTATTTTTAGTAGAGGTGGGGTTTCATACCTATTGCTTCATATGTGCTAGCACAGAGGAATCAGAGAAAAGGTAATCAAATTCTTAGTTATTGAATGGCAAAAGCCAGAGTTAATGTCTGAAATAATAATTTAAAAATTGGTTTGAACATCTGCATAACAGGCAGAGTGCTTACTTACTGGTCCTTCCTACATGAAAACATATACGTTTGAAGATGGTAGGAATGGAGATGGCCAGGCTGGTCTCAAACTCCTGACCTCAAGTGATCCACCTGCCTCGGCCTCCTAAAGTGCTGGGATTACAAGTGTGAGCTACTGTGCCCAGCCTAATGCCACATTTCTAAGAAGGTATCCCCACTGTTAAGGGATGCATCACTGTATTTCAGAGATAAAGTCACAGAGCTCATTGAAAGGGGTTAAGCAAGTGAAAGGGGTCAAGGAGGAGGCTTCAGATAAAAGGGCAAGTGAAGTTAGAGATAACAGGGAAATGGTAAATTTAGAGAGAAATCTAAGGGGAGAGGAAAATAATTAAGGTAATTGAGAGAATTCCAAGATGGCCAGTGGGAAATACATGTTTACAGGTCATGAAAGAAGGTAAGGCCAGAGATACAATATATCTATAGTCCCTAAAGCCACTCCTTAAGGGAGAGTGTGAAGATAATCGGTTGGTAGCAGGAGTTAACACTGCTTAGGTTTCTACTGAGAAGAGCAGAAGCCAGTTCAGTCTCACTCTCTCTCTTTCTCTCTCTGCAAGCATGAGCTCAGGATGCAAGAAGCACGATGCTTTCTTGTCCAGCAGCATCCACACCCCCAGTACCCAAAACCATACCCTACACCATGTTTAAGAGCATCTTAGGTCATTGAAAGGAGTGATCCCATAGAATGACCGAACAGGGACTAAACCAGGTGAGGCCCACATGGCATCTCTCCCAATGAGAAGTTAATAGGAGATGTGCTGTTCCTGTCAATGGAGGCATTCTTTCTGCTAGCCACCAGGGAGTTCACCAAAGAAAGCTCTCCAGGCCTGCCATTTGATTGGATGCCAGATGGCCTGGATCACCAATTCACTCCCTTTATCTTCCCGGCACTGACTCCCACTGGGGCTGCAGGAGCAGGGAATGAATGGTCCCTGGGTGTTGACTGCACCCCATCAGGTGATCTTTTCAAATCCTGATTCCTCCCCAAGGTATGTTGACTCTGTCATTCTCTCCTCTGCATCCCTACCATCTACAAACATACATGTCTTCATGTAGGAAGGACCAGAAAGTAAGCACTCTGCCTGTTATGCAGATGTTCAAACCAATTTTTAAATTATTGTTTCAGACCTTAACTCTGGCTTTTGCAATTCAATAACCAATAATTTGATTACTTTTTCTCTGATTCCTCTGTGCTAGCACATATGAAGCAACGGGTATCTCAGGTATAATTCTCAACAGCGTTAGTCACTCATCAAATACCAGAAAAACCAAATCTGTTCATTTACTAAAATAGTATCTTACCAAAGTAAGAGAACAAGGCCAAGGACGGATCCTCGGGAAACATAAACGTTTAAAGGTCTGCTGGAGGCTGGGCACGGTAACTTATGCCTGTAATCCCAGAACTTTGGGAGGCTGACACGGGCAGATCACTTGAGGTCAGGAGTTCACGACCAGGCTGGCCAACATGGTGAAACCCCATCTCTACTAAAAATACAAAAAATTAGCCAGGCATGATGGTGCATGCCTGTAATTCCAGCTACCTGGGAGGCTGAGGCAGGAAAATGGCTTGAACCTGGGAGGCGGAGGTTGCAGTGAGCCAAGATTGTGCCACCACACTCCTGGGCGATATAGCAAGACTCTGTCTCAAAAACAAAAAAAAACAAAAACAAAACAAAACAAAAAACTGCTGGAGAATGAGTAAACAATGAAGAGAATGAACTCACAGGACACCAAAGAGGTAGTATTTCCAGGAACAAGGTCAGTAGTGTCCGTGCCATAAAGGAATAAAGTAAAAGACATAGATTTTAAAATGCCCATTGGCATTGCCTCTCAGGTTCACATTAACCTTTCTCTCTGGAAAGGAAGTGTGGAATATGGAAACAGAGAGATACGAGTTTCAGTCTTAGCTCCACTCCCTACTCAGTACACACGTGGCCTTGGAGTTAGCTTCTCATCCACCAATTCAACCTAAAATGCTTTCTGTAGGTCACACTCTCAGCGTGCAGTCTTGAGAACAGCGGCTCCAGTGGCACCTGGAAACCTATTAGAAATGCAAATTCTTGAACCGTACCCCAGATGTACAAAATCAGAAACTGTGTTTACCAAGCCCCATAGGGTGCTGTGATACAAACTACAGTTTGAAAACCACCGAGCTGTAGAATTGGTGCAATGTGGAGAAGAGATAAAAACGTACAGAACCAAGGATAGTACTGCTAACACATGGTGGATCTTAAATAGACTGTCTGTCACCTCTACCCTTCATTCCTACCCTCACTCTGTTCTTCCTCGGCTAACCTTCTTCTAGCCTTTTTTCTTGTTTCTCAGCAATTCCCTTCCTTCTTTCTTCCCCATTCCATCACAAAGAAACACTCCAACATACTTAACTCTCCTAGGCCAATTATTGATAATGTGGTCCACATGGTGATAAAAGAACCAATTAGTCCAAATGCATTTTCCTTTCACAGAACAAAAAAAGAGCTAACTGGCTATTTAAAGTCATGTAGAAACCTCCACACACAAAGCCCAATTATTTGGCTGGATTTTTCACTTTCCAATTGCTTCTGTTGGTGCTATGTAGACAAAACCTAAACTAATTACTCTGTAGGTTTCTGGCTCTAACAGTATCAACAGAATGTGGAAGTCATAGATTGAAGATGCAGCCAAATGGGGTTCCTGGGAAGAGGAAATAAGCAATGGTTTTTCGCTTAATGTGGGTCCATATTTATTTCTAGTAAAAGCACATAATGAAAATTGCTATGTATACTTGCTGACAAACACATTGAAATGAACAGAGCATCATTACTTGGCACAATACAGTTTTTATTCCATAGCTCTTGTTTGTATGACATTTTCATCATTTACCAGAACTTTGTTTTTCTAATCACTAGATTGATAGAAGTAAATACGGAGTATCAGGAAGAAAGAAAAAGCTTGAAAACAACCAAGTGCCATGCTTTTATCAATCCCATTGCTTAATTGATAATCAGTGCATTTCCATTCAGTTTTAAACCAATTATTGTGATTTAGCTGTACAAAAGAAAACTCTCCTTTTAAGCTATTTGAAGTACTAGAAATAACTTTTAAAATGCCACAATTGAAACAGATTTGTATTAGGCAGATTATGTACAATCGAGTATTAATTCTATTCGGGCAATTGTCAAGAAGCTTCAAAAATATTGTCAGGAGAGTTTGTACTGTGATATATGGAATCGTTTTAACCCTTTTAACATCTCCCTGGTTTAAAATGTCTTTAGCACTGAGGGACTTATCAATCTTTATCTCATTTCTTTTAGGTCTATTTTTCAACGGCCCCCAGGTGCGCTGGCTTCCCTTCATGAAGGGTCAGCCTGTATTTCCTGTGCTATTCTCCACATCAGACAAAGAGGATATAAACAGCCTGAGAATCCCAGAACTGATTGCTGGGCTCCTGTGGCTCTCCTGAATTAAAATCCTCATGGCTTTGCGGAAATAGGTGAGGGCTTCTTTCTAAATTGGGAACCATATTTAGGAACTCAGGCTTGGTCCTCTGATTAATTTTCTTTTTTTCTCTTTCTTTCTTCTTTTATTGTTATTATTATTACTATTATACATTTTATAAAGATTTGCAATGTATCAAGCATCGTTGAGTAAATCTCCACCCGAAATTCAACCATGTAAAATGCTAGGTTATTGCCAGGTTGGTAAAATGATCTGAGCCGGCCAAATTGTAGCCAGGCAGATGGGAGCTCCAGAGCCAGGGAGACAATTGCCAATTACACGATATCTGAAATTTACATCACTGGGGCATTTTGGAATATTTTTACATATATTACATCAGTTAATTCTGACAGAACCTTATGAGGGAGATATGTCTGTTACTCCCATTTGACAGATGAGAATGTTGCCATTCAAAGAGGTCAGGTACTTTGCACAAGGAAGCAGATCATTGTCATTCTCATCTCTAGCCCAGATGTGACTCACTCAACAGCCCTAGCTTTCATCCACCATTCTGTAATTTCCTGTCTTTGTCACTCTCCTTAAAGCTAAAAACCTTACCCAGAACCCCAGCTTGGTGTAAAAACAGACTTTCCCAGTAACACCAGAAGTTCCAAAAACTACAGAACTCTGCCTCTCCTTTGCACCCAGTGTCACGCTCTTTCTGCCTGATAAGACCTTATAACCTCTTTCAGGAACCACCCACTTCCCATGTTGAGTGCCGCTTGAATCACACGAAGTGGTGTTAACACTTATGATATGATCTTAACCGAGTAGCTTGGCCTCTCTTATCTCAGCTTCCTCTTCAGCAAAATGAGTATAATAATAATAGTCATGTACTTTTGTCATGTGGATCACAGATAGCATAGATGTAAAGCCCCTGCTCTAGTACCCTAGGGACCTAGGTGCTCAATCAATGAATGGTACCATCCTTGTTTTTGCCAGTGCAGCTACCAGTTTCTCTATAGTTTTTTTTTTTAATTTTTAAAATTATTATACTTTAAGTTCTGGGGTACATTTGCCAAACATGCCAAACGTTACATAGGCATACGTGTGCCATGGTGGTTTTCTGCACCCATCAACCCATCATCTACATTAGGTATTTCTCCTAATGTTATCCCTCCCATTGCCCCCCCATCCCTCCCATTGCCCTGATGTGTGATGTTCCCCTCCCTGTGTGCTTGTGTTCTCATTGTTCATCTCCCACTTATGAGTGAGAACATGCAGTGTTTGGTTTTCTGTTCCTATGTTAGTTTGCTGAGCATGATGGTTCCCAGCTTCATCCATGTTCCTGCAAAACACATGAACTCATTCTTTTTTATGGCTGCATAGTAGTCCATGGTGTATATGTGCCGCATTTTCTTTAACCAGTCTATCATTGATGGGCATTTGGGTTGATTCCAAGTCTTTGTCATTGTGAATAGTGCTGCAATAAACATACATGTGCATGTATCTTTATTGTAGAATGATTTATAATCCTTTGGGTACATACCCAGTAGTGGGATTGCTGGGTCAAATGGTATTTCTGGTTCTAGATCCTTAAGGAATCACCACACTGTCTTCCATAATGGTTGAACTAATTTACACTCCCACCAACAGTGTGAAAGCCTTCCTATTTCTCCACATCCTTGCCAGCATCTGTAGTTTCCTGACTTTTTAATAATCACCATTCTAACTGGAATGAGATGGTATGTCATTGTGGTTTTGTTTTGCATTTCTCTAATGACCAGTGATGATGACCTTTTTTTTCATGTTTGTTGGCTGCATAAATGTCTTCTTTTGAGAAGTGTCTGTTCATATCCATCGCCCACTTTTCGATGGGGTTGTTTGTTTTATTCTTGTAAATTTGTTTATGTTCCTTGTAGATTCTGGATATTAGCACTTTGTCAGATAGATAGATTGCAAAAATTTTCTCCCATTCTGTAGGTTGCCTGTTCACTCTGCTGATAGTTTCTTTTGCTGTGCAGAAGCTCTTTAATTTAATTAGATCCCTTTTGTCTATTTTGGCTTTTATTGACATTGCTTTTGGTGTTTTAGTCTTGAAGTCTTTGCCCATGCCTATGTCCTAAATGGTATTGCCTAGGTTTTTGTCTAGAGTTTTTGTAGTTTTAGGTCTTACATTTAAATCTTTAATCCATCTTGAGTTAATTTTTGTATAAGTTGCAAGGAAGGGGTCCAATTTCAGTTTTCTGCATATGGCTAGCCATTTTTCCCAGCACCATTTATTAAACAGAGCATCCTATCCCCATTGCTTGTTTGTGTCAGGTTTGTCAAAAATCAGATGGTTGTAGATGTGTGGTGTTATTTCTTCGGCCTCTGTTCTGTTCCACTGGTCTATATAGCTGTTTTGGTACCAGTACCATGCTGTTTTGGTTACTGCAGCCTTGTAGTATAGTTTGAAGGCAGGTATTGTAATGCCTCCAGCTTTGTTCTTTTTACTTAGGATTGTCTTGGC
Organism: Homo sapiens; assembly: GCF_000001405.40. NCBI lineage: Eukaryota > Metazoa > Chordata > Mammalia > Primates > Hominidae > Homo > Homo sapiens. The sequence continues at coordinate 21,340,825 of NC_000007.14, forward strand.
TGTGCAGGCTCTTTTTTGGTTCCATATGAAATTTAAAGTAGTTTTTTCTAATTCTGTGAAGAAAGTCAATGGTAGCTTGATGGGAATAGCATTGAATCTATACATTACTTTGGGCAGTATGGCCATTTTCACAATATTGATTCTTCCTATCCATGGGCATGGAATGTTTTTCCATTTGTTTGTTCCCTCTCTTCTTTCCTTGAGCAGTGGTTTGTAGTTCTCCTTGAAGAGGTCCTTCACATCCCTTGTAAGTTATATTCCTAGGTATTTTATTCTCTTTGTAGCAATTGTGAATGGGAGTTCACTCATGATTTGGCTCTCTATTATTGGTGTATAGGAATTCTTGTGATTTTTGCACATTGATTTTGTATGCTGAGACTTTGCTGAAGTTGCTTATCAGCTTAAGAAGTTTTTGGGCTGAGACAATGGGGTTTTCTAAATATACAATTTTGTCATCTGCAAACAGAGATCATTTGAATTCCTCTCTTTCTATTTGAATACCCTTCATTTCTTTCTCTTGCCTGATTGCCCTGGCCAGAACTTCCAATACTATGTTGAATAGGAGTGGTGAGAGAGGGCATCCTTGTCTTGTGTTAGTTTTCAAAGGGAATGCTTCCAGCTTTTTGCCCATTCAGTATGATATTGGCTGTGAGTTTGTCATAAATAGCTCTTATTTTTGAGATATATTTCATTAATGTCTAGTTTATTAAGAGGTTTTAGCATGAAGGGGTGTTGAATTTTATCAAAGGCCTTTTCTCCATCTATTGAGATAATCATGTAGTTTTTGTCATTGGTTCTGTTTATGTGATGAATTATGTTTATTGATTTGCGTATGTTGAACCAGATTTGCATTCCAGGGATGAAGCCGACTTGATCGTGGTAGATAAGCTTTTTAATGTGCTGCTGCTGGATTCGGTTTGCCAGTATTTTATTGAGGATTTTTGCATCGGTGTTCATCAGGGGTATTGGCCTGAAATTATCTTTTTTTGTTGTGTCTCTGCCAGGCTTTGGTATCAGAATGATGCTGGCCTCATAAAATGAGTTAGGGAGGAGTCTCTCTTTTTGTGTTGTTTGGAATAGTTTTAGAAGGAATGGTATGAGCTCCGCTTTGTACCTCTGGTAGAATTCGGCTGTGAATCCATCTGGTCCTGGGCTTTTTTTAGTTGGTAGGCCATTAATTATTGCCTCAATTTTAGAACTTGTTATTGGTCTATTCAGGGATTTGACTTCTTCCTGGCTTAGACTTGTGAGGGTGTATGTGTCCAGGAATTTATCCATTTCTTCTAGATTTTCTAGTTTATTTGCATAGATGTGTTTATAGTATTCTCTGATGTGATGATAGTTTGTATTTCTGTGGGATCAGTGGTGATATCCTCCTCTTTATCATTTTTTATTATGTCTATTTGATTATTCTCTCTTTTCTTCTTTATTAGTCTGGCTAGTGATCTATCTATTTTGTTAATCTTTTCAAAAAACCAGCTCCTGGATTCATTGATTTTTTGAAGGGCTTTTCATGTCTCTATCTCCTTCAGTTCTGCCCTGGTCTTAATTATTTCTTGTCTTATGCTAGCTTTTGAATTTGTTTGCTCTTGCTTCTCTAGTTCTTTCAATTTTGATGTTAGGGTGTCGATTTTAGATCTTTCCCGCTTTCTGCTGTGGGCATTTAGTGCTGTAAATTCCCTCTAAACACTGCTTTAGCTGTGTCCCAGAGATTCTGGTATGCTGTGTCTTTGTTCTCATTGGTTTCAAAGAACTTCTGTATTTATGCCTTCATTTTGTTATTTACCCAGTAGTCATTCAGGAGCAGGTTGTTCAGTTTCCATGTAGTTGTGCGGTTTTGAGTGAGTTTATTAATCCTGAGTTCTAATTTGATTGCACTGTGGTCTGAGAAACTGTTTGTTGTGATTTCTGTCCTTTTGCATTTGCTGAGGAGTGCTCTACTTCCAATTATGTGGTCAATTTTAGAATAAGTGCAATGTGGTGCTGAGAAGAATGTATATTCTGTTGATTTGGGGTGGAGAGTACTGTAGATGTCTACTAGGTCTGCTTGGTCCAGAGCTGAGTTCAAGTCCTAAATATCCTTGTTAATTTTCTGTTTCATTGATCTAATATTGACAGTGGGGTGTTAAAGTCTCCCACTTTTATTGTGTGGGAGTCTAAGTCTCTTTGTAGGTCTCTAAGAACTTGCTTTATGAATCTGGGTGCTCCTGTATTGGGTGCATATATATTTAGGGTAGTTAGTTCTTCTGGTTGCATTGATCCCTTTACCATTATGTAATGCCCTTCTTTGTCTTTTTTGATCTTTGTTGGTTTAAAGTCTGTTTTATCAGAGACTAGGATTGCAACCCCTGCTTTTTTTGGCTTTCCATTTGCTCTGTAAATCTTCCTCCATCCCTTTATTTTGAGCCTATGTGTGTCTTTGCACGTGAGATGGGTCTCCTGAATACAGCACACTGATGGGCCTTGACTCTTTATTTAATTTGCCAGTCTGTGTCTTTTAATTGGGGCATTTAGCCCATTTACATTTAAGGTTAATATTGTTATGTGTGAATTTGATCCCGTCATTATGATGCTAGCTGGTTATTTTTCCCATTAGTTTATGCAGTTTCTTCATAGTGTTGATGGTCTTTACATTTTGGCATGTTTTTGCAGTGGCTGGTGCCAGTTTTTCCTTTCCATATTTAGTGCTTCCTTCAGGAGCTCTTGTAAGGCAGTGCTGGTGGTGACTGGATATGAAGTCATGGGTTGAAAATTCTTTTCTTTAAGAATGTTAAATATTGGCCGCCACTGTCTTCTGGCTTAGAGGGTTTCTACAGAGAGATCCACTGTTAGTCTGATTGGCTTCCCTTTGTGAGTAACTCAACCTTTCTCTCTGGCTGCTCTTAACATTTTTTCCTTCATTTCAAGCTTGGTGAATCGGACTATTATGTGTCTTGGGGTTGCTCTTCTCAAGGAGTATCTTTGTGGCGTTCTCTGTATTTTCCTGAATTTGAATGTTGGCCTGTCTTGCTAGGTTGGGGAAGTTCTCCTGGATAATATCCTGAAGAGTGTTTTCCAACTTGGTTCCATTCTCCTCGTCACTTTCAGGTACACCAATCAAAGTAGGTTTGGTCTTTTCACATAGTCCCATATTTCTTGGAGGCTTTGTTTGTTCCTTTTCATTCTTTTTTCTCTAATCTTGTCTCCGTGATTTATTTCATTAAGTTCATCTTCAATCTCTGATATCCTTTCTTCCACTTGTTTGATTCTGCTATTGATGCTTGTGTATGCCTTACGAAGTTCTCATGCTGTGTTTTTCAGCTCCATCCGTCATTTATGTTTTTCTCTAAACTGGTTATTCTAGTTAGCAGTTCCTGTAATGTTATATGAAGGTTCTCAGTTTCCCTGCATTGGGTTAGAATATGCTGCTTTAGCTTGAAGGAGTTTGTTATTACCCACCTTCTGAAGCGTACTTCTGTCAATTCATCAAACTCATTCTCCATCCAGTTTTATTCCCTTGCTGGCAAGGAGTTGTGATCCTTTGGAGGAGAAGAGGCGTTCTGGTTTTTGGAATTTTCAACCTTTTGCTCTGGTATTTCCTCATCTTTTTGGATTTATCTACCTTTGGTCTTTGATGTTGGTGACCTTCGGATGGGGTTTCTGTGTGGTTGTCCTTTTTGTTGATGTTGATGCTATTGCTTTCTATTTGTTAGTCTTCCTTCTAACAGTCAGGCCCCTCTTCTGCAGGTCTGCTGGAGTTTGCTGGAGGTCCACCCCAGACCCTCTTTGCCTGGGTATCACCAGCAGAGACTGCAGAACAGCAAAGATTTCTGCCTGCTCCTTCCTCTGGAAGCTTCCTCCCAGAGGGGCACCGGCCAGATGTGAGCCAGAGCTCTCCTGTATGAGGTGTCTGTTGACCCCTGCTGGGAGGTGTGTCCCCATCAGGAGGCACAGGGGTCAGGGACCCACTTGAGGAGGCAGTCTGTCCCTTAGCAGAGCTTGAACGCTGTGCTGGGAGATATGCTGCTCTCTTCAGAACCAGCAAGGAGGGATGTTTAATTCCGCTGAAGCTGTGCCCCCAGCTGCCCCTTCCCCCAGGTGCTCTGTCCCAGGGAAATGGGAGTTTTATCTATAAGCCCCTGACTGGGGCTGCTGCCTTTCTTTCAGAGATGCCCTGCCCAGAGAGGAGGAATCTAGAGAGGCAGTCTGGCTCCGGCAGCTTTGGGGAGCTGCAGTGGGCTCCACCCAGTTCAAACTTCCCTCTGCCCTGTTCGAACTTCCCAGCTGCTTTATTTACACTGTGAGGGGAAAACCGCCTACTCAAGCCTCAGTAATGATAGATGCCCCTCCCCGCACCAAGCTCCAGTGTCCCAGGTCGACTTCAGACTGCTCTGCGGCAGTGAGAATTTCAGGCTAATGGATCTTAGCTTGCTGGACTCTGTGGGGGTGGGATCTGCTGAGCTAGACCACTTGGTTCCCGGGCTTCAGCCCCCTTTCCAGGCGAGTGGATGATTCTGTCTTGCTGGTGTCCCAGGCATCACTGGGGTATGAAAAAAAAACAAAAAACAAAAAACTCCTGCAGCTAGTTCAGTGTCTGCCCAAAATCTGCCCAGTTTTGTTCTTGAAACCCAGGGCCCTGGTGGCATAGGCACCTGAGGGAATCTCCTGGTCTGAGGGTTGCGAAGACCGTGAGAAAAGTGTAGTATCTGGTTGCGAAGACCGTGGGAAAAGTGTAGTAACACCTGGGAAAAGTGTAGTATCAGCACTGGCCTGAAATTCTCGCTACCAGCACAGCAGTCTGAAATCAACCTGGGACACTGGAGCTTGGTCGGGGGAGGGGCGACCACCTTTACTGAGGCTTGAGTAGGCGGTTTTCCCCCCACAGTGTAAATAAAGAGTGCACCATCCCTCACGGCAGGGTCCCTCATGGCTTCCCTTGGCTAGGGAAGGGAGTTCCTCAACCCCTTTAGCTTCCCAGGTGAGGCGATGCCCCACCCTGCTTCTGCTGACTGTCCATGGGCTGCACCCACTGTCTAACCAGTCCCTATGAGATGAACTGGGTACCTCAGTTGGAAATGCAGAAATCACTCGCCTTCTGCTTTGGTCTCACTGGGAGCTGCACACCGGAGCGGTTCCTATTCGGCCATCTTGCCCGGGAATCCCTCTCTATAGTTCTGATGTGCTCGGAAAATCTTCAGATTCCGAAATGCCTTTCTCCAAGCTCAGAGAAAGAAGACAGACTCTATCTGCACAGAGCTTGGCTCTGGTAATTTGAGGGAGAGAATATTGGATTATAAGTCAGGGGTCCTGGGATCCAATCAAAGCTTAATATCTAGCTATATCCCCAGGTTGAGCCACATTTTCCTCACTTATGTTGTAAGAGATTTGGAAGAGAATTTTTCTAAGATCCCCTACAGCCCTCATAGTTTGTGATTCTAAGACTCCAGTCCCTCTGGGGAAGAGAGAAAAGAGGCTTGGGAAAAGAGAGAGGGGGAGGGAAGTGATAGAGTACACATACTAAGCATTCACTTACTAGACCAATTCCCCAAAGAAAGGCCTGAGTCCTTAAAGCAAAGCAGTCTGGTGTATGAGAAAGAGGCTCCAAAGTCAGACAGGCCCAGGTCTAAATCCTATTTATACCCAAATTTGCTTTGTGGTCTTGGTCAGGCTGCCTGAGATCCATAATCCATGTTGACTAGAGATACTGATGCATACTTCATAGGGCTGTGGTGAGAACTGCATGAGAAACTTCTACACAGTGCTTCTCAGATGGCCCACTACTGCATGAAAAACATATAATTCCCTTCCATTCCTTCACTCCTAGTCATAAGAGGGGAAACAGTGCAATGTGAGAGAGCATCTGTGATATTGTGATATAATAAGATTTTTTTTTTGTCTTAACCCTTGGCTCCTGGCCAGAGACCCTAGAACTCCTGTAATTTCCTAAGTGATAGGAGCCAGAGGAGCATCTTTTGTCGTAATATTTGATCCTTGCTCCCAGTTCCTAAAATAGCTCAGACCAATAAAGGTGAAAGCCACATATTTTGTTATTTTTAACAGGCCCCTTTCAACCACATAGAGTTTATGCTTTACTAAGGTGGCTTTGGGGTAACCCCTTAGGATGGGGAGCTGGTTCCCAGGAAGACCAGCCAAGTAATTAAAGGGTTGGAACTTTCATCCCCAAGCCCTGACCTTTTGGGAGGAAGAGGGACTGCAGATTGAGTTAATCACCAATGGCCAGTAATTTAATCAGTCGTGCCTATATAAGGAAGCCTCCATAAAAACCCTAACTGAAGAGGTCAGAGAGCTTCCAGATTCCTGAACATATCCAGGTGCTGGTGTACATAGGGCATAGGGGTTCAAAACCCCATGTACCCCTATAGCTTGCTTTATGCATCTGTTCCATTTGGTTGTTCCTAAGTTGTACCTTTTATAATAAACCAGTAAAGAGTATGCATTTCCCTGAATTCTGTGAGATATTATAGCAAATTGAGGAGAGGGTTGTGAGAAGCCCTGATTTGTAGCCAAGTTGGAGAGAAGTGCACATAACTTAGGAATCACTACTTGTGAATGACATCTAAAGTGGGGGACAGCCTTGTGGCAGCCAAACATTAGCAGCCAAAGGTATCTGAATCACACAGCATCAAAATACATTAGCCATGGTGAATCTGTATAGATCTGCAGCAACCTCAATTCTTGCCTCCTCGGAAGAAAGAATTCAACCAAGGAGGCATAAGACAGAAGGAGATACTGAGACAAGTTTTAGAACAGGAATGAAAGTTTATTAGAAAGCTTTAGAGCCAGAACAAAAGGAAAGTAGGGCCAAGTGGGCAACTTGAAAGACCACTGCACAGTTTTGACCTTTGATTAATGGTTTTATATGTGGGTGTACTTCCAGGGTCTTGTGTTCCTTCTTCCCTGATTCTTCCCTTGGGATGGGCTGTCATCACACGCAGTGGCCTGCTAGCACTTGGGAGGGGAGCATGCACAGTGTGTTTACTGGAGGTGTATGCATGCTCACTTGAGGCATTCATCCCTTACCAGTCAAATGTCCCTAGAAGGACATATACCAGTTAAACTCCACCATTTTGACTCTTAGTGCACATGCTTGAGCCCACTCATCCAGCTCCTGAGATCTTATCAGGAACCTGCTGATCACCCAGTTTCAGGTTTTTACTATCTATTGGGAGACGATCATTCCCTGGCACCAGCTGTGACCAATTATTATTTTAGAGTGACAGTTAACAACCACCTGACCATCACCTGATGGGTACCTGACATTCCTGGTGGTGGGAGGGGCCTTTCCTATCCTGCTGATGTCTGACCACCTACCTACCGTAACAGGACTGAGCTTTTAACCCATGAGGTCTGTGGTAGCTCAAGGTAGTATCATAATTGAATTGTAGGATACCAAGTTGTTGTCTAGAGAGTTAGAGAATTAGTTAATGTGAGGGAAAAGACTACACATTTGGTGTCAGAAGTGTTGTGAATATAGAAAAAACAAGGTGTTTTCTTTTTGTAGCGGCCAGTAACCAAAGCTGGAACAGTTTCAGCAACAAAATAAATGATAAGAATTTTGGGCTAGGCATGGTAGCTCACGCCTGTAATGCCAACACTTTGGGAGTTCGAGACAGGAGGATCACTTGAGGCCAGAAATTCAATAGCAGCCTGGGCAACATAGTGAGACACAGTCTCTACAAATTTTTTTTTAAAAAACTTAGCTGGCGGGAGACTGAGGCAGGAGAATAGCTTGAACCCGGGAGGCGGAGGTTGCAGTGAGCCGAGATTATGCCACTGTACTCCAGCCTGGGTGACAGAGTGAGACTCCATCTCAAAAAAAAACAAAAAACAAAGAAAACTTAGCTGGATGCCTGTAGTCCTAGTGACTTGGGAGGCTAAGTTGGGAGGGTCGCTTGAGTCCAGGATTTTGAGGCTGCAATGAGCTACCATCGAACCACTGCACTCCAGCCTGCACAGCAGAGCAAGCCCCTGTCTTTACACTTAATTTAAAAATAAAAAAAATTGGATCATAACTCACAGAATGGAATAAATACCTGTAACTCTCTACCAATAAAAATAAATAATTTAACATATAAACAAATTAAGAAGGGGTTGTTCTTTACAGAGCACTCCAGTTAATAATTCGTGATCTCTCTCCCTGAGTCTCTTTAAACAACAAAATAATATGTAATCACTAACATGGACATGATCTATCAATTTTAGCAAAATTTGAAGAGATGCCAAAATCAGCAAAATTTGAGGAGAAACAGGATATCTGCATAGTCTTAACATAACTCCTCCAAGACATTTATTAATTATAAAGGGAAAAAATAGTTACTTTATAGTGGATGATATGGTTTGGCTGTGTCCCCATGCGAATCTCATCTTGAATTGTAATCCCCATCACCCCCACGTGTCATGGGAGTGACCCAGTAGGTCACTGAATCATGGGAGCACGAGATCTGATGGTTTTAGAAGCATCTGGCAGTTCCCCTGCTGAAACTCACTCTGTCCTGCAGCCTTGTGAAGAAGGTACTTGCTTCCCCTTTGCTTTCCGCCATGATTGTAAGTTTCCTGAGGCCTCCCCACCAATGTGGAACTGTGAGTCAATTAAACCTCTTTTCTTTATAAATTACCCAGTCTCTGGTATTTCTTCATAGCAGTGTGAGAATGGACTAACGCAGTGAAGAAACCCAGCAGACACCAACTTAACCAAACAATCAAGGATAAAATCATCAGAATTAAGACATCATGTCCTTTTTTTTTTTTTTTTTTTTTTTTTGAGACGGAGTTTCACTCTCCTTGCCCAGGCTGGAGTGCAGTGGCACAATCTCAGCTCACTGCAACCTCCACCTCCCGGGTTCAAACGATTCTCCTGTCTCCCCCTGAGTAGCTGGGATTACAGGCGCTTTTCACCATGCCCGGCTAATTTTTGTACTGTTTAGTAGAGACAGGGTTCACCATGTTGGCCAGGCTGGTCTTGAACTCCTGACTTCAGGTGATCCACCCTCCTCTGCCTCCCAAAGTGCTGGGATTACAGGCATGAACCACGATGCCTGGCCAAGACATCATGTCTTAATCAATGCCAAATCAAGAGACATTCTACAAAATCACTGACCAATACTCTTCAAAAGTGTCCAGGTTACAAAAGACAAGGGAAGACTGAGAAACTGTCACCCACTGGAAAAAATCAAGGAGACATGACTACAAAACGTGGGATCCTGGATTGGATCCTGGGACAGAAAAAAAGGATATTAGATAAAAAACTGGGGAAATCTAAATGAAATCTGTAATTTACTTAATAGTATTGTACTATACCAATGTTAATTTCCTAGTTTGATCATTGTACTCTGGTTATATAAGAAGTTAATATTAGGGCAAGCTGGGTGAAAGGTGTATGGGAAATCTGTACTATTTTTGTAACTTTGAAAAGCTTGAAATTCTTTCAAAATTATCATATATTTAAAAGCGAGACAGTGTATGGCAGATGCACCTGACAGCAATAACTTAACTTACACATACCCTGAAGGGTGACCCTATGGTCTAAGAAGAATGTGTGTTCGGAGTTCTGTGCTAAGGAATACGGGAGTGGCCAACCCAGAGATTTACTCCTTATCTATGAAGGATGATTAAATTCCCAGCCCTTAGAACACAGGTCATACCGGATATTGAGGTCCTTTGTTTTGGGTTAAATGGAGGTTTCTAGGTAGACGGTGCTAAGTAAAAAATGCCATGTCAACTGCATGCTTTTTACAAACAGTAGAGGTTCTCCTGTTCAGCCCACATCCACTGGGCCACCCCTGTACGTAAGTACCCCCAATAAACCCTATGTCTCATTCACTATCTCTGGGTCTCTTCTTCAGCCTCTCAGACACAGTATCATCCCTATTGTAGTCAGTGTAAGGGTCTGGCATGACAGACAGCAATGATCTTTGTCAGTACTACCCAAAGTACGTGAGACCAAACGTTTAGAAATTGTTTTAGCAGTAATTTTATGTCTATTGGACTTTAAAAGTTTTTTGACTGGGGCTGAGGCTTCTGGGTTTTTCTTTTGTTTTTTGTTTTCTGAAACAGGACCTCATTCATGCCCAGGCTGGAGTGCAGTGGCATGAACACTGCTCACTGTAGCCTCGACCTCCCCAGGGTCAGGTGATCCTCCCACCTCAGCCTCCTCCTAAGTAGCTACAGGCTTGCACCACCATACCCAGCTAATTTTTGTATTTTTTGTACAGATGGAGTTTTGCCATGTTTCCTAGGCTGGTCTTGAACTCCTGAGCTCAAGCTATCTGCTTGCCTCAGCCTCCCAAAGTGCCGGAATTACAGGCATGAGCCACCACGCCTGACAACTGGGGCTTCCTGAAAAAAATAAACAATAATAACAAGTAAGAAAGTAGTGGGAGGGGCTCTACTGTGTCGTCCCTGGGAAGACTGTCTTTTATTTCACTGACTTTGTGGGAATGGTCATGCCGTCTCTCTCCTTACCTGTTTGTAGCCAACACCAAGAGTGTACCAAATACATTACTCAGCAAGTCCTCAAGAAATGCATCCAAGTGAGAAAAGATGACTAGAATCCACATTTTTCTGCATTAGAAACTTTATAATGCGAAGCTTGTATGTGTAGAGGTCTTTGACCATCATTAGTGTCATAAATGGTCGCTAATACTTATATATATATGTATGTATATATATATATATATATTTTTTTTTTTTTTTCATTTTAAAAAATGAGGCCAGGCACAGTGGCTCACGCCTGTAATCCCAGCACTTTGGGAGGTCAAGGCTGGCAGATCACTTGAGGCCGGGAGTTTGACACCAGCCTGGGAAACATGGCAAAACCCCGTCTCTACAAAAAATACAAAAATTAGCTGGGTATGGTGGCTAAAAATTAGCCAGGCGTGATGGTGCGCAACTGTAATCCCAGCTACTTGGGAGCCTGAGGCAGGAGAATTGCTTGAACCCCCGGGCAGAGGTTGTTGTGAGCTGAGATTGCACCACGGCACTCCAGCCTGAGCGAAAAAGTGAGACTCCGTCTCAAAAATAAATAAATAAATTAATTAATTAATTAAATAAATAGATAATGATTAAGCAACAAAGATCTCTTAAAGAGTTGGAGTCAAACCAAGCCTAGAACTTTTCATTTTGTTTTACAAATTTTATTTCGGCACTCAATCCTTAACCAGATGTGACTACCTTTTAACTCTGATAATGCAGCAGTAAAATTGGAATTTGGATCTCCAACTTTATCAAAAATAACACATTTCTAGTTTTGAAAAGGGCTTTTTCTTTAAAAAAATAATAATTTGAAGGACAATGATTCAGCTGTTGTATTCTTCGAATAGACAATAAATAGAATTATAGCGTTGCTTTCTTCCCCTCCACCTCTTTCTCCTCTTCCACCTCTGCTATACAAATTTTCAAAAAATGTAACATCAATGTGAAATAGAAATGTTGCCATCCACTGTGAAGCAATGAAGTACAGTGTTCATTAAACCCACCAATCCAACTAGAACCCTGAAATAGACTGTGGAAGTCATGGATTCATCTGCATAAAGCCTTTTCCTTTCACCTCTTCTGGTAAAAGAAGCCCTCGCCTCTATGGGAAACAGGGAACATATCTTCCTATTTAGAAGGATTGCAGGGATGGGAAAGTCAGCCAACTTCGGCCAATCAGGCTCATCCTCTGGACTTGTGCTGTACCCTTTCTCTAACCAACTGTAGGCTATGGCACTAACAATGTATCCCTGGAGCAGTGTAGGGTACCATGTATTTTACCAGAGGAAAGACATTTTCAGAGAATAAAGGCAACATAGGGAAAAGCAGAGCGGAGACATGTAGAGAGAGAAGATTGGATGGCTGGGGAGGAGAAAGGAGTCAGAGCAAAAGACAGAGAGGAAACAAGACAGAGAAAAAGACAAGACAGAGAAAAAGAGAGGAAACAAGAAAGCAGAACAGAGAGGCTGAGGCTTTCGATAATGACATGTGGCACAAGAACCCCCATCTCTGTTGGAAGTCAGCAGCTCTTCTGTACCCTTCAGTTACATGCCCGAGGATATCCCAATTTTTCTTCAGCTTGTTGAGGTTGTCATTCTGTCATTTAAAAAAAATAAACATGTTGATGAACATGACCCCTTTATGTGTCTAATCAAATGAAAGAAGGAACTAAGCTCTATAGCAACTGTCCTTGCCTTGACATTTGAATATACCTTTGAGCATGCAGCAGATCAGTCCAGTGAAATCGAAACTGGAACTCAGTTATAAGCTTTCCAGACAGGGCTTGAGCTACACAGAATTTCTAAGAAAGTAAATTTGACTTTGATGTTAGTTCCTCTTTAGTGTTCCCCCATATGACCAGATTCTCACTGCTCTTGTGCAAGGGAGAGAAAAATCATCTGATATGTTTCATTAATGTTTAAAGGTTAATGAACTTACAGCTTACTCCTTCTGGTAACATAGCTGCATTTCACAAGGGTCAAGATCAATGTTTAATCTAAAGAAATGAATCTCTAATGCTGAAATCATGAGGACAGTAATGCATGGATGAGGAAGCTATTTTCTGTCAAGGAAATTATCCTGCTATTTACATGAGGATACAAGTGACACTTTAGGTATCAGAAGCTTGTGCATCTATTTAAAATCCAGATAAGTGATCATGCAAAGGATCGACTCATTTTTCTTTTCTTAGAGTAGAATGAGGCATACGAGTTCAATTATTGAACTTATTGAAATTACTTCCAATAAGTTCCTTCAAAATCCAAAGATATTAATGTCCAATCCTCCTTGACTAACTGCCCTCAGGGACTTTTACCAGCAGGCTATTCTTGACTATACGGGTGCCTAAGACATCGAAGATAAGTGTTGTTCTTAATCAAAATAAAACCACATTCAAGATTTCTGTTCATTCAAGTTACAATCTGTGCTGACAGGACACTAAACAAATACTTACTTTACACAATTGAATAATTGGAATACTAAAAATTTTAAAAGCATTAACCATCTGAATTTCTGAAGAAGGTGAAGAATATTCTAGATTTCTTTGGAAAAATTTCCCTCATTCACTTTCAGCCCTTTTGAATGCCCTCCCCTACATCTGGTCTCTACCTTTTTCCCTTTTGCTTCCTCCATATTCCATTCTTTGGTTTGGTTTGGTTTTGTTTTGTTTTGTTTTTTAGAGACCGGGTCTTGCTCTGTTACCCAGGCTGGTGTGCTGTGGTGCAATCATAGCTCACTGCAACCTGGAGCTTCTGGGCTCAAGCGATCCTCCCACCTCAGCCTCTCTAGTAGCTGCAACTACAGGCATATGACACCACACCTGGCTAATTTTTTTTTTTTTTTTCATTTTTTGTAGAGACAGGGTCTCCCTATCTCTAGGGCTAGGCTAGTCTCAAGCCATCCTGCCGCCTCATCCATTCTTTCTTCATTTGTTCTTCCTTTTCTCTTCCACCCATCATCCCTTCTTCCTGCCTCCTTCAATCGATTACTTGGTTAGTGTTTGTTGGGAAGTTAGTCAGTTCCAGGCAGTGGGCTAAACACAAACATGAAAAGATGGGGTCCTCGCTGTCGTCCTTTTCTGTTGTTGAGTAACAAATCACCCACAAATCTCGCAACTTAAACCAACACGCATTTATTACCTCCCCACTCAGTATACCAGAGAACAACCTGGTGTGGCAGGAATTTCTGCTCAGGGTCACCCATGGCCAGTATTCAGGTGTCAGCCGGGCTGGGAACTTAAGTGTAGGCTCTGAGGAGAAATCCACTTCCAAACCCATTCAGGTTATGACAGAGTACCCTACAGTTACAGGACTGAAGTGCTTTCCATCTGAGATCTGGGACCTGCCTCAGCTCTTTGAAGCCACTCACATTCCTTTTCCCATGGCTCCTCAATCTTTAAGCAGTAATAGTGCCAAATGACTATCGTGCTTCAAACCTGACTGCCTCTATTGTCATCAGCCAGAGAAAACTCCATTTTTAAAGATGTATGTTATTACATTGGGCCCACCAGGCTAATCCAGGCTGGTCTCCCTCTGTAACAAAACATAATCTCAAGCATGATAGCACATTCTGAAGTCCCAGGGACTCGGGAGGGACTTCACTGGGGGCCGCTTTAGAACTTCTGCCTACACATCTGCCATCAGGTGCTCACACAATACATACAAAAACAATAGCACTGCAATAAGATAATTGTACAAAAGAAAGTGCGGTAAACAAAATGTCACACATACATACAATGGAATACTATTCAGCCATAAAAAGGAAGAAAATTCTGACATGCTACAACATGGATGAACCTTGAGGACATTATGCTAAGTGAAATAAACCTATGATCCCACTTATTTGCAGTATCTAGAATAGGCAAATTCACAGAGACAGAAAACAGAATAGAGGTTTCCAGGCATTGGCGGGAAGAAGAATGAAGTTGTTGTTTGATAGTTATAGAGTTCTGTTTGGGATAATGAACGTGTTCTGGAAATGGATAGTGGTGACAGTCACACAGCATTGTGAACATACTTAAAAGTACTGAATCGTATACTTAAAAATGATTTACATGGTGAACTTCATGTTCTGTATATTTTACCACAATAACATAAAATTAAAGTGTTGAAAAAATAGACTGGAGGCATAAGAAAAGAACAGCATAACTTGCTTCCTGAAAGAGCAAAATGTCAGATTGGGCAGGAGATAAGATCAGATGGGTGTGGGTGAGAAGGGTGTGGACTGTGCGGTGGGAGGGACAATGTCATAATTTCAGTTCCCTTTTTGGTCACCACACAGCTAAGGTAACTTGATAATTTTGTCCAAACCTGCCTTCCTTTCTTGCACTAGCTGCCTGGAAAGCAAACCTTATTTAGCAATCACTAATAGTCCTAGAACTTTTGAGTGTTAATGATAGAGGTGTGAATCAAGTACCTGCTATTTATTAAGTGTCACGTTGGTGACCCCAAATTCACCTTGCTTCTAGGAAATAGAAAGAAGGAAACACAGAGACTGAGCACTATGCTGAGCACTGTGCTTCCTTACATAGCTTCAATGCTTCACAATGACAATGCAAGTTAAGTAGCCATGAAACTTGTTTTCCCCAGTTTTACCAATAAAACATTTGGGGTTGTGAAAGTCTGAATAATTGCCCGCATGTCAGGTAACAAAGAAAAGAAAGTACCTTCCCACCTGAGGGTCTTGTAATATGCTGTTCCCTCTACTTGGAATGCCTATCTACTTTCTCAACCTGTCACCACCACCACCATCATCTACACACACACACATCTGCTTAACATTCTGTATCTAATTCCTACCCATTAGTAAGCAAGGCTACCATATTCAGCTTTATAGATTGTGTGCTGCAAGAGTCCCAGGAGCACCATTCACGTAGACCACAATGTAAAAATGCCCTTGGAGTTGTGCAGTGCCCAACCTGCACAAACATACATGGCAAACCTCAGTCTCTCTCTCTTTTTTTTTTTTTTTTTTGGAGATGGAGTCTCGCTCTGTCACCCAGGCTGGAGTGCAGTGAGGCAGTGATGCAATTTCGGCTCACTGCAACCTCCGCCTCCTAGGTTCAAGTGATTCTTCTGCCTTGGCCTCCTGAGTAGCTGGGATTACAGGTGCCTGCCGTCATGCCCAGCTAACTTTTGTATTTTTAGTAGAGATGGGATTTCACTATGTTGACCAAGTTTGTCTCAAACTCCTGACCTCAAATGATCTGCCAGCCTCGGCCTCCCAAAGTGCTGGGATTACAGGCATGAGCCACTCTGCCCTGCCTATACATGGCAAACCTCTCTCAAAGTTTTGGCTTAGGTGTACTTCTATAGGTGGGCCGGGTTAGGTCTTCTCTCATATGCATCTGTATTCTTCTTTAAAGTATCTAGTACAAGCCCACTTAAATAGTTATTTGCATAATTAATATTTTATATATGACTTCCCTGCTAAACTGCAAGTTCAACAAAGGGAGAAATCACATCTGCTTAACTCTTTTTGAACAAAGAAATAAGATAGAGCTGGGTTTGTGTGAGTTCAAAGCAAGGATCTTCCAACTGTCACTTACTGGTGCCTGTGACTGATGCAGAAAAAGATATGGAACCCAGAGAATAATGTACTAACTCTTTCAAACTTAACTCTTGCTATTGTTCCTTCTTTCTGTAACATGTTAGATTAAGTTTGTTTTTTGTTTTTTGGGTTTTTTTGCAATTTTGATAAGGTGTCCATCATGGTGTTTAACATGCCTATATTATCTGCTAAGGGGGCATTCTACAGAGCCACATTTTATACTAGGTAACTTTACTGAATTGAATAGTGTCCCCCCAAAATTCAAGTCTGCTTGGAACCTCAGAAATGGGACCTTATTTGGAAATAGGGTTTTTGCATGTATAATTAGTTAAGACAAGGTCACCATGGATTAGGTTGCCCTAAATCCCATGATTGGTGTCTTAATAGAAGAGGAGACAGAGATCCAGGTACAACAACATTGGGGAAGGAAGACAGGAGGGAAGGAAGGGAAAGAAGGAGGGAAGAAGGCCATGTGATGACAGAGGCAAAGACAGGAGTGACGCAAGCTAAGGAACAAGACTTGTCAGCAACCACCAGAAGCTACAAAGAGGCAACAAAGGACTTCTCCAGAGCCTTTGGACAGAGAATGGTGCTGCCTACAATTGGATTTTGGAGTTCTAGCCTCTGGAACCATGAGAAAATAACTTTCTGTTGCTTTAAGCCACTCAGTTTCTGGTACTTTGCTAAAGCAACCCTACTTAGGATCAAAATAATCCTAGGTGCTATAGCAAATAAACCTCCAATTGTTAGTAGCTTAGTGATAGAATTTGAGACTCAGCAGTTATAACCTACAGTAGGTGTTCCAGGTATATTGGTGGCTGTTCTCCACATGGTGATTCAGTGATCCAGGCTTTTTAAATCTTGTGTTTCCACCACTTTCTAGGGCCCCTTTGTCTATGGAAACGGGAAAAGAGAGTTTAGAACACATATTAGCTGTTTAAGTTGTCTTGACTTAGACGTGACAAAAATTTCTGCTCACATTCCATTGTCAAGAACTGGTTAAATGGCCCCACTAGATAAAAGAGTAAATACAGGTGCTTTTGAGTGATAATTCTATATTGTGGAAGGGGAACACACATTTTGCTGGGCAATTTGCCATCTCTACTACACTGCCCTCCCAACCTCAGTTGATGTGGTCAGCCTGAGGAGTAACTTCATGCTTGGCATCAAACAATGAGCTTGATTAATCATATTCTCTTTTTTTGGAATTTTGTTTTAGAACTTTAGAGAGAAGATCAGCTGTGGTGGCCTCACACCTGTAACCCCAGCACTTTGGGAGGCTGAGGCATGCAGATCACTTGAGGTCAGGAGTCCGAGACCAGCCTGTCCAACATGGTGAAACCCTGTCTCTACTAAAAATACAAAAATTAGCTGGGCATGGTGGTGTGTACCTGTAGTCCCAGCTACTCAGGAGGCTGAGGCAGGAGAATCGCTTGAACCCAGGAGGCAGGGGTTGCAGTGCGCTGAGATTGCGCCACTGCATTCCAGCCTGAGTGACAGAGTGAGCTCTGTCTCAAAAAATAAAAAAAAAAGAACCTCAGAAAGAATTTAGCTCTTAATAGCTCTCTTATGTTACAGTTTTGGGTTTGAATTTTTTAACCTCTTGCCTCAACCTCTTCCCAATTCCTGGGATCAGAGACTGTACCTGATTCATCTTTATACCTGACAAAATGTCTCACCCAATGGTTTACAGATGGCAGGATTTCACACATATTAGTGTATGCATGCCTATATGAATGTATGAATTAGGAAGCATTAAGAGTAAAAAGTTATGGTACTATAATTTTAATGTAGGTGATCTAAGTGACCATACTCAACTGTACTTAAAACATTATTTTATGGGGCTTGTACAGTGACACTTCTCCATTTGTAAAGAAATCAGTCACCAGATTCTAATTTTCTTCGTTTGCCATGCTCTGTATTCAACAGTGCAGGAGAACTGTGTGTCAGAGGAAGTGATCACTCTCTATTTACATGCAACTTACTCAGGTTTTTGCACAACAGTTTGCCATTTGTCAATACTAACATGTCCTCAGCAAACAGCCACATTGGATGAATTATGGTTTTCTTCTCACACTCAGAGCAGCAGTAACCCACGGCCACGTCTAGTTAGAGCCTACAGTCGTTAACCATCATTACAAGAGACTCGGCCTTAACACAAAAACATTTCAGCAGCTCTTTGGCAAAAGGCTAAAATATCTGGGTTACTCAATGTCATATCCAATTTTGTGCACTTCTGTGGGATTGCTGGAAGCAAAGTGAAGTTATTGGGGCCTGTGAAGTACAATAAATGGACTCCTAGACAAGCTCCTTCAATGTCAGGGAACTGGGTATGTGTGTTATGAAATTAAATGTATATAGATTTATATACAGATGTTTATACTGTTGTAAATCAAGATATATTCTTTCTTAGCTAAATTGGGATTTGCTTATAGATCTGCTCTTTTCCCCACAGAAGAGGTTGAGCTTTGTTTGTTTTCTTCCCCTCAAGAGCAGCACCGTATGATGCCACATAATTCCTAGAGATATCAGAAAGTAATCTTCTCTGTTCCCTTATGAGTGTCAAGAGCTAATCCCTGGGGGAAAGGGAAGAATTTTTGAGATTTATCTGCTGTCTTTTTTAAACACTTTGCAAGTGAATTATTGCAATCTGCATGGGGCACTCAAAATGACAACTCTCACTAAACACTAACCACCATTCAATTGCTGAAGAAGAGGGCAAAGAAATATGACCAGTATAAAATGGGAGTCCTTTTCTTGAAGCCAAGAGAAGAAGTTCATATAATTGTTCAATTCTGCCACAAGTCATTACATTGGAAGTGAAAAATTTAGTCAAAGAAGCGACAGAGTTAAATGGGGGTATCTGACATGTTTTATTTTCACCAGTAGGACTGACAAATTTTAAAAGGATTAGATGGCTGAGATATCTTCTGGTCAGGAAGTCTCCTTGAACAGGAAAGAGAAAATTTAGGTTGTCAGTCTTAGATACTTTTTGTCACTACCTCTATACTTTAAAATCTATAACCAAGGTGAATCTAAAGGATAATTTTAAATGGTCCTTGGTGGAACAATACTGGTGGTCTCTTTTTCTATGCCATGTAAAGGGAGGGAAATTTGCTCTTACCTGCCCAGTAGAAATAGCCCAACCATTCCTGCAATTAAAAATGAGAAAATTTAGCCTGCTTTCAGTGTCACTATAGGAAGGAAAAAGAAAAAAAAAAAAACAATTACTCTAAAAACAATAAAATGTACTCATGATAAATTATCCTGGTGATATCACCTGTACTCAAGAAAGAAATATGACAAATGATAGATTCTTTTTCTTGTTTCCTAGGAGAAAGAAAAATAGCATATTCAAACATCAAGACAATAACAAGTTTTGTAGTAATAGAATTTTTTAGAGATATCTAAAGATAGCACCACATTTGAGTAGCATGTATGTATCAGGCTCTGCTCCAGGCACTTTCTGCCAATTATCACTAATATGCACCATCAACTAATAATAAGAGTGGCTATGTTACTATTCCCAGCTTACAGAAGAGGAAACTGTTGCTCAGTGAAGATCAGAAATGTGTCCAGAACATCACAGCTAGTAATTTGTGGTGCTAGCATTTTGTGATACTAAAAGCTGTGCTCTCTCCATCATATTACAGTAATTCCCAAAACACTGGCCCCAGCATCATAGAAACAATCTAGGGTGAATCTTAGCTATACTACACAGAGCTAGATGGATAGAGGGAAATTTCTAGACACAATCTTCCCCTTTGTATGGGGTTCAGAGTTTCAGAACCATCCTGATATGAGCAAAGTGAAAACCCATATTTGGGTAACTGACTTACATACAAATTAAACTAATAAATAGTCAGGTGTCCCCACACAAAATACCTCCTGTCATTACACTACTACCAGGTAGTACAATCCTTTCCCTTTTTAGGCTGCCTATTATTTTGACGTTAGCCTTTATGTGTGAGTTCTCAACATGGCTCGTATTCTCTCATTGCTGGTGTCCTGCTGCAGAGGGGCATAAACTATAGGAACACAAATCATGTATAAAAGTGCTATCTTGGCTGTGCACAGTGGCTCACGCCTGCAATCCTAGCACCTTGGGAGGCCAAAGCAGGTGGATCACAAGGTCAAGAGATCGAGGCCATCCTGCCCAACATGGTGAAACCCCGTCTCAACTAAAAATACAAAAATTAGCTGGACGTGGTGGCGCTCACCTGTAGTCCCAGCTGCTTGGGAAGCTGAGGCAGGAGAATCGCTTGAACCCAGGAGGCGGAGGTTGCAGTGAGCCAAGATTGCGCCACTGCACTCCAGCCTGGCAACAGAGGAAGACTGTCTAAAAAAATAAAAAATTAAAAAAATTAAAAAAAAAAGGGCTATCTTATTTCTCTGTTCTTTGGAAATTTCATTTTCCTGATCTTCTTGTTACAGCTTTCCCTCACTTCTCCCTCTTTTACAGTGCACTCCTTTTTGTCTACTGGTGTCTCTACCAGCTCTGAAAATTGAGAACCCTTGGGAATTTGTCACTTGGCTCTGGACCCATTACATCATCCAAACAAAAATGGTTTTCTTCTAAAATATAGTGGCTCTGCATTTGAAGTCTTTCTGTCCACCTGGATTAATCATTTTCTTGAGGTCGTCTGATAATTTTACACCTTTTCTAGCTGAGTTGACCTGTGTTGACAGATGAAAGCATATTTGGCCACATCCTGTCTCCTTTAACCTTCATTCATATCACAATGCTTTCTGGTGCCTATGATCTAAATGCTTCTTCTACATACCTCTCTCCACTATCTTGGCTTTCTCTCTTATCTAGACTGTCTATCAAACCACACTGTTATCTGCTTGACCATATGTATTCCTACCTCCACCAAACAGAAATCTTCTTACAGCTGTGTCTAATTTCAAAAGAGAAATATTTGCCATTAATATCACCATGAAGAAGTTCCCAAGCAACCCAATAGAAAATCCACAAACTATCTTTTTTTTTTTTTTAAATCCACAGACTTTGGTGTTGCCTAGAGCCTTGGCTAGAAGAATTTCTGACGTTGAATCTGATCACTGGCCACCGCTTTGGCTTCCTGAGCAGTATTCTGCATGTACATGTCAGCTGAGACATCCTCTTCCAACCACCCTAATCAGATTGGCTTGTTCCAACCAAAGGCCCTCGTAAGAATAAAAATTTAAATGGTCTTCTTCTCTCTTTCCTCCTCCTTCCTTTTCTTACTTTTGTATGTAATCAGTACACTCCGCAAAACACCTAACATTTACTTTGCTGTTGTGTTATGTGTCTCTTTTTATGTATAAGTTTTATATCCCAACTAGACTAATGACTTCTTTAGAGAAGCAACATTGTCCTATAATCTTTATGCTCCCAATACTCTCTAGCATGAGAAAAAACAGATACTCAAAAACTGTTCTTTAATTGTACTTTAATTTTCTCTGCAGGTGGATTTTAACTTTTTATAGCTTCATTAGTTACTGTTGGTGTTCTGAAGAGGAGCAGATTCTGCAAAATCCAAAGCTTTTCTTCATCATATGGAATTTAAGGAAAAGAAAAACAAAGGTATGTCTGGGGACTTTGACTGAGAAGAAGTGGCATTTAAATTTTTTCCACTAACCCCAGTATCGGCACCAAGTTAATATTTAGTTTCTGGAACTCTCATTTCACTTGAATTCCATTACTCTTGCTCTCTCATCAAAAATGTGAATTCCCTATAGGATCACGCAGAACAGACACTTAAAATTTACTCATGAACTTCCTAATTCCAAGCAGTAGTCACCACAGTTAAAAATTTTCGTTGTGAAATCTTAGAAAACAAAGATCATATCTAATCAAAACTATATAAATACTAAAGAAATCATAAAATGTACATTTTATGTACCTGCAATAAATTTAATAAACATTAAGTAAAAATACAGTCACTTTTCTCTAACAATTAGATTTTAATATAGTCACTAAATGATTCAGGCAACTATACTACATAAATTCAAGCTAGCTAAATCTATAAACTTAAATAGCTAGACTTTTTTTTTTCTTTGAGATGAGTTCTTGTTCTGTCATTTAGGCTGGAGTGCACTGGTGCAATCACGGCTCACTGCAGCCTCAACTTATTGGGCTCAGGTGATTATCCTACTTCAACCTCTTGAGTAGCTGGAACTACAGCCGCACGTCCGGCCAATTTTTCGTATTTTCAGTAGAGATGGTATTTTGCCATGTTGCCCAGGCTGGTCTTGAACTCCTGGGCTCAAGCTGTTAGTCCACCTTGGCCTCTGAAAGTGTTGGGATTATAGATGTGAGGCACTGCGCCCGGCCAATAGCTGAATTTTGTTTTATATTTACTTTAAAATTGTTTTTAATGTGCTATCCTTAATAACTGTTATTTGCACTATCTGTCCCATTCTCTAATAAAAGTCAGTGTAAAAGTTTCCATACTTTATGCCATGTAATATATACCCCTACCCACCTAATCAAAATAATATGTATACAGCTCAAAAATCATTATTTCAACAACCAAAAAAACCCTTTTCTCTCCTCTTCTGTCATTCTTTGTTACTTAACCATGGATAATGATTATAATATAGAAATTATCTTTGCAGTTTTTCTAACCTCAGAAGTTTTAGATATGTAGTATCTCAAGGGCCCTTTTAAAATAAGTATCTTATGGGTTTATTTCCTGGATGTAGATAATCTTCATCAAGAGTTCTGTTTGTTAACAATTATTTTCTGACTTTTTCTACACAAAGAGACCCTGCAGTCAATATTTAAAGCATATTATATCTAGCCACACTCAATGCACATTTTATCCCAACATTATACCTTGAGTACAGTATGGTAATGAATGAATGAATCCACCACCATATATATCATTGATTAACATGTATTTATTTATTTATTTATTTATTTTGAGATGGAGTCTCACTCTGTTGCCCAGGCTGGAGTGCAGTGCCGTGATCTTGGCTCACTGCAAGCTCCACCTACTGGGTTCATGGCATTCTCCTGCTTCAGCCTCCCGGGTAGCTCGGACTACAGGTGCCCGCCACCACACCCAGCTAATTTTTTTGCATCGTTAGTAGAAACGGGTTTCACCGTGTTAGCCAGGATGGTCTCGATCTCCTGACCTCGTGATCCGCACGCCTCGGCCTCCCAAAGTGCTGGGATTACAGGCGTGAGCCACAGCACCTGGCCCCATTTATTTATTTAACTAATAATAATTGAGAGTACTATAGGCCAGGTAGTTTGCTAGATAGTGAGCAAACAAAGGTGCAAAAAGACAAGAGACAGACAGCAATCTAAGTGACTCAGTAAGTAAATAGGAGGGACAGCCAACTTAACCTTGCAGGGGGCTGGGTATAGAGGTTAGGGGGTTTGACAAAGGAAGCTTCCTCAGGAAAGAGATCAAAGCTGCAATCTGGAGATTGAGCAGGAATTATCCTGGGAAATAGAAGGAGGAAGTAATAATAGTTAACACTTAAAGTGTCTCCTATGAGCCAGGTACTGTTCTTTACATACAGTAACTCATAGTCTTCAAAACAACCAGGCAATATAGGTACTGCTAGAACACATTATAGACAAGGATACTGCCGCACACAGAAATTAAATAACTTGCTTGAGGCCATGCAGCTGGCAAATGTAGAATCAGATTTCGAGCCCAAACATCTGACCCCAGAGTACTGTCTTTTCCAGGAGAGATAACATAGGCCCAGCAGCAATGGTAAAAAAGAATAATAAGAGACCTTACATTTACAGAGCACTAGCCCAAGCCCCCAACATATATGATTGCATTTATTCCTCATACAATTGTATGAATTAAGTGCTATTTGCATCATCATTGCAAATGTAGATTCAAAGGCTTAAAAATATTGAGGAACCATAATGAGCTACCACTTTACATCCACTCAGATGGTTATAATTTTAAAAAATAGAATATAGCAAGTGTTGGCAAAGATGTGGAGAAATTGGAACACTTGTACATTTTTGCTGGGAGTGTTAAATGCTGCAGCCACTGTGAGAAATAGTTTGGCGGTTACTCAATAAGTTAAACATAGAATTACCATATGACTCAGTAATTCTCATCTTGAGTATATACCCAAAAGAACTGAAAACAAGTGTTCAAACAAAAACTTGCATGGAATATTAATAGCAACACTATCCATAACAGCCAAAAGCTGGAAACAACTCAAATGCCTATCAGCTGATGAATGGATGATCAAAATGTGGTATGTCCATACAGTGGAATTTTATTCAGTTGTGAAAAAGAACTAAGTACTGATACATGCTATGACATGGATGAATCTTAAAAACATTATGCTCTGTGGTTGCCGTTTTGTAGTGAAAAAGAAATTATACTAAGTGAAAGAAACCAGACACAAAAGACCACATATGGTATGATGCCATATATATGAAATATTCAAAGCTGTGAAATCTATAAAGACAGAAAACATACTGGGCCAGACACAATGGCTTATGCTTATAATTCCAGCACTTTGGGAGGCTTAAGGCCAGGAGTTCAAAACCAGCCTGGTCAACATAGCAAGACCCCATCCCCACAAATGAAATTTTTTAAAGAAAATTAGCCAGGTGTGGTGACATGCACCTGTAATCCCAGCTGAGGTAGGAGGATTCCTTGGGTCTAGGAGTTCAAGTCTGCAGTCAGCCGTGATTGCACCACTGCACTCCAGCCTGGGCAACAGAGCAAGACCCTGTATCCAGAAAAACAACAACAACAACAACAAAAATCCAGATTATTGGTTGCCAGGAACTGGAGGGACAAGGAATAGAAAGTGGTTGCTTAATAGGTACAGGGTTTCCTTTTGCAGTGGTGAAAATATTCTGGAACTAGATAGTGGTGATGGATGTACAATCTTGTTTTTTGTTATGTGTATTTTATCACAGTTTTTAAAAGTAAAAAAAAAGTTGAGTAATTTGTTCAAGGTTGCACAGCATAACTAGGAAAAGGTGGATTTGAACTCATGCAGGAAAGACATTTCAAGAATTCCAAGTTGTTTGATAGGACTACATTGAAGTACATGCAAGTGGGTGGAAGAGAAGAAAAAATGGCAAAAGTTGAGGCAAAGGTAGGAATCAGAGTCTTTGTCATGAAGACACATTTTAAAGTGAATGGAGACAACCGTTGAGGCACTGACACAGGAATAGGGAGCCTGAGGATGAGAGAAGGGCACCAACCCCTCACTGAAGTCAGAGTGCTCCTCGCTAGATGAACTGTGTCTTCTGGGTGTCTGAATAGAGAAAGTGACCACTGAAACACAATAATTGCCGCAGTTGGTCAACATCCATCCCCCACTCCCAACCTAACAGTGAAAATAGAGCTATTCATTTCTATACCTCAAATACCTCTTTTGTAAAGAGAGATAATAAAAGTTCCTATTTCATAAACTTGCCATAAGGATCAAATGAGTTAATATACGCAAAATTCTTGGAACAGTGCCTGGCACAAAGTCAACACCACAGAAATGTTTGCTATTACAGTTTTGTTATTATTACCTCGATGGTTTCCATAAAGTGTCCCTCAGACCTTTTCATTTTTATCATGTATGATAAAACCAGGTGCTGTCTTATCTGGAATGTTTGCCCAAGCACATTACGTTTTGTTAACAGAGGATGAATCATTGAAACCTGACCTCATGGGAAATAGCATTATCTGCCATTTCATCTGTATTTTGCAACTACAACATACATTTCCTTCCCAGTTGCTTTGAATACAGAGAAAAAAAATGTTCTTCTCAGACTTCTTTGTACTTGTCCACAAATAATTTAGTAGTGCTAATTAGGAGAGTCCTAAAAAAATTTTAATACAATGCAATAAAATAAGAAACTATACCTAATAGTTCAGGTAGAAGATGATATTTTAGACTTTCAAGCAAAAATGCACACTTTTTATCATTACAAATATTGCATACACATTATGCTGTTTCATACAAATTCACAATTACAGAGGACAAAGGCAAAGAAAAAGAGACATTTTTAGATTCTGCAACTGTCCATCATGCTTTAGAACTTTCTGCACCAAGATTCACTAATCAGCTCTCACTGATCAGTCCTCATTATGTAAAATGTGTATCAGTGAAATGTGAAAATGAGCCCTCTTTCACTGTAACCAGACCTGCGGAAAGAATTTTAAATCTTGACATTTGAGGCTCTTTACTAATGACAACAGTGTGATAAACAGTTCATTAATCCTATTTATCAGGCTGAGAAATAAGCCAAAATTGCCATAGGCAAGTAACACTATAAAGGAGTTTTTAAAAAACAAGGAGGTACTTTATGGTTCTTTAATCTAAACCAAGGACTTAGTTTTTTTTCTGTAAAGGGTCAGTGAGTAAATATCTCTGGTCTTGTCAGTCATCACAACTCTATCATAACTACTCAACCCTGCCACCGTAATGTGAAAGTCGCCATGGACATTATGTAAACAAATGGGCCTGGCTGTGTTCCAATAAAACTTTATTTACACAGGCTACAACATGGATGAATCTTAAAACATTATGCTAAGTGGAATAAGCTAGACACAAAAGGACAAATATCGTATCATTCCATTTATATGAGGTATCTAGATTTGGCAAATTCACAGAGATGGAAAGTAGAATGGTGGTTGCCAGAGGCTGGAAAGAGAGGGAAATGGGGAGTGAGTGTTTAATGGGCCCAGAGTTTCTGACTGGGATAATGAAAAAGTTCTGAGGCCAGGCATGGAGGCTCACGCCTGTAATCTCAATACTTTGGGATACCAAGGCGGGTGGATCACCTGAGGTAAGGAGTTACGAGACCAGCCTGGCCAACATGGTGAAACCTCGTCTCTACTAAAAATACAAAAATTATTCAGGCATGGTGGCAGACGCCCATAATCCCAGCTGCTCAGGAAGTTGAAGCTGGAGAATCGTTTGAACCCAGGAGGCAGAGGTTGCGGCGAGCCGAGATTGCACCACTGCACTGCAGCCTGGGCGACAGAGTGAGACACCATCTCAACAACAACAAAAAGTTCTGGAGGTGAGTAGTGGTAATGGTTGCATACCCCTATGAATGTACTTAATGCCACTGAACTACACACTTAAAAATGGTTAAAATGATAAATTTTAAGTTATGTATATTTAACTACAGTTTTTAAAGAAAACGTATTTATAAAAACAGGCAGTCGGCCTAAGTGCAATAGCTTGCAGACCCCTGATGTAAACTTTCTTGTCCTTCTCACTATACTTCTTCCTTTGCCTCATACATCTTTGTAGTTGCTGTTGTTGTTGCTATTGCTGCTCCTCATTTCATTTCTTGATTAACCTGTGCAGCCAAAATGTTGTTTTGTGTGCAGCGGAAAAGAAAACCATCTGCACTCATTGAGGGTTACAGTTCTGTCTAAAGGTTGTTCATTCTGGAGCTCATAGCTTCAGCAGATGCAGATCTAGAATTATAAATATAAGAGTATGCCGTTCTGTGCTTTCAAAATGGCCATAGTGATACAAAAACATTTCAGGACAGATGGGCTGGTTTCCACGTTTTCTGGTGGGGGTCTAAAAAGGCTTCACTTTTGTTTGTCAATGGCCAGTAGCACAGATTAGAGTGCTGGTGTTAAGAGTGCACCTGTCAACCATGGATGTCAAGAGCTTTTCTCTATGTGAAGGTTTTGGCTCTTGTACAAGTTGAACCCTCAGCCTTGACTCATCTCTCTGCTTTGACTGATTAGGTCAATTGATCATAAATCATCTTCCAAAGACTGGCCAGTGCTCAAGCTTTCAGGTCAAACCTGATTCCTCAAAATAGAAACTCAGGCAAACAGAAATGTTCACATTTTAAAAGGAAACCTATTTTAAAATGAATATTTTGAAAATACAAATTATTAACATTATTATTGGAAGATAACTTTAAGGGGGTCAAATCAGTCTATTAAAACCTCTTAACAATTAGAATCAGACTGGGCGTGGTGGCTTACTCCTGTAACCTCAGCACTTTGGGCAGGAGCATCACTTGAAGCTCGGAGTTTGAGAGCAGCCTGGGCAACATAGCAAGACCTCATCTCTACAAAACATCAAAAATTTTTGACCAGGTGCAGTGGCTTGTTCCTGTAATCCCAACAGTTTGGGAGGCCAAGGTGGGAGGATCACTGGAGCCCAGGAGTACAAAACCAGACTAGGCAACATGGCGAAACCTCATCTCTACCAAAAAAAATATTAGCCAGGTGTGGTGGCACACACTTTTAGTCCCAGCTCCTCGGGGGGCTAAGGTGGGAGGCTTGAGCCCAGGAGGTCGAGGCTGCAGTGAGCCAGGATTGTACCACTGCACTCCAGCCTGGGTGACAGAGCCAGACCTTGTCTCAAAAAAAAAAAAAAGAAAAAAAAAATTAGCTGGCTGCAGTGGTGCATGCCTATAGTCCTAGCTACTTGCGAGGCTGAGGCCAGAGGTTCCTTTAAGCTCAACCTTATGAGTTAAAGGTTACAGTGAGCTATTATTGCACCACTGTGTTGCCTGGGTGAGAGTGAAACCCTGTCTTTTAAATTAAAAAAAAAATAGAATTCCTTCTTTACTATTAACTTGAATCTAGTGCACCAAAATTGATGACCAAAGAGTTGGCCAACGTAAGCTACCTTTGATGGAGCTGAAACCACAGTGGTAATAAATTCTGTATCTTTAATGAAATGAAAATTATTTTTATTAATCTGAGAAAACAAAGCTCTAACAAAGCTATTAATTTCTAAAGGATTTTTTTTTTTTTTTTGAGATGGAGTTTTGCTCTTGTCACACAGGCTGGAGTGCAACAGCGCAATCTCAGCTCACTGCAACCTCTGCCTTCTGGATTCAAGCAATTCTCCTGCCTTAGCCTCCCGAGTAACTGGGATTACAAACACCCGCCACCATGCCCGGCTAATTTTTATATTTTTAATAGAGATGAGGTTTCACCATCTCGAACTCCTAACCTCAGGTGATCCACCCGCCTCGGCCTCACAAAGTGCTAGGATTACAGGCGTGAGTCACCACGCCTGGGCTTCCAAAAGGATTTTTACCTAAAGGGAAAAAAAAATCTATTATTAGTATTATTTACTAATCATCCAACATTTTTAAAGCACCTTCAATACCTGCTTAAAAGACTAAAATCATATGACTTGCACACTTCAATAATTCTTCGTGTTTTTATTTTTTCTCTAATTTTTCTAATGAGTCTTTGCATGGCAAAGTGCAAAAGACATTGATTTTAGAAATTTCAAAAATGCAGACATCAAAGAGCCTCAACAATTTTATTTGATATAACAAAAATAGATTGTTTTAAATTTTTAATGCCATTCTCACTTTTTTTCTTTTAACACTTGACTCTTCTATCAATAAAACACGAATTGGTTGAAAACAACTTATTGGACTTTGTAAGGGCAAATATTGTTTTCAAATAAAAAGATAGATTTGTATTTGAAACCGCATTTTATTTAAATAATTTTAATTTGCATATATGAAAAAATGTGTTAAAATGTTTACTAATACGAAAATGCAGAAGTAGCACGTTGTCTACTTTAGCCATATATCTATTGTAGTCTCTCTACATTGTGCAGGTCCTCAGGTGTGAGGGGGAAGACAGACAGCAGGTGTCTGAGAATTTATAATCACCAAAATGATTAGGTTACAACACTCATTTCTAAACACGTGAAGTATTTACAGATCACTTGAAGAATCACTCTAGTTTTCGGGATGTGACTCGTTGACCTTCAAAAGTGGAAGCAAGTGAATTTGCCATCAGGCTCCTTCTTTCATTTTGAAGTTTAATATAGTGCCACTGGCTCTCCAATATCCATGGTGCCAATTTCCCACTGATGTCTTATATCTTGGGTTTCCGTTCCCTTGTTAGAAAAGTATAGTGATGAAATAGGTGAGGTAACTTTGAGATCAGAAAGCCCATGTAATTACATAGTGTTTCCAGCACAATCTACAACGCTCTGACACCGGATATCAGCACAACAATAAGTAAGGGCAAAAAGCTTGTCAGGGAAGTTTGGCAATGAGTATAGCCTCAGGTAAACACAAAGGCGGTGGCTGTTAACTCTTAGAAATCAGAATGTTTATGTGGAGAATAAGTTGGCATCTCCTGATCATTTCTAGGGGGTCTTTTTGTGAGGCTCATTAAAAAAAAAAAAAAGACCAAAGACAAGATGTCGTGTACATAAAGTGAATGCCTCTCTTCTGAGAAGAATCATTCACAAAAAGGATTATTTCCAACCACAAGGGGATATGCATAGTTGTTAGAATTACATAAAACATTTCTTTTCTAAAACTGTCTTATAATTCTGCAATTTGAAAAATTTAACTAGCTGCACTAATTGGACTCACACAAATAAAGCCTCCAATTTTCTTATTGAAAATTGAAGTCCACCCTGTTAGTATTTTCCCTTCATAACGATGACTCTCCGGGGCCCTGAATGCCTGCTGAGCTTTCCAAAAAAAACATTTTTGTCATTTTAAATGATTTGTCTCTGACTATACATAAAAGCAATTAGAACAAATACTTTTATTTAAATGTATGTGCTGAGCATTTTTTTCTTTGGCTGGTTTCTCGATTTTGAATTTCTTACCATGATTTGTCTGCACACTTCCAGTGCAGCTATTACAGCAAACTCTTAACTCTGCTTGCCAATCACATTGAACAGCTCTAACTAGTCATGTGTGGAATTCAGAGAACAAAGAATCCTTCCATGGGTCTGAGATTCCTTCACCTCAAAAGCACTTCAGATCACAGACTGAACCGAAAGTTTCTACTGAAACCAACCTCTACAATTCTTAGCATAAAAGTAACTATTAATATCAGATACTGCCCTATCTGCTTTAGATAGAGATACCTCATTTCCCCCAACAAACAAATTAAGTAGTAATTATCATTATCACTTCACAGGTATGGAAATTGAGGCTAGAGTATGTTAAGAAGCTTGTCCGAGGTCCTCCCTGCTAGTAAACATTGAAACCAAATTTAACCTCTTTTCTGTCTAATACCAAATCCAACACTTCCTTCATTACACTGTGGCAAAAGTCACTCAAGCCCCCCGGTTCTCTCTCCTTGCAATGTAAAATCTGTACACATTGCCATGGTAAAAAAGTTAAAATGTAAAAGCCAACATATAAAAAACCATGTATAAAGAATATACAGTAGGTTACTAATTTAATTTGTGCTTAACGTATATATAAAAAACTAATATACTAAAATATTAGTAGTGGCCATCTTTTGGCGGATTACTGGCAATGTTTCTTTCTTACACATTTTTTACTTACAAATTTTCTATATTAAATATGATACTTTTATTAAATATTTATTTAAAATGCAAGGAATGTCACTAAGTAGTCAAATGCAAATGGAATAATGAAATGGATTTTCAGAGTGACATGAATTTGTCATGTTGTCATGTTCAATTGATAATTAACATTGGGCTTAACATGTCGGTGAATTTTTAATGTCCAAGGGAGGGCTTTTAAATGCAAAATGAACCACTTAGAGCTGTCTAAATGTGAAATTTGTTATTGTGGTTAATTAAAGGACTAAATTTTTCTTAAACCCCTAAATTCAACATATAACTCTTACTAGCAGATTTAGAAATTAAATAATTTTTATTAAGAATAAGCAAATCGCTTTTAATTACTCTTTATTTTTTAACTAATAGTTTAGTAAGTTTAATGTATTAGATTTTTAACCTACATATATAACTTTAATATTTTTTATTTTTTCAAACACCTCATTTCTGATAAGGCCAACTTACAGACTAAAACAGTCTTTATAAATTCTTAAGCAGCTTTTTAAAATAAAACAAACTGAATGTACAACTTTAGTAAGCATTCAAGCACTGTTTGTAAACTTAATTGATTACATTCCCTAATGCATGTCAAATTTAAATCACAAGTATAATCAGGCATTTCTAATTAAAAATACAATACAATTAAATTCCCTAACATGTCAGAGATTCTCTAACATGTCATCTCTTGAACATTTCGTATGCTACATATAAGAAACATAAATTATCATTATGACTTAAAATATATTTCACATAAACTATCACAGTATTAATACTTTCTATATATTATGTTACTATCTCTATATAACTTCTACAACTTAATGGGTTTGCAAAGTCATTTTGTAGTAGGACAAGCCTCAGACAAAACTCCTCAGACACCAAGTTAAAGAAGGAAGGGGTTTATTCAGCCAGGAGCATTGGCAAGACTCCTGTCTCAAGAGCCAAGCTCTCCAAGTGAGCAATTCCTGTCCCTTTTAAGGGCTCACAACGCTAAGGGGGTCCGTGTGAGAGGGTTGTGATCAATTGAGCAAGCAGTGGGTATGTGACTGGTGGCTGCATGCACCAGTAATCAGAACGAAATAGAACAGGACAGGGATTTTTACAATGCTTTTCCACACAATGTCTGGAATCTACAGATAACATAACCAGTTAGGTCAGGGGTCGATCTTTAACTACCAGGCCCAGGGCGTGGCACCGGGCTGTCTGCCTATGGATTTCATTTCTGCGTTTTAGTTTTTACTTCTTTCTTTGGTGGCAGAAATTGGGCATAAGACAGTATGAGGGGTGGTCTCCTCCCTTATTCATCTGACTAAAGAGTGAATATTACTATTTCCAGCAGTGCCGGTTTCTCCAGATAAAGATTCAAAATGAATACCCTGCTACAGATCTAGGTAAACTGTCTGATTTGGGGAACTGGAATGTGGGATCAGAACTGTGATCCTTTTCCAAGCCGGTAACACTTACCATATCAACAGGGAAACTCAAAGGCATGCTTTTAGCTGCCATGCAGCTTTACAGTCCTTAAAATATATTCCTTCGGTAAATTTCCTTGGGTAAATTTCACCTTTATGCAAATTTTATTTTCAACTTTTTATTGTCTGATTTAGATACATGGAATTCTGCACCCACCACATGGAATCCAGCTAATTACCTTCAATTACAGTTAATTGAATTATGTACCCGTTTCATGGTGATAGAACATTTTTATATTTTATTCATTATCTATCTTCTTGACCACTACTTGCTAATCCTTACAATAGTCTCCTCCTTATTCATAGTTTCACTTTCCACAGTTCCTTTGGTCAACCACCGTCTGAAAATATTACATATAATAAGATATTTTGAGAGAGAAAGAAAAAAATAAGACCACATTTGCAGAACTTTTTTTACAGTATATTCTTATAATAGTTCTATTTTATTATTAGTTATTGTTAATCTCTTACTGTGCCTAATTTATAAACTAAACTTCATTATAGGCATGTATATATAAGAAAAAACACACTATATATACAGTTTAGTACTATCCTCAGTTTCAGGGGCCCACTGGGAGTCTTGGAGTATATCCCCCATGGATAAGAGGGAACAACTGTATATTAGCAATGTAATTGATTACATGTAGATTATGCAAATATATGCAAAATGTTTATAAATTCTTTTCCACCAGCACAGGAAAACATTGTTTTCATGTTCATTTATCACACCTATATATAGGTCACGGTTTGAAGACAGCTAGTTCATCTGGCTATCAACCTCCAAGGCCTGCCGTAGCTCACTCAAATTAATCATCTAATTAACAATCTTTTACACATAAACATAAAGTATTACTCTTAATAAGTATAGGATTTTTGTAAACCCACTGCAGTGCACCTAATTAAGCTAATTTTTTTATTTTTTCAGAAAATCTAAGCTGTCTAGGTTAGATGCACAATAAAAATAATAATCAATGAAATTAGCATAACAATATTTAATTTGCCATTGCCTATTATAATTGACATTGTTTCCAATTTTTAATACTATAGATAAAATTACAGTGAACATGTATTTGTCCATAAACATAGTTTTATTGTTCTGTTGAATTTTTTTTTTACAAAAATTCCTAGTAGTAATATTACTCAGTGAGCAGATGCATTTAGTTTGGCTGTTCATAGGTATTGCTTTGAATGCTTTCCAAAAAGCTTGTTTGATCACAACTGTGTCAATTTTGTACTTACTTGTTTTGTTTGAATGTTTTATAGTATAAGCAAATTTATAGAGGTTAAATAGATGCTACTAAAATGTTGCTTTGATTACTAGGAACAATAGATTTTTTTTAATAACTTCTTTTGCTATTTAAATTTTTACTTATGTGGGTTTTTTTGTTTATACCCTTTGCTCATTTACTACTGGGACTTGATGTTTGTCTTGTGAATTCAAATTAATTCTTTATGTATTATGTTAAGCTTTTCATACTTATATTTTATGCAAGCTGTTCTTCGATTAAGTTTTATCATATTTCATTTTATACATATACTTAAATGTTTTGTATTCACTTCTATGGCAATGAATCTAGAAATCTTTTGCGTAATTATTATTTAGCTTTCTTGAAAAAAAATCTATTTTAAAATATGTGTTTGTTCCATGAGGGCAAACACCATGCCTATTTTACTCAAAAGAATCTGCAGGATATAATATGTAGCCTAGCACTTAGGGGGCATCCATTAATTTTTTTGTATTTGAAAATATACAGAATTTCTCAAAGTGTTTGGCAATGAAATAAATTTTGATAACACTGAAAAGTATAGTCTTATGGAATAATAATTCTAATTAGAAAAGATTTTTAAGAAAATTAGTCTATTCAATGAGATTTACAATGTATATTAGCATATTAAAGTCTGAGTAGTCTGGTTATTAAAAAACAAAAACAAAACAAATAAAAACCTATTTAAGTTTATTTAACCCAAAAGTATACAAATTTATTTGACCATAGAACCTTCATTAACTTCTGTTATATGCAGATCAAATGTCCAGTGGAATAGGCTTCAGGAATTATGTACTAATGTCATTGCACATTCATTTGCCTAGTGTATTTATCAATGAAAATATACTTAAGATCAGTGTTCACATAGAAAGTATTACAATGGCTTCTACTGAAAAAGAAAAACATCTAATAAAGTAGCTATGAGCTCCATAAGCATTGCTTGGCCTAAAAAAGAAAAAACACAACAAAAAGTAAAGTAACTATAAGCAATGCAAAAAAAATTCTTTTCTTATTGTTATATTTTAAAAATATTTTCTCTGTAATATATATGGAGGGACACTATTAGTGTATCATTCACAGATATTTCTTTAAAAACTTCACAGTAGTGTGTGTGTGTGTGTGTGTGTGTGTGTGTGTGTGTGTATTCTGTGATCAGATCTGTTAAATTATGGACATTAGAAATTGGATATTTGCTTTAAACAATATTAAGTAGTAATTTTTTTGCACAGCTCTTAAAATAAAAATAATTATAATTTAAAAGCATAGAGTTTTAAATAAATACATTAAAATTAAATGTACAGAAATTTTCTAAAACCAACACTTTTAAAGTAGAACATATTTATTTGTTCTCTTCAATGAATAAAATTTTAGCTAAGTCATTAAATTCCTTTCTGTGTGAAATGCACAATTTCTCTGTCCAAAATATCTTGCTAATTGGACTTTAGGATTCTGTTTTGAATGTAGAAAAATGGACAGAATATCATTTTTATCCATAAATCAAATATAAGCTGAAAAAAAATTTTAAATTATAACTTTTCTTGAACCCATCAGTAACCTGAGATCTCATGGCAACCAATTAGCCTGAATCATAAGGAAAGACTGGAAACTCCAAGAAGAGACTGGATGCAAGCACTGAATCACCTGGGGCAGAGCACAAAAAGAATATGTGGCTGCTATATAAGTGGGCAGAAATAATTCATATGCTATTAGCAACAAATTGTTAAATCTGAGCCTCGACTATGATGAGAGTATAAAACCCATAGTAGCAACAGACACAGGGGTATCTATACCCATTCACGGGCTCTTCGTGGACCTTCATTTTATGGTCATGAGAAAAGATTACAGATACAGTAGAAAACCAATGAAAGCCTCACTTATGATGCAGAGGTAGAGTAATGGAGTTGTCACCACTGTAGAAAGGACAGGAAACTTTACTATGACCATATTACCCTGGGCAACAAAAGCCTAAATCCAAAGAGGTCAGAAAACCCTATGCTAGATAAATACAAAATACATAAATAAATAAAACAGCATGCAC
This sequence comes from Homo sapiens, assembly GCF_000001405.40. Lineage (NCBI taxonomy): Eukaryota > Metazoa > Chordata > Mammalia > Primates > Hominidae > Homo > Homo sapiens. The sequence continues at coordinate 21,376,884 of NC_000007.14, forward strand.
CTAGTCTTGAAATATTCAAACAACCGAAAGCCAAAGGTAAAGAGAGTACAGATGCCTCTTGACTTATAATGGGGTTATATCCCAATAAACTCATCCTAAATGGAAATGCAGGGTAACTAGGAGCTGTGGCTCACTGTAGGTGCCCAGGATCAGGAGAGAAGGAAGATTTCTACTGAATATGTGTTGCTTTCACACCATCATAAAGTAAAAAAAGTTAAAGTTGAGGGCCAGGGGCAGTAGCTTACACCTGTAATCTCAGCATTTTGGGAGGTTGAGGTGGGTTGATTGCTTGAGCCCAGGAGTTCAAGACTAGCCTGGGCAATGTGGCAAAACCCCATCTCTACAAAAAATACAAAAATTAGCCAGGCATAGTGGCATGGGCCTGTGGTCCCAGCTACTCAGAAGGCTGAGGTGGGAGGATCACCTGAGCCCAGGAAGTCAAAGCTGCAGTGAGCTGTAATCATGGCACTACACTCCAGCCTAGGGACAGAGTGAGACCCTGTCAGAAAAGAAACAAAAGGAAGGAAGAAAGGAAGGAAGGGAGGGAGGGAGGGAAAGAAAGAAAGAGAAAGAAAGAAAGAAAGAAAGAAAGAAAAGAAAGAAAGGAAGGAAGGAAGGAAGGAAGGAAGGAAGGAAGGAAAGAAATAAAGAAAGAAAGAAAGGAAGGAAGGAGGAAGGAAGGAAAGAAAGAAAGAAAGAAAGAAAAAAGAAAGAAAGAAAAGAGAGAAAGGAGAAAGAAAGAAGAAAGAAAGAAAGAGAAAGGAGAAAGAAAGAAAGAAAAGAGAAAGAAAGAAAGAAGAAAGAAAGAATTGTAAGTTGAACCATCATAAGTTGGGGACAATCTGTATCTTACAAGCAGCCTAAGAAAAAGGATACATTACAGAGGGGAAAAGAAGATAAGAACTATGACAGACTTCTCATCAAAACTATGCAAGCTAAAAGACAGTGGAATGACATCTTTAAGGCAATGAAAAAAAAAATCTGTGCACCTATATGCTATACTCAGAAAATCTTTCAAAAATGAAGGCGGGAAAACACAACACTTTTTCTCTACGCTATACTCTCACAACATACTTCTGACACCAAATGTGTGTGGTTTCTCCCCACATACCAAGCAATTCTGCAGCAGACACCGAGTTATCTTATAATTCAATTCCATTCTGACACTAAAAACCAGGGTTCCCACAAGCCCCTTCTGGAGTCTGATAATTTGCTAGAATGGTTCACAAAACTCAGGATTATACTTTATTTATGTTTATCAGTTTATTATAAAGGATATAACTAAGGAACAGCCATGTGGAAGAGACACATAGGGCAATGTATGGGAGAAAGAATCATACAGATCTTCCATTCTCTTTCTGGGTGAGCCTTTCTCCTAGCACTCCACAAGCTCAGCAACCCAGAAGCTCATTGCATTTCCTAGTTCAAGAGTTTCCATTGAACTTAATCTCCAACCCCTTTCAGCCATCCCCTGATATCCCCACTAAGTTTATTAGCATAAACTCAGTTGTATAGAAAGGAGCTCATTATGAGTAACAAAAGATACCACTATCTCAGGAAATTCCAAGCTTTTTAGGTGCTCTGTGACAGAAACTAGGGATAAAGACCAAACACATTTCTTATTCTACCACAGAAGAATGTAGATATATTTTTAGAGCATTCATTACCCACAGACATACACTGTAATAAATGTATTTAAAAAGTACTTAAGGCAGAAAAAATATGACACCAGACAGAAACTTGTATCTACATAAAGAAATAAAGACCTCCTGAAACACTTTAAATGAAACTAAACGTAAAAGTAATATTTTGCTTATTTTTAATCAATCTAAAAGGTAATGGCTTAAAGCAAATATAGTAGCACCAATGTATTGGGATTTTATAGCTTATATAAAAGTAAAATGTCTCACAATATCACAGATGATGGAGAAATTTGGAGTTTACTGTTGCAAAGTTTGTATACTACACATGAAGCAGTATTATATTATTAATATTTGAAGGTAGACTATACTTAATTAAAGATGTACATTATAAACTCTAGGGCAAACATTAAAACATGTATTAAAGAGGTATAAATAATAAGCCAGGCCAGGTGAAGTTGCTCACATCTATAATCCCAGGACTCTGGGATGCCAAGGGAGGAGGATTACTTAAGGCCAGGAGTTTCAGACCAGACTGGGCAACATAGTGAGATCTGGTCACTACAAAAAAATTTGAAAATAAAATAAAATTAGCCAGACATAGTGACATGCACTGGTAGTCCTAGCTACTCAGGAGGCTGAAGCAGGAGGACTGCTTGAGTCCAGTAGTCCCAGGCTACAGTGAGCTATGATCATGCCATTACGCTTCAATCTGGGTGACAGAGTGTGACCTTGTCTCTAAAAAACTTAAAAAATAAAATGCCAATAGTGGAAATAATATAGAATCATAAAATGTATTATATTAATGTAAATACAAACAAGAAAAAAGAAGAAAAAAAATCCAAGAGTGGGTGGGACAAATAAAAAGCAATTACCAAAGTGGTAGGTTTTAATTTAATCACACCAAAATTATTTTAATGTAAAGGGTCTAAACACTCTAAGTACTGATTGTCAGATTGGATAAAAAAGCAAGACTCAAGTATATGCTGTCTATAAGAAACTAATTTTAAATATAAAGACTTCTAGTTTAAAAATATAACATTCAAACACTAATCAAAATATTTTGCGTATTTAAATAAATGTTGACACCCTAGTTGTAAACAGTATTTGATATCGTATATAACGTATATGATATATAACATATAAATAACAACGAAATGTGATTTATCTATATTTAAATCAAGAAATAAACATTCTCCCTAAACCTGTGGCTTTTTTCCAAGGCTATTTCCAAAGCATTCTCTTAACCTTTGTGTTCATGACACAGCTAATACTTCAAAAGAGAATCAAAGCTAATACCTCAGCAGTCTTCTAGTGACAATTGGATCCACATTTATCTCTGGACTGGATTGTTTGAGGTGTCATAAGTACTTTCATCAAAATAGAAATAAATGACTTTGTGACTTTCCTGTACTAATGTAAATGTATGCATTTATTAAACAAGACTCCACAAAACAGAGTGTGTTCACTATTTATTGTTAAATTTCTATGTTCTTCTTTCTACTTTTACAATTTTATTGTTTCCAGATTATACTTTTGTAAGTTCTTATAATCTTTCCCCCTCTTAATCCTTCTTGTGGAACAGAAACTTCCTAATGAATGGTCTACTTGTCAGTCCACAAGCTTTCTTCTGTACATATATATATATAAAATATACTGATTCAGTAATCAATAACATAAAAATAATTTTTTTTTGAGATGGAGTTTTTGCTCTTGTTGCCCAAGCTGGAGTGCAGTGGTGCGATCTCAGCTCACCGCAACCTTCACTTCCCGGGTTCAAGCAATTTTCCAGCTTTAGCCTCCCACGTAGCTGGGATTACAGGCATGTGCCACTATGCCTGGCTAATTTTTTTGTATTTTTAGTAGAGACAGGGTTTCACCATGTTGTCAGGCTGGTCTTGAACTCCTGACCTCAGGTGATCTGCCTTCCTTGGCCTCCCAAAGTGCTGGGATTACAGGCGTGAGCCACCATGCCCGGCCACAAAAATAATTTTCAAAATACTTTGATTCTCTAGTATCAAGGTAGTGCATATAATATAGGTTTGTGTGATAATCCTTTCTAACATATAAAAACTAAGTCACCTCTCTTCTTAGGAAATCTCAACCCACAAGAAACAGCAATTTATTTTTTATTATCTTCTGCCCTCAAACTATATATCAAGATGTTTAAAATTTAGATTTGAAACCTGGCTACGTTTTAGGATAAGTAATTTAATGTAACAAAGAATAATTTGGCAGGTACAATTTCTGTTTAACAACTTTACACCAGGTAAGGTGGCTTACACCTGTAATCCCAACACTTTGGGAGGCCAAGGTGGACAGATCACTTGAGCCGGGTTAGGTGGCGCACGCCTGTAATCCCAGCTACTTGGGAGGCTGAGGTGGGGGGATCACTTGAGCCCAGGAGGTCAAGGCTGCAGTGAGCCATGACCTTGTCACTGTACTCCAGTCTGGACAGCAGAGCAAAACCTTTTCTAAAAAAAATGTTAAAAACTTTACATTATAGGACATAAAATTCTTATAAATATTTTAACAAAGGCCCCGGTGTGAGAGTCTTAGGTTTAGGGAAAAATATTACAAGTTTATTTAGTTCTCTTATTTAATTACTTAAAAAAAAAGATTACATGCTAAAATATGTTAAATAAAAATATAAATATAAACCAATTGATTTATCTTTCCATAATCTTAAAACATAACTAGAGTAACAAAATCAAGAAGTGCAAAAAGATAAGATTGATAAATGTTTAGATACTAAAACAACCACTTCAAGTGTTATAAAAGAGTTATGTAGAGAATTACTGAATGTAGAGGAGAGCATTTACTTCAAAAATGTTGGAGCATACTCGTCTGGCAGGGAAGATAAAATGATCATGAAGGTGGCTTTCCCAGGGTGAGATTTATTTATTGCACTCTGGGTGTGCAGACCCCTGCAATTTCCCCGAAAGTGGGAAACTTGGCTGCATAATTTGTGTTCTTCCTTGGTTAAAAAGAAAAATAGTAGGCTAATAAGGGAAGGCTATTCAGATGTTGTATTAGTTTTGAACTATATCTTGTAGAATGTGATCAACCAAGGCAAAGCTGACTTGGGAGAAACATGGGAAGGTGCTGTCAGGAATAGTATGTGCAAAACACAGCAATGAATACCAAGATATATTTACATAAATGTAAAAAGTTATGTATGGTAATATTGAGGAAGTGACAGATAAGTGAGCCAAGATCAGATTATGAAGAAACTTACATGTGATACTAAAGGTTTCTATTTTTATCCTGAAAAAAGTATGGATAACTTTTGGGCTAATACTTAAAATTTGCATTTTTTTAAAGGATCACCTTGGAATCATGGAATATAAATTAGAGAAGAACAGGAGAGCTTGACCAATATGGAAGAAATGGCAGCAAAACAGGCAGGAAATTACACAATTCTGAAGAAAAGCAGTATGAGCAGAATTGAAATAAAAGGTAAGGTTCAATACGTTTAGAAGATACAATTGAGTAGGTTTGGTGGCTAATTGTAAGTGAGACATGAAGTAAATGGAAGAATTTCTAATGATTCAAAATTTTCTAAATAGTTGCCAAAAATAAATTGGGTGAGCATCTTTGGGACATATTGAGATCTTTGACATATTGAGATTAATGGACATATTAATGTTCAAAAGGAGACATACAAAAAGATACATTGTCTGTCATCAAAGGCAAGATTGAGATAGATATTTGGGAATTGTGGCCCATGGGTAGAATTGAAAATTATGGATGAGATTTTCTCTAGAAGAGTGAGTTTTTATTTTTTATTTTATTATTATTATTTTTTTTAGACAGTCTCACTCTGTCACCCAGGCTGGAGTGCAGTGGTGGGATCTTGGCTCACTGCAAACTCTGCCTCCTGGGTTCAAGCAATTCTCATGTCTCAGTCTCCCGAGTAGGTGGCAGTAGCACGCGCCACCTTGCCCAGCTAATTTTGTGTGTGTGTGTGTGTGTATTTTTAGTAGAGACAGTGTTTCACTGAGTTAGCCAGGCTAGTCTTCTGGACTCAAGTGATCCACCCACCTCAACCTCCCAAAGTGCTGGGATTACAGACGTGAGCCACTGGGCCTGGCCAAACAGTGCATCTTTAAATGTGATCCTGAGACCTCCAGTTGACCCACAGTGGTTTGCAGAGAGTGTCTGTATGAAAGGAAAAAATAGAATAAAACTCTATTCACACACATCTCACAAAATTGAGTATAAGATTATTCATTATTAAAAACTTTTTTAAAAAGCTCGTCATTATTCTCGCAGAAATCCAATTACATGTTTAATGAGTGTTGGTTTGCATGCTCTGTAAAAACTGCATTGGTAAGTTTATCTTGGAAAATATTTTATGTTATTTTTTACATCTATGATTTTGCATTTTAATTAATACTATTGTACTTTATCCCCAAGTCACAAAAATGGACCAACAGTGACCCACTGAAGCATAAAAGATGGGAACAAACACTACAATGCCAAATAATTTAATTTTAAAAAGATAAATAGTATAGCCCTCCAGTGAAATGTAGAGTGGGGTGGTTTTACACAAGGACCTGAGAAAGAAAAATGCAAATGGGAACTGCCATTATGAATATCTGAGTATTGCATTATGTGGTGGTGTCCGTTTACACCATCCTTGTCAAATAGTGAAGTTTTGTCAAATGATAACATGAAGTATATATGCCTTTGCTCCATTTTCAAAGAAAGCCCAGTTTCAATCAAGTAAACCAATTTAATTTTTCTAGAACAAGCAAATATACTATTTTCTAGTATAAAGCTGATTAATTGTATCACTTAAACCAAAACTATAGAGGCATCCTTCAACATTGTACATTTCACAGCCAAAACAGGCAAAAGTCACACTGTTGCTAACAAGCTGATAAAATCAGCCACAAAAGTGAATACTATGTATTTTGCTCAGCTGATAAAACCAGCCACAAAAGTGAATACTATCTATTTTGCTTAGCAACAAAACAGATTAAGTTTTGGCAAAAATCTTTTAGCAAATGACTCTAGTGAATGTTGCCCAATATAAATAGCCTGCAAAGTTAAAGAGCAATCACTGTCTTTGGGGAAATGACCAGGTGGGATATTCAAAATATTTAACAACTGATAAGGCATAGAGAGCAACCAATCATAACAGATGCCAACTGCAAGCAAATGGTATAGGACTACTGGTATGTGTTAGCTTGCCTATCAGCAGATATTTTGCTTTACAACTGTGTAGAGTATGAATAATTTCTTGGCAATTGCCTAATACATATATGAAGTGCTTGACAATGTTTTTTGTTTATCATTAAAAGTCTTAGTGTTCGATTTAGGGGAATTTTTGACCCAAAGTTAATCCAGATGCTCTTCTCTTTGACAGCTGTAATTAATCAATAGCTAGGTGAAAGGTTCAGAACTTTAAGAGACAGACATTGGCCAAACGGTTTTTCAAAGTACTCTTTAGTTTCTATTTCAATAATTGTAAGGTTAATTTGTTTTTGCTTTTGCTTTTGTTTTTGTTTTGTTTTAGAGACAGGATCTCACTCTGTCACCTAGACTGGAGTGCAGTGGCATAATCACAGCTTACTGCAGCCTTAAGCTACTGGACTTAAGCTGTCCTTCCACCTCAGCCTCTCAAGTAGCTGTAACTACAAGTGCACTCCACCAGGACTGTCTAATTTTTTTTTTTTTTTTTTTTTTTTTTTTTCAGTAGAGACAGGGTCTCACTATGTTGCTTAGGCTGTTCTCAAACTCTTGAGCTCAAGTGATCCTCCTGCCATCCTGTCTTGGCCTCCTAAAGTGCTGGGATTACAGATGCGAGTCACCATGCTGACCAATTTTAAATTATTAATCAGCTATTATCCACCCTAGTTTCTCAGCTGCCTGCTATGGTGTCCCCAGTAGAAAACTCTGTTTCTACACTCACACAACCCTTCTGACACCAAATGTGTGGGCATTTTGCACACCAAGAAGCTATCTGATTCTGTTCAGATACCAACTAGGTGTCCAACAATCCAGTTCAGTTCTGACACTAACTACTTAGGATGTGATGTTCCATTGGTTTTAGGGCTCAGACCCACAAGATTGCCCTAACTTCAGAGGCCAGTTCCGAGTATCAGGTTTCTCATAGCATACTTCTGACTTACACAATGTATAAATTGAGGCTCCCAGGACCCCCTCCTCGGGTTCAGTAATTTGTTAGAATGGCTCACACACGCAGAACTCACGAAGCCATGTTATTTATTTATGTTTACTGGTTTATTATAAAGCATACAAATGAACAGCCAGATGAAGAGGTATATAAGGCCATGTCAGGAAGGGTCCCTAGTGCAGAAACTTCTGTTCCTGTGGAGTTAGGGTATGCTAACTTCCAGCAGGTGGATGCATTCACCAATCCAGAAATCTCACTGTTCAGGAGTTTTTATGGGGCTTAATCTCTAGCCCCCATCCCCAACTTTGCAGAGTTGGGGGAGGGTGGAAGCTGAAAGTTCCAAGCCTCTAATCATTTGGTTTCTAGTGACTAGACCTGTCCTGAGACTATCGAGGGTCTTCATCCTAAGTCATTTCATTAGCATGAACTCAGGTGAGATCAAAGGGAGTTTATTATGAATAATGAAAAACTCCTACCACTAAGCAAATTCCAAGGGTTTTAGTGCCTGGATCCAGGGACAAAAACCAAATATATTTCTTATCATTTCACAGTCTCTTTGTTTGAGCTGCTAGTGTTCCCACCAGTAGAGTTGTCCTGTTTTAGTAGGAGAAAGCAGGAAATAAAATTGCCTAAGCCAAGCCTCATCGTCTCAGTTAGGTATTTTCCTCTGGGTTTGGTGACCTGCCTCCCTCTGTTATACCTGTAATGCTTGACAACCAATCACAATGTTTTCTTTCTCATTTGGGGCACTGAGAGACAGGACTCCTAAGTTCTTTTTTTCTGTTTTTTTTGTTTCTTTGTTTGTTTGTTTAAGAGACACAGTCTTGCTATGTTGCCCAGGCTGGAGTGCAATGGCTATTCACAGGTGTGATTATAGCACACTGCAGCCTTAATCTCCTGAGCTCAAGTAATCCTCCCTCCTCAGCCTCCTGAGTACCTGGGACTATAGGTGCATGCCACAGCACCCAGCCTCCGTAAGTTATTGAAAAGAAATATTACAAAGTAGTTAATATGCAAAATTTCTTGTGATATAGAAGAAGATATAAAGCCTGAATAACACATACATTTGCTCCATCCTCTTGTAATTTACGTAAATTCTATCTTAGTACGGAAATGACTCAAGCCTTATGGTGCTACCATCTCCTGGTATGTTTGTCAAGTTCATCTTTTTGCAATAAAGGAAAGCAAGTGGTCATTGCAAAGTAGAATTGTCTAAAGATCTCCTGGCTCACTATGCTATTGGAGAAGAGTTTTTGTTGTTTAGTTAACAATTTATTTCTGGGCTGGAAAGGGTTGATGGGATCAGTATTGATAGGGCACCTGCAACATGTGCAGCCAGAAGATGTTGTTACTAATACATTAATAAATGGGAGGCCGGGCGCGATGGCTTACACCTGTAATCCTAGCACTTTGGGAGGCTGAGGTGGGCGGACCATGAGGTCAAGAGATTGAGACCATCCTGGCCAACATGGTGAAACCCAATCTCTACCAAAATACAAAAATTAGCTGGGTGTGTTGGTGCACGCCTGTCGTCCCAGCTACTCGGGAGGCTGAGGCAGGAGAATCACTTGAACCCGGGAGGCAGAGTTTGTAGTGAGCTGAGATCCCACCACTGCACTCCAGCCTAGTGACAGAGCAAGGCTCCGTCTCAAAAATAAATAAATAAATAAATACACACATACATACATACTTAAATACATAAATACATAAATAAATAGGAGTTTTGTCCAAGTGTCCATCCCTAGGCTGCTTTCTCCATAACGAATAGCAGGAAGGTAAAAATATGTCTCCAGATCTTAATTCAGAACTGAAGAAGTAGATTATGAAAAATTGTGAATGAAGTCAAAGTTTAGCATCTTCTCAGCGTGCTGTGCAAAGAAATGGGCAGTAGGTTCCAGGTCATGCTTTTTACATTTAAAAACAATACCTCTTGAATGGAAATGAGAGATGAGATAAGATAATAACATCTCTTTATGACATGGCATAGCCAATAAAGCACATTTGTGTGATTTTAAAATCTTGTTGAAGTGGTAAATCTTTGAAATGCATTCAGTATTTTAACTTCAGGCCTGAAACACCTTAATGTTAATATTTAAGATTTCAGTTTCTCAGGAAAAACCAAACTACAGTTCTTTGGTTTCGGCAAGAGTTTATTCTTTTCTAACACTTGGGGATTTTTTTCCCTATGTAAAGGGGATAAACAGGGCCAGGCATGGTGGCTTATGTCTGCAATTCCAGTACTTTGGGAGGCTGAGGCAAGAGGATTGCTTGAGTCCAGGAGTTCAAGAACAGACTGGGCAACATAGTGAGACCTCACCTCTACAAATAATACAAAAATTAGCTAGGAATGGTGGCATGCACCTGTGATCTCAGCTACTTTGGAGGCTGAGGTAGGAAGATCACCTCAGCCTGGGCAGTCAGTCAAGACTTCAGTGAGCTGAGATCATACCACTGCACTCCAGCCTGGGTGACAGAGCGAGACTCTGTCAAAAAAACAAAAAAAGGTGGGGATAAACAACATATTTAGGCATATATTTTAAAACATATTCACATGCTACAACTAAAACATAAAGATATAAGTTTCAGAGCCAAAAACATACCTAAGAGGTACATTAATAATTATTTTGCAATTATCTCCCAAATTCTAATATTTGACTTTTGAGTAACTGAAAAATGCGGAAAGTAATTACAAAGTTGCATAATTTCTGAATCCATGTTTGATTCAAATATCCAGAACTACTTGAGTGAGCTAACAATTCTTACATGCCATTCTCAACAACCTATAAGTTTTTATAAAATAGAAATAAAAAGTAATGAAAGAAACTGCCTGGAGCGGGGAGATAAAGAAGGATAGGTTAATGGGTACAAAAATACAATTAGAAAGAGTAAGATGTAGCGTTTGGTAGCACAATAGGGTGAGTATAACTGACAATAATTTACTCTGCATTTCAAAATAACTGAAAGAATGTTGCTACCACAAAGAAATGATAAATGCTTAAGGTGATGGATACCACAATCACCCTGATTTGATCATTACACATCGTATACTTGTATCAAAATATCACATATACCCAAGAAATATTGTATAGATAATAAATTATCTATCCATAATAATTAAAAATTTTAAATTTCAATTAAAAAAAAGAAACTGCCTGGATGTGGTGTCTGATTTGAAACTCAAATAGAGATACCTTGATGGAAGAATGGAAACCATACTATTCTTCTCATAAATATGAAACAACCTTAATAAATAATAAAAATAATAATAGTCACAAAAGTTTGTAGTTTTATTTTTACTAATTCAAAACTATGATTAATTTTAAAAGTTATGCTTAAGTAAAACCATGATTACCTTTTATATAAAATTATGATTAATTTTTTAATAATGATAATTTTTTTAGGGTGCTTTCAAATTGACAACAAAATTGAGCAGACAGTATAGAGAGTTCCCACATACCTCCTGCCCCCAAAGGATGCACTGCTTTCCCCACTATCATTATCCCACCAGAGTGGTATTAATACATTTGTTACAACTGATAGGCCTAAGTTCACAAATCGTTATCACTCAAAGTTCATAGTTTACATTAGGGTTCATTTGTCACTAAGGGAATTAGTGATAAACGTGTAATGACATGTATTCACCATTATAGTGTCATACAGATCGAAGAATGTCAGAACAGTATCTTCATCACTCTCAAAATCTCCCATGCTCCACCTATTCATTCCTTCCTCCCCACAATCTCTGGCAACCACTGATCTTTTTATTGTTTCCATGGTTTTGCCTTTTCTGGAACGTGATATGGTTGGAATCATACTTTAGGTAGCCTTTTCAGATTGGCTTATTTCACATAGTAATGTGCATTTCAGATTCCTCCACGTCTACTCATGTCTTGATAGCTTGTTTCCTTTTAGTGCTGAATAATATTCCATTGTCTAAATATACCACAGTTTATCCATTCACTTACTGTAGGAATTTTGGTTGCTTCCAAGTTTAAACCATTATGAATAACACTGCTGTAACTATTAATGTGTAGGCTTTTGTGCAGACACATTTCAGTTCATTTAGGTAAATGCCAAGGAGCTCGATTGCTGGAGCATATGATAAAGGTAGGTTTAATTGTGTAAGAAGCGGCCAAACTGTCTTCCAAAGTGGCTGTAACCATTTTGCATTTCCACCAGCAATGAATGAGAATTCGTATTATTCCACATCCTCTCCAGCAGTTGGGGTTGTCATTGTTTTGGATTGTGGCCATTCCAGTAGTTGTGTAGCAGTAACCCATTGTTGTCTTAATTTGCAATTCCTTAATGATATGTGATGCTTAACATCTTTTCATATGCTTATTTGTTATCTGTATATCTTCTTCAGTGACAAGTCAGTTTAGTCTTTGGCCCATTTTTTAATTAGGTTGTTTATTTTCTTGCTGTTGTGTTTTAAGAGTTCTTTGAATATTTTGGATTAGCAATTGTTTTGTTAGAGTAGATAGCTAGTCAGACATAAACAGGGCAGGAGAGGGTCTCCACCCCCATCAGGAATGTCTGGTGATCATCAAGTGATGGTCAGGGAGCTGTCACACTGCTACTCTAAAATAATAATTGGTCACAGCCGGCACCAGGAAAGGCAGTTTTCCAATAGATATAAAACACCTGAGGCCGGGCATAGTGGCTCACGCCTGTAATCCCAGCACTTTGGGAGGCCGAGGCGGGTGGATCACAAGGTCAGGAATTCAAGACCAGCCTGAGGCCGGGCATGGTGGCGGGCGCCTGTAATCCCAGCTACTCCGGAGGCTGAGGCAGAGAATTGCTTGAACCCGGGAGGCAGAGATTGCAATGAGCCGAGATCGCACCACTGCACTCCAGCCTGGGCTACAGAGTGAGACTCCATCTCAAAAACAAACAAACAAACAAAAAACAAAACAAAACGAAACAAAAAACACCTGAAACTGGTGGTCATCAGCTTTCCAATAAGATCTCAGGAGTTGAGCAAGTGGGCTCAAGCGTGTGCGTTAAGAGGCAAAATGGCAGAGTTTAATTGGTGTATGAACTACGGGGGCATTGCACACAGCTCAGGTGAGCATGCATACAACTCCAGTAAACACACTGAGCATGCTCAACTTCTAAATGCTAGCTGGGCACCACACATGCCAGCAGCTCACCCCAAGGGAAGAATCAAGGGAAAAGGGACACAAAATACTAGACGTATGCCAGCATGTAAAACCCTAAGTCCAAGGTCAAACAGCGCATTTGTCCTCCAAGATGCCTGCTTGGTTGTCTTCCAAGTGTACTTTACTTCCTTTTTGTTCCTGCTCTAAAGCTTTTTAATAAATTTTCATTCCTGCTGTAAAACTTGCCTCTGTCTCTTCTTCTGCCTTATGCTCCTCAGTCAAATTCTGTCTTCTGAGGAGGCAAAAATGGAGGTTGCTGCAGACCTGTGTGGATTCACTACTGGTAACAGTGTAATGGATATGTCTTTTACAAATACTTTTTTCAGTCTATGACTTGTCTTCTCATTCTCTTGACAGTGTCTGTCAGAGTAGAAGTATTTAATTTCTCTCTCTCTCTCTCTCTCTCTTTTTTTTTTGAGACAAGTTCTCATTCTGTTGCCTAGGCTGGAATGCAGTGGGCAGATCATGGCTCACTGTAGCCTCAACCTCCTGGGCTCTGGTGATTCTCCCACCTCAGCCTCCTGAGTAGCTGGGACTGCAAGAGCATGCCACTATGCACAGCCAATTTTTGTGTTTTTTCTGGAGACGTGGTTTTACCATGTTGCCCACCCTGGTCTCGAACCCCTGAGTTCAAGCAATTCACCTGCTTTGGCCGCCCAAAGTGCTGAGATTACCGACACGAGCCACTGCACCCACCCTAAGTGTTTAATTTCCACAAAGTCCAGCTTATCAATTATTTCTTTCATGGGTCATCCCTTTGTGCTATACCTAAAATGTCATCACCATACCCAAGGATATCTAGGTTTTCTTGTATGTTATCTTTTATTTATAGTTTTGCACTTTACATTTAGGTATATGATTCATTTTGAGTTAATTTTTGTGAAAGGTATGTGTCTAGATTAATTTTTTTGTATGTGGATATCTATGATTAATTTTTTTAAAGTATCTTGAATTGGGCTTCTTCTCCTGAACAATGTAGTCATTAGATGCAAAAAATTTTAGAAAAACACTAATCTGGAGTCAGAAAAGAAGAAAATTGAGGCAGAGATCCTGGAAAATCACCAGCATTTAAGGAGTAGGTCAAGGGAGTTCTGGAGTGACTGTTGCCTACCTGAATCATCCCAAGTCCATTGAAATAACTGTTTATTTTTGCCATCACCTGCTTTAGTTACTTGATGAAAGCTGCTTTGGGAACAGGGTGACATTATACTGAAGAGGCAGTTCCTTGCAGCTGAGATGGGTTGACCTAAAGGAGCTTGGCACTTACTGCATCTGGGCAGCAGACTCTTCCTTGAAGAGGGATCTGTTTACCTGAGAGAATAACTTTGCTCTTAGAGAGTAGTTACTGATTTAGGGATAAAGGATCAGGATGTCTGCAACTTACTCTCGAATGGTTCAACAATAATAATATGTACTTGCTATTATTACTAGAATTATTATTTTATTTAGAAAGAGAAAGCAAACATAAGACATTAACAATTGCTAAGTCTAGGTGAAAGACAAATGGGCATTCATCATATTACACTTGCAACTTTCCCATACATTTGACATTTTCCAAAATTAAAAGTTGGGAGAAAAAAATTCAGGAGCCCCAAACAACTGGTATCTGTGAAACATCCCCAATACAATATCTATGACGTTTTATTCCTTGACTTAATCATATTTCCATTAAGGGCAAATTATAACACCAGAAGAGCTGGAAGCGGTGGCTCATGCCTGTAATCCCAGCACTTTGGGAGGCCAAGGTGGGTGGATCACCTAAGGTCAGGAGTTCAAGACCAGCCTGGCCAACATGCCGAAACCCCGTCTCTACCAAAAATACAAAAAATTAGCCAGGCATGGTGGTGCACGCCTGTAATCCCAGCAACTTGGGAGGCTGAGGCAGGAGAATCGCCTGAACCCTGGAGGCAGAGGTTGCAGTGAGCCCAGATCGCGCCATTGCACTCCAGCCTGGGTGACAAGAGCCAGACTCCATCTCAAAAAACAACAACAACAACAACAAAACACACAGTAGAACAGGCTGTTTTGGGGAACTTTGAGATGTTCTGGATTGACATGTGCTATAGGACAGGGTAGGATCCTCTTGTACTGCAGTCCGTGTGCTGTATAACTGTAGATCACCACTGAGGCAAAGGCCCACAAAATCAAAGCAAAGAAAGTGTAAGCAACTTTTATGGGGCTTGAGGCTTTTATTATTTGGGGTGAGAGGAGGGCTTTTTAAGAAAAAGTACATAAATTTAGGTATAAATGTTAACATTTAGAATGAAAAAAGAAATAAAACACTACAAATTTTGTGATGCTAAGAGACAACACAAATATTTCTAAATCTAGAAATATTACAACATTTTCAGTAAGTACTCGATACATCTCTAACTTATTTTTTACATTACTTTGTTTGCATATGTCCATAGCCTCTTCATATAATAATGATTTTAATATTTTATTTTTATGGAAAGAATAGGAATGTGAGTCAGTATTCTCTTTAACAACAGGCTTCAACAATTTTAAAAAATTATTGATCATTTGGATGCAAAAACATGTGACTTTACTCACAGACATAAATGCTGTTTGTAATATTGCTAAAGAGTTGTGACTGGCAAAGAAATTCTATTTTCTGTGATTTTTATATTTATTTATTTATTTATTTATTTATTTATTTATTTATTTATTTATTTATTTTTAGATGGAGTCTCGCTCTGTCGCCCAGGCTGGAGTGCAGTGGCGCGATCTGGGCTCACTGCAAGCTCTGCCTCCTGGGTTCACACCATTCCCCTGCCTCAGCCTCCTGAGTAGCTGGGACTACAGGCACCCACCACCACGCCCAGTTAATTTTTGTATTTTTAGTAGAGACAAGGTTTCACCGTGTTAGCCAGGATGGTCTTGATCTCCTGACCTCGTGATCTGCCCGCCTCGGCCTCCCATAGTTCTGGGATTACAGGCATGAGCCACTGCGCCCGGCCTTATTTTCTGTGATTTTTAACAAAAAGGAGGAAACTGTATGGTACATTTACTAATTGCACATGTTGCATTACCAAGTACATACCTAATAAGTGAAAACTTCTATTTTGACCAAGTGTTTATGGAAACCAAGTCTTTTGCTGACAGTTTTTCATAAACTAGCTTCTGTCTCCATTAATTTCAGGTTTGTTTCTTCTCCACCACCTATATGCTTGTAGTGCAAGTCTCTGCATTCATATCATCGTTCAATCTCTAGCCCTGAACCTATGTATTAAGACTCCAAGTGAGTTGACAAAATAGTATAGGTTTTACTCCTTCTCTAATTGCTGCTACCTAACTACAGATGGAAGAGAATGTCAACCTCATATATACATAACCCATTAAATACACACTAAACATGTTCCCATCTCAACTTCTTTTTACCTGGTTCCCCAAAAATCCCCACAGCCACTCCCACAATATCTAATCCAAAGGGAAATATGAAGAGCAGAAATCTGAATGGAAAGAAACAGCAATATTAACCAATTATACTTAAAATAATTTCTATAAAATTATACAATTAGATTGTTTTGAGCAATAGAATGCCAATAATAATTCATCTCCAAAGACAGTTCTATAGTAGAAGCAGAATGAAAATCTGCGTACAAAGATAATAAGGAACAATGTAAAATTCCTGACTACTAAATGTTGTTATTGTATTTTAAACTGATAATGGTGTTATCAAGTCTACATGGTATTTAAATGATCTTTTATGCCTTTAAATGTACTGTAAAGGTTACCATTTAAAAAACATAGTTAAAATATTAAAAATTATATCGTTTTTAGCTTTTTTAACTTCTTATGAAATGTTTTAGATATTAATTTTAAAACATTTAAGGGGGAGATTTTTTAAATTATTTTAGGATGTATAGAAATAAAAATGTTTGAAGATCAATGCCCTAGATCCTCTAAGCTTTCTGCCTTTATCAAATTAATTCATCAGTAACCTGTAAACCTGGATAACCCTCTAGCTCCCTCATAGAAATGACTTCACGGACTATGAGCTAACATATTACACTCTCCTTTCGTAGAACTAAAACACAAATTACCCCCTCCCTGACCTTTAAAAATTATTTTGAATGCATTTCACTATACCACTCAAGATCCCTGGAGGATATATACCTCTTAAAGTATATGGTAAGAAAAAGTTTGTTCATTGATACACACGTATGATCTGTAACATATCACAATTCCATTTTATCTTCTATGTCCTCAAAGTTCAGAGTTAAGTTTAGCACTCAGTTTACTTTCTCTTAGATTAGGTTTCCTAGCACATAATTATTCCTTGGCCACCTAGGTTGTTACTTGCATTAGACCTACTTTACTTATCTTAATGATTTTATGGTTTTATTGTACTTATGAGAGAGTGAGTAGATTGCTTGGTTCGTGTGACCTTTAACTCACCCATAAGCAAATAATACACAAACTAGTTTGGAAAATTCAGTTGAATTAAACAAATCATCAATGTGAAGCAAAAAGAAATAGGTTAGATGATGGTATTATTGACAGCTAGATACAATGCTTAGAATACCAGATTAGCAGTGTATTAATTAGATGGCCAGAAATTTAAATTATTAAAATTATTACATTTTCCTCTTCTCATTGATAATCTTACTAATTATTCCTGTTTTGTGACCAAAACCTTAGGTATTAGGAATAGGACACATGGGAAAATCGCAGCTGTTTTCAAGAAAACAATAGCCACCTGGACACATATTATGGATTTAAAATAATTGTAATAATTATACAATGTATACATGCACTGCAATGTCATGTACCTTATACGCATATACAATTATTACGTGTCTAATATAAATAAAAAATTAATAAAAAAATTATGAGGCCAAATTTATAGTTAGCAGCCCAGTCTTAGTAAATAGAACAAGAAAGAAATCATGTAGGAAGTGACCATATGATAAAACAGCAAATAGTATTAAGTTCTAAAATATTTTGCAGGGCTACTTAAAATAATTAAATACCATCAATATTATATTTATAAAATACTACAAAATCCAGTTTAGGAAATGAATGCATTTGTGATAAGCCCTCTGGTAGTAGTTCATATAATGAATTGTTTCCCATTATTGAAAATATTTATTTAAATACATTATTTGTTGCTGGACACGGGCTTATCCCTGTTATCCCAGTACTTTGGGAGGCTGAGGTGAAGGATCACTTGAGGCCAGGAATTGGAGACCATACTGGGCAGCATATTGAGACGCTGTCTCTACAAAAAAATTTAAAAAATTAGCTGGGTATGTTGGTGCATACCTGTAGTTCCAGCTACTCTGGAGGCTGAGGTGGGAGGATGCACTTGAGTCCGGGAGTTCAAGGTTACAGTGAGCTATGATCACACACGCCATTGTAGGTATTCCAGCCTGGGCAACAGAGTAAGCCGAGACTATGTTTCAAAAATATAAATAAACAAATACATACAGAAAGAGATATTTGTAAGAAAGAATAATCCACTCAGTGGACTCTGTTTAAAAATTTAATAAAAGAAGGAATTCAGTCTTGTGGGACTATATCTGTGGCATATCCATGAAGATTCCTTGTAGAAATTACAATCCCCACTTTTCATTTACTGGAGAACTTCACTAACATCTTACTAATTCTTTAAAACCACACAATAACAAAAACAATAGCCAAACACCACATTTTGCTACCCTTGTGTACCATCCTTATGGCAAAATGTAGCTCAAAAATCTCAATTATCATATAGAAGTATTCAATTTTTCCTCTATGCTAGGTAATGCACAGTCCAGTATACACGCTGTTTTAGACAGGTCCAGGGACTGTCGGCAGTGTCCCTTTTCAAGAATCACACAATGCTTGTAAAGAGGTTGCTCTTCAGTTTAAATACTCTCTTTGCTCTTTTTACCTTGACAAAAAAATCCACCATGAAATTTTCCCTTGCAAAAAAATAATTTAAGATACATATTCGAAGGAGAGTTGGCTGGGTGTGGAGGCTCATATGCCTGTAATCCCAGCACTTGGGGAGATCAAGGCAAGGCAGATCACTTGAGCCCAGGAGTTCAAGACCAGCCTGGGGAATAAGATAAGACTCCATCTCTACAGAAAATATAAAAAATTAGCCAGGTGTGGTGGTGCACACCTGGAGTCCCAGCTACTTGGGTGACGGAGGTGGAAGGATCATTTGAGCCTGGCAAGTCAAGGCTGCAGTGAGCCATGATCATGCCACTATACCACTCCAGCTGGGCTTTAGAGTGAGACACTGTCAAAAACAAAGAAAAAGAGAAAGAGAAAAGAGAGAGAGAGAGAAATGGAGAGTTCCCCATATCTTATTTTAAATGAGTCATACCTTTTTTAAGTCTTTCTTCTGTAATTCAACCAACTATGTTTGAATTGTAGCAGTGGACTATGTCTCTGCTACAAAAATGAAGTACCTTGTGTTACTCATCTATTTCTGGAAAGGTATGTTCAAAATCAGAATTTCATGGTAAAACATCCTCTGTCCACTCATTGTCCTGGGTAGTTCAATGACACCTTATTTCAAAATATTCAATGCCCAATTAACTGGAACCAGGAAAAATTATCCATATTAGCACTAGGGAATGAACAAAACTTATTCGCTGTTTTGTCATTTTGCCCTCCCTAGTATAAATTCTTGTTGATTGAGTTTAGTGAGACTTTTTTTTCTTTTTGAGACAGAGTCCCACTCTGTCACCCAGGCTGGAGTGCAGTGGCGAGATCATGGTTCACTGCAACCTCCACTTCCTGGGTTCAAGTGATCCTCCTGCCTCAGCCTCCTGAGTAGTTGGTATACAGGGGCATGCCACCACACCTGGCTCACTTTTGTATCTTTGTAGAGACAGGGTTGCCCAGGCTGGTCTTAAACTCCTGGGCTCAAGCAATCCTCCCACGTTAGCCTCCCAAAGTGCTGGGATTGCAGGTGTGAGCCACCACGCCCAGCCTCCTGAGGCTTTTCTGCCCCTGCCCTATAAAGAGGAAAAAAGAAAACTCTCCTCCACAGTAGTTGAAGCAGAGCCCTTCACTGCCACTCCAGCCAGTACAATGTCTTTACAAATGAAACATTTTTTGAGAGTAGGAGGAGAGAAAAAATGCTCAATATTCCAAGCTTGAAGCATCATTTTATTTAGCTCCTTTCTGGGGAATCTGCAAGTATAATTCTTAAAATCACAAATTCTCCTTGGCTTTAAAATCAGGGGTAATTATCTGTTGAGGCATAGGCCATGGATCGGAGATAATAGGCTCAACCACTTTACTAATGAAGAAAGAGACATGCAGATGAGTTGTCATTTACCTTTTTTTTTTTTTTTTTAAGAGATGAGGTACTGCTATGTTGCCCAGGCTGGAGTGCAGTAGCTCTAGTGGCTATTCACAGGCATGGTCATAACACACTGCAGCTTCATATTTCTGGCCTCAAGCCATTATCCCACCTCAGCCTCCTGAGTAGCTGGGACTACAGGTGTGCCCCATCACACTCAGCTCAGAAACCCAACTTAAACTAGCTAACTTAAAATGGAAATGTATTGGCTCAAATAATTCAGAATGACAAAGCTATTGCTATTAATCCAGGTTCAAACAATGTCATCAAGTTCTCTTTTCTTGACTCTATTTCTCTTTGTATGTTGGTGTAAGGGCCAAGGGAAAGTTTCCCCTCTGCCCTCTAAAGATTTGCTGAAAATGAACTGACAACAGGTAGATTCATAGAAAAATAGATGCAAATTTATGTAACATGCTTATGCACGGAGGTATTGCAAGAACATGATTATCCAACAACCCAATGAGGTTCAGATGCTTATATACCCTTCTTCATAGAAGAAAAGAAGATGTGGAAAATGTGGCCATTTTGAGGCATAATTATTTTTAGGGGGAATGAATGGGTCCATTGCACAGAAAATGTTTAGTAAATAGGTCTCTAAGAATTGAATGGGACCAGAGAACACTATGCGGGCTCTGGGTGTGACATAGCCCAATGTGGGCTCTTCCTCTGTGATATAATAATCTTCTCTGGTTAATGAAATTTGGAGGAAAGGATCAATGGCAATTATGTTCCTCTTTGGTGGGTCCAGTTTCTAGGTAGAAAAGAAATCCAGAGAACAGCCTCACCCTGTGCTTTCGGAGAGATAGAGGATTAAGAAGTGGGGAAAGTCAGAGAGACCTGAGACTGCTTCTTTGGTTCGGTGTGTCAAATCTCCATATTTCGGGGTATCATTTCCTGAGCCCAAACTTTGGTATCATGCTAAAGAGAGTCTTTCTCTTTGTTGCAGAGATCATGGTTAATGGTGGCCCCAGAGTATATCTTTCCAGCATTGTGAGTTCACATTAAAGACGAACTTACCCCATTAATTTTTTGCTTGGGATGGGTTATACTCCAATTCTAAAGCAAGACCAAGGACATTACTCAAGTCATAAGCCTACTGCTGTTGGCAGAGAAAACAAAACCAGAAGAAGGAAAAAGGAAGGAAAGCTTATTAGTCAAACAAAAGTATCAGCTCTGAGAGAGACTAGAAAGCAAATTATAATCATCATAAAACTCACTGAAATGGCTACAAATTTAGGAGTGTATAAAATGGACCTGTTTTTACAAAGGATTCATTGAGCAAGGGTTGGGTGCTAGAAGCCAGTTTGTCACAGGGCCTGCTCTGCTGCGGAACATAAATCAAAACAAAATCACTAGACCAAGCACATAGTTAGGCTACATGATTAACTCTATTGTCTGCACTCAAGAGTCAGTGGAGTCTCCAGGGGTCTTAAGCTTTCCTAGAAATTTGAGGAGTACCATCCCCCTAATTTTTCAAATATTCCCATCTTTATCTAGAAGGCTATAAGATTTGTGAGATGTTTGGAGTTCCACAGATCCTCTAGGGAGATTCAGTATATCTGATGGAATCTTGAAGAACCATGGAATTTTCTGGATGTTGGCCAACTTAAAACTGTAGACTAGATATCCTCAATGTTTGTTAACTGCACTACAGCAGTGGTTCTTAAAATGTGGGCCCCAACCACCAGTGTCAATAACACCTGGGAAGTCTTTAGAAATCTAAATTCTCAGGCCTGTACTCCAATTCTACTGAAACTCTAGGCCCTCAGCCAGCACGATGGCTCACACCTGTAATTCTAGCACTTTGGGAGGCCGAGGACGGCAGATCATTTGAGCCCAGGAGTTTGAGACTAGCCTGGGCAACCTGGTGAGACCTCACCTCTACCAAATATACAAAAATTAGCAGGGTGTGGTGGCATGTGCCTGTAGTCCCAGCTACTCAGGAGGCTGAGGTAGGAGGATCACCTGTGCCTGGGAGGCAAAGGCTGCAGTGAGACATGATCACACCACTGCATTCCAGTCTGGGTGACAGAGTGAGACGCTGTTTCAAAAACAAACAAACAAACAAAAAACTGTACAGGTGGGGCCTAGCATCTGTGTTTTAGCTAACCCTCCAGGTGATTCTAATGCAACTAAAATTTGAGAACCACTGACCTAGAAGTAGATTGGAAATGAAGCTTACCAGCCAGATTCTTAAAACATCCTTGGTAGTAGTTCACATTATTTATCCACTAGAAGAAAGTGGACTAACTAGAGCTTTAGATAACTCCCAACCAACTTCATGAAGAATGATAATGGCTTTAATGTAGATTATACTGTTAGCTGGTCATTTATTCCATAAATAAATGGAATATATAATTATATGGAAACAAAGTGTTTTGGTGGGTTTTTCCCTTTTTCATCTATTTTGTATAAAGAGACTATTTTTACGATCCAGTTTAACAGCTGTAATACATTCTGATTTATATAATGCAAAGTAAAATTGCCATAATTCCATTTCATTAAAAACACAGCTTGTATGGTAATGCTAAAATGATCAATATCATGTAATATCCTGCATAACACAAATATAGGAATGCACCCAAAAGTTAGAGCTTGGATAGTAACCATCGCAGTTTTAGATAACAGAATGTACATTAAACAATGTAATTGTGATTATGTATTATTTGTAATAAATGTAAAAAGTCAATTACACCCTTGCTCTGATAGAGAAGTAAAGTTAAAATTGAGATGTTGAAGTTGGTAAAGAAGTGTTGGAGCCAGGCGCGGTGGCTCACGCCTGTAATCCAGGCATTCTGGGAGGCCGAGGCAGGCGGATCAAGAGGTCACGAGATCGAGACCATCCTGGCTAACACGGTGAAACCCTGTCTCTACTAAAAATATAAAAAATTAGCCGGGCGTGGTGGTGGGCGCCTGTAGTCCCAGCTACTCGGCAGGAGAATGGCGTGAACCTGGGAGGCGGAGCTTGCAGTGAGCCGAGATTGGGCCACTGCACTCCAGTCTGGGTGACAGAGCGAGACTCCATCTCAAAAAATAAAAATAAAAATAAGAAGTATTGGGAAGCTACTCTTGGTGGTCTCTAAGAACTAACATTTATAGAGCACTTATATGTGCCAGATGTGTTATGAGCTTAGACAAACATTAACTCAGTGGAGCATTAAAACATTACTATAAGGTAAGTATTTTTATTAACTTGCTCCACTTTGAAGAGGAAACAGACTTAGAACAACTCTTTGAAGAAAATGTAGTGGGTAATCATGATCTTGGACTAAGCAATGATTTCTTAAATATGTCAGAAGCACAGCCAATTAAAGAAATAATAGCTAAATTGGACAAAATTTAAAACTCCTGTGCTACAAAGGACACCATTTTGTAATCCCTCCCGAGTAGCTGGGATTACAGCTATGTAATGGGAGAAAACATTTATCTGATAAGAGTCTTGTATTTAGAATATATAAAGAACTCTTACAACTCAATAATGAAAAGATTAATAACCCACTTAAGAACTGGGCAGTAGCTGGGTACGGTGGCGTATGCCTGCAGTCCCAGCTACTCAAGAGTCTGAGGCAGGAGGATTGCTTGAGTCCAAGAGGTCAGGACTGTAGTATGCTATGATTATGCCTGTGAATAGCCACTGCAAGCCAGCCTGAGCAAACATAGTGAGATATCATCTCTTAAAAAAAGAGATTGTGTGTGTGTGTGTGTGTGTGTGTGTGTGAGAGAGAGAGAGAGAAAGAGAGAGTGTGTGTGTGCCGTTTTATAACTTGATTTGACAACCAGTGGTTAGTTCTCATTTGCAGTGGCACTTTTTTTGAAAGTGGTAACTAGTACATAGGTAACCAAAGTATAGAGCTTGCTTGGTGATTCTTCATCCTCATTACGTTTTCTGGACAACTGCTTATGGATACAGTATGGAACATTCCTTATTCCTTTGGCCCAGAAAGCTTTGTTTAGCCTGGTATCAATCCCCTCATCTGGAATCTCCATCTCCTTCATGGCAAATTTCTTTTTCTTTTTCTTTTTCTTTTTCTTTTTCAGACAGAGTCTCCCTCTGTCACCCAGCAGGCTGGACTGCAGTGGCACAATCTTAGCTCACTGCAACCTCCACCTCCTGTGTTCAAGTGATCCTCCTTCCTCAGCCTCCCAAGTAGCTGGGATTACAGGTACACACCACCACACCCAGCTAATTTTTGTATTTTCAGTAGAGACAGGGTTTCGTCATGCTGGCCAGGCTGGTCTCAAATTCTTGACCTTAAGTGATCCATGTGCCTCAACCTCCCAAAGTGCTGGGATTCCAGGCATCAGCCACAGCACCCAGTATGGCAAATTTCTATATCTCTTTGAGTGTCTGAGAGGTAGGCTTCTTGAAGCCCACTCCATGGATGCCCTTGTGAATGTTGATGGTGTATTCTCAGGTTACCATGTCATTGATGGAAGAATGGCCTTTCTTGTTGCCACCTTTCTGTGTGGGAGCCATTCTGCTGGGCACACATTGGAAAGGAGAGGGCAAAGATTCTGAAGAGACATTTATCCATAAAAAGTATACAAATGGCCAACAAACACATGAAAAGATGCTCAATATCATTAGTCATCAAAGAAAAGCAAATCAAAACCGCAATGAGATATCACTTCACACCTACTAGAACGGCTAAAATCAAAGACAGAAAACAAGTATTGGTAAGGATGTGGAGGCATTGGAACCCTCATATACTGCTGATGGGAATTTAAAATGGGGCAGCCAC
The DNA here is from genome assembly GCF_000001405.40 of Homo sapiens. Taxonomy (NCBI): domain Eukaryota; kingdom Metazoa; phylum Chordata; class Mammalia; order Primates; family Hominidae; genus Homo; species Homo sapiens. The sequence continues at coordinate 21,401,879 of NC_000007.14, forward strand.
TTTGGAAAATAGTGTGGCAATTAGTTCTTCAAACAATTTAACATAGAGTCACCATATGATATGGTTTGGGTCTGTGTCCCCACCCAAATCTCATCTTGAATTTTACTCCCACAATTCCCACGTGTTTGGGGAGGGAATCATGGGGGCAGTTTCCCCCATACTGTTCTCATGGTAGTGAGTATGTCTCACAAGATCTGATGGTTTTATCAGGGGTTTTCGCTTTTGCGTCTTCCTCATTTTCTCTTGCCGCCTCCATGTAAGTAGTGCCTTTCACCTCCCGCCATGATTCTGAGGCCTCCCCAGTTATGTGAAACTGTAAGTCCAATTAAACCCCTTTTTTCTTCCCAGTCTTGGGTATGTCTTTATCAGCAGCATGAAAATGGACTAATATACCATATAACCTGGCAATCCCACTCCTAGGTATAAACTCAAGAGAAAGAAAATATATGTCCACTAAAACACTAGTGCACAAATGTTCATAGCAGCATTATTCATATTGTAACCACCCAATGGGTTCACCTTGCCCACTGCCTAGACAGACTCAATTTATCAAGACAGATAGAGAAAGAGTAATACACACAAAGCCAGCTATGCAGGAGACCAGAGTTTTATTATTACTCAAATCAGTCTCCCGAAGCATTTGGGAATCAAAGTTTTTAAAGATAATTTGGTGGGTGGGGGAAGGACAGTGATTTGAGAGCGCTGATTTGTTGGGTCAGAGAGGAAATCATGGGAAGTTGAAGTTGTCCTCTGGTACTGAGTCAATTCTTAGGTGAGGGCCACAAGATCAGATGAGCCAGTTTATCAATCTGGGTGGTGCCAAGTGATCCATCAAGTGCAGGGTCTGCAAAATATCTCAAGCACTGATCTTAGGAGCAGTTTAGGGAAGGTCAGAATCTTGTAACCTCCAGCTGCATGTCTCCTAAGCCATAATTTCTAATCTTGTGGCAAATTTGTTAGTCCTATAAAGGCAGTCTAGTCCCCAGGCAAGAAGGAGGTTTGTTTTAGGAAAGGACTATTATCGTCTTAGTTTTAAACTATAAACTAAGTTCCTCCCGAAGTTAGTTCAGCCTACACCCAGGAAGGAACAAGGACAGCTTAAACGTTAAAAGCAAGATGGAGTCAATTAGGTTAGGTCTCTTTCACTGTCTCAGTCATAATTTTGCAAAGGCAGTTTCAATAATAGCCAAAAGGTGGAAATATCCCAAATGTTACCAACTGATGAATGGAAAAACAAAATGTGTTATATCTATAATATGAACTATCATTCAAATGTATTTCTTCATAAAAAAGAGTGAAGTTCTGATGCATGCCTGTAAAGGAAAAAAACAAATTGTTTTTTCCCTCTACTCACACACTTAACACAGAACACTTCTGTGACCAGATGTGTGGGTACCCTATATCTCAATTCACTTCTGATTACCTGGAGGTAGTGTCAGATCCCACAGATTCAGAACTCAGTCCCACATGACTACCCCCATTTCAGATGCCAATCACATGTAATAGACGTAACTACACTTCTGATGAATAGGCTATAAATCAGGGTTCTTACAACACTTTCTTGGGTTTGATTAATTTTCTAGCTGATACGGTTTAGATATTTCTCCTCACCAAATCTCATGTTAAAAATGTGATCCACAATGTTGGAGGTGGGGCATAATAGAAGGTGTTTGGCTCATGGGGGTAGATTCCTCATGAATGGCTTGGTGCCCTCCCCATGGTAATGAGTTACTATGAGTTCGGATTGTTAGAAAGAATCTGAGACCTTCCCCCTCTCTGTCTTGCTCCCTCTCACACCATGTGACACACCTGCTCCCCCTCCCCCTTCTGCCATGAGTAAAGGCTTCCTGAGGTCTCACCAGAAACCAAACATTTACTGGTGCCATGCTTACACAGCCTACAAACCATGAGCCAAATAAACCTCTTTTCTTTATGAATTACCCAGTCTCAGGAATTCCTTCATAGCAATGCAAAATGGACTAATACCGTAGGGCAGCTCACAGAACTCAGGGAAACACACTTACCAGTTTATTATAAAGGATATGATGAAGGATGCAGATGAACAGCCAGATGAAGAGATGGATAGGATAAGATTGAGAGTCGGAACGCAGAGCTTCCATGCCCTCTTTGGGCATGACACTCTTCCAGCACCTCCGTGTGTTCAGCAACTCAGAAGCTCATCAAATCTTATTGTTCAAGGGTTTTTATAGAGTTTATCTATAGGCACTCTCCCTCCCAAGCACACTTCCCAGAGATCAGTGGGTGGGGCTGAAAGTTCTAACCCTCTAATCACTGGGTCTTTATGGTGACCATTCCCATTCTGAGGTTATCTAGGGATGGCCACTCTAAGTTTAGCATAAACTCAGGAGTGGTCAAAAGGGGCTAATAATGAATAACAGAAAGACATGCTCTTGTGCCAGGAATTAAGGACAAAGACCAAATGTATTTCATATTTTACAGTAATGCTGTACCATGGATAAACCTTAAAACATTATCTTAAGAAAAAGGAGTCAGTCACAAAAGACCACATATTTTATAATTCTATTTATAAGAAACACTCAGAGTAGACAAATCTATATAGATGAAAAGTAAATTAGTGATTGGCTAGAACAGGGTGATGGCTAAAGGGTACAGAATTTCTTTTTTGGGTTGATAAAATGTTCTCTTTTTTATTTGTTTGTTTTTGTTTTGAGATGGAGTCTTGCCCTGTCACCCGGGCTGGAGTGCAGTGGTGCAATCTCGGCTCACTGTAACCTCCACCTCCCAGGTTCAAGTGATTCTTGTACCTCAGCCTCCAAAGTACCTGGGATTACAGGTGTGCACCACCATGCCTGGCTAATTTTTGTATTTTTTAAGTAGAGACGAGGTTTTGCATATTGGCCAGGCTGGTCTCCAACTTCTGACCTCAGGTGATCTTCCTGTCTCGGCCTCCCAAAGTGCTGGGATTACAAGCATAAGCCACTGCACCCGGCCTGCGGTGATGAAATGTTCTAAAATTTATTGTAGTAGTGTTATACAAATCTGTGAATATGCTAAGAATCATTAAATTTTTTAATTTTCAAATTATTTTAATTTTTAAATTTTAAAAGTTTAAATGTGTAAATTGTATATGAGTTATATCTTAATAAAGCTATTGTTTCAAAAAACAGGGAGAGAGAGAATGATTACAATTCTTGGGAGAGTGGAGATTTAGAATAGCTATCGGGGTTAATGTGATAGGAATTGGTCAAAGATAAACTACTTCTATCCAATGATGAGAAACTGATTAAAATTAGATTACCTGCATGTGTGGAGTGTCAAGGCAGCAGCAGCAGCAGAGTTCTGTAGCCTTCATCTCAGGGTCTGGAGGGCAGGGAGAATGAACAGGCTGGAGGGCTTGCACAAAGAACAAGGTTGGGGTTTAGACCTAGGCCACCATATGCCTTTTGTGGGTTCTTTCCCTCTTCTCTGACCAGTCCCTTATACTTTACTTTCTGCAGCCAATCTTCTTCCTGGGTCCATTTCCACATGCTGTGTCCTTAAGGGCTCCACATGTCAGCCCTCTACTTTTCTCTCTCCATGCTCTCCCTTGGTGAGCATACACACGTTCTCATTTTCTGATGAGTCCAAATTACATGTCTCTAGCTCAGACCTCTCCTAAGCATCAGATGCAGTTACTCAGCTACCCACTGGACATTTCCACCTGATTATCCCACACACATTTCAAATGTAAATACCCAACGTTGCTCCTTCTCTATCTAACTTATCTTCCTCTACTTCCTATTTTGGAAAATAGAAAGACTTCGAGGGTGAGCGTAATTTTGCACACAGTAGAATAGGAATTTCATAGAGCCCCGTCAAATAAAAATTCTAGGAAACCATTGTTTTGGACTAAGATTCTGCATTTTAGACCAGACTAAAAATCAAAATGAAGTCACCCATGCTAAAAGTTCCACATCACCAAACCCAAACTAAGTTATTATCTGACTTTCTAAGAAATTAGGAGAAAGAAATAACAGCCAATTTCCCAAACAGATCAGTTTAAATCTTCAACTGGCATGATAATGAAATTTCCTTTGCACTAAAAAGGTATCCTGGGCAGAGGTGGGACGATCCTTGAGCCCAGGAGTTCAAGACCAGCCCTGGCAATGCAGCAAGACCCCACCTCTAAACATTAATTAATTATTTATAAAGGAGGCTGAAATAACCTAATGTTAACTAGTTATTTTCCTATTATTCTAAGAGTAATTAACATACTCTTTGTTCTTTGCTTCTGCTTTCTTCAGCCCTTCTCTATGAAGCCAAACTCTTCTGCTCAGCTCATTGGAATACATTATATTTTATAGAATGAAGTGTTGCTCTATTTTAGAACCACAAATAAAGCCAACTGAGATTTTTACACTACATTTGTTGGAATTTTGTCCTTTGACAGCTCCATGAAATGAGATGGTTGATAGAGGCAAAGAGAACCAGGTAGTAAAAGAGATTATTACAAAATCAGACTTTTGATCAAGCCACTCCTTTGGTTGAACACTTTCAATTACTTTTTTTTTTTTTTTTTTTTGAGACGGAGTCTCGCTCTGTCGCCCAGGCTGGAGTGCAGTGGCGCGATCTCGGCTCACTGCAAGCTCCGCCTCCCGGGTTCACGCCATTCTGCCTCAGCCTCCCGCGTAGCTGGGACTACAGGCGCCCGCCACCACGCCCGGCTAATTTTTTTGTGTTTTTTAGTAGAGACGGGGTTTCACTGTGTTAGCCAGGATGGTCTCGATCTCCTGACCTCGTGATCCGCCCGCCTCGGCCTCCCAAAGTGCTGGGATTACAGGCGTGAGCCACCGCGCCCGGCCTCAATTACTTTTTAATATCAGAGAAAAAATGCAAGTTCTATATGCCGTTACTCGTAATTCACCTTTAGCTGTATACTTAATTTAAAGGAGCATGTATCAAACAGAAATAACCCAGGCATATACAAAGAACTGTCATATAGATTGACCTTGACCCCCAATAGCTTATGGTCTAGCAAGGAAGGCTCATGAGTAAAGTGTCCATACAATGTGATAAATGTAAAGAAGGATTAAGCATGTTAAGAAAAGACCATGAGATCCTTGGAGAAAAAAGGAAGAACTTTATTTTCTTTCTTCTTCTTTTTTTTTTTTTTTTTTTTTTTTTTTTTTTTTTTTTTTTTTTGAGAACCCTATTTTCTAAAAGCAGTCTGCAGTTGGAAAGATACAAGCCTTCAGTGCAAACAAAAATGTGGTCCAAAGTGGGGTGGGGCAGGATGAAGAGTTAGGGATTATTATATAAAGGCAGAGCAAGGAGTGAAAGGGAGGGAAAGGGAAGGGAGGGAGAGAAAGGGAGGGAAGAATAGGATCTTGATTGGATGACTTTTAAGCCCCAAATAATTAGTCTTTCTTAAGTGGCTGGTTCCAGGTGGTAGGTTTCACCAAGTGGGAGGTTGCCACCAGGTGGTCTGTTGGTGGTCATTTGGGGAATTTTCAGCTGTAGTCTATCTTGACACTGACAGGAGGAACTGATTTGGCTTGATTGTAGCCAAGAACCCAGAGTAGGTGACTGCTCCCTCACCTAGTCACGGGTGCCTCATTCTCATGTTTTAACTTTGAGCAGCTCCTTTAGCCACAGGGGGCCCATTTTGTCTGTTGGCCATGGGCATATGTTAGCAAGTACAAGATGCCATGACAGCGCATAGGGCATCTTACCCAGCAATTTGGAGGGTATGGTGTGTTAGCAATAGCTTCCCTGAAGCCATGAAAGTTCCTGAAACAAGAAATATGAACAGAAGTTAGTCTACTGCCGTGGAGGAAAGAGTATACCAGGCATGAGCTTGGCCTGTCTTTGGGCTGCTTCAGTAATGGTGAGTGCAGAGTGTTGAAGCCTGGAGAGGGAAATTGGTGAATATCAAGGGCAATCTTGGGGAATAAAGTGAGAGCAAAATCGAATGGGAAGGAAGGCTGAGGACACAAAAGGGAATAGAACACTTTTCCAATAAGTTTGGCTGTGAAGAGGAGCAAAAGATAAGGCAAGAAGAAAAAAGGGGTGTGGTTTGGTAAAGTGCTTGGGGTTATTTGTGTGTGTGTTTCCAAAGTAAGAAAGATGTGAGCATGACTAAGTGCTGAAGGCAAGAAGCCAGAGCCCTGAGAGCAGGGATATCTGTGGAGCAAGTGCCTAAGGTGGGAGAGGCTGAGAAACTGAGCAAGATGAAGGCATTAGCTTCGTTCTGTGGGATTTGAAGAAAGAAGGAGGGATGAGCGTGGTAAACAGGGTGACAGGAGTTTGATGCATTTCATTTTAAAAGTCACTGAGGAGGCAAGTAGGATGAAGGGTTTGCGAAGTGTGAAGAATGTTTGAAATAGCCATAATGACTGTAGAAGGATTGAGTAGGAAGGATTGAGTTAGATTGAACAGGAAATGAGCTGGTGTTTTCCATGAAGTTGGGGAATACCTGAATTAGGAGTAAATAAGCAAGAAAACTGCAAAGGCAGGCAATTGGAATTTGAAAATGGAATGTTTACTTAATGATTTCAAAAGTAGATCAAATTCCAGGTGAAGGTAGAGTTTTGACCTAGCAATGAGACTGAATGGCTAATTGGGAAAAAGATGTGAAGATATTTGGAATAAAGTCAATGAGCTAAGAAGACAATCAGTTGAATGGAGGACCCGAGTATGAACAAAATTCTGTTTGATGGCAAGTCTTGAGAAGAGGAAACCTTCTCATGAAGGCTGAGGTCTTCAGTGACTGACAATGAGGAAGTAGAGGTATGAAGGTGACGCTCACGTGGAGAGTGTGCTACAACTGAATGGCATGACCTTACTTACAGATGCAGAATTTTTATAAAATAATGGAAGAAGAATCATTCTGAACCTATTTGCCTGCATCTATCATCTAGCAGTTGGGTGAAACTTTTTTTTGTATATATTTCTGACCATGTTACTCCTTATAAAGGAAAAAATTTTTTTCTCTATTTTTCTCTCTCACACTCAACACAGAACACTTCTGTGACCAGATGTTTAGGTTTTTTGTTTTTGTTTTCCACTCACCAAGCAATTCTCCAAAAGACACTAATTGCGTGTCCTATAATCCAATTCAATTTGACACTATTTACCTGGAGACAGTGTCAGGTCCCACAGGTTGAGGGCTCAGTCCCACAAGACTTGCACCCTACTTTAGACACCAGTCACAAGCAAAAGGCCATCACCTCTACTTCTGACAGACTTGGCTACAAACTGGGGTTCCCATGGCCTCCTCCTTGAATTCAATTAATTTGCTACGAGGGTTCACAGAACTCAGGGAAACATTTACTTACATTTGCTGGTTGATCATTAAGGACATTATCCAGGATACAGATGAACAGCTAGATGAAGAGATGGATAAGGCAAGGTATGTGTGGAGGGCAGAGTGGAGCTTCCGCGCCCTCATTGGGCATGCCACCCTCCCATCACCTCCACATACTAAGCATCCAGAAGCTTATCAATTCTAGTTGGAGTTTTCAGAGAGCTTAATCTCCAGCACTCTGCTCCCTTTATCCCGGATGTTAGTAGGTGGGGCTGAAAGTTCTAACCCTCTAATCTTCTAACTATTTGGTCTTTCTGGTGACTGGCCCCATTCTGAGGTTATCTAAGAGAGGCTTCACCTTCGGAGCTTGCAGTGAGCCGAGATTGCGCCACTGCAGTCCGCAGTCCGGCCTGGGCGACAGAGCGAGACTCCGTCTCAAAAAAAAAAAAAAAAAAAAAAAAAAGAGAGGCTTCACCTTAAGCCACTTCATTAGCATAAGCTCAGGTCTTATAGAAAGGGGTTCATTTTGAAAACAGACATTCCTGTCACTCAGAAAATTCCAAGGGCTTTAGGAGCTCTGTGACAGGAACTGGGGACAAAGACAAAATAGATATCCTATGATACCGCACTCCTCTACTCAAACCGTCCCATGACTTCCCACCTCCCACTGAGTACCCCTAGTATCTTCACCATGGCCTTCCCTGACTAGCCTGCCCTGTTTTCTGACTTTAGCTCTTGCCACTTTACAACTTGCCTATCCTGCTCCAGCCAGACTGGCTCCCTTGCCATCCCCAAACCTGACAAAACTTGTGACCATCTCAAGCCCTTTGCACTTGCTTTCCCTCATGTCTGGAAAGCTCTTCCCCTAGTGGCTCCCTCATCTCCTTCAGATCTCTGCTTAGCTGTCCCCTTCCTAGTTTCCTCCTGTACCACCTCCACAGGTAGTCCCTACTCTACATCCCTGTTTAAATTTTCTCCATTGCATTCATCACCACTGAACTTTACATACATTTACTTTTTTTCCCCGGTTAACCACTCCCAAAGGATGTAAGCTACCAGACAGCAGGATTTTGATCATTCTGCTTATTGCTATATCCATAGCAGGCATAAAGACTATTTTTTTGAATGAAGGCCATGACAATGGCTGTGAGCAGGACTCTGACCCTACGTGCTGTATGTGAGATAACTCAGAGAAATGTTTCCATTGAGGGAAGCCATAGGGAGGGAAGAATGTGAGCATGTCAGGGTGTTGTCACCATGCAGGGGCCTTCCAGTGGGCACTCTGGGAGGTGTAGGTGGACCTGTGGGCATAGGTTGCTGATGGTTGAAGCCTGGAGCAGATGGGACACACAGGCAGAGTGGATGTTAGCAGCGGCTAATCCACACAGGTCTGCAGCCTTCTCAGAAGAAAGAAGAATTCAATCCAGGGGCATAAAGCAAAGTGAGAGACCCAGGCAAGTTTTAGAGCAGAAGCAAAAATTTATTAAAAGGTTTAGAGCAGGAACAAAGGGAAGTAAAGTACACTTGCAAGAGGACCAAGCAGGTGACTTGAGAGATCAAGTGCATGGTTTGACCTTTGACTTGGGGTTTATACGACGGCATCCTCCTCCCCTGATCGTTCCCTTGGGGTGGGCTGTCCACATGCATAGTGGTCAGCCAGCACCTGGGAGGGGCCGCATGCACAGTACGTTTACTGAGGTTGCACGCATGCTCACTCGAGGCGTTCGTTCCTTACCAGTGCAGTGCTCCTAGAGGAAGGTGATATAACAGTTAAACTCTGCCATTTTGCCTCTTTGTGGGCATGGTTGAGTCCACTCACCCACCTCCTGAGATCTTATCGGGAAGCTGCTAATCACCAGTTTCAGGTGTTTCTAGATAATGGGAGACTGCCTTTCCTTGGTGCCAGCTGTGACCAATTATTATTTTAGAGAAACAGTTTAACAACTGCTTGACCATCACCTGATGGCTGTCCAACCAGACATCTTGGTGGAGCCTGCCTCTTGGTGGAGGCAGGAGGGTGTGCTCTGTCCTGCCCTGCTCATGTCTGACTAGCTACCTACTGTAACAGGAGGAACTTGCTTTTAAGAAAGTCTCCAAGAATAAAGACAGGGATGGGAAGTATGGTAAAATTTTCTGGCTTTCCAAAAGATATATTCCTAACAGGCTGCCTGGATAGATTGTACTTCTCAAGGAATTCACATGAGAAACAGAAACAGACATGAGTGTGGGAAGAACACAAGATTTTTGGAAGGATTTGCCCATCTTGTGGTTGCATGTGTTACCAAGGGCTCCCTGGCCTAGAAGTAGGAAGGCAGGCAGACAGCAGGTGGATGGTTCGAGATTGGATAGTACCAGGGTGCCTTATGAAGTGTTTTCCACAGCAGCAGCTCCAAGGGTTGAGGGGTTGGCCCTGGAGTTATGTCAGGTCCAGCCAGGCCTCCTGTTTTTTTTTTCCCACCTCAAATGTGCTTTCCCCGTATTTTCCTGCTTCTACACCTCGGCTCACCTACACTGTTCTGTCTGGAATTCCCTTCCCCTCCCACCCTACAGCTATTCACATTTTGGGCATCCTTCAAGATCCAATTCAAGCTCAAGCTCCCTGACAAAGTTTTCCCTCACAGCCCCAGCCTGGAGGGATTGCTCCTTGCCTTAAACTCCCATTACAGTTATTGACTGGAGAATTCATTTTGCAATTAATCACCTACTGCCTTGTGACATCTCTTCAATTATGGCTTCAATTGAACTTTTATTTATGGTTTCTGGGTTGTATAACTTCTCCTGTGATGATGGTTTGTCATCTCTCCAGCTTCCCTGTGGGCTTCTTGAAGCCAGGAGCACCTTTTGCTTGTCTTTGGAGCCCCCATCACTCCACACAGCTCCTTACACAGGAAGATATACAGATTATATAAGCTGATACACTTTATTAATCATTAATATTCCATGCTGACACCTAACTGATAATCCTGTTTACTTTCAAATGATTATTTAACATGCGAGTATTGTAATAATATTTCTTCCCACTACAAACATGTTGTGTACTCTCCCTTTTCCATCACAGATGTTTCTGAGGACTAATGCTGTTCAGTTCTCTTGTCAATTTGATCTTAATTTTTCAGCAGAGATGGGAGAGCTTGGTAATAAGCGAACAGCTCTGGAAACAGGTGTCCTGGTTGGAGTCTTAGCTCTGCCATTTGCTAGAAGGATGAGCCTGGGCAAGTCATTTAACTTTTCCATACCTCAGTTTCTTCATCTGCAAGATGTGGATTATAACAGGCTTTTCACTGATCTATTTTGGGGGTTAAACAAATTACACCATGTGACATTCTTAGGTCAGCATCTGGTGAATGGTGAAGCCCTTGATAACTTGCTAGCTGTTATTTCTGTGTGACTGGAAATTTCCAAATTTAAAGTATGAGATTCACATGTCTTTCCACTCTTCTTTTATCACTAAAGAACAGAGAGCAGGCAGTGAAGCTGCCTCTCTACCTCAGAACACCAGGCTGCAGTCTAAACTCTGCCACTTAGTTTGTGTTATTTTAGGCAAGATACTCAACCTCTTTGGGGTGCTGTGAAGATCAGAGAGTAAACATCTGTGAAAGTACTTTGTAAACAGCATACTTGCTTACCCAAAGCAAGGAGCTGTGGGTGAGAACAGGAAATACATTTAACTGGTTCAGTTTTGAAAATCTTACCCTTAGAAAATTCGCTTTAGGAAAAGAGTAACTCTTTGTCTCTCTTTGGTTGAATTACCCTAATTATCTTATGCGGCCTTCATATTTCTTTTCTTTTTTATGTTTTTTCGTTGTTGAGGGTTTTCTTGTTGTTGTTGTTGTTGTTGTTGTTGTTGTTAAAAAAAAAAACTATTGGTGCTGTGGGAAGTCTTTCTGAGCCTATGATATGCTTCCTTTTCTCATCTGTAAATCTGGTTGGTCTACTAAACAAACAGCCGCATTCACCAAAGTCAGACACATCCTTCATGATTTAAAATCTGTGGCTGTGCTTTGACAAAGGAGCTCTGTAGGGAATGGTAATGCGATTAGGATGGTAACTGGCTGGAGGAGCAGGAACATGCCAACCAAACAACTCTCTTTGCAGGGTTCCTTGGAGACAAGTGTCAGAGGCAGGTTAAGAGCAAGGTTTCTGGCACCAGGCACTTGGGTTCAAATCCCCACTCCCTACCATTTATTTTCTGGGTAATCTTGCAAATTATTAAAACTCTGAGTGCCTCTATTTTCACATCTGTGAAATAAGAACAACTATAACACCTAACTTTTAGAGCTAATGGGGGATTAAATCAGTCAATACATGTAAAGTGCTTATATATAACACAGTAAGTGCTAAGTATTTGTAATTAACATACACATAGTCACTGGCAGCAAAGGCATGTCTTTTTGTACTAAATGAGCCTTCCCAAATGTCAGTGCATCCTGAGAAGCTGTGCTATGACAAATAGAGGATTCATTTTGTTTAGTCTGGAGGTTTAAAAATAATACATGCCTAATAGGTTTCTCTTCCTCTTTCCCCTTTTCCTCAAGGCCACAGCCAAGGTTAGGAAAGGTGGATCTGGAACATACTGATTAGCTTGAAAAAGATAAGAGAGTGAGTGAGCTCCAACACTGGTTGAGCCTGTCATCTAGGTCTTCCTAGGGCAGGAGTCATTCCCAATGAATTTGCTCCCTGGCTTATTTTGTCCAGCTGATAGAGAGAGGAAAAGAAAAAGGATGATGATGAAGAGGAGGGAAGAGAGAGAAAAATAAAGAGAATTGGTTTAGAGAATCTGGGCCTCTCTCTGGAGTAGGAGCCAACCCTTGGCCCCATCGTTCCTCTTCCACCTCTTAGAAGGGAATGTGGTAGCCAGAGAGATGCCTGGACCTTCTGCAAAGTATAACTTGCCCTCAAGTTTGAACTACCTTGTCTCATGAGTTGCATGAAAGGAAGAGAACCCATAGAATGAAAGCTCAATAAGAATCAGGCAGATTGGGCCTTCTCTTAGGAAAAGAAGGCCAGCCCCTCACTCCTTCTTACCTTTCTGACCTTATAAAAGAAAATGCATTCAGGCTGGGCGCGGTGGCTCATGCCTGTAATCCCAGCACTTGGGGAGGCCGAGGTGGGCGGATCATGAGGTCAGGAGATCAAGACCATCCTAGCCAACATGGCGAAACCCCATCTCTACTGAAGTAAAAAAAATTAGCTGGGCGTGGTGGCGCGTGTATGTAGTCCCAGCTACTCACGAAGCTGAGGCAGGAGAATCGCTTGAACCCGGGAGGCGGAGGTTGCAGTGAGCCGAGATCGCGCAACTGCACTCCAGCCTGGCGACAGAGTCTCAAAAAAAAAAAAAAAAAAAAAGAAAATGCATTCCAAGAACCCAAGGGAGGGATCCTCAGAACTGCAGAGCACTGCAGAAGTTTGTGGGCGGGGGGGAGCCATGGACATTGTTGTTTAGTTTAGCACTTCTCAAACTTTGCTGTGTGTCGAATCACCTGGAAATTTTGTTAAAACACATGGGTGGGGCTGAGATTCTGCATTTCTAACAAGCTCCCAAGTGACCCCATCTCTGCTGGACTGAGGAGTTCAATTTGAGTACAGTCTTCTAGATGAATGGTGTCCTAGAGCTGCATGATATAATAGTTTCCTGCCAACCTACTACCTCCTTGATAATGTGGCCCATCTGTGTACACTTAAACCTGGCCACTTGCGTCTTGGATACAGAGTGACAAGAAATGCCCTAGTCCTTGATTCTGATCCCGAACTTTGAAAGAAAGAAGAAGGAACAAAGAGTACAAAGGTTCTTATCTTGGCCAACCAGTTATGTGAGTGATTTTTTTCCATTCCATTCACAAGCTAGAATTGGCTGAAGGAAGCCTAATATGATTATCACAGCTTGGTGACATTTTATGAACTCTTGTCTTACGCCTTAAATTCGAGGATGTGAAATAAGATTATTTGTCATCTTCCTGATGACACGAGAACTCCAAATGACATCTTTAAAAATCTTATCCTTATGACTACCCAAATCTTATTAGTCTTTCAGTTTAGCTATCATGAATTGCACAACTTCTATATATCAGCGCTTTACATACACACTTTTATTTAATTTTTCCCCTCAAATATTTCAAGATAGACATCATCACTTCAATGTTACAGATAAAGGAATTGAGGCTCAAAGAGATCACATAGTTTGCCCCAGGTTACCTGGCTGAGGCAGGATAGGAAGCTAGGTGTGTCTTACTTCATTTCCTTTCTCTTTTCACTACCTGTCTCAGAGATAACAGGATAATTATTTTAAAATTAAGAAGAATTATTCATACCTGTAATCCCAGCACTTTGGGAGGCCGAAATGGGCAGATCACGAGGTTAGGGGTTCGAGACCAGCCTGGCCAACATAGTGAAACCCCGTCTCTACTAAAAATACAAAAAAAATTAGCCAGGCATGGTGGCGGGTGCCTGTAATCCCAGCTACTTGGGAGGCTGAGGCAGGAGAATGGCTTGAACCCAGGAGGTGGAGGTTGCAGTGAGCCGAGATCACGCCATCACACTCTAGCCTGGGCAACAGAGCAAGACTCCGTCTCCAAAAAAAAAAAGAAAAAAAAAAGAAGAATTATTCATTATTTAGAAACAATTTAAATCTCACAGTTGTTTGATATCCACTGACTTCCTTGATATGAATTTACTGCAAAGCTATTGAAGCTTAAGTTTCAAGGACCATTCACTCGCAAAAGTGCCTTCTAAGCCTCTGTATCTATTTTTATTCATAATTTTGTATCCTTTGTTTGGAAAAAGTGCCCCCCAACCTTAAAAACTTTGGTCTCCACAGAATTTGGGTCTGGATGCTGTCAGATGCATAAATCCTCTTTTACAACATTCCCAGTAAGTCATAGTTGAGGCTGTGCTTGAATGCCTCTGATTCAGACGAGTTCACCGCCTCAAGGGAGTTTGTTTCATTTCAGATCATTCTCATTCTTTAGGATTTATGCATTTAAATTATTTATCCTTTTACCAACATTTCTCCAACCCAGAAGTTCTTTTTATATTGTGCCAAAATCTACCTCCTGCCAACATCCATTTATTGATCTTAGTTCAGTCCTCTGAAACTACAGTAAGTCCTTACTTAACATCATCAATAGGTTCTTGGAAACTGTGACTTTAAGAGAAACAACAAACCAATTTTACCATAGGCTAATTCATATAAACAAGTGTTAAGTTTCCATGGCATATTTCTGGTCACAAAAACATTGCCAAACTTAAATAAAGACCCCAAACAGGCGAGGCATGGTGGCTCACACCTGTCATCCCAGCACTTTGGGAGGCTGGGGCTGGAGGATCACCTAAACCCTGGAGTTCCAGCCTACAATGCCATGATCGTGCCACTGCACTCCAGCCTGGGGTCAGAGCAAGACCAGACACTTCTAGTATTAAACATTGAAATAAATGTGAGCTACATATACATTTAAGAAAGATTAATAAAACAATGTAATGTTTACCTGCTTATTTTAGTTCAGGGTCAAAGGTGGTTGGAGCTTATCCCCAAAGCTCAGAGCCAAGGTGGGAACTAACCTTGGACAGGATGCCTTCCTGTGGCAGAGTGCACTCACACACACACACACTCACTCACTCACACCAAGACCATGTAGATATGACGATTCACCTAACGGGCACAATTTTGGGATGTGGGAGGAAAACCAGAGGACTGCAGAAAACCCATACAGTCATGGGGAGCACGTGCAGACTCCACACAGAGTGGCCTTGCTGGGAATTCATTTCTTTTTCTCATCAGTGTTACAATAAAACGATGTTGAATGAAACAGCGTTATTTGAGGATCTACTGTACCTAAAGTAAACCTAATCCCTCTTCATGAATAGGCCTGAAATATTTGAAGACTGTTACAGTACCCTTTCCAAAATCATCCACCATCCTTAAAACCATTCTCGTCTCTTGCCATCCTGGCCCATCTTTTCTTCCAGTTGTTGCTGTCCTTCTTAAAAAACATTCTGGATTTGGCTTGACTAACAGAGAACAAAGCAACCCTACTGCTATACTAATTTGTTGAAGACTTTGCATTCATCACTATGGAAATGTATTACTGATATTATATTTGACTCCGTGTTGCAACTTGCCCAATTACATGGTACCCTGATTTTGTTTCCACCCCAGCCTTCACAGTCCTGAGAAACACTTCCTACTTTTCTTTTGGTTATGTTGTTCACATTCACATGATCTGTCAGGAGTTGGCCAAAGATTTGGCAGGACTTAACAAGAAGGCTTCTTGGCATATTCCAGACACATTATCTGAGAAGACAGCACACCTACAAGTGTCCTCGCACAAAACACCACTGTGTCTATGATGCATGACAGACATTAACCCCTTTCATAATCATACTTTAACCCAAATTTTCTCAAACCACTTACCACCTTTGGAAAAAAATATTTGTGGGCAGAGCTCATTGAACAGGATAATTATACGTATTTTTTTCTTTTTTGGTCACATTTGCCATTTATGTCCTTTTCTACACGGAGTTCTCTCAACCTTTTGCCTTCTGTTTTTGTTTTTTTCCCAATATTCCATCTGTTTTGTCTAGGAACTCGTTACCTTCCCTGGTGTGTAGAGATGGAGAAGCACCCCAACTCCTGTATCATGTTCCTTGAGTGCACAAGCCACACTCAGGTGATACGCCCCTTTGGAGGGAAGCCAACCCATGTATGCCTGCAGTTTTCAATCTTGCTACTCTCCTTGCCACACTCTTTCTCCTGCATCCCAGCCCTTCTTCTCCTCCTACATTTCTTCTACATTACCTTAAAGAGCCCTTCTCATCTCCCTAATGCCTTTTCCTTTTGTTAGACAAACTCAAGTCTTTTAGGTCTAGAAGTTAGTAAACTTCAGAGTTCAGATCGTTTTGGAGATAAAAGGAGACTTCCCCACCCTCTTACATTAAATTTGAACTGCTTTCTGTAAGCTTTATAGTAAATTGCTTTTAAAAAACAAAAATGTATATAGACCCTAAAGTCCAAAAAGGTTGATGACCCCAGAAGCTATTATTTCCTCACTACATACAGGGGAACAGCAAAATCAAGGTTTAATTTTCATGAAAGATGGTTTAAACACTGTAAACCAGAAGGAAAGAAATTCAAATTAATTATTAAGTACCTGCCATCGAGATTACCTTATTTAACTTTCTTACTAACTCTATATGGTAGAAATTATTATGAAGATTTTTACATACTAATGAGGAAACTCTGAGAGGTTAAGTAACTCACTTGAGAACTAAGATGGTAGCCCTTGCTTGCCTGGTTTCAAAGCCAGCTAAGTTTTACCCTACTTGACCTCACTCACTTTGGAATGGCTATTAGCCAAGCTGCATGAACTCTATTAATGATACTCTAAAAAAATTTGTATTTTCATGGCCCCACAAAAATATGAGTGGGCTTAAAGGGTAGTGGCTTGACAAACCAGAAAACAATCCTGAGTAGTTTAAAATGAATACTTCCCATCTTCTTTATACTTCATTTTTAAACTTTGAATTCACTTATAGATGAACTTGATATTTGTTCCTCTGAGCCTTGTTTGACTACTGTATTTAAACTAAGAATCTGTTATAAAAAAACAGAGTAGGCTTTGTACACAACTGTTCTTGTTATTAGAAAGCAGAATTAAACTAAAACCTAAAGAGTAAAATCTCTTGCAATGGCAGATATTCTTAAATATCTAGTTTCCAGTTGATTCATTTAGTTATTTTAAGGGTGTTGGTATAAATTCTATAAATGTCCCAGGGCAACTTTTGTCTTTTTTGTTTCAAATAATTTCAACTTTTATTTTAGATTCAGGGGGTTACATGTGTAGGTTGGTTACATGGGTATATTGCATGGTGCTGAGATTTGGGGTATGACTGATCCAAGGGAGACTTTTGAACAGTTTAGAATAACAAAATTACAGACCCTTGGGTTTTAAATTAACATTCGATTTATTAAAGTCACAGTTTTGTTCCTCAGGCCTTCAAGTCCAATTTTCACACCTTATTGGTCAATTTTTAAGTCTATAAGTATTTGAATAAAATAATAATTTTTACCCAATATTTGATTTAATGCTCTATTAATCTCAAAATAAACACAAAAATTTTAAAAATAATTTCATGTATGTAATTTATTAATTAGTTCAAACTACTTTCCTAAATTTAATACAATTAATTCTTCCAAGCATTTTTTGGTTAAACAATTTTTTTGCCTGTGACACAGCCCTCAGGAGATCCTGAGAACATGTGCCCCCTTCCAAGCATTTTAAATGCCTGAAATGGCAAAGTCATAGCCCTAACATTCAAATGACATTTATGAAATAGCTATCAGTCTTTGGAGCTAGGAAATGCTTTGCTATCTCTGAGAAACTGGCAATTTTTTTCTTTCTGATATGCAATTACACAACCAACCATGTTTCTGTACTTGCTGTGGCTGCTAGGAAGCTCAGGGTCAAAATTAAAGCTCAGATGAAACATATACATTGACACTATTGGTCATGTTTGTTTTCTCTTTTTCATTGGAACTGATTTTCTATTTCAATTTATATTTTACTATTTTATTACCTATGACTCAAGTTCTTTAGAGAAGAAAAATATTATCAATGAAAATAAATCAGGAAATAGAACCTGAATGTTATTATCACTGGCTGCCCTTGGATAGTTAAGAGAATCCATAACTATCATTAAAAATCAATGCCTGCAGCTGCTAGGGAGACTATCTGTTAATAATATTGGGAGTGCTTCCTCTGGGATACATTCCTCTAGCCCCCTTCTTAGTGAATTTCATAGTTTATGTTTTAATTCAGGCCATTCCATTTATTTTCCAAATCTGATAAAAAGAAAAATTGCTGTAATTTTGCTGTGATGGGGTAACTCCATTTTATTTGTGTAGTTCTAATAAAGCTTTACAATTCATTGACACAGTAAGTATGTATCAAATGCTTACCATGGGCCAGGCATTCTTCTAGGCATTTAGGATTTACGTGCATATGCCAGGGGCATGGGTGGGGTTATGGTGGAGGGGTAGGAGGTAGAGGAAGCAGAAAATAATTATCCACTCCTATTATAGTGGATGCTGCCTAAATAGTACAAAAGGTAACATATCCCTGTGTATATAATATATAAACATGTTTTTGTTTGTTTGTTTTGTTTGTTTTTCAGATGGAGTCTCACTCTGTCGCCCAGGCTGGAGTGCAGTGGTGTGATCTTGGCTCACTGCAACCTCCGCCCCCTAGGTTCAAGCGATTCTCCTGCTTCAGCCTCCTGAGTAGCTGGGGTTACAGGCACACACCACTACACCCAGCTAATTTTTGTATTTTTAGTAGAGACGGGGTTTCACCATGTTGGTCAGGCTGGTCTCGAACTCCTGACCTCGTGATCCGCCCACCTCAGCCTCCCAAAGTGCTGGGATATAAATATGTTTTAATAAACTGTGAAAAGCATTCATTTAGGTTAAGAATAACCTTTCTAAAATAGAGCTAAAAGTACATTATACAAAATATGTGGCAAAAGATAAAAGTTAATAAATTGGGGCCGGGCGCAGTAGCTCACGCCTGTAATCCCAGCACTTTGGAAGGCTGAGGCGGGTGGATCACCTGAGGTCAGGAGTTTGAGACCAGCCTGGCCAACATGTCGAAACCCCATCTCTACTAAAAATATAAAAATTAGCTGGGCGTGGTGGTGGGCGCCTGTAATCCCAGCTACTCAGGAGGCTGAGGCAGGAGAATCGCTTGAACCTGGAAGGCGGAGACTGCAGTGAGCCAGATTGCACCACTGCACTCCAACCTGGGCAACAGATTGAGACTCCATCTCTAAATAAATACACAAATAAATAAATAAATATTGGAAAAATATATTAGCAATACAAATGACAAGCAAAGCCTTAATCTTACAAAATACACTTAGCTCCTGAAAATGGGTAAGAGAAATACAAATAATACTATAAAAAATAAAAGAGGCAAGAATATGAACAGGCAGTTTGCTGCAGTGGGAATTGTACATGGCCAGTGGGAATTGTACAAATGCAAAGATGCTCAACCCCTCTAGCAGCCAGGTCAATACATTCTTCACCCATCAGAGCTGCAGTAGTTTATGAGGTTTGGAATAATCTATGCTGGTAAAACTATAGGAAAATGAGCATTTTCACACTTACTGGGTGACTATATGAAATAAAAAACTTTTTCATGCAGTAATCTTACAGTATATATTAAGATTTTAAATATCCACTTTGTGTCAGCAATTCCACTGTTGGAAACCTCTCTAGTAAAACAAAAGTAACAACATAAAAGAATATTTTTACAAGTACTGGTGTAACTAAGTTTATTACAATTTATGGTTTATTACAATTTATGGTAGGGTGAAAACTGGCTATCAATCCAGGTATTTTTATTGAATAAAATATGTTCATATCACAGAACAGTATGTTGTATTAAAATAGTAATTTCAATTTATATATTTTTTAACCTGGTGAGATGGCCATAATATATTAAGGTAAAAAATCCAAGTTTGCATATATATGTTGTGTGTGTGTGTGTGTGTGTGTGTGTGTGCAATTTTATGTTAAAAATCTCATAAACACACATATATGATATGTGTAAACTAGAGAAAAGTGAGAAAGGATATACTATCAGTTAACATTGATGAATTCAGTGTTTGGAATAGAGGTAGATAGAATAGAGAGGCCTTTCACTCATACACCTCTGTGTACTGCTTGTGGAAACTAGCATAATTTAGTAATAATATTAATAATAATGATTAAAATGACAGCCAACATTTAATGAGAGTTTACCAGAGACTATTCTAAAAAATCTTTTAATCTCATTCAATTCCTGAAACAACCTCATGAGATGGTAATATTATCATTTTCACTGTTTTATAAATGAAGGAATGAGGCTCAGAGGGGTTGAAGTCACTTGCCCAAAGGTTGTACTTTTAATAAGCAGCAGACCAGAATATAAATCTGAGTGGTTTTATCCAATGAAAGATTATTAATGAAAAAATAATAAATTGAGTATCTGGAATTGGCATATTTTGGAAAGTTACAATTGTAAATACAATAGGCATTTTTGCTCTATATTTTCATGATTTTAAATCGTCAACTTTATTTTTTATCTATTTTTGAGACAGGGTCTTGCTCTGTCACCCAGACTGGAGTGCAGTGGTATCATCACAGCTCACTGCAGCCTCAACCTCCCAGGCCCAAGCGATCCTCCCACCTCAGCTTCCTTAGTAGTTGTGACAACAGGTGCATGCCACCACACCCAGCTTTTTTTTTTTTTTTTTTTTTTTTTTAGTTTTTCTAGAGACATGGTGTTACTATATCACCCCAGGCTGGTCTTGAACTCCTGAGCTCAAGTGATCTTCCCACCTCAGACTCCCAAGCTGTTGGGATTACAGAAATGAGCCACTGCACTTGGCAATCACCAAGTTCATATATAACCTTAGGGAAATTAATTCATCTATGTCTTAACGTCCACATTGACCAAATATCTTTTATGGCAACAATAATAAGCCACATTATACTCCTTTGCACATATAGATTGATAGAAAATATTGAACAGTTGTATATGCTATGTTCCAATAACTGCCAATAGCTATTAATTGTGTTCTAATGTGAATTAACTATACATGTAACTGGGCTGAAATAATAAACTTCACACATTTAAAAATTGTGAATTAAATCTTCTCTGAAGTTGTACATGGGCAGACTATGAGAAAGCTAAATGCATGCATGTGAGGAATAGCAAGGCCATCTACTTATCTACTAAACACAGCACTCTGCAGGTTTATCTTGATTCACTTGCTAGTGACAGTTATATATATATGTATATGAATATCCCAATTACATTACACTTAAACTTTCTAAAACTTTCTCTCCTTCCTGAAAACAATTATTGTTGGCTAAGGAATTTATTTTTAATGTGATTTTATATTCTACCAGGGCCTTATTATGGTAACAACTATGCATGGTCCAGATGTACTAAGGAGGCTATTTGTTCTAAGTGAAATACGTTCACTGAGTCCTGTGTCTAATTTCTGGTTGGCTATACTCTCAGTTAATACACTTTTGAGCAAAGGTGGACGTTAAGCTTTGACTATTCTCTGGTTTATGGTCTCTCCAAATCTTTGCTATCTGCTTCCCAAATACAAAATGATTTGTATAACTTTCGGAGGGTGCTAGGAAAAAAAAAAAAAGAAAAAAAAAATGAAGCAGCTTAACAGTTATTTAAAGAGTAGCTTCCTGGCTGGGGGCAGTGGCTCACACCTGTAATCTCAGCACTTCGGGAGGCCGAAGCTGGTGGATCACGTGAGGTCAGGAGATCGAGACCAGCCTGACCAACATGGTGAAACCCCATCTCTCTAAAAACACAAAAATTAGCCAGGCATGGTGGCAGCCACCTATAATCCCAGCTACTTGGGAGACTGAGGCAGGAGAATCACTTGAACCTGGGAGGCGGAGGTTGCAGTGAGCCAAGATCACACCATTGCACTCCAGCCTGGGGAACAAGAACAAGACTTCGTCTCAAAAAAAAAAAAAAAAAAGAAACTTCCTAAAAGAGACACTCAAATACAGTCCCTTTTTCTCATTTATGCCATGAACTAGTGTCCAAGTCCCCTCCTTGGCAAGTCCCCTCATTGTTCCCCAACCCTCTGGATCTCTCAATTCCACAACTACAAGGATAATTCGTGGCAGAGGACTTCTACCTCTAGGACACTATTTCAGCTTTATGGACGTGTTTGAGCTGAATGGTCAGTGCTTAGTGTCATTAAATATTTCACATACAAATGCTGATTTCCTCTGTGTGTGTACACACTGGGCCATATGTAAAATATACTTATTCCTTTTTTTATTTTTTGAGACGGAGTCTTGTTCTGTCGCCCAGGCTGGAGTGCAGTGGCATGATCTCGGCTCACTATAGCACCCGGCTCACTATAGCACCCGGCTCACTGCAGCCCCTGACTCCCAGGTTCAAGGGATTCTCCTGCCTCAGCCTCCCGAGGCACTTGCCACCACGGCTGGCTAATTTTTGTATTTTTAGTAGAGATGGGACTTCACTATGTTGGCCAGGCTGGTCTTTAACTCCTGACCTCAAGTGATTCACCCAGGCTAGTCTTGAACTCCTGAACTCAAGCGATTTGCCCACCTTGGGCTCCCAAAGTGCCGGGATTACAGGCATAAGCCACCGCGCCTGGCCCAGGGTCATAAATTTTTAAAAAGTACACACTGGGCCAGCCATGATGTAAAATATATTTATTTCTGTGGGTCATAATTTTTTTAAAAGTTTGAAAGCCACTGTTTTCTAGGCAATAATGAGCATAGGAAGGAATGTTTTTAGACTGCTTCCTCAGGGAAAAGACCACCCTCGCAGGCCTGAGGCCGAGTATTTTGTTGAATTTATATTTACAATGTTGAAGAAAAAAATAATTCAGGATACTTGTTAAAGACAGCAATAAAGACTTTAGTCAAGGAGAGACTATCCAATGGGGTCTTGCAGTGGGAGAGAGAGATTGGGCTCAACTATGAATACAAAGACAACTAGAGATCTGAAGCCAAGGAGCAGGATGGAGTCAGTGGATGGAAAATTACTAAGGGGAAATTTCCAGAATAAAGGAGGATTCTGGCTAAACCAATTTAATGGGGTTATTGCTGAAGGCAGGCCAGGGTGCTAAGATATCGAGAACAGGGGATAAGGAATTTGATGAGATACCAAGTATGGTCAAATATTAAGGGTGAGGCGTTTTTACCCAACCAACCCAGCAGGATTCTTGCTAAAACTGGACTAAATGAACAAAGCCACTAAACTAAGGACAGAGTTCCAGGTCAGGACCTAGTCAGAAAGAGGACTTAGAATAACCAGATTAAAGTTTGGTCAAAGGAGAGAGTCTTTGTCAATATTACCTCCCTAGCAAAACTCGCTTTCCACCGGGTATCACACTGAGGACTTTTGGTTGTTATCTTCAAATAGAAGAGAGCAGAGGAAGGAAAAGCAAGCTCTTTCCTGATTCTTCTAAGGTCACCAATCTCATTCATGAGGACTCCAAATTTAATCCTAATTATCTCCCAGAGACCCTACCTTCTAATTTCTAATACCATCACACTAAGGGGTAGAATTTTTCCTTCCTTCCTTCCTCCCTCCCTTTCCCCTCTCTCCCTTTTTTTTTCTTTCTTTTTTTTTTTTTTTTTTTTGACACAGTCCCACTCTGTTGCCCAGGTTGGAGTGCACTGGTGCCATCTTGGCCCAATGCAACCTCCGCCTTCTGGGCTCAAGTGATCCTCCCGCCTCAGCCTCACAAGAAGCTGGGACTACAGGACAGCGCCACCACGTCGGCTAATTTTTGTAGAGCCTGGGTTTCACCATGTTGCCTAAACTGGTCTGGAACTGCTGGGCTCAAGTGATCCGCCCGCCTTGGCCTCCCAAAGAGCTGGGATAACAGGAGTGAGCCGCGCCCCGTGTAGAATTTCAACACATGAATGGGGAAGGGGGCAGAGAACACAAACATTCAGTCCATAACAGCCAGGGACTAGAAGACTTTGGTCCACCATAAAAAGCAGGACTTATGTTTCATGGATACCAGTATTCCCACTTATCTATAGGGTGGAGAATATTTAGGACTTTGCAGATTCATACTGATGGTAAGCATTATTATTATTATTATATATTTTTTGAGACGGAGTCTTGCACTGTCGCCCGGGGTTGGAGTGCAATGGCGTGATCTCAGCTCACTGCAACCTCCACCTCCCGGGTTCACGCGATTCTCCTGCCTCAGCCTCGCGAGTAGCTGGGATTACAGGCGCACACCACCACACCTGGCTAATTTTTTGTATTTTTAGTAGAGACAAGGTTTCACTATGTTGGCCAGACTGGTCGCAAACTCCTGACCCCCTGATCCACCCGCCTCGGCCTCCCGAAGCATTATTTTTAATCTATGGTTCAGAGTCAGTGACATTGCCTCTCTGAAGCAGGTTTTCCAAACGAAAACGACAATGAAAGCCCCAATTCATAAGACTGCAAAATGTCTTCATTTATCTTGGTGAACTGGGAGGAGGAGGGGACCTGAGGATAGAGACAGTATATACGTAAATGTAAGAAGCACTTTTGAGCTTTCTATATTGTACACGATGGGGAAAAAGCACGTTGTTCAGGGATCTCTGGCTCATTGTATAAGATGGGGTAGACAATACCATGTAATTCTTTATTCGAATTGCTTTGTCTTGCTGCATGGCTTTGTCATCAGCTGATTTTGCAATTACCTTAACAAGCAAAGGAAATGCCAGTCAAGTTCAGCATCTGGGACCTCCTCACCATTGCAACATGTCAGGCCTCAGGCAGGAGACAAAAATGCCCAAGGCTGAGTGTGAAGCCCAGGTAAGAAGTGAGACAATGGCTTTGAGCCTGGGGTGTAAGCATGCCTTGTTCCCAAGGCCAGTATTTACATGTGGGGTCACTTCCACCTTTGGTACAGTTAATCAGGCGCTGATTACGTTCCATGGCATCATCCTGACTTCAGGACTTTGTAGGAAAGCTGAGGCAGGACACTGCTCAAGTGCATTTGACAGTAAGATGCTTTGTGCAGCCAGATGTTAATTCCACTTGCCCTTACGCTTGCTTACGCTACACCGTAAGCGGGGCTGACCCTTATGGAGCTGGGCTTTTCTTCGCCCGGAGACTCTTGTCAGATAAGGCTTAGAACTCCGCCAACCACTTAGGCTTTTAGGCAAAACGCGATGCAACCCTTCTTAGAAGGCGGGTCACTGCTCTGCACCAGCTGCCAGCCAGAGAGACAACAAATAAAAATGGAAGATCCTTCTCCGTGAGAAAACAGGCCTCGGACTCAAAGCAGGGGGCCTGAGGGGAAGGTGAGCAAAGAAAGGCAAGGCGAGGGCGCTGCTTCAAGAAGCCGGGTTCATTCAAACCCCGAGGACAGCAAACCCCGCCTCCCCACGCCGCCGCCCGCTCAATCGCCGAGCGCTCCGGGTGTGAGCTCGCCCCGCGGGGAGCGGCTTGGAGCCGAGGAGGCGGCGGCAGAGGTGGTTTGGGCAGCCCCGCGCGGCGGATAGGCCCAGGCAAACAACACCCATTCCCCCTCCTCCTCGCTCAGTTCAACTCCCACTCGGCCCCGGCCACGCCCTGCCGCCACCGCCCCCTCGGGCAGCTTTCCGCTCGGCAGCCAGGCCTCGGTCGGGGGCGGGAGAGAGGCGGTGCCTCGAAGAAGGCACCGCGACCGCCGGAAACTACGAGTACCGACAGCCTTCGCGGTAGTGCCCCACCCCCTTTCTCCCACCACTCAGCGCGCGTCACCCTGGGCTCAGCCAATGGAGACAGAGCCAGGGAAAAAGGGCGCCCGGGTCCGGATGCGCCTCAGGAAAGCCATGCTCCCTGCGCGGGGGCAGCGGGCAGTTCACCCAGCGCGCCGACCTGTTGGTGGTCCGCGCGCGCCCACGTCCGCCGCTCTCGCTTGCCTGGATCAAGGGCCCTACTTTTTTCTTTAGTGGCAATTGGAGGGATTGCTGGAGGGGGTTTTTGAGTGGAGGGCGCTGGGAAATGAGTAGGGGGCGGGATATCCTGAGACAACAAGTTTGGCTGTATGGAGGGCCTACCGGCAGCGCTCCTGAGCTAGAACGCCGAGAGAAAGAGCGCCAGAGGAGCCAGGGAGGAGGAGAAGAGCTGCTAAAGGAATAACCCCGAGAAAGGGGGTGGAGAGGAGGCGGCCCCAGCGCCCCGGCCCCCGGCAGGTCGGCGGCCAATCCGCTGGGGGAAGGGGTGGAGAGTCGGAGGCTCCGGCGGAGAGAGGCCGAGGGGGGTGGGGAGTCGGCCAGGCTCGCACCGCCCTGGCCCCGCCCCCGACCCGCGCCGCCGCCCGCGCCGCGCGCCGCCGCTGTCAATCAAGGGCGAGTCAGCCGGGCTCGGGCGGAGAGAGGAGCTGCTACGCCACAGCCCAGCGGCGGCCATTCGCGGAAAAAGAGGCAGAGCCTGTGCCAGCTACAGCCTCCTCCGAGCCACCGCGGGCGGGCGGGACCGGCCTCTCCTCCCGCCTCGCCCCCACCCCCACCCACCTCTATCCCAGTGTCTCCGTCTGAGGGTTTGTCCTGTTAATGCGGGATGAGCGGTACGTATTCTCCACCCCCCTCAGTCTCCTTCGCCGCCTCCCTCTCTCCCTCCCTCCCCAGACCCTGCTCGGTTCTCCCCCCTCCCCCGGGGCCGCTGAGATGCTTTAAGGGGAGGAGGAGAGGGCGGGAGGGAATCGGGGAGGGAAGGAGGGTTGTGTTTTGTCTTAATGTCTGAGAGAGAACAACCTCCTTCTGGGTGTTGCTCTGGAGCCGATGGGTCGGGTTTCAAACCACGTTTTGTGATATCCCCCTCCTCCCTTCCCTCCTTCTCCCCCACCCCCTGCCGGTGTGCGTGGATCGCGGGTTTATGGAGATTAATGTTCGGGGGGAGGGGGGAGAAGAGGAGAGGAAGAAGACGAATAATAATAATCCTAATAACCTGTTGTCGTGTGTGTGTGGTGGGGGGGTTTGTTGCAGATCAGAAGAAGGAGGAGGAGGAGGAGGCGGCAGCGGCAGCGGCGATGGCTACAGAAGGAGGGAAAACCTCTGAGCCAGAGAATAACAATAAAAAACCCAAAACCTCAGGCTCCCAGGTAAAAGCAAACAAATTAAAAAAATTCATCACGACACATTAGGAGAGAGAGGGAGTTATGCCCTTTGAATGTCCAGAAGTAACAGAATAAAATGTTTATCCACTCAAAGCATCTTTCTGAGAGTGTGGAACTTAAATTGTAAATTCATCAAGTTTTCACCTCTTTGAGGGTATAACGCTGTTTAAAATTACATCAGGAATTCAGACTATAAGAAAACGGTGTGTGTGTTCCCAAGGGCATTTTGAGTTTAGGAACATAACACTTTACAAAGTTGTAAAGAAATTTCCTTTTATTTAAACTTGATATTATAGGACTTGCTTCCTTATTCATATAGTTCTTATCTACTTTTGTTCGTATTTCTTTTTGATTTCTGCTGCTTCCTAAATTGTTATGTAGAGCTGTCAAAATAAGTAACCCCCTGGCAACTACTGGCCTCCACTAAATCCGCCCACTTTTTTTCCCCCCCCCCTCTCCTTTACCGTCCCATTTTGGGTAGGACTCTCAGCCCTCTCCTCTGGCTTTACTGGCAGCTACTTGCAGCAAAATAGGGACTCCTGGTGAAAATCAAGCAACTGGACAACAACAAATTATTATAGATCCAAGTCAAGGATTGGTGCAACTTCAAAATCAACCACAACAGCTAGAACTGGTAACAACGCAACTTGCTGGAAACGCTTGGCAACTTGTTGCCTCCACTCCTCCTGCTTCAAAAGAGAATAACGTTTCTCAACCAGCCTCTAGTTCGTCTAGTTCTTCCAGCAGTAATAACGGGAGTGCATCTCCTACAAAAACTAAATCAGGTAATTCTTCCACCCCTGGTCAATTTCAAGTCATACAAGTACAAAATCCAAGTGGTAGTGTACAGTACCAAGTAATTCCACAACTTCAGACAGTGGAAGGTCAACAAATTCAAATCAATCCAACTAGTAGTTCATCTCTACAGGATTTGCAGGGTCAAATTCAGCTCATTTCTGCAGGTAATAATCAAGCTATACTCACAGCTGCTAACAGGACAGCTTCTGGGAATATTCTTGCTCAAAACCTGGCAAATCAGACAGTTCCGGTCCAAATTAGACCTGGTGTTTCAATACCACTGCAGTTACAGACTCTTCCTGGTACTCAGGCTCAAGTTGTAACAACCCTACCAATTAACATTGGAGGAGTGACTCTAGCTTTGCCAGTGATAAACAACGTGGCTGCCGGAGGAGGGACTGGGCAGGTTGGCCAGCCTGCTGCTACTGCTGATAGTGGGACTTCCAATGGGAATCAATTAGTTTCCACACCCACCAACACCACTACTTCTGCCAGTACTATGCCAGAATCTCCCTCCTCCTCCACTACCTGCACAACCACTGCTTCAACGTCTTTGACAAGCAGTGACACATTAGTGAGCTCAGCAGATACTGGCCAGTATGCAAGCACATCAGCCAGTAGTTCTGAACGCACCATTGAAGAATCTCAAACACCTGCTGCTACTGAGTCTGAAGCCCAGAGCTCCAGTCAGCTTCAGCCTAATGGAATGCAGAATGCACAGGATCAATCAAATTCTCTTCAGCAGGTGCAAATTGTAGGCCAACCTATCTTACAGCAGATCCAGATCCAACAGCCTCAGCAACAGATCATTCAGGCTATTCCACCACAGTCGTTTCAACTCCAGTCAGGGCAGACGATTCAGACCATCCAGCAGCAGCCTTTACAGAATGTTCAACTTCAAGCAGTAAATCCGACTCAGGTGCTTATCAGGGCTCCAACTTTAACACCTTCAGGGCAAATCAGTTGGCAAACTGTACAGGTTCAGAATATTCAGAGTCTTTCAAATTTGCAAGTTCAGAATGCTGGGTTATCCCAACAATTAACCATCACCCCAGTGTCTTCAAGTGGTGGCACAACTCTTGCTCAGATTGCTCCTGTGGCTGTTGCTGGTGCCCCAATAACTTTGAATACTGCCCAGCTTGCATCAGTGCCTAACCTTCAGACAGTGAGCGTTGCCAACCTGGGTGCTGCAGGTGTTCAAGTGCAGGGAGTTCCCGTTACAATCACTAGTGTTGCAGGTAAGTTCTGACATCTTTTTAAGTACCTTTTAAATAGTTTTTCATAACAATTATTGCTTTTCTCTCCTAATTCTAAGGTTTGACGTAGACCTCTGAAGTAAACACACAATCATAAGGAACCAGAAATAGCAATATTATACTAACAAACATAGCTCTGTAGTAATCAATGTGACATGTTCACTTTTGTAGATTTTATAATAATGTGTTAAATTTGTTAGTTTTTTAAAAAGTATTGTTTTATGGGACAGAGCTTTCTGATTAGAATCATAATTGCCTTCTGTAATTTAGTGGTCTTATTTGAGTACATTCCAGCTCTTCAGAAAGAACCCTAGTCGAAATGATATTTATCTCTTCTTTGAGGGAAAGTAGTTTTAAACTGAATTGGTATATATAATTGTGAGTCTGTTGAACTTTTAATTCTGTGGTGTAATAAGGCTAACTTTTTTTTAGTGGAAGTTATTTCTCAAGCTTCAGCATCTTGTCGCCCATGCTTTTGTGTTTTATTACACTGGTTTTAAACTAGATACTGATGCAGTTGAGAGATAATTTTAAGTTGTAAATTGTTTGGTTAACTTTTATGCCTACTTTTATGCTACTATCAGGATTTGAATGAATAATCCTTCATTTATAAAATTATATTTAATTAAATCATGGTCATTGTGTGATTTGTAGATGTTTAATGTAAGGTTGGTGGAAAGCAATGAAAAATGTTGACAGTAAAATGTCACTAATTTGAATTAATTGTGGTAAAGTTATTTTTAAACCTATTGTAAAAGCAGTTGTTATTTGTTATGCATATAAATAGCTCCTTCTGAAGTACTTGGGAAGTAGTTTTAATCTTTTTTGGACCAGTCTTATTGTACCTAATAACTTTTGTTTTCTAGTAATTAAACCCTTTTCATTGATTCTGATTTGATGAAAACCTCGTTGTGTTTTAGTGCCTTTGATACTTCCAGACCTTGTTAGTTAAATATTTCTATTTTGATAATGTGGGATAAATAAGTTTATCACTTTTGAATGATCTTTCTTGAAACAAGTTGCAGAAAAATTACGCTAGGGTTCTTCTTTTATGGTTAATACCTGAAGTAGGCATATATATGTAAAATTGTAAATTGCCAGATAAAGCCTTCTGATTCAGGAGAACCGAGATTATATTTTTTATCTAGATACCAGTGCTTCTAGGCCAGCGCTATCCAGCAGAACTGTCTGTGATGTTGGAAATGTTTATGTTTTCTATCTACCTAGCTACATGTGGCTGTTAAGCAGTTAAATGTGTGTGGGGCAACTGAGGAACTGAATTTTAAATTTTATTTAATTTTAATTTAAGTAGCCACATGTGGCTAGTGGCAAGGACAGTCATCTAGTTAGTGTTTCCATTGCGGTACTTTTTCTCCTAAAACTATTACAGCGTAATTACATAAATGTTTCTCTGGATTACAATCCTTAACTTGCTTTATTTCTACTCCTTTGCTAAAAACTTTGACAATAATTGTAGTATTTCAGAAAAGTGTTTTTGGTGGGTTGAATGACAGTTTGCATTGTCAAAGCAGAAGTTACTTCACTTCCATTTCATCTTGCTTATTAAGCATTAGTGAGTTGTGATTAATTAAGAGAATTAACTTATAATTTAGGTTAGAAGTAATCAATTTTTCTGCTCTCTAGTTGATAACTTTTGCAATCCAGAGGTTTTTCCCTTAGCCATTGTGAGGGTAAAGAAATGTTTTGGCCAACCAAACTTAGATTAACTTGAATGGTGCATTAAAATAAACACAGGATCCAGTTTTTGGTACTGTAAGTTTTGAATTGTGGGGGTCAAGGGATTTGCCTTTCAAACAAACTTTCCAGGTGATTGTAAAACTCACTGAAGTGGCTGGGTGTGGTGGCTCATCCCTGTAATCCCAACACTTTGGGAGGCCAGGGTGGGAGGATTGCTTGAGCCCACTAGTTCAAGACCAGCCTGGGCAACATAGGGAGACCCCGTCTCTACAAAAAATTTAAAAAAATTAGCTGGGTGTGGTGGCACACCTGTGGTCTCAGCGTCTTGGGAGGCTGAAGTAGGAGGATCGCTTGTACCCGGGGGATCCAGGCTGCGGTGAGCTGTGATTGCCTCACTGCACTCCCACCTGAGTGACAGAGCGAGACCCTCTCTCAAACAAACAAACTCACTGAAGTTTGAGAATCAAGTGTCTGGTCATCAGCAGTGAACCAGAAGACAGAATATGGAAGCAAGTGGGGGTGTTGAGCTAGTTCGTTTGTGCCTCAGAGAACAGATTTTGGTGGCAACTACAACTTTTTAGTTTTTATTTCACAAGTGTGTATTGAGATGGCTACTGTATGCTGAACACTGCCAATAGGTGTGGTTATTCCTTCATTTTCAGGGATAATTTTTTCACTTAAAGGATTTACATGATTTGGGTGGTTCTGTTTTAAGTAGAGGAGGAAATTTGAACTCTACATAGTTGGATTCTTTTCCCCCTGAAACCAAAGATTTAAAATTTTGTCGATGTTGTTTATGTTCTAATAAATATGCTCAATCCTTTTAAAAAGACAGCAGTCTGACAAAGACCAGAAGTGTACCTTGCTTGATGTCTGCAAGTCAATACAGTTAATCTAGGCCTAGTTTGCAGATTTTACCCCATTGCCTAGCTTAGTAGGTGCTTGACAAATGCTCTTTGAACTAAGGTATAAAAGATGATGGAGAAAATAGCACTTTGTAATTAGGAGTAATGCCTTGGAATGGTTTTAATGAAGCTAATGAAACAACTTTGTTTTCATTAATTTCTTTTGGCTTTGCATTTGTAAGACACTAAGAGTGGGCCGGGTGCAGTGGCACACGCCTGTAATCCCAGTACTTTGGGAGGTCAAGGCAGGTGGATCACCTGAGGTTGGGAGTTCGACACCAGCCTGACCAACATGGAGAAACCCTGTCTCTACTAAAAATACAGAATTAGCTGGGCGTGGTGGCACATGCCCGTAGTCCCAGCTACTCAGGAGGCTGAGGCAGGAGAATCACTTGAACCCAGGAGGTGGAGGTTGTTGCAGTGAGCCGAGATCGCGCCATTGCACTTCAGCCTGGGCAACAAGAACGAAACTCCATCTCAAAAAAAAAAGAAAGAAAAAAAAGACACAAAGAGTGAGACACCAGGAACTTTTCTGTCTTGACAAGGGGGAGAAGGAGCAATAAGTACCCATATCGCCCTTTTATAAATGAGCCCTGAAAGTTCAGATCTTTTACTTTGTGTCCCCATTCATCTGTAAGTACTTTCTTGGTCGGTTCATGTTGTTCCCCAGGAGAATGGTATTGTTTAATTTGTGGGGAAAATTTTGCTCGAAATTTTTATGAGAAGCCTTGAAAAATTAGTAGCTTTGACGGAATGTAATTGCTAGCTCAAGGACAATGAGCTAAAACTCTCCACCATCCACTATTCTCATTTTACTCTTCAGGAGATTAAGGGAAGTCTAGATGACATGAACAGAAAAAAGTAAAATCATACAAGGTAAATCTAATGAAACCAGTACTTGAAGCTGGGGAGCTTCATACTTCGTTTTATGAAATGAGAATGTTAGCAACAACCTAGGGGGATCCTCTTCCCATTAACAACGTGTTCAGTATAATGTGTTTCTGTGCTTTGGTCTCAGCTGTAAATCCTGACCTTCATGCTAAGCATTAGTTAGAATTGTAGTAGGAACTAAATATGTGTATGCTCTGCATACTTTTTGTTTTGTTATTGGGATTCTAAATTTAACTTAAAATTTTTTTACTTTTACTTTTAAAAAAAATAGATTT
Source organism: Homo sapiens (assembly GCF_000001405.40). NCBI lineage: Eukaryota > Metazoa > Chordata > Mammalia > Primates > Hominidae > Homo > Homo sapiens. The sequence goes on from NC_000007.14 coordinate 21,434,631, forward strand.
AGGGGGTACAAGTGCGGTTGTGTTACATGGATATATTGCATAGTGGAGAAGTCTGGGATTTTAGTGTACCCATCACCGAAATAGTGAACCTTGTACCCAACAGGTATTTTTTTCCACCCTCACCCTGCCCTCCACCTTTTGTAGTCCGCAGTGTCTGTTATTCCACCTGTATGTCCATGTGTAATCATTTTTTTTTTTTTTTTAGCTCCCACTTGTAAGTGTGAACGTGCTGAGTTTGACTTCAAAGGAAAAGCAGAAACCTTACTTTAAGCTCAAAGACAACTAATTGTACCTCTGGCTTAAGCTCCTTTATTTTAACTAAGTGAGGAGAGTTAACTACCTGTTTTCACAATGTCTTCTACTAGTCAAAGAGCCCTAAATAAAGTGAATTTCAGGTGTTACATTTCCTTAAAGACTTTAGAGCTATGTAGGAACAATTGATAGCTAAATCTGTAATTAACTTGGAGTGGTCCACAATGTGACTTATTTTTGGCAGTAATCATCATATGTAGTAACAGAGATCATACTGTAGGCCTTTTGATTGATGAATGAATATTTCTTTGTCAATTTTAGTGGAAATTAACAATATTATGCTGGTTCTCCCACAGAGGAAGTTCAGACTTAATAATAAGATACTGCTGACCCTTCAAGAACTTGACTCTCTTACCTAATTTCTTTACTTCTCCAAGGAATTAAAATATGAAACCTGGGGATATAGTATGAAACCAGAAATGGGAGGACCAATTCTTCATTATTGGTAAAAATAGGTACCAAAGAAAATAATTAAAATTTATATTTAATTTTAAAACTGAATTCAATCCAGTAAAATTAACTTCTTACACTGATCTTTTTTTCCAGAGCTACTAAAGGTGGAAAATTGGCTTGAGGTTTAATGCAAATATGGCTTTCCTTTGCCATATATGTTTTATTAATTTGGATTTCCCTAATGGGCATCTGTATATATACATACTCATGTACTCCTGTGTTTGGCTAGTCTTTTTTCAGAGGAGTCAGATTTACTCCAGTAATCTTATTTCTTTAAAATCTTCTAATACTGTTTGTTATAGATTGGAATTCATTATTAGAAACTTAAATCTTGTATTCAATACGAATGACTTAGGTTCTGAACTACCAAGCTGGCTTTACCTATTGAATGATTTTTTCATGGAAGATGAAAAGTACTCAAAGTAGAGCCACATTAATTTTGTAAAAGGGCATTTTTTTTTTTTTTAAGAAGGACTTCAGGATAGATTAGCAAAGGAAAATAGAGTTTTTTGTTTGTTTGCATTTGAGATGGAGTCTCGTTCTGTCGCCCAGGCTGGAGTGCAGTGGCACGATATCTGTTCCAACCTCCACCTCCTGGGTTCAAGTGATTCTCCGGCCTCAGCTCCCCAAGTAGCAGGGACTACAGGCACATGTCACCACGCCTGGCTAATTTTTGTATTTTTAGTAGAGGTGGAGTTTTGCCATGTTGGCCAGGCTGGTCTCGAACTCTTGACCTCAGGTGATCTCCCCACCTCAGCCTCCCAAAGTGCTGGGATTACAGGCATGAGGCACTGTGTCTGGCTGAAAATAGAGTTTTAATCATCTGCTTTTCAAATTCTGAATCGGAATATATAATGAGTAATACTTAGGGAATATTGGGGCAGGCATGAAAGCAGGTTGAGGATATTGGGGCAGGCATGAAAGCACTCACAGCTCTAAATTTACTTAATCAAGAAGGAAGATAGGGAATGGTGCTACGCATAGATCTTGTAGAAATAACAGACTTACAAAATGATAGAATTGTAGGTGGAAAGAATCTTGGAGATTATGGCTCAGCAGTTGTAACCTTTTGATACTGCTGCTAAAGTCTATTTATAAAGGCATTTTGTGTTTTTACTGTTTGAAGTGAAAGCAGAAATATGGGTCGAAGATTCTGCACTGCTACATTAAGTCAATCCTTACACAGTAAGGATTGACAGTAACGGGGGAACCTGGCCTAATATCAGAGTGTACACATATATGTGCTCTTCTGTACTTTTCTGATGCGGATTTGAGTTAAGATTGGCTGTTAAGATTGGATGTTCATAATGCTTGTCATTTTGCTACCTAGTGAAGGAGCAAATTGTGGCAAAGGAAACCTGTTGAACCACAAATTGCTTATTTAAGTGTGTGGTGAGATGAGGGCTTAATGAAATTGTAGTTACTAAGGTAACTTAAAAATAAATGAGCCTCTTTCTCCCACCTTCTTTCCTTAGCCCTATTTTAGAAATGAAGAAATTGAAGCCCAGAAAGGTTAAATGACCCTCTTATATTTGATGGCAAAGTGAGGGCTAGAATCTTGACTTCTCCTCCAGTTGTCTTTCTACTGCATTTTTGGGTTTGCTTTTTGGAAGTCAAGATGATAAAAATGGATGTTATCCTAGGGTCAGAAGGAACTTTCAGATTCAGTTTCAGGCTAGTATCAATAACTTAAAATTTATGCTGCATGGTAAAAAGTGTCAGAAGATTTGGCATGAATAACACCTCAATTTTTTAAAACATTCTTAACTTCAGACAAATGAGCTTGATAACCGTCCTTAGCAAAGTCCTTGAATGAATTATTGAGTAGTTGGCTCTTGAGCATTTTAAAAAAGAACCGAGGAATCACTGGGAGCCACTATGGGTTCACTAAGAAACTAGGTTCATATCTTCTTTCTTTAGGATTTCCAGATGAGTATCCAAAGGAAATAATGTTAACATAATTTATCTTGATTTTAGTATTGATAGTTGTGGCCTCTTTGAAGGCTCATAGCTGGTTGCACAATTGAATGAAAAGTGGTAATTATTATTCACCTCCTTACGAGGTCTCACACTATGGCATGGGGTTCTAATTTTGATGTAGTTTGACATTTTTTTTTCAAATACCAGGTTGAAGGATGGCTGAATTTACTGAATTCAAATATGAGACAAAGCTGGGAGGTGGTGCTTATATGATAGAACTGAGATTCAGAGTGATCTTAATAGGCTGAAATGGTGGGCCAGAATTAGTAAGATACATTTAACAGGTAAGATCCTCTCCTTAAGATGGAGGGAATTACATACCTACAAGGTAAAAAACCTGGCTTGGCAGGAGGACCTGTGAAAATGATTTGGGATGTATTGGCTTAAAATGAACTGAGAGTAGAATAAAGCTTCTGTACCTTGTGCTTGTGAGATACTTCTGCAATATTGTGCGCAGTACCGGGTGGCACATTTTAAATGGGACATTGACAGACTCGCAAATGTATCAAGAAGGATTCCCAGAATGAAGAATGTGGAAAACATTTCGTACTAGCAATAATCAAAGAACGGAGTTTTATCTTTAAAAGAAAACAAGAAATTGTGACAGCTGTCTTTAGATATATGAGGGGCTTTTTTTTTTTTTCTAACGTAGTTCTATAATTTTGTTTGGCCCTGGAAAAACATATGTATATGCACACACAAAGACAGACTAGAGTTACACAACAGTGGAATGGTTTGTTTCATTAAGTAGTGATCATTCATTAAAGATTGGATGTTCATCGGTCAAAGATTTTGTAGACTGCAGAAGAATTTCTTGTACCATATAGAAAATTTGCTTAAACTATAAACTCTGAGTCTTCTTCTAATTCTAAAATTTAAGGTCTATGAAATTAGAATATATATTTTATTTCGTTCTGGGTACTTCCATCCAGCACATGGCCAGAGTTCTCTGTAAGTCTTAAACTTACATGATTAAGTCTTTAGGGATTTTTGTGAGGGAGATTGTGGGTGATATTTACCATTTTTTTTCATAGAGGCTGTATGAGGGTGAATTCTATTAAGCAATAAATGTAGCACTGTAATTCATAAATTAATATATTTCTGTTCATTCTTAAATTTACTGTGTACTTAGGTGCTATTTTTCTATGTCGTTTCCTCTTTTATTTGGTGAATACCAAAACGTTAGTATTTTAAACATATGCTTTAGTTCTGACACTGAATTTGTAGTTACGATATGTTATCTCGGTATAGTAGTCTCCTCTTATCTGTGGGTTCTGTTACCTGTGGTCAACTATGGTCCAAAAATGTTAAATGGAATATTCTAGAAAAAAACAATTTACAAGTTTTAAATTACATGCCTTTCTGAGTAGTGTGGTGAAATCTCAGTCTGTCCAGGGTGAATGGGAATCTTCTCTTTGTCCAGTTATACCCTCTGTATATGCTAACAAGTCACTTAGTAACCTTCTCAACTGCTGTGGTATCACAGTGTGTTCAAGTATTTTTACTTTACATATTTATGGCCTGAAAGTGCAAAAGTAGTAATGCTGGCAATTTGGATATATCCAAGATAAGCCAAATATATGCCAAAGAGAAGTTGTTATCTCATACTTTGTGTAATTTATAAATTAAACTTTATCACAGGTATGTATGTATGTATGTATGAAAAAACAATATGTATAGGGTTCAGGCCATGGTTTCAGGGATCCAGTGGGGGTCTTGGAACATATTCCCCCCTCTGATAAGGGGGGACTGCTCTAGCTCTTTAACCATAGTTGTGTTTCTGATACTGTCACTTTAGTGTGAACAATGTGATTACTTTTTCTTGAGTGGAAATTAGAGAACAATTGGAAAATCTAGGATCCTAAAAGAGCCCAAATTGTGGGAAGCACTCACAGCTGTAAATTTGTCAGTTTTCCCTACAGAGCAAGCAAATCTGTATGCCTTTTTTTTTAAGTTATTTATGCTGATCTTTTATTTGTATAAATTTGTTGGGTGCAAGTACAATTTTGTTACATCGATATGTTGTATAGTGGCGAAGGCAGGGCTTTTAGTGTGTGCATCACTGCAGGAATGTACACTGTACCCATTAAGTAATTTCTCATTCCCTACTCCCCTCACACCCTCCTTTCTTTTCTTTCCTTTTTTTTTTTTTCCATGAACAGTCCTGCTGCAGTAGTCCCTTTCTTCATGGCTCAGAATATCTGGTACAAAGGTGTTTTTTGAAAATGTTTGAGGCCAAGTGCAATGGCTCATCCTGGAATCTCAGTACTTTGGAAGGCTGAGGGAGGAGGATCACGTGAGCCCAGGAGCTTGAGACCAGCCTGGGCAACATAGTGAGACTGTACCTCTACGAAAAAAGGAAAAAGTAAAAAATCAGCTGGATGTGGTGGCCCATGTTTGTAGTCCCAGCCACTCAGGTGGCTGAGGCAGGAGGATTGCTTGAACTCAAGAGTTCTGTTTAAGGTTATAGTAAGCTATGATTGTCACTGCACTCCAGTCTGGGTGAGAGAGTGAGACCTTGTCTCTTAAAAATATGTCTCTCTGTATGTAAAATGTTTAAGACGCAAGAATCTTTCGAATAGAAAAAGTGATAATTCAGATTTATGAAGCTTCTCTTTTCCTCAGGGATGATAATAAAGTTAAGGAGGTAAGAAATACCTGTGCTTGATCAGAGGTATGGTTCTTATAGTAGGTTTATTATTCGTGCAGACCACATGTACTTAGAGGCTTCGTAGAGCACAACACTAAGAATTAAAACTCACATTTTTGCTTGGGTACTCCCCGCCCCCACCAATTAGTTGTACCACTCTGGGCAAACATCATAATTGTAGTTCCATTCCTTTTTTTCATTTGCAAAATAGTGATATTAGTTCCTACCTTCTTTACCTCATAGAGTCTCAAAGATTAGGTAAGTTAATATGTATGAAAAGGCTTTGAATAATGTAAAGAAAACTGTATGCAGGAGGTGGTAACTTGGTGACATCTCTACGTAGTGACACCCACTAGAAGAATGTGAAGTAGTAAAGTGGGGGAATGAGATATTTTAGGTATGGATATTAGCTTGAGTTATATGTCAGAGGTAAACGAGAAATTTGTATAAGAGGAATTTCAGAAAGCTTTGGTAAAGTGCAAGCAAGGGTGAGGTGAGGTGTATGGAGAGAGGTGTATTAACAGGTGGAAAAGAAGTGGTGTGGCCAGGCGTGGTGGTTCACACCTGTAATCCCAGCACTTTGGGAGGCCGAGGCAGGCAGATCACTTGAGCTCAGGAGTTTGAGACCAGCTTGGGAAACATGGTGAAACCTGTCTCTACTAAAAATACAAAAATTAGCTGGGCATAGTGGTGCATGCCTGTAGTCCCATCTACTCTGGGAGGCCGAGGTGGGAGAATTGCATGAGCCTGAAAGTCGAAGGTTGCAGTGAGCTGAGATCGTGCCACTGCACTTCAGTCTGGGCAACAGAACGGGACCCTGTCTCAAAACAACAACAACAACAACAACAACAACAACAACAACAGCAGCAAACAGGTGGTGTATTTCAGTATAGTAAGAACTAAATGTCTGCTGTCTGATTAACCCTTGTTAGGTTCTGAAGATACTAACTAAACCTGTCTTAAAATGATGCTTGTGTTCAGGAGAAAGATTTACATACATGAAACCATTATATGGCAGCTGCAACTACATATGAGAGTTTATACGTAAGTACTGGGTTTTGAGGCATGGAAAACAAGTGTGAGAGCTCAGAAGTCAGTGAGGTTAGTGGGGAGTAAACAAGAAAGGCTTTTTCTGGTGGAGATAGGACTTGAAATAGGCCTTAAAGATTGGTTTGGAAAGTGGACATTTGAGACTTTGGGGGTGACAGGTGAAGAGTGAGGATGGCTTGAGTCAAGCTGCTAAACTTGGAATGAGCTTGATGGGGACCAAAGATTGGAAAAGCACAAAGCTATCATGTGGAAGCTTTTAACTAACACAGGGAATGATGGGTTCTCTTCTGTGTGCTTCCTAGAGGCTTAGTGGTCTCACAGAGTAGCTCAGGGTTTGCCAACCAAACAGCCTTCCACTCCTGCATCAGCCACACAAGTGTGTTTTTTGAACCATTTCCTAACATTTTGTTTCAAGAAGAGATTGTGCCAAAATAATAATAATAAATAAATTTGAAAAACTTGAATCTAGTGGATTGGAGATATTGAGTAAAAATATTTGCAATGCAAATGATACTTATGAGAGTGTTTCTTTGTAGATAAAAGTGTAGAAAAGTTAGAAAGCAGGAGCTCAGATAAAAGGATGTTGTTGCAGTAATTTAGTTATGAATTCACAGTGGTCCCTAGAAAGGCTGTGGTAGTGAAGTAAATGGTTACTAAATATAAAAAACAGCTTGTTGAACTTTTCTAGGACCTACACTGGTGACGTGAAAGACATGGTAAGGGATTAGGTAAAAACATCAGGTTGGTTTGTTCTTTTCCCCTGCTCTGTATCAAGCATGGTAATAGGCATTGAGAAACTAAAGATGAAGTGAGACATGTTTTCTGCCCTCATAGGATATATTATCTGTTGTGGGAGACACACTGTACTTCTCTGCTTCTAGGACATGCTTTTTACATTTTATTTTTATTTCATTTTATGTGTGTGTGTGTTTGTGTGTGTGTGTGTGTGTGTGTGTGTGTGTATTTTTTTTTTTTTTTTTTGAAACGGAGTCTTGTTCTGTCACCCAGGCTGGAGTGCAGTGCCACAATCTCGGCTCGCTGCAGCCTCTGCCTCCCAGGTTCAAGTGATTCTCCTCCCTCAGCCTCCCAAGTAGCTGAGATTACAGGCACCCGCCACCACGCCCAGCCAATTTTTGTATTTTTAGCAGAGAGGGGAGTTTCGCCATGTTGGCCAGGCTGGTCTTGAACTCCTGACCTCAGGTGATCCACCCGCCTCAGCCTTCCTAAATGCTGGGATTACAGGCGTAAGCCACCACGCCTGGGCCCATTTTAAATCTATAAAATTAAAACACACCTTGTAATCAAAGGCATGTCATAGTTTAATTAGCAGAACTTTTTTCTTTCTTATGATCATTTGCATCTTAGACTCAATAGTACATGATAGATATCATCTAATATCTATATATGTCATACATATAGCTAATTAAATTACTTTGTGGTGTTTGGTTTATACAAGCTGTGAATGAAGTGTTAATAGAATCCCAGAAGAAGGAAGAACTAGTTCTGCTTGTAGGGTTCTGGGAATGTTTTCATGGAAAGGGTGATAACTGGAGCTGAGACTCAAAGGATGACTAAAAAGTTTACCATATCAGAAGGAAGAAAAGGGCCACTTCAGGTTATGTTGGATTTCACATGCAATTTTTGAAATTCAAGTAGTTTTTTGTTTTGTTTTGTTTTTGAGACGGAGTCCCACTCTGTCGCCTAGGCTAGAGTGCAGTGGCACGATCTTGGCTCACTGCAGCCTCTGCCTTCCGGGTTCAAGTGATTCTCCTGCCTCAGCCTCCTGAGTAGCTGAGATTACAGGCGCCTGCCATCACACCCAGCTAATTTTTCTATTTTTAGTAGAGATGGGGTTTCACCAGGTTGGCCAGGCTGTTCTTGAACTCCTGACCTCAGGTGATCCACCCACCTTGGCCTCCCAAAGTGCTGGGATTACAGGTTTAAGCCACCATGCCTGGCTCAATTAGTATTTTGTAAACATTACAAAATTGAGAATTAGCTCAAGGAGTGTTCATATAAAAGTTGAATTGTGAGCCTCATGTGAGTAGAGTCTGTGTTATATATGTAAGTATGTGTATTAATTTATAATTCTATTTTTTCTCACACCTTGATGAGCATTGCTTAGTATCTGTCATTCTGATACTGAACCAGAAGAAAGGACACAGGTGGAGAACTTTGATTTCATAGGAGAATGGGATGGACAGATCCTTGGAATAGACTCAAGATATATATTAAAGGAGTGAGAGAGTTTACGATCGTAAAAGGAAAAGTGATGAGTAAACGGAAATAAAGGGAATTTAAATCTGATTGCTTCATATGTTTTGGTAGACAGTTGAAGGTAAGAATCTTACCAGTTAGGGGATACTTTGAGAAGAAATTGAAGGTATGTAAAATTTCCAGGTTGATTCTGTCCCTCTGATATTATTATGTAGATGCCTTTTAATGTGGCCAGTCAGAAGGGGTTTAGTACAGTTCTGTAATAATGAGTCAAGTCACCATAGCTTTTTGTTCACAGAAGCGGAGCTGCTTTTGCACAGGCGTATAGGAACGAGATAGTGATCTGTGCTTTGGTAAGTGGGTATCTGTGCCTGGTGTGGGGCTGGGAAAGGGGTGGAAAATCCTTGCTCTGGTCTAGTTGGGGATATCTATGCCAGGGAGTTGAAGGAGAAGAGAGAAGAGGAAGAGACTAGGTGAATATGATGACAAGTACTAACGGGATTTATATAAGAGAAAGAAATACTTAAAAGTGGTTTGTGAATTCTGCAGGTTTTTCCAAATATTTAAATCTACATATGAACCAGGTTGAGACAAATCTTTGACAGATGTCATAAATACTACAAACTATAACATGCTTGTTGAAGCAAACTTTATTATTTCTGATTTTGTTAGTATAGGTTTTTAAAGTTAAAGCGTATTTTTATTTTCAGAATTTCTCTCACCTGTTGTTGTTATTGGTAGGTTGTCACTGCCTTTACTGATTTTAATTATAGGGCAAGTAAATGGTTTTAATATCCCCTTGTTAGACTTTCATCTATTACCTGTACTCCCTACTGGCAGACTGCATCCATGAATTCAGTCAGCAAGTAAATACTCAGCATCTGTATTGTGCGGCTTGATATGTTCCTTAGATGATTGAATAACATGGGACTGAACTCCTGCTTCCATAATATTCCAGTGGGGAGAGAAATTATGCAGTTTTCTTTAATGAATGAAACAAGAAGTAAAAGGGTACTTCTTTGAACCTTATGTTTGTTTTATATTTTGGCTGACATTTACTGCACGTTTATAGTATACCAGATAATGCATGCAGCACTTGATCTATTAACTTATTTAATCTTCAGAATACACTGTAAGGTAAGTATTGCTGACATCTCTCCTTTCAGGTATAAAAACTGAGGCCTATAGAGGTTAAATAATTTGCTCATGGCCACATAGTGAATGATGGAACCAGAGTCTAAACGTACTTGTACTATTACCACTTACTGCCCTGAATTGTGTACTCTCTGTATACTGTAGTGTTTGTTTTCTGTGATCATTTATGGACTCAGTTTATTGTTTGTCTCTTATATGCCACTGTTTAAGCACTTTATGTGTATTAACTGTTTATTTTTCACAATCCTATGAAGAAGGTGGTGGTGGTGACCTCAAATTATAGAACAGGAAACCAAGGCTATCAGAGGTTAATTTACTTGGCCAAGATCATATAGCCAGTAAGTTAGGGTGCTAGTAAGTAAAAATTCTTTATAAAACAAGTCCGGGTGAATAGGACTGTAATCTCCCTTTACAGCTAACCACTACTACTTTAAGTATTTTATTGTAATTACTGTAATATGCTCAATAAGAAACAGATTCCTAGATCTTTAGCTGAGTGCTCCACTCCTTGTGTTCTTTTGGGGGTTTGAGGTACATATGCCACAAAGGGAATTAGAAAGAAAGTTTTTATTACTTTGATGGACTGTGTTGATTGGGAATTTGAGGCTAGTAATAACATCTCCCTGACTAAATATTTGTGTATCACAAACTAATTTTGAATAAATGAAAAAACACAGATTCTAAGAATATAAGCGCAATAAGAGTATGTATTCTTTTTTCCCTTTCTTTTATTTTTTGAAGAAAAGGGCCCAAAAGAGGGAGTCTTGTATTTTGTTTTCATTAATAGTTGTAAAACCCCAAAAAGAATATACCTTGTAAGGCTTAAATTTCATGACTTGCTTCTTGATGAGGATGTGAGATGTCATTAGATAGGAATTTATGCCCATTTTCTGAAGGAAATAACATTAAGAAAACCCAGAGACCCTAAGAATTAGTATATGTGTAGAATTTATGTTCTTTAGCTAATCCTGCATGTAATTTTTATGTAGCATTAGCTTAGTTGACAGGGTTGGTCCTGCAACTTTATTGTTTTCTGCTGGATAAATAATATTTAGTATCTGCCATTGTATACATCGCATATTGTTCTAGGTGCTGGGGAAACAAAACAGACATGTTCTTTATTCATGGAGACTATACTTTGTTCTGGGTGAGTTTTGTTTTATCTTGATCTTAGATTATTGCTGTTTTTAGTAGATGAGAAAATCAAGGCTTAGAAAGTTTAAATAATTTGCCTAAGGTTACAGAATTGATACATGGCGGGTGTTGAGAAAAGAACCCAGAGTTTGTGTGGCTTCAAAATTTTTTCTGCTGTTTCATCACAAATCCTTGAGGCCAAGGAAATCATGGTTTCCCTGAAAAGTTTTAAAAGGATTTTCTCTCTTTTTTTAGTAACAAGCTACCAAAGAGAATTGAAGACCAATTTACATTTTGCAAGAGTTTGATACATCAGAGTGCATTCACAATATACGAAAATAGAATAGTTAATTTAGTCCGTATTTCCAAAACATATGATCGAGTTCATTTTGTGTATCTTATGTGTATGTGTGTGTGTGTGTGTGTGTGTGTGTGTGTGTGTGTGTGTGCACGCATATGTAGGTAGATATATATGTGTGTGTGTGTGTGTGGTGTGTGCATACTTAGTGTATATGTTTACTCATTATAAACACATTCAGGGAAAACTTAAAGGGATTATATTCTATACCTATTCATCACCTTCCTTGTTCTCCCGCACCTTCACTATAATTAAGGATACCAGCTCATATGGGGATATTTCTAAAAATTAGCCCACCTCTTCATACTCCTATCCTTACCCTAAGCCACAAAGAAAACGTGATTGTTGAAATCAAAGTACTTAGACAGTTTTCAGCACTTTAAAAATGATTCTTTGGCAGCTGTCTGAACTGGTAGTGGTAACTATGTATAATTTTCAAACTGGAAAGCAAACATGTTTCATTCCATAAGTGGTTTGTGATGAGCAGAGTGTAACTATGACATATTTAAAAAAAAAAAGAGCTCTGTGCTAGGTAGCAGTTTGTCTCTGCCATTAAACAATTTTGTAACCTTTGGGAATGGAGGTCTTGGTTTTTTTCTTTTGTACAGTGAATGTATGTGTGTGTAGTGTGTTTCGTAAAATGAAATACTTGAGGTACTTTCATTTAGTGTTAGGATTCTATAGGTACTTTCATTTAGTGTTAGAATTCTATAAAGCACAAATATGTAGGTACTAAATCAGCTTAATTTTATTTCACTGAGCCAGTGGGAAAGCTCAGGAAAAATACTATTTACTAATATTGCTAGTTTTAAAATCAAATTGATTTCTTTTTAAACTGTGAATGGAGCATGTTCATATACGGGTTTGTTTGTTTTGACAAATTCTTTTTTTTTTTTCTTTCCCCAAGCCTGGGTTCCAAAAAATGTTTTGACAGATTCTTGAAGCCAAATCTAATATTGACTCTAACGCTATTCTCCATTAAAGAAGTTTAGTCTCTAGGTTTAAGTCATTTTTAGGATTCACAGAATGTTTTAGAATATGGTTCATTCACTAGCGCCCTTGTGACTAGCCACATGTCCAGCCTTCAGCAACAGCAAAGATGGGGGCCAGGTCCCTAAACCCTTGGGCATGTAGATTGCCATCTGGGACCTCATCTGACTATTCAGAATGCCCTTGCCAGCGGATACAGACCTTGAAGATGCCTAGTTAGAAACCAGCTGCCCTTTAAAGCCATAGTGTGTGATTGCTTAGGCCTGAGATTCTCTAGCTTACAAGCAGTATAACCCTGTAATATAGAGCTCTTCTGTTCAATATTACCTCCTAACCTTTCCAAAACCCAATACTTTATACCAAAGATTTTACCATAGTCCTTGCTGCCTTCTTGCCATCTCACTTTGGGTAACCATCCTAACCTACCTAACCATTTTATTACCTTAGCACCTTATGACTTGGACTTCTGGTTAGTGTGCCCCAGGGACAGTAGTTGTAAAATCTAGAAATTTAGTAGAAGAGTTAGATGGATCTTTGTATTTCAGTTTCAAAGGAGACAACTTTCTAATATTCTAGAAGGTGAAGAATATCATAACTGATTTATAGTCCAAGAGGTCTCATTAGAACAGTGGAAACTATTTGCTGGAGCTGTTGAATTTTCTGTTAGAGTATTAAGGCAGGGAGAATACCATTTTCAGCCTCACAACTACTGGCATGCATAGAGTTTAATGTTGGATTCTAGCTGCTGTCTTGGGAAGAAAGTACTTTTTTTGAGACAGAGTCTTGCTCTGTGGTCCAGGCTGGAATGCAGTGGCGTGATCTCAGCTCACTGCAACCTCCACCTCCCAGGTTCAAGCGATTCTCTTGTGTCAGCCTCCCAAGTAGCTGGGACTGCAGGCATGTGCTACCACACCCGGCTAATTTTTGTATTGTTACTAGAGATGGGGTTTCACCATCTTGGCTAGCCTGGGCTTGAATTCCTGACCTCAAGTGATCCTCTCGCTTCGGCCTCCCAAAGTGCTGGGATTACAGGCATGAACCACTGTGCCTGGCCTGGAAGAAAGTACTTCTTTACATAATAGGATTGCATTAAAGTCAAAGGATGCATTTACAGAATGACCCCCCGTGAAGAATTTTTTGAATTAAATAACAATAAAATACAGGAATTTAAAATATAATATTTGCTTGGATTTCATTTTGTAGGTTAATCTAAATTTTTTGAACCACTTTAACAAATATTTAGTTACCCATGATTACTGAGAAATAAAAGAGCTGTTTTGGAAGTAATGTCTTAGAAAGTTTAGTTGAGGTCTAGCTCACTACTATTATACAGAAATTTTTTAAAAAAGAAAATTGTGCTTTCTAGTACCACTGGCAAGTACTCTTAGTAAAGAATTTGTGTTTCATTAATTATTAAGAATCCTACTGTTTTTTAATGTAATATTAGGCCATTCTTATTAAAGATCATTGAGCAGTCAATCCTCAGTGGTTAGGAATAGCTATTTGTTTCTACATGATAATTATATAGATTTAACTTAAAATGAAGGTGACATTGTGGTGCTGGTGAAAATAGAAATGGACAAGAATGAGACGTGGGTTCAATTCCCTGTTCTTTTAGTTACTGTCTGTGATGTGGGAATCTCCTTTAGCTTTCACAAGCCTCAGTAATAAACACCTATAAAATGAAGATAGCCTGCCTACTAGACAGGATTTTTCTGAGGATTAAATGGAGTAATATGTGTGACAATGTATTGTAAATGCCAGAGTACTGATAGGTGTAAAGTATTATTACATCGTTTTGTTTACCTTTACTCTTTTCTTCTAAATTATTATGTGTGTATGTTTAACATTTTACAGTCTTATTTTCTATTACATTGTCGTTTTTACATCTGTAACATATAACAATGCTGGTATATAGTGCATGTTCAGTAAATAGCCAATGGAAATGAGACTCCTCTATTACTTGGCTTGATTGAGTATATTAACCCTTTTATTTTATGTATTATGCTTTGACATCTGAGGTCTGCTGACTTTGGAAGGACTACCTCTTCCGGGGTTAACCATTTCCTAAAGACAATTCTCCTGCAAATGCTTTTTTCAAAACACACACCAACCAATCCAGAGCCTGCATCCTAACCACCTCCTATATTAGGTTCTCATACTTTAGACCACCTGCTCTAATCACCCCCCAGGGCGAGGTACCAAACAACTAGGGACAGCCCCTGTGCCCCACGGTCTTCTAAAGTTATTCAAACTAGCCAACCCTAAGCCTGTTTACCCTGCTTTGCCTGTTCCTTGTGGTGGAAACCACAATAAAGGATCTCGCCAACAGTTTCTACTCCTGCTTTTGTCTCCTAACTGACCCGTATGCTCCACATCCTATGGCAGGTTGTGCCGCCTCCTCTTGGGAACTGTAACAAACTTATCTTTTCAGTGGCAATCAATTTTCTATTAATACACTATCTTTTAAAACTTTGGGCTACTGATTTTTTTTCAATCCTTGTGGCAAAGAATCTTATTATTAAGAAAGTATTAAATACTGTTAGATTTAAAGCTTTTTTTGGAAGTAACTTGAAGAGATTCAGAATGGTACTGAAATACATATGCGTGTATAGGTAAATATGTACATATGTTTAAGTATACGTGTGTGTATATATACATGCATATGTATAATGTATGTGTATAAAAAAACTTTAAACTTGATTTGGAAGATGACAAATTCTCATCTATAAGCTCCCTTTACAGATCATCTTTGGTTCTGCTCTCTTTGTTTATAAATGGAAAAACTAAGGCCCAGTGTGAATATATGGTTTACCCAAATCACACCTTTAGTTATTGGCAAACCAGGATAACCTAGGTCTGATTCCTTCAGGCTTAAGTAGACATTCAAATGTAAGCATTTTTTATTGGGAAAAAAATTATAGGCAAGTCTTTTCTTCTTGCCTTTCTCAAGGGAATAAGGTATTAATTTTGTTTTCTCCTATCCCAAGTGGCAGTGGTTCGGTTGCTAGGTAATTGTTCCAATTGATACAGTTTCTCCATCTAGCAAAACTAAAATTTAAAATTTAATATAGTTATTTATATTTTATTTTATAAAACTATTTTTAATAATAGATCCCAGAGACTTATTTTATGTCCCACATCTACCCATTTGTATCTCAACTTGTTTTTATGTTTTTTTCTTACTTTGTTTTATTTGGCTTTTGCTGTTAGATTTGTAAGCTTGGAAACTTGCAGCAGCCTTTAAGCCAGGTACTTCATTGTAAAGATTTTCCAGGATTTCTGTTTTTATGGTAAATTTGACTGGGTCAAATAGTCATATTGTGAACAGAGCCAACATGAGAAATTGCTGACTAGGGATATCAATAATTTATAGTGAAACAAAAATGATTTAGGAAATTTGGTGGATTTTTTAAAGTGATTTTTGTTTTTTTAATTTTAGGGGGCTTTTTTGGTGGGCATAGTAATATTGAGGTAAATATACATGCTTTGGGGTGCAATAGGTTTCTGTTATATTCTCTTTCATTGGGCCTTCATATAAGTATTGGATCCAGTTTGGTGTTCCACATTTTAAGGAAGAGGGAGATGAAGCCTGAGAAGTGGCTTAAAAATGGTCCTCCATACAGCCACTTGTGATAGTTCTCCATTTCCTCAGAAGATTGAACAAATTGTGATATAATTATGGTGGAAGAAGAAATTTAGGTTAAGGAAATACATTCTTAATAATGCAAGTGCTTAAACAGGATATAACTTAGTAAGGAAGTTAACTCTCTGCCCAGGAAAATCTTTCATATACTACATACTAGCTTGTTACTAGAATTGCATGTCATTTTGTTAGTGGTCGTGAATCCATACAGGTCTGCAGCAACCTCAGTTCTTGCCTCCTCAGAAGAAAGAATTTAACCAAGGGGCATAAGGCAGAGGGAGAGACTAAGGCACGTTTTAGAGCAGGAGTGAAAGTTTATTAAAAAGTTTTAGGGCAGGAATGAAAGGAAGTAAAGTACATGGAAATGGGCCAAGCGGGCGACATGAGAGTCAAGTGTGTGGTTTGACCTTTGACTTGGGGTCTTATATGTTGGTGTGTTTCTGAGGTTGTGTTACTTCTTGCATGATTCTTCCCTTGGGTTGGGCTGTCCAGATGTGCAGTGGCCTGCCAGCACTTGGGAGGGGCTGCACGTGCAGTGTGTTTGTTGAAGTTTTATGCATGCTCTCTTGAGCTGTTTTTTCCCTTACCAGTCTAGTGCTCATATATCAGTTAAACTCTGCCGTTTGCCTCTTAGTGTGTATGCTTGAGCTCACTCGTCCAACTCCTGAGATCTTATCAGGAAGCTGCTGATTGCCAGCTTCAGGTGTTTCTAGCTACTGAGAGACTGCCTTTCCCTGTTGCTGGCTGTGACCAATTACTATATTAGAGCGACAGTTTAACAACTGCCTGACCACCTGATATTCTTGGTTGCGGGGTTAGGGGGTGCTTTCTGTCCTGCTCACATCTGACTACCTACTGTAACATTTCCTCCCTTAAGAGTCCAAGACCCCAGTTCTTTGGGGAAAATGGATGGTCAGTCTTCTGTAACTGCTTCTTGCTGACAGGGATGATGGTGGTTGTTCTGTAGGTCTTGGCCTCTTGCTGGCTGTCAGGGCAGGGTGGCTCTGTGGGTTGATGAAAGCTGAATTCAGCCAGGTCCAAGGGAGACAGGGGCAGGATTTTGCCTCTGTCATGTCCCACTGATGGGCAGTCTAGGAGTCCCCTATAGAAGGGTGACTCTTGGATATTGAGAGGATGGTATTCTTTACTGAGGATCATCTGGAGCTGGATGGCCTGAAGGTGAGAGGAGACAAATCAGATTATTAGATTTAGAAGACAGAGGCCAAAAACGACAAGTAGAGATGTTAAGACAAAATAAGGGGATGAGGACAGATTAAAGAATTCTGAGAATTCTGAGACTCCCAACATGCCAGGCAGGTGGCTGCAGTCATGCCAGCTGTAGTCATGCCGGCTGAGACCTGGGTGCGTGGGGTTGCTAACCAATTCCGATACATGCCCAGAATTAGAATATTGACCCAGATTTTTACATTACCCATCCCTTTTATTTCTTCTGAGCTGTAGCCAGAGATCACTGGTTGGTTCACAGGAATGAGCAGAGTTATTCTAAATGGCAGAAAAAAACTTAATAACAACTGATGAGACTAAAATTTGATAACAGTAGTACCATAGTTCTTGAAACATGATTTTTCTCTTCAGTTCTCATTTTTATTAAGAACAAATTATGATAGGACTGATTTGTTTGCAAAATAAGCTTTAGTTCTGTTATACTTGGCCTAATGAGTTGCATAAAGCACAGCAAGAATAATTATTTGCCATATAGGCTCCTTTTAAAATTGGCTTTGATGGAACTTCCTTCCATAAGGAGTCTCAGATAAGGCTTTTTAAAACCTTAAGCCCAGCTATCAGTTGGTGCCATCAAATACCTGTATGAATTGGACAAATTCCCCTTGTCTTGCTTGGGGCTCCTGGGCCTGTCAAAAGTGACATTCTTTACTTGCCACAGGTCGGGAATCCTGTACAGGGACTGTGTTGACAATGTATGAGTTCAGTTTTCCAGAGGGGCTTTTCTTGGCTTTATAAGTCAATTTTGATTCTTAAAGGAAAGCATGCCATTCCAGTCAAAACCTTGGTAAAATAACCAGTTTCTCCAATTGTGTCCTGTTGCAAAAGAAAACAGATTTTATTGCACTTATGCAAATAACTATATTGCCATTAGTTAAGAATACTCACAAGTAGTTTCCAAATTCTGCAGAAATCTGAGAGAAGTATGTTCCAAATTTTGTTTATAGGAGTATACTTTACTCATTATTTTTTTTTTTTTTTTTGAGACAGAGTCTCACTCTGTCACCCAGGCTGGAGTGCAGTGGCACGATCTGAGCTCACTGCAGTCTCCACCTCCGAGGTTCAAGCGATTCTCCTGCCTCAGCCTCCTTAGTAGCTGGGTCTACAGGCACCTGCCACCGCACTGGCTAATTTTTATATTTTTAGTAGAGACGGTTTCACCACATTGGCCAGGCTGGTCTTGAACTCCTGACCTTGTGATCTGCCTGCCTGGGCCTCCCAAAGAGCTGGGATTACAGGTGTGAGCCACCGTGCCCGACCTACTCAATTGTTAAAAGCTGTAAATAGCTCAAAAGTTTTCTTGGCGTTGAAAAACAAAGAATTAGCAATGTTTTAAGCAAAAAGTCATAAAAGGATTATTTTAGTCTTCTATTAGTTCAGTCCATGCAGTTAACTCCTGTTCTGCTTTATATTCATGAACATTTCAGCTTTCATGAGAGTCCTGAAAGGTTTTTTTCTTTATCCTATGTCACAATCTCCAGTTATCAGAAACCTGCATTTAAGCCTATCAGTAATTATAAAACCACCTTTTAAAGAGGATTAAAACAAGGTAACAATTATCTGTGGATGATAAAAAGTCTTAGGGCAGCCACAGCCAGACACAATTGAAAAGGAAATTTGTTAGCCTCTGTGGCATGCAATAATTTAACTTAACAATTATAATTATTACTGATAATGTATGCCTAGTCATATCAGAATTGTAGGAGTTTCACATAATTCTGGAACCCATACCAATAACACACTTACACAAATACAGCCCAAAGAAAGCTGGATTTCACCTTTGCATTGGTGTACTATTGATGTCAAACCCAGTTCTTAATAAAACCTTATAGACAAATCTATTCAATCTTAATCAGTTTGCCCTCATTTTGTAAGATTGTCATAGACCTTTTATAACCCTTTACAATTTTTTTGTTAAAGACCAGAAGAATGCTCTAAGAAAACTGTGTTATGCTTTTATTCCAATGTTTAATTTATGAATAGTCTGAATAGTACCCCTTTAATGTTAGCTAACGTGTTCACACAGGATTTCTTTTACAAGATTAATATTTCACACATCTGCCACGACTTGCTCAAACCTTTAGCTTTATCCTATCTAACTTAAAATAATTCTTTAACTCCCTAAACTAGGCCAAAAAAATCTATATTCCCATGCCTTCTTATGATATTTTACCAAAAGTACATTTTACTTTACTTACATGTTTTACATGTAAAACTCTTTTTTTCAGTAGTCTCAAGTACATGTTACATGGTTAACTCTTAGCAGCTTTTACTTTGGATGAAAACCTGGTAAGTAAGAAATTCTAATTATGTACTAGGTGTGGAGCCTAGGACACCAGACAGAAGTGTAGATAAGGTCTGACTCTTTCCAGCATAGCTAGGGGGCATGGCTAACTCTGTGTGTCTTCAGGCCTTATGTAGCTTTAAAGCAGACAAGTTGTCCAGTTAAGAGTCATAGTAGAAGTTTAGGAAGCATTTAGTGGGCTTAATAACCTTTACAATTATATAACATTTCTTTATAAATTCCCTTTTACTAACTTTTTTTTTTTTTACAACTTACACAGACCATCTACAACATACTTGGACTCTCTCACTTGGCTTGAACATCCCTCTTTTTATACAACCATTTTACTTTAGGACAATAGTTTACCATACAAGATCCTTTCTCATATAAAATATCTTTTCTTTTTAACCTTCCTTACCAAAAATACCTCTTTACCTTTATAACCTTTGAATTAGATAAAAGTCATTTTCCTTCTATTAGGAAGTTATGGTTTGTTGCTGTGTGAGTCCTATGAAGGGGGAGCAGATGAGGTTATCTATATACTGTAGAAGTTATCCACCCTCAAAAGACTGCTTGGTTAGATTTTTACTAAGGCTTTTCCCAATACATGTGGGCTCTCTCTAAACCTCTGAGGTAGGACTTTCCAGTTGAAGTTATTGGTTAAAGATTTAGGTAGCTTTCTGAAGAGAAATGGGGCTATTAGACAGATGAATTCACAGGTTGGGCACCCATCTTTGAAAGTAAGTTTTTGCCCCAAAAGGGTGTGAATCTTTTCTTTTTAGGGAAGGGGTGCCATACGCCCCCATTACCTGACAGGATTTGGAGGAGAGTTGATCAGAGCAGGACATTAGCACAGAGTAGGCAGCTTTTGAACCCAAAAGGGAAATTTATAATTTTTACTTGCCACATCTAGAGTTTCCCTTGGCTTTGTACTGTTGATGGCAACAATGTCTGATTTGGAAGCCAGCCAGAGCAGAGAGCCCCTTCAGCTCAAGAGTGTCAGGAGTTGAGATTTTGTCTTGGGGGTGGGGGCGTGCTTCAACCCTCAGGAATGTCCTGTTCCAGTGGCTGAGCTTGTGGCAGAGGGGTCAAGCTGTGCAGGGATTTTTCCCTGATTATCCCATTGGGGAAGTTTGACTTCCAGTAGCCTGGCTTCCCACACCACTTGCAATTAACTGAAGGAGTAGGCTTTTGTAGTTTTTGTCCAGTTTATTTTTAGGCCAAACAGTATTACAAAGGAAAACTAGTTTTTTGTTTTAAGGTTTGAAGGATCAAACTTTTCCCAGTTTTTTGAGGATGCATCCATGGGGCATGTCCTGGGGTATGGAAACATGATTACCCATCTGTGAAGAGAGATCAGAGGAGGAAAAAGAAAAAGAAAGCGTCCCCTCTTACTTTCCTATATCCTGAATAGGACATCCCCCATTCGTCCTTAGGGTTCCATAATGAACTGGTCTTACCATGTACTCTTAACCTTTGTAGTGTCTTGTCACAATTACCCATTTGAGAACATTGGAGACACCAATATGAACAGGGCCCCCCAGTTCATCCTTGGGGTTACGGAATGAACCTGTCTTACTGTGTACCTATCATTGTGCCTTCAACCCTGTTCTAATGGTAATCTGTTAGCCTGGAACCAACCTTCATCTCTGTCTTATGGGTCTCTTTTGTCTGCAGTCTTGGGCCAGCCTATATCTTTGTCTTCATAACCTTAGAGTGACTCTCACTTGCAGCATTTTAGCAACAAAATGATGATCTCTTTTCTCAGATTCCCATTTTCCGTGTTCTTTAAGTAGATGAGAAGCCTGCTTTTCCAGCTAACTGCCACAAGGGGCTGGACTTCCCTCCCTTCAAATATGACCCTGAAGATCTTGGTGCATATTGGGAAGGGCATGGAAGTAATTCGTGAAATGGAGGCTACAGGAGGAAGTGGGAAGAAGCTAGAGGAATACTCATGGAAAGCCTTCATATGCTTGCAAAAACAGCAGCCCTTGGATTTGAGGGGGCAACATTTATTGGCCCTCTTGACCTAAAGGAGGAACCTCTGGAGCACTTGGGGCTTGGGGTGAGAACTCACAAATGGCAAAAGAAGAATTTTCTCTCCTCCCAAAGGGTTGCTAACTCCAAAAAAGCAAGTGGGTAAGGTCTTTAAAGGGCCTCAGAGTGAAGCCCTATGCAGGCAGGCAAACTGCTTCAAAAGACACTGGAAAACTTGGCCCTGGGGCATTAACAGGAACAAAAGGTGTATGGTAAGTCATAAGGAGCTCGCAGAGCCAGGGTTCCGATTAGTGTTTGTCTCAGCAATGTGCCAACAGACAGGAAGAGTTGGAGGTCATCTGAGCTGGTAGGGTAAAAACAAGTATAAATCTCAGGGAATATCCATCCACAAGGGAGCCCCTGTCTGCTGCCAAGCACACAGCAAGAGCTGCGGACACATGAATAACAGGGAGTGTGTGTTTAAGAAGTCAGGTGGCATGCAAAGTGAAAACGAAGAGGCAGATGTGCCCCTGAGGCAGGCAGTCTGGCGGGTGTGCAAGGCCATTTCAGATTACCCACAGGGAAAACAGGAGAAAAGGTGGTGTGAGTTTTTGGGAAAGAGCCGATTTTAGTTGAAAAAGCAGAGGAAATCCTAGACAGCACACGGTCTTAGGCTTTAGCCCTACCATTCTCACAAGCCGCCTGTCAGTGATATGTCTGGGATTTCCTCTGCTTTTTCAAATAAAATGTCTCAGGTCTGCCTGATGTAGACCCCAAGGTCTTTCCCATCCCCACAAGCTATCTGTCAGGGTGAACTGAGAGATCAGCCCAGTGGAGGGGGAGCAGAGCCACTGTGGCCAAGAGGAATAGTTCTGGGGGTTGGTTAGTAAGCAGGAGAGTGAAAGGAAGAGGAAAACTTCCTACAGGGGTTGAATGCCTCCAGCCTAAGAAGGAAGGCATAGAGGTATCTTACCACTGGGAAACATATCTGAGTCACATGTCACCAAAGTATGTATCTGCTCCCCAGGGAGCCTATAACTTCCTAAATAAAATAAGATTTTTTTATATATTGAGTAAAGCATTTAGCAACTTTATTTTATAATATAACCTTTTATCATAGGAGAATGATAAAGAATAATCTGGTCCCTGCCAGATTTCCTTTTTCTTGCCAACTCTTATACTTGGTCTAGCATGAGGCCCTGAGATGCTCTTATTGCCCCAACTTTCAGCTTTTGTAATGGAAAACATACATAGTTATTTAGCTAAGTAATGGTTCGTTATACTACCTCTGACACTTCAATAGTGCTATCATCTTCGCTTCCTCCAGTGTATAGATTGTGCCTTGCATGTGGTTGGTGCTTAATGAATACTTTACTGAGTAGATGAAGCTCTGTTGAAAAAAAACTTGCTTTGTATTTAATTATTTGGTTCCATTTTTTATACATTTATAGTTTTTACTATATCTAGAAATAAGAACAATTGCATGTTCCTTTCCTTTTCAGAATCATCTAGAGTAAGCAGGCCAAGAGTGTTTTTGATAATTAACAGACCATTGTCTGCTAAGATGATGAAGCACATTGAGTTTTTCAAAGAAACCAACAACATAGCAATATAAAATAATAATTAAATCCCCCAGTGTGACAAAGGGGTAAGCGGTATGACCATGACCCACTGTTATTTTTTTTTCAATAGGGGTGTGTGTGTGTGTATGCATGTGTGTGTTTGTGTTTAGGAGTTGGGGTCTTGCTCTGTTGGCCAAGACGGGAGTGCAGTCGCACATATGTAGAAATAATCTTGAACTATCTTAGCTATGAGCAATTAATGTAATGAAATACAATTAATGTATTTCTAAAATGTACTAATTTTAGAAATAGTAACATAGGTATTGTAAATTCATGGTCTTTTGGGGGTTTATTGTGATGAAATTAAAAGGCTAAATTACTCTTAAGAGTTTTTATAACTTTCGAAGAAGAAATGTTGGGGTCATGTATTAAAAGGATTTGGCTTTGATTATAGCTTTACAGTGAAGTTCATTTCTTGTCTGACCACGTCTTTAAATTATTTAAATAAGTCTTTTCCATCAAGTGCAGTTTTCCTGTCAAGGTTTATGTCTTTTTTTGGGGGGTGGGGTGGGGATGGAGTCTCACTCTGTTGCCCAGGCTGGAGTGCAATGGCACAGTCTTGGCTCACTGCAAACTCCGCCTCCTGGGTTCAAGCAATTCTTCCGCCCCAGCCTCCCGAGTAGCTGGGATTACAGGCAACTGCCATCATGCCTGGCTAATTTTTGTAAAGACAAGGTTTCACCATGTTGGCCAGGCTGGTCTTGAACTCCTGACCTCAGGTGATCCACCTGCCTCGGCCTCCCAAAGTGCTGGGAGTACAGCCGTGAGCCACTGCGTCCGGCCAGTTTATGTCTATAAATGAGTTTTTAAAAATCATACTGTGAATTCATCACATAAGTGAATGAAACCTTTTCTTTGCCTGTGTTCTCATCTCTTCTCCCTTCACCACAGAAATGCCAAAAGTCATTTGTGTCCAAGAAAATTAATATAATAATTTTTTTAAATCCTCCTTTTCCCCAAATAAGTGCTCATACTCTTTTCACCTTAATTGGAGGTGAAAAGCTGAATTCCCTACTACTGAAGATAGATCTGGATTGCTTGGTAGAATATGCAAGATGGTTCTTAGGTGGCACCCCCTTCCCGCTCCCCTCCCCCCACACACGATATTAGAGAAAAATCTGTGGCCAGTTCATTTACACTTGAATGTAGAAATCTAGTATTTCCTGATTGCTCAATTTGCTGTTTAGAGATGCAGCTTAAAATAGCCATCTATGGAGTTAGACTGATCCATGACAGCTTAACAGTGTTGGACCAACCTCTCTTGGCCCTAAACTATGCAGCTATTTTAAGCTATGACCCTAACAACTGACAGGGCATACTGTACCCTCTTAGCACTGAGCATTAGTTCTGTATTTCCAGAGCTAGACTGATTTAAACTTCTATAGAATTAAAGCTATCATTGTAATGTTTTGGGAATTGTTTTGTTTTGTTTTGTTTTGAGTGAGAGTCTCACTCTGTCACCAGGCTGGAGTGCAGTGGCGCGATCTCAGCTCACTGCAACCTCCGCCTCCCGGATTCAAGCGATTCTCCTGCCTCAGCTTCCTGGGTAGCTGGTACTACAGGCATGTACTACCACGCCCGGCTAACTTTTTGTATTTTTAGTAGAGACAGGGTTTCACTGTGTTAGCCAGGCTGGTATCGATCTCCTGACCTTGTGATCCACCTGCCTCAGCCTCCTAAAGTGCTGGGATTACAGGTGTGAGCCACCGTGTTTTGGAAATTCTTATACCCACCCACACAAGCTGCCAGCTTGCCATGGTATATCAGATTTCATTAAAATAAATACTATGGCAGAGGGGAAAGATACTAACCATAAACTCTTTGTGTTTTACCCAGGTAATATATTTTGAGCATTACTTCTTTGGATGAACTGCCTGTAAAACAGAAAAGTCCCAAGAATCGTTTGATGATCACTGTAATAAGATTATACTGTTTTTAGATGGTTAGTACACTAATACCTGATTCTGTGATTGCCTTTGCTCATATTTTCTGCTCTCATGGAAGATTGCTTTTTACCGTTATTTCCTGTTTTATCCATTTAATTGTTAGTGGTCCTGTTTACTAACTTTGTCCTCTTACCACTTCTCAACTGCATATCCATTTCTTTGGGACTTATTCCTTAAATTCCTACTAAGTCTAAGCACAAGGCTAAGTTCTGAGAGCATAAAGGTAGAAGCCTTTGCCTTCCAAAAGGTTATGTTCCAGTTGAGGAGACAGAATATTCATTAAAATAAAAGGTAATGCATAGAAGTAATACAAGTGGCATATGCTAAAAGAGAGATGAATGGTAAAAGATGGTAATACTAAAATTAAGAGCAGGATGAATCTTCTGAGAGCCAGGGCAGAAATAAAAGACTCCATGAAACCTGGTAGGCTTGAACTAATTCTTTGAGAAAAGGAGAGCCCTAACAGGAATAAAGAAGGAAGGCATTGTACAAAAGATAGTGTGTCCGGAATTGGTGGGTTCTTGGTCTCAATGACTTCCAAGAATGAAGCCACGGACCCTTGCGGTGAGTGTTAACAGTTCTTAAAGGCGGCATGTCCAGAGTTTGTTCCTTCTGATGTGGGGATGTGTTCGAAGTTTCTTCCTTTTGGTGGGTTTATGGTCTTACTGGCTCAGGATTGAAGCTGCAGACCTTCGCGATGAGTGTTACAGCTCTTAAGGCAGTGAGTCTGGAGTCGTTTTTTCCTCCCGGTGGGTTCGTGGTCTCGCTGGCTTCAGGAGTGAAGCTGCAGACCTTCGCGGTGAGTGTTACAGCTCATAAAGGCAGTGTGGACCCAAAGAGTGAGCAGCAGCAAGATTTATTGCGAAGAGCAAAAGAACAAAGCTTCCACAGTATGGAAGGGGACCCGAGCGGGTTGCCACTGCTGGCTCGGGCAGCCTGCTTTTATTTTCTTATCTGGCCCCACCCACATCCTGCTGATTGGCCCATTTTACAGAGAGCCGATTGGTCTGTTTTACAGAGCGCTGATTGGTCCATTTTGACACGGTGCTGATTGGTGCGTTTACAATCCCTGAGCTAGACACAAAAGTTCTCCACGTCACCACTAGATTAGCTACATACAGAGTGTAGATTGGTGTATTTACAAACCCTGAGCTAGACACAGAATGCTGATTGGTGCATTTACAAACCTTGAGCTAGACACAGAGTGCTGATTGCTGCATTTACAAACCTTCAGCTA
Source organism: Homo sapiens (assembly GCF_000001405.40). Classification (NCBI taxonomy): domain Eukaryota; kingdom Metazoa; phylum Chordata; class Mammalia; order Primates; family Hominidae; genus Homo; species Homo sapiens. The sequence continues at coordinate 21,460,884 of NC_000007.14, forward strand.
GACACAGAGTGCCGATTGGTGCATTCACAATCCCTTAGCTAGACATAAAGATTCTCCAAGTCCCCACCAAGATTAGCTAGACACAGCTGATTGGTGCATTTCCAAACCTTGAGCTAGACACAGAGTGCTGATTGGTGTGTTTACAAACCTTGAGCTAGATACAGAGTGCTGATTGGTGTATTTACAATCCCCTAGCTAGACGTAAAGGTTGTCTAAGTCCCCACCAGACTCAGGAGCCCTGCTGGCTTCACCCAGTGGATTTCGCACCAGGGCTGCAGGTGGAGCTGCCTGCCAGTCCCGTGCCATGCGCCCGCACTCCTCAGCCCTTGGGCAGTCGATGGGACCGGGTGCCATGGAGCAGGGGGCGGTGCTTGTTGGGGAGACTCAGGCCGTGCAGGAGCCCACGGGGGTTGGGGGAGACTCAGGCTGTGCAGGAGCCCACGGCTGGGTGGGGGTAGACTCAGGCATGGTGGACTGCAGATCCTGAGCCCTGCCTCGCGGGGAGGCAGCTAAGGCCTGGCGAGAAATCGAGCGCAGCGCCAGTGGGCCAGTACTGCTGGGGGACCCGGCGCATCCTCCGCAGCTGCTGACCCAGGTGTTAAGCCCCTCACTGCCGGGGGCCAGCAGGGCCGGCCGGCAGGCCAGCCGCTCCAAGTGCAGGGCCCGCCAAGCCCACACCCACCCGGAACTCTAGCTGGCCTGCAAACACCGCGCGCAGCCCCGGTTGCCACCCGTGCCTCTCCCTCCACACCTCCCCGCAAGCCGAGGGAGCCAGCTGCAGCCTCGGCCAGCCCGGAGAAGGGCTCCCACGATGCAGCGGTGGGCTGAAGGGCTCCTCAAGCGCAGCCAGAATGGGCGCCGAGGCCGAGGAGGCACCGAGAGTGAGCCAGGGCTGCCAGCACGCTGTCACCTCTCAATAGGAAGTTGGAATATGCTTTGTATAAGAAAGAATGGATAGACCTTTAAAGTTCTAGTGGAGACTTTGAGGAGAATGTTAGAAAATGAAGTTCACAAGGTTGGTAGAAGTTTGGTTGTAGAATGACGATGTCAGACCAAGGACAGGTGAAAAGGGTATGTGAATGTGTATATTTTTGAGGGGTAGGGGACAGGAAGTTTCATTTATAAAGCAGTGTTTTAGTTTTAGTTTTTTTTTTTTTTTTTTGAAGACAGGATCTCACTCTGTTACCCAGGCAGTGCAGTGGTGTGATCTTGGCTTGCTGCAACCTCCACCTCCCAGGCTGAAGCAATCCGCCCACCTCAGCCTCCCAAGTAGCTGGGACTACAGGTGTGCTGCCACCAGGCCCAGCTAATTTTTGTATTTTGTAGAGATGGGGTTTTGCCATGTTGCCCAAGCTAGTTTTGTTTTTTAACAGACGTAGGAGAAATGGGGAAGCCAGTTTCGGGACCATAGTATTGACTCAGATATCAGTGATGGGAAGTCTGAACTTGAGTGTAAAGTATGTGGTTCTCAAGAGTCTTAAAAAAATAAAAATAAAAAAGAATTTGATGTATGAATGGAGAGAGGAAAAATATTTTAAGGGTAATTCTGTAGAGTTTGAATCTGGATGACCATGAAAGTGCTTGTGCCATTGAAAGAAATGACTTCCAGAAAATGAAAGTGATGAACCTGAATTTTGATATTTGTTAATAAGTCTGAGCTAATAGTATGTTGAAAGTGTCTAGTTTGTATCTGGAGATTGGTCCTGAGAAGAGATCAGAATCAGCAGTCTAGATATGAAAGTCTTTTGCATGGAGATGGTGTAGAAATTATGGCAGTGTATGAAATTGAGGCAGACAGTTTTGAGTTTGAATTGCAGAATTATGAGAACTGAACTTAGGGTTACACCTGGTCTTTGGGGGCCAAAAGCAGAAAGTTAAGAAAAGTGAGAACCATCAGAGAAATAGAAAGAGAACAGGGTAGTATGTCAGCAGCTAAGAGGAATCTCAGATGGTATTGAATGTTGACTTGAGAGTATTGAGAAAAGTTCAGCAGGTTTTGTGTTTGAATCATTTGATAAGACCTAAGAACTGTGCTGTTCAATATGAAAGCCGTTGGTCACATGTGGCTTATAAACCTAAAATTAATTAAAATTAAAAACTTATTTCCTCAGTTGCATTAACTACATTTAAAGTGCTAATTACCACATGTGGCAAGAGGCTATCATATTGGACAGCACTGATAAATAACTTTTCTTTTTTTTTTTTTTTGAGACAGGGTCTGTCACCCAAGTGAAAGTGCTTCTAAAATGAGATTTTAAAAAGGTGAGTCAATGTTTGGAGAACCAGTCAGATGCTGATAATAGAAGGGAGAATAAAGATACTTTTGGGTGACTTCTCAGTAAATTAGGAGGCAAAATCATCTACAGATTGTAAGGTGCAAGGAAAGGGGAATGAGGATTTGAGGACAGAGGGAAAAAAATTGGAACAGCCAATGAAGGGCTATGTACATTGCCAGCATAGGATGAATGAAAGGTTACCAAGCAACAGTGATGGCTCAGGTAATGTAAAGTTTAGGGCTTTATTAGCCCTCCTGTAATCTCTTTCCTTGGTGTTTAGCAGCCTAAGAACACCAGAAAGTGGATGATAAGAATTACCATCAGGTGTGGCAGAAGTTCAGCGAGACACAAGGGATTACCACGGATGCTAAGCGAAGCCAGAGGAGGGTTGGATTGAGAGTGTGTCCACATAACTAGGGAACAAAGTGAGGATGAAGATTGAGTTCAAAAATAAACGGAGTGAAAGGGACAGGAAGTTAAATATCGTGGTTGGAGAAGAGATAGTGCCAAGCCTGACTTCTTGGAGGAAGAGCAGTTCTAGTTGAAGACAGAGTTTGAGCTGGGTTGTGTCTGTAGGAGACATCTGAATGTAGAACTGATTTTTTTTCCAAACCTGCTTCCTCTCCGGGGTTCCCCTATTTCTGTTAATGGGATCATCATCACTCAAATTAGAATACTTATAGATTTATTTGATCTTTATCAATTAATTATCTTAAAAGTTTATAGTTCTAAGGTTCAAGTCTTAGTTTAGCCACTTAAATCTTGATCAAGTGTTTCTCTAGGTCTGACTGTCCTCATCTGTAAAATGGCAGAAATCATGTTACTTTAGTGGGATAAGATATGTAAAGTACTTTGCACAGTGCTTAGAACACAGAAAAGATTTCACTAAGTGCTAGCAACTATTTATTATGATAATTATTATTTATTCTTATATCTGATTCATTCCCTTGTCAGGGCGCTCTCTTTTTTTTTTTTTTTTTTTTGAGATGGAGTCTAGTTCTGTCACCCAGGCTGGAGTGCATGGCCTCCCGGGTTCATGCCGTTCTCCTGCCTTAGCCTCCCGAGTAGCTGGGACTACAGGCACCCACCACCACGCCCAGCTAATTTTTTGTATTTTTAGTGGAGACAGGGTTTCACTGTGTTAGCCAGGATGGTCTCGATCTCCTGACCTCATGATCCGCCCACCTCGGCCTCCCAAAGTGCTGGGATTACAGGCGTGAGCCACTGCGCCCGGCCAGTCAGGGCTCTCTTTCAGAGCCTCGTGATCTGGAAGGTAAAATAGCTTCTTTCCTAACTGGTATCTCTGCCTCTACGTTTTCACATGTTTATTTTGTTCTTGACATTTCAGAGTTTTCCTAAAACTGAGATCTGATACACCCCTGCTCCGTTTGTCACAATCTTTGTTTAAAAATCTATTTTCTATTTTTTTTTTTTTTTTAGAGATGGGGTCTTACTGTGTTGCCCTGGCTAGACTCAAACTCCTGGGCTCAGGCAGTTCTCCAGTCTCAGCCTTCTGAGTAGCTGGGACCACAGGTGTGCACCACTGTGCCAAGCTTCCTCACAACCTTCATAGGCTTCCAATTGCAGACTTTTCAAGTTATAAAAACTGTCAAGAGGTAATAGAGCCCAATGTAGAATAAAAGTTGGTGATAGAGGCTATAGCAATGCATTACTACTATGGTGACTCATTGTACATCTAAAGGACCGGAAGTAGCTTTAAAACTTTTTAAGACTATTTACAATTTCACATAGAATTAGCCAGATTTTCCTTTTTTGATTTATTTTTCACCATCAACTTAGGCAAGTATGGTTCAACGTAGAATGAGGGAAAATTAGAAAATTTTTTTTGTTTTGTTTTAAATATGGCAAATTCTGTTTAAAGAAAGTATTCATATCTTTCTAGGGTTTTCCGGCTAGGAAGGATTTCCTCAACATAAACAGAGTTGAGAATAGTTGACAGTTATCTGGAGCAAGATTAGAATAAATAGAAATAACTAGGTACCAAAGAGGGTGTATATCTTTGTTTTCCTAAGCTTTTCTCTCCAACACCAAATGACTAGAGTTGCCTTTCCTTCCTAGCTCAGGGAGTTTCAAAAGAGCAATACCTTCAAGCATCAGAATTGATAGACAGGTGTTACTGTGTTTACCTCTAACTCCCTGTTGCCTGCAAAGTCCAAATAATATCCTAGTGCTTAAGGAGAGAATATAGCCAACCAGAAAAGAGTGTAGGGCTCTGGATTCAGGCTGACCTAGGTTCACATCTTAGCTTTGCCACTTAATAGCAGCTATGTAATCTTGGGAAATATGCATAACCTCCCCAAATCTTAGAAGACAGCATTAGACAAAGTATAGGTGTAAAATAGTTTAGTTCGATTATAGCCATTTAGTAAATTGAGTAAGTGCGAGTGATTATTGTGTGGCAGGTATTCTGGATTGGGGATGGGAAGGATGGGCATAATACCTTAACAAGGATTCCCTCTCTCCTACCCTAGAAAGTCCCTTCTTTAAGAAGTTGACAGCCTGGACAACATAGCAAGACCTTGTCACAATAAAAAATTTAGCTGGGTATGGTGGCACTTGCCTGTTGTCCTACTGGAGAGGGCTGAGGCGGGATGATTGCTTGAGCCTAGGGGTTTGAGATTACAGTGAGCTATGATTGCACTACTGCACTGCAGGCTGGGCAACAGAGCAAGACCCTGTCTCTTAAAAAAAAAAGGTTTAATTAAGGCCCTTCCTGATCTATCCTTCCAACCCTATCTTTAGCCCCCTCACCTCCTTGAACTTTAATCTCCAGTGGTATGCTGTCTCAGGGTTATGTCTTTAAATATAGCCTTCCCACTGCCTTCCCATTTGCCTTTATTCTTTCCACCTGTCAGTGGATTCATCTCCTCTGTGAAGCCTTCATTGTTTCTTTTTGACAGTAAATCACTGTCCTCTCTGTTAAGTAGGCATTTTATGCACATTTTTGTTATTGTGCATATTATAATTATTTATTTGAGTGTGTCTTCCCTACAGGTGAGGGCTTCTGGTCAGATCTTATTTATCATTTCTCCAGCAGCATTAAGCACATAGCAGGTACTCAGTAGAAGTTTGCTGTATGAATAAATCTCACTTCTATACTAAGTCCACATCCAAAGTGCTAGGACTTAAGGAAATGTGAATGGCTGTTAAGTATTTGTACTTAATACATTTGCAGTTTGTTTTACTGGAGTTAACATTCCTCTTGAGTGTTTATCATATTCCAGACATTATGCTAAGACGTGTGCTATATACACTATTTCAGTCAACTCCCACAGCTCCCAGGTCCTCAAAGGAAGAAACTGCAGGGAGAATCAGAACTCAGAAACAGGTCTGCTTGACCCAAAAGTTCTACTTTCGGCTCTACTAAACTGTTGCGCCTGTTCAGTAACTCAATATTGGTTCACAGATTGTACATAACCCATAGTATGTTGATAGTCCTGGAAGTCATTGGCTAATGGGGTTCACCTTCATTTAAGAGATACAGAAGGTACTCGGTTATTTCTTAATATTTTCATTTATAGTTCATCTACAGGAAAACATGTCATTGAAGCTCTTCCATAAGGCAAAGAAGTATTTTGTAATTAATAAGCATAATTTTCAAATCTAGGATTTTTTTTTTTTTTACCACCAGTGTACCATGGAATCTCTCTAGTCATATGTCTGTCAAAACTGTCACAGCCTATTCCCAAATGTATGTAGCTCTCTTTTCAAAGGCTTTAATTCAGTCATATAGTTTCTGTTTTTGTGGAGACTCATGTAGTTTTTATAGGGATCACACAAATGTACCATATTTTAATTTTTCATATGTTTTGTTATAGCTGTTTATAATGATATGAATGAGAGGCATAAATGTTAGTTGAGTTATTCCAGTGCTGAGTTTCAGTGGATTTCTTAATCTCAGCATTATTGACATTTTAGGCCAGGTAATTCTTTGTTTTTGGGGTCTGTTTTGTGCATTGTAAGATGTTTAGCAGCATCCCAGGCCTCTACTCACTATATACCAGTAATCTCACACTTTGTGACAACCAAAAATGTCTCCAGACATTGCTGAGTATCTCCTGGAAGGCAAAATTACCTTCATTTGGGAACCACTGGCTTAAAGGTACTTAGAGCCAACAAAAGTAGAATTAAAAAAAAATTTTTTTTTAAATCTAGTTACCTTTAAAAAAACAACTTTATTTATATATATCCATACCATATTATACAACAACTTCAAGTGTATATTCAATGGCTTTTGGTATATTGATAGAGTTTTGCAGCTATCACCACAATCTAGTTTTAGAACATTTATATGACCTCATAAAGAAACCCTTATTAGCAGTCATTCCCCATTTCTCCTTTCTATCCTCCCCAGCCCTAAGCATATTTGGTTATCTTTTTATGTTTAGGAATATACATCCTGCTTGCTTATTTTAAGTCAGATCATTATGTAAACCAAATCCTATTTTAGAGTGTGTTTATTGAAAGTTATTTGCAATGTTAGGAGACATATTTTTTGAGAGGACCTTAGACATTTTCTTAGGCAGATTCCAAGTTTAATCTGTAAAGGAAGTCAATCTAGGTAGGCTCAGTTAAGAATCATTTTAGTATTATTCAGAACAGAAAAAATCCCACTGCCCCCCATGGCAAGTTTTGTATCATAGAAATCAACAGCTTTTGTTTTTCCTGATCAGTTATATTAGAAAACCTTGTTCCCTAGGTTATATGCACAAAACATAATTAAGAAACACATGTACTTTGAACCTGCTGTATGATTATTATTAAATAGGTCAATTTCAGTTTATTGGTTGGTGAGTTTATTTATAGGTAGATAGATAAATAGTTTTGTTTTTCAAATTTGCGGATCTGTCTTACTTACAGAGTAATGTTACTTACTATTTACTATAAGAAAAAACCTTGCAAATCGTCTTTTCCAAAAGAAGAAATAAGGCACAGTTGGATTATTTTGTGTACACACACGCATCTGTTTTAAATTGTGTTCATTTCTGTCCCTATTCCTAAGCTAACAGCACCTTATTTTAATTACTGTAGCTACCTACATATCTTTATTCTACTATTCTGCTTTTTCAGACTTTTCTTAGCTGATTTTTCACATGTCAAATTAGCAGACTTTCATGGAAAAGTTTCGAATTAAATTTGTGATTGCATTCACTTCCTAGAATAATTTTGGAAGAATTGACACATTTAGTTTAATGATTCTTCCTATCCAAGAACATATATTTCTCTCTTTTGAGGTCTTGTTTTATATCCTTTATTAAATCTTCCTCAAGATCTTGCATATTACTAATTAGATTGATTTCTCAGATATTTGTGGTTATTGTTGCTATTATGAATGGAATTTTTTTTTTTTCTTTTTCAATTGTTTGTTGCTGATATGGTTGGGAACTGTTGCTTTTTTATGTTGCTCTTGTATTTGGCCATCTCGCTGATGTACAGATGTCATATTATAATAATTTGTTGATTTTTCTATAGTTTTCTAAGTAATATAATTATATCTTTTGTAAATCATGACAGTTTCGTTACTTCCTTTTAAGTCTTTATTTCTTATATAGATCTGTTATTTCTTGCCTTACTACATTGGCTTAGACCTTAAGGAAATGTACAGTATTAGAGGTGAGAGCAGTAATCACTTCTATTAGAAACTACAGTGAGATATCCAATTTTTTGTTTATTAAATGATTTTATACATTTTACTGAATTTCTCATGCTCCATGAGATGAAACAGCATTCTCCCATACTTCTGGTGGAAATGTAAATGAATGCAGCTCTTTATATATACTCCTGTAATTTTATAATCTAGATAGTCTTACAAATGTTTCATGTCCTTTGATTTAGTAATCTCACTTCTAGGACTATCCCTTGGAAATAATAAACAATATTTTAGTTCAAGTTGCTCATTACTTTATGTTACTTATAATAAGTATTTGGAAATAAATATCTAACAGTACAGTAATGGCTTTGTAAATTATGGTATATGATGAAATATTGCACAACTATTAAAATAATTTGTAATATTAATAACTTAGAAGTACTTATATTACTAAATAAGTAAAAGAGGATAATACAGAATTTTTATATAGTAAAGTTGTATCAGCATCAAAATACATTGAACAAAGATTAAAACAGAACTTAGATCATCACATCAAAATGATAATAGTGGTAATCTATGGGTAATTACTTTCTGGATGATTTCATTTCCTCATTCATAGTTTTCTATGGTGAGCATGCTTTGTTCTTAAAATCAGAAGAAAAAGAAACTTAAAGTGTATGTGTTTGTAATACTAAACTATTTATTTTCATCAAAATAGGTAGAAAGGGAGAAATCTTAGCCTATTCCCTAAATGGCAAGTTTAGTTATAATTTTTTTTTTTTTTTTTTTGAGACGGAGTCTTGCTCTGTCGCCCAGGCTGGAGTGCAGTGGTGAGATCTCCACTCACTGCAACCTCCGCCTCCCGGATCCAAGTGATTCTCTTGCCTCAGCCTACCAAGTAGCTGGGACTACAGGTGCCCGCCACCACACCCGGCTAATTTTTTTGTATTTTTAGTAGAGACAAGATTTCACCATATTGGCCAGGCTAGGACTAGTTGGTCTCAAACTCCTGACCTTGTGATCCACCTACCTCGGCCTCCCAAAGTGCTGCAATTACAGTCATGAGCCACCATGCTGGGCCTATAATTTTTTAGAGTTAATATTTTTATAATACTCTTTTCAAAAAAAAAACACCTTGCTGAATGTAGATAGCAAATGTCATAGGAGAAATCTGATACCTGAGAGAGTAGTACATAGTTTCAGAACCAAGGTTGAGAGTTATGCTCTGGGATCTGCTTCTAAATGATCTGACTGCCATATCAGTGAGTCAGGGAGGAAGTGTAGCAGATATCCACTTGATTTGGTTTCTTACTGTCTTGTCACCCATGTGCATGTGTATTGTAAACTAGCTGTCATTTAGCAGCCCTGTGATATACTGCTGGCCGAGTTTCGTAAGAAAGCTTCTATGTTTGTATAGATTTTAGATTATCATTCGCTTTATTTAAGAAACATTCATTAAGTACTTTCAGTGTGTCAGGAACCTTGGTAGCCAAAGGACAAATGACATAAAAACCACACAGATGGCCTCTTTCTTGAGCAGCTTTTGTTGGAAATAATTTATGACTAATATTATGATGGAGTGAGATGGTGTCTTACTAGTAAGACCAGAAATACTTAAATTCTAATTCAACCAATTCTTGAGATCCCTTAGGGAGCTAGGTATACCAAAATTCAAGTTAGAATTTGTTGGCTTAGGCATAGGCCCCTGCCTCACAATCCAGAGAACTAGGTTATTCTATATGGAATATGCCTTTTTCCTTTACCAGCTAAACCTGACTTTCCTTTCTACGTGTTAGCTTAAATTCAAGTCGTCTCAAATTTTACTACTCTACTAAGGCAAAAAACTACTGGTACTAAAAGAAAATGAGCAAGAAATGTCCAACAAGCTAGATCTTGTTGAATAGTTAGCAATTCAGATGTCTTACTACCTACCAACAAACTGTCCCCCTCCATTACCTTGGCCCAGTTTCTATATTTGGAAAAAAAAAAAAAAAAAAAAGCAGAACAAAAAAGGAATAAGAAAGATGGCTTGGCTGCTCCAAGCAGCCTTGGAATGTTTTACCTCTGGTAATGTGGAAGAAAAATAAAAGAACGGCCATCCTCAGTCTGTTTCACCATAATGTGTAGTTACAATACCAAGAAATTTTGAGTTATTAAAAAAATTATTTTACAAAGCAGTTTCATTGGTAAGAAGGATTAAAGACTAAAATCTGTAAGATGAATAGACTTTTGTCAGACCAAGGGAGATGGAGGTTTGGGGTGGGAGAATGTGTTGGATTCCAGCTATATTATTCAAATGCTCGGAGACACAGAACATTAGAGAAGACAGGAGTTCACTGTAGGTGATGGTGAGAGTGGGCATGGAGCAGGAGTGCCAAGAGATGAAGTTATAAAACTAAGCAGGAGTTAGATCATGAAGAACTTTATGTACTATGCTAAGAAATACTGACCTTATTGTGAATGTATGGAGGGCCCATTGGCTTTTTGGGGAGCTAGGTCTGCAATATGAATATTAGAAGGGGCAAAACTGGTGATAAGGGCTTGCACTAGTGTACAAGCAATAGGTATGGTGAAAATGGAGACATTTGAGATATTTTGAAGAGGTAGACTTAACAGGGACTTATGATCAACATAGATAATGTATATGGTGGAAAGAGAATAGCTTTTTGAGTTGGATAAGTGTGGGTTCAAATCCCAGCTCTGTCACTTTTCCATTTTAGGATCTTGGATGTTTTACATACCCCTGAGAACCTTAGTTTTCTCATCTTAATTGGGACAGTAAGCTGGGTGCCATGGCTTGTGCCTATAGTCCCAGCTACTTGGGAGGCTGAGGCAGGAGGATCACTTGAGGTCAGGAGTTTGAGTGTAGCGTGGGCAACATAGTGAGACATAATCTCTAAAAGAATTTTAAAAATTAACTAGGTGTGGTGGCATGCATCTGTAGTCCCAACTACTCAGGAGGCTGAGGCAGGAGGATTGCTTGAGTCCAAGAGTTAGAGGCTACAGTAAGCCATGATTGTGCCGCTGTACTCTAGCCTGGGCAAGAGAGCAAGACTCCATTTATTAAAAATAAAAATTTGGGACAGTAATATTTAGCCCATAGGGATGTGAAACAATATATGGAAAACATCCAGTAAAGTGCCTTACCACATAGTAGATATAAAACAATAGTTGCTCTTGTTGTCAGGGTGAAGGAGATAGAGAGGAATCAAGAATGACTTCCAAATTTTCTATTTGAATGGTGAAAAAGAGCTATATTAGGAAAGTGGGCTAAGCTATCTGGTTCTTAGATTGCTTGTGAGGATTCAGGTGGAAGTGTTCACTGGCAGTTGATAGTAAGAGTATGACACTTCTGAGTGGAAGGCACAGATCTGTGAGTTAATCAGCTTACACATAGCAGTAAAAGTTATGAAAGTAGATGAGGTCCCCCAAGAAGAGAGTTAGAATGAGAAGTCAGAACCCTGGAGAGTGGCCTAGGAAGAGTAGAGGGTGTATTTTGTTTGATTGTTTGTTTGTTTGTTTGTTTTTGAGAGGGACTTTCTCTGTCACCCAGGCTGAAGTTGAAGTACAGTGGTGCCATCACGGCTCACTGAAGTCTTGATCCCCAGGGCTCAAGTGATCCTCTCACCTCAGCACCTCATTCTCATGAGTAGCCAGGACTACAGGCACATGCCACCATGCCTGGCTAATTTTTTAATTTTTTTAAGAGATGGCATCTCACTGCGTTGCCTAGGTTGGTCTTGAACTCCTGGGCTCAAGCAGTCCTCCTGCCTCGGCCTCCCAAAGTGCGGGGATTACAGGTGTGAGCCACTGCACCTGGCTGATAAATCTTTTCAGAAAGTGACATAAATTTAGATTTAAGTGCTGATTTTAAAAAATTGCTAAGGCCATGCATGGTGGTGCATGCCTGTAATCTCAGCTACTTGGGAGACCAAGGCAGGAGAATTGCTTGAGCCCTGGAGTTCAAGACTGGTCTGAACAGCAGAGTGAGACCCCCATCTCTTAAAAAAAAAGAAAAAAAAAAGCAACCAAACAAAAAGGAGCTAACAGAGAAGAAGGGGTTTCTGAAATGTAGGAAGTTAGCTCACAGAGTCAAAATTGAATAAGGATGGAGTGGCGAGTGGTGTCAAATGCAGCAGAGCAGTCCTGTAATGGTCACTGAAAAAATGCACAATAGATTTGGTCATTAGAAGGAAGACTGTGAACCAGGAGCTGAGTAAGTCCTTGTGGTAGAGTGCTTTGAATGCCAGACTTTGGTCGGTGGAAGAATGATTAAATGTTATTGAGCACGAAAGTGAGATGATCAGAACACTACTTTTTTATTTTTCTGGCAGCAGTGTGAAGGATGAGAAAGGAGGGAAAGCTCAATTTAGGTTGGTAGAGGCACAGATTGAACAAGGGCTTGGATCAAGATGATAATCTTGCTTGGAAACAGGTTAGCGTAAGAGCTGTTAGGCAGTAGTGTCTTCAAAATTTGGTCATCACTGGATGTAATGAGTAAAGAAGTAGCCTAAAAGATGACATTTTAAGGTTTTCAGTGTGGATAACAAGGAGAATAGGGGTAGCATTTACTGAAACAGGGACATTAGCAGAAGCAAGACTGGAAGATGAAATCATTTTTTATTTTTAAACTTTGATTTATTAAGCATATGCTATTGAGTGGCACTGTTATTGAGTTATTAGGCACTGTTACGGTACTAGAGATACAGCAGTGAACATAATAGGCAAGATCCCTACTTTCATGGCACTTTACCTTCAGAAGTGAGGTGAAGACCAAATTATAAAAGGACAAAGTAATTTAAGACAAATAAGACAAAACTAGGTGATGATACAGTGATATATTGAGGGGAGCTTTTAGATGGGATGGTCAGGAATGGCATTTCTAAAGAGGAGAGATTTGAACTCAGACCAGAATATTACAAAGGAATCAACTATGCAAAGATCTGGGTGCAAAGGCATCCCCACTTAGACTGGAGAGTATATGCAAAGTCCCTAAGAAGGAAATGAGCTTGATTTATTTGAGGGCCAGAAGAGAGGCCAGTATATCAGGTGCAGAGTGAGCAAGGGAGAGACTAATAGAGATGAGCTCTGAGAAGTCAATAGAATTAAACTTAAGTGGGGCCTCGGAGGTCTTGCTCTGGAGTTTGGTGGCTTACTGATGGCAGTGGAAATAAAGCAGTATGTTGAACTTAGCTGTCTGTGAAACATCTAGATGAAGTCAATTAACGGGCTTCAATATACAAACTCAAATATAATTTGCCTCTGTTATTCATTGAAATAACTTTCCAAGTTGTTTAGGCATTGAACAAAGAAATGCTCACAATATGGAGGCTTGAGGAGTGTGTCAAGGACATGGTCAGGGGACCAGAGGGATCAGGAATCTCTAGCAGTTCTTCCCCACCCCTCACCCCCAGACTTAGCTTTGACTTGAAACTCATCTAGCAGTTCTTTACCAAAATAAAGGTCATCTTAAATATTATTGCGACCTTTAAAGTAATGACTGTTATATAAATGTTATGAGAAAAGTAGTCAGAGAATCACGGCCAAAAATACCTGTGTCTTCAGGGGATGTAAAGGGTACTTACCAACTTAAAATACCTGCAGCTCCATAGGGACCATGCTGTAGATTTTGTATAGTGCTTGTTCAGACAGTACTCTCATTTCTAGAAATGCATTTTTTGCAGTAAACAAAGTGTGTGTATCACTGTGCTTCTTGGTACACAAGTAGTTTGAATAGATTTTGTAGCCAAGGTCATCCTTAAGCCATCTAGTTTTACTGAATACATGTTCAAAAACACTGAAACAAAATAATTATACCTTTTGTTTATGTATTGCTTTATAATTTATATAGCCTTTACCCCTGGAAAATCAACTTGATCCTCAGGAACAGCTCTTTAAAGTAGATAGGGAGCAGAAATTTTATGGAAGTCAGTGTTACTATTTTAGAGTTGAGGAAACTGAGGATCTCTGAGTGCACAGTCATAAATTTACAACTCTCACTTCACTTGCATTGCTTTACTTACCACACCATGCTAATTCAAAGGTGTACAAAAATGTAAATTTTAGTAGAGGGTTTGTATCCTTACTAAAACAGTGACAAAATAAATTTTTTAATGTGCATGTTAGTTATGGGTGCTACCAGAAGGATTAACGGTGCTGTGGATACGCAGAGGAGAGTGAGATTGACTTTGGCTGGGAGAGTCAGAGGTTTAATTTTGTTTAGAAAATGTGTACTGTTTTCTTACTTGGTACTTTTTATTGCCTCTTCTTGGTTGCCCCATACATTTAAGGTACTACATGTGCAGCTTTGAAATAACCTCCCCCACCCTTTTTTTGTTTTTTGTTTTTTGTTTTTTTTTTTGAGACAGAGTCTCACTCTTGACGCCCAGGCTGGAGTGCAGTGGCACAATTTCGGCTCACTGAAACCTCTGCCTCCCGGGTTCAAGCGATTCTGCTGCCTCAGCTTCCCAAGTAGCTGGGACTACAGGTGTGTGCTACCACACCTGGCTAATTTTTTGTATTTTTAATAGAGATGGGGTTTCACCGTGTTAGCTAGGATGGTCTCCATCTCCTGACCTCGTGTTCCACCTGCCTCAGCCTCCAAAAGTGCTGGGATTACAGGCCTGAGCCACCACGCCTGGCCTGAAAGAAACCCTTTTATTTTGTATGCAGGACCGGTATGTTTGTTTCTGCTAGCATATTTTATTGTTATTTTGAGACAGAGTCTCGCTCTGTCGCCCAGGCTGCACAGTCTCAGCTCACTGCAAGCTCTGCCTCCCAGGTTCATGCCATTCTCCTTCCTAAGCCTCCTGAGTAGCGAGTAGCTGGGACTACAGGCGCCCGCCACCACGCCCGGCTAATTTTTTGTATTTTTAGTAGAGGCTGGGTTTCACCATGTTAGCCAGGATGGTCTCGATCTCCTGACCTTGTGATCTGACATCTCAGCCTCCCAAAGTGACATATTTTATTCTTGTATTGCCACTGAACTCAGCAGAGATGAATTGGTAACAGTAGCTACCATGTAATGAGCAATTCCGTGCCAGCACTCTGGTAGAGGATTTGTAAATTTACTTAATACTTACATCAACTTTCTGAGGTAGAAACATTCTTTCATAAATTGGTATTTTCTTTTCAGTCCATTCACATACTTGTTATTCCCACACCTGATGGAGAGAATGTAGAACTGTGTGAAAGAAAAGATAATTATAAGGCATTGTAGGCCGGGCACGGTGGCTCACACCTGTAATTCCAGCACTTTGGGAGGCCAAAGCAGGTGAATCACCTGAGGTCAGGAGTTTGAGACCAGCCTGGCAAACATGGCAAAACCCTGTCTCTACTAAAAATACAAAAAAAATTAGCTGGGCATGGTGGCACACGCCTGTCATCCCAGCTACTAGGGAGGCTGAAGAAGAAGAATTGCTTGAACCCAGGAGGTGGAGGTTGCAGTGAGCCGAGATCGTGCTACTGCACTCCAGCCTGGGCGACAGAGCAAGACTCCATCTCAAAAAAAAAAAAAAAAAAAAAAAGCATTGTATTTCAGGATAATGTTAAGCCATGCCAATAGATTTTTTTATTGTTGTTTTATTGTGCATTATTTATTATATTTTTCCCAAAGTGAAGAAGCCAAGCTGGTATATATACTAATCTGAGTGATGAAGTCTAAGCTATATAACATGAATGAATAAAGTAATAATATCTTAAATGTCTTTTTATGATTACAGTGACAGTATGTAGTAATCTTGGGTGGTTTTGCATTTCAAAAACCACTTTATGTATACACTAAAAAAAGTCGAATCAATAAAGAGATGTTTATTTAAACTATTTAGGAATGCAAGATGTCCATAAAACTTAATCCTTTGTTTAGTGACTTTTCACTCCTGTATTTTCTTGTTATGATAAGATATGTTGCTTACCGTGGAAATGGTAATAAAGCTTTGTGTTTATATAACATCTTTTAGGATCTCAAAATGCTTTTAGACTATCTCATGTATCCTCATAGTATTTTAGTGAGTAGGTAAGTGGCAAGTATTATCTTCATTTTACAGATGGAGAGAGAAATTAAGCCACAAAGTGAGTTAAATGATGTATGTATATAGTTCCGTTATCTAGATACATAGGCAACCTGAGCCACTAAAGTAAGAATACTATATTTTAGAAGGATTGACATAGTATAAGCCATTAACCCCTTAGTTTTTGTACTTTACACAGATTGTTAGAAAAAATTTATTATGCACATAGATTTTTTTTTTTAATCCTTTCTTTAGGTGTAGAAAACATTACAATACTTCTTTTTTTTCTTCCTTTTTAGGTCAGCAGCAAGGACAAGATGGAGTAAAAGTCCAGCAAGCTACTATAGCTCCTGTAACTGTAGCAGTTGGAGGAATTGCTAATGCCACGATAGGTGCTGTTAGTCCTGACCAACTCACACAAGTGCATTTGCAGCAAGGCCAGCAGACTTCTGATCAAGAGGTACAACCTGGCAAGAGGCTTCGAAGAGTTGCCTGTTCCTGTCCTAATTGTAGGGAAGGAGAAGGAAGGTAAATGCTGTATTTTTCAACTGTGTCTATTTGGAAGGCATAAAACAGCAGTTAAAACCAAGTAATTGGCTGGGAATGATGGTCACTAGAACTTCATTACCTTTGTAGCCTAGAAGTTGATATATAATATTAGAAAGGGAATTAAGTTGGGCTATTTTAGGAATGAAATTTGAGCGGTCCTCCGCCTTGTTCCTTACACTTTTAAAAAATATTTTTTCTTTCTTCCCCACCCCTCCCCCACCCCAACAAGATGGAGTGTCACTCTGCTGCCTAGGCTGGAGTGCAGTGGTGCAATCTCAGCTCACTGCAATCTCTGCCTCCCGGGTTCAAGCGATTCTCCTGCCTCAGCCTTCCGAGTAGCTGGGATTAAGTACAGGTGCCCGCCACCACACCCGGCTAGTTTTTGTATTTTTAGTAGAGGCGGGGTTTCACCATGTGGGCCAGGCTGGTCTCGAACTCCTGACCTCAGGTGATCCACCCACCTCAGCCCCCCAAGTGCTGGGATTACAGGTGTGAGCCCCCTCGCCCAGCCCATTTTTTTTCTTTTTCATAAAATATTTACGTAACTTTATTGATATAAAACTCATTCGTACACCATACAGTTCACGAATTTAAAGTGTACAATTCAGTGGTTTTTAATATATTCAGAGCTGTGTAGACATGACTACAATCAATTTTAGAGTGTTTTCATCATCCCCAGAATAAATTCTGTATCTTTTTTAAGCATCACCCCCTTATCCCAATCCTTCCATCCTAGACAACTAATTTCTGTCTTTATAGATTTGCCTTTTCTGGACAATTCATATAAATGGAATCATGGTCTTTTGTGACTGGTTTCTTTTAGCATAATGTTTTCAAGGTTCAACCATATTACAGTATGATCAATACTTCATTCCTTTTTAGGGACAAATAATATTCCACTCTATGGATATACAATATTTTTGTTTATCCTGTCAATTGAAGGACATTTGGTTTTATCCACCCACTGGCCGTTATGAATAATACTGCAGTAAACATTTGTGTAGAACTGTTTGTGTGGGCATATGTTTTCATTTCTCTTGTATTTATATGAAATTACCTAGAAATGGATTTTTGGGTCATATTGTAATTCTATGTTTAACCATTTGAGGAACTTACCGACTGTTTTCCAAAGTGGCTGTACCATTTAACATTTCCATCAATAGGGTATGAAGGTTCCAGTCTCTCTAGATCATTGCCAGTACTTGTCATTATCTGACTTTATGATTAAAGCTATCCTAGTGAAGTCATATGTCACTGCAGTTTTGTTTTTACTGATACTAATGATATTGAGCATCTTTTCTTGTTCTTATTGGCCATGTTTGTATCTTTGGAGAAATGTTTATTTGGATCTTTTGCCCATTTTAAATTATATTATTTATTTTTCATTATGGAATTGTCTCTTTATATATTCTACATACAAATTCCTTATCAGATATACAATTTGAAAATATTGTCTCCTGGCTGGGCGCAGTGGCTCACGCCTGTAATCCCAGCACTTCGGGAGGCCAAGGCAGGTGGATCACCTGAGGTCAGGAGTTCAAGACCAGCCTGACCGGCATGGAGAAACCTTGTCTCACTGAAAATACAAAATTAGCCAAGCATGGTAGCGCATGCTTGTAATCCCAGCAACTCGGGAGGCTGAGGGAGGAGAATTGCTTGAACCCAGGAGGCGGAGGTTGCAGTGAGCCGAGATCGCGCCACTGCACTCCAGCCTGGGTGAAAGAGCGAAACTCCATCTCAAAAAAAAAAAAAGAAAGAAAAAAGAAAAATATTGTCTCCCATTGTGTGAATTGTCTGTATACTTTCTTGATAGTGCCTTTGCACCAAAGTTTTAATTTTGAAGTCTAGAGTTTTCTATTTTCCTTTATTGCTTCTGCTTTTGGTATTGTATCTAAGAATTCATTGCCAAATCCGAAGTCATTAAGATTCCTAGTTGTTTTTTTTTTTTAAGATAATTTTATAGTTTTTACTCTTACATTTAGGTCTGTGATTAATTTGGGGTTAATTTTTACGTATGGTGTTAGGTAAGGGTTCATCAAGCACCAGTTGTTGAAAAGACTGTCCTTTCTCCGTTGAATGTTCTTGGCACCCATGTCAAAAATTAGTTGACCATAGAACATGGATTTATTTCTGGACTTTCAGTTGTATTCCATTGATCTATATGACTATCTTTATGTCAGTACCACACTATCTTGAGTACTTTGGATTTGTAATAACTTTTGAAATCGAGAAATGTGAGTCCTGCAGCTTTGTTATTCTTCAAAATTGTACTGACTCTTTCGGGACACTTGCAATTCCATGTGAATTTTAGAATCAGTTTGTCAGTTTCTATAAAGAAACCAGATGGTATTCTGATGGAAATTGCATTGAATCTGTAGATCACTTTGGGGACGGTTGCCAGCTTAACAATATTACATCTTTTGGTCTATGCACATGGGAAGTATTTCTGGTTGTTTAATCTTTAACTTCTTTCATCAATGTTTTATAGTTTTCAGAGTATACATTTTGTACTTTTGTTAAATTCCAATTTTATTTCTGATGCTATTATAAGTTGAACTGTTTTCTTGATTGTTCAAGTATGTAGAAATACATTTTTTAATGTATTAATCTTTTATCCTGCAACTTTTGCTGAACTTTTTGATTAGTTATAACAGTTTTTTTGTTTGTTTGTTTGTTTGTTTGTTTAGTAGAGTCTTTAGGATTTCTGTGTATAAGGTCATGGAATCTGTGAACAGAGATAGTTTTTACTTTTTCCTTTCTACTCTGCAGGAGTTCTGTTTCTTTTTCTTGCTTAGTTTCTCTGTCTGGAACCTCTGGTACAATGTTGACAGTGTGCTTGTATTTTGTTGAGGATTTTTGCATCCATATTCATAAGAGAGATGTCTGTGGTTTTCTTTTTGTATTGTTTTTATCTGATTTTGGTAATGATAATACTGGCTTCATAGAATGAATTGGAAAGTATTCCCTCCAAACTGGTATTAATTCTTTAAATGTTTTGTGGAATTTACCAGTGAAGCTGTCTGTTCTTGGGCTTTTCTTATGGGTAGTTTTAATTACGAATTCAGTCTAGTTGCTTGTTGTAGGTGTATTCTGATTGATTATTTGTTCTTGAGTCAGTTTTAGTATTTTGGTCCGTATTTTTCTAGGAATTTGTCCATCTCCTCTGAGTTACCCAAGTAATTGCCGTAGAATTGTTCATGGTATTCCTTTGTAATCCTTTTTGTTTCTATAAGGTTGGTAGTGATATCTCCTCTTTGATTTCTGATTCTAATAATTTGAGTCCTACTTTCTTGGTCAGTCTAGCTAAAAGTTTGTTAGTTTTGTTTACTTTTCCCAAGAATCTCAATATTTGACATTTTTTCTGACCCTAAGAAGGTTCTTCACAGCCTCTTTGCTCACTTCTTTCTGGCAAACTAGCCAACCTGTAGTTAAGCCTTTATTTCCAGTGAATCTCTTAGTCTTCTCCCAATTAACTGCCTTTTGAAACCATCTCTACTTTTTTTGAGAGTACCCTTAGGCTTGAACTTCTTCACATTGTCTTGCAAATGAAGTCAATTCCTTTGGGAAGAGATTTGGAGCTCTTTGTTTTATGGTGTGTTTCTGACTTATGGCTTTTGAACCGGGGGTTGAGACAGTGGCTTTCTTTCTGAGTTACAACCCTGCTTTAAGAGCTGAGTGCCTGGTTGCTGGGGCAGCAATAGCCTCAGGTCTTCTCAACTGGCCTCTCCTGGCTTAGAACTTTGACTTTATGAACTATGAATGGGCCAGGTCAAGGGCAACCTGGACCCCAGTATTTTCATCATGCCACATCCAAGGTAGAGTCTATGTCCCAGGGCTAAGGACTTGGTTCTGCTACACTTGCCTGGAACTTAGCAACAGGCAACCAGGGGTAAGATAAGAAATGCAGACATCTTGCCCCTCCTGGGGCCATACTCCTCTGACCGGGAGGTGGGAAGAGTAGGAATCATATTCTTAGCTGCACCAGTCTCTAATGTTCCTGTGTGGAAACGGGAGGAAGTAGGGAAGGGGAGAGTCTTGGTTCAAATACCACAGACTCTTACTGTTCTTACCAATTTCTGTGAGATTTTCTTGAATAAATGTTTCTTTATTTGCTGTTATTTGCTTTTAGAACCATTTCCAGAGACTTTAAATGGTATTTTTTGCTTTTTTTAGAATTTTCACTGGGAAACAGATCCATGGAACTCCTCACACTGCCCTGCTAGAAACGAAACTCTGCATCTTACACTTTTAACTGGATTTAGCCATCCTTTTGAAATTTTAGAGAAGTTTCAAGTGTTTTGAAAGGCTTAGAGAGATTTTTTTCCCAAGGGAAGAGCCCACTATGACCAGGAACGTGAGTCCATAATAGAGCATAAACTCTTTGAGATTAACACATTTTCATAGCAATTTGGTACACAGACCTGTTTTATTTTGTCTTTAACTGAAAATTTTCTGATTTGAACTACAGTTATGGCATCATGATCAAACCTATTCAGAGAAGCATCATTTAATTACCTTGATTCTTTTTAATTTTTCTATAATTGTAAACCTACTATTTGGCAGTGTAATTAATGTTCGGTTTTTGTTTTTGCTAGAGGCAGTAATGAACCAGGAAAAAAGAAGCAGCATATCTGTCATATTGAAGGATGTGGTAAAGTTTATGGCAAAACATCTCATTTACGAGCACATCTTCGCTGGCATACTGGAGAAAGACCTTTTATATGCAACTGGATGTTTTGTGGCAAAAGATTCACACGGAGTGATGAGCTCCAGAGACATAGAAGAACCCATACAGGTTAGTTGATTTTAGGACTTGTACTTTTTACTTATTTCTTCAGTTTTTACATGAAAATTTTAGTGATAGTTTAGCTATCAAATTGGAAATATGCAAATGAAGGAGAAGGCATTTACTTTAGCAATTATATGGAAGATGTTTAAGATGAACATTTTTAACCTCATTTCTGAGATACATTTTATTCTACTTTTTGTAAACTTTATCAGCATATTTATGAGACAAGTGGAATTTATTCCATTTGTTTATATTGTAATCTTAGCATGTTGAAATCATACATTGTTTTTCATAAGTGTTTAAATAGGTGAAAAGAGAGTTGAATTATCATCTTAATGGGGACTTTCATTAGTGTGTTTTAGTTTTTTTTTTTCTTAACAAATCCAGAAAATTCACCAAAGTATCAAGAATAATTAAATAATAAACATCTAACAACCCTCAGTCAGAATGGTCAGTTGTTAATATTATATTTTCTGCTTTTTTTCAAATACAGCAAAGCAGTTATAAAGTGAACATCATGTTTACCCTTTCACCTTTCAAAGACTGCAGCTGCTATAAATCTAATGTGTCTAAGTTTTACGTACACTTTTAATACTCTGACATATATGATTAATGGATCTACATAAAAAATGTTTTGTGTGTGTTATGAAATGTTACAATGTTGCAGAATTATAAATTTCACTTGTTTTGAGATCTGTTTGTACATATATGTATATTTGCATATATGAATTTCCTTGAACTGCTATATAATATTTTATCACATGAGTCTACCACACTATATTAATTCATTCCCATACTGTTTGAGGTTATTGCTAGGGTTTGTGTGTGCTATCACAAACTTAGTTGATGAGAACATGTGTGAGAAGTGGAATTATTGGATCATAGAGAATGTGTATGTTTGGTTTTGCTAGGTAATGGCTAAAGAGTCTCTACAGTGGCTATTTAACTAGCAGTGATTGATAGTTTCCACTTTGTGCTCACCAGTACCCAGTAGTGTCAGGCCTTGAAAGTTTTTTTCAATCTAAAATTGTTTCTTATTTTAAAAATTTGTGTTTTTCATGGTTATCCATGAGATTAAGCACCTTTCATATGTATATTAGTCATTTATGGCTTTGTTTTTTAATTCTGGTTCTCATTTTTTCTTTCAGAAGTTTTCCTTATTTATATGATTTATATGTTATACTTTTCCCTTTCAATAAAGGACTAGTGCTAGTCTTTTATCTTTGTCATACCTTTTGTCATATGGAAGTCTTACATTTTTATTTAGTCAAATATAAATCTTTTCTTTTGTCTTTTGCTTTTTGTTTATAAATTTTTCTTCTGTCCCAAGGTCATAAAGTCTCAAAAAACAATTTCTTCTAATAGCTTTAAAGTTTTATTTTTGTAAGTTTGATCTTTTATTCGCTCAAGATTCTTTTTGTTGATGGAATGAAATGAGAATACAATTTTATTTTTCTTTCATATGGAAAGCCCTTTCTTAAACAGCCCATTCTGTCTCTATTGATTGTCCTCTTTTACATAATGTCTCCTTTAAGTGTGGTTCAATTTCTGGTTTCTCTGTTTTGAAGTTTTTATCTATTTGCCAGTTCCTACACCAATGCTCTTACTATATTAATGACTGTGGTTTTATATTAAGCCTTGACTTCTTTTTGGGCAATTTTCCTTCTTTCTTTATTTTTTTTTCTTTTTTTGCCCAGAACACCTACCCTTTTCAGAATATTTAGAATTTGGGACTCAGTATTTCATTATTGAATAAATTAATTTCAATAAATTATTGAATTATACTTTATACTTTAAACCTGTACCAAGATACATGTGGGACAAAGGGAGAAATAAAACTGACATTTCTAAATCAGCTGCTATATTATAGTCAGATATTTTGAATATATTACTTCATTTGATTCTAACAACAGCAACACCGGCATAGAAATTAGCTCCATTTTAAGATTAGAAAGTAGTATCAGAAAAGAAAAAATTATGAAATCTATTAAAAATGGTAAATATAAAGTTATTTAATTTGATATACACATAAAGTAGTAATACAAATGAGTACAGATTGAGTACCCCTTGTCTGAAATGCTTGGGACTAGAAATGTTCTAGATTTCGGATTTTTTCAGATTTTGCATGTGCACAATGCAATACTTCGGGGATTCATTTTTGTTTCATATATACCTTATACATAAAGACTGAAGGTAATCTTATACAATATTTTTAATAATTTTATGTGTGAAAGTTTGTGTTAAGTACTTATGTGTGGAATTTTCTACTTGTGGGATCGTGTCAACACTCAAAAAGTTTCAGATTTTGGAGCAATTTGGATTTTAGATTTTTGTATTAGGGATGCTCACCCTGTGTTAGTATAGCGTCGCAATCCCTGAAAAAGTTAGCATTATAGTAAAGCTCTGAATTTTAATTTTAAAAAAGATAATTTGAAATCTTTCTGTATAGTATATACACCATTGACGTTGGCAAATATGATTGATTAAAAGTTAATTCCATACCAGTTGTTGATATCTGTTTTAGAAAAATACTCTGCTATTTAGGTCTGCATGAAAGGATGCAGTGTTTCCATCCTGGATTAGCAGTGGGATAAATTAGGGAAGCCAAGAAAATTTTCTACTTTGTTTGATTTGGAACCTCACATTATGATTGCTTCATTTTGTCTAAGAAATGATGAGTTGGTAAAGTCCCTCTCTCTTACACATCCACACACTTGCAGATACACAAAACAAATTTATTTAAGAATTTATATATACATATACTTCAAAACCAAATATTATGATTTGGGGCATATCTTTAAAAAAAAGATTCACACCATTATTATCTACTGGATTGACAATTCATAATCCAATATACTTTAAGCTTACTTTCAGTGGTTCAAACATCTTAAATATATCACACATAAAATTGTTTAATTAAAACAGGTTGACACTAAAAAATATTAATATCAGTATACTTAAAATTGTTACTTTTAAAGATTTAACAGAGTAACTCCTGTTTGTTAAATTTGTCTAAAAGAATATGAAAAAATATATTTTGAAATAAGTATTGATTAAGCATTTAATATGTTAAGTTGAAAGCCTTAACCATTCGTAGCAACAACTATGCTTTATTTGATGTCTAACCACTACTACAAATAGAAACTTATTGACTTGGCTATGAATGAATGGAGTTATTTGTATTCACTGCTGAAAATAGTGATCTGTTTGCTTTTTAAAAAAATTTGTAAAGGTTTTCAAAACAATATATGCATATGGTATTTAAAAATGAAATCACAGAAAAGTTTACTGTAATAAGGAGGCTCTTTGCCCCACCCCATCCTGCTTTCCAGAGAATATCATAGCTAACTATTTTAACTATTTTTGCATTTTTGTTCTTTCTAGGATGACTGTCATGTATCTAAATCATATACTTAAACACTGTTATTTATTGATCTATCAATATTTTATACTATCTATTGAGTTCTTGCATTTAGAATTAAGGATTTACTTCACTTTGCACCATCTGAAGACATTAAGATTCTTTTGAAAAACTGTATGCAGGCCAGGCATTCTCTCTTAACTCACCACTCTATTTCCAATAAAGTTAGACAATGCCTTTTCTTTTTTCTTGTATTGTTTGACTTTACCTGAAATAATCTTTAGTTATTTCAAGTTTTTAAGAACAATGTGAATTCCAGTCACATTTTCCTTTTTTCTGGAGCCTTCCATCTTTCTAATGAACATGAACAGTTTCTTCTGTAGACCTGTTCCAGGGGTATTATCTTGAGATTTCTTCCCTTCTCTGTTCGTTTTAGATCTCATATTGGTTCTCAAGATCTCGTGTTTTCATTTTTCTTGGTCTACTCTCTTCGTTGCTGGAAAACGTGCTGAAATGCTTCCTAACGAAAAGCTTGGGGAAATAAATTTGT
The DNA here is from genome assembly GCF_000001405.40 of Homo sapiens. Classification (NCBI taxonomy): domain Eukaryota; kingdom Metazoa; phylum Chordata; class Mammalia; order Primates; family Hominidae; genus Homo; species Homo sapiens. The sequence goes on from NC_000007.14 coordinate 21,486,029, forward strand.
CTAAAGGATTCTTTATTTTCTCTTTCTGCTTAATTTGGTTGTTTGGCTAATACAGTATTCTAGATTGAAAATTACATTCTCTTAAAACATTGTCACAGCTCTATTTTCTTTCATCTGTTTTATCAACAAGAGGTTTGTTATTTTTTCTTGTTTTTTTTTTCTGTAGGTGACCTGATTTCTTCCCTGCAGCTTTATTTTTATTTTGAAATAATTTTATACTTAGAGAAGAGTTGCAAAGCTAGCATAGAGTTCGCATATCATTCACCAAGCTTCCCTTATTGTAAACTTCTTGTATAACCACAGTACCTTATGAGAATTAAGAAATTAACATTGTTGCAATACTATTAATTACACTTTCCACCAATATACCTTTTCTTTTCCAGGATTCAGTCTGGAATAACACACTGCATTTGTTTGTCATGTTTCCTTAGTCTCCTGCAATCTGTGACTTTTCCTAGTCCTTTCCTTGTCTTTTATCACCTGGACACATTTGAAAGTGGTTTTGGTATTTTTAGAATGTCTGTCACATTGGGTTTGTCTAATGTTTTCTAATGATTAGAGTAAGATTGTGAATTGTCATGAGAAGAATAGCACATTAGTGTCTTTCTCTTATCATATAAGAGGAAGTATGTAATGTGATTATCTCATTATTGGTGATGTTAACCCTGATGTATTGGTTAATGTAGGGTGTGCCACATTTCTTCACTGTAAAGTTACAGTTTCTCTCTTTCCATATTGTTTGTTAGAAGCAAGTCACTAAGTTCAGTCGACATTCAGGGGGAAGAGAACTAAGCTTCACCTCCTGAAGGGAGAAGTATCGAAGAATTTGTGGACATATGTTAAAACCACCACAATAATTACTATTTTAGAGGAGTTTGGGGGGCTTTTTTACAAATAAAATACTAAAGCTTCACTTTTAGCATTCCTCAGTGGATCTTGCCTGCAGCAGTTATTACTGTGATGTTTGAAAGGTCATTTTCAATTTTCCTTGTTCTTTGTACCACTTATACTTTCTTCTCCAATTATTTATGCAATCATTTATTTACATTGGTATGGTCTCATGAGTAGTTCTTTTGTTCTTTGGGTTATAATTCAATACTATCATTTTCTTGCTCAAATTGTTTCACCTTTGGCCATTGGAAGGTCTTTCACATTAGTTCCTGTGTCTTCTTGAAGTGCCCCTGTTTTGTTTTTAACGCTAAGGGCGCCTTTTAATCTGTGGTGTGCTGCTAATTTCATAATGCTGTATCTGAGAATAGATTTTTATTTGTTGTGCTAATGACTTGTACTCTGGGTCACCTCTCTCCCTCTCTCTCTCTTTCTCTGTCTCTCTCTCTCTGTCTCTCTGGGCTCTTAGTAGACATATTTTGGAATCTCTAGGGTTTTTTTTTTTTTTTTGGTCTTACAGTTTTTCTCTTATATCTTTTGTCTCATTACCATTTTATTTTCCATGAAATTTTTTAAGTTTACTTTCAGATATTTCTATTGAATTGCATTTTAATTTCCAATAGTGTATTCCATCATTGTTGGTGGGTTTTGTTTTGTTTTACTGCATTTTGTTCTCATTGTATGGATGCAGGTGCTTGCTGAAATTATCTCAGTTTTTTAATCTAGAATTTTATGTTTCCTCCAGGATGATTTTTTTGTCTGTATCTTTTTCCAGTGTTGTAGGCGTTCCTGAATTGTCCAGTGATTCTTTGTTTTTGTTCAAGTTGATGATGATGATGATGATGATGGTGGTGGTGGTGGTGGTGGTGGTGGTGGTGGTGGTCATGGTGGTGATTTGATGAAATCTTAAGTGAAAGATTTTGAAAACTTTATGAGCTAGTGGCGTTTTGTTTTGGTTTTTTTGAGACAGGGTCTCTGTCTGTCACCAGGCTGGAGTTCACTGGCACGATCACAGCTCACTGCAACCTCCTCCACCTCCCAGGCTCAAGTGATCCTCACACCTCAGCCTCCCGAGTAGCTGGGACCACAGGTGCATGCCACCACACCTGGCTAATTTTTCTATTTTTTGCAGAGACAGATTTTTCTCAGTGTTGCCCAGGCTGGTGTTGAACTCCTGAGCTCAAGCAATCCATCCTCCTCAGCCTCCTGGAGTGTTGGGATTATAGGTGTGAGCCACTGCCTCTGCCAAGCTAGTGGCTTTTATTTTAGGTAACTGGGTGGAACACTGTGTTACACTGGAAGATGCCTAATTACCAAAATACAATAATATGCTGTGCAACCATGTTTTTTTAAGATACAAATCTTTAATATTAACATTTTGCCCCAATTTTTTGATAGTAGTTATAGTCTATGTATGGACTTTAATTTTGTTTTATGTTCCATGTCTCCCTCCCAGCAGAAGACATTGACTGTCTTCTAGAACATATTCTCTTCCTTGACAATTTATTTTCTAGTTTGCAGACATTTGATATAATCATTGTTTTGCTGATGGACTTCCTTTCCTTTTTTTTTTTTTTTGTTATTGTAGATTTAACCCTTTTATGCCTTTACTATTATTTTAATGGGTGTCTCAGTGGGGAGAATAAACAAACACATGTAATCATGCTGCTCTCTTAAACTTTAAAGGGTTACATTTAGCCAGGTGCAGTAGTGCACACCTATAGTCCCAGCTACTCAGGAGGCTGAGGCGGGAGAACTGCTTGTGCTAGGAGTTCGAGGCTATAGTGCCTATGATCCCGTGAATAGCCACTGCACTCCAGCCTGGGCAATATAACAAGACCCCGTCTCTTAAAAAAAAAATACTGATAACTTGGAAATACTATAATGATACAACTAAATGGATAATGTCTATAATAACGATGTCATATAGATATGCACACTTTTATGTTACATGTGTTAATATAGTGTACTTTGTGAATATTTTATTGTAGATACTTTGCCTACTTACTGGACTGTTTTATTTGCCATTCATAATCCACTTAGAAGTAAGGCAATCTAGGGATGATTTTTAGCAACTAGTGTTATAGGGATCTTTAACCAGATCTCAAATTCTTTTTCACCAGCTAAGAAAAAATCCTTTTCAAAAGAGCCCCTAAAAAGTCTTGTGCAACTGCAGTATAGGTTCTTTATAATATATGACGACTTAGTGTTTTAGCCAAGATACAATTTTATATAAAGTTAAATGTATTTATAATTGTATCAATAATTATAAGCTTAAGTGGAAATGAAACAGATTCTGTAAAATTCATTTGGGAATGAAACTTCAATTTTTTTAACAAAATAAGGAATATTTGATCAAAACAGATGAAACAGAAAACTCCATCAATTTCGTTGAAGTTTTCTCACAGAATTTTGTTGTTGTTGTTGTTGCTGAGACCATGTCACCCAGGCCAGAACGCAGTGATGTGATCATAGCTCACGGCAGCCTTGACCTCCTGGGCTCAAGCAGTCCTCCCACCTCAGCTGCCTGAGTAGCTGGGACTTGCAGGCCTACACCACTACACCTAGCTAATTTTTTTTTTTTTTTAAAGGTGGGTTTTTGCTATGTTGCCCAGGCTGGTCTTTTTTTCTTTTTTCTTTTTTTTTTTTTTTTTTTTTTTTGAGATGGAGTCTCGCTCTGTCACCCAGGCTGGAGTGCAGTGGCATGATCTTGGCTCACTGCAAGCTCCGCCTCCTGGGTTCATGCCATTCTCCTGCCTCAGCCTCCCGAGTAGCTGGGACTACAGGCGCCCGCCACCACACCCGGCTAATTTTTTGTATTTTTAGTAGAGATGGGGTTTCACTGTGTTAGCCAGGATGATCTCAATCTCCTGACCTTGGATCCACCCGCCTCGGCCTCCCAAAGTGCTGGGATTACAGGCGTGAGCCACTGTGCCCAGCCCCAGGCTGGCGTTAAACTCCTATCCTCAAGTGATCCTCCCACCTCAGCCTCTCAAAGTGCTGGGATTATAGGTGTGAGCCACAGTGCCCAGCCCCAGAATTTTCTTATATAAATGTTTTAATTAGTATGTGAAACATCAAAACTGTTGCCCTTTGTGTCCACTGTTGGCCAGAATGGACCAAGTTATCTACAACTTGTCTGTTCCATTGACTACACTAAAAACTCTGGACAAGTTTACTTATTTGTTTTCTTAAGTATCTAAATGAGGACAATGAAAAGCAAACTATAGCAGGCAATTGAGAAATGAAGTGAAAACTTGAATTTGAATAACAGTGTATCATATGTGTTCATTTCATAGAGATCTTTTTCCCTCCTTTGTCTCCCA